>NC_000012.12:57460128-58710128 GCF_000001405.40 Homo sapiens
CTCCCCACCGCACACCCCCCAGCCCAGACTCCAGCCCTGGACCGCGCATCCCGAGCCCAGCGCCCAGACAGAGGTGAGAAGGGGGGGCAGGCGGGGGACCACCTGGGAGCAGTGGGGGAGGGGGCCTGAGGGGATGCTCAGCTTCTTAGGGACTCATCCCAGACCCGGGACATAGAGGCAAAATAGGGGTGGGAGAGCCTGGGGTGAGACATTAGAAACTCCAGATTTTTCACTTGTGTCTTTCTCTGTATCTTCTTTTTCTTCCCTTTTTTTCTTCTGTCAGTCTGTGTATCTCTGTCTCAGGGAACCGTGGGTCTTTGTCTCCGCCTCTCCCATATATTAGAAATATCTTACTTTCATGCGGTTAAGTTTAAGAGGCTGGAGGGATGGCTAGCTGGAGGTCTGCGTTGTAGAGAGGTAACCCCAGGTGTGTGTCTGCGCGTGGGGTAGGAAGATGTCAGTGTTTCTGAAAGGTGGGGACTGCAAAGGAGGGAGCTCCAGGTGGGGTGGGGACGGGTGTGTGGGAGGCAACAGAGCCACTAGGGGCCAGCCAGGCTTGAACCTTTGACCTGTCTTGTGACAGATGTGCCAGTGGATGCTTGTGCTTTAGGGGAAAGGAGTGTCTTCTGGACTTGGAAGGGGGCTGGGGCGGGGGGGGGCTGTCCAAGGTCTAGTGAAGGCCCTAGAATGACCCCATGCAATTTGGACTCCTGAGTCCCAAGGGCTGTGGGCAAGGAGCTCAGGAGGAGCCGGGGAGACCTTGTCTTGACCCTCTGACCTCAGGACCACCGGGGCAGCGGGAGCCAGCCGCAGGGAGACCCCTACCGGGGCTGGGCGGGACCACTGGCCACTGCCAGCCTGTGTATCCCCGTTGGCACCCCGCCCAAACGGGAGCTGGGGATCGAGGCCCCTCCTCTGGCTCAGACCACCCTGCCTGCCCTTGCTCCCCGCTCTGAATCCTCTTTCAGGTCCCATGACCCCGAAACAATCAGCACTGGGCAGCTAGCTTTCGGGACAGGATTACGGAAAGGGGACCCCGTAGAGCCTGGGGACTGAGGGTTTTAGGGGTCTGGAGAGCTGGGGTCTTCTAGGATAGGTCTTTACGTTCCAGTAGAGGGAGAAGGCGGGCGGTTTCCCGGGGGATATGTAAGGGTCGGAATAAGTGTGGTTTTCCCTAGGGGGCGGGGTCCAGAGACCTCTCCCCCTCCACCATTATCTCCCTGGCATCCCCGCCCTTGACGTCACCAGGGGGTTCCCGGGGGTCTGGAGGGGTTAACCCTTGGGAAGCCGGCTGCTATAACCAGCAACCTAAGGTGTCCGGGCCCCTCCTCCTCCCCATACACACCTAATTTTATTGACCCAGTCACTTTCTCTGCTTTCTCTCCCCTATACTTTCTGGATTCTTCTCCCTTTCTAACCCCACCAACGGGGACCCCCACTCTCCAGTAGTGCCCCCCTGGGCGCCACTGCCTGCTTTCCGGATGTGCTGAGAGGAGGAGGGAAGAATGTGGCCCGCCCCTCAGCCCCCACCCCTATGGCTCGCTCTACTGGGCTCCCGGGGCGGGTGGGGGGAGCGGAGCCGTCTGCAGCCAGTGCCTGCGGCGGCGACTTGGGTGGGCCGAGGAGGCACGGGGGCGGGGAAGGCGGGACCGGGAGTAGGGGGGCGGAGCCGACTCCTGGGAGTTGGGGAGCGGGGGTGCGAGGGGGACGCTGGAAAACAGGGAGACACCGAAGATGGTTTAGGGCTCCGGCAGGGGAACCCTAGAGCTCCCTGTCCCATCCCGAACTCTCACACCCCAGAAAAACTTTACCGAAGCTAAAAAAGTTGGCGACATTTTCCTTTTACTAGCCTGAAGGGGAGATATGGGTGGGCTGTGGAACGCGTGGGCGAGGAGGGGTGTAGCCCCATTTCCTTGGAGGCTCTTCGGCAGCTAGGCAGTGGGGCAGAAAGATGACTGAGTAGGCAAGTTTGGGGGAGTCTCTAGTGTTTGGGGGATCATTTGCAAACTTCCCTCCTTCCCCTGGGTGAGTCATAGAGGGAAGGAGGCGGGAGAATTGTCCCCCCATCCAGCTGCCAACCAGCTGTGCCCCCCGCCCCCCAACATTAGTTCCAAGGTCGAGTTGGGAGGTCTTGGATGCGGGATCCGCACCTCGGTTGGAAAAGGAGGAGTTAGAAAAGGGTACAGCCCAGGCTGCCGGGCCGGGCTGGGTCGCGGGGTCCGGGTTCCGCTCCCCATCTCACCCCGCCCTCACCCTAAATCCCAGCATCCCGGGATCACCCACCGCGCCGGCCGGCCCGGCCCGCTCCCGGTGGTTCTCCACCCCATCCCGCCCCACCCCACCCTCATTCCCGGGAGACTGGAAAACCCGGGATGGAGTCAAAACTGGAGTTTGAAAAGAAAAACGGACAGCAGCACCTTCTTCCTCGCTACGCTTTTATAAGGATCACATTGTTTTTTTCATTCTCTCAGAGTCTCCCCTCATACTTCCTTTCCTGTTCCCCCAAAACAGAGACCAAAAAGATTAGGTGGGCCTGATTTAAACTACCCCAGAATAACACCAGCTTTCACCTTTGTGCCCAACAGACCCAGAAGACTCCCCTCAGGAACCTTACCTCCTCCTCCACACTGTTTTCTGTCTAAGAGGGCAGATGGCTTGTGCTCCCTCCTGGCCCCACCTGGCTCTGTGTCGGGACTGTGGCTAGGGCTCCCTCTGCTGGACACTGCAGAGATTGTACACGGGCTGTCCCTGGGGAGGGGCACGAGAAGGAAGGGGGAACGGGCTCTAGCAGAGCCGCCCAGTGCTTGAAGTCAGATCCATCACACGAGTTCTCCCATCCCACCCTCAAAGCCGGCCCAGGGTTACAGCAAGAAGAATTAGAGGGTCCATGTTACTAAAATCACTTGAAGTTAATATAGGCACAATTAGTCCAAAACATGCCTTCTACACACAGACCACACAGGCAAAGCTCCCACCCAGGCAAAGCTCCCACCCAGTTCCCAAGAAGATCCCCAGAGTACACAGACTACAAGACTGCCTCTGCCTCTCTGGGACATCATTTCCCCTTACCCCTCCCCTCACTCAGCGAGTGATGCTTTTTTTGTTTTGAGACGGAGTCTAGCTCTGTCACCCAGGCTGGAGTGCAGTGGCACCATCTCGGCTCACTGAAACCTCCGCCTCCCAGGTTCAAGCGATTCTTCTGCCTCAGCCTTCCGAGTAGCTGGGATTACAGGCACCCGCCATCATGACTGGCTAATTTTTGTTTTTTTGTAGAGACGGGGGTTTCACCATGTTGGCCAGGCTGGTCTTCAACTGACCTCAGGTGATCCTCCCGCCTCAGCCTCTCAAAGCGTTGGAATTACAGGCGTGAGCCACTGTGCCCGGCTCAGTGATGCTCTTTTCAACTCGAATTCCGTGGCAGATGTCTTAGAGGGGTGGGGGATACCAGGGATGTTCTGCCCAGGATTCTGTGCCTGAGACTGCTGTCTGACAGTCTCTATTTCCTCCACCTTTATACCTACCTTCCCTTTCTGCAGTGTCCCCACACCCTCCTCTGAGACGCCATGTTCAACTCGATGACCCCACCACCAATCAGTAGCTATGGCGAGCCCTGCTGTCTCCGGCCCCTCCCCAGTCAGGGGGCCCCCAGTGTGGGGACAGAAGGTCAGTGTATATACCAATCCCTGGGCCTTGAGGATTTGGCAGATCTCCCACTTGGGCCCACCCCCACCCCATGCCAGTTTCCTATCTACAGGAGGATTTGAGGCCCCATGTCATATGGACCTGGAATCTGGGATCAGGTCATGTCTGGGGTTTTAAGGTGAGGTTTATGTATCCTCCATTCCCATTCCAGCTGTCTCTTTTTTCTAGGACTGTCTGGCCCGCCCTTCTGCCACCAAGCTAACCTCATGTCCGGCCCCCACAGTTATGGGCCAGCCAGAGAGACCAACAGCTGCACCGAGGGTGAGGGCTCAGGCAACACCTCTTCCCTTTCTGCCCCTCTCTGACTTGTTCTGAAAGAGAAAGTGGGAGGGCAGGGGATCTCACTTGGAGGAGGAGATGCTTGGAGATGTGAGGCGTCAGAGCACCATCAAGAAGTCACAGATGGGGCCGGGCGCGGTGGCTCACGCCTGTAATCCCAGCACTTTGTGGGGAAGCCGTGGCAGGAAGATCGCTTGAGGTCGGGAATTCAAGACCAGCCAGGCCAACATGGTGAAACCCTGTCTCTACTAACAATACAAAAATTAGCCGGGCGTGGTGGCTTGCACCTGTAGTGCCGATTACAGGGGAGGCTGAGGCAGGAGAATCACTTGAACCTGGGAACGCAGAGGTTGCAGTGAGGCAAGATGGTGCCACGCACTCCAGCCTGGGTTACAGAGCATGACTCTGTGTCTCTCAAAAAAAAAAAAAAAAAGTCACAGATAGCATCAATAGGGCAAAGCAGAATCAAGTATCATTGGTTTTGCCAAGTCAGGACCCATAGGTTAGGTGCATGGAGAGACATGCCCCTTTACCATATCCGTCTCCGCTGTCTCCTGCCCCAGGCCCACTCTTTTCTTCTCCCCGGAGTGCAGTCAAGTTGACCAAGAAGCGGGCACTGTCCATCTCACCTCTGTCGGATGCCAGCCTGGACCTGCAGACGGTTATCCGCACCTCACCCAGCTCCCTCGTAGCTTTCATCAACTCGCGATGCACATCTCCAGGAGGCTCCTACGGTCATCTCTCCATTGGCACCATGAGGTGCAGTCAGCCCCGGGCCAAGAGGCCCCTAAAGCCCCTACCCAAGTCCATTAAAAGTCTCAAGCCCTCAAACTACCTAACCCTATTTGAATCCTTGTCATTTCAAAGACAACTCTCCTCAGTACTTCCCTGGGACTGCCTCAACCACTACAAATCCCAAGTCTTCCAGAAATCCTCCAAATAGCCCAATCCTTCCTGAGACTTCCTAATTGTCTTAAGTAACTGCCTCCTCTCCTCCTCAGCCCATCTCTGGGATTCCCAGCCCAGATGAATCACCAAAAAGGGCCCTCGCCTTCCTTTGGGGTCCAGCCTTGTGGTCCCCATGACTCTGCCCGGGGTGGGATGATCCCACATCCTCAGTCCCGGGGACCCTTCCCAACTTGCCAGGTGAGAGTCCCCATATTGCTACCTGATTTCCCTCAGCTCAGGGTGGGTGGGTGGTGGATTTTGTAGGGGAAAGGTGAAGGAAGGACAAGGGATATAAGTTTTCAGTACTAGAAAAGTAAAGAGGTGTGGGTGCTGGGGTTCACTCCTTGCAGTTGAGTCAGACGCTTCCAAATGGGATCCCACCTTTTGCCCATCCCATTCACCAGTGTAGTCTGAGGAGGAAGTCCCTTCCAAACCCAGGAGGTTCCAGCTGCTTGGGTGGGGGCACTTAGGGCAGGAAGACCTGGCTTGGTTTCCTCTTCCTTCTGCTTACTTCCACCCTCATCACCGTCACCTCTTCCCCTGGGGAAGCTGAAGTCTGAGCTGGACATGCTGGTTGGCAAGTGCCGGGAGGAACCCTTGGAAGGTGATATGTCCAGCCCCAACTCCACAGGCATACAGGTAAGGGGATGGGCAGGAGCTTTACCTCTGGGACCTGAGCAAAACTAAAGCTGTCACCCAAGTGACCCTGAGATTGCCTCTCTTGCCCTAGGATCCCCTGTTGGGGATGCTGGATGGGCGGGAGGACCTCGAGAGAGAGGAGAAGCGTGAGCCTGAATCTGTGTATGAAACTGACTGCCGTTGGGATGGCTGCAGCCAGGAATTTGACTCCCAAGAGCAGCTGGTGCACGTGAGCCCCAGGGGGTAACAGGAATGGCTAGCCAGAACCTTTAGGAGATTCTGAGTGGGACATGGTGGAATCCGGCTGAGGGCAGGAGGTCAGAGGAGACTGAGGTTGAATGCTCAGTTGGGTAGGCAGAAGCTCAGAAGTTGTAGCTTTGCCTTAGGGAGCTGGAAGACCTGAGATGTGAGATATGATATTGCTCCTGCCTCTTCCTCCTTGAGGTGGAGTCGTGGAAGAGGAACAGGGGGTGGAGGGAAGGTCTGTTCTGGACCTCAGGGTCATGGGAGAGCCTTGGAGAGCCTTTGTATCTTCTCCCTCAGCACATCAACAGCGAGCACATCCACGGGGAGCGGAAGGAGTTCGTGTGCCACTGGGGGGGCTGCTCCAGGGAGCTGAGGCCCTTCAAAGCCCAGTACATGCTGGTGGTTCACATGCGCAGACACACTGGCGAGAAGCCACACAAGTGCACGGTGAGGCACCAGTGTCCCAAGTCCAGGGTCTCTTCCTAAATCAGGGCTCTCCTTCAAGGTAGGGCCCAAGGCAGACTTTTGCTTTTATAAGTCCTTTCTTCCATAAACAAATATTAAAAATAATGTTTGTGTGACTGTGTTGGCATAAAGATGAATATGATGATATATATTAAAACACTCTTGGACCTAAAAGCTCATTTTTTTCCCCTTGATTTTAAAAGACATTAAAACAGGCCAGGCACGGTGGCTCACACCTGTAATCCCAGCACTTTGGGAGGCTGAGCCAGGCAGATCACAAGGTCAGGAGTTCGAGACCAGCTTGGCCAATATTGGTGAAACCCTGTCTCTACTAAAAAATATAAAAATTAGCTGGGCGTGGTGATGGGCGCCTGTAGTCCCTGCTACTTGGGAGGATGAGGCAGAAGAATCACTTGAACCAAGGAGGTGGAGGTTGCAGTGAGCTGAGATGGCGCCACTGCACTCCAGCCTGGGCGACAGAGCAAAACTCCGCCTCAAAAAAAAAATTTTTTTTAAAAAAGACATTAAAACATGTTCGTGGGCCTCTTAAAGTATTGTTGGCCTTCAGTACTGTGCCTACTACTCTGCCTAATGGATAAACCCTGCATCAAGGACAACAGCCCGTTCCCCCAAGATGACCCCATCTTGGGACAGCCTAAGATCCCCATGCAGAGAAATCTGCCCTGGCTTGGTCAGAAGATGCTCTAGCATCTTTATATTCCCAAAGGGAGAGTGCCTCCAACTGCTTCCCTTCTCCAAGTTCTTGCCTGCCCTTGTCCCCTAGTTTTGGGAATTCTCTCGAAGCCCCAGTGCCTTTCATCTTGAGTTATATTCTCTGATGTGTGTCCTGTTGGAGATTGAGGGTTCCTTCCATCTCCATGTCCTCTGTCTGAGAACTATCCTTTGACCCCTGCATGTCCCCCAGTTTGAAGGGTGCCGGAAGTCATACTCACGCCTCGAAAACCTGAAGACGCACCTGCGGTCACACACGGGTGAGAAGCCATACATGTGTGAGCACGAGGGCTGCAGTAAAGCCTTCAGCAATGCCAGTGACCGAGCCAAGCACCAGAATCGGACCCATTCCAATGAGGTGAATGCCCTAACTAAGCGACCCTCCCCTCTTGAGAAGCCACCTACCAGGGAGATTCCCCCATAAGAAATCCCTTAGCCCAGCACCCACTCCACAGAGGTGAGTCCCCCTCCCCACATAATTCGCCCAGAAAAGGCTTTTCTGAAACCCAGAATTTCCACTTAACCACTCCTCCTCCTACCTCTAACCTCTAACCAGCCAAAAGGCTAACCTAAAAGATTCCATCTAGAGGAGACCCCTGATCCCTCCAACCCCTGGATTTATGGGACCTCACAGCCCTGGGTTCACCCCCTCATCTTTCCCAGGCTGTCAGTTTTCCTAACCCTCCACTTAATCTCTGCATCTTTGACTCCCACCGGAGGCCTCCATCCTCCTTACTTCCTTTGGTGCTGTGTGCTCCTCCCCTGCCCCCTGTGTTGTCACCACTTTTTCCCATTTCTTCTGCATTCTTCCGCTTTGATCCGTTTGCCTTCTGTCTCCACTCTCCACTCAACAGAAGCCGTATGTATGTAAGCTCCCTGGCTGCACCAAACGCTATACAGATCCTAGCTCGCTGCGAAAACATGTCAAGACAGTGCATGGTCCTGACGCCCATGTGACCAAACGGCACCGTGGGGATGGCCCCCTGCCTCGGGCACCATCCATTTCTACAGTGGAGCCCAAGAGGGAGCGGGAAGGAGGTCCCATCAGGGAGGAAAGCAGACTGACTGTGCCAGAGGGTGCCATGGTGAGAGAGCCCAGGCAACCCTCACCTCCATACCCCAGCCCACCCTGTGGACATCTTTCTAGTTACTTCCCAACCCATCCATTCCCTCCTATAGAAGTCACTCTTCTGTGACCAGTCTGCCTGTCTCTTGTCTTAGTGTTGCTCTTTGGGCTTCCCCAAATCTAGAGGTTTTAGAATCTTTCTGTCTCACTCTCTCACTCTCTTTCTCTCTCTCCTTCCTTCCTTCTTTCCTTCTTTCCTTTCTTCCTTTCTTTCTTTCTCTCTCTCTCTCTTTCTCTCTTTCTTTCTGACAGAGTCTTGCTCTGTCGCCCAGGCTGGAGTGTAGTGGCATAATCATAGCTCACTGCAGCCTCAAACTTCTGGGCTCAAGTGATCACTACAGGCACACCCCATCATGCCTGGCTAATTTTTCTTCTTTTTAGAGATCGAGTCTTGCTATGTTGACCAGGCTGGTCTCAAACTCCTGGCCTTGAGCGATCCTCCCACCTCAGCTTCCCACAGTGCTGGGATGAGCCAATGCATCCAACCCAAACTCTTTCTTTTTTTTTCAGACGGAGTCTCGCTCTGTTGCCCAGGCTGGAGTGCAGTGGCATGATCTCGGCTCACTGCAACCTCCGCCTCCCAGGTTCACGCCATTCTGCCTCAGCCTCCTGAGTAGCTGGGACTACAGGCGCCTGCCACCACGCCGGGCTAATTTTTTTGTATTTTTAGTAGACATGGGGTTTCACTGTGTTAACCAGGGTGGTCTTGATCTCCTGACCTCGTGATCTGCCCACCTCGGCCTCCCAAAGTGCTGGGATTACAGGCGTGAGCCACTGCACCCGGCAACTCTTTCTTAAATAGCACTTAGTATATGTTCCAAGCCTTTTACATGTATAATTTCATGTACTCCTCACAGCAACTTCATGATAAAGGGACTCACTGTTCCCATTTTCAGTTGAAGAAACTCAGGCATAGAGAAATAGCCCAAGGTCATAGAACTAAGAGCAAGAATTTGAGTCCAGCCAGTCCGTGCTCCAGCCTAGGTTCTTCTCATCAAACGTCTCACATTCAGTTTGCTCCCCCATCTCTTACCTGCTTAGCCCTTTCTACACTTACAAGCTTCCTTGGAACCCCAGCAGTCACTGGGACACAGGCTTCAGCCACTCATCAAGTTGAAGGAGCTGTGGGGAAGGGTGTTGCCCTCAGACCTCATCTTCTCCACAGAAGCCACAGCCAAGCCCTGGGGCCCAGTCATCCTGCAGCAGTGACCACTCCCCGGCAGGGAGTGCAGCCAATACAGACAGTGGTGTGGAAATGACTGGCAATGCAGGGGGCAGCACTGAAGACCTCTCCAGCTTGGACGAGGGACCTTGCATTGCTGGCACTGGTCTGTCCACTCTTCGCCGCCTTGAGAACCTCAGGCTGGACCAGCTACATCAACTCCGGCCAATAGGGACCCGGGGTCTCAAACTGCCCAGCTTGTCCCACACCGGTGAGACCTGGGTGTGGGAGGTGTGGCTGGGGTGAGATCTGGACCTGCCCTGAGGTTGAGAGGAGGAAGTCACCCTTGAGGGCTGTCACACAGCACTTTTGTATAATTAGAAAATGGTGTCCTTCCTCAAGACACTTTCCATTTATCAGAAAATAGTTGTGATGTACAAACATGCAAAGGCTAGCCAGGCATGGTGGTGGGCACCTGTAATCCCAGCTACTCAGGAAGCTGAAGCAGGAGAATTGCTTGAACCTGGGAGGCAGAGGTTGCAGTGAGCTGAGATTGCGCCATTGCACTCCAACTTGAGCAACAAGAGCGAAACTCTGTTTCAAACAAAACAAAACAAAACAAACAAACAAACAAGTATGCAAAGGCTATGATGCGAATGCTGTTCCCTAGGATTGTGCAGCACACAACCTGCACAACTGTTCATAGCAACCCTGAATCCTTGGTAACCCAGAAACAGAATAGGCATGGGAGAAGTAGGAGACAGAACAGACTGGTTAGGGATAACGAGCTTACCCCTGAGAATCCAGGGCAAGGCTGTTGCATGGAGGAGGCAGGGTGAAATTTAGGAAGCTCCTTGACCATCCTACCTTTTCTCCCCATCACTTGCAGGTACCACTGTGTCCCGCCGCGTGGGCCCCCCAGTCTCTCTTGAACGCCGCAGCAGCAGCTCCAGCAGCATCAGCTCTGCCTATACTGTCAGCCGCCGCTCCTCCCTGGCCTCTCCTTTCCCCCCTGGCTCCCCACCAGAGAATGGAGCATCCTCCCTGCCTGGCCTTATGCCTGCCCAGCACTACCTGCTTCGGGCAAGATATGCTTCAGCCAGAGGGGGTGGTACTTCGCCCACTGCAGCATCCAGCCTGGATCGGATAGGTGGTCTTCCCATGCCTCCTTGGAGAAGCCGAGCCGAGTATCCAGGATACAACCCCAATGCAGGGGTCACCCGGAGGGCCAGTGACCCAGCCCAGGCTGCTGACCGTCCTGCTCCAGCTAGAGTCCAGAGGTTCAAGAGCCTGGGCTGTGTCCATACCCCACCCACTGTGGCAGGGGGAGGACAGAACTTTGATCCTTACCTCCCAACCTCTGTCTACTCACCACAGCCCCCCAGCATCACTGAGAATGCTGCCATGGATGCTAGAGGGCTACAGGAAGAGCCAGAAGTTGGGACCTCCATGGTGGGCAGTGGTCTGAACCCCTATATGGACTTCCCACCTACTGATACTCTGGGATATGGGGGACCTGAAGGGGCAGCAGCTGAGCCTTATGGAGCGAGGGGTCCAGGCTCTCTGCCTCTTGGGCCTGGTCCACCCACCAACTATGGCCCCAACCCCTGTCCCCAGCAGGCCTCATATCCTGACCCCACCCAAGAAACATGGGGTGAGTTCCCTTCCCACTCTGGGCTGTACCCAGGCCCCAAGGCTCTAGGTGGAACCTACAGCCAGTGTCCTCGACTTGAACATTATGGACAAGTGCAAGTCAAGCCAGAACAGGGGTGCCCAGTGGGGTCTGACTCCACAGGACTGGCACCCTGCCTCAATGCCCACCCCAGTGAGGGGCCCCCACATCCACAGCCTCTCTTTTCCCATTACCCCCAGCCCTCTCCTCCCCAATATCTCCAGTCAGGCCCCTATACCCAGCCACCCCCTGATTATCTTCCTTCAGAACCCAGGCCTTGCCTGGACTTTGATTCCCCCACCCATTCCACAGGGCAGCTCAAGGCTCAGCTTGTGTGTAATTATGTTCAATCTCAACAGGAGCTACTGTGGGAGGGTGGGGGCAGGGAAGATGCCCCCGCCCAGGAACCTTCCTACCAGAGTCCCAAGTTTCTGGGGGGTTCCCAGGTTAGCCCAAGCCGTGCTAAAGCTCCAGTGAACACATATGGACCTGGCTTTGGACCCAACTTGCCCAATCACAAGTCAGGTTCCTATCCCACCCCTTCACCATGCCATGAAAATTTTGTAGTGGGGGCAAATAGGGCTTCACATAGGGCAGCAGCACCACCTCGACTTCTGCCCCCATTGCCCACTTGCTATGGGCCTCTCAAAGTGGGAGGCACAAACCCCAGCTGTGGTCATCCTGAGGTGGGCAGGCTAGGAGGGGGTCCTGCCTTGTACCCTCCTCCCGAAGGACAGGTATGTAACCCCCTGGACTCTCTTGATCTTGACAACACTCAGCTGGACTTTGTGGCTATTCTGGATGAGCCCCAGGGGCTGAGTCCTCCTCCTTCCCATGATCAGCGGGGCAGCTCTGGACATACCCCACCTCCCTCTGGGCCCCCCAACATGGCTGTGGGCAACATGAGTGTCTTACTGAGATCCCTACCTGGGGAAACAGAATTCCTCAACTCTAGTGCCTAAAGAGTAGGGAATCTCATCCATCACAGATCGCATTTCCTAAGGGGTTTCTATCCTTCCAGAAAAATTGGGGGAGCTGCAGTCCCATGCACAAGATGCCCCAGGGATGGGAGGTATGGGCTGGGGGCTATGTATAGTCTGTATACGTTTTGAGGAGAAATTTGATAATGACACTGTTTCCTGATAATAAAGGAACTGCATCAGAAAAAATACCATGCCACTTTATGTATTATTATGTTGGGGAGGAATGATAACAGGGAACAAGAAGAGAAGCAGGGGTTAATCCACTCACTTTCCTCTTTAGAGAAGCTCCCTCACCCATCCCAACACCTCAAGTCACACTCATGAAGATAGAGACAGTCATTTGGGAGATTTAAAGGGATATCCTCAAAACAGAACACCAGCCTCTCACCACCAGAGATGACCGGAAATATGTTTTCTCTTCTTCCTTCCCTGCATCAGGGGAAGAGGCTGGTGAAGTTGGTGAGCATCAGCTGGACCAGCTGCCCTGGGTAGAGAGCATGGGCTGCTGGGTCAGATGTCTCCTGCTCTGGCCGAAACAGGGTTGGTCCAAACACAATTCCCAGGTTGTGGGGTGTCATGCGATTCTTATCTGAGTGTGCTATCACCCTGTAAGCAAAGGCCAAGGAAGGGGATATATGGCAGCAGCTTGCCACTTCATAGCAATCTAACTAACCCTTCAAAGTTCTGAGCAGGGAAGAGTTCACTCTGGGATTCCTCCACATGGTAACAAAAAAACCAAGGAGATACAAGGAGAATGGAGATGGACCAGTGGAGAAACCTTCAGGATACAACCTGAAGATATAACTGCCTCTTCCGACTTCAGGGGCTGCCCCAAGAGTTCTGCCTGCTCACAGTTTGGGAGTCTTTAATTCAAGTGGCCATCCTCTCTCAGAAGTCACTGCCCAGGCCCAGTTCAACCAAAGAAGCCATCAGCAATGTCCCAATGGGAGACAAAGAGGCAGAGGGAAGGGAGAAGTAAGATTTCCCTTATTCCTTTCACAGCATCTTGGTTCCATTTCCCCACTTGATGCTGACCTTTAGGTTTTGACCTAAAGTCTTTGACGGGCACGGTGTAATCCCAGCACTTTGGGAGGCTGAGGTGGGTAAATCACCTGAGGTCAGGAGTTCGAGACCAGCCTGGCCAACATGGTGAAACCCCGTCTCTACTAAAAATACAAAAATTAGCCAGGCGTGGTGGCGGGCACCTGTAATCCCAGTTACTCAGGAGGCTGAGGCAGGAGAATTACTTGAACCCGGGAGGCAGAGGTTGCAGTGAGCTGAAATTGCGCCACTGCACTCCAGTCTGGGTGACAGAGCGAGACTCTGTCTCAAAAATAAATAAAATAAAAAAATAAAGGTTTTGACTCTGGTAATATGCTCCTGCACAGAGGTTGCCTGCTTCCTCACCTGCCCATTAAACTTAGGTGCTTCCCTACCTTCACTCCACCTGCACAGAGTCCCTGTGGCATTCCCCACTCCACCTTTCCCCAGCATGAACAAAGAGGTTCTGTCTTCCTGACCTGCATAAATGCTCCAGGAGGTACCGTAGAGTGTCATGGTTGGGCTTTGGCATTGAGCCTATTAATTCTTGTATCTGAGAGAGGCACTGCTCTGATTCGGAGAGTGCTAGAGAGAGTGATGGGAAAGGCATGGTAGTAAGGTTAGGGAAGGTGCTAGGACAGGATGGGTAAATGCACTGCTCTTTCCCACAGGCATGGAAGACATCATTAATCTAGCACAGCTTTCTTTTTCACATAGCCCAACTATAGCCTCATAATTCTTTTCAATTCAGCCCTCTAAACATTCACAAAAAAGCAACTGGAGTAGGCACCTGAGTTGAACATTATTTTCCATCTCTAAAGTCAGAATGGGAAAGAAGAGTATAAGGGAACCTCTATTCTATTATTTACCACCCGTGTCCCCCACATCAAGGGTTCTTTCCAAAGCTCCAACCCTTACCAAGGGCAGCACGGAAATGGGGCAGCAGCAGTGGTGGCACCAGAGGCTGGGGCAGCTCCCGGAGAAAAAGCTTCAGGGCTCCGGTGACCACATGAATGTCATCCCACTCAGTACTGTCCAAATCTAACCGACCTTCTGGAGGGAGAAGGAGGTATAGGGGCTCATGAAGGGCCAGAAAGATTTAGAGACTGAGAGATTAGAAGTTCTGGAGAAATCCAGTCAAAGCAGACTATAGGAATGCCTAGAGGGTCTGCAGTGGGGCAAGGTAGCTAAGGTGGGGATGAGGACAACCCTCCCAGGAATAGTACATGGGGGTTTCCACGGGAAGCAAAGAGGATATGTGGAAGTTTTAGGGATCTGAAGGGTCTTCCATGTAAGTACCTTGTCCTGGCTGTTCTGGGAACACATACCTCCCATCGGAGGTGACCGCACGCTCTGCAACATGAATGAGGAGAGATCAGGAGCTAAGACATACACTTCCAGCCTGACGGCCTCTCTATTCTGCCAGCTTCCTCATGTAGGACCGCCCATGGTTCTCAGGCAAGACATTCTTAGTACAACCACTGGCCCACAAGCCTTCTCACCTCTGTCCACCAGAAAGCGAAGCTTCTGGACCACTGCCAAGTTCCCGCTCACCCGATAAATGCCATCCACATCTAGACCTGGGAGATGAGGAAGGAGTAGATAAGGACTGCTGCTTGAAAGTGTGTGTGGTGAGGGATATAAGGGTGGAGAGAAAAAGGGCAGTAGGAAGACTAGGTAGAATGGGGGAGGCAGAAAATTCTAGGCCTTAGCCTGTTGGAAGAGGATTCTGGGGTCTCTGAGAAAATGACCTCTTTTATCCACAGCAGCAATGCAGAGCCGCAAAAAGCTGGGCACCGTGTCTCCTTCCCGCTGGCAGAGTGATTCCAACTGGCAGCCGAACACCTGGTCTGGGGAAGTAGAGTGAGGCGGGAAGCCAGTGCCAGCGTCACTCACAGGAGCTCTTCTCAGCATAGGTCTTTATCCTTAAGTGAGGCTGGTCCTCCTGGCTGCCTGTGCCAGGCCTGGGCAAGGAAATACACTCCACCTCCCTTCCCCTGCTTCAAACAATCTGGCAAAGGGGTACAGGTCACCCCAGCTTCTCCCCTAAACAATCTGGGGTAGTGGGAAAGCAGCAGTCACAGAAGGTTGTGGTCTAGTTCTGGGAAGCTCTACTCTGAGCCTCGCTGGAGTTTTCTTATCCATGAACCTGGCCCAGCCCCCTCACCTCGGAGCAGACCCCGCTCCTGCAGGCTTTGTAAGGGCGGTCTCTTCGCGATGAGCCGCTTTAGTTTGTTGCGCACGCGGTTCTGCTCGGTGCCTTCGGGCCCCCGAACTGCAGGAGGCAGGTAGAGCGGGGCGTGAGCGCCCGGGAGCCTCGCTGCGCTCCCGGACTCTCCCTCCCCAGCCCGCGCCTCACTGGAGCTCCGGCGGCTGCTGAGGCGCAGCAGCGGCTTGGACACCAGCTCCGACTCCTCTTCTTCGTCCTCCCCGGCGCTCAGCTCCGCGGGTCCAGAGCCCGACAGACGCAGCTCCAGGGGGTTCTCCCGATCCTAGACCCGGGGCGGGCCGTGTCGAAGGTGAGAGAGGAGAGAAATCTGTATCCCTAGCTGGACTCTGACCCACTGCCGGGGTCCCACATCCCGGCCCAGGCAAGGGCTCTCCACTGAGCCCACCCTGCCCCCAACTGCTCCTGACTCCTATCGTTCCTACCCCACTCCCTTGGTCCCGGCCGGTCGGAGCCTCCCTCCGGGCCTCCACCCATCTAACCAGCCGCTCGATGACAGTCCGCAGCGCGCGGTGCCAGGCTCGCAGCTCTGTCTCGTGGTCCGACTGCAGCAGGAACTCGTGGCCAGGGATCGTGCGGATCTGAGGGCCAGGCAAGGAAACGCTCGGGTCAACGGGAAGGAGTATAATAAGCAGGGAGACCTAGCGGGAGGCCTGCGCGGGAGATTGGGGGCGCCCTCGGGTCGGGTGGGGCCTTGGGGACGCGCGGGAGGGCGCTCACGTGCAGGACGTTGCGGCGGCTGGACAGGTGGCGGCCGTGCGCCAGGGCCGCCCCGCGCAGGTCCACGCTACTTTCGGGCCGGCTACCCGCTGGTCCCTGACAATGAGGGAGGAAACTGAGGCCACGGTGTTGTTTCCTTCACTGCTTCCCTCTCCCCGGTGGGCTGTGAGGAGGTGGGAGGCTTCCTCACTTCTTTACTTTCCTCTGCACCGCCCTCCCCGCTGCCGCCCCCACATTGGCGTGAGGCGGTAGGCAGCGCCCGCACCCATCCTGCGCCTCTCGCTCACACTCACCCAGCCTGAGGAGGGCGCTGTCGGCGGTGGCTCTCGGTAGAACACCAGGCTGTTACCCGTTAACACCACCCAAGACGGGCCCCAGTTCTTCCTGCGGGGACAGAGAGGGGAGGTAGTGGTAGCGAACAGGTCATTCTAGAATGACACGAGGAGGGTGCTCTTCCAACACCCTGCTCTACCCTATGGAGTTGACAGCCCAGGCCCTAGCTGTATTCTGGGTTCTCACCTGAGCTTGCGCCCCCCTTGGGCAATCTTGGTCATGTTGAGCAGACCCGACTTTTCCACCTCCTGGGAAGTGGAGGGAATGGGATCTGTAAGTCACCCTCGCCCTCCATAGTGGCCACGGCTTTCCCTAGGGGGTCTCCCAGGAGTGAAGTCCCTTAAAGTTGCTGGGGGAGGGCTGGGTAGGAGGATATTCAGAAAGAGGAAGATGTTTATGTGGAGCAGGAAAAGGGGGGAGGGGGGGCAGGGAGGATCTTGGCCTTCACAAAGAAATGGGAGATTCACATGGGGGTCGTCCAGGAGCTGCGGCAGAGGTCGAGGGGCCTGCAAGGCTGGAGGGTCAAGCTGCGAGGTGCGTTGGCTGAGGCTGAGTGAACCCTAGGGGAGAGGATTGGAGAAACAGGTGGGGAAACGCTCGACTCAGGGATCCCTGGCTGAAGGAGGAAGAGGGGTGGGATACGGGTGAGAGGTGGGGGGTGTGGTGGGGAATGGAGAATGTCTTACACAAAACAGAAAGTCATAACAAGCTGGCTTTTTCTGCATGTGACTGGGAGATGGGAGGGATCTCACCTGTGGGTCAAGCGGTTCTGGGGTCCCTGTGTCAGATCTGAAGCCCTTTGCCTGAGGTTGCAGGACATCATTGTTCCTCTTCAGGGTCTGTGTCCCCTCCATGGAGCCAGGGTTCTGGGTTAGGGGAGGAGGAAATAAAGCTACATCCAGATGCCACCTCTACCCACTCTCCACACCCTTCTTATACTTGGCTGATTCTTCTGATCTTCTGAGAGCCCCGGAGAGAAAACACACTACCTTGAGGTTCATCAGGGGAAGGAAGAGCTTGAGGGGACAGTGGAGAAGCAGGAGGTAAGGTCTCACCGTCTCGCTGCGACTGCGGCGCGGGGGCTTCCAGGACTTGCAGCCAGTCAGTGAATTTATGTAGAAGCAGCGTCCAGAGTTGGGGTCCAGGTGCTGCTCCCAGGCATCCAGCCTCTGCAGCAGGGGGCATGCAGGGCCTGGGGGTGGGGACCGAGGACAGCGGCGAAGGTCCACCAGGTTACAGTACACAGGGGGCTCTGACATGAGGGGCTGGGGGCCTGCCTGCCAGAAAAGGGGGAAGAAGGAGGTGGTCATTCTGCCTGTTGCCCTTCCCATGCTTCTCTTGGCCTTCCCACCTCCTGCTCCCTCCCCCATTGTCTTCTCACCGCCAGCTCTGGGCTGAGGTGACCCAGGGTACTGGGGGAGAAACCTCAGGCCCCAGCTGCTTTTTAAAAATTCTCTCTCTCACAGTTTTCTTTGCTCTTCTCCTCACTTCCTGTTGCCAACTTCCCGCCTCCCCCACCCCACCCCCACCTCAGGGCCACAGGAAAGGGGAACAGGCTTTTTGTGGGGTGGGGGGAATGTTGAAGGGGGTGCCCCACCCTCACATCCTGCAAGGTAAAAGAAGACAGAGAAGGGTCTACAGAAGGGAAGAGGAGCCCCTTTCCACCCACGGTTAAGAAAGAGAGGGAAGGGCTGGGCAAGTCACATCTCTAGAGGAGACCTGCTGTAGCCTATCAGGCAAGCAGAACACAGAAAAACCCTGCCCTGGGCTAGGAGTCTGGAGGAAGGAAGAGCACAGGGCTGGCCTTTCAGTGCCTCCACTGCGCCCTGTGCCCTGTCCCCTCAGGGCCTTTGGTACCTACTGTCCCTTCTCACCTCCTACCCAGTTTGCCTCTCGGCTGCCTCTTTCTCCTCCTTGCTCAGAGTCAACTGAATGCCGTGACCTCACAGATGTCTCCCCGCACCACCTCAGCCACTCTCCACCACATTAACTTGCCTTTAGACTTATCAGTAGTACCAAGCGTTATCTTATTTATTTGTTTTTGTGTTTGTCATCCCCAGGGGAGTCCCCTGAAGACAGAGGTGCTGTCTGTCCTGTGCCTAGAACAGGGCCCAGCTCAGAAGAGCTGTGACTCACTGTGCTGGCACTGGCTTCTGACGGCAAGTCTTCCTGGGAGAGGGATCTTCCGCTTGGTCCTTCCTGGAAAGGCTTCAGAAGGCTGGGGCTCAGATTGTCAGTGCTGACGCTCCTACACATTTTGCGGGGAAGTGGAGGAGGCTGCTCCGAGCTAGCCTGAGCCCTGCTTGGGAGGGCCTGAGACAACTCCTCCAGGGAACCATGAAACAACTTCGGCCCTGGAAACAGAAAAGGGGAGGGTGGGTGGCAGGTGATCAGAGGTGTTGTTGTAACTGGGTCCCTCATCTTGGGAACTCACAGGGAAGACAAGAAGGGCAGAGGGAGGATGTGGAAAATGGCATGAGACCTAGAAGCCTTAGGACTAGGAGGACAGGCAGTGGGATGAGGATGCCATGGCGGGGGCAAGAGGTAGGCTGATCAAAGAAAAACAAGAGAAGATGGTTAGCAGAAGCTTGAGGGAGGGGGACCTCCCCAAAATTCCCAGAAGCCAGGGAGGTAGGAAGGTGATGGGAGGTAGGAAGGTGAAGGGAGAGGGCTTAGCGCTTACTCACCAGGAGTCCAGAGCAATTGGCCGGGGATGACGGTAGTTGGACTCTGGGAAGGGATGGATTCCTCTATCATATAGGCTGCTGGGACGAAGATGGGTCGAGAGGTGGAGGGAGCTTCTAGGCGTCTTGCCAACCACCAGTCGGAGTTGGTCTTTCGAAGCAGTAGGAACCTATCCCCTTCAGCCAGAGACACCTGCTGGCCATCTGCCCCAGTATAAGTAAAGGCATAGAGGGCACAGAGCTGGGATCCCCGAGGAGGGCTTCGGGGGCCCAGCCCTAGGATCCCCCAGGAACTTGGCCACCACCGGCTGGATAGCATTGTAGCCAGCACTGTCACCTGTGAGAAAAAGGGACACTGGAGACCCAGAAGGGAATAGGCCTGGCTGTCTCCAGGTAGACAGACATGGTTCTAGGAGCAGTGTTGCAGGGAGGTGAGGACGGGAGCCCTTGAGTTGGGGGAGAGGGTAGAGCAAACAGCCTGGTGAGGATCGGTGACAGGTTTTGGGGGCTGAGAACTCCTGGTGGTGTCTGGTGAGGAAGTATGTAAGTAACATGAGAGAGGATGTGGTCAGCAGGGCTGCATGGCCAGCAAGGCAGGAAATTAGAGGAGATGACCTAGGCCAGTAGTTTTCCTCCAAGTACCTTGTGGGGCCCATCAGAAGATTCAGGAGCAGGAGTTGGTCCTGGGTAGTGGTGGGAGTCTTGAGGTGGACACAGGAAGGAGATAAGAAGAAAGAATCAGGTTCAAGACAGAAACAGGGAGACACAAGGTTAATGACAAAGACAAAAATGTGTGTTATTCTTTATTAAATTTATGCAAGCATCAATGTTTCCGTTACCAGTCACCTCAGACCATAGCTGCGTGCTTCCTGTGCAGACTCAGAGAGACATGGTGACAGAGAAACAGAAAGCCAAATAAATACCAAGACCAAATCAGAGAGAAAGACAAAGTGGGAGAAACACAGAGGGATTCAGAGTTGAAATATCACCACCCTCCCAATCCAGGACACGATTTTGGGAGCTGAGAAGCCTTGATACTGTCCTGTACACACAAGCCTCTTGAGGCAGGAGCTACTTTAGTGTGTGGGTTCATTCATGCTTTTTTTTTTTTGAGACGAAGTCTCGTTCTTGTCCCCCAGGCTGGAGTGTGATGGCGAGATCTCGGGTCACTGCAACTTCCGCCCCCCGGGTTCAAGTGATTCTCCTGTCTCAGTCCCCCGAGTAGCTGGGATTACAGGTGCCTGTCACCACACCTGGCTAGTTTTTTTATTTTTAGTAGAGACAGGGTTTCACCATGTTGGCCAGGCTGGTCTAGAACTCCTGACCTCAGGTGATTCACCCGCCTCAGCCTCCCAAAGTGCTGGGATTACAGGTGTGAGCCACTGCGCCCGGCCTCATTTATGCTTTTATCAAGGATTGATTGAGTGCCTCCTGCGTGCAAGGAGCAGTGTCAGGCACTGGAGATGAGAGAAGGGAATGAGCCCTTTTGGAGCTTAAGGAGAGACAGACCTTAACTAATGACACAATAAACTTAATAATTACAATTGAATCAGGAACAATGGACAAGTAATGCAAGACGCTATGACAGGTAGATAGGGGACTGATGCCAGCTTCTCCTTGGTGGAAGGTGGGAAGTGACCTTCCCTGGATTACCAGCACTTTAAAACCCACACTTCTGCTTCTGCCTTACCTGGCCACTCCTCTTTTCCTCTTCTCTCAGCTTCTCCACTGCACAATGTGAGGCTTTCTGTTTGGGTTTGGAGAGGTGGGTTAAGGAGCGAATGACCCTCCCCACTGGTGATATCAGAGAGCCAGCTCTCTTCCCCTGAGGGCTGGGTGGCTAGTACTGGGCTTCTGCCTCAGTGATCTTCCTAGTTTACTTCACTTCAACACATGGAGAATCCTACCCCTCAACTCTTCCTTCCCACTTCCAAAATAGTGACTAATTTCACCCATTTATTCACTTATTTATTCATTTGGTGTTCAGTGCTTGAATCCACCCTTTTTTTGCCTTCTCTGAAACTCTCTCTCCTATACTTTAGCTTGTTTTTGTTAGCTTCGTCGCATTCACTTTTAAACATATCCAAGTCTCTCCCATCTTTAGACAAACCTCCCCTTACTGGGCTTTCCAGGTACCACCATATATATGTCTCTCTCTCTTTCTTCTTCTCTTTTTTTTTTGAGACAGAGTCTTGCACTGTTGCCTGGGCTGGAGTGCGGTGGCACAATCTCTGCTCACTGCAACCTCCGCTTTCCAGGTTTAAGTGATTCTCCTGCCTCAGCCTCCTAAGTAGCTGGGATTAGAGGCGCCTGCCACTATGCCCGCTATTTTTTTTTGTATTTTTAGTACAGACAGGGTTTCACTATGTTGGCCAGGCTGGTCTCGAACTCCTGACCTCGTGATCTGCCCACCTCAGCCTCCCAAAGTGCTGGGATTACAGGCGTAAGCCACCGAGTCCAGCCTCTCTCTTTCTTTTTACAGTCGAACTTCTTGAGTTGCCTACACTGTAGAGGGGATCTCCATTTCCTGTCCCCTCACTCCGCCACCTTTTCAAAGTCACTCCTCAATAGAGTCACCCCCGACCTTGCCTGAGCATCCTGCAGTCCTTATGCAATCCTTATGTTGCTTGACATCTCAGTAGCAGGCAACACAATTGACCTTTCTCTCCTACAAACACTCTGCTGGTATCCCTCTTACCTTTCTGGCAGTTCCTTGTCTGTGGCATGAGAAATGACCTTCCTCTGCCTGTTCCTTAAACCACAGAAGCCTATCTGAGATCCTGTGCCCTGTGCTTTCTGCATACCCTCCCTGGGTGGTCTTATTCTCTCCCCAGCTCAAATGATTTCCATGTGCTGCTAAGGACTGTATCTCAAGTCCAGATCTTTCTCTGGGGCTCCCATCTAATCCACTGTCCACCAGAAAATCCACTTGAGTATTTCACAGGTACGACAAACTCAGTATGAACCAAACTGAACTTATCACAAACCTGTTTCTCTCCCAATACCACTATTTAGTTTAATATGAAATCAATAAATATTGGCCTGGTACAGTAGCTCACACCTATAATCCCAGCACTTTGGGAGGCCAAGGCAGAATATCACTTGAGCCTAGGAGCTTGAGGTGCAACATAGTGAGATCCTGCCTCTACAAAAAAAATTTTTTTTTTTTTTGAGTCGGAGTCTTGCTCTGTCGCCCAGACTGGAGTGCAGTGGCGTGATCTCGGCTCACTGCAACCTCCGCCTCCCAGGTTCATGCCATTCTCCTGCCTCATTCTCCTGAGCAGCTGGGACTACAGGTGCCCGCCACCATGTCCAGCTAATTTTTTGTATTTTTAATACAGACGGGGTTTCACTGTGTTAGCCAGGATGGTCTCGGTCTCCTGACCTCGTGATCCACCCGCCTCGGCCTCCCAAAGTCCTGGGATTACAGGCGTGAGCCACCGCGCCTGGCCAAAAATTTTTTTTAGTTAGCCAGGTATGGCAGTGTGTGCCTTGTAGTCCCAGCTGCTCGGGAGGCTGAGGTGGGAGTATCTATTGAACCTGGGAAGTTGAGGCTGCAGTGATGCGTGATAGTGCTACTGCACTCCAGCCTAGGCGACAGAGTGAGACCCTGTCTCAAAATAAATAAATAAAATAATTTAATAAATATTTATTGAATGTTTACTACCATATATGCCGGGCAGGAACTATGTGCTAGGCATTGTCAATTAAGATGGTAAATATGGGGCCGGGTGCAGTGGCTCACATCCAGCTCAATCCCAGCACTTTGGGAGGCTGAGGCAGGCAGATCACCTGAGGTCAGGAGTTCAAGACCAGCCTGGCCAATGTGGTGAAACCCCCATCTCTAATAAAAATACAAAAATCAGCTGGGCATGGCGGCAGGTGTCTGTACTCCCAGCTACTTGGGAGGCTGGGGTAGGAGAATTGCTTGAACCCAGGAGACGGAGGTTGCAGTGAGCTAAGATCATGCCACTGCGCTCCAGCCTGGGTGACGGAGCGAGACTCTGTCTTAAAACAAAACAAAAAAATATGATCCCTGCCCACTCATAACAATGAAAATATGATGTAATAATGATCACTATGATAGAGGAAATACTATCATCTGTTGTAGCACATAGAAAGTATGCCCTATTTCCCATGCCAGAAACCTAGCAGCCAACCTGAATTTATCTTGTTTCCTCGCCACCCACATTGATTCAATTGATTACTGAACACTTCAATTTATATTTTCCCAATCTACCTACTTTTTATCCCCACAACTACCACTCCTTTAGCCTGGATGATATAATTTCCTAACTAGTCTCATTGCATATAGTTCTCATTGCATATAGTTCTGCTCCCCTTCCAACCATTCCTGACACAGCAGCCAGAGTGACCTTTCTAAAACACATATGCCCTGCTACTCTCCTGACTTAGACTTTCCACATTTTATAATGTCATTTACAGATTCCCTCTCTACACTTTTCACAGTCTCCACCACAAACTCCACACTGCAGTCTTATGCGAATTCCTCACATTCTTAAAGTGCACTGAAATCTTAGATTCTTTGCATATGTTGTTTCCTTTGCCTGAAACACGTCCCTTCTCCACTCCCTCCAGTCTTCACCTAGATAACTCTTACGCATCACTGAGATCTCAGCTGAAAGATTACATGCACAGGAAAGCATCTCAGCCAGGCGTGATGGCTCACACCTGTAAACCCAACACCTTGGGAGGCTGAGGCGGGTGGATCACTTGAGGTCAGGAGTTTGAGACCAGCCTGGGCAACATGGTAAAACCCCATCCCTACTAAAAATACAAAACTTACCTGGGTGTGCTGGCCCAGCTACTGTAGTCCCAGCTACTTGGGAGCCTGAGGCACAAGAATCACTTGAACCTGGGAGGCAGAGATTGCACTGAGCTGAGATCATGCCACTGCACTCCAGCCTAGGTGACAGAGCAAGACCCTGTCTCAAAAAAAAAAAAAAAAAAAAAAAAAAATAAGGCCGGGTGCGGTGGCTCACACCTGTAATCCCAGCGCTTTGGGAAGCCGAAGCAGGCGAATCACAAGGTCAGGAGTTCGAGATCAGCCTGGCCAACATGGTGAAACCCTGTCTCTACTAAAAATACAAAAAATTAGCTGGGCATGGTGGTGGGCGCCTGTAATCCCAGCTACTTGGGAGGCTGAGGCAGGAGAATCGCTTGAACCCGGGAGGTGGAGGTTGCAGTGAGCCAAGATTGCGCCATTGCACTCCAGCCTGGGCGACAGTGTGAGACTCTGTCTCAAAAAAAAAAAAAAGCATCTTTTCACCCATTAGAGGGGCCCTAACTAGGAGGTACGATGGCAGGCTTTGCCTCCTCTATCATAACTTTAATCACACTTTAAGGATTATTTGATTTTCTGACTTTCAGGAAGTCTGTGAGTGCTGCCAAGGTAGCAGAAGCCCACATCCATTTTGTTGATAACTGTACCTTCAATGCCTTCTACAGTCACTTCTACAGTGATTTCTGGCATAAAGTCATAACTTTATGCCTCAGTTCCCTCATTAGTAAAATGGCGATGAGAGACCTACCTCAGTTTGTTTGTTTATTTATTTTAGACAGAGTCTCGTTCTGTTGCCAGCCTGGAGTACAGTGGTGCGATCCCGGCTCACTGCAACCTCTGCCTCCCAAGTTCAAGCAATTCTCCTGCCTCAGCCTCCCAAGTAGCTGGGATTACAGGCATGCGCCACCATGCCCAGCTAATTTTTGTATTTTTTAGTAGAGACAGGGTTTCACTATGTTGGCCAGGATGGTCTCGAACTCCTGACCTCAGGTGATCCGCCTGCCTCGGCCTCCCAAAGTGCTAGGATTATAGGTGTGAGCCACTGCGCCCAGCGTATTTATTTATTTTTTTTGAGACAGAGTCTGGCTCTGTCGTCCAGGCTGGAGTGCAATGGCACGATCTCAGCTCACTGCAACCTCTGCCTCCCGGGTTCAAGTGATTCTCCTGCCTCAGCATCCTAAGTAGCTGGGATTACAGGCATGCACCACCACACCCCGCCAATTTTTTGTATTTTTAGTAGAGACTGGGTTTCATCATGTTGGCCAGGTTGGTTTCGAACTCCTGACCTCAGGTGATTTGTCCACCTCGGCCTCCCAAAGTGCTAGGATTACAGGCATGAACCACCACGCCCAGCCTCTTGGCTAGTTTTAAAAACTATTTTTGGCCAGGAGCAGTGGCTCATGCCTGTAATCCCAGCGCTTTGGGAGGCCAAGGCAGGTGTATCACCTGAGTTCAGGAGTTTGAGACCAGCCTGGCCAACATGATGAAACCCCGTCTTTACTAAAAATACAAAAATTAGCCGGGCATGGTGGCAGGTGTCTGTAATCCCGGCTACTAGGGAGGCTGAGGCAGGAGAATCGCTTGAACCCAGGAGGCGGAGGTTGCAGTGAGCCAAGACCACACCATTGCACTCCAGCCTGGGCAATAAGAGTAAGACTCCATCTGAAAAAAAAAAAAAACAAAAAAACTATTTTTTTTATGTTGGCCAGGCAGTCTTGAATTCCTGGGCTCAAGTGATCCAGCTGCCCAAAGCACAGGGATTACAGGCATAAGTTACTGGGCCTGGCCTAGTTTTTTGTTTGTTTGTTTTGTTGTTGTTAATGTAACAACAGCCATTTTATTATAGTTTAACAATTGTATAGGTATGGAGCAGAAATTTGGGTAGGCCTTAGGTGGGTGATTCTTCTATCTCATGTGGCCTTGAGACCCTACCAAGGGTTACTTAAGAGTTTTCAGTGGGCAGATGGGCTGGTCTGGAAGGCTTCACTCACAAGTCTGGCACCTTGGTAAGGATGACTGGAATGCTGGGATTAGCTGGAGTTGTCAGACAGAATATCTACATGAGACCTCTCTAGCATGGCAGCTCAAAGTGGTAGGATTTCTTACATGGCAGCTCAAAGCTACCAGTGTGCTAGATAGCCTGCAACTGAAGCTGCAAAACTTCTTATGGCCTAGCTTCAAAAGGCCCAGAACCTCCATAGAATTTTCTGAGATCAAATATAAAGTGCTTAAAACAGTGCCTAGCTCATAAGTACTATTAGATATTAATTATTCTTAAAATAATATAAAGATGAATAAGAAGCGTCCCTTTCTCAATAACAGGTATGTGCTTCCTTGCATAATATATACTTATTGCCAAACTCTTAGCCATCTTGAATCTCAATTTTTTTTTTTTTGAGACGAAGTCTTGCTCTATTGTGCAGGCTGGAGTGTAGAGGCACGATCTCGGCTCACTGCAACCTCTGCCTCCTGGGTTCAAGTGATTCTCCTGGCTCAGCCTCCTGAGTAGCTGGGATGACAGGCGTGCACCACCACACCCAGCTAATTTTTGTATTTTCACTAAAGAAGGGGTTTCACCACGTTGGCCAGGCTGGTCCCAAACTCCTGACCTCAAGTCATCTGCTCGCCTCGGCCTCCCAACGTGCTGGGGTTACAGGCGTGAGCCACCGCGCCCGGCCTTACTTCTCAATTTCATCTTTTCCCTAGAGATGTTTGGCCGGGCGCGGCTGCACGCCTGTAATCCCAGCACTTTGGGAGGCTGAGGCGGGCGGATCACGAGGTCGGGGGATCGAGACCATCCTGGCTAACACGGTGAAACCCCGTCTCTACTAAAAATACAAAAAATTAGCCGAGCGTGGTGGCGGGCACCTGTAGTTCCAGCTACTCGGGAGGCTGAGGCAGGAGAATGGCGTGAACCCCGGGGGACGGAGGTTGCAGTGAGCCGAGATCGCGCCACTGCAGTCCAGACTGGGGGGCAGAGCAAGACTCCGTCTCAAAGAAAAAAAAAAAAAAGAGATGCTCTTCTACCCCTTTGATGAGACGTCGAGCTGTATATGAACTCAGACTGGTATTAATATTTTACTTGTCTACATTCTTTTTTTTCGAGACGGAGTTTCCTCTTGTTGCCCAGGCTGGAGTGCAATGGCGCGGTCTCGGCTCACTGCAACCTCCGCTTCCCGGGTTCAGGCGATTTTTTTTGCCTCAGTCTCCCGGGTAGCTGGGATTACAGGCGCCTGCCACCATGCCCAGCTAATTTTGTATTTTTAGTAGAGACGGGGTTTCAGCATGTTGGCCAGGCTGGTCTCGAACTGCTGACCTCAGGTGATCCGCCCGCCTCGACTCCCCAAAGTGCTGGATTACATGCATAAGCCACCGCGCCCGGCCTATGTACATTTTTGTTGTTGTTGTTGATAGGATGGATATGTACACTAACTTCCACTTTGTCACTAATTCCGCACATGGTAACTCCGAACTCTAAAACTCTGACCGTTAAGAGCTTGCATCGAGAGCCACTGCGAGTAGCTGCTGTTATGACATGGCCATTTCATTCTCCACAACAAGAGAAGCAGCCGCGGCTTCAGTCACCGCCCTCCAGCAGCGTAAGAGGATAAAAGTGCGACTTGCCCTAAAACCTAAACGTCTCTTCTGGATCTCCAGAAAAAAAGTGCTGCTCTAGGCCGGGCGCAGTGGCTCACGCCTGTAATCCTAGCACTTTGGCAGGCCGAGGCGGGCGGATCATCTGAGGTGAGGACTTCGAGACCAGCCTAGCCAAAATGGTCAAAGCCCGCCTCTACTAAAAATACAAAAATTAGCCGAGCGTGGTGGCACGTGCCTGTAGTCCCAGCTGCATGGGAGGCTGAGGCCGGAGAATCACTTGAACCCTGGAGGCAGAGGTTGCAGCGAGCCAAGACCGTGCCACTGCACTTCAGCCCAGGTGACAGAGGGAGACGCCCTCTCACAAAAAAAAAAAAAAAAAAAAAAAAGTGCAGTCTAGCCCGCATCTGCGGCCTCTTCATCTCGATGATAGTCTTTTCCTGTGTCTTAGCGTTGCATGATGGGAGAAATAGTCTACTTTCCGGTAGCGGTGCCAGGGCAGTGGCCTAATACGGAACTCCATTTCCCGGCGTGCCTCGCGGAGGCCGCTGAACTCAGAAGCGGGAGGCCGGTTCCGGTTGCATCAGCGAGGGATTCACGGCGAAATGAGACTGTTCGTGAGTGATGGCGTCCCGGGTTGCTTGCCGGTGCTGGCCGCCGCCGGGAGAGCCCGGGGCAGAGCAGAGGTGCTCATCAGCACTGTAGGCCCGGAAGGTACTCGTGCTGGTGCTGGTGGGCGGTGGATGGGGGGGCGGGACCGAAACACGCCAGATTCTCTGCAGCTGTCTTTGCCAAACCCCTAGCCCTCGCCACACACCCCAATCGACCACTTCTCCTATTATCCTTGATCACTCCACGCCTTCTTCCCTCCCAGTCACATCTTTCACTTCCTTTAATTACCCTCAATATAATACCCTTCCCTTATCTCTCTCCTCCCCTCTTCCGTCTTCCCGGTCCCCGCCTCACCCCAGTAAACTGCTCTTCCCTTCCCAACCTTCTCCTACACCTATCAGGCATCCCCCTCTGCTCTTTAGTTACTAGCATGACAGCCCCCAGGCACCCTTTTGTGTTCTTAGGAAATCCCTCTCTCCCCTCCTAACACACACACACGTTCCTTTCTGTTTACCTCTTCTCATTCTCAGCCGATTGTTTGGGTGACTCTTAGGAGGTTCTCTTGTAAGTCTTCTCAGTTCTTTTAATTTTGTTCTCCCACTGTGACCTTCAGATAATTATGAAGATATCCCAGTTACTTTCAGTCGTTAAGTTCTTGGCTGCAGCACTATCCCAATACCACCACCTCCTCTGCAGTCCCCATCTGTTGCTTCCAGCTGGCAGTTTCAGCTGAACACCTGCTGGCCTCTCCAGCCCATTCCGGACCACCCCCTTTCAGTGGTCCTATCCTGGAACTTCTGGGTTGAGACTGCCCATCTTTCTTTTTTTACTCACTGAACAATGCAAGGTTATCCTAAGTTGACAAAGTATTTCTTTTCTTTTCCTTTTTTTTTTTTAACCCATTTTCCATTCTTGCATCAGATTGTGTGGTCCCGTTCCTGACCCGGCCTAAGGTCCCTGTCTTGCAGCTGGATAGCGGCAACTACCTCTTCTCCACTAGTGCAATCTGCCGGTCAGTATTGGTCCTTGGTGTAGGGAGGTGGCTGAATCAAATCAGGCCTCACTGTCATTTGTGTGGCTTTATTTGCAGCCATTGTTTCCCTGTGTGATGAGAAATGGGCTAAATGGGCCCCTCTAAGTCCATCATCTGTTGCTCTCTCTCTGGGCAGATATTTTTTTTTGTTATCTGGCTGGGAGCAAGATGACCTCACTAACCAGTGGCTGGAATGGGAAGCGACAGAGCTGCAGGTAGGACTAAGGTATGGGGGATGTCAGGCAGGCCCTTGTTCTGCGTGGCCATCCTGACTCATGTCCCCTGCATTTTAGCCAGCTTTGTCTGCTGCCCTGTACTATTTAGTGGTCCAAGGCAAGAAGGGGGAAGATGTTCTTGGTTCAGTGCGGAGAGCCCTGACTCACATTGACCACAGCTTGAGTCGTCAGAACTGTCCTTTCCTGGCTGGGGTGAGTTGGGTCTTGAGATGAGGACTGGGGAAGGCTTATGGTGTAAGGATTAAGAGGGAAGACTGTATTCAGAGTGTTCGAACCCAACACTGCCACTTACTAGTAGTGTAATCTTGGCAAATCACTTAATCTCTCTAATCCTCAATTTTTTTCAGTTGTGAAATGGGATAATATTAGTACCTATCTCAGTGAGTTATTGTGAGGATTAAGTGAGATCATATAAAGTGCTTAATACAGTGCTTGACATATAAAGTGCTCAGTAAATGTTAGATATTACCATTGGGAAGAAACTGAGTGTCTCATTTGTGTACATTTTCCTTTTCTATCCCCAACAAAGGAGACAGAATCTCTAGCCGACATTGTTTTGTGGGGAGCCCTATACCCATTACTGCAAGATCCCGCCTACCTCCCTGGTGAGAACTGTGCATATCACTCCAACCCTAGGAGCTTGGTGTAGGGGTTACAGAATGGGCAGTAGAATACTGAGAACTCCCTTCAAGGTACAGCTTGACTGGGCAACTATAGCAGAAGATGGTTGAGGGAACTGGGGAAAGCAACTGGAGAAACCTCACAAAGAAGGGGAAAGATGCCCGCTCCTGCCTACCAGGTCCTTATGTTTGCTGATTTTCTTTTCTTCCATACCCACAGAGGAGCTGAGTGCCCTGCACAGCTGGTTCCAGACACTGAGTACCCAGGAACCATGTCAGCGAGCTGCAGAGACTGTACTGAAACAGCAAGGTGTCCTGGCTCTCCGGCCTTACCTCCAAAAGCAGCCCCAGCCCAGCCCCGCTGAGGGAAGGGCTGTCACCAATGAGCCTGAGGTTTGGAATAGGGCAGAGCCTTGGGGCCTGAGGTGGGAGGTGGCTAGGAGATGGACTTTGAGCATGGCCACTAACTTTTTCAGGTAGTGGCAAGGAGAAAGTTTCTTTACCCTGTGGGCCCTCCTCACCTGGTAAGGGATTCTCTCCACTCTTTATAGGAGGAGGAGCTGGCTACCCTATCTGAGGAGGAGATTGCTATGGCTGTTACTGCTTGGGAGAAGGGCCTAGAAAGTTTGCCCCCGCTGCGGCCCCAGCAGAATCCAGTGTGAGTAGACATGGCACATGTGAGTGGGGCTTGATTTTGTAGTGGAAATTGTTGATAGAGCCAGAACCTGCCTGCTAGGTCCCGTTTGCTGATCTCTCTTTAATTTTTCATCCTCTCCTTTTAATTCTTACATCTCTTTTTTTTTTTTTTTTTTTTTTTACATTTTCTCTTAGCCTATCATTTTGGACACTCCATCTGTCCCATCTGCACCCATGTTTTTCTTGTCTATCCTTTTTTTTTTTTTTTTTTGAGGCGGAGTTTCGCTCTTGTTGCCCAGGCTGGAGTGCATTGGCGCGATCTCAGCTTACTGCAACCTCCGCCTCCCGGGTTCAAGCGAGTCTCCTGCCTTAGCCTCCCAAGTAGCTGGGATTATAGGTGTGCACCACCACGCCTGGCTAATTTTTTGAAGAGACAAGGTTTCACCATGTTGCCCAGACAGGCTGGTCTCGAACTCCTGACCTCAGGTGATCCACCAGCCTTGGCCTCCCAAAGTGCTGGGATTACAGACATGAGCCACTGTGCCGGCCCTGCACCCATGTTTTTCAGCTACTTTTTACCCACCGATAGGAGCTAACTCTATTTTTCCAGTCCAGATCTGTATTCTGAACTCCAGACACATTTGCCATACTATCCTAGACTCCTTCACCTCTACAGGCATCTCAAATTCAACATATCCAAAACCAAACCTGTTACCTTTCCTGCTAAATGCCCTTTTATTTATTCACCTGCCTTTGTTGAACAGCCTCCACCTTCCACCTAAAAATCCAAGCCAGAAATCTTGGTGTTATCTAGACTTCTTCGTTTCTCCCTAGCTGTATTATTCATTCCCTTACCAAGTCGTTGACTCTAACTGTTAAGTAGTCTTTGAATCCACCCCTTCTCCTCTCTGTTGTCACTGTCACTACACAGATACTAACAGACCTTGTCATCTGTTATCCTCTTTCCCTGACACTCTGTACTCCACACTGCCTCCAGAGTGACTGCTTAAAACTGCACAGACTATTATCACTCCTTTTTAGAATTCTATCGATGGTTCCTTTGTGTAATTCACAAGGCCCCTGACTGCAGGCTCAGTAACATATTTTGTCACTCTCCTGCTACACTAAGATAATATTTATACATACGCAGTTTTTTCCGTCAAAATGAAATTATTTACAGTTCTGAGTATGTTTGCCATTCAATAAACATTTGAGTGTTTACTCCTTTCCAGTCCCTGCATGCTAGGAGCTGGGTATACAGAGGGGAACAAGACAGACAGGATCTCCGCTGTCATGGGACTTTCTGTCTGGTAGGATAGACAGGTATTTTAAAAACTGTCACACAAATGTAGAATTACACATTTTGAAAAGTCCAGGCCGGGCGCGGTGGCTCATGCCTGTAATCCTAGCACTTTGGGAGGCTGAGGTGGGTGGATCATTTGAGTCAGGAGTTCAAGACCAGCCTGGCCAACATGGTGAAACCCTGCCTCTACTAAAAATACAAAAATTAGCCGGGCATTGTGGCGGGCACTTGTAGTCCCAGCTACTCGGGAAGGTGAGGCAGGAGAATCGCTTGAACCTGGGAGGCGGAGGTTGCAGTGCGCCAAGATCATGCCACTGCACTCCAGCCTGGGAGACAGAGCAAGACTGTCTCAAAAAAAAAAAAAAAAAGTCCAATGAAGGAAAAGAAGAGGTTGCTATGCGAGGAAATATCAGAGGTGACTAATTTAGAGGCCTCTCTAAAACATTGAGTGAAGACTTAAAACGGCCAGGTGCGGTGGCTCATGCCTGTAATCCTAGCACTTTGGGAGGCCAAGGCGGCAGATCACCTGAGATCAGCAGTTCGAGACCAGCCTGGCCAACATAGCAAAACCCTGTCTCTATCTAAATACACAAAAATTAGCTGGGCACGGTGGCTCGTGCCTGTAATCCCTGCTACTCAGGAGGCTGAGGCAGGAGAATCGCTTGAACCCGGGAGGCGGAGTTTGCAGTGAGCGGAGATTGCGCCAGTGTACTCCAGCCTGGGCAACAGAGCGCGACTCCATTTCACACACACACACACACACACACACACACACACACACACACACACAGACGTAAACAAATTTGAGACTTGCAAGATTAAGTAGGGGCTAGTTAGGCAAGAGTAAGAGTGGAGAGAGGGTGTTTCAGAGAGAGGAAATCTAATATGCAAAGACCTGAGAAGCAAGAGAGTTTGCCTCTTAAGGAATTCCTAAAAGGACAGTGGCAGCAGGCTGGTCAGTCGGGGGCACATGGGTCAAAATGAGTTTTGAGAGGCAGGTGGGGCTGGCATCATACCATTGTCTCTCACCTCTGTGCCTTTATGCATACTGTTCCTTCTCCCTGGAATGCCAGCATCTTACCTGCCTGATGCACAACTCTTCTTGCAGAGAGGAGTTCTGCCTTTTCCTTCTCTATAGAGTGTGAGACAGTCTTAAGTGCTTCAATTTCTGGGAGGTCCCATTGTCATATTATGTTGTAATTGTCACATTACATGTTTGTTTCTTCACTAATTTGTAAGCTCATTGAAGGTAGAGGTGTCTCTTTTATGGGGCTCAGTTGCTAGCACAGGGCCAAATGTTCTGTAGATATTGATAACATTTGAATGAATTTATGAAAGTCCATCCTTGTTGTTTTGCTTGTTTTGAGTATATATATATAATATATATTATATAATATATTATATATAATATATGTTATATAATATATATTATATGATATGTATAATATATATTATATAATATATTATATATAATATATGTTATATAATATATTATATGATATGTATAATATATTACATAATATATAATATATTATAATATATAATATATAATATATAATATATAATATATTATAATATATAATATATAATATATAATATATTATAATATATAATATATTATAATATATAATATATAATATATTATAATATATAATATATAATATATTATAATATATAATATATAATATATTATAATATATATTATATATAATTAATATATAATATACAATATATATTATATATTATATATATTATATATAATATATATTATATATTATAATATATTATATATTATATATTATATTATATAATATATATTATATACATTATATTATATATATTATATATAATATATATTATATATTATATATTATATTATATAATGTATATTATATATATTATATTATATATTATAATATATAATATATATATTTATATTATATAATATATATAATATATAATATATATTTATGTTATATAATATATATAATATATATAATATATATTATATATTATATATATATTTTTTAATTTTAATTTTTTTTTTTTAGACAGAGTTTCGCCTTGTCATCCAGTCTGGAGTGCAGTGGCGTGATCTCAGCTCACTGTAACCTCCGCCTCCCAGGTTCAAGTGATTCTCCTGTCTCAGTCTCCCGAGTAGCTGGGATTACAGGTGCACACCACCATGCCCAGCTAATTTTTGTATTTTTGGTAGAGACAAGGTTTCACCATGTTGGCCAGGCTGGTCTCAAACTCCTGACCTCAGGGGATCCACCTGCCTCGGCCTCCCAAAGTGTTTGGATTACAGGCGTAAGCCACTACGCCCAGCCTTGTTTTGAGTATATCTTGAGCATATATTGTGGATTCAGTTTAATACTAAGCACTTACTTCTTCTTTTTTTTCTTTTTTTTTTTTTTTTTGAGATGGAGTCTCACACTGTCGTCCAGGCTGGAGTGCAATGGCATGATCTTGGCTCACTGCAACCTCTGCCTCCCGGGTTCAAGTGATTCTCCTGTCTCAGCCTCCTGAGTAGCTGGGATTACAGGTGCCTGCCACCACGCCTGGCTAATTTTTTTTTTTTTTTTTTTTTTTTTAGTATTTATTGATCATTATTGGGTGTTTCTCGGAGAGGGGGATTTGGCAGGGTCATAGGACAATAGTGGAGGGAAGGTCAGCAGATAAACATGTGAACAAGGGTCTCTGGTTTTCCTAGGCAGAGGACCCTGCAGCCTTCCGCAGTGTTTGTGTCCCTGGGTACTTGAGATTAGGGAGTGGTGATGACTCTTAACGAGCATGCTGCCTTCAAGCATCTGCTTAACAAAGCACATCTTGCACCGCCCTTAATCCATTTAACCCTGAGTGGACACAGCACATGTTTCAGAGAGCGCAGGGTTGGGGGTAAGGTCATAGATCAACAGCATCCCAAGGCAGAAGAATTTTTCTTAGTACAGAACAAAATGGAGTCTCCTATGTCTACTTCTTTCCACACAGACACAGTAACAATCTGATCTCTCTTTCTTTTCCCCACATTTCCCCCTTTTCTATTCTACAAATCCACCATTGTCATCATGGCCCGTTCTCAGTGAGCTGCTGGGTACACCTCCCAGATGGGGTGGCGGCCGGGCAGAGGGGCTCCTCACTTCCCAGACAGGGCGGCCGGGCAGAGGTGCCCCCCCACCTCCCGGGCTGGGTGGCGGCCAGGCGGAGGCGCCCCCCACCTCCCGGATGGGGTGGCTGCCGGGCGGGGGCTGCCCCCCACCTCCCGGATGGGGCGGCTGGCCAGGCGGGCGCTGCCCCCCACCTTCCTCCCGGACGGGGCGGCTGGCGGGGCGGGGGCTGCCCCCCACCTCCTGGATGGGGCGGCTGCCGGGCGGACACGCTCCTCACCTCCCGGATGGGGTGGCGGTCGGGCAGAGACACTCCTCAGATCCCAGACGGGGTCGCGGCCGGGCAGAGGCGCTCCTCACATCTCAGACGGGGCGGCGGGGCAGAGGCGCTCCCCACATCTCAGACCATGGGCGGCCAGGCAGAGACGCTTCTCACTTCCTAGACAGGTTGACGGCGGGGAAGAGGCGCTCCTCACTTCCCAGACTGGGCGGCCAGGCAGAGGGGCTCCTCACATCCCAGACGATGGGCAGCCAGGCTGAGACGCTCCTCACTTCCCAGACGGGGTGGCGGCCGGGCAGAGGCTGCAATCTTGGCACTTTGGGAGGCCAAGGCAGGCAGCTGGGAGGTGGAGGTTGTAGCGAGCCGAGATCACGCCACTGCACTCCAGCCTGGGCAACATTGAGCACTGAGTGAGCGAGACTCCGTCTGCAATCCCAGCACCTCAGGAGGCCCAGGCGGGCAGATCACTCGCGGTCAGGAGCTGGAGACCAGCCCGGCCAACACGGCGAAACCCCGTCTCCACCAAAAAATACAAAAACCAGTCAGGTGTGGCGGCGCGCGCCTGCAATCCCAGGCACTGGGCAGGCTGAGGCAGGAGAATCAGGCAGGGAGGTTGCAGTGAGCCGAGATGGCGGCAGTACAGTCCGGCCTCGGCTCGGCATCAGAGGGAGACCGTGGAAAGTGGGAGACCGTGGAAAGTCGGAGACAGGGAGAGGGAGCAATTTTTTGTATTTTTAGTAGAGACGGGGTTTCACTATGTTGGCTAGGCTGGTCTTGAACTGACCTCATGATCCACTTGTCTCGGCCTCCCAAAGTGCTGGGATTACAGGCATGAGCCACTGCACCCGGCAATATAAGCACTTTCTTTTTTTTTTTTTTGAAACTGAGTCTCACTAGGATGGAGTGAGTGGCGCAATCTAGGCTCACGGCAACCTCTGCCTCCTGGGTTCAAGTGATTCTCCTGTCTCAGCCCCCCGAGTAGCTGGGATTACAAGCACGCACCACCAGGCCCGGCTAATTTTTGTACTTTTTTAGTAGAGACGGGGTTTTACCATGTTGGCCAGGCTGGTCTTGAGCTCCGACCTCGTGATCCGCCTGCCTGAGCCTCCCAAAGTGCTGGGATTACAGGCGTGAGCCACTGCATCCGGCCAATACTAAGCACTTTCAAGGCTCATATAGAATAGGAAGTACTGCCGTGGCTCATGCCTGAAATCCCAGCACTTTGGGAGGTTGAGGCGGGAGGATCACTTGAGCCCAGGAGTTCGAGACCAGTCCTGTCAACATAGACTGCATCTCTACAAAAAAAATTTAAAAATTATCCAGGCACGGTGATGCCTGCCTGAAGTTCCAGCTACCTGGGAGGCTGAGATGGAAGGATCATTTTGAGCCCAGGAGTTCAAGATTACAGTGTGCTGTGTTGTGCCACTGCCCTCCTGCCTAGGTGACAGAGGGAGACCCTGTCTCCAAAAAAAAAAAAAAAGGGAGATAACCTTTCTCAGGCATGTATACAGGCAAATACATTTAAATGCATAAGTGGAGGAGGAGACAGTTGGCATTGAAGATCCTATGGGCAGACTAAGCTGTGTTGGGCTAGAGTGCTTGCCTTCCTTTGATCTCCTTTGACACTTTGCACCTCTTCATTACACTGATCCCAGTCAGCAGTTACATAATAGAATGTAATACCCTTGGGAGCAGAACCTAGGGCATATTTGCCTCTATACTTGCCACAGCAGTAAGCACACTCATTCTGAGAGATAAGTGACAGGGTAACACAAAAGGAGCACTACTCAATATGGTACAAAGTGGTTAGGGGGTTGGGATACAAAAAAGACTGTGTGGGAAGATGGCCATCAGTGAAGGAAGGTTTTCTTGGAGGAGGTGATTTCTAAGCTGGATTTCAGAGAAAGTTACGATATTCAGTTATGGAGAGAAAGGGTGATGGATGCACAAGAAATTAGTGAGATGCGTTTTATGGAAATAAGCTGTAAATGTTCTAGGAAGTAGTTGGGCCATCTATTGGGATATATAGCAGCAGCTGGGAAGAAGGGTTGAGGTTAATGTGAGGGAATCGGGGAGGCAGTGACTGTAGGCTAAGAATGGTTGGAAAGATGATAGGAGCCTTAGTGTAGTGTCAGTGCTAAAGAGGGGATGTTGATACAGGATGTGTACAGCTCAGATGTCAAGGATGATGAAACTTGAAAAGGAATACTGCATTGAGTGCCTTCAGACAGCAGGTTGAATGGCATGACCAGCAACGATCTAGAAAAGTGGGAAGGAGAGGGTGACGGTGAAGGCAAAACTGGTGCCTGCTGGTTTGAGTTAGGCCATGAGGAAGTGACAGACATGGGTTAGAGAGTCGGTACAAAAGGACTTGTTACGGGTCGTATCTAGGCTGGTGAGCTCTTTGGATTTCAGATAGTGGCTAGAGATTATAGTAACATAGCACCTGGAAAGAAGGGGAGAAGCCAGCGCTGGGAAAGTGTTCTTGGGAGTGGTGAGAGGGTAATGATTGGACAGAGCCTAGGGAGAGTTTGAGCCTGAGAATGAGGTAATAGAAAACAAGCAGTCATGACAGTAAAAGGGACAGAAATTGGTGTTGAACAAGGCTCCTTCATAGCAGTACAGGAGACTTCCTCACTGTGGCAGTGCCCTGTATTTGCATCTCTGGGGATCTTAGAGTGCCTCGGGAAGCTGTGGTCCTGTGGGTTTGTGTGCAGAAAGACTTCAAGTGTACATGAACACATGACAGTAGAACAAATCTGTGTCCGGGTGTTCTGTGCACTTTTCGTCCCTGTTGACCCTCACATCCCCCCATGCACTGTTCTCTTCCTCTTTCCTTACTAGGTTGCCTGTGGCTGGAGAAAGGAATGTGCTCATCACCAGTGCCCTCCCTTACGTCAACAATGTCCCCCACCTTGGGAACATCATTGGTTGTGTGCTCAGTGCCGATGTCTTTGCCAGGTGGAGCCAGCTGCTCGGGGAGAGACCTCCTAAGGGAAGGGCGGGTCCCAGGGGAATAGGATGCTTCAAGGGTGGGGCTGGGGAGATCCCAAGGACAAGGAAGCGCTGAAGCGGGGCCCCCTAGCGATCACCATATTCCCTTGCAGGTACTCTCGCCTCCGCCAGTGGAACACCCTCTATCTGTGTGGGACAGATGAGTATGGTACAGCAACAGAGACCAAGGCTCTGGAGGAGGGACTAACCCCCCAGGAGATCTGCGACAAGTACCACATCATCCATGCTGACATCTACCGCTGGTTTAACATTTCGTTTGATATTTTTGGTCGCACCACCACTCCACAGCAGACCAAGTAAGTTTCCTCTAATGAGGCAGAAATGGGGCTTGAAGGCTGAGACTGGGAACAGTGGGAGTATCTTGGAGACAGAAGGAACCCGGGTGGCTGTCTGGGCACTCCTAAACTTAGGATCTCAATATCACCCTGGGCAGTTATCCAGGCATTTTTGAGGGAAGATGGTGTGTGTAGAAGCCTGACCAGGAGCTGAAGGAGCAGCTGAGGGAGGGCAGAGACCAGACGCAGGCTGATGGGAAATATCTATCTTCCCTCTAGTGCCTCCCTTCCTCTCTGTGTCCTGAAGTCTAAGACACTTCTTCCCACTCCTGTATGCATTTATAACACATAAACTCATTCTTCCTCTGCCTAATACTCATCCTTATAAAAACTTTGCATAGCCGGGTGCAGTGGCTCATACCTGTAATCCCAGCACTTTGGGAGGCCGAGGCGGGCGGCTCACCGGAGGTCAGGAGTTCAAGACCAGCCTGACCAACATGGAGAAACCCCATCTCTACTAAAAATACAAAAATTAGTTGGGCGTGGTTGTGGGTGCCTGTAATCCCAGCTACTTGGGAAGCTGAGGCAGAAGAATCTCTTGAACCCAGGAGGCGGAGGTTGTGGTGAGCCAAGATCATGCCATTGTACTCCAGCCTGGGCAACAAGAGCAAAACTCTGTCTCAAAAAAAAAAAAAAAAAAAAAAAGGCTGGGGCTGGGCGCGGTGGCTCACACCTGTAATCCCAGCACTTTGGGAGGCCGAGGCGGGCGGATCACGAGGTCAGGAGATCGAGACTATCCTGGCTAACCCAGTGAAACCCTGTCTCTACTAAAAATACAAAAAAAAAAAAAAATTAACCAGGCGTGGTGGTGGGCGCCTGTAGTCCCAGCTACTCTGGAGGCTGAGGCAGGAGAATGGCATGAACCCGGGAGGCAGAGCTTACAGTGAGCTGAGATAGTGCCACTGCACTTCAGACTTGGTGACGGAGTGAGACTGTCTCAAAAAAAAAAAAAAAAGGGCTGGGCGCAGTGGCTCACGCCTGTAATCTCAGCACTTTGAGAGGCCGAGGTGGGTGGATCACGAGGTCAGGAGTTCAAGACCAGCTTGGCCAACATGGTGAAACCCCATCTCTACTAAGAATACAAAAATTAGCTGGACCTGGTGGTGGGCACCTATAATCCCAGCTACTTGGGAGGCTGAGGCAGAGAATTGCTTGAACCCGGGAGGCTGAGGCAGGCAGTGAGCTGAGATCGCACCACTGCACTCCAGCCTGGGCGACAGAGCGAGACTCTGTCTCAAAACAAACAAAAAAACCCCCAAAACTTTACATAGTAGACAGGCCGCCAACTGATAGTGCTATGCAGTTTAGTTTAGCACTTGGACTGACTTAATTTTTAGGATATATTAAAGAACAGGCACAGTCCTATCCTATTGGAGATTTTTGTTAATGAAAAATACAAAACAGATAAATCTGTGTTCAACAAAAGTGAATTCTAAAGTGTTGAGGGGAAAGATTATGTGGGCAGTTGGGGAATATGTGTGATGGGTCTGAGCTCATCCAGTAAAACTCTCAAAAGATGAATAGATGCCCTTTTCCTTGAGGAGCCTTCTGCCTGATTTCTTTGTCACTGAGTTTGGGTCCCTGGTTGGAGTGGCAGGAGGAAGGGGTCCACCACGTCTTCTGACTGTCTCTTCCTGATCCCTGGCCCACCTCACCAGAATCACCCAGGACATTTTCCAGCAGTTGCTGAAACGAGGTTTTGTGCTGCAAGATACTGTGGAGCAACTGCGATGTGAGCACTGTGCTCGCTTCCTGGCTGACCGCTTCGTGGAGGGCGTGTGTCCCTTCTGTGGCTATGAGGAGGCTCGGGGTGACCAGTGTGACAAGTGTGGCAAGCTCATCAATGCTGTCGAGCTTAAGGTAAGAGGAGGGTCTCCATGGGAGCCCGGAAGGAGACAGTCCTTATTCTTAAGGGACGCCCTTCCTGTCCCATTTAGGATTTTTATTTTAGCATTCTAGACCTTTAACCAGTGGCCCTTTCTGCCCCATCTCAGCAACTCGTCATTTAGTTCATTTGAAAAATACTCCCTGAGCACTTACTATGTGCTGAGCACTGTGCTAAGAAACAGACAAGTTGAGTTTATATTTCCCAACCTTTGGTCTTGCATCACACCACCTGATCTACATTTGTTTAGATCCTTCTCTCTTCTTTAAATATCTTCTCTTCTAGCCATTTGTTAATTTATTTCTTCATTCATTTATTCAACATACATTTTTTGAATCCTTAGAATAGGCCAATTACAATTCTGCGTGCTGGGGGTATGGCAATGAATAAGACAGATTTTATTTAGTATGGTCAGGAGACCAACACTAACTAAGGAAATGATATAGAATAAACTGCCAGGAAAATGTGACAGAGAGTGACTTCTGGGGGAAGATCTAACTTAGGTAGATAGGGAAGGCCTTTCAGAGGCAGTAACATTTGAACTGAGAGTTTAACCAAAGAATTAGGAGCAAGCCAGGCAATAAGAGGTTAAGAATGTTCTAAGCGGAAGGACTAGGAAATGCAAAGGCCATGAGGCAGCTAAGAGCTGAAAAGGCAGAATTGGCAAGGCCAGTATAGCACTAGCACAGTGAGTGAGGAGGAGGGTAGACTGAGATGAGGTGAGAGAGATGGCAGGGGCCAGATCACCAGGGCCTGTGAAGCCATTGTGGGAATTTAGATTTTATTCTGGTGAATGACAAGCTGCTCTGTGGAAAATGGATGGCAGGGAAGCAAGAAATAAAGTATGTTGAAGGGGCTGGGCATTGGTGGCTCATACCTATAATCCCAGCACTTTGGGAGGCCAAGCTGGGTGGATCACTTGAAGCCACGAGTTTGAGACCAGCCTGGCCTGTAACATGGCAACCCTGTCTCTACTGAAAATACAGAAATGGCTAGGTGCGGTGGCTCACGCCTGTAATCCCAGCACTTTGGGAGGCTGAGGTGGGCAGATCACTTGAGGTCAGGAGTTTGAGACCAGCCTGGCCAACATGGTGAAACCCTGTCTCTACTAAAAAAATACAAAAATTAGCTGGGTGTGGTGGCGGACCCCTGTAATCCCCGCTTCTTGGGAGGCTGAAGCTTGAGAATCACTTGAACCTGGGAGGCAGAGGTTGCAGTGAGCTGAGATTGCGCCACTGCATTCCAGCCTGGGTTACAAAGTAAGACTCTGTCTAAAAAAAAAAAAAAACCACAAAAATTATCCAGGCCGTGGTGGCGCACACCTGTAATCCCAGCTACTTGGGAGGCTGAGGCAGAAGAATTTCTTGAACCTGGGAAGCGGAGGTTGCAGTGAGCCAAGATTGCCACTGCATTCCAGCCTGGGTGACAGAGCAAGACTGTTCCCCCTCCACCAAAAAAAAAAGTATGGAGAAGGATTTGGAGGCAACAAGGCTACAACCCAGAAATGGGATAATGGTGGCTTGCACTAGGTTAGTAGCACTAGAAATGGAAAAGAAAAAATAGACTTGAGGTATATTTTTGGAGGTAAACTCCACGGAGTTGGATAGACTGGAATTTGGGATGGTCAGGAAAAAGATGCCTTGTAAGTTTTTGGCCTGAGTAGATGGTAGTACCATCTGTGAACGTGAGTGAGGAGAACAGGCTTTCAGGTGGGATGCAGCCATACTGTTTGGGTTTGTTAAGCTTGAGATGCCTGTTAGATAGCCAGGCAGAGAAGTCAGGTAGACAGTTGGATATTAGGCATATGGAGTTCAGGAGAGAGGTCCTGAGGAATTATAATTTCTCACCTTCAAAAACTCAGATCAAAACTCACTTGGGGCCAGGTGTGGTGGCTCACGCTTGTAATCCCAGGACTTTGGGAAGCTGAGGCGGCCGGATCACCTGAGGTCAGGAGTTCAGACCAGTCTGACCAACATGGCGAAACCCCGCCTCTACTAAAAATACAAAAATTAGCTGAGTGTGGTGGTGCGTGCCTGTAATCCCAGCTACCAGGGAGGCTGAGGCAGGATAATCTCTTGAACCTGGGAGGTGGAGGTTTCAGTGAGCTGAGATTACGCTACTGCACTCCAGCCTGGGCGACAGAGCGAGATTTTGTCTCAAAAAAAAAAAAAAAAAGCAACAACAACAAAAAAAAAACAAGCCAGGCACGGTGGCTCACGCCTGTAGTCCGCGCACTTTGGGAGGCTGAGGCGGGCAGATCACGAGATCAGGAGTTTGAGACCAGCCTAAACAACATGGTGAAACTCCATCTCTACTAAAAATACAAAAATAAGCCGGGCGCGGTGGCACGTGCCTATAATCCCAGCTACTCAGGAGGCCGAGGCTGGAGAATCGCTTGAACCCGGGAGGTGGAGGTTGTAGTGAGCCAAGACTGCACCACTGCACTCCAGTCTGGGCAACAGAGTGAGACTTCGTCTCAAAAACAACAACAACAACAACAACAACAAAACTCTACTACAAAGCCCTCTCTGAAAGATGGAAAAAAGAGCAACAACAAAAAACTCGAAAGTTTTCATTCATTAGCTCCACCTAACTGTTCACTCCATTAGCCATCACCCTTCCATGTTTATATAGTCAGTTTATGCCACACAAATAAATTTATTTTGTAAAGATCTGCACTTGTTTCTTTTTTTTTTTTTTTTTGAGATGGAGTTTTGCTCTTGTTGCCCGGGCTGGAGTGCAATGGCGCGATCTCAGCTCAGTGCAATCTCCACCACCCAGGTTCAAGTGATTCTCCTGCCTCAGCCTCCTGAGTAACTGGGATTACAGGCACGCACTACCAAACCCGGCTAATTTTGTATTTTTAGTAGAGACGAGGTTTCACCATGCTGGCCAGGCTGGATTTGAACTCCTGACCTCAGGTGTTCCACCTGCCTCAGCCTCCCAAAGTGTTGGGATTATAGGCGTGAGCCACGGTGCTCAGCCACATTTGTGTCTTTTTCCTTTTTTTTTTTTTTGAGACAGAGTCTGCTCTGTCAGCAGCCTGGCGTGCGGTGGCATGATCTTGGCTCACTGCAACCTCTGCCTCTCAGGTTCAAGCAATTCTGCCTCAGCCTCCCAAGTAGCTGGGACTACAGGTGCACGCCACCATGCCCAGCTAATTTTTGTATTTTTAGTAGATACGGGGTTTCACTATGTTGGCCAGGATGGTCTCAATCTCTTGACCTCATGATCCGCCTGCCTCGGCCTCCCAAAATGCTGGAATTACAGGCGTGAGCCACCGCGCCCGGCCCACACTTGTTTCTTATATAAGCCATCTCTCCCTGACTTGTAGCTTCCTCAAAGAGAGGGGCTATGTCTTCACTTCATCACTCCTTCCTCCCCTCACACAGCCAAGTACAGTGCAGTGCTCTGTACCTAGCCTATGTTCAGAGAATGTTTTTTTTACTCTGGTGTGATGGGACAGAGATCTGAAACTCTGAGAACAAATGGAGTTATACTGAGAAGATTTGAGTCTCCATGTTTAGAGTAGGCCACATAGTAGAGTTATTGGAGTGTGAGCCTGAAGCTAAACTAGATGGCAGACTGAGGAGCTAATCCTTCTCTGCTCCTCCCCTTGCCTGGACCCCTCCCCTGGCCTGCAGGCCTGATCTGTCCTCTGGAATTTTCCTTCGCAGAAGCCTCAGTGTAAAGTCTGCCGATCATGCCCTGTGGTGCAGTCGAGCCAGCACCTGTTTCTGGACCTGCCTAAGGTAAGTGAGCTTTTCTCTCAACCTAGTTTTCAGGAGGCCTCTTCTGTCCCCTCTGCCTTAGCCACAAATACTGAGAGCAGATTACTCTTAAAAGTTTTAAATTTCCATTAAGAATTGTACATACTATTGTCAAGAGATGAAATAGATTAAAGGGCACAAAGTGAAAGCCCCAGGCCCACTTGCGAGAGGTATTTACTACTTTTTCCTTTGTGTCTATTCAGAAATGTCATATGCATATAAAAGTATTTTTATGTCTCTCTTTTTTTTTAAGGGATAGCTTCTCACTCTGTCACCTAAGCTGGAATGCAGTGGCATGATCATAGCTCACTGCAGCCTTGATATCCTAGGACCAAGCAATCCTCTCACCTCAGCCTCCCAAGTACCATGCCTGACTGATTTTTTTTTTTTTTTTTTTTTTTTTGAGACAGAGTTTCGCTCTTGTCGCCCAGGCTGGTGTGCAATGGCGCACTCTTGGCTCACTGCAACCTTCGCCTCCTGGGTTCAAGTGATTCTCCTGCGTCAGCCTCCAGAATAGCTGGGATTACAGGCGTCTGCCACCATGCCCGGCTAATTTTTGTATTTTTAGTAGAGACAGGGTTTTGCCATGTTGACCAGGCTGGTCTCGAACTCCTGACCTCAGATGATCTGCCTGGCTCAGCCTCCCAAAGTGCTGGGATTACAGGTGTGAGCCACCGCACTGGGCCACCTGACTAATTTTTAAAATGCTTTTGTAGAGATGGGTTCTCACTGTGTTACCCAGGCTGGTGTCAAACTCTTGGGCTCAAGCAGTTCTCCTGCCTCTGCCTGCAAACGTGTTGGGATTAGAGGCATGAGCAACTGTGTCCAGCATTGACCTCCTGATTTGTTTTTTTTTTTTTTGAGATGGAGCTTCTCTCTTGTTGCCCACACTGGAGTGCAATGGCACGGTCTCGGCTCACTGCAACCTCTGCCTCCCAGGTTCAAGCGATTCCTCTGCATCAGCCTCCCAAGTAGCTGGGGTTACAGGTGCCTGCCACCATGCCTGGCTAATTTTTGTATTTTTAGTAGAGATGGGGTTTCACCATGTTGGCCAGGCTGGTCTCGAACTCCTGACCTCAGGTAATCCATCCACCTCGGCCTCCCAGTGTGCAGGGATTACAGGTGTGAGCCACCATCCCAGCCTGACCTCCTTTTTAAAATACAGTGTTCCTCCTTCTGTACCCTGGGCTTGGAGAAAAAAAAAAATAGGCTGGGCGCAGTGGCTTATCATGCCTGTAATCCTAGCACTTTAGGAGGCTGAGGTGGGAGGATCTCTTGATGCCAGGAGTTGGAGACCAGCCTGGAAAACATAGTGAGACACTGTCTTTACAACATAATTGAAAAATTAGCCGGGTATGGTGGTGCGATCCTGTAGTCTCAGCTATGCAAGAGGCTGAGGTGGGAGGATCATTTGAGCCCAGGAGTTTGAGGTTACAGTGAGCTGTGATTGTGCCACTATACTCCAGCCTGGGCAACAGAGTGAGACTCTATCTCTAAAGCATAAAAAAATTAAAGGCCACATGCAGTGACTCACTCCTGTAATTCCATTACTTTGGGAGGCTGAGGTGGGAGGATTGCTTGAGCCTAGGGGTTTGAGACCAGCCTGAGCAACATGGCAAGACCCTGACTCTACAAACAGTGAAACAATTAACCTGGCCTGGGTGCAGTGGCTCACGCGTTAATCCTAACATTTTGCAAGGGCTACCTAGGTGGGCCGATGACTTGAGCCTAGGACTTTGAGACCAGCCTGGGCAACATGGTGAGACCCCATCTCTACAAAAAATACAGAAGTTAACTGGGTGAGTTGTGAGCAGCTGTAGTCCCAGCTACTCAGGAGGCTGAGGTGGGAAGATCACCTGAACCTGGGAAGGTTTGAGGCTGCAGTGAGCCATGATTGAACCATTGCACTGCAGCTTGGGTGACAGACTGAGACTCTGTATCAAAAAGAAAAAAAGAAAAAATTAGCCAAATGTGGTGGTGCACATCTCTGGCCCCAGCTACTTGGGAGGCTAAGGTAGGAGGGTTGCTTTGAGCCCAGGAGCTGGAAGCTATAGTGAGCCATGATTGTACCACTGCATTCCAGTCTGGGCAGCAAAGTGAGACCCTGTCTCAAAAATAAATAAATACATAAAATATAATAGTCCTCAGGTTGGGTTTGTTGGGTGTTTCCTCATGATTTCAGGCTATGCATTCTTGGTTGGAATACTACATAAATGACATTGTGTCCTTTTCAGAGCCACGTGATGGCCATCCCCTTCACTGGGAATCTTAATTTTGTTTGGTCAGGTGTTATTCAATTTGTTCACTGTGTGATTAATATTTTCCCCATTGCAACTTATGAGCAGTCTGGGAATACACTTTATTTTTTTCTTTTCTTGAGATGGAGTCCCGCTCTGTTGCCCAGACTGTAGTGCAGTGTTGTGATTTCAGCTCACTGCAACCTCCACCTCCCAGGTTCAAGTGATTCTCCTGTCTCAGCCTTCGAGTAGCTGGGATTACAGGCACATACCACCATGCCTGGCTAATTTTTGTCTTTTTTTTTTTTTTTTTTTAATTGACCATTCTTGGGTGTTTCTCGCAGAGGGGGATTTGGCAGGGTCATAGGACAATAGTGGAGGGAAGGTCAGCAGATAAACAAGTGAACAAAGGTCTCTGGTTTTCCTAGGCAGAGGACCCTGCGGCCTTCCGCAGTGTTTGTGTCCCTGGGTACTTGAGATTAGGGAGTGGTGATGACTCTTAACGAGCATGCTGCCTTCAAGCATCTGTTTAACAAAGCACATCTTGCACCGCCCTTAATCCATTTAACCCTGAGTGGACACAGCACATGTTTCAGAGAGCACAGGGTTGGGGGTAAGGTTATAGATCAACAGCATCCCAAGGCAGAAGAATTTTTCTTAGTACAGAACAAAATGAAAAGTCTCCCATGTCTACCTCTTTCTACACAGACACGGCAACCATCCGATTTCTCAATCTTTTCCCCACCTTTCCCCCCTTTCTATTCCACAAAACCGCCATTGTCATCATGGCCCGTTCTCAATGAGCTGTTGGGTACACCTCCCAGACGGGGTGGTGGCCAGGCAGAGGGGCTCCTCACTTCCCAGTAGGGGTGGCCGGGCAGAGGCGCCCCTCACCTCCCGGACGGGGCGGCTGGCCGGGCGGGGGGCTGACCCCCCCCCCACCTCCCTCCTGCATGGGGCGGCTGGCCGGGCAGAGGGGCTCCTCACTTCCCAGTAGGGGCGGCCGGGCAGAGGCGCCCCTCACCTCCCGGACGGGGCGGCTGGCCGGGCGGGGGTCTGGCCCCCCACCTCCCTCCCGGACGGGGCGGCTGGCCGGGCGGGGGTCTGGCCCCCCACCTCCCTCCCGGACGGGACGGCTGGCCGGGCGGGGGTCTGGCCCCCCACCTCCCTCCCGGACGGGGCGGCTGGCCGGGCGGGGGCTGACCCCCCACCTCCCTCCCGGACGGGGCGGCTGGCCGGGCGGAGGCTGACCCCCACCTCCCTCCCGGACGGGGTGGCTGCCGGGCGGAGACGCTCCTCACTTCCCAGACGGGGTAGCTGCCGGGCGGAGGGGCTCCTCACTTCTCAGACGGGGCGGCTGCCGGGCGGAGGGGCTCCTCACTTCTCAGATGGGGCGGCTGCCGGGCGGAGGGTCTCCTCACTTCTCAGACGCGGCGGCCGGGCAGAGGCGCTCCTTACATCCCAGAAAGGGCGGCGGGGCAGAGGCGCTCCCCACATCTCAGACGATGGGCAGCCGGGCAGAGACACTCCTCACTTCCTAGATGGGATGGCAGCTGGGAAGAGGCGCTCCTCACTTCCTAGATGGGATGGCGGCCGGGCAGAGACACTCCTCACTTTCCAGACTGGGCAGCCAGGCAGAGGGGCTCCTCACATCCCAGACGATGGGTGGCCAGGCAGAGATGCTCCTCACTTCCCAGACTGGGTGGCGGCACGGCAGAGGCTGCAATCTCGGCACTTTGGGAGGCCAAGGCAGGCAGCTGGGAGGTGGAGGTTGTAGCGAGCCGAGATCACACCACTGCACTCCAGCCTGGGCACCATTGAGCACTGAGTGAACGAGACTCCGTCTGCAATCCCGGCACCTCGGGAGGCCGAGGCTGGCGGATCACTGGCGGTTAGGAGCTGGAGACCAGCCCGGCCAACACAGCGAAACCCCGTCTCTACCAAAAAAATACGAAAACCAGTCAGGCGTGGCGGCACGCGCCCGCAATCGCAGGCACTCGGCAGGCTGAGGCAGGAGAATCAGGCAGGGAGGTTGCAGTGAGCAGAGATGGCGGCAGTACAGTCCAGCTTCGGCTCGGCATCAGAGGGAGACCGTGGAAAGAGAGGGAGAGGGAGACCGTGGGGAGAGGTAGAGGTAGAGGTAGAGGTAGAGGGTAGAGGGTAGAGGGAGAGCATTTTTGTATTTCTAATAGAGATGGGGTTTCACTATGTTGGCCAGGCTGGTCTCAAACTTCTGACCTCAAATGATTCACCCGCCTTAGCCTCCCAAAGTGCTGGGATTACAGGTGTAAGCCACTGCGCCCAGCCTTGAGGGAATACACTTTAAAGACCATGCAATACTTTGCTCTTCGTGAACAAAATATTCCCTATAAATGTAGCATTCATTGATCATTCTTACCTGAATCAATCTTTATTATGGTGATTTTCCAACTCTACCACTACTCTCTATATTTATCCTTCTCCCTCCATTTATTTTTTAATTTAGTTAACTATTTATTATCAGTATAGACTCATGGATTCCTATTTTTTTCAATTTCTTATAATCCTTTCCTGTCCTAAATTTATTTTCATGTTCAAATTGTTACTTATTTCATCAGTAGGAACGTATTCAAGGTGGCTTGTCTGCTTTTGAGATCTCCCATCATGTTTTAAACACTTCCTTAATTTGTGGCATAAAAAAATACTCTAGGTTCATCTGGTTCAGCCTTGAAATCAACCATGTCACCAACCTTGAGTTTAATTTAGTAGGGAACAGTATTAGATACCAAAATCTAGGTGGTAGATGTGCTCATTGCTACTGGGTGTCTTTGCTACTAGGACCTTTTATCAAAGAGAGTTGGTATTTGTTTTTTGTTGTTTGTTTGTTTGTTTTGAGACAGGGTCTTGCTGTCACCTAGGCTGGAGTGCAGTGGCACTATCTTGGCTCACTGCAACTGCCATCTCCAGGATTCAAGCGATTCTCCTGCCTCAGCCTCCTGAGTAGCTGGGATTACAGGCACCTGCCACCACACCCAGCTAATTTTTTTTGTATTTTTAGTAGAGACAGGGTTTCACCATGTTGGCCAGGCTGGTCTCCAACTCCTGATCTCAGGTGATCTGCCTGCCTTGGCCTCCCGAAGTGCTGGGATTACAGGCGTGAGCCATCGTGCCTGGCCAGTTGGTATTTATTTTAAGTTCACACTGACACCTGCAATTTCAGTCCATCCCCACAGAGTTCTTCGTCACTTTCTCTTATTTATTTCATGTCTCTATCTACCTTCTTCCACTGTAGGTGTCCTGGTTCTCAATAGGCATCAGCACATTTACTTATTAGCTCAATCCTACAATATACCTAAAACAATTTCAGAATTGCTTTGCTGGTACGTCTACAAAAAAAATAACCTATTAAAAAGAGTTTAGGATTTGTTGGCAATCCTGATTCCTCCCCTAGACTAAGGGTATATAGCCAAGTGTGTTCAAACAAAATTTTTTTCTAGAGACAGGGTCTCACTCTGTCACCCAGGCTGGAGTGCAGTGGCACAATCACAGCTCACCGCACTCTCAAACTCTCGGGCTCAAGTTATCCTTTTGCTTCAGCCTTCTGCGTAGTTGGGACTACAGGCGTGTACTATCATGCCTGGCTGATTAAAAAAAAATTGACTAGGCATGGTGACTCACGCCTGTAATCCCAGCAGTTTGGGAGGCCAAGGCAGGCGGATCATGAGGTCAATAGACCGAGACCATCCTGGCCAACGTGGTGAAACCCCATCTCTACTAAAAATACAAAAATTAGCCAGGCGTGGTGGCACCGACCTGTAGTCCCAGCTACTCAGGAGGCTGAGGCAGGAGAATCGCTTGAACCTGGAGGTGGGGAGGTTGCAGTGAGCTGAGATCGTGCCACTGCACTCCAGCCCGGGCAGCTGAGCAAGACTCCAGCTCAAAAAAATTTTTTTTTGGTTGGGCATGCTGGTTTACACCTGTAATCCCAATGCTTTGGGAGGCCAAGGCTGGAGGATTGCTTGAGCCTTGGAGTTTAAGACCAGCCTGGGCAACAGAGTGACACCCTACCTTAAAAAAAAAAAAGAAAATTTTTTTTTTCTTTTTTGCACTTCCTCAGCTGGCCATGGTGGTTCATGCCTGTAATTCCAGCACTTTGGGAGGCTGAGGCAGGAGGATCGCTGGAAGCCAGGAGTTTGAGAGTAGCCTGGGCAACAAAGCAAGACCCTGTCTGTATTTAAAAAAAGAAAAAATTGGTTGGGCACGGTGGCTTATGCCTGTAATTCCAACTTCCAACACTTTGGGAGGCTGAGGCGGGAGAATTGCTTGACCCCAGGAGTTTGAGACCAGGGTGGGCAACTTGGTGAAACCCATCTCTACTAAAAATACAAAAATTAACCAGGTGTGGTGGCACGTGCCTGTAGTGCCAGCTACTCAGGAGGCTGAGGTGGAAGGATCACTTAAGCCTGGGAGGTTGAGGCTGCAGTGAGCCATGATGTGCCACTGTACTCCAGCCTGGGTGACAGTGAGACCCTGATATGGACAAGATTAGCACATCCTCTGCACAAGAATGACATGCAAACTTGTGAAGTGTTCCATATTTTTAAAAATTAAAAAAAAAAAAATTTTTTTTAGGGACAGGATTTTGCTGTGTTGCCCAGGATGGTCATGAACTCCTGCCCTCAAGTGATCCTCCTGCGTCAGCCTTCGGAGTAGCTGGGATTACAGGCGCAAGCCACTGCCCCTGGCTGTGTGTTAAAAATCTAGTTAAGGCTGGGCAGGGTGGCTCACAACTGTAGTCTCAGCGCTTTTGGAGGCTGAGGTGGGCAGATTGCTTGAGCTCAGGAGTTCAAGACCAGCCTGGGCAATGTGGCAAAACCCTGTTTCTACAAAAATTACAGTCTGGCATGGTGGTGTGCACCTGTGGTCCCAGCTACTGGGGAGGTTGAGGTAGGAGGATTGCTTGAGCCCAGGAGGTTTAGGCTGCAGTGAGCTGTGATTATGATTGCACCACTGCACTCTAGTCTGGGCAACAGAGCAAGACTCTGTCTCCAAAAAAAAAGTTATATATTGCCAAATTGTGCTCCAAAAAGGTTATATGTGTTTATCCTTATGCTAACCATATATGAGACTTTCCTAAATCAGCCCTCTTTCTCCGTTATCTCAGCTGGAGAAGCGACTGGAGGAGTGGTTGGGGAGGACATTGCCTGGCAGTGACTGGACACCCAATGCCCAGTTTATCACCCGTTCTTGGCTTCGGGATGGCCTCAAGCCACGCTGCATAACCCGAGACCTCAAATGGGGAACCCCTGTACCCTTAGAAGGTTTTGAAGACAAGGTAAAAACCCTTTTTTATTCATATCATTCAGCCTTAGTGTTGAAACCCTGGGCTAGCAGAGTAGACTGCTGATTATGTCTTGTTTCAGTTTGAGACTTTGGATTGGTCCCTAACATGTTTACCTCCTTCTGACCTCCAGGTATTCTATGTCTGGTTTGATGCCACTATTGGCTATCTGTCCATCACAGCCAACTACACAGACCAGTGGGAGAGATGGTGGAAGAACCCAGAGCAAGTGAGCAGTTCTTGGTTAGGCTGTGCATGGGGAGGGTAGGCGGTAGGGTGTGGGTGTTAGGGTTGGGTGTCTGGTCTTCCTTGGGCCTTTGAAGGAGGTCTCAGGAAATCTCTCCTAACCACATTCCCCTAGGTGGACCTGTATCAGTTCATGGCCAAAGACAATGTTCCTTTCCATAGCTTAGTCTTTCCTTGCTCAGCCCTAGGAGCTGAGGATAACTATACCTTGGTCAGCCACCTCATTGCTACAGGTAAGTACCCTGGAAGACTACTGATGGGGTGTTCATAGGAAATGAGGGGTGAGGCAGTACTTGGAAAAAGATCTTGGAGAGCTGCTATCTTGAGTTAGGAGTTGAGCTGAAATAGGAAATAATTAAAATGAGAACTCAACCTAGAGAAACGAACAAGAACCTGAAGAAAGCAAAAGTCTAAAGCTAAAACTCTTTAGTAGATATAAGCAAAGAGAAAAAAGGGCCAGAATGGATAGGAAGGGACTCCCAAAATCTGAGCATACCAGCCCCTTAAGGAGAAATGTTGCTAGACACCCATAGTTGAGGTTAGAAAGAGGAAAGAAGGAAGAGTTAGTGGGCTAGAGAGGGGAAGGATGTGATGTGAGCAGATGGTTCTCACTCATTCTCCTCTGTCCAGAGTACCTGAACTATGAGGATGGGAAATTCTCTAAGAGCCGCGGTGTGGGAGTGTTTGGGGACATGGCCCAGGACACGGGGATCCCTGCTGACATCTGGCGCTTCTATCTGCTGTACATTCGGCCTGAGGGCCAGGACAGTGCTTTCTCCTGGACGGACCTGCTGCTGAAGAATAATTCTGAGCTGCTTAACAACCTGGGCAACTTCATCAACAGGTAGGACTTGGTAAGGGGTCAGAGTTAGCAGTGAGCTGGGGTGGGGCTCATTTTCCCTCAGGAGATGGGAATGTGGAGAGAACTAGAAAATGGGCAGGAGGCTGTGAGGACACTGTGGAAAGTTGATTTCTATTAATTGGGATCTGTTCCTAGCACATACTAGGCTATGTGTGCTTGATGGAACAGTTAGCTGTAGAGATGTGATTTAGCAAAGTTGGTTATAAAGTGGGTTTTTGTAAATTGTTTCCTTATTACTGTTCTTTGTAGAATTGAAGATGTATTCTCTCCCAGCAAAATAGTTCACCTGCAGATCATTGAAAAGTTTGGCTGAAGAAAGGGGTTATTTTGGTGTGGGGGTAGGAGGCTTCTGTGGGCTGGGCATGGTGGCTTACATTTGTAATCCCAGCACTTTGGGAGGCTGAGGCAGGAGGATCACTTGAGGCCGGGAGTTCAAGACTTGCCTGACCAACATAATGAATCTCCCATCTCTACAAAAAGAATCAGCCAGGCGTGGTGGCGCACACCTGTAGTCCCAGCCACTCAGGATGCTGAGGCGGGATGGTCTCTTGAACTTGGGAGATTGAGGCTGCAGTGGAGCAGTACTCGTACCCCTACACTCCAGCCTTGGCAAAAGAGGGAGATCCTGTCTCAAAAAAAAAAAAAAAAAAAGGCTTCTGCTATACTCTTCAGAGTTCAGAGTTTTTGTTACCTTAGGCTCACATTCTATCATTGGTGCCTATCTCAGCTCTTCTGCAATCTAAAGCAGTATTCTCCAGAATTTAGGATTCTTTAGTCACACTCTCTGAGCCCTGGACCCTTATAGGTCAGTCCTGCTACTCACTTTCAGCTTTGGTAATTAACCACATTTAATAAATAGTCCTTACCTACAGGAGTTCGAGACCAGCCTGGCCAACCTGGTGAAACCCCGTCTCCACTAAAAATACAAAAAGTAGCCGGGCGTGGTGGCGCACATCTGTAATCCCAGCTACTCAAGAGGTTGAGGCAGGAGAATCACTTGAACCCGGGAGGCAAAGGTTGCAGTGAGCCAAGATCATGCCACTGTGCTCCAGCCTGGGCAACAGAGTGAGAATCCTCAAAAAAAAAAAAAATTAAAAAAAAAAAAAAGTACTTGCCTAGAGTGTTTGTTTGATAGCAGTTAACACATACTCAGCTTGGTCATTTTGAGTAATGACTTTTTTTTTTTTTTTTTGAGATGGAGTTTCTCTCTTGTTGCCCAGGCTGGAGTGCAGTGGCGCGATCTTGGCTCACTGCAACCTCCGCCTCCCGGGTTCAAGCAATTCTCCTGCCTCAGCCTCCAGAGTAGCTGGGATTACAGGTGCACACCACCACGCCCGGCTAATTTTTTGCATTTTTAGTAGAGACGAGGTTTCACCATGGCCAGGCCAGGCTGGTCTTGAACTTCTGACCTCAGGTGATCTGCCCACCTCGGCCTCCCAGAGTGCTGGGATTTTAGGCGTGAGCCACTGCGCCCGGCCGAGTAATGACTTCTTAAAAATAAGAGGTACAGTTGTTTAACTTAATCAGGTTTCTTATGTGCAGAGTCAGATTCTTAGGGGAGAGAAAGAGTAAATAATTAGGCCTTGTCTACTAGCTTGAGGGAGCCAGGAGTTACCTGTTCCAGGCAGGAATCCTGAGAGAATGTACAGCTGTGGAAATTGGGTGAAATTCTAACAAGGAGACGGGATAATAACTTCCCCTCTTTTTTCCACTTCTGCTTTCCTACTCCCAACCAAGAGCTGGGATGTTTGTGTCTAAGTTCTTTGGGGGCTATGTGCCTGAGATGGTGCTCACCCCTGATGATCAGCGCCTGCTGGCCCATGTCACCCTGGAGCTCCAGCACTATCACCAGCTACTTGAGAAGGTTCGGTAAGTAACTGACACCTCTGTCTTTTCTGCTGGCATGTTGAGAGCCTCCTTGTATTGGTCTCTGTAGGACATTACACCTTGGCCTGCTTCCTCCCTTCCCAGGATCCGGGATGCCTTGCGCAGTATCCTCACCATATCTCGACATGGCAACCAATATATTCAGGTGAATGAGCCCTGGAAGCGGATTAAAGGCAGTGAGGCTGACAGGTAGGTAAGCGGGGAGGGTTGGCTAAAGGCATAAAGTGGCTTGTAAGCTGTATCCTCCTGGAGGTCTTGACTAATGTCTCCTCTTCCTCAGGCAACGGGCAGGAACAGTGACTGGCTTGGCAGTGAATATAGCTGCCTTGCTCTCTGTCATGCTTCAGCCTTACATGCCCACGGTTAGTGCCACAATCCAGGCCCAGCTGCAGCTCCCACCTCCAGCCTGCAGTATCCTGCTGACAAACTTCCTGTGTACCTTACCAGCAGGACACCAGATTGGCACAGTAGGTGGAAGAGCCAGCCTCTCTTAAAATTGATACTCTTGCCATGCAGCTTTTGGAGTGGGTGAGAGAAGACCTAACATCTCTCCAGTGTTACTTTGGTCATGGGACTCCTAAGTTTCTGATATAAAGTCCTTGGTAGTCGTTCACAAGTCCGGAATTATCTGTACATCTTCATTGTTCTTCATGCCAGAAACCAGAACCTGGCACACAAAACTAACTGGTAAACAGATATTTGAAGAAACACTGTGATCACCTAGTCTCCATAATGCTAGCAGATAGTGGGCAGGGAAAATACAGGAAAGCCATTTCCTCTTTGACACAAAATGAAAAAGTAAGTACATTGCTAAACTTCTGGATCAGCCTAGCATCCTTAGAGAGCTTAAAGAATCTTTGACCCTACAAATTATTTGGGGTTTCACAGGGAAAGCTACAGCTAATTTCCTAAAATCAGCAGATATTAGCTCAGTGTTAAGCTCGTTCTTTCTAAAACACATCAGAGATTGGGGTTGGAGAGGTCATCTGTATAGTCTATGGTAGAGTCTGTATCCAATCAGTAGATGATTCTGGAACTCTTTTTTTACAGGTCAGTCCCTTGTTCCAAAAATTGGAAAATGACCAGATTGAAAGTTTAAGGCAGCGCTTTGGAGGGGGCCAGGTGAGAAAGCTAAAGGCTGTGCCCTCGCTCCACAACAGCCACAGCATCACTTCCCTAATTTCCCTAAGTAGTCCTCACCCATCACTCTTTCCATCTTTTGGCCCTGCCGCTTCCTCACTTACAGTTTTTCTTTCCTGTCTTAACTAGAAGAGACCTTCGACTTAAAGGTAACCACTTTCCCTCTGAGATGCTGTATAAAACTGGAGGTTAGGGGATATTTATGGTTGCTGGTGATAACTTTGTTGTTCTCCAGGCAAAAACGTCCCCGAAGCCAGCAGTTGTAGAGACTGTTACAACAGCCAAGCCACAGCAGATACAAGCGCTGATGGATGAAGTGACAAAACAAGTATGAAGCTTAAGCCCTGTGGGAGACTGGACAAGCTGAATCCTAAATAGATCTTTTTCTTGCCTCACTGTTACCTCCCCACCCCCCTTTATCTTAGGGAAACATTGTCCGAGAACTGAAAGCACAAAAGGCAGACAAGAACGAGGTTGCTGCGGAGGTGGCGAAACTCTTGGATCTAAAGAAACAGTTGGCTGTAGCTGAGGGGAAACCCCCTGAAGCCCCTAAAGGCAAGAAGAAAAAGTAAAAGACCTTGGCTCATAGAAAGTCACTTTAATAGATAGGGACAGTAATAAATAAATGTACAATCTCTATATACAAGCTGAGACCTTTCCTTTTGTCTACTCCAAGCCTTCCCCCTGCGTATGTGGGATTGAGGGTCACATCATTGGCACTAGTGAGAGGGTAGTCAGTAGCCACTTCTGGGAAAGGTGGGTAGTGTGGCCCAAGTGGGGGACTGATGCTCCCAATTGTTCATGCTTGGTGCAGATTCACCATTCGGTCAATCAGAGCTCGGCGAGTCGCCTCTACTTCCCTGGTCAGGCGCTCGATTTCCTGCTTGAGCCGTTCATTCTCTTCAGCTAGCTGTGCCACTTTCCTTTCATTCTCCTGTTCTTTCTCCTTCATGCGCTGCTTTCCAGCCCGGGCTGGGGAATGACCACTCTGTTTCCGTTTCCTGGTTCTCCCTTGGTCTTCCTCCTCTTCCTCCTGAGCCAGGGAGCTCTGACTGGAATCTGGAGAGTGAGGGCTCTGGGAGGTGCTTGTGACCTCTGCTGGTTCTGGCTCCTCCTCAGTCAGCCAAGCCAGAGAAGCAGGGTCAAGAGTGGTGAAGATTTTTGATTCTTCCTTCAAGGAAATGAGGAAAGGGAACATAGATATTAGTTGAGAAGGGAAAGGTAACATCCCCCTTTAGCTTTAGGGCTAACATTCTTACCTCTTCATTTCCAGGAGGTGAAACATAGGTACCCCCATTTTCATCTGAAGACAGGACCTCTTGCAGGTCCTCATACCAGGCTTCCAGCTCCCAGCTGGACAGTGTCCCGAAGGAGAAAGGCAATGACTCAGCTGCCATCTCTGCAGTTGGATCAGTCTGGAAAAGCACATCTGCAGGATAATGGGGAGTGGCTGGAACAAGCTCCATGTAGCAAACAGTCTATGCCACAAGTTGGCAAGCTGGTCTGATGCCTGTTTTTGTAGGTAAAGTTGTACTGGAATACAGCCACATCTGTTTATTTACATATTGTTTATGGCTGCTTTGGTGCTACAGTGGCAGAGATGAAGAGTCACGCTAGAGACTATAGGACTTTTAACATCTAAAATATTTACTGTCCTGCCGTTTAAAATTTTTGGAAAAGGGTAGGTTAAGTTTACCTGCTTTCAGGTGTGGTGATGTATGAAGATACACTTCCTTCTTGAACACTGTGGGCAACAAAGAGAAATGTCAGCCATTTTTGGAAGGGGGAGAGGCAACTTACTTTTCTTTTTCTTTTTTTCTTTCTTTTTTTTTTTTTGAGACCAAGTCTTGCTCTGTTGCCAGGCTGAAGTGCAGTGGTGCGATCTCGGCTCACTGCAACCTCTGCCTCCTCGGTTCAAGTGATTCTTCTGCCTCGGCCTCCCGAGTAGCTGGGACTACAGGCGCGTGCCACCACGCCCAGCTAATTTTTGTGTTTTTAGCAGAGATAGGGTTTCACTATGTTGGCCAGGATGGTCTCCATCTCTTAACCTTGTGATCCATCGCTTCCCAAAGTGCTGGGATTATAGGCATGAGCTACCGTGCTGGGCCCTTATTTTTCTTTTACCTCCAGCCTCCTACTGGTCCTTCCTTACTTCTGGTCTTGTGGGGTATGCATACTTGGTCCCTGTAGCCATTTCGAAGGGCAGAAGAGGGCCTGACTTTCTTTATTTTTAGTTGCTGACATTTGTAGTCCTGGTTACATAATAGTAAAGTCCTGGCCAACTCAGCTTTCTCTAAATCCAAAGCAGGCCTCAAATCTGCCAGGGTAAAAACTAAACTACAGGGAAGGGAACAAATCATAGCATTTTCCTAACTCCATTCCCACAGGGCTGACATCCTCCAAATGTACATTTCCAGTCTGGACCTCTTCCAGAACTTCAGACTCTGCTGTCTACTGCCTACTTGCCATTTCTTTTTCAATGTCTAATAGGCACCTAAGACTATGTGCAAAGGCAAACTCTTGCTGATTTTCCCCTTCCAAGGTCATCCCCATCTCAGATGACAACTCTAGTTGCTTAAGCTAAAAACCTTGGTATCATCCTTCATTCCTCTTCTCTCACACCCTGCAATCCAAAGTACTAGCAAATTTTAACTCATTCCTTTTTTTCTGAGACGGGTCTCACTCTTTTTGCCCAGGCTGGAAGGCAGTGGCGCAATCGGCTCACTGCAACCTCCGCCTGCTGGGTTCAAGCGATTCTCCTGCTTCAGCCTCCGGAGTAGCTGGGATTACAGGCATGCACTGCCATGCCCGGCTAATTTTTGTATTTTTAGTAAAGATGGGATTTCACCATGTTGGCCAGGCTGGTCTTGAACTCCTGACCTCAGGTGATCCACCCACCTCTGGTCTCCCAAAGTGCTGGGATTACAGGTGTGAGCCACCATGCCCGGCCCTTAACTCATTCTTTAAAAATGAGTTTTTAAAACCTTTGCTTAGAAGAATCTAAACACTTCTAATTCCATTGTTTCCAATCTAGATCAATTCACTACCATCTCTAAATTACTGCAGAAACTTTCTGACTGCAGAAGGTCTTCCCATTTCTTCTCTTGCCACCCCTCCGCAACTCTATTCACCATACAGCAGCCTGAGTGAGCCTTTTAAAACAGGTCATTCCTCTGCTCAAACCCTCCAATGACTTCCTATTTCATGTCATGGAAGTCACTGAAGGGTTTTGAGTGGAGGAATTACCTAAGGTAATTCCTGACCACCTGATGTAACACTCTGACCTCCATCCTGAACATTCTCCATTCCTTTCTCTGCTTTAGCTTTCTCCGTGGCACTTATATTTTGTTTACTGTAGGCCTCCCACTGAGATGATTTTTTCCTCTTGCTCAAGGATGTACCCTGAGCCCCAAACTGTGTGGCACACAGTAGGTCCTCATTAAGTATTTGTTAAGAATGAATGGATAAACTCCCCCCAGTCTCTCTTATAGGGAAGGGGCAGAAGCAGAGTGGCAGCTGCTGATCCCTAGGGGCTAGAGATGCAATATTGCCCGAAGTATTTCTCTGCAGGGCTGTCCTCCCTGGGGAACCCTCCCTTGCCTTCCAGTGTGTGGGACTTGGCTTTCATCAGCAGTAGAGCCTCAGGTCAGAAGGCTGCAGAGCCAAACGGGGCTGGCCTGATGCAATGGTTACACAGAGATTAGCTGGGAGACAGGACCGGGTTAAAGAGGCAGGGACTAATCCCGAGGGAAGGACAATACCCTGGGGAGACCCCAAATGGCCTCCTACACTTAAGAGATCCAGGCTGCTCTCTTGTGCAGGAGGCCCAGAGACCTCTACGGCAAAAGGAAAACACACCACTCCCTGTCCATCGGCACCCCTCCCAAAGGCTTGTGTCTCCTCAAGGTTCCCCTATCCGCTGCAGGGTCCAGTAGCCCCAGCTACCAAGGTGGCCATGCTGACACCAGAGGCACTGAGACTGAGACAGAATTGGGGGTGGGGTAGGGAGAAGGCCCGCTGGTGGCGAAGCGGCGGAAACGGCCTGAGCGATGGTCACCCAGTCTTAGAGCGGGGGTGTGTCCTGCTGACCTGCCTCCCCGCGGACAGGCCTAACGATGAGGCCTGAAGTTGGCTACGGGAAAGAATGAATTTCCCAAGGGCAACCGAGGTCCCTTTGCCCAGCAGCACAGAGCAGGGCCCGTGTTCCGGCTCCGGGCAGGGGTGGAGAGACGCCGTCGTCCGAAGCAATAGGGGTTTGTAAGCACCACCCCAGAATAAGGGACTCTCCCCATTCCTCTCTCGGACGGTCCCTAACTTCACTGTGGAGGAGTGAGGCCGATCCTAAAGAGCGGACGCCCCAACTTTGAGGAGACGGGAGGGTAAAAGGTAGATGGGAATCAGTACTCGCCTCTCTCCTCAGGTTCCAGCTCTGATTTTGGCTCTGTCGCTGCCACCCGCTCATCTTTAACATGATACGCTCAGTGCCTTAGACTTAAGTCTCTGACCTCGGGAGCGCCTGGCTGTAATCTTTTACCATGGCCTTGCCCTCCTCTCAGGGGCGGGACCCCAAAACCTACCAATCAGAAAGTGGCACGCCGGCATTGGCCCCGCCCCGTCCCTCGCATCCGCCACTCAGGAGCCCCGCGGCACCGCCCCCGTCGCTCCCTCTCGCTAGGGGGTCGACGTAGTGTCGGACCCGGAAGTGGCTTTGGGTCACGAGGCTTCACGGAGGAGGTGGGTGAGTCATGCGCGCGCGCGGAGGGGAGTGTAGCGGGGGGGGAGGGGAGGAAAGGGGGGCGGGGATGATGCAATGTTTGGCAACCGGTGTCTGCACGCGCACGCGCAGGGGACACCGAGGGTGGTGGGAGGTGCGGAGGGTGGGGGAGAGGAGAGAGGGCGGGGCGCCAGCTCCCGGCGCCCAACGGCCCCAACGGCTATCAGCCTTGGTCGCCCCTAGTCGGTCGTGAGCCTCTTTGCCGCTTGTCTCCCCCAGAAGCTGCTGTTCCGCCCACCTAGCTTTACCCGCCGTTTTACCCCCACTATAAGGGACTCCCATATTTCTTGGCCCCTCCCAGCTAATGGGCACATAGGCCTTTTGAACTTTTCTTTTTAAAGTTGGTATCCATCCACTGGGATTGTCGACATCTCGAGTCTTCTTAAAGAGGTCTCCTGGCCGGGCTCAGTGGCTTACGCCTGTAATCCCAGCACTTTGGGAGGCTGAGGAGAGCGGATCACTTGAGGTCAGGAGTTCGAGATCAGCCTGACCAACATGGTGAAACCCCGTCTCTACTAAAAATACAAAAATTAGCCGGGTGTGGTGATGCGCGCCTGTAATCCCAGCTACTCTGGAGGCAGAGGCAGAAGAATCGCTTGAACCCTGGAGGCGGATGTTGCAGTGACCGAGATCGCGCCACTGCACTCCAGCCTGGGTGACAGAGCGAGACTACGTTTCACCAAAAACAAAAAACAAAACAAACAAACAAAAAAACGGGGGTGGTCTCCTGTTCTAGCCCCGTAAATCTCCCAAAAGGGGCCGAGGTACTGGAATCCCTTGGTAGTCATTTTCCGCTTCTCTCAGAACAGCGCCCTTGACTTTTACCTTGTAGTTGGTAAGCCCTCAGCCTGCCAGAAGTCATGTATTTTGCCCAGTGGACCCGATTCTGTTTGGCCACCTATTTTCCCCCACGGTACTCCTATGGCTTTCTCCAAGACCCTCTCTTGCTGTACCAGACAGCAAGTCCTGTGACTCCCTGTGTGAGGAGCGCGGCACAGGCCTGCCTCCTAGGTGTTCGGGTCGAGATTTACAGCGGAGTCTCATCCCGGGACGTGTGAGTGCACTTCAGCGCAGGACTGCCCTGGACTGGGGAGACCGGAGCCGCGATTTTAGACTCAACTCCCCATCACTTGCCAAGGGATCTTACCGTCCTTGTTTGTAAATTAAAGATAAAAGTTGTGAAGGTAAAATGAGAACCATGAACTTGGAGGCAACTTGACCAAAAGTAAAACGCACCACCCAGAATGCAAAGTATTTTTCTTGTGCCTTGAAAACAGAGGCCATGTGGTGGCCTGTTACATATCCTGTCATACCCTCATGGGGGCAGCCAGAGTTTAAGTAGAAACTGTCACAAGGCCGGTTGTGACTGGAGTGGTGTGGCAATGACAGGTCTTTGGTTAGGCTGCTCCGCTGCTCCACACCTCCATTTCCTCTCTGAAAATGGGGGTAGTGTGGAGGGTGGACCAGATGGTCTCCCCTGGCCTAAAGACAGACCAGGTTGTCAGTGACAGGCAGAGGTCATGTGACTTGACAGGCTGAGGTCGTGTTGTGACATGTTGACCTGGGGAGGCGGGTCAAGTCCCAGCACACTACCCGGGAAGCCTTTGGGGCGGGGCAGGGCAAGTCGCGACTTTCATCTTTCGGGGCCTGGCCCCTCCCGGACCTGGCATTCCTGGTTCCCGCAACAGACTGTGGCTTTGGAAGGGGCCCCTCCCTGAGGAGGGCTGGGATTGGCCACCAGTGGCCTGGGAAGAGGCGCAGATCCTTCCGCGGAGGGCGGGGGGGCCGCGTGGGGTGTTTGTTCTCTTGGGGATTAATGGGGGGTTGTGGGGGAGGGGTAGGCGCGCTCCCGCATGCGCACTGCAGCCCCTCCAGTTGGCTCGTCGCTGTCCGCTGGGCGGGGGCCCGGCCCCGCCCCTCTCCCGTCCGGGCAGCGGCGGAGGCGGCGGCTCCTGCGGCGGCGGCTGCGGCAGCGACGGCGGCGGCGGCAGCGGCAGCAGCCTGCGCAGTGCCTTCTGGGAACGGAATCCCCAGGGCTGCCCCTGGCCCCCATGGCGCATGCGCGGGAGGCCGCTCGGTGATCCGCGGCGGCGGCAGCGGCGCTTCCTGCTAGGACCGGCCGGGGCCGTACCGGAGGCTCGGGCTCCACCGACCCTCCTCCCACCCCCTCCCACTCACCCTCTGGGCCGCGACTGCGCAGGGCGGGGCCGGCCGAACCATGGGCCGCGGTGAGTGCGGGGCCCGGCCCCCCCCACCCTGCCCCTCCCCCTCCCGTCCCTACCCTCTGCCCCCTCCGCGTCCTCTCGGCCCCTTTCCCCGGCCCCATCCCCACTCCCCCGCCCTCACCTGCCCCCGCCGCTTCTCCCTCTCACTGCCAGACTTCTGCCTTCCTCACCGCCCTCCCCTCAGTGCTTCGCCCACCCTCCGCCCGCCCTCTCCCCAAGTTCCTTCCTACTTCGTGCGCCTTCCCCTCCTCCTCAAGCTGAGGGAAGCAGTCTGGGTGACAGGGCGCCTTGTTGTGAGAGGGAAAGTTTGGAAGCCGCCAGTGTGGGGTGGGAGCAATGGTGAGGCTGGGGAGGATACCTGCAGGTTGGAGGGGCTTCCCCTTCTATCGGAGGACAGGCTCTCTTGGAGATAATCGGAAGCCAGTGGAATAGGAGGTTCTGAATCCCTTTGCCGTAGGCTTGAGGGAAAATCAGGAGCTTCCCAGGATCCTGGGAGAAGACTGAGCTGTGATCCTCACCTCTTAAGACCCGAATGAACTATATCAGCGATTGTCTGATGGAGCAGGCATGGGGGGAGTTCTGCTGGTACCACCCCAGCGGGCAGTTGGGCAATTGCCTGGTGACCTGTGGGGCAATCTGTACTTTTTATATCATCTTCCTGGGTAGAGAACAACAGGAGCCAGACACTCTGGGAAACTTCCTAGTGGCCTAGCATTATGGGAATGTGCCCATACTCCTGGTTGAAGTCTTCTACTCCGAATGGAGGGAGGCCTTGCCCTTCATATGCCTAAGAATTGGGCTAGACTTTCTTGGTCCCAGGGAGCTGAGGTTCTGACCCTCTGGTCCCTAGGGACTGGGCTTGGAAAGGATGGTTGTAGACTAAGCCAGCAGATCCCCGAGATCTTTATAGGTGCTTGCCTCACATTGTTAAGGATCTTTCTTTTGAGAGGGTGCTGGGCTGTGCTGCTCTTTAGAGTTGGGCAGACTCCTGACAGTCCCATCTCTCTACTTGCGTTGCAGGTGTGGGCTAAGCTGGTGGCCCCGGCTTTAGACTGGACCCCACAATGTTTGCAGAGATGTTCAGGTAGCTGTGGTGATACGGCAGAGGACTCCTCAGTCTCCCTCCCAGCTGAGGGGTTCCCCTTGCTCCTCTGGGGCTTCCCCTGAGTTTTCTTGGGTCTCCCCACAACCTTTGCCTTCCTGGAGTCCTCTCTCAGGTACTTCGCTCAGTTTAATCCTCCTAGTGCCTACATGGATGTCTGTGTTATCAGGCACGCGGGAGCTGATTACACACAATGAATGGGGGCAATGAGAGCAGTGGAGCAGACAGAGCTGGGGGCCCTGTGGCCACATCTGTCCCCATCGGCTGGCAGCGCTGTGTGCGAGAGGGTGCTGTGCTCTACATCAGGTACGGATCTTCACAGGTCCCCAAGCTCTGCCACTCCAGTTGCCCAGGTTTTCTTTCTTCCGTTTCTTCTCTCAGCTCAGCTCTCTGGTACCCGATTGCTCTCCTCTCTTCCCCTTCCTTCCTCAGCCTTTTTGCTTTCTGTAGCTCTGGGCCTTTGAATCCATTCTCCCTTTTTCTGTGTCTTCCCACATTCCTTATCCTCTGTTCTTCTAGGAGGATCTGTAACTTAAGCACTGTGCTTTAGGAGTATTGCCTGATTCGCTGCCAGCTAACCCCATGTCCTCTGACCCTGTCCTCTCGCAGTCCAAGTGGCACAGAGCTGTCTTCCTTGGAGCAAACCCGGAGCTACCTCCTCAGCGATGGGACCTGCAAGTGCGGTCTGGAGTGTCCACTTAATGTCCCCAAGGTCAGAGTGGTGAGGGGCGCCTGAGAGTACAGAGATAAGCTAAAAGTCTTAATGCAAATCACTGACTGAGGTAGCCCTTCTCACAGGTTCCAGCCCCTCAGGGTCCCTGTCCTTGCTTTCCACCTTACAGGTTTTCAACTTTGACCCTTTGGCCCCGGTGACCCCGGGTGGGGCTGGGGTGGGGCCAGCATCAGAGGAGGACATGACCAAGCTGTGCAACCACCGGCGGAAAGCTGTTGCTATGGCAACTCTGTACCGCAGCATGGAGACCACCTGCTCACACTCTTCTCCTGGTGAGTCTTCTGCCACTTTACAGAAGACCGAGGAAAACCTAAGGGCTTGGAAGGCTGGTGGTGGGAGGAGTTCCTTGAGAGGGAGCAAAGAGAAAGGGGAGTGGGTGGGGAGCTGCATGTTGAAAGGAGGGCACAGGGAGGTTGGGAACTTGTGGGAGATGGGACTAGAGAAGACAAAAGAGTTTTTGGAAGGGGAGCCACAGGCTGACCCTTCATTTTTCATTTATTGCAGGAGAGGGAGCGAGCCCCCAAATGTTCCACACTGTGTCCCCAGGGCCCCCCTCTGCCCGCCCTCCCTGTCGAGTTCCTCCTACAACTCCACTTAATGGGGGTCCTGGCTCCCTTCCCCCAGAACCACCCTCAGTTTCCCAGGCCTTTCCCACTCTAGCAGGCCCTGGGGGGCTTTTCCCCCCAAGGCTTGCTGACCCAGTCCCTTCTGGGGGCAGTAGCAGCCCCCGTTTCCTCCCAAGGGGCAATGCCCCCTCTCCAGCCCCACCTCCTCCACCTGCTATCAGCCTCAATGCTCCCTCATACAACTGGGGAGCTGCCCTCAGATCCAGCCTGGTGCCCTCTGACCTGGGCTCTCCTCCGGCCCCTCATGCCTCCTCCTCACCACCTTCAGACCCTCCTCTCTTCCACTGTAGTGATGCCTTAACACCCCCTCCCCTGCCCCCGAGCAATAATCTCCCCGCCCACCCTGGTCCTGCCTCTCAGCCACCAGTGTCTTCAGCCACTATGCACCTGCCCCTGGTCCTGGGGCCCCTGGGAGGGGCCCCCACGGTGGAGGGGCCTGGGGCACCCCCCTTCCTTGCTAGCAGCCTACTCTCTGCAGCGGCCAAGGCACAGCATCCCCCACTACCCCCTCCCAGCACTTTACAGGGCCGAAGGCCCCGTGCCCAGGCACCCTCAGCTTCCCACTCCTCATCACTTCGTCCCTCTCAGCGTCGTCCCCGCAGACCCCCTACTGTATTTCGATTGCTAGAAGGGAGAGGCCCTCAAACCCCTAGACGGAGCCGTCCTCGGGCCCCTGCTCCTGTCCCCCAACCCTTTTCTCTCCCGGAGCCATCCCAACCAATTCTCCCTTCTGTGCTGTCCCTGCTGGGACTCCCCACCCCTGGCCCTTCCCACTCTGATGGAAGCTTTAACCTTTTGGGGTCAGATGCACACCTTCCTCCTCCCCCAACCCTCTCCTCAGGGAGCCCTCCCCAGCCCAGGCACCCCATCCAGCCCTCCCTGCCTGGGACCACCAGTGGCAGCCTCAGCAGTGTGCCAGGTATGTGAGTATTGTGGAGCCCTTCCTCATCCTGGCTGGAAAGAGGCAGCCAAGGCATTTAGGGGAATGTTCAGAGAGCTCTTTGAGGGTTTTCTGGGTTGGGGGCAGGGAGGTTGGCTTCTTTGGATGATGGGAGAAAGGGCCTCCCTTGAGCTGAATTTCTCTCCTCTTTTACAGGTGCCCCTGCCCCACCAGCTGCCTCCAAAGCCCCAGTAGTCCCCAGCCCTGTGCTTCAAAGCCCATCCGAAGGACTGGGGATGGGGGCAGGCCCGGCCTGCCCTCTGCCTCCCCTGGCTGGTGGAGAGGCTTTCCCTTTCCCCAGCCCTGAGCAGGGCCTGGCACTGAGTGGAGCTGGCTTCCCTGGGATGCTTGGGGCCTTGCCTCTCCCTCTGAGTCTGGGGCAGCCTCCACCTTCTCCATTGCTCAACCACAGTTTATTTGGTGTGCTGACTGGGGGAGGAGGACAACCTCCCCCTGAGCCCCTGCTACCCCCACCAGGAGGACCTGGTCCTCCCCTAGCCCCAGGAGAGCCTGAAGGGCCTTCGCTTTTGGTGGCTTCCTTGCTTCCTCCACCACCCTCAGACCTTCTTCCACCTCCTTCAGCACCTCCCAGCAACCTCCTTGCCTCTTTCCTGCCCCTGTTGGCTCTGGGCCCCACAGCTGGGGATGGGGAGGGATCTGCAGAGGGAGCCGGGGGTCCAAGTGGGGAGCCATTTTCAGGCTTGGGAGACCTGTCCCCCCTACTTTTCCCCCCACTTTCAGCCCCCCCTACCCTCATAGCTTTAAATTCTGCGCTGCTGGCTGCCACCCTGGATCCCCCCTCGGGGACACCCCCCCAGGTGAGGATGGGGGTGAGTAGGTGGGACAGAACAAGATGTAGAATAAGAGATGGGAGCTGGGAATCAAAAGCTTTCAGTTTCATTCCTGAGCTCTTCCTTGGGGCCTTTGGGGAGGCCTTAGTTCTTGGCTGGGGGTAGGATGACTGCAAGAATTGGGTCTGTATTTAATAAGCATGGCCTATCTCACTTGAGGCTTCAGTCAGATAGTGGATGTGAAAGCACTATAAATCTGTTGAGTATTTTACACGCGTAAGTGTTAGAATCATTCTTTTTTCTTAGCCCTGTGTCCTGAGTGCCCCCCAACCTGGACCACCTACCTCCAGTGTCACCACGGCAACTACTGACCCGGGGGCCTCCTCTCTGGGCAAGGCCCCCTCCAACTCAGGGAGACCCCCCCAACTCCTTAGCCCTCTGCTGGGTGCCAGCCTGCTGGGTGAGTCTGAGGGAGTGTGAATTCACACTCTTGGTGTGAAAAAGCAGGAGTAAAACTTGGGAGTAGTGGCTGAATAAATTGGGGAAGAAAGTCTTTGGCCACTGGATAAAGCCTAAAGAGAATAGTAGGTCTGCTCAGCCTAATTGGTTTGCCTAGGGAGAGACCCCTGACTATAATTTCTCAACAGGTGACCTGTCTTCACTGACCAGCAGCCCTGGAGCCCTCCCCAGCCTGTTGCAGCCTCCTGGCCCTCTTCTCTCTGGCCAGTTGGGGCTGCAGCTCCTCCCTGGGGGGGGAGCTCCTCCACCCCTCTCAGAGGCTTCTAGTCCCCTAGCCTGCCTGCTACAGAGTCTCCAGGTGAGGGTGTGGGCATATATTTGTCAGGGAGATAATTTTTTCTCAAACTGGAAATTTAGGGCTTTCTGAGTTATAGTAGAAGAGGGACGGTATTTGAGATTGACTGAGAACTTATTTTTTTGCCAGCAGATCCCTCCAGAGCAGCCAGAAGCCCCCTGTCTACCCCCCGAGAGCCCTGCCTCAGCCCTCGAACCAGAGCCTGCCAGGCCTCCCCTCAGTGCCTTAGCCCCACCCCATGGTTCTCCCGACCCCCCAGTCCCTGAGCTGCTCACTGGGAGGGGGTCAGGGAAACGGGGCCGGAGGGGAGGAGGGGGACTTAGGGGCATTAATGGTGAGGCCAGGCCAGCCCGGGGCCGAAAGCCTGGCAGCCGGCGGGAGCCTGGCCGACTGGCCCTCAAATGGGGGACACGTGGTGGCTTCAATGGACAAATGGAAAGGTCCCCAAGAAGAACCCACCATTGGCAGCATAATGGGGAGCTGGCTGAAGGGGGTGCTGAGCCCAAGGATCCACCCCCTCCCGGGCCCCATTCTGAGGACCTTAAGGTGAGTGCAGAGTGCTGGTAGTCTGGGCTCAGGGGCTCTGAGGAAAGGTTGGGGCTTTGGAGCCTTTTTCGAAATTTCCCACACACATAGTCCATCTTTTCTCAGGTGCCCCCGGGAGTAGTCAGAAAGTCTCGTCGTGGCCGTAGGAGAAAATACAAGTGAGTGTTGGGCCTACTATAGTGCTGGCCTTTGCCTACTTCTTTTTGGTTTGGACAGTTCTAATGTCCAAATAGTGGCTTGGTTTTCAAAAGGGCAGATTCTTATTTGAATATGAATAAGGATATTATGCCTTTACTATCCAAATGTAGAAAGTTTCCCACCCAAACTTCTGAAATTCACCTGGTGCTTGGGAGCTGTTCCTGATCATCTGTGCCCCTTATTGCAGCCCTACCCGGAACAGCAATAGCTCCCGCCAGGACATTACCTTGGAACCCAGCCCTACAGCCCGAGTAAGTGTGTGTTTGGGTGGATGGGTGGATGGGTAGGGTGTAAGGGATGAGGCGGCAGGAGGAAAGGAGGGTTAGAGGGAGTGGGGAGAAAAGAAGACTTCCTGATACCTAGCAATTGACCACTTCTATCAACTTCCCCTCTGATATTAGGCAGCTGTCCCTCTGCCTCCCCGGGCCCGCCCTGGCCGTCCTGCCAAAAACAAGAGGAGGAAACTGGCCCCATAGCAGCCATACCTGGAGCTGGATCTGACCCTGATTGGGGAGAGCTGAGTGCTGAGCCTTGGGAGCCCCTGCCAGCCACCTGCACCTGTGGACAGTGGGTGGGGGCACTACTCCCCACTCAGAGCACAAATGCAACTCCTTCCCCTACAATCCCATCCTGAGCCATTGCAGGGGGCAGGGAAGTTCACCCCCCCCCACCACCCCCCCGCCCCCCCGAAGCCATGTCACTGAAAAGGCCTGGGGGGGATGGTATATGGCCCTTTCCCCACCAGGCGCTAAGGGGAACACCCCCTTCCCCAGGTCTTTTATTTGTTTAAGTTATTTTTGCACAAATGACTCTTTTATATTTAATTCGATTTCATTGCCTCCCTTCTTAAAGCCAACAGGCTCAGTTTACAAACCTGTGAGCTACTGTTGGCTGCTGCCCTCCTTCCCAGTGAAAGGTACAAAGCAATAAGCATCATGCATCCTCCCCTTACCCCTCCAACACCCCTCTGCCTCTGGCTCAGGTTGCTCAAAGCACAGATCCTCTCTTACCCCGTCCCCAGGTTTGAAACACATAGCCTCATTTCAAGGTGTAGCCAGGTTCCCCCGACTTTCCTCTGGGATATAAAAAAGGGGGTAAGGGGGCAAAGAGAGCCCTCTGGGCCTCTCCTCCCATACACACTACACTGCCCCTTCTCCCCCCATCAAAACGCTCAGAGACGTTGTGATGATGCGACTGAGGATTATGCAACGTGGTCCAACCGGAGCGGCCAGCATGACCAGCTGTCCAGGGGCTGCCTCCTGCCTTTTCTTTTGTAAAGACAAGACCCTTGGGAGTTTTAATTCTGTTTTGTACTTGCCCTGTGGGGCCTCCACTGCTTTTCTATGGGAGACACTCTTAATTTAACAGATGAGAATATTTTGAAACTCTGGCTCTGGCTCTGTACTCATTTTTTATTTAGTTCTTTGGTAAGAACAGGTTACAATTTAAATCCATCTCTTGTAGTATAGAGTGGCTTAGATTGCCTGTTATGACGAATGAATATCTATATCCTAGTGCTGCTTCCTCCCCAGGAAACACAGCAGAGGCCACACAGAGTACAACAGCATTTAATGGTCAGAAACAGTTGTACAGTATTACAGTCAGCCACAGAAGCTGTGTTGGGGGACAAGACCCAATCCTTCCCCACACCAGGCAAAGCAGTATTGGACATGAGTTGGCATGTGGCTGGGCCCACGTCCTTATCCCCCAGGCCTGAGGGGAGACCACCTTCTGATGATAACCAACCCCTAGCTACCACTCTGTATTCATCAGGGGAGGGGTATAAACCCCACATGCAAGAAGAACCCTTGCCCCCAGTGTCAAATGGGATGGGGATGCTAGAGTTATAGTAAAGGGGAAACCCTATGTAAGCTGTTAACAGAGTTCACAGGGGTAGGGATAACCCCTGTTCTCCAGCTCCCAAATGTGCTCACTTTCCCAGCTTCTTCATCCGTTCATCAATGCTGGCAAAGTTCCCCTCAACTGTGGCCAGGTTTTCACGCATGGTTGTCTGCACCTACAAAGTGGTAGAGAGGTTTTACTCTTTGTCAGGTCCAGTTGCTTAACTGGATGAGGACCTGAAGGAATTCTCTGAGAGAGAAGACAAGAAATGGAAGCACAATTTGTGGGCCACAGAGGGGGGATGTTTATAGCACCAATTTTCAAGCTACCCTTAGAGTACATAGACCACGCTTGGGGTGAGCCCAAGCAGGTAGGACTCGAGAATTCCCATCCTGACTTCAGCCAGAACAGTTTTTTAAAATCTGTTTTATGTAATGAGAGCTAAATAAGATTTTGTTGAAATGAGGGTTTCACTGGTTCAAAATGTTAGAAAACTGCTCTGGAGGAAAAGGATATTATTCTAAGTCCTTTATATATTTTTTCATTTATCTCAGTGATCCTGTGATTGATGCTGGTCTCTCGACTTTAATGCTCCTTCCAGCACTGAGAACAGTGCCTCCAACAGAAATTGGGACTTGCGGCCAGGTGCAGTGGCTCACGCCTGTAATCTCAGCACTTTGGGAGGCCGAGATGGGTGGGATCACTTGAGGTCAGGAGTTTGAGACCACCCTGGACAACATGGTGAAACCCCGTCTCTACTAAAAAAAAAAATTAGGTGTGGTGGTGCGTGCCTGTAATCCCAGCTACTCAATAGGCTGAGGCATGAGAATTGCTTGAGCCCGGGAGGTGGAGGCTGCAGTGAGCTGAGATCACACCACTGCACTCCAGCCTGGGCAACAGAGCGAGACTCTGTCTTAAAAATAAAAAACAATAAGAAATTGTGGACTTGCTGTGTGCCAGGCATTACTAAAAGAATGAAGGAGCTAGGTGAGGCTCATTGTCCAGGGCCAGAAAGGAAGCGACAGAACGAGATTAGGGCCTGCTTCTGACTTCAAAGCCCGGATTCCTTCCAGTGTACTGTGCTTATCAGGGAGAGTAAAGTTGAGACGACAAAGGGAAAGAGTGGGGTTTTATAAGAAAACATGTTCACTAGCCCCTAACAATTTGCCCATATTATTTCACCTCATCTACATAACTCTGAGGGAGGTATAATTTCCCAGATGGAAAGATGGAGGTTCATAGGTTAAATAAGTTGTCAAAGGGCCTTCACATTGAAAGCAGGATGGAGACTCCAGACCAACCCCCTGCCACAACACCATGCTACAAAATAGGCTAAGGCAGAACCCTATAACACTGGAGAACCTAGTTTGCACATGCTGGAGAAAGGAGGACAGATCAACAAAGGGGCACACACCTGGGTCAAGAGGGTGGTATTGTCCTTCAAGGAATTAGCAATCATCTGCTGGGTGGTATCCAAGTGTGTCAGGAGCTGACCAAACTGCATGGCTACAAAAGAAAAGTATGGTTGAGACTTGAATCCAAGATAAGGGAGGGGACCAAAAGTTGCCCATTTTTCAACTTCTCTTAGCACTCCTGGCAGCTGGCCTCCCACCTTGCTCGTGCAGCTGCTTGATGGTGACAAGTCTCTGCACCAGCTCAGGGAGGGTGGAGGCAATGGGGCTCCAGCGCTGTATAGTTTCATATAGCTGGTGCACCTGAAGGGACACAATGGGGCCCAGAGGGGATGGCTGAGGCAGCCAGGTCAGTATGTACAGACTGCTATTTCACCGTAATGGGGGAAAGGATCAAGTGGGCAGAGGGAAGCAGTGCCCTGACTTTCCAAGCTGATAAGCTCTTCATAAGAGCTTATGAAGATGGGGACCTGAGGAGTCAGTGTGTTCTCATGCTTTGACACTGCCACTCGGAGAACCTGAGGGAGTGGAAAGGAGATGGGGAAGGTGTCTTCCTGACCTTGCTTTGTGTATCTGCATCTTCTACAGAGGCTTTATGCTTGGCAATCTCGTTCACCTTTCCCAGGACACTCTGAAAACACAGATTTTAAGGTTGATAGGGCATCCAGGGCTTCCAGAGTCCCAAGCTATCCATAATTTAATTTTCCCTCCATTTAATACCTGTAGCCGAGCCTCCACTTGATCCAAAACTGCAAGGTCTAGGGCGCTCACCTTTGCTTGCAACAGCTCTACAGTCTCCTGGGGATGGAAGTTGGGACAAGCATCATGAAGAGGAAAGGCAGACTAGCAAGAGGCCTCCCATATTCCACTAAATTAATATATAGCTACAAACTCAAAAATAATCCTCAAAGCAAACCCAAACCCAACTATCCCCTCTGTGATCCAAACACTCCAGTTTCTTCCAAACTCACCATGAGACAGGCTCCCTGTAGACCTGCAGAAAGGGGATTCTGGTGGGAAAGGAAGGGAAGAAGTGAGTGGTCCTTATATCTCCATGATTATCGTCTTCTCCCATCTTTCCTGGTTCTAGCTGGGAACCCACTAGCTGATCCCTGTAACTGAAGCCCTTTGATGACTCCTCCCAGGCTTATGTGGAATGTTGTAGACCTTAAGGCCTAGAGTTGCAGGATCTAAGGCTCAGATTATGTACAGGAGAACACCTGACCTGAGCATCCTGATCACAACGTACAGCTGTCTCCAGCTCTGTCAGGCGCTTTTCAAGTTCTGCGACCTAGTGGGAGGAAGGAGGTGAGATTTGCCATCTGCTTCCCTGCTGCTGCAATGGGAGGAATACGATCCTGCTCTACTCTGCCTGCCACTCACCACCCCAAGGGATTCCTTTCCCTGGAATACATACCTAGCCACAATCTTAAAATCCTAACCAAAGGTAGATGGGCGAGGGAAACATAGAGAATGAGGTCGGGCGCGGTGGCTCACGCCTGTAATCCCAGTGCTTTGGGAGGCCGAGGCGGGCGGATCACGAGGTCAGGAGATCGAGACCATTCTGGCTAACATGGTGAAACCCCATCTCTACCAAAAATACAAAAAATGAGCCGGGCGTGGTGGCAGGTGCCTGTAGTCCCAGCTACTCAGGAGGCTGAGGCAGGAGAATGGCGTGAACCCGGGAGGCGGAGCTTGCAGTGAGCCAAGATTGCGCCACTGCACTCCAGCCTGGGAAACAGTGCAAGACTCCGTCTCAAAAAAAAAAAAAAAAGAAAGAAACATAGAGAACAACGAATCAGGAATCAAAAGAGGAATCAATCAAGAGGAATCAGAGGAATCAGAAGCCTTCCCAGCACCCTCTCCTTGGAGAGAGGCAGGAAAATCTCTAGGGTCACATCTCCCCTTGGCTTCCCAACCAACACTGTATCCACACTTACTTTGGCAGCTTGAGAGAACTTGTCCTGCTCAGGCCGAGAATGTAGTTCATAAGTGACAAGGCTGCTATCTGGGGGGGTCCCAGTGGTTTTTCCCCCTGATCCCCCTTTGCTGTTCTTTGTTGCTTCCAGCTGCAGTAGTAGGCGCCTAGTTAGGAGACCGAGTAATAATATCATGACTGGAAGGAGAAGGGCCAGTCACTCTCCCTCACTTTTGCCTCATAATCAGCATTAAGAAACATCTAAGCCACTTCTCTGCCACTTAGCACCCCTGTCAGTAGCTGGCTGAGTCCATCCACAACCCCAGTCAGCAATGATTTTTCAACAAAGTAGGGTACCCACTTAGCCAGGGCGCCATCGGGGTCGGTAAGGTTGATTGCAGCATCTGGTCCCAGCAGCTTCTCCAGGTGGGAAGCAACCAGCTGCTGCTTCAGGGCTGCCAGCTGTTTAGCCAGCAACACAGGGGTCAGCTTCTCCTCTGTGGCTGACTCCTTCACTGTCGTCTAGTATGAAAAAAGGTAGAAATCGGGGGATGGCAAGAATGAATCAAGAAGCAAAAAAATAGGTCAAGCCCTTTAAAGGTAGTTGTAGCTGGAGGTCACTGGGATGGTTTTCAGCATGACAGACTGCCCACCTGTATGTAGCACTGCATACAGATGGATGCATATTTGTAAACTCTGGAAACCTTAGCCCCTTTATCCAGGAGCTTAAGGAATCTTTCTTTCTTTCATTTTTTGAGATGGAGTCTCGCTCTGTCACCCAGGTTGGAGTGCAGTGGCATGATCTGGGCTCACTGCAACCTCCGCCTCCGAGTTCAAGCAATTCTCCTGCCTTAGCCTCCCGAGTAGCTGGGATTACAGGTATGCGCCACCACACCTGGCTAAGTTTTTGTATTTTTTTAGTACAGATGGGGTTTCATCATGTTGGCCTGGCTGGTCTTGAACTCCTGACCTCAGGTGATCCGCCTGCCTCGGCCTCCCAAAGTGGTAGGATTATAGGCGTGAGCCACCGCACCCAGCCAGGCAGGGAATCTTTCTCTTCTTGCTTGAGGTCTTCCTCTACTGTGTAAGTCACAGCAGAGAAGGGAGAAGAGAGTTTGTAGTTACCTTGATTTTTTCAACTTCAGTTGTCAGCTCTTGGACCTCATGCAGTAGGCGCTGGTACTTTTGCTGGGGTGTCTCCTTCACTCCCAGACCCTCTCCAAGCTAGAGAGCAGGCACAGAGGGTAATGTTATATGTCTCATTACAGGGAGCCTCAAGAATTCATCCACACCCTGGGCCTAAGTCATAAAGGTATCATATCCAATTGAGAATCCACAACACCCTAGTACCAAAGAACTGAGGACAGCTAGAGGGCTGGAGGCTCTCCAGAACAAACAGCAGTAGGGCAGAGTTTCCCTGGCTGCATCCTGCTGCTTCCTCAGGAACAGAGGAGGAACAGAATCCCGCCTGTATCCCTTGATCTCCCTACTACATGTCTGCTAGATAGGGTCACTACACCATTCCCATCAACACACACACACACACAACAAACCATCTCATATTCTCCAGATTCATATCCTGTCCTCTTGGTTTTTCCAATACGATCTGAGAAATCTGCCAAGAAAAGAAGATGGAACTGAGGGCCTGATCTAGGCCCAAGGCAGTCATGGTCTCAGGTGACTGTGAGGGCTTCCATAAAATATCTCCATGAGGGACCCCTTCCCCCAAGCACAACTCACTAAGACTTTAGGACAGGAAACCACTTCTCATGCTTATCCTCCAGTCTTCCCCCCACCCAGCTTCCAGCCCAGTCTCACCAAGTCCCTTTGTCCCCACTCTCTTGTCCTTGAACTTGTCATAGGCAGCATTAGGATTGACAATGATGTGTTCCACACTTGTGCTTGTCAGCTCCTCCTGCAAGAACAGGTAGTTTAGGCCAGGGACACACTCATTCCCACTCTAGAACTTACTCTACCCCACAAAATCCCCAAACCATTAGGTGACTGGGCCCTACTTGTCCAAGGGGAAAGAAGGGTGGCTCTATTCCAAGGCGCCTACCCAGGCTTAACCTAGGAAACTGAAGCTTCCTGGTAAATTTGGAGCCTCAGTTGTATAAATATTAACACCCTCATTCAACTGGGAGCAGAGGGAGCATAACCTCCCCACCCTCTCTGTACATAAGCCTTCCCATCCCCCCATGCTACCCCTCCCAGTTGTCTGGCACACGCCATGCACTCAAGGCAAGAAACCAACCTGACCTCTTTTAACCTCCCCCTCCCAAAAGTAAATCTTGCCCGCTGAGCAAGTCCATTTTAATGCTAACCTCCCATCCTTGCTAGAAGGAAAGAGGAGGGAAGGCAGATAATCAGGCCACTAACACTGAGTGTGAATATTAGGACTTTAAACCTGTTGAAGGTAAGACACAAGCTCTTAGTACAAAAAGAAGGCCGACAGAGGGCCTGACCAGAAGCCTGATTTCCAGGCTGCCATGAGGCCAGCGAACTCAGGGACAGGGAGAAGGGGCAAGGGCTTACTGGATTATCTTTATGGGACATCTTAGAAGCAACAAACATAGGCAATATCTGCTTGCCAAGAGTATCCATGGGCAAGAGCCACATGTAAGCTCTGAAATGGAGATAAACCAGCATCTCTTCAGAGACGCTGCAGCACCTGATTTTTCTCCCTGACTCCTCTGCTATGCTTTAAGCACTGAAGCTCTTCCAAAAACAGGGGACACAAGTAGGCGGTGAAAGAGACTTCACCCTAGAAACTGAAGCAGAGAGGTTCCCTCCTTACTAGATATCTACATGCTGTTCAGATTCCAGTGACAACACCAAGACTGCACCAAGCACTCCTGACTGCATGTCCCTTTTTCAATTGTCAGAAGCCTGACAGCTCCCAACAGAGTACTGATGGAAGTAGGAGGGAGACCCAGGAGTCCTTTTCTGTTGGGGATGACATCTCTACCTTCTATGGGAGGAAGGCAAAATGAGCCTTCCTTCTTTCACCTAGAACAATGGTTCTCACCCCAGGCTGCATGTTAGAATCACTTATAATTTTTTTTTTTTTTTAAATAGACAGCCGGGCAATGGTGGCTCAAGCCTGTCTGTAGTCCCAGCACTTTGGGAGGATCCTAATTCCAAGTGATCCACCCGCCTCGGCCTCCCAAAGTTCGGCCAAGGCGGGTGGATCTCAGGAGTTCAAGACCAGCCTGGGCAACATAGGGAAACCCCAACTCTACAAAAAATATAAAATAGCTGGGTATTGTGGCACGTGCCTGTGGTCCCAGCTACTCAGGAGGCTGAGGTGGAAGGGTCACTTGAGCCTGGCAGGTGGAGGATGCAGTGAGCAGAGATCATGCCACTGCACTCCAGCCTGGGCAACAGAGTGAGACCCTGTCTCAAAAAAAGAAAAAGAGAGAGAGAGAAAAGAAAAAAAAAAAAAAAAAAAGGCCTGGGCCCACTTCTAGAGATTCTAATGAATTATTCTGGGGTAGGGCCAGATATCCAGGTGATTCTAACCTACAGCCAGGACTGAGAATCTCTGCCTGTGTGTAGGTATGTGGGGAGAGGGTGTGAGGGGGACATGGTGGGACATCATTGAGAAAGAAAAGCAGATAGAAGGAAGCTCCTTCCTTCATCTCTGCTCTGCTATTAGAGCAGGAATCAGTGTGGGTGACAGCTTTAAAAATAAGGGAAGAAGGAAGGAAAGGACAAAGTATCAACTTTGATCTTTACCTCTTCCTCAGGGAATTACTGGGCAGAGGGGTAAGAGCTATAGATCAAGGGAAAACAAAAGGACTCAATGTCCCATATGCAAGTGCCCGGGGGGAGAGACATTTGAGTCCCAAATGATTATCTCTTTAACCTGTTCTGAAATGTTACGGCCAGAACACCCACCCATCTAATAGCTGTGTGATCTCTGGCCTCTTATCAACTGGGAAGGGCTCAGGCTAAGGATAGACAACCATCTTCTCTGAAGTTCATACTCAGGAATATGCCACTTCTCCCTGTGAAAGCCCCAATCCAGGCCAATCCCACCCATCCTCTTTTGTTTAATCCTCTTAAAAAAGAGGAATGGGAGGCATAACCTACAGACCCAGGAAAAAAATTAATCATAGCTACCATTTGTTAAGCCCTTATTATGGGCGGGCACTATGCAGATGGAACCTACTTTCTTATTTACGTTCCTAAGTAGGGAAAGCGGGGAGTAGAAGAGGGTCAACACATAGACGGTGAGTCTCAGAGGTTCTGGACAGTCACAGGGACAGAGAGCATTTTCATTCCTGCTGTGGGAGAGTGTCCTGGGCCAGTTGGGCTACCTGGCGCTGGCATCCTCTGGAGCCTCTCCAAGGCTGTGGCCCGGGAGCACACTCTAGTCCTCCAGTAGCACCTACTCCAGCAGTGTCTTGAAGATCTGGGGCATGAGTTGGGGGCAGTATAATTACAGTGACTTGTGAGATAGGAAAAGGCTGGGTGTGGGACTGAATAGATGAATGAAAGATTTAGTAGAGTCTAAAGGACAGAGAAACAACTGCTCATCATAGCACACCCCGTTAAAAAGCAGATGAAAGGTCAGGCTTCTTACCAGCTCCTTGTGGTTTCCCCAGAGGTGAGAAAATCAAAAGAGTTAAAAGGAAAGGGAGTGGGGGAATGGGGATGAGGGAGGGAAAAAAAAGACAAAATTGTTATTAGCAAATTGTCACATGCACTACATGACAGTCTTCCAACACACTGCACCACAGGGCCCCAGGGGAGCCTAGCGAAATTTAGGGGCCAAGAAATTTCAGCTGGGGTCACCATATACCCCAAGAGAAAGAAGAGCATGAGACCCTTTTCCCTCTGGTGGTGAGGATGTCATGAAGCTTTGCCATTAACAGCAGCAGTTTAGGATCATCTGAAAACTAGGAGTTAGATGTTACCAGCCAGTGGCATGGAATAAGAAACTGGGGAGAGAAGGCTGAGGTGGTGGGGAAGCTATTAGAAATGGTAGAAGATGAAGCAGAAGTTAGAAATTCTTAGACTTGTAGCTGATAGAGGGTCAATAATTCTCAGGAGAGGAGTTCCCCTTCTTAGTTCATGGCCCTTGTCTTCCTATCTCTTAGTTTCTCTAGCTGTGAAAAATTAGACATTTGGATGGCAGAATCAGTCACAATGAGAGTGATCAGGTAGGAAGTCTGATATGACTTTAGGTGAGACAAAACAAAATATGTCAGGTACAGATGGTGAGTTAAAGGAATGATGAAGTACCTAAGTATAGCCCCGTTCTCATTTCCTCCTGCAAGGGAAGAGGCAGAGCTGCTCCTGGTCCCTTGTGCAGCCTGGCATGTTTGCCTCCACCTTGAGTGGCTGGTAACTCACCCTGCAGCTCCGAAGGATCTAGAGCAATTCTGCCATGATGTACTTACACAGAGGGTCCAGGGGACATCAAGATTCACAGGTACTAGCACATGTGCAGAACATGTTTCTTCAACCCTCTGTTCACAAGATTCACAGGGGTTGGAGGGTAAACAAAGGGGAAGGGTGAGAGTATTTCCAAGAGGCCTTATTTGAGTCTGGGCCACATAGATAAGGCTCCCACTTCCGGGCAAGGCTGGTTTAGAACTGCCAGAAGGGGATATCCAGTGGTATGTCCTGCCTTTCTAGGAGCTCTGCTGATGGGCAGATGGTTGAGGATGGTTGTATGCATATGAAAAACCATGGTGGGATTAAAAACAAGTGCTTCCTTTCACCAAGATTTCATCCAGATACCTCTTAATCACAACCTCTCTGTTCCCTAGACGATGCTAGGGTCCCAGCCAAGATTCCTCTTTCCACCAGGCACGGTGTCTCACATCTGTAATCCCAGCACTTTGGGAGGGCGAGGTGGGTGGATCACTTGAGGTCAGGAGTTCGAGACCAGCCTGGCCACCATGGTGAAACCCCATCTCTACTAAAAATACAAAATTAGCCAGGCATGGTGGTGGACGCCTGTAATCCCAGCTACTCGGGAGGCTGAGGCAGGAGAATCATTTGAACCCGGGAGGTGGAGGTTGCAGTTGAACCCGGCAGGCGGAGGTTGCAGTGAGCTGAGATCATGCCACTGCACTCCAGCCTGGGTGACAGAGTGAGACTGTCTCAAAAAAAAAAAAAAAATTCCTCTTTCAGCTCAGGGTAGAGGTGGCTCCAGATCCTGTGGTCGAGGCTGGGATGTCTCTGCATAGAGTGGGTGTAAGCACCCATAAGTGCAAACATGCAAACACAAAGGAGAAGTACACACACTATACCTTTCTCTGATTTGTCCCACCAAGCTAAAACCAGCTTGGGAGAAACTCAAGGAGAGAAAGAAGACAATGGGCCATAAGCTCAATTTCAAACCATGCGGATTGGGCAGAATAGGGAGGACAGAAAATCAAATAAAAGGAAAAGTGGTATATTAGTTTGCAGATAGTATATACCACCTCCAGGTCTGTCCTATGGGTGGGTTGAAGGTTGATGAGATTTTAGGCATGATTCCTGCATAACCTGGAGTAGTACTAGTCACCTTGATTGGAAGATTTCAAGTGCCCTGGCCCCGGGTGCCAGCTTACCTAGTACGTGACTCCCAGTCTCTTTCACTAAGGGACTCCCAGACCCCCCAGGGCTGTTTGGCTAAGTGGCTGTGCCTCAGAGGGCAAGATCTGAGGTTCTAAATCAGACAGGGAAAGTGGCCACTGTTACTCTCTGAGCCTATTCAGGCTGTACGCCAACACTGCAGCCAGGGTACTTCAAAACCATGATGACAAGGAAGATGGACAGAGCTGTAGAGTAAAACTGTCCGGGATGGATCAATATATTGCTGACCATCCATCCATTTCAAAAGGAGGGGTGCAGAAACAGAAAGACTCACAAAAGCACAAATAATCCAAGTTATCTTACAATTGCATATAAACCTCCTTCTCATCCCATTTACATTTCTCTAAAGACCTAGCATAGGGGAATATTAAAATGAGTTTTTCCCAGAGATAATCCACATACAGCCAAGAACTGAGGACTGTGGCTGTCATCCCTTTTGTTTTCTATCCTTGTCTAGAATAGCTAAAAGTCATTCCATAAAAAAATCTTCATTTGATCTTAGTCTGAGGAGGAGAAAGGAAACTGCCTTCTAACTCCAGCCCCTAAATGCCTCATGTTCAAAAACATTTAAAGCCTCCATGCTTCTATCCCATCCTCCACTGGACAGTTTTACTCTGCAGACCTCACAAGGGGAAGAGACAATGATTCATGGATCATAGCTGTTTCTAACCCTTGATTAATGATCTTTAAACATAAGGCCAGCAGGCCCCTCAGTGACCCAGCCAGGGACTCACTGGAATTTAAAACGATTAGCTACAACAATAGCACAGTGGCAGAGCATTGCATGCGAGATGGCAGATGAAAAAAACATGCAGAGAAGAAGCATTGAATGGTCTTACTTGTGCAAACTAGTGTCCAGGCAAGGTGGTGAGGAGGGAGGATGGGGGAAGCATTAGGAAAAACTCAGGTAAGTTCAAGTGCGCCAACAGTCAATGAACACAATCAAGCATACTCCAGGATCTTCTAAACTGTAAGGAAGTACTGTTTCTCATCTCAGGAGTGTCCAGTAATATCTACCTTTTGGAGAAATGAAGCCTCTGCCAGGGCCCCATCAAACTATGGCTAGGTCATTTTTTCCCCTTTTACTGCGGGTAGTTATGCCATAAAGAGAGAAGCTAAATTGTTTCTAATGAGGTTTTTCTTAATTTACTTCCCTTATTCCAGCAGTTCAAAAGCCATGAGCAGAAAGCCTCACTGACCCAAGGCAGGCTGTGGGCCCAGGGGTTAGGGTCGGGGTGTGTGTGTGGGTGGAATTCTATTTGGGAATTAGTTTTCCAAACATTTTAAGAAAAATCTCCAAGCAAGCCTATTGCCCCAATTAACCTGGGAGTGTCTGAAGTGCAAAGAGATCTTCCCAGATTGAGGAGGAAAGGGCTACAGCCCGTGCACTTTCCTGGTCCATTCCTGTTTTAGAAGATTTTACTTCCTGCTAAAATTGTTTTAAAGGGATAGTAGAAAAATCAGGATTGGCCAGGCACAGTGGCTCATGCTTGTAATCCCAGCACTCTGGGAGGCCTAGGTGAGTGGATCACCTGAGGTCAGGGGTTTGAGACCAGCCTAGCCAACATGGTGAAACCCTGTCTCTACTAGAAATACAAAAAATTAGCCGGGTGTGGTGATGGACACCTGTAATTCCAGCTACTCAGGAGGCTGAGGCAGGAGAATCTCTTGAACTCGGGAGGTGGAGGTTACAGTGAGCTGAGATCACGCCATTGCACTCCAGCCTGGGCAAAAAGAGTGAAACTCCATCTTGAAAAAAAAAAAAATTCACGATCATCTGTAGCAAAATTTAAATCTTTTATGCTTTCCTCCCCCATCCTCCCCACTATGGGAATCGGAAAATGTTTATGTTTAAGTTAAATTAGCAATTTAAATCTTTAAGGGATGTTTGAGGACATTTTTCCTTTAGTAGCCCAATTTCTTCCACAGTGGAGGAATCACAGGAAGAAAGTTATGGAGCAGTGAGGGTCAACACAACTTGACTATTCCTTTAGACAGAAATCTGGAGACCCGGCTGGCATGGTAGCTCACGCCTGTAATCCCAGCACTTTGGGAGGCCAAGATGGATGGATCACTTGAGGCCAGGAGTTCGAGACCAACCTGGCCAACATGGTGAAACCCCATCTCTACTAAAAATACAGAAAATTAGCCAGGTGTGGTGGCACATGCCTGTAATTCCAGCTACTTGGGAGGCTGAGGCAGGAGAATCGCTTGAACCGGGGAGGCAAAGGTTGCAGTGAGACAAGATTGTGCCACTGCACTCCAGCCTGGGGGAAAGAGTGAGACTCTGTCTCAAAAACCAAAAAGAAATCTGGAGACCCCCTGAAAGGTTCCACAAGAGTCTATCCATATTGGTTGTCTCTAGGGAAGAGAACTGAGTGGTGGTAGGCAGAGGTGGGAGGCAGATTTTTCACTACTTACCCTTGAATCCTCTGTTCCCTGTGCATACATTACCTACTTTAAAAACTGATAAAATTAAAGTTGAAAATAAACTGAAGATTAAGGCGGAGAATGCTGTTGTCAGGGGTTAAGAAGGTGACTGAGGCTGGGCATGGTGGCTCACGTCTGTAATCCCAGCACTTTGGGAGGCCAAGACAGGCGGATCACGAGGTCAGGAGATCGAGACCATCCTGGCTAACACATGAAACCCCGTCTCTACTAAAAATACAAGAAAATTAGCCGGGTGTGGTGGTGGGCGCCTACAGTCTCAGCTACTCGGGAGGCTAAGGCAGGAGAATGGCGTGAACCCGGGAGGTGGAGCTCGCAGTGAGCCAAGATCACGCCACTGCACTCCAGCCTGGGCGACAGAGTGAGACTCCGTCTCAAAAAAAAAAGAAAAAAAAAGAAGGTGACTGAAAATCTCATGGTTCAGCCACAAGACAGGTCATGTGCACTGTCACTTGTACTAGGTCTTGGGCAGGTAGGCAGGAAACAGACAGGCTGCTGGTGAGATCCCAGGCCTCACGGACATGACATTTCTAGATTATCTAAGCATACAATTCACTGCTCCTCAAATTGCATATTTACGTCAGTATTAAAAGCAGTGGCAGAGCCATTACTCAGCTGACTTCCCAAAAGCTGCAAGCCCCATAGGGACATGCGGGGGCCAGAGACATTAGCTGACATCAGGAAACATCTTGGCTCTTCGGGCCCCTGAAGTGGCTGAAGGTCTGCCCACCCCATTCCTCCCTAGTGACAGAGAGTCACTTAGCTGAGCCTTAGGTGACAGAAACAATTCAGCTCTTCTTGTATTTGCCATTCAGCTCATATGCACTTCTATACTGGCATCCTGGGCAACATGCCACAGGAAATGAACACTCACAGTATCCTCTCCTCATCAGCCACCCCACTAGATGCTACTAAAATAGGCTGTTCAGGCTCTGGGGGAGAAACAGCCAATCAGAGCTGCACAGTCAGGTTCTTCCACACCTGGAATGGGTGTCATCTCCTTTTTATTAAGAGATATCCCAGTATCTTCAAAAGGGAATGACAATATGTATTTTTTTGTTTAGAAAGAGGATTACTGTGAAACTACCTGTTTGTATCACAGCGACAAAAGGACTGAGTTCTATTCATTATCTCACCATGAAGGGCAGAAGCCTAGGCCTAAGTTGAACAGTCTGAACTGTGGTAGTGCAGTAAAGTTCTCAGCATACAGCTGTCTCTTGGCAACTGTGGGAGACTGGTTCCAGGACCTCCCTTGATACCAAAATCTGCATATGTTCCCATCTTCTATATAAATTGGCATAGTAACTGCATATAACCTACCTACACCCTCCTGTATACTTTGAATCATCTCTAGATTACTTAAAATACCTAGTACAATGTAAATGCTATGTAAATAGTTGTTATATTGTATTTTTAAATTTTGTTTTTTTTTTTATTGTTGTACTGGTTTTTTTTTTTTTGAGATGGAGTCTTGCTCTGTCACCCAGGCTGGGGTGCAGTGGCGCAATCTCGGCTCACTGCAACCTCCACCTCCCAGGTTCAAGCAATTCTCCTGCCTCAGCCTCCACAGTAGCTGGGACTATAAGCGCTCGCCACCACGCCTTGCTAATTTTTATATTTTTTAGTAGAGACGGGGTCTCAAACTCCTGGCCTCAAATGATCCACCTGCCTCAGCCTCCCAAAGTGCTGGGATTACAGGCATGAATCACCACACTGGGCCTATTTTTTATTTTTAAAAAATATTTTCCATTTGTGATTGGTTGAATCCATGGGTTTGGAACCCATAAATACAGAGAACCGATTGTATACACTCCTATTCTGTGAGGACAGAGGCAGCTTCCTATAAGATGCCTCTTGGAGTGACAGGTGCACACCCAGGTCCTTGAGCAACAACATCATCTGCATTATCTCCAAGATACTCAAGCTTAGGGGATAGATTGGCATGCCAGCAAATACAGAAGCCACAAGGAACACACCACTGGGAGAAGGGACAGAGAAGGTGTTTCCCACAATGTAAGAACCACTTCCACATGGGGGAGTCAAATAAGAAATAAGTGAGTACGCCAAGCCACACATTGTAAGCCAGCAGTCAGCATTCCCCAGAATTAACCAGCCCCACAGACATAGCCACAGGACTTACAGACAAGCATACTGAGCCTGCATATTGCAATGACTCTTGGACACATCTTTACTGAGAACTCACATCATCAATGTGATCCCAGCCCAGCTGTCTTCAGAAATAATAGAACCTAAAACACATCCTATAAACACACCTCTTGGCACTTAAACAGAGTTTTTACTATGTTGATTTCCATTCACTCAATTTTTTTTTCCTTCTATATGTTTCCTATATGTATCCTAATTCCCCATTAGTCTGGGGCTCATTGGGGGCAGAGACATTTCTTCCTCTGCATTGCACAAAAAAAACCACAGAATGAACACACTCAATAAACCATACTAAATGTTTCCCCTCACAGTTAAAATGTATCCGTACCTAATTACTCCATCCTCAGAATTCTCGGATCTAAAAATGCAACCACAGTCTCACATCCGCTGATGTGAAATATTTACATTCTTCCTCAAATTTGTTTTGCTCTAAAATCTTGGAATCACTTTCTTAATTCCTTGCCCAATGGATACTGGATATTCATATGGAAAAAGTATTTCTCCATATTTCAAAGTCTAGTTCTTGGTAGCAGTTTATTACAAGTGCCCAGGCTTCATGATTCATTTCCATGGGTTAGAACCCAGGGGCCTAAGTCACTAGCTCCAAACCTGTTTTGAGATATTTCAATTTTATTTAAAAGGCCCAAGAATCAGGGCTTTGCAAACAGATGTTGTTAGCTGTAATTCCGCTGACTTGACTCTCCCTCCTGCCATTGCTCATTGGTGGCTGCAAGCCCAGCAAGGTCTTTGCAAGCCCTGCAACCTATATACCACCCAGGCTGGGGTTGGCATACCCGCTTATTGCTGTAGCTCCCCCGAGAAAGGGAAGGACCTGTCTAGGGGAGAAAGGTCAGAGTCCGGAGGAGTCTGTGGCAGCACACATTCTTACCGCATCGAACTCCGCTTGATCATCCTCAGGTAGGTCGCTAGTTTCATAAACATCTGGCTCATTCCTGGCCTGCAGGTAGAAGCAGTGACCACCCAACCTCACTACCCAGCATCCAACAACACCCCTTCCCCCACTCCATTTGAATAAGCTAACAGAGAAGGCGGGGTGTGATGTCAGGGTTCTGTCCTTTCTCCTCCACCTGCCCCGTGAGTCAACAGTATGTCAGTTCCCATGTCTCAAGGGGTAGGGATGACAGCGGAAACAATTGGGACCTGACAGTAAACGGTGAGTGTAAGTGATAGCAACGATGTTACCCTAAATCTAGAGGCGGGCAGGTCCTTGGCAATCACTATTGCCAAAGAAGGTGAAGGCTATCCTCCAATTAGGCCCCGTACACCACCACCCTGGCACAAGGATTGAGAGTGACTCAGGACCTTAGTACTCAAGGTCCTGTGTCCCAACCCTCACCTTGAGAAGCAGGCAGGGCAGCACAAAAGGAAGGTACACGCCAGGATTGTCATGGGAGTGGGGGCTGGGGGAGGGCATAGGTTCCCTCAAGGATAGAGCTCCCCATCTGGCACAAGAGGGTTCTGCCAGATGGCAGAACCTCTTCCTTGGCAGGATGAAGGCCATCGTTAAGTGGTCTGGTGTGTGTGTCTGGGGTAGCGATGGGGTCTTATGGAGAGATTTGGGGGGGACATGGGAGGCGTTGACACGGATGGTGGAAAAACTCAGGCACAAGAGGTCAGTACCCGGAGTCGATTTCTGGGCCGAGCTACCGGCGACTGCCGGAAAGGGGGCCTGGTGCGCCGTCCGGCGGCCCGGCCCAGTCGGGTCAGAAGAGTTCGGGGGGTGCTGAGGCCGATCGGAGAACGAGCGGCGGGAGCCCTTGGGCGGAGGATGGGCTGCAGGCGGGAGGGGTCGCGGGCTGGTTTCTGCTGGGGGTCCTTGGGAGGTCGGGGGCGCGGTCCTGGGGAGCCGGGGCCGGTCCTGTACTCACAATGCCGGGAAGGTCGGCGTATTTAGGGTCCGCCATGGCGGCGGCGAGACGGGCTGGGGGACCCGGGCCTCGGTGGAGCCGGGGCCGGTGTTCGGGTAGGGGAGAGGCTGGGTTCGGGTCCCGGGCTAAGGCGGCGGCAAAGGGAGCGGCAGATGAGCAGGAAGTCTCGCGACAGCAGTAGCACAGCAGAAGGGTAAAGCAAAAGTCGCGAGAACAGCCCTGCTGCCACACCCCTGGAGAGGCCGGGATTGGGGAGAACGAGGCCAGGGAATGAGGTAATGGCCAGGGGACGCCGCCTAGGATTGTGGGATGTGTAGTTTTGGTGTACTGGAGCTTGGGCGGGGAGCGACAATAACGAACCTTGGGGAGCTATTTCATACAGCCTTTTCTCTCACTTTTACAGCAAGTCAGTGAAAGAACATTTATAATTCCTGTTTGGGGCTCCCAGGAATAAAATGACTAGATTAAATGATACAGGTAGTCATACTGTGACACAGCCGGGGTTTCAAAAACAAGAAGTTTGCTTGATACTGTGTATTATAAAAACAAAATAAAAACAAGAAGTAAAATTTAGTAAACGCGTAGTGTATGTTAGGAATGAAAAAGTTAGGCAATCTTCTCAAGTAAGGGCTTTCAGATAATTTGAATTTCAGATAATAAGTAGGTGTGTGTGTGTGGTGTGTGGTGTGTGGGTATACTAACCCCCCAAAAATTAAGTATCTGAAATTCACATTTAACTGGGCATCCTGTTTTTGTTTTTTGTTTTTCAAATCTGGCAATTCTATCTGAAGTTCATAAGTAGGTAAGTGGTGTCTCCATGTCTGTCTGAACACTCTCTGGGCTCTTAACTACTTCGTTAATAGTTCTCAGACTTTTATTTATTTTTCAATTTTTTCAATTTTGTGGGTACACAGTAGGTGTATGTATTTATGGGACACATGAGATATTTTGATACAGGCATGCAATGTGAAATAAGCACATCATGGAGAAGAGGGTATCCATCCTCTCAAGCATTTATCCTTTAAGTTACAAATAATCCAATTACTCTTTAAGTTATTTTAAAATGTACAGTTGAGTTATTCTTGACTATAGTCACCCTATTGTGCCATCAAATAGTAGGTCTTATTATACTTTCTAATTTTTTGTACCTATTCACCAACCTTACCTTCCGTTCTCAGACTTTTAAATTTCATCGTTCAATAAAATTAAAACAACTACAAACCTTGAAGATTTGCCTTTTTATTTTATCAAGTAAGTATATTACAAATAGAAAACCTATTATTTACTGTCACCATCATTACTTGGTAGAAAAGCAAGAAGGACACACTCAGAATAAAAGATAGTCCTTTGAAACTTATCAAATCCATCTTTATATTAAAAAAAAACTCACCATTGTTCTTTTGGAGGTGAGGGCATACTCAGTGAACTTTTGTCTCTGACCAGTGACCCTCCATGGACTGGCATTTTGAAACCCCTTTACTAAAGATGCCACCTTGGAGCCCCTGGGGACCCAAGGATGGGATGTTTCCCAGGATGTTTCCTGAGCTTGCAGGATGCTGCAACACTTAGAAATTGTGCCAAACCAAGTGACTAGAGAGTTCCTGAGTTCGGAACTCGTTGTCTTTCTTTCTCCTGGCTCCTCCCCAAGCCTCTATCCCTTTCTCCATAGTCCTACAGCTTTCCTGTCCCATTCCTTATGTTGGACTCTTTTCTTTCAGTTCCCTTAAGATTCAAGGTAGGTTAGAGGTGTAGCCCCAATGTGGGAAACCCCCTGAGTTCTGAATAGTTAGGTCTTGTCTGGCCAGGCTATCAGCCTCTTACTTTTGTCCCATAGTGTCTTAAGTGACCTTAACCACTCACCAGACAGTTGCTGAGCAGAACTTTCCTTTCCTCCTCCTTCTCCCATCCACCCTGCCCTTCCTCTTTGCCTAGAACCTCAACTCCTGCAGTCCAACTCTCTGTTGGCCAGCAGAGGCCTGTGACATGGAGAAAAATCAATTTGGCCAGCTTCTTGGTGGTTCTTTCCAGGGGCTGCAGCAGGAGTCTGACCCAAAGGAAGGAAGGACAAGGAATCTCTGGGCTTGGCATTTCTTTCGTTTTTCTTCCCCCACACCTTTTTTTTTTTGGCCAGGGAAGGGGGCTGAAGTATTGGGACTCTATCCTCCAATGGTTACTGAGACAGAAAACACACACTCCCGTAGGTATCTGAATTTGCCTGAAACCCAAATGCCGGCTTTGCCTCAGACTTCAAAGTCTCTCTGGCCTTACCCATCCCCATCATTGCCCCTCCTTCACTGCTTTCTGACTCCCTTTCTCTTGCAAAGATGTTTCCCACCCATCTTCCTCCCATCCTCAGCCTAGGACACAAAAATAAGTATTGTATCTGCTTTTGAATTCCCATAACCCAGAATGGGAGTTTATCTTCCCTGAAACTGGGGACCTGGTGTGTACGTTGGGGAGACAGTATAGTGCACCTTTGGATGTGGAAGGGGAAGGGAGTAGCCAGAACCTCCCACGACACCCAACTTCATAGGAGTACAGGCAGGGGTCCCCCCAGAAAGCTGAGTGGGTTGGGAGTCCAGCTTCCGTGCATGTGGGGCATGGGATGGGCGTAGGGGGAGAATGAGAAGTGTGATCCCAGTTTGGAGAGAGGACTGTGACGGGTTGGGGGATGCCCTGGAATAAAGGGAGAGGGAGATCTGTTGACCCTTTTCGCTACACAGGCGACAGGCCCACCTCAGTCCCCTTATCCCTTCCAGGGGGTGGAGTCTGAGGGAGGGACAAACAGGTCGGGGGTATAGGGGTGGGATGCAGTGAGTTGGGTGGGGAAGGGTCGAGGGCAAGGTTATCTCCGAACGTTAGGGGTGGGGGAGGGAGGAGAGGAGCGGTGAGGTTCCACCCTTCGGGGGTCGACGTCGAGCCAGCGTCCCCAGTGGAGGGAGCCCCGCCCCCGCTCCTCCATCGCGGCCCCGCCCAGGCCCGCAGCGCGGCGCTGCAGCGCGAGGGGCGGAGAGGCAGAGAGCCCGAAAGGACCAGACGCCCAGGTCGCCCGCATCCCGCTGCCGCAGGAGAGAGACAGCGCGCCCCGGCCCTGCTCCCCAGGCTTCGCCCGGGCGCCCTCAACTCTGTCCCCAGAGACTGAGCACCTGTCCTCCGCCTCGGCCTCTGCTGAGAGCCCTCTCCTCTGGAGCACACACCACCCCTGCAGCCCAAGAAGAGTCCCAGCCCCACGCCGGCTACCACCATGGCGGAGACCAACAACGAATGTAGCATCAAGGTGCTCTGCCGATTCCGGCCCCTGAACCAGGCTGAGATTCTGCGGGGAGACAAGTTCATCCCCATTTTCCAAGGGGACGACAGCGTCGTTATTGGGGTGAGTGTCGCCCAGGAGGGAATTCGGGGAGGGGGCAGGTGGCTGAATCTCCCCGCCCCCCGCAGAGCCTTAGTCTCTGCTGGTCCCTTTGCTCCCCCTCCCCGCCGCTCATCCTTCATCCTCTTCCCCGCAGCCCCTCCTCTCCCCTGCATCAGGATGGCTGGGTGTGGCCTGGCCAGGCCAGCGGCCGAGTCTCTGCAGAGTGGCAGGGGGCTGCTTTCCTACCTTCGGGAGATCCAACTCCCCTTTGCTGCTGTCTGCAGCGTCTCCACCCGTTAGAACCAGTCCCATGTTTTTCTGATGTTTTCCCCTTCTCCACCACCCGCTCCCCAAGAGAAAGCGCATCTTCCCTTTGTTATTGGCTCAGATCTCTACCCCCACCTCCCGGAAGGTAAGGCGGAAGACTTTTGGGTGGATTAGATGGGAGGTGAGCAGTCCAGGGTCTCTGCAGAGTGTGGATGGAAGTGGGCTCTAAGACCAAACCTTCCATCATTCCCTAAAGTAGTTATAGCCTGGATTTTTGTGTGTGTGTTGTGGGGAGTAGGTCTGATGCAGGGTTTACTGGGAAAGAAATCATTGATGCCACACCCAATCTTGGGGGGAGCCTCTGGAATCCTAAGGTCAGGTCTGCCTTTTGGTCCCAGGTACAGTAGGAAGAGGGTTTCAGATTCCCCAACTGACCCCCCTAAAGAAAAATGCCCAAACCCTGAGATCCTAGTCAGTACCTGCTTATTCATCCTTTCTCTTGAGGATCCAATAGAAAGTAGCCATCCAGCTCTACCTCATCATGACAGCCCTACCCAAGGAGGATATCTTAAGGGAACTAATATTAACAGTGGGCCTGTTACTCTACGTATATTATTTAACCCCCAAAACAACATTCAGAAGTAGTATCAATATTTCCATTTTACAGATGCAGAAATTGAGGCCCAAAGAACTTGAATAACTTTCTCAAGGTCATGCTATTCATCCATGGATCTGAACCTAAATCTGTGACTGCAAACCTCCCATCTCTTCTATCACATTGCCTACCCAGGTTTCTGTTCTGCACCTTTATCTGTAATGGCCCAAAGGGAAATTCTAGGCCTTGCCCACTCCCCCTGAGGTTGGTAGGGACCTCAGGCTGTGTGTGGGGAGAAAAGATCTGGGGTCGAGTCCTGTAGGGCTTGAGGGGTGCTGGGCCAGGAAACAAAAACTAGCTTGAGGAGGGAGGGGCATGTACGAGGGCAGTCAAGGTCAGAGGTGCTTCTTATGTATCTTTATCCACAGTGCTTGGCACAGAGCACCTGGACACAGGCTTGTTAAAGGAATGAAGGAAAGAAGGGGAGGAAGCCTGGGCCTTCTGAGTCAGTGAGAATGGGACTTTGAATAAACATGCTTCGGGGGAGACCTGCTTACCAGTCCCCAAGGGCCCCAGTCTGTCACCACCTTGCACCCTTACCCACACTGTTAACTCAAATGGATGCTTTTGGTCTCTCTCTCTCTCTCTCTCTCTCTCTCTCTCTCTGTGTATGTATTTGCCACATGGAGAGGGCCTCTGTTTCTTTTTGCTTCAGGGACCTCGCTGGCCCTGCAGTCTGTTCAGTCTGGCTGGGCTAAAAACAAAACAAAACAAAACAAAACAACCACAAAACAACTCCTGGATCAACTCTGGAGGACCCCTCTCAGAGTGTCCTGGATAGCCAGCATTAGTTGTGAGAGTTGGAGCTTCAGATCCCCCTGAGACATAAAGGCTGAGAAACAGGAGGAGGGTGATGATGGGGGCAAAACTTTTAGGCCCAATTTCCTTGCTCTGGGAGGTTTTTCCAGTAAGACTGAACCAACTCCTTTAGGCTCTCTGGGCCATCCTAGTATAGTGGGATGGGGCAGGGGGTGATGTTGGTAAGAGGGGTGTGGTGTCGATCTGTTGTTAGCCCAGCTAAACAGGAGAGACACACAGTGGGAGGTGGGCAAGGAGGAAAGATGAATAGAAGCCCCAGGCCCCCTGCCAATTCAGATTCCATCTCAGCTCCACAGCTGGATCTTCCTTGTCTGTTTTGCCTGATATCTGTAGGGCTGTACCTTTGTCTTGCTCGTATCTTCCCTCACCCTAGCCCTCCCTGTCAATCTCTCACTTGAAGATAAATGCTTACGGGGGGGCCATTTTGTCTTAGGCAACATCCTTGGAGTTTGCTTTTTCAGACTTAATATTCATTCATCATTTAGGGAATGAGGGCTACAGGAGACATGATTTTTAGGAGACCCTTGAGGGTCCCAACAAGGGAAGGAAATTCCTACTCCTTTTTCTCTTTTCCCCTCTAGCTCTTTTTGGAGCCCACCAGGTCGGGAGCTGGCTTAGGAATTAATGGGGGAGGCTGCTTCAGGATGTCTAGGAAGGTGCGGGAAGAGTGAAGGTGGGAGAGATAATCTTTCCCAATGCAGCCCCTACTCCTTCCTGTGACTGCTCTCCCCTTCGCCTCTGCAGCACTGCGGCCAGCGCTGAGCTTCAGAGTCCCTTCTGTTCGTGGGCTTTGTTCTGCTTGTTAGAGGGTAGGAGAATAAGCTGGAGAGACAGCTCTGTGTGCCTTTTTTCTCCCCTACTCCTCTGACTTCTTCCAGGAACCTGGGGGATGGGGCTTAGCCAAAGTTAATGGCCTGAGTCATAGCAGAAGGGTGTCTGGGTCACCGTCTGTGTGTGGTGCCCATCTTGTTTTGCTTTTGCACACTCAGAATCCAGTGTGACTTTTTCGCCAGACCCATTTAAGTGTCTGTCTTCCTCTGCCTTGGTCTTTCTCAGCAGTGTCCCAGTGCCTGCTGTCTGGACTGCTGCATCTGTACCAGATGTGGGAGGGATGACAGTGAAGAAACACATACATACACACACACACTCTTTCTCTTTCCCCTTCATTCAAGTGTACACAGCTACCTCCCTCAGGTCTCCCAATGGTTAAGTGGGTTCTTAATGCAAGAAACTAGGACCATTGTGTACCTCACTTGGCAAAGCTAGGTTGGGACCTGCAGGGTTATTGGAGCAGAATCAGTATTGTTTGGGGTGGCCTGGGATTTGATATCTGAAGTGGGGAGCAGGGCTGTCCTTTGCTTTGGGGGAGTCTCATAAAGAAAAATGGAGACGAGAAGTAACGTTCATTGTGGCCAGTGTCTCTCCAGCATTACCATGGCAACAATCCCCACGGGTGTCACTATGGAAATCAGGCCTGGCACTTGAAGTTCAGCTTATACCAAGTGCTTTACTGAGGGTTGAACAGGTTGGTCATCTTTGGACCCCTGATCTTAAACCCCCAGCCCCAATTAGCTTCAGTCAGCACACATGATAGAAAAGTACAGAAAGGTGCTGGGATACACAAATGGAAGAGGAGACACCAGGGAGGCTCGGAGTGTGATTAAATTAAAAGAGAACAAAGAACCCTGGACTGTGGGACTCTGAAGAGAGGCCCTTCAGAGAAGGCTATAAGGAGCACTTAGACTGCTGGGGGTGGGAGAGAGATTGGATTTCGGCGACATTTCTAAGAGGAGGAGGGACTCTGTGACTATTTCTCATTAACAACTCACAGAGTCTTCGATTACCTGGAGGTAGAGAGGGTGGGTGGCAGAATTACATACTTCTGAAAATGGGATTGAGGTTGGAAAAAGGGAGTGATGAAAGGCTTTAGTTCTGTCTGGAAATACTTGGAAAAATGCCCAAATGTGAGGAGGGGGGATATGGAGTAGGGGAAGAAAAAGCCTTGATAAGGCTCTGACACAGTGTTGGCATTTCAGTTCTTGGATCACTTTGCAGTGTGGGTCTGGAATCAGATTGCTTGAATTTGAAACTGTGCTCTACCATTTCTCAGCCATGTGACTGTGGGGAAGCTACCTGACCTCTTTGAGCCTGTTTCGTCATCTATAAAGTGGTAATAATAATAGTATCTATGTCCTAGGATTACTGTGAACATTAAATGAGATAATGCATATAAACTGCTTTGTAACATGGCAGGCACACAGTAAACCCTCAATAAGAGTTAGATATTATCACTATTTTATATGCTATCTCCCCACAAGCTAGCTTTGACAAAATTGGGAAGTGGGTAACACTTTTCCTTTTTACTAATTGTTTCATGCAAACCTCCAGATCCCAAGTATCTTCTTGCTCCCTTCCTTGTCAATATCTATGTTTAGTCAACAAATATTTATGAAGAGCATCTGTCATAGTCCTCTATATGTTGCTATAAAGGAATACCCCAGGCTGGGTAATTTATAAAGAAAAGAGATATATTTGGCTAACAGTTCTGCAGGCTGTACAAGAAGCATGGCACCAGCATCTGCTCTGATGAGGGCCTCAGGAAGCTTCCAGTCATGGTGGGAGGCAAAGAGGGAGCAGGAATCACATGGCGAGAGAGGGAAAAAGAGGGAGAGCAAGAGGTGCCAAGCTCTTTTTAACAGCCAGCTCTCACATGAACTCATAAAGCGATAACTCACTCATTACCATGGGGAAGGCACCAAGCCACTCATCAGGGATTTACCTCCTTGAGCCAAGCACTTCCCACCATGCCCCACCTCCAACAATGGGGATCAAATGTCAACATGAGATTTGGAGGGGACAAACATCCAAACTACATCAGCATCCTATAGGCCAGGGACTGTGTTTGGTGTTGGGGATTTAAAGGGAATCCCTGCCTTCAAGAAAATCTGGATCAAGGTTGTGATCCATAGCCCATGGAGTGGCCTGCGCAGAGGCAGGGGAGAGGAACATCAGATATGGCTTTTGCTAACTATCTATATACTCCCCCAGATTCTGATAAGGAACCTCCCACAACATACTACAGTCTGATTCAGAGTATTGTGTGTTATGAGAGCTGTAAATAATGGTGGTGCTTCCCATGTCTATGGGCAGGAAAAGTGGAAGACCACTGGTCTAGTTATTTTCATGAAAAGATCACTTTTCTCTAGGCACATTGCCCATGGGTTAGCCCTGCTGTACAAGGAGCAGTAATGAAAAAAAAATCAGGCAAAATTAATTCATCCTGAGTATAATCAATAGAAAATTAAAAGAAATGTACAAAACTTAGCCGAGCATGGTGGTGGCTGCCTGTAGTCCCAGCTACTCAGGAGGCTGATGCAGGAGAATTGCTTGAACCTGGGAGGCGGAGGTTGCAGTGAGCCGAGATCTTGCCACTGCACTCCAGCCTGGGCAACAGAGCAAGACTCCGTCTCAAAAATAAATAAATAAATAAAAATTAAAAAAACAAATTGGCTGGGCACGGTGGCTCACGCCTATAATCTCAGCACTTTGGGAGACAGAGGCGGGTGGATAACAAGGTCAGGAGTTCGACACCAGCATGGCCAACATGGTGAAACCCTGTCTGTACTGAAAATATAAAAATTAGCCGGGCGTGGTGGTGGGCGCCTGTAATCCCAGCTACTCGGAAGGCTGAGGCAGGAGAATCGCTTGAACCTGGGAGGCGAAGGTTGCAGTGAGCCAAGATCATGCTGCTGCACTCCAGCCTGGGCGAAAGAGTGAAACTCTATCTCAAAAAAAAAAAAAAAAGAAAAAGAAAGAAAGAAAAAAAAGAAAAAACAAATTTACATTTTAAAAGGAATAAACAACTTAAAGACATAAAGAGCCAGGCTTGGAATTTTAGAGCCCAGCCAAGAATACAGAAGTAGGTAGCAGGCCTTCCCAGAACTCCTGAAATCATATCTCATGTCACATGGCTTTCCCTGCTCAGGAGATTACTAAATGCACCAATTTTTAGCTCTTGGGTATCTTTTTTTTTTTTCAGACGGAGTCTCGCTCTGTCACCCAGGCTGGAGTGCAGTGGCGCGATCTCGGCTCACTGGAAACTCCGCCTTCCGGGTTCACGCCATTCTTCTGCCTCAGCCTCCCAAGCAGCTGGGACTACAGGCGCCTGCCACCACGCCCGGCTAATTTTTTGTATTTTTAGTGGAGACGGGGTTTCACCGTGTTAGCCAGGATGGTCTCGATCTCCTGACCTCGTGATCCACCCGCCTCGGCCTCCCAAAGTGCTGGGATTACAGATGTGAGCCACCGCGCCCAGCCCACTCTTGGGTATCTTTTAGACTCAGATCTGAGAATCTCTTCCTTCTTCCCTCTCTGCTCTTTTCTTTCTTCCCAGCCTAGACTGATGTAAAGGGGTTCCTGATGAAAAGGGGCTATAATTGGCTTCAGCATTTGGAGAGCGCTCTCCATTTTAATGCGTCTGTGGAGCCTTCTAGATCCTGTAACTGGGAATGTTTTGAGGGAGTGTGTGTGGGGGCTGGGGTGGGGTGGTTGGTGTGTTGGTGCCCATGTGTTTGTGGGGGGAGGGGAGGGGCAAGATTGGCTTGAGAGTTACATTTAATCCCCTTTGGCTGGGTGCCTGGCTTCATGAAGCATGGATAGAGATTGTTGGTGGGAAAGAGATGAGAAAGCCAGTCTCATCTTTTCACATTTTTCTGCCTGTTTTATATTCTGGCTGCACTGGCAGTTGATTAAATGATGCCCACCCAGATTAAGGGTGGATCTGCCTTTCCCAGTCCACTGACTCATATGTTAATATCCTTTGGCAACACCCTCACAGACACACCCAGGATCAATACTTTGCATCATTCAGTCCAGTCAAGTTGACACTCAGTATTAACCATCACAATTCCACCCCTCATCAACTTGAACCCATACACATCTCCTGAGATCGTACAAATCTTCAAATAAGGACAATAATAAGGTCATAATTATGCGCCTAATATAATACAACTATCCTTCGTACAACCGGAAATGCACCAATCCCCAACCCAAATGCTATTATATAAAGTTAACATACTTAAATGCTGATACGAAGTCAATAAGTCTTATGTCACATAATAAAGGAAAAAGGAAATTAAAAAAAAAAAGATGAGAGGCATTGGCTTGAGATAGACATATTTTGCTTGTTTCTGTTTCTTGGCCACTGGGTGGGAGAAACATTGAGGTAGATTACAATTTAAAATTAATTACAATTCAAAATTAAGGTAGATTTTTCTTTAATAATATTAAAAATAATGTAATTACAACACTAATACATTTTAATTGTTAACAAAGTTCAAGACAAAGGAAAGGACACCGAAGAAGCTAAAAATCACCCAATATCTTACCACCCCAAAGAAGCACTGTTATTAATAATAATTTGATGTATTTTTCCAGTGTTTTTTCTACATATATACATATGTTAATTTTAATAAGATTATATATCATAAACTATATATTGTTTTGTAACCTTTTTTCTCAAACAAAATATTATTACTATTTTGCCATTGTTAAATATTTTTACATAACTTTATTATTTTACAATTTTTCTGTTTTTTTTTTGAGATGGAGTCAGGCTGGAGTGTGCAGTGGTGTGATCTTGGCTCACTGCAACCTCTGCCTCCCGGGTTCAAGCAATCCTCCCACCTCAGCTTCCTGAGTAGCTAGGATTATAGGCATGTACCACCATGCCTGGCTATATTTTACAATTTTCAATTTAACTTTCGAATGTCTTACCTGCACATGTGACAAAATGCAAAGGATATGAAAAGGTTTATATTGTTTCCTTCTCCTTCTCACCCCTCTTTTCCAGCCACACAGTTCCCTTTTCAGAAGGCAACTTCTTGTGGATCTTTCCAAAAACCTACTATACATTTATAAGCAAATACATATATACATGCATACCTTTTTTTACACAAATGGTAGCGTATTATACATCCATTCTGCACCTTTAAAAACAAAAACAGCCTGGGTGTGGTGGCTCATGCCTGTAATCTAAGCACTTTGAGGCCGAGGCGGGAGGATCACTTGAGGTCAGGAGTTCGAGACCAGCCTGACCAACATGGTGAAACCCCATCTCTACTAAAAATATAAAAATTCTGGCTGGGTGCAGTGGCTCACACCTGTAATCCCAGCACTTTGGGAGGCTGAGGTGGGCGGATCATGAGGTCAGGAGATGGAGACCATCCTGGCCAACATGGTGAAACCTCGTCTCTACTAAAAATACAAAAATTAGGCCAGGTGCGGTGGCTTACGCCTGTAATCTCAGCATTGGGAGGCCAAGGCGGGTGGATCACCTGAGGTCAGGAGTTCAAGACCAGCCTGGCCAACATGGCCAAACCCCATCTCTACTAAAAATACAGAAATTAGCCGGGTGTGGTGGCGGGCGCCTATAATCCCAGCTACTCTGGAGGCTGAAGCAGGAGAACTGCTTGAGCCCGGGAGGCAGAGGTTGCGGTGAGCTGAGATGGAGCCACTGCACTCCAGCTTGGGCGACAGAGCAAGACTCTTGTCTCAAAAAACAAAAAGCAAAACAAACAAACAAAAAACCCAAAACAAAACAGAGTCTTGGACACCCTTCCTTATCAGCACATAAAGATTTATCTCATTCTTTTTTGGTTTTGTTTTGTTTTTCAAGACAGGGTCTCACTCTGTTGCTCAGGCTGGAGTGCAGTGGTGCAATCATGGCTCACTGCAACCTTCACCTTCGAGGCTCAGGCCATCATCCTGCCTCAGCCTGCTGAGTAGCTGGGACCACAAGGCCCATGCCACCACACCTGGCTATTTTTTTTTAATTTTTGTAGAGACAGGGTCTCCCTATGTTGCCCAGGCTGGTCTCCAACTCCTGGCCTCAAGGATCCTCCAGACTTGACCTCCCAAAGGGCTCGGATTACACGGTACATGAGCTATCTCATTCAACTGTATAATTTGTTGTAGGGATAGGCCATTATTTAACCAGGCCTCTGTTGGTGGACATTAAGGGTTGTTCTAATCATCTGCTATTACAAACAGTTGAATGACCTTGTATAAATATTTTTTGCATATGTGCAGTATGTCTACAGGATAAATTTTTCGAAGTGGAGGTCATAAAGCATATGCATTTAAAAATGTGAGGCTATTTCCAAATTGCCTTTCACAGAGTTGGCTCCAATTTCTATGTACCCTCAGCAGTATGTGTGAATATCTATTTACTCACATTCTCACCAGTGTAATGCGTTGTCTATTTTATTTTGGCCACTTTCATAGGTAAAAATGGTGTTTCATAGTTTTAATATGCATTTTGCTTATTAACAGTGAGGTCGAGCATTAATTAATATTAATTAATATATTTTAACATTTAGGAGCCACTATAACATCATTTTATGATGTTATAATTTATGATAGTGATATAATTTACATACAGTGTACAGATCTTAGGCAAACAGCTTGATAAATTTTATGACATATGTAGACACCCATGTAACCACTACACAGATCAAGATCTAGAACATTTCTGTCACTCCTGAAAGCTCCTTCATATCCTCTTCCTGTAAATACCACTTGTATGTTGTTACCACAATAGCAGGTAGCTGCTGTTTTGACTTCTAGCACTACAGATAAGTTCTGTCCATTCTTGAACTTCATATGAAGGGAGTAATACAGTATGTGCTCTTTTGTGTTTGGATTCTTTCAACGTGTTTTTGAGATATATTGACGTTCTATTTATTAATGTTCTATTATGATATTTTAATTTTATTTATTTATTTTTTTTGGGACAGAGTTGCACTTTGCTGCTCAGGCTGGAGTGCGGTGGCGCGATCTCGGCTCACTGCAACCTCTGCCTCCTGGGTTCAAGCGATTCTTGTGCCTCAGCCTCCCAAGTAGCTGAGATTACAGGCATGCACCGCTATGCCCAGCTAATTTTTGTATTTTTAGTAGAGACATGGTTTCACCATGTTGGCCAGGCTAGTCTCGAACTCCTGACCTCAAGTAATCTGCCTGCCTTGGCCTCCCAAAGTGCTGAGATTACAGGCGTGAGCCACCATGCCTAGCCAGTTATGGCATTATTTTAAATAACAGTGAGGAATAAAATATATGTATATGCTATAATTTAATTCACTCCTTAGGTTAACCAGTCTCCTAAATGTTACTCCTTTAAGTCGTCTTCAATTTCTCATTATTATAAGCAATGTGATGATAAACACCCTTGTAGCGAAATCTTGATTTCCATGATATCAATTCTTAGAAGTAGAATTTCTAGATCAATGGATATGTAAAATTTAAGGCTTTTGATTATGCATTTTTGAATTGTTATATGGATGTACTCTCCAACCAGAAAATAATGAAAGTTCTCATTTTTTTGAACCCACATCTACACTGGGTATTACAATGCAAATTTTGTTTTCCAGTTTGAGAGGTGAAAAGAAATTTTACCATTTCAGTTTCTTTTCTTGGAAAATGTTGAACATCTTCATGATTGCTGAACATTTATATTTCTTCTTCTGTTGCTTGTTTCTAGTTCTTGTTCACCTTTTTCTGTTTAGTTTTTGTCTTTTTGTTACTAATTTATGAGAGTTTTTAAGGCGGGGCATGGTGGCTCACGCTTGCAATCCTAGCACTTTGGGAGGCTGAGGTGGGTGGATTGCTTGAGCCCAGGAGTTTGAGACCAGCCCAGGCAACATGGTGAGACTCTGCCTCTACAAAAAATAAACAAAATTAGGCAGATATAGTGGTATGTGCCTGTGGTCCCAGCTACTTGGGAGGATTGCTTGGGCCTGGGAGGTTGCAGCTGCAGTGAGCTGTGATTTCGCCACTGTACTCCAGCCTACATGACAGATGAGACCCTGACTCAAGAAAAAGAAAAGAAAAGAAAATAGAGAGATTTTTTGATTATTTGTTTGTTTATTTGTTTGTTTGTTTGATACAGGGTCTCTCTCTGTCACCCAGGCTGGAGTGCAGTGGCCCGATCTTGGCTCACTGCAACCTCTGCCTTTTGAGCTCAGGTAATTCTCCCATCTCAGCCTCCTGAGTAGCTGGAATTACAGGTGTGCACCACCACACCCAGCTAATTTTTGTATTTTTTGTAGAGATGGGGTTTCACCATGTTGCCCAGTCTGGTCTTAAACTCCTGACCTCAAGTAATCTGCCTGCCTCAGCCTCCCAAAGTGCTGGGATTACATGCATGAGTCACCGTGCCCAGCCCAGCAGTTGTTTTGTAAAAGGAAATCTTAGCACTGGAATCCTGGTGCAGACTATGAACAGTATGGACATTTAAATATTTAATAGAATTGTCCTCCAGAAAGGTTCTATCAGTTGGTAATTTACAGAGAGCACTTTTCTAACTTCTTTTCCTTTGTGGATTCTGTTTCTTGGACTTCAGAGGCTTTCACCACAGAGAGACTGGATAAATATTTTAGGTAGGATTTTTTTCTATAAGCCAAATTTAATTGTTTTAATATTAAAAAACATTTATTAGTTTTCTTTTATACAAAGAAATATAAAGAAGAAAAGAATAAACGATTATTTCTTTTTTGCCATTAAAACTTTTTAAAATATAATGCTCGTACATAGTTTAAAAATGTAAACCATGCAGGATACAAAATGAAAAATAAAAGCCTTTCTCTCAGTTTCTCTCCTCAAAGTAACCACTGTTAACACTTTTGTATAATTCCTTCTAGAAAAAAAATTCTGTAGATATTCATGCAATGTTATTGCTATACCTAGAGCCACATCTCCAGCTCTAGCCAAGGTTTACAACTTTCCTTAATTAGTTAAAACATATCTCCCAAACTCTGCAAACTCTGGCGTCTGTAGATCTTGAGGTTTACATTTCGATTGGATAAAGATGGACTCTGTAGTAAAACAATTTGACAAGTCAGTCACCTATGATAGAGAACAAGCATTGTCTCATTTACTCGTCCCAGAGATTTACCTCTAATGCATCTAGCCATCAAATATATTCATTGGTTAGCTTCCTAAGTTGTAAGTATTTTGTGTCTTTATCATTCTTATCAGCACATGTGATTTACAACATATTCCTGAATTAAACAAGGATTTGTAAGTCTGAATGATTTGCTTCACAGTTCTTTTTTTTTGAGACGAAGTCTTGCTCTTGTCCCCCAGGCTGGAGTGCAGTGGCGCAATCTTGGCTCACTGCAACCTCCGCCTCCTGGGTTCAAGCGATTCTCCTGCCTCAGCCTCCGGCGTAGCTGGGATTACAGGTGCCTGCCACCACGCCCAGCTAATTTTTGTATTTTTAGTAGAGATGGGGTTTCAGCATGTTGGCCAGGCTGGTCTCGAACTCCTCACCTCAGGTGATCTGCCTGCCTTGGCCTCCCAAAGTGCTGGGATTACAGGCTTGAGCCACCGTGCCCGACCCACAGTTCTTCTTTAATTAAAGCTTGTTCTGTTCTTAAAGGGAGACCCACATATCTGATTTCATATATTCCTTTCACAAAGAGAGAGAGCTTGTGTTAATGTTTCCACAGAGGCTCTCAGTGTAGACTGAATTTCATTTACATGGTAGGGAACATGCTATAAATATATGTCACTAACTTTGCATCTTTCACTTAGTACATCTAAAGATCTTTCCATATCAGGGTACGTGGATCTGTTGAGGAAGATATTTCTAGCTTGAGATACTTTTTAGTGTTAATGAATTGTTCTTCAATTTTCATCACCTGTGGCCCTATTGTCTTTTTTCATCTGGTTTCCCAGGGAGGAGTTTGGGGTAGTGGAGTGCTCAATCATCACACCACGACTAAGATCCCCTAACACAATCTCACTGTGCGACACTCCTCTACCCCACAGACACAACTCCTGGCATCAGTACCTTTAGTTTCTCTTATTCTCCCACATTTCTTTTCTTTTCTTCTTCTTTTTTTTTTTGAGATGGAGTCTCGCTCTATCGCCAGGCTGGAGTGCAGTGGCGCAATCTCGGCTCACTGCAACCTCTGCCTCTCGGGTTCAAGCGATTCTCCTGTCTCTGCCTCCCGAGTAGCTGGGACTACAGGCACGTGCCACCACACCAGGCTAATTTTTGTATTTTTAGTAGAGACGGGGTTTCACCATATTGGTCAGGCTGGTCTTGAACTCCTGACCTCGTGATCCGCCTGCCTCAGCCTCTTAAAATGATGGGATTACAGGTGTGAGCCACCACGCCCGGCCATTCTCCCACATTTCTGTTCATTAAGGGCATTGAAGAAAAGGGTGCCTTTCTCAGCTGCTGGAAGGAGGTTGTGGTATTTCTTTTCCCTCACATCCTGCCTGTTGACGTCTGATATCTTTTATTTTCATTCCAGGGGAAGCCATATGTTTTTGACCGTGTATTCCCCCCAAACACGACTCAAGAGCAAGTTTATCATGCATGTGCCATGCAGATTGTCAAAGGTAATAGATTTCTTTTTAGAATGTCTCTTCTCAGCACCCCATTTCCTACCCGACCTATCTCCACCAGTACTCTTTCTCTACTGTCTCTTCCAGATGTCCTTGCTGGCTACAATGGCACCATTTTTGCTTATGGACAGACATCCTCAGGGAAAACACATACCATGGAGGTGAGGGTTCTGGCTTTGGTGGTTGAGGGGCTAGGAGTGTTAATGGAAGATCAGGGAATCTCAGTGGGGGAAGGTCTAGGAATCAAGGATTGCCTGGTCCAGAGGCAGATAGATGAGTACAGAGGATGAACTGAAGGGCAATATTAGGGGAAGTTTAATGGAATCCCTCCAACCCACTGCAGTGGATCATCCTTTCCACTACTCCAGTCTTCTTTTGATCGGGAAAAGCAATGGAAGTCCAAAGGGCTACTCAATTATCTCCTTGCTCCTCTAAAAGGCAGACATGGTGGTGACCATCTCCTAACTTAGGATGTTCTTCTTATTGACTCTTGCCTTGGTGTTCACCTGCATACATCTGAGTTGTCTCATTCTCCCTGAGCCCCAGCTTCACTCTCAAATACCTTCACTCGCCAGGGAAAGCTGCACGACCCTCAGCTGATGGGAATCATTCCTCGAATTGCCCGAGACATCTTCAACCACATCTACTCCATGGATGAGAACCTTGAGTTCCACATCAAGGTGACCAGGGCACGACAGCTGGGCATTCAGATGGGGACTGGGAGGGGAAGATCTAAAATCTTCCCACTGAAGAGCCTGGGCTCCCCAACTTGACTCCCTTTCCGGTTACCAGAGTTCTTTGTCAAGATGTTCTCTTCTGTTCTTTTCCTCCCACCACCGTTTGAGCAGGTCACATTAGTATGGGATTCCTGAACTAGATTTAAGATAGGCCCTCTTTACTTCACACTCCTTCTTTCTTCTTAACCAGGTTTCTTACTTTGAAATTTACCTGGACAAAATTCGTGACCTTCTGGATGGTGAGTGTTTTGTCCCAGTGGATGAGGGTGTGTGAGGAGGGTGGAGAAAAGAAAGCTCACATTGCATTTGGAATTAGGTACCAATTGACAAGAGATGCAGAGGGCACACAGCACCCAAGTCTTTTGGCCCCGTTTACCAGAATTTCCAAAAACTGAGAAGGTCAGGAGATGAGCTTAGCAGCCAAGGACTACATATAAACAGTTCGAGAGGATCTGGGGCCGAGGAGCAGGAGCCCTGAGGAGGAGAAGGAGGAGGAACTGAGCCTTCAGCTCGTGCAGGGAGTTTAGGCTTCACAGGGAGAGTCTTCCTTTAGCACAGAGAAGAAAACCACCATCTGAGCTGACTGCAAGGTGCAGATGGGGGCGGTGGAAGTACTAGTCTTGCTTACCCTGCATTCTTTTGATTCAGTGACCAAGACAAATCTGTCCGTGCACGAGGACAAGAACCGGGTGCCATTTGTCAAGGTGAGAGTGGGTGTGGGGCACCTATGTGGGGCCAGTGTATTGAGAATGTTGGTGGGGGAGGAGCATAGGTCAGTGACCCTGAAGTTGGAGGGTGGATATCCTGGAGGAATGAGATGTGCCTAGGGGCCAGGGAGAGTCTAGGGGATCAGAAAAGATACTGTCTTGGCTGGGCATGGTGGCTCATACCTGTAATCCCAGCACTTTGGGAGGCTGAGGTGGGTGGATCACTTGAGGCCGGGAGTTCAAGACCAGCCTGGCCAATATAGTGAAACCCCGTTTCTACTAAAAATACAAAAAATTAACTGGGCGTGGTGGCACATGCTTGTAATCCCAGCTATTTGGGACACTGAAGCAGGAGAATCTCTTGAACCTGGGAGGCAGAGGTTGCGGTGAGCCGAGATTGCGCCACTGCACTCCAGCCTGGGCGACAGAGTGAGAACCTGTCTTTAAAAAAAAAGAAGAAAAGAAAAGATACTGTCTTGAAAGGTCATTGGTCAGTGTGCATGCAATTTAATTTGCAAATCAAAGTTTACTGGAAGAAATGCCTGTAATCCCAACACTTTAGAAGGCTGAGGTGGGAGGATCACTTGAGGAGTTCAAGATCAGCCTGGCCAACATAGCAAGACCCGTCTCTCTTATTTAATCTAATTTTTTTTTTTTTTTTTTTTGGAGACAGAGTCTCACTCTGTTGCCCAGGCTGGAGTGCAGTGGCTCGACCTAGGGTCACTGCAACCTCCCTGTCCTGGGTTCAAACGATTCTCCTGCGTCAGGCTCCCGAGTAGCTGGGACTACAGGCATGTGCCACCACGCCTGGCTGATTTTAGTATTTTTAGTAGAGACGGGGTTTCACCATGTTGGCCAGGCTGGTCTCTAATTCCTGACCTCAGGTGATCCACCTGCCTCAGCCTCCCAAAGTGCTGGAATTACAGGCATGAGCCACTATGCTGAGTCTCTTGTTTAAAAAAAAAAAAAAATTTTTGTCAGGCATGGTGGCACACACCTGTAGTCCCAGCTACTCAGGAGGCTGAGGCGGGAGAATTGCTTGAGCTCAAGAGTTTGAGGTTGCAGTGAGCCATGATAGTGCCACTGCACTCCAGCCTGTGTAGTAGAGAGACAGTGGTTTTTTTTGTTTGTTTGTTTTTGTTTTTGGAGACAGATTCTCACTCTGTCACCCAGGCTGTAGTGCAATGGCATGATCTTGGCTCACTGCAACCTCTGCCTCCTGGGTTCAAGTGATTCTCCTGCCTCAGCCTCCCAAGCATATGGGATTATAGGTGCCTGCCACCAGGCCCACTTATTTTTGTATTTTTAGTAGAGATGGGGTTTCACCATGTTAGCCAGGCTAGTCTCGAACTCCTGACCTCAGGTGATCCGCCCACCTCAGCCTCCCAGTGTGCTGGCATTACAGGCATAAGCCACTGCACCTGGCTGCGACAGTGTTTTTTTTTTTTTGAGACAGAGTTTCTCTCTTGTTGCCCAGGCTGGGGTACAGTGGCGCCCGATCTTGGCTTACTGCAACCTCAGCCTCCCGAGTTCAAGTGATTCTCCTGCCTCAGCCTCCTGAGTAGCTGGAATTACAGGCATGTGCCACCACGTCTGGCTAATTTTGTATTTTTAGTGGAGATGGGATTTTGCCATGTTGGCCAGGCTGGTCACGAACTCCTGACCTCAGGTGATCCACCCACATTGGCCTCCCAAACCAAAGTGCTGGGATTACAGGCGTGAGCCACCATGCCCGCCACTGTTTCAAAAAAGTAGTAAATACGTAAGATAAAAATAAATACAAAGCAGGGCATGGTGGCTCAAGCCTGTAATCCCAGCACTTTGGGAGGCCAAGGCAGGCGGATCACGAGGTCAGGACTTTGAGACCAGCCTGACCAACATGGTGAAACCCCGTCTCTACTAAAAATACAAAAATTAGCCGGGCGTGTTGGCTCATGCCTGTAATCCCAGCTACTCTGGAGGCTGAGGCAAGAGAATCGCTTGAACCTGGGAGGTGGAGGTTGCAGTGAGCTGAGATTCTTGACACTGCACTCCAGCCTGGGCAGAGCGAGACTCCATCTCAAAAGAAAATAATAATAATAAAAATAAATAAATAAATACAAACTTAAAAAACAAAGCTTATGGGTCACTGTCCATTTGTCCCCCACAGGGTTGTACTGAACGCTTTGTGTCCAGCCCGGAGGAGATTCTGGATGTGATTGATGAAGGGAAATCAAATCGTCATGTGGCTGTCACCAGTGAGTGAGGATACAAGGGGATCTCTCGAGTCTGAGGATCCACTTGTGTTCTGTGTCCTCTGGGGTGGAGGGACTCAAAAGTGAGCAAGGAAACTGTACCCCCCAGAGGAGGAGGACCCCTTGTCTGTGGGACCCTGCTGCCTGGGAGATGTGGCAGCAGGGCTAGTCCTGGTGGGCACCTTCTCTCTGGGTGGGCGGGGCTGGGGTCAGTGGAAGCCGGGGGCTGAGGACCTCAGTTCTGCAGGGTGGTGCAGGTCCTGTTTCTCCCTTGCTCCTGCAGACATGAATGAACACAGCTCTCGGAGCCACAGCATCTTCCTCATCAACATCAAGCAGGAGAACATGGAAACGGAGCAGAAGCTCAGTGGGAAGCTGTATCTGGTGGACCTGGCAGGGAGTGAGAAGGTAGGGGGTCCTGTGGATATGGGGTGGGTGGAAGCCTTGGCTCTTTTTTTTTTTTTTTTTGAGACAGAGTCTCACTCTGTCGCCCGGGCTGGTTTGCAGTGGCACGATCTCTGTTCACTGCAACCTCCGCCTCCTGGGTTTAAGTGATTCTCCTGCCTAAACCTTCCAAGTAGCTGGGATTACAGGTGCCCACCACCACGCCTGGCTAATTTTTTGTATTTTTAGTAGAGAGGGGATTTCACTGTGTTGGCCAGGCTGGTCCTTGGCTCTTTTTTTTTTTTTGAGACGGATTCTTGCTCTGTCACCCAGGTTGGAGTGCAGTGGCACGCTCTCAGCTCACTGCAACCCCTGCCTCCCAGGTTCAAGTGATTTTCCTGCCTCAGCCTCCCTAGTAGCTGGGATTACAGGCTCCCGCCACCAAGCCCAGCTAATTTTTGTATTTTTAGTAGAGACGGGGTTTCACCATGTTGGCCAGGCTGGTCTCGAACTCCTGACCTCGGGATCCACCTGCCTCGGCCTCCCAAAGTGCTGGGACTACAGGCATGAGCCACTGTGCCCGGCCGACTCTTTTTTAACTAAAAAATGATTTGCATTGGGATATAATTCACATACCATAAAGTTCACCATTTTAAAGTGCAATTCAGTTGTTTGTAGTATGTTCCCAAGGTTGTGCAACCATTACGCTATCCAATTCTAGAGCACTGTCATCTTCTATTCACAGTCACTCTCCATTGTCCCCTAACCCCATCCCCTGTCAACTTCTAATCTACTTTCTGTCTCTATGGATTTGCCTATCCTGAACATTTCATATAAATGGAATCATATGGCTGGGCACGGTGGCTCACACCTGTAATCCCAGCACTTTGCGAGGCCGAGGTGGGTGGATCACCTGAGGTCGGGAGTTCGAGACCAGCCTGGCCAACATAGAGAAACCCCATCTCTACAAAAAATGCAAAATTAGCTGGGCGTGGTGGCACATGCCTGTAATCCCAGCTGCTCAGGAGGCTGAGGCAGGATAACCGCTTGAACCTGGGAGGCGGAGGTTGTGGTGAGCTGAGATCGCACCATTGCACTCCAGCCTGCGCAACAAGAGTGAAACTCCATCTCAAAAAAAAAAAAAGGAATCATGTAATATGTGGCAGGGGTTAGGGGCAATGTGGTGTTTGACAAGACAGTTTAGGGGAACAGAGGAAGGGCCTTCCCCAATCCCAGCCAAGCATCTCTGTTACTCCATCTTCTTCCCTGTTCCTTCCTTCCTCCGTGGACTGAGCCCTGGAACGAGGTGGTGACAGCCCTCTCCATGTGCAGCTGCTCATACACACTCATCTCTTACTGCCCTGGTAGGTCAGCAAGACTGGAGCAGAGGGAGCCGTGCTGGACGAGGCAAAGAATATCAACAAGTCACTGTCAGCTCTGGGCAATGTGATCTCCGCACTGGCTGAGGGCACTGTGAGTGATCCTTAGGTCCCCTCACCCCTCAAGCCACACCCCATCTCCTCCCCCACCTGCTAATGCCACCATATGATCATGCCCCAATTCATGGGTTGTCTGATCCCGGGGTGGCACCACTATCCTTTCTGATTCCCTGTTGAATTTTATTTGTTTATTTCTGATTCCTGGTCTCCTTCCTCCCCCAGAAAAGCTATGTTCCATATCGTGACAGCAAAATGACAAGGATTCTCCAGGACTCTCTCGGGGGAAACTGCCGGACGACTATGTTCATCTGTTGCTCACCATCCAGTTATAATGATGCAGAGACCAAGTCCACCCTGATGTTTGGGCAGCGGTCAGTGGCAGGGTCCCCAGAGGGATCCCTGGTACCCAGCTTCCCATCCCAGCCTCTGCGGCTCTCTCTCCTCAGGGTCACCCAAGTCTCATGTTGCTCTCATTTCTTTGTTCCTCTTCTCCTCACCCAGGGCAAAGACCATTAAGAACACTGCCTCAGTAAATTTGGAGTTGACTGCTGAGCAGTGGAAGAAGAAATATGAGAAGGAGAAGGAGAAGACAAAGGCCCAGAAGGAGACGATTGCGAAGCTGGAGGCTGAGCTGAGCCGGTGGCGCAATGGTTAGAGAGGGATAGGTGGGAGTGAGGGGCAGTGGGAAGAGGAGGAGGATGTTTGGGAGCCAACTCTGTTTGGGTGGTGTTTCTGGCCAGGCCAATCTCCTAGAAGAGGGGCTGTGTTTCTGGACAGGTGCAGTAGAGCAGTCATGGGGGAAGGGAGGGGCCTGACTACCTACCTCCCATACTCCCAAAAGGTAGAGGGTCCACCTGGCAAGAGAGTTCAAGGGGCATGGTGAGTGAGAAGGAAGAACTCGTGGATGCAGCTTCTTCTTCTTCCATCTCTCACCTCGTCTTGCCCCTTTGCAGGAGAGAATGTGCCTGAGACAGAGCGCCTGGCTGGGGAGGAGGCAGCCCTGGGAGCCGAGCTCTGTGAGGAGACCCCTGTGAATGACAACTCATCCATCGTGGTGCGCATCGCGCCCGAGGAGCGGCAGAAATACGAGGAGGAGATCCGCCGTCTCTATAAGCAGCTTGACGACAAGGTGAGGGCGGCCAGGCAGGGCACTGAGGCACGCCAGGTGGGATGAGAGGTAGACGATCAAAGAAAATCGCTTATATTGCCTCTTTCTGGTTTTAAAAGGGATAAATGCTTATGCTTGAAATGTGGAAACATCAATATAAATGTATGTAAGAAAATTAAAATCATCCACTATTCAGAGATAACACTCAACATTTTGCTTTTCTCTGTGCATATACCATGCAATTGAGTTATACTGTATAAGTAATTTTTTTTTTTGAGACAGGGTCTTGCTGTGTCGCCCAGGCTAGAGTGCAGAGGCACGATTGTGGTTCACTGCAACCTCTGCCTCTCGGGTTCAAGTGATTCTCCTGCCTCAGCCTCCAGAGTAGCTGGGATTACAGGCGCATGCCACCACGCCTGGCTAATTTTTGTATTTTTGGTAGAAACGGGGTTTCACCATGTTGGCTAGGCTGACCTCTGGCGATCCGCCCGCCTCGGCCCCCTGAAGTGCTTGGATTACAGGCGTGAGCCACCGTGCCCGGCCTGTATATGTAATTATACATCTGATTTTTTTCATTCAGCATTATATTATGCACAATTTCCTACTTCATTAATAATTCTTCATAAAAGTATTTTTATTTTCATTTATTATTATTATTTTGCTTTGAGAGAAAGAGTCTTGCTTTGTTACTCGGGCTGAAGTGCAGTGGTGCAGTAATAGCTCACTGCAACCTCAAACTCCTGGGCTCGAGGGATCCCCCCCAACCTCAGCCTCTGAAAGAGCTGGGACTACAGGTGCACACCACCACGCCCAGCTAATTTTTTTTTTTTTTTTTTTTTGGTAGAGTTGGAGTCTCACTTTGTTGCCCAGGCTGGTCTCAAACTCCTGGCCTCAAGCGATCCTCCCGCCTTGGCCTTTCAATGCGCTGGGATTAAAGGCATGCACCACCAGGCTAGCTAATATTTTAAATTTTTTGTAGAGACAGGGTCTCACTATGTTGCCCAGGTTGGCCTTGAACTCCTGGCTTCAACCGATCTTCCTGTAGGATATGGGGTTTCTAACTCAAAGCTTATACTATCTGGATTTTTATCAGGATCCTGCCTCTACCCCCAAACTTCTTACGTCTAAACTGGAAGGAGTAGCTTCCCTTCACCTGTCTTTCCCTGTTGCCTCCAACAGGATGATGAAATCAACCAACAAAGCCAACTCATAGAGAAGCTCAAGCAGCAAATGCTGGACCAGGAAGAGGTAATAGGAGGGAGGGCAGGACATGAGAGGAAAGGGGTTCTGTTCATCACTGGAAGGCATGGAATAGACCTTTTTAAAATCAGATGGAAGAAGGCGCTTTCTGCTTGGGGATTAATCACTCCCCTAAACAGCAGAAGTCTGGGAACCTCACTGGGGCTTTTCTTTTCTTTTCCTTTTTTCTTTTCTTTTTTTTTTTTAGAGATGGAGTCTCAATTTGTTACCTAGGCTGGAATGCAGTGGGGCAATCTCAGCTCACTGCAGCCTCGATCTTCCAGGGTCAAGCAGTCCTCCTGCCTCAGCCCCCTAAGTAGCTGGGACTACAAGTGCACCACCACACATGGCTAATTTTTGTAGAGATGGAGTTTTGCCATGTTACCCAGGCTGGTCTCGAACTCCTGAGCTCAGGCAATGTGCCCACCTAGGCCTCCCAAAGTGCTGGGATTACAGGCGTGAGCCACTGCGCCCGGCTGGGGCTTTTCTTAAAGCACAAATTTTAAAGTCTGGGGGCTTCTTCATTCTTCATTCTGTTGCCCTATTTCTATGAAACCTAAAGCCCACTTCCTCTTAACTCTTTATTTTGGGTAGGGTGGGGGCTCAGCTTCCCAGACCCAAGGCCATAGAAATGGTCACTGGCAGTGATCTTTCCCACATGCCACTCCTCTCCCTTGAAGCTGCTGGTGTCCACCCGAGGAGACAACGAGAAGGTCCAGCGGGAGCTGAGCCACCTGCAATCAGAGAACGATGCCGCTAAGGATGAGGTGAAGGAAGTGCTGCAGGCCCTGGAGGAGCTGGCTGTGAACTATGACCAGAAGTCCCAGGAGGTGGAGGAGAAGAGCCAGCAGAACCAGCTTCTGGTGGATGAGCTGTCTCAGAAGGTGGTAAGTGGTGTGCCAATGGTCCAACAGCTCCCTGACCACAGAACATCTCCCATGTCGAGGGGACCTCTGCATCCTTCCAGGGCTGTATGGTGGCTGCACCTCTGCACTGCTGTTCAGTGCATTGTGAGTCCCTCCCCAACCCTGTCACTGCACTTTCCCCTCACAGTCCCTCTGTCTTTCAGACTCTTCTGCAGGGCCTGTGTTCTCTTCATAGCAGCCCTCAGGGTCTTGCATGAAGGGAGAGGCCTCTGCCTGGGCTGGGCAAGGGAGCAGGAGGATGGCAACAGGAATGACCTGAGGGGCTGTCCCCAGGCCACCATGCTGTCCCTGGAGTCTGAGTTGCAGCGGCTACAGGAGGTCAGTGGACACCAGCGAAAACGAATTGCTGAGGTGCTGAACGGGCTGATGAAGGATCTGAGCGAGTTCAGTGTCATTGTGGGCAACGGGGAGATTAAGCTGGTGAGTGGTGAGAGACAGCAGCCTTGTTCAGGCTGGGCACTAGTGGAAGACGCAAGATGAGCCATCCAGGCCTTCACAGATACTGAGAAAGGCAGCCAGAGAGCCAGGAAACATGCCTTTGAACTAGACCCAGGAAGACAGGTAGAGGCTTGTATAGACCCAATTGAAAAGATACATTCTAGGTTGGGCGCAGTGGCTCACCGCTGTAATCCCAGCACTTTGGGAGGCCGAGGCAGGCGGATCACTTGAGGTCAGGAGTTCGAGACCTGACCTCGCCAACATGGCGAAACCCTGTCTCTACTAAAAATACAAAAATTAGCCAGGCGTGGTGATGTGCACCTGTAATTCCAGCTACTCAGGAGACTGAGGCAGGAGAATCGCTTCAACCTGGGAGGTAGAGGTTGCAGTGAACTGAGATCACACCACTGCACTCTAGCCTGGGTTATAGAGTGAGACTCTGCCTTAAAAACAAAACAAAACAAAACTAAATTCTAACGGGTGCTGAATAAAGAAGCAATGGAGGCCAGGCATGGTGGTTCATGCCTGTAATCCCAACATTTTGGGAGGCTGAGACAGGCGGATCGCTTGAGCCCAGGAGTTCACGACCAGCCTGGGTGACATAGTGAAACCCTATCTCTACAAAAAATACAAACGATTAGCTGGGGGTGGTGGCACACACCTATAGTACCAGCTACTTGACAGGCTGAGGTGGGAGAATCACCTGAGTATGGGAGGTTGAGGCTGCAGTGAGACATGATTGAGCTACTGCAATCCAGCCTGGGTGACAGAGCCAGACCTTGTCTTAAAAAAAAAAAAAAAGAGGCTGTACATGGTGGCTCACGCCTGTAATCCCAGCACTTTGGGAGGACGAGGCGGGTGGATCACCTGAGGTCAGGAGTTCGAGACCAGCCTGTTCAACATGGAGAAACTCCGTGTCTACTAAAAATATAAAATTAGCCGGGTGTGGTGGCTCATGCCTGTAATCCCAGCTACTCACGTGGCTGAGGCAGGGGAATCGCTTGAACCTGGAGGCGGAGGTTGCAGTGAGCCGAGATTGCACCATTGCACTCCAGCCTGGGCAACAAGAGTGAAACTCCGTCTCAAAAAAAAAAAAAAAAAAATTTGGGAGGCCGAGGCGAGGTCAGGAGATTGAGACCATCCTGGCTAACACAGTGAAACCCTGTCTCTACTAAAAAAATACAAAAAATTAGCCAGGCATGGTGGCGGGCGCCTGTAGTCCCAGCTACTCAGGAGGCTGAGGCAGGAGAATGGCGTGAACCTGGGAGGCGGAGCTTGCAGTGAGCAGAGATGCGGCACTGCACTCCAGCCTGGGTGACAGAGGGAGACTCTGTCTCAAAAAAAAAAAAAAAAAGCAGCAGCAACAGAGCAGTGCTTGCAGTAGGAGTTAGAGGTGGGGCATAGGCACAGAGTTCAGAATGAAATATGCAAATCTGTGGATGTGAGAATAATCTGGGTGATCAAGGAGATCAAAAGAAAATCATGTTGCTTTATAAGATTTATTTGTAAGTGGGGGACTGTCAGAATTGGATTTTTTTTTTTTTTTGAGATGGAGTCTTGCTCTGTTGCCCAGGCTGGAGTGCAGTGGTGTGATCTCAGCTCACTGCAACCTCCGCCTCCCAGGTTCAAGCAATTCTTCTGCTTCAGCCTCCCGAGTAGCTGGGACTACAGGCACACACCACCTCTCCTGGCTAATTTTTTATGTTTTTAGTAGAGAGAGGGTTTCACCATATTGGCCAGGCTGGTCTCGAACTCCTGACCTCGTAGTCCACCCACCTCGGCCTCCCAAAGTGTTGGGATTACAGGCGTGAGCCACCGAGCCCGGCCCAGAATTGGATTTTTTTTTTTTTTTTTTGAGATGGAGTCTCACTCTGTCGCCCAGGCTGGAGTCCAGTGGTGTGATCTCGGTTCACTGCAACCTCCGCCTCCTGGGTTCAAGCAATTTCCTGCCTCAGCCTCTTGAGTAGCTGGGATTACAGGCATGTGCCATGATGCTTGGCTAATTTTGTATTTTTAGTAGAGACAGGGTTTCACCACCATGTTGGTCAGGCTGGTCTCGAACTCCTGACCTCAGGTGATCCACCCACCTTGACCTCCCAAAGTGCTGAGATTACAAGGCATGAGCTACTGCGCCCAGCCAGAATTGGATTTTTAAATGCAGGCGGAGGAATTTAATGTGAAATGCCGCTGATAGAGAGCTGCTAAAGGTCGTTTGGAAAATACCCATCCCATTTGAGTCCCTGCGTATGTGGGTGTGTATGGGTAGGTAGAAGGTGGGAGGGAACAGATAAAGCTTCCCAGCAGCCAAGAAGCATCTCTTCCTCCTTTAATCACCTTAGCCAGTGGAGATCAGTGGGGCCATCGAGGAGGAGTTCACTGTGGCCCGACTCTACATCAGCAAAATCAAATCAGAAGTCAAGTCTGTGGTCAAGCGGTGCCGGCAGCTGGAGAACCTCCAGGTGGAGTGTCACCGCAAGATGGAAGTGACCGGGCGGGAGCTCTCATCCTGCCAGCTCCTCATCTCTCAGGTGAGTGCCTAAGTTTGAGAACCTTCAGATGCCATGGGAGAAAGAAGGCTACTCTGGGGTTATGGCTAAAACTCCTAACACCCACCTTTATGTCAAAGTTCTGGGGTCAAGTGAAATCAAGGACAGAAAAGCTGGGGTGGCAGGGGTGCAGATCAGGGCCAAAAAAGTAAAGGCTCAGGGCGGGTACTGCCCCCTGAGCCATGGGAGCTAAAGGAAGAGCCCCATAGGAATGGCCCCCAACCCTGCACCCTCATGGGAAGTGTAGCAGGAGGGAGGGCTGGGAGGAGAGCTGGAGTTGGAGATCTGTGTGGCCTGGGTTTGTGTCCTTTGCTCCATCTTCTTCCTCTCACCAACTTTCTCCCACCAGCATGAGGCCAAGATCCGCTCGCTTACGGAATACATGCAGAGCGTGGAGCTAAAGAAGCGGCACCTGGAAGAGTCCTATGACTCCTTGAGCGATGAGCTGGCCAAGCTCCAGGCCCAGGGTGAGGCCTTCTTATACCTCCATCCCACTGTCCAGGGCAGAAAAGTCAGAAACATCAAAATAAATCACCCCAATAATCACTCACTCAAAGCATTAGCTTGAAATCATGGATGCCAACTCATATGTTAGCCAAGGTTTTGCATGTAGCTCATTTTACATTAACCATACACCCTTGTTCTCTGTTCCTGCTATATCAAATTGGACAGTCCTAACACAGAAGAACATCCCTGTGGGTCCATTCCCAGCCCTGCCTGGAGTTCTGGTCACAACGTGAAGTTCTTTCCGAAAGAGGTAGGTTTGATGTCAGCTGTCTTCCCCTCTTTCCCTTAGAAACTGTGCATGAAGTGGCCCTGAAGGACAAGGAGCCTGACACTCAGGATGCAGATGAAGTGAAGGTGAGTAAGGAAGGTGTCAGGGACAATTGGGGCCTGGTGTGGTGAAAGCTGTGCTGGCCCTCACAGAGCTTGTTGCTGGGAGTCTGGCCTTTGAGCTTGGGGTGGGGTTGTTTGCAGAAGGCTCTGGAGCTGCAGATGGAGAGTCACCGGGAGGCCCATCACCGGCAGCTGGCCCGGCTCCGGGACGAGATCAACGAGAAGCAGAAGACCATTGATGAGCTCAAAGAGTAAGGGTTCCCAAGGGCGACTCCAGCCCCTCCCGGGTCCTGTCACCTTGCTGTATTGACTCACATGTCCCCTCTGGGTCTGATTCTTTAACATCCATGTGTCATTCCCTCAACAATGCCACAACTTCGTAGCCCCACCTCAGGAGACACATGGAATAACGACTAGTCCCTATCCTTGAGGGTCCCAGGATTAGAGAGGTCAGGGTTCCTGGCTCTGTCATGGAAACAGTGGCCTGAGTCTGCCTCTGGTATCTGAAGGTGGACACATCAATTCTAACTGGACTCACTCGTTCAAAAAGGAAGAAGTTTGAAGAGCTGGCCTTCCCTTCCCCCTCATTAACATCTTTCTCCCCCATCTCCATTACCTTCTGATGCTCTGTAGCCTAAATCAGAAGCTCCAGTTAGAGCTAGAGAAGCTTCAGGCTGACTACGAGAAGCTGAAGAGCGAAGAACACGAGAAGAGCACCAAGCTGCAGGAGCTGACGTGAGTGGCATGGATTTACCTGTAAAACTACAGCCTTGTAGGCTCAGAACTGTGAACTCAGACACGCTTGCAGAGGCAGGACACACATGCAGACATGATAGGGTGACTCATGGGAAAAATATGATGGGGTAGGGACGGGACCAAAAGGACACTCTCAGCAAAGACTGCCGTTGAGTATTCACCAGTATGGAAGGAGGTTTACGTGTTCTATTCAGTGTAAAAACAGGTTACAAAACCATATGCATGGTATGATCCCATAAAAATGTATACATGGATATGTAGGCATAGAAAAAAGTCTAGAAAGGTGGACACCAGAAGGTTAATGTTGGTTTGATCTGTAAATAGTAGAATCATAGGCTTTTTATAAAAACTCACCTTATGTCTCTCTTTAAAATTCTTTTCTAATTTTTGCACAGTAAACATGAGTAACTTGTGTAATAAATAATAATAGGCTGGGTGCGATGGCTTACACCTATAATCTCAGCACTTTGGGAGGCCAAAGCAGGTGGACTGCTTGAGCTCAGTAGTTCGAGACCAGCCTGGGCAACATGGCAAAACCCTGTCTCTACTAAAAATACAAAAATTAGCTGGGCATGGTGGCATACGTCTGTGGTCCCAGATGCTTGGGAGGCTGAGGTGGGAAGGATCCCTTGAGCCCAGGAGGTTGAGGCTGCAGTGAGCCCTGATTGTGCCACTGTACTCTATCTAGCCTAGGTAACAGAATGAGACCCTGTTTCACAAAATAACAATAATAGTAATACTTAAATGGAGATAAAAGTAATAGAGGAAGAGGCAGGAGGAAGGAGAGTCCTGAGGGATCTTTCCATTTCCCTTATTTCTCTTGCTACAGATTTCTGTACGAGCGACATGAGCAGTCCAAGCAGGACCTCAAGGGTCTGGAGGAGACAGTTGTGAGTGGTTCCCTTCTGTGCCAAATTCACAGGACTGGGGAGTGGGGAGGCTTCATTTCTTCCTAACCCTATTCCTCCTGCCCTTTTGCAGCCATTCTGTAGCGTAATCAAGACACATTTTTTCCTAAAGGATAAGTGACTCACTTGATTATAGAGACTGGAGGTACCTATAATTCTGGAGGAATAGGACAGACCTGGTATCTGGCTATTCCCAATTTTTCATCATTCTTTCCAGGCCCGGGAACTCCAGACCCTCCACAACCTTCGCAAGCTGTTCGTTCAAGACGTCACGACTCGAGTCAAGAAAGTGAGTGCTGTCCTTGGGGTTTTGTCAGCCCCCACATCCTCCTCCTATCCTTAGGTTTCTCCTGCCCCTGTTGCCCCTATGGGGCTGGCTTGGCCTGGTCTTGGTGGGACCTGTTTGGCCTCAGGACAGCCACGTCTTTCCTTCTATCTGTTCTCAGAGTGCAGAAATGGAGCCCGAAGACAGTGGGGGGATTCACTCCCAAAAGCAGAAGATTTCCTTTCTTGAGAACAACCTGGAACAGCTTACAAAGGTTCACAAACAGGTAAGAGTCTGCTGAAGGAGTGAAGAGAATTTTTGAGGCCGGGTAGCTAGCATACCAAATCCTCAGAGGCCCCTTGGATTCAGGAAAATCTAGTTGCATGTTTTCCTTACTGTTCGCTTTTACTTTCCCTACTAATCCCTTCTTTATACCATATTTGGTCCACTTGTACCTTGTTCTTTGTTTCATGCCTGTATTCCCTTCTCAAAGTTTCTAACCCACCTCTGCTCAAAGTGGAATTCCCCAGGCCTACCTTGGAGGGAGAGGTTGAAACTAACAGAGGCATGGGCTGTAACTATACAGGAGGGAGACTGGTCAGACGTTACCCAGAGATGGAAGGCAGGGAGATGAGAAGAAGCAAGGGAGTTGGGCTTCTTTCGTGGAGAGAACTCCATCTGTCTAGGTCTGTGGCAGGCATGCAGGGACATTAAATGATGTCCCTGGCTAGGCACAGTGGTGCATGCCTGTAGTCCCAGCGCTTCAGGAAGCCGAGGCGGGCGGATCACTTGAGCACAGGAGTTCAAGACCAGCCTAAGCAACATGGCGAAACCCCATCTCTACAAAAAATACAAAAATTAGCCGGATGTGGTGGCACACACCCATAGTCCCAGCTACTTGGGAGGCTGAGGTAGGGCAATTGCTTGAGCGCAGGAAGTAGAGGCTGCAGTGAGCTGTGATCATGCCACTGCACTCCAGCCTAGGTGACAGAGTGAGACCCTGTTTCAATTAAAAAAAAATGATGTCCCTAAGATGGCCCAACCAGCCCCTGGTTGGGGCCCCAGTCAAAACTCCTGTGTATTAAGTTGCTGCCTCTCTGTCCCCCTCCTTGCTGTTGCGGTTCTTTAGGTGGATGACTGGGTTTCAAAGGTATGGGCTGGGGATGCAGAAGGGCAGTCCAAAGGAGTCAGGACAGGAAATGTTTGGTGCATGCTGGGTAGGGGCACTCTCACTAGCACTAAATATCTGAGCCTTGAAGACAGGCTCGGCAGGCTGTCAACTGGTCCTTTTAACTAATTCATAAAATAAACCCTAACCTATACTTCATTCCTTTCCTTTCAAATCTACCTTAAGATTCCATTTAAACTTACATTCTCACTAGCCTAGCACTTAAACTTCTTTTCCTCCCAGTATAATGCCCAGCTTATATAGTAAATATTCAGTACTTTTTTTTTTCTTAATGAATCCTAAACCTGTGCCCAGTGATAATGTACAGAGTTTATTTATCTTATTTAGGCCTGCAGAGGGCTTTGCTACGATTTTATTTCCTTTATTATGAAACTGAGTAACAAAATTATAGAAAAGTTGAAAGGCAGATAGGAAACATTTGAAATCAATTCTGCCATTCGATTTTCATTCCCGCATTCACTTTCCCTCTCTGTCCAAATCCATATTATGTTGCTTAGAACACACACACACATGTGTGTGCTACTCTGGGCCTCTCTGCCTATGGGAAAGCCCTGCTCTATGGAGCAAGCCCCAGAAAAATTTCCATGAAAAAACACAACCACACACTGTTTCCTTTATCGTCACTGAAGCCTCTGCCTCTGTTCAAAGTCCCAAAAAAACAAAAATGACTCACCTATAGGATAAATAGAGGACTCACTACAATTTCCTACCTCAGCAGACACAAGAGTAAAAAGGAAAAGGAGATAAAAACTTCTCAGTTAAGAGAATCTTAACAGCCAGGACTATAGCCCTATATCAATTAAGCTAAAGTATTGTCACAGCAAAACATTGCTTATACTCCATAAATTGTCCAAATGGAAACTGCATGGAAGGGTTTCTAGCTTGTCCCCTTGAGCCCCCAGTGTTCCCCGCTATGCTGATTTACCCGCTGTCTTCCAAGGCCCTGCTCCTTTTGCAACCTATAGTGCCCCCAGTCATTGTGTGGAACCTGTAAAAAGATCAGGAAGTCTTTTCGGGCTGCAGGGTGGTTGCTCCCATGCTCTAGCTTAATTTCACTGGGGGAGGGATAACCCAGGAAGTCCTTGAATGTGAAGGTAATGAGTGCAAATGTTTGTGAGACCTCAAACATTTTCTTTCCTTCCTACGGGGCGGGCTCTGCCTGTCTATATGTGTATGTCAGGGGCTCCTGAATTCCAGCTTCTGCTCCTGCTCTGCACTGCACCTGCCATGCACAGATTCTCCTCAATGCCACAGCCACCAAACTGCTACTGTGCCCTTGCTGCCCCACCCTTTGCATGCCCACAAAGCCCTCTCTGGGGAAGCGGGTCCCTCATCCCCATGGCCGCCCTGGGGCTATTGATCTGGCACATGCTGGGAGATGTGGGGGAAACCAGATGGAGACAGGACAAGGCGCTCTCACAAGAGTTCTGGGCTGCAGTGGAGATGGCAGGTTTTACTGCCTAGAAAATTATATAACTTTTAAATGCCTGACCACCCACCCTTCGCTCTGGGAGAAGGAATGAGCTGGACAGAACAGTCCATTACATAAAGGCAATGAGGCCTTTTGAGGAAATGACATGGTCTCCATCTTCTCTGACTCCTGATTTTTCTTTATTCTCTCTCCTCACCCCTGTCCCCTACGCTCCTCTGGGTGACCGTCTTGGGTCACTTGCCTTCCTTTCCACTTCTTCCCTTTGGCTTGCCCCATAGCTGGTACGTGACAATGCAGATCTGCGTTGTGAGCTTCCTAAATTGGAAAAACGACTTAGGGCTACGGCTGAGAGAGTTAAGGCCCTGGAGGGTGCACTGAAGGAGGCCAAGGAGGGCGCCATGAAGGACAAGCGCCGGTACCAGCAGGAGGTGGACCGCATCAAGGAGGCCGTTCGCTACAAGAGCTCGGGCAAACGGGGCCATTCTGCCCAGATTGGTGAGTAGGTGTTAGCAGGCAAGGTGGGAGTATCTCCTGAAGCAAATTTAGCAAATTGCTAATTGCCAAGCAACTAGATTATTGCTTCTTACCTACCCCTAGCCTCATCCCACTTCCCCCCAAAAAGTAAAAAAGTGATTATGTTACAAGCAACTCAGTTCAACCCCAGCTAAATGACCTCAGGGACCAGGGCAAATGCAGGGTCATAGCCTCCTCATGGTTGTTTTCTTTCTTTATTGCAGCCAAACCCGTCCGGCCTGGCCACTACCCAGCATCCTCACCCACCAACCCCTATGGCACCCGGAGCCCTGAGTGCATCAGTTACACCAACAGCCTCTTCCAGAACTACCAGAATCTCTACCTGCAGGCCACACCCAGCTCCACCTCAGATATGTAGTGAGTGACCACACGTGTGGGTTGGAGTCCCACCCAAAGCTCCCTGGACCCTAGAAGGCATAGGGTGGGGGCAGTTATTGGTTGTGGCTTAATTATTTTCCTAAACCCTTTCTCAACTTCATGCCTATGATTAGAAGGTAGGTGTCTGCCCTCCCAGCCTGTGGCCATGTTTGTTTTCCTCTGCTCTCTGGGGATGGGGAGGGCTGAGCAGCTCTATCACTGAGGATGAGTGTGGATTAGTGGTCCTCAGACTAGTGGAGGGTGGGTGTCAGAGGCTGCCTCTTTCCTCTGCTCCATCCAGCTTTGCAAACTCCTGTACCAGCAGTGGAGCCACATCTTCTGGCGGCCCCTTGGCTTCCTACCAGAAGGCCAACATGGACAATGGTGAGTGAAAAAGATGGGTAATCCCACCTTTGGGGTCCTCAGGGCAAGTTGAGAGGCATAAAAGTAAGTGACCTTAGTGTACAAAAAACACTGACTGAACCTTTCTGGTGTGCCAAGGCTTCAAATAAAAAAAAAAATACATATAGCCAGGTGTGGTGGCATGCACCTGTAGTCCTAGCTACTTGGGAGGTTGAGATAGGAGGATTGCTTGAGCTCAGGAGCTTAAGGCTGAAGTGCACTGTGAATACACCTGTGAATAGCCACTGCACTCAGCCTGGGCAGCATAGTAAAGCCCCATCTCTAAAATAATAATAATAACACATATGAAGAAAAAAGTGACCCTGTACCTACAGCCTGAGCACTGCCCAGCCCTTTAGGTCTCAGGCTGCCTGGGAGTGGATTCCTCCTATTACCACGCCAATCCCAGCCCTTGCCTTCCAGTTCCCTTTTCCTCTCCTTGGTGAGGGGCTGCAGAAACTTTTTCTCGAACAAAATAATGATGTAGCTTGGGATAACTAAGGAGAAAGTGTCACAGCTTATCTTTTTCTCTAAGGGATTAAGATGGGAGAGGGTTTGCGCAAACTGTTTCTAACACCCAATCTCCTTTTTTCTTCTTCTAATCCTGTGTTCTCAATGATGATCTCTTCAGGAAATGCCACAGATATCAATGACAATAGGTACAACAGTCCCCACTACCCCTGGGTTCTCTGGGTGGGACCAGAAGAAATGATTAAATTTCCCTTGTGCCCCACTTGGAGGTTCCTGGAGCCTTTGGGGAAGGGGGAGGGAGTGAGACTCATTCTTTTCATCACTGTGTTGTCCAGGAGATCCAGTCATTCCCCTGCCTCAGTGCAGAATATCTCCCCTCCTCCAATCCCATCTGTGGCTTCTCCCTATTCCAGTGATAAGGTCTGGACGAAAACAACGTGGGCATCTGACGACTGGGTTTCTCTCCTACCTTTGGAAGCCTTGTGACATTGGACAAGTCATTTACATCCCTCTGGCCTTGAGTTTCCCTGTATTCCTGTAAAACACAAATAGTCCCTGCCGTTTGTGATCTCACAGGGACACTCTCAGAGCAGAGTAACCATGATGACAGGAATACTTTAATTTCTATGGAGCTGATCATGGTGGGTCTCTTCCTCCAGGAGTGACCTGCCGTGTGGCTATGAGGCTGAGGACCAGGCCAAGCTTTTCCCTCTCCACCAAGAGACAGCAGCCAGCTAATCTCCCACACCCACGGCTGCATACCTGCACTTTCAGGTAGCGTCAGGCTGCTTCCTCGGACCAGCCTCAGGTTGCTTCCCTTCTTGCTGACAGCCTCTTTGGTTTTCCTGCTGCTGCTTCTTTTTTTTTTTATCACCTCAAAACTTTAATTATGTAGTTACCCCTCAACTCCTGCTTTCCCCTGTTGGGGGCTACACCTGTGCTGCCCCATGTAATCTGGACGTTGACCTCCCGTGCCCCCTTTTGCTTTCCGTTAGGCTACAGTGGTAACCACAGTACTGTCTTTTTGCCACTAGGGGTCACTGTCACATGTCCAAAGAAGTGAGCTTGGCCGCTGTAGATTAGAACCACAGGGGTGGTAGACTGCAGATCTATCAGGAGACCCTAGGGGGCCATCTCAACCCCACCTCTTCCTCCACCCTGAAATAATTTTGGATGGATAGGTGTTTTTGGAACTAAGACATCTCCAGTTAAGGCGATGTTTGCTTCACGCCTGCACCTGTGTCCCATCCTCTTCCCATCTGTATATGCCACCAGTAAGCTTTAGGAAACGCCCCACGAAATCAGTCAGCGCTCCCCTCCCATCTTGCTCAGTGGAGGTGGCAAAGCCCCTCTTTTTCCTCCTCTGTCCCCAGGTGCTCTCCTCTAGCAGCACAGGAACCTTCTTTGTTCTTGTGTGTCACTGGGTTTCTCACCAAGGTTGCTTTAGGGCCCAGAAGTGGCACAGAGAACATGGCCAGTCTCTTACTGGGCTGCATCTAAGCTGAGCCCTCTCCAGGGGTTTCCCAGAATAGTAAACCAGGCACACACAGGCAGAAAAGTCTGAGAAGCAGAGAAGTAGGAATGCAGAAGAGGAGTTGGGGAGACCTAGGGGTGGAGGTGCAAGCCTGGGTCACGGGGGGCGGTGGTAGGGGGGTCTGCTTGTTGGTATTAAAGGAACAGGACAGTAAACCAAAGTGTGTGCAGATGCCACCTGTTCCTGTTCTGTGACTGAGCTACAAGCTGGGCCCTCACACCCTCTTTCTCTTTCTTTCCCAGTTTCTAAGAGGGACTGAGGCCTCTTCTCAGCATGCTGCAAACCTGTGGTCTCTGATACTAACTCCCTCCCCAACCCCTGTTGTTGGACTGTACTATGTTTGATGTCTTCTCTTACTTACTCTGTATCTCTTTGTACTCTGTATCTATATATCAAAAGCTGCTGCTATGTCTCTCTTCTGTCTTATTCTCAAGTATCTACTGATGTATTTAGCAATTTCAAAGCATAGTCTACCTTCCTTATTTGGGGCAATAGGGAGGAGGGTGAATGTTTCTTCTTTCTCATCTACTCGTCTCACACTGAGTGGTGTTAGTCACTGAGTAGAGGTCACAGAGATGACAAAAGGAAAAATGGGAGCTAGAGGGTTGTGACCCTTCATACACACACGCACGCACGCACACAAACATGCACACACGCATGCACACACACAAAGCCTTAAGCAGAAGAATGTCTTAGCATCATGAGACAGAGAAATAGACTCTTCCTCCCTCCTCTTTCACATATAGCACAGGGGAAGGTAAAATGGAAGGGCTGCTAATTGAGACATATAATTTTCTTCATACACCCCTCACCTTAATCAAAGGATTCAGGTGTTACTTCTGCCCTACAAAGTCTGCCTTTTGCCTCCCTCTTCCTGTTTTCCCCTGGACTGAGAAATGGGTTGCTCAAGGGACCATTTCCCTTTTTCTTCAAGCTCCTTTTGATATTCCCTGCCCCAGAGCTCATGACCAGAACCCAGAGCTGATTTAAAATATTTTGAAAAATGGAGGAGGCAGACTGCTCCCAGCAGCCTGTCAATGGCTGCTCATCTGTCCATGGAGATGGTTACAGGCAGGTGTAGTCAAAATGATTGATTCCTTGGGTTTGGGGGTGAATAGGCTGGGAAATTTCTGAGCCTTTTTTTTTTGTCACAGTGCCCTCAAGTTGAAGTGATGAGCTGGATTTCTTTCTTGTTCCATACTGGGCGGCATGCTCCTCCCATCTCCACCCCTTGGTTTGGGGGCTTCCAGCTCATTGGCAAAATCTCTCTAGTTGCCTTCCTTTCAAGCTGGAGCCTGACTTTTCCCCAATGTACATTTTTTTTTTCTCCACAAAGAGTTCCTTCTCTAATGTCCCCATCTGGTATTAAGTGCACTTTAAAGAAAGGGGCAGGGTGGATTTTCAAGAGGTGGGAAGCTCTAAGGCTTGACCCTGAGGGGTCTTCTCCCAGCCATTCTCAGCCCATATGCAGCACCCTCCATACTGAAGAGGACTGTTGTTTTAGTTTCAGACGGTCCTTTCCTTCCACATGGTGCTAAGGTGGTTTTCTAGGTAACTGCAGGGATGGAGGTCACTAGCCATTCCAAACCAGGAGAGAAAGTCTGGTGTCCTGATATCCAGTCTTTTCTAGGAGGAAGACCAAGATTCTCCAGCGGCAGGGCAGCCTATCACCCAACTTCTAAGTCAGGAAAGGAAGCTGAGTGGGAATGCCAGCTGGTAAGCGCAGGCTGCACTGGCCCATGACTCCTTCAAGGAAAAGAGGCCCTGCTCCCTTTACCTGCTGAGCTCCTTTTAGCAGTTAGGGAGAACTGCAGGGGGAAAAATACCAGTGGAGTGTGGAATAAATCCAAAGCAGTGATTTTTAAATGTTTTTCAAAAACAAATCTTACATAGAACCCCAATATAAAAAATAAAGTAATGCAGACCTGGGCAGTTTGCATTTTTTTTTTTTTTTTTTTTTGGTGGAAGAAGTCTCAGCGTCTCTTAGGACTGACTGTTCAAAGGCTCCTCAGCAAATGAGCCCTTGAACAGTCCTAAGAGACCCTGAGGATTCTGTGGAGTAGTTTGAAAACCATTGTTCTGAGGAAGGGGGTCCAATCTGGCTCCTCTGCACTAAAGCTGCAACTCATGGAAAAGAGGGCAACGGTGGGGTAGACAAGCCATGCTGTCTCCAGACCCACTAGGGTGGAAGGAAGGTTCCTGTGGGCCTGTGGACTTAGGCTAATATTTGCTGTCAGCAGGGCACTTAAGAATCCAGGGGGTTTTATGTAATGTTGCCACCACATGGTTCTTTTAAAAACACATAAGGAAATGTGAGGGTGTAGCGCAGATGAGGAGAGAGATGACACAGAGGGAGCAGCCTTCTCTTTAGCAAGATGTAAGGGAAATATAATTCACTTACATAAAAAAGAAACAACACACACGCAAACCCTTCACCAGAAGCTTCACACTACATCCTCCTCCTCCTCCTGCTCCCCACCTTCACCGCATCCCTTTCAGAGCCAGGGTCACTGCAAGGGGCACCTGGCCTGCCCACTCACATCTGCCAAAATGTTGCATGCCAGCGTGGAAGACAAACCAAACTGCGCAACCCCCTGTGTGTATTTACTTGGTGTACATAGATAACTTTAAAATAAAATAAATTCAATGATAACTCTATGTTGTTGTAAATATTCTTTATCCCTTCCCAATCTCACTGCCTTCTTTGGATGAAATGGAACTTGATAGAATATATCCTTCCAGATGTTTTTCTATAGATTTACATAAGGCTTGATTTTTTTCCTACTTGACAATATATCCTGGAGATCTTTGTATGTCAATATATATCAATTGACCTCATTAAAATATAATTTTTCACATATTTATCCTACAGTTCATTCAACCAGTCTACGACTGGTGGATATCTATACTGTTTGTAATTTTTACCAAAAGCACTATCTTGTTCTTTCATTTTTGACCCAGAGCAGTCTCAGTCCTGGCATCAATTCCTTCCCACTCCAGTGTTTCACCATCTCTCCACAGCCAACAGATCAATATTCCTGTCCCAGGATCATCCACTACAATCACCCTTCCAACCCCCATTTTAAAGCATACTCCACCTCTCTTCTCTGCTCATATCTCAAAGCTTCTCAGATGGAGAAAACTGCACACCCAAAAAACTGGGGCAAGTAAAACTGAAGAGCCTACAAACCTGCCCGGACTTTCGGTGCTTCTCACTTTCCTCTCCTATCTCCCAGAGCAAGGGTCTACACCCTTTCCACCCTCCTCTGTCAGGCAACAACTTTGTCATCTAAGGCACTTGAGCCTGAAATTCTTTTATCTTGCCCCCTGCCCACATGCACCTACACAATTACCTATCTGTGTCTGCACTTATCCTTTCCTTCTCCCTTCTGACCAGTGATAAATCTCCTTTCTCTGGGCTAAAGTGAATCCCTTCTAGATATTTCATTCTTGAGATACTGATATAGAATCTCAATATACAAATATATAACATATCTAAAACTGATAAACTGATGGAGACTTGAGGAGTTTGCATCTTTTTTTTTTTTTTAAAACAGAGTCTCGCTCTGTTGCCCAGGCTGGAGTGCAGCGGCACAATCTCGGCTCACAGCAACCTCCGCCTCTCAGGTTCAAGCAATTCTCCTGCTTCAGCCTCCTGAGTATCTGGGACTACATGTGCACACCACCATGCCCGGCTAATTTTTGCATTTTTAATGGAGATGGGTTTTCACCATGTTGGCCAGGCTTGTCTCAAACTCCTGGCCTCAAGTGATCCGCCCGCCTCGGTGCATCTTCTTTATTAATGCCTGTCTCAGTGGTCTCATCTCCTTGTAAGGTCCTTCCCATAAGAGTCCCTCCCTTTACTGTGTGTTTCTCTAACTGTGTGTTTCTCTATCTTACTTGTTTTCTTAAAGTCAGATATCCAGAAACCATCCCAAGCTTCCCATCCCCACTTCCTCACCCCCTATTCATTCCTTAGCCCACCTTGATCTGCCTCTTGTTCTGCTCAAAACTGCTTTTCCAAATGGCATTAGTTACCAAATACAGTGGACATTTCTTCTGGACAACAGTCCTTGTTTTGCTTCACCTCTCCATGACATATACTTCTTCACTCCTTCCTTCTTGAAACTCAACTCCCCTTGGCTTTTGTGACCCTGCTGTCTTGGCTCCCTGTACTTCCCTGGCCACCCTTCCGAGTCTTCCTCCCCAGGCCTCTTAAATGCTGCTCTATCCCAGGGCTCAGCCCTTGGTTCCTTCCTTGCTCTTTCTAAGACATGTCATCCATGCCTGCAGATTCCACAATTCTTCAATCCGTATCCCCAGTCCAGAACATTCTGCTCAGCTGCGGGAGCATGTGTCCAGCTGACCTCAGATGCCTCAAACATGTTCCAAACCGAACTCACCTTCCTCTGAATCTGCTCCTTTTCATGTCACCATCATCTCTCTGATATCATCATCATCATTAGCCAGAAGCCTTAGACTCACTCTCAATGCCTCCCTTTTCCTTCAATCCCCACATTCATATGAATTTTCCAAGTTGACATCAAACTGCATCTTTAGATGCCACCCTCTTCTTTCAAACACAACAGCCACTGCTTTAGTTCATTATCTCTCCCTGAACTTTTGCAATACTCAAGTCATCCTCCAGGAACATGCCTGAGTGATCCTTTTTTTTTTTTTTTTGAGATGGAGTCTTGCTCTGTTGCCCACGCTGGAGTGCAGTGGCAGGATCTCGGCTCACTGCAACCTTGGCACCCCCCCTCCCCCAGTTCAAGCGATTCTCCTGCCTCAGCCTCCTGAGTAGCTGGGATTACAGGTGTGCGCCACCACGCCCGGCTAAATTTTGTATTTTTAGTTGAGATGGGGTTTCACCATGTTGGTCAAGCTGGTCTCGAACTCCTTGTAGGGTCCAGACCTACTGGGCTTAGCGGGTGTTCTCCCTGTGTGCGGAGACGAGAGATTGTAAGAAATAAAGACACAAGACAAAGAGATAAAGAGAAAACAGCTAGGCCTGGGGACCACTGCCACCAAGACGCGGAGACCGATAGTGGCCCCTAATGGCTAGGCGCACTGGTATTTATTGAATACAAGACAAGGGGCAGGGTAAGGAGGGGTGAGTTGTCCAAGTGATTGATAAGGTCAAGCAAATCACGTGATCATGGGATAGGGGTCCCTTCCCTTTTAGGTAGCCAAAGCAGAGAGGGAAGGCAGCATACGTCAGCATTTTCTTCTATGCACTTATAAGAAAGATCAAAGACTAAGATTTTCACTATTTCTTCTACCGCTATCTACTAAGAACTTCAAAGAGGAACCAGGAGTACAGGAGGAACATGAAAGTGGACAAGGAGCGTGACCACTGAAGCACAGCACCAAAGGGAGGGGTTTAGGCCTCTGGATGACTGCAGGCAGGCCTAGATAATATCCAGCCTCCCACAAGAAGCTGGTGGAGCAGAGTGTTCCCTGACTCCTCCACGGAAAGGGAGACTCCCTTTCGCGGTCCGCTAAGCAACAGGTGCCTTCCCAGGCACTGGTGTTACCGCTTGACCAGGGAGCCCTCAAATGGCCCTTATGCGGGCGTGACAGAGGGCTCACTTCTTGCCTTCTAGGTCACTTCTCACAATGTCCCTTCAGCACCTGACCCTATACCTGCCGGTTATTCCTAGGTTATATTAGTAATGCCACAAAGAGTAATATTAAAAGCTAATGATTTATAATGTTTATACTGATGATTGATAATTGTCCATGATCATCTCTATATCTAATTTGTATTGTAACTACTCTTTATTCTAACTATTTTCTTTATTATACTGCAACAGTTTGTGCCTTCAGTCTCTTGCCTTGGCACCTGGGTAATCCTTTGCCCACAACTCCTGACCTCAGGTGATCCTCCCGACTCGGCCCCGCAAAGTGCTGGGATTATAGGCGTGAGCTACCGCATCTGGCTTTTTTTTTTTTTTTTTTTTTTTGAGACAGAGTCTTGCTCTGTCGCCCAGGCTGGAGTGCAATGGCATGATCTGGGCTCACTGCAACCTCTGCCTCCTGGGTTCAAGCGATTCTCCTGCCTCAGCCTCTCAAGTAGCTGGGACTACAGGCACCTGCCAACATGCCCGGCTTTTTTTTTTTTTTTTTTGAGATGGAGTCTCACTCTGTCACCCAGGCTGGAGTGCAGTGGCGTGATCTCTGCTTGGCGTGATCTCTGCTTGGCGTGATCTCGGCTCACTGCTACCTCCGCCTCCTGGGTTCAAGTGATTCTCCTGCCTCAGCCTCCTGAGTAGCTGGGATTACAGGCTCACGCCACCACGCCCGGCTAATGCCCGGCTAATTTTTGTATTTTTGTAGAGACGAGGTTTCACCATGTTGGCCAGGCTGGTCTTGAACTCCCAACCTCAGGTGATCCTCCCGCCTCGGCCTCCCAAAGTGCTGGGATTACAGGCGTGAGTCACCGCGCCCGGCTTCGTTCTTTCTTGTCTCCATGTCTTTGTATGCTGTTCTCTTTGTCTAGACAGCCTTTTAACCTCTATTCCTGAACTCCACCCACCCTTCCAAACTCAGTAAAGTCTCTATCCTCTTTGAAGCCTTCCCTGACCAGCTACACTTCCTTTCTTTGTATCATTGTCTTTGCTTCATACACAGTTCTAGGATAGCTCATACTTTGCATACTGCAAACTTGATCTCCATTGGCCAGCCAGTGCCATTAGACTCCCAACTACTTCGGGGCAGTCACTGTCCTATACCCTGCTTCAATAAAAGGAAAATCAGCCCCTAGAACAGGACCTAGTACAACTAAGTGCACAATAAATACTTGTTAAATGAATGAATGAATTTCAAGACGCTTGAGACCACTGGTAAGAATTTTGGGTTTCCAAAACCCTCCCCTTCCCAACCCCCATTCGGTAAGAATGCTTTCGCATTAGCATCAGGTCCGAGGTTACTCATTAGAAACTGGGCAAAGCCGGAAGGCGGCCACTTTGCAGCAAAGAAGCCCTAGACCTTGGGAGTCAATCAGGCCAGCCCAGGCCGCACCACGGTCTCCTAGTTGACAGTTCGAGGGGCCTCGCGGGCCGCTTGCTTCGTCAGCTTACAGGGATCCCGCACGCCAGGTGAGCCCACACACTGAGCGGACATTGGGGCAGGCAGGCAGGCGCCGGGGGGCGGGGCCAGCGTCGCCCCGCCCCGTCCTGCCTCGCCCTGTTCGCGCGTCCGCTGTCCGGCCTCCGGTCACGTGACAGCAGCGCAGGTGAGCGCCGCTTCCGGGGTCGGGCGCCTGGATAGCTGCCGGCTCCGGCTTCCACTTGGTCGGTTGCGCGGGAGACTATGGCGTCCTCCTCGGTCCCACCAGCCACGGTATCGGCGGCGACAGCAGGCCCCGGCCCAGGTTTCGGCTTCGCCTCCAAGACCAAGAAGAAGCATTTCGTGCAGCAGAAGGTGAAGGTGTTCCGGGCGGCCGACCCGCTGGTGGGTGTGTTCCTGTGGGGCGTAGCCCACTCGGTGAGAACCAGCCCTAGACCCCCGCAGCCCTGTCCAAACCCCTCGGCTCCGAGGCGTCCCTGTTTCCAGGCTCCAGCCTCCGGAGCCCCACGCAGTGCCACTCCCCTCCCCCGGGTTGTCTTGGTCCCTGCCCACCAACCCCAGGTGTTCCCCCAGCAGGTTTTCTGACTGTGGACTTTTTTCTCCCCAACAGTTCTTTACTGCTCCACTCTAGTTCCACCTTCCCCCCGTGAAATCCAGCTCCCTGTGCTTTGACTCCTTCCTGCCATGTCTAGCTTCAGCCTCAGGCTACGCGGACTGGCCAGGACCGGGCGCAAGCGGGGAGGACATTAGGGGGAGTGGCTTTTTCTCGGGTGGTTGTTGGTGAGAGTGTAGGTGGAGGGTGAGGGGCCGAGGGGAGTAGATGGATGAAAAGGTTCTTTCACTTTGCTTTCCACCTTGCTTCCCAGCCCCGGTCCTTGGCTTTTGAATCTTGGTTTTGTCTCGGGGAAGCTCCAGGTTTCCTGGGCTTTCTAATCCTGCTTGTCCCTTCCTTTCCCTTCCAGAGGTACAGCATTTTAGAGAAGCTACCCCACCCTGAGCTAGAAGTTGCACACTCTCAGGACTTATGTATATATGCCTTTGGTCTTAACTGCATCCTTATCGCTGGCTAGAGCGATCGTGTTTGGTGTAGGTGGTGGCGATTGTTGACCAAAGAGAAGGCTGAGGGGCTCTGTTCCTGAGGTCACTATGGTGGTGAACTTTTGAAGCAGGAAACTGCTCTGGGAGTCAGGAGGAGGCCAAGGAGACCTCCATCCCCTTTCCTGAGGATACCTCAGCTGAAAGAAGCACAGCCATTGCCCATCTTCCGTCAGGTCTGGAGTGGGAGAAATGCAGTTATCTTGAATGTGACACGGAATATTTTCGAAATCAGCGTTCTTGAATATAGTCATGGCTAGGCTGTGGAGATGGAAGTTGTGAGGAAGAATACGCGTTTTGTCACATTTTTAATTTGTGGTAAAGAATTTCTTAACCAAAAATTAAGAATGTTGTTTGTGGCCAGTCGGATCTCTTTTGGATTTGTGGCTCTCTGGGTGGTAAGCTCTTAGTGAGTATTCAGTGGAAGGCACTTGGTATGGGGAAGGCTGATGGAGGTAGGGCTGCCTCTCATATGTACCTTCCAGGTGATTCATCCATTCCCTGTGGGATGCTTAACAGGGAGGGTTTTCCCTTGTTAAGGATTGGGGGAGTTACATGTAAGACCTACCTCAGCTTCACTAGGTATATATACTTTAGCCCCAGCACCCCACCCTCTGCCAACACACATCTACTTCAAGTGTTTGGAATGGAGAAATTCCTTGAACATATGTCTTAGTGATGATTCAGCTTGCTTAGCAGGTGGGGAGGAGGGGGCAGGAGGAGCTATAGCTGAATTTTAGGCTGGGAGTCTCAAGTGGCTTTTTTTTTTTTTTTAATCTGGAGGGATATGTTCTGTCCTCCTTTTCTACTGAGAACGGGAGGAGTTGGTTGCACTGCAGTGTGTGTGATTTAGGTTAGACTGCAGTTCATAGCCTCTGTGGAATGATCTAGTAAGGATAGGCAAGGCATTCATTTATTCAATTAATAGACATGTCAGGATCACTGTGTGCCAAACATTGTGCTAGTTAGACACCTGAAAGATGCAGACGACTAGAATGAGCCCTTGTTCTTGAAGAGCTCACAATCTAGATGGGAGAACTTACATAAACTAGTGATTAGAGTCATGCAGTAACAAAGGCAGGTGAAAGGTACTGTAGCAACACCAAGGAGAAAGCACGGCTCAGGATTTTTAAGTACTAGAGCTCCCTTTCTACCCTGAATTAGCAGACTGCAGATCCTGGGGGCCGAGGAGAGCATGTGATGCTTGTGTCCTTTGGGCTGTGGATTAGTTTGGCTTTAGGGAACAGACGCCTAATGAGCTCATATCCTCTGATTGCCTGCATTCGCTCTGAAATCAGCTGCTCTTCCTTTACCTTACACCTTAGACAGGTGGGGGCCTACTGCAAACAACTGGGTCAGAGTGGTCTAGGAAGACTGGTCCTGTTTGCAAAGAGATGCCTTTTGCAGGATATGGACATTTATCCTTTTTGCTGTGGTTGGCCCCACAGAATCCCATTAACACTCTTGTGCATTTTTAAAATGCCTTTTTTTTTCTTTTTCTAATGGAACATGTAGCTGCCTTGAGCTTGCAGAGTTTTTTTTTTTTTTTTTTTTTTTTTTTTTTTTCTAGAATTTCTCACAGCTTTAAAAATAGTCCTGAGTTGCTTACAGGGTTAGCCTAATATAAAATGACTGTTGTGAGCATGAAGTTCCATGGGGGTGGGCGTGTTGGGGGCTGTGTGTGAGGGTTGCTTACTGTAGTCCTTCTTGGGCAGCAGAAGGGTTAGACACATTCTCTCACTTCTGTCAAGCATATGCATAGCCAGTGTTTTTAAAGGAATGAGGTCTGAGTGGCCCTTGCATGACTGCTGCCCAGACACAGTGTATGGGTAGCTCTCCACACCCTTCTTCATGGCTTCCCTATTCATGGTTTGGCTTATCAGATCAATGAGCTCAGCCAGGTGCCTCCCCCGGTGATGCTGCTGCCAGATGACTTTAAGGCCAGCTCCAAGATCAAGGTCAACAATCACCTTTTCCACAGGTAAGTGATGATCCTTGCCATTCTCATGTCAACCTTCCCAGAAAGGAGTAATAAATAATTTTAAAAGTTTCAGTGAGTTGAAAATTTAACATCCTTCCCAAATGCAGAAATTAGTTTTGTGCAAGGAAACCATGAGAATAATTTCTGGTGTTCCCTATATCCTTATATGAATCAGTGTTATCTCTCCTCTAGCCTGGCAATTCCATAGAGTAAATATGTACAGATACCATTACCTGCTCTTTCTCTCTTTTTCTGCTTGTGACCTTGGAGATGCCATGAGAACCATTAGCTTCTGACAGGGACTCCTTGAAAGAAAAACTTGAATTCTCTACTAAGCCCTCCTAGGAAAAGAAGATGCCATTCAAAACAGTGGTGTCTGTTGCTGACTTTAGAATGCTTCTGACTTGCTTGAGATTTGGGAAATGCTGCTGTTTGGATGGGTAGTAGATCCTGGCTCTACTATACCACTTACCAACCATGTTACTTAGGCAGGTCACTGAATCACTCTGAGACAGTCTCCTCTTCTATAAAATGGAAATAATATGTTTTTATAGGACCTCACAAGGGCCAGGCGTGGTGGCTCATGCCTGTAATCCCAGCAGTTTGGGAGGCCAAGGCGGGTGGATCACTTGAGGTCAGGAGTTCGAGACCAGCCTGCAAACATGGCAAAACCCTATCTCTACTAAAAATACAAAAAATTAGCCAGGCATGGTGGCGCATGCCTGTAGTCCCAGCTACTTGGGAGGCTGAGGCAGGAGAATTGCTTGAACCCGGGGGATGGAGGTTGTGGTGAGCCGAGATTGCACCACTGCAGTCCAACCTGGCAACAGAGTGAGACTCTGTCTCAAAAAATAATAATAACAAATAAAAATTAAAAAAAAAGGACCTCACAGGGTTTTATGAGAATCAAATGAGGTAATATGTCTGAAGGTACTTTATAAACTACCAAGTGTATGTAAATGTAATATTGTTTGTTTTCTTACTTTGAAAACCTGAATTTCAGGGAAAATCTGCCCAGTCATTTCAAGTTCAAGGAGTATTGTCCCCAGGTCTTCAGGAACCTCCGTGATCGATTTGGCATTGATGACCAAGATTACTTGGTGAGAGTCCATTAAGGGGTGAGGGTAGCCCTTTCTCCCCAGCAACTGAGGAGTACTATTTGGGACAGCCATATTTGGAGAAATGAGAGTCTTGGCAAATATAATTCTTTACCTTTTTGTGATTGCAGCATTTTCAAAAATTTAATGAAAATTATAAACCTTGTCCTTGGGGGAAAAGATGTAGATACATTAAGAATTTTGGCCAGGCGCTGTGGCTCACGCCTGTAATCCCAACACTTTGGGAGGCCGAGGCGGGCAGATCACCTGAGGTCAGGAGTTCGAGACCATCCTGGCCAACATGGCAAAACCCTGTCTCTACTAAAGATATGAAAATTAGCCAGGTGTGGTGGCGCACGTCTAGTCCCCGCTACTTGGGAGGCTGAGGCAGGAGAATCACCTGAACTTGGGAGGCGAAGGTTGCAATGAGCTGAGATCGTACCACTACACTCCAGCCTGGGTGACAGAGCGAGACTCCTTGTCAAAAAAAAAAAAAAAAAAGAATTTTGCATTCAGTTTCCTTCAGTCCACATATGGACACCTGATGAGGAACTGTGCTGAATCTCCTACCCCAGGGATTCATCCACTTTCAGCTGACCATTTTCCTATGACTTGTTTCTGCATATAAAGAGGGAGGAAAAGAGCTCTGGCCTATTCTGTGTCCCCAGGTGTCCCTTACCCGAAACCCCCCCAGCGAAAGTGAAGGCAGTGATGGTCGCTTCCTTATCTCCTACGATCGGACTCTGGTCATCAAAGAAGTATCCAGTGAGGACATTGCTGACATGCATAGCAACCTCTCCAACTATCACCAGGTCAGGCCTCTCTCTAGCCCCATTCTTTCCCTCTCCTCCCTACTCACATATAGCTCAGCTATTGTCAGTAATAGATGCCAACTGGGGAGAAAACTCATTGGAAGAGAGAATCCATAATCATATCCAGCCCTAAATGGGATGAGGGAAGCTATTCTGTCTGATAAGATTTACAGGCTGGGGGCAGTGGCTCACACCTGTAGTCCCAGCACTTTGGGAGGCTGAGGCGGGAGGATCACCTGAGGTCGGGAGTTCGAGACCAGTCTGACCAACATGGAGAAACCCCGTCTCTACTAAAAGTACAAAATTAGCTGGGCATGATGGCTCATGCCTGTAATCCCAGCTGCTCAGGAGGCTAACGCAGGAGAATCACTTGAACCCGGGAAGCGGAGGTTGTAGTGAGCCGAGATCGTGCATTTGCACTTCAGCCTGGGCAACAAGAGCAAAACTCCGCCTAAAAAAAAAAAAAAAGATTAAAAAAAAAAAGATTTACTTGGAATGTGGAGTTTATGGAATGTTTTGGCAGTAAAAACACTCTTCTTGAACATCTCTACTGAAGAAAAATTTCACCAAAATCAGTGAGCAAGGAATACATCAGAGTCCAAAAGGAGTCTTTGGTTTATGCAACAAATATTGAATACCTCTTATTAGGCCCTATGTTAGGCAGTAGAGTAGGAGGTAAATGAAACATCTGTGGCCCTTACAGATCCCTTGGTCTGATGGCAGTGACCAGTGACCCAGTATTAGCACACCGCAAGATATATACAATAGTAGAAGTCTGTACAGAATATTCTGAAGCTAGTGAAGAGCATCCGAACTCACCTGGGGAAGGAAATGCACCTGGGAGGCTAAAGAGAGTTTTTTAGAGGAGATACTGTAAGAGTTGATCCTTGAAGGACTAGTAGAGGTTAACCATTGGACAGGGTGGAAGAGCATTCTAGGCAAAGGAAAACAGCACTTGTAAGGCACAGAGCCATGAGAGAACTTGGTGTTAGAAAACAGCAAGAAATTCCATTTGGATGGGATGTAGTACTGTGGAAATAGGCAGGAGCCAGATTGTAAAGAGGCTTATAAGCCCCACAAAGAAGTTTGGACTTTATCCTGAAGGTGGTTTTGCAAGGGGCGTGATATATTTGTTATTTAGAAATATTTAGAAAATGTGACAGCGTTTTAGAGAATGGATTGGTGGGAGGGAACACTGGAAGGGTGGATACCAGTTAGGAGGTAATTTTAATAGTCCAGGGTAGAAACAATGAAGGCCTGGGGGAGCGATGGTGGTGGGGATAGAAAGGAAGACCTATGGGAGAACTGAGAGTTAAGACACAGGGGCCTCCAAGTTCCTGGTTAGGGATAACTGGGTGCCTATTCACCAGAAATTAGAAACAGAGGAACAGGTTTTTGGAGGAAGAAAGTTCTGATTTGGACATACTGAATTTGAGGTTTCTGCAATTCATCCAGATGAGGATGTCCAGTAAGTGGTTGGGGTATGTGTACAGAATTCAGGAAAGAGGATTAGACTGGGAGTATAGGTTTGAGAATTATATGTGAGTAAGTGATCATTAAAACCATGGCTATAGATACGATTATTGTAGGGAGGTTGTGTGCAGTGAAATGAAAAGAAGGTTGAGGACAGAACCTAAAGGAACAAGTGAAGAAATGAGCCCATAAAGGAAACTAAGAGTAGATGGACACTTTTAATTATTTATGCCATGCTACATTCCATACGGGATTCGACGACAGAGAGGAGGGGAATCAGGAGGGTGGTATAATAAGAGCTGAGGATGAGGAGACTTTTAAGGAGAGACTGGTCAATAGGATCAAGTGCCACAAAGCTGAAATATGACAATGACTAGAATACTTACTAGATTTGACAACTGAGGGATATGGGGGAGATTTCAGAGGAGAAATGAGGTATAAACCTGATTTCAGTGATTCAACGTGTGAATGAGAGACAGGAAATGGATTTCTTGCTGATTACTTTCCTGAGAAGGTTGGCTGTGAAGAGAAAGAGGCAGCAACACAGAAAGAGAGATGGTAAGCACTGAAGGAGTAATTTTTGTTTTTTAGAGACAGGATCTCACTGTGTTCCCCGGGCTGGTCTCAAACTCCTGGGCTCAAGCGATCCTCCTGCCTCAACCTCCCAAGTAGCTGGGATTACAGGTGTGAGCCTGGCTTAACAGGAGAATTTTTAAAAAAGAATCCAAATTGTAGGCCGGGTGCAGTGGCTCACGCTTGTAATCCTAGCACTTTGGGAGGCCGAGGTGGGCAGATTGCCTGAGTTCAGGAGTTCGAGACCAGCCTGGGTAACACAGTGAAACCCCGCTTCTACTAAAATACAAAAAATTAGCTGAGCGTGGTGGTGTGCGCCTGTACTCCCAGCTACTCGGGAGGCTGAGGCAGGAGAATTGCTTGAACCTGGGAGGAGGCGGGGGTTACAGTGAGCCTAGATTGTGCCACTGCACTTCAGCCTGGGCAACAGAGTGAGACTCCATCTCCAAAAAAAAAAAAAAAAAAAATCCAAATTGTAGGCCATCATGCAGACTTTTTTTTTTTTTTAGGTATAAAAATCTGTATTTATATTACAGTGACAGAATGACACAGCACAGCCCAACCCAATGCAGACATTTTAAATTATGGGAATCTAGCCTATGAAGAAACACTGCTCTAGATAAAATGATTTCATTGATAAGATATAAGTTGTAATCCTGGTTCTGTGCCACTTGCATATAGAAAGGGTCTAAAATAAGGATAATAACACTTAACCTTCCTCATCTCAAAGAATGATAAAGGTGAATTGAGAGATGACACTTAAAAATTAAGAGATGTACAAATGGAAGGAATCAGAGGAAAGGGGGATTCAGAAACGGCATGGATAACCTGGAGTGTTTTGGGGAAGCTTCCACCACTTTTGACTTTGTAATCTCTCTACTTGAAGTCCTCTGCTCTACCCTGGAATGGCAGTGTTTGAACTTCCCTGGGCTGTTTGTGTATCTGCTACTCAGCCTCTCCCCATTCCTTCCCCCTCTTTCACTGTAGTACATTGTGAAGTGCCATGGCAACACGCTTCTGCCCCAGTTCCTGGGGATGTACCGAGTCAGTGTGGACAACGAAGACAGCTACATGCTTGTGATGCGCAATATGTTTAGCCACCGTCTTCCTGTGCACAGGAAGTATGACCTCAAGGTAAGAAGAGGGTAGCTCGGACTTAGAGGGAGGCTCCTGATAGCCTGAGAATGGGGAAGACCCTGGGAGGTCTTTGGATGATTCCTTTTAAGGGAAAGAAGGCTGGGTTTGAGTACTCATCTTAGGGGCTGGGTTCTGACTGTTCTTTTAGCCACTTCTACTGACTTGGTGTTTGGGTCTTTCTGCAGGGTTCCCTAGTGTCCCGGGAAGCCAGCGATAAGGAAAAGGTGATAGTAATTTTATGTGCTAGGGTGAGGGATGAGGGATGAGGGAGGGCAGATGAGGGGAACTTCTTAGGATGGAGAGGCCACTCTATATAGGAATAGGGATTACTAGCTATTTATTATCTTAAACCACTTAAAAGAAGGGGGTAAACTTCTGTTGATCCGGGGATTGTTTGGAAGGGGCAGTGGGAGCAGCTGCTTTAACACTGGCATGGGTTATTCCATATGGAAGGCTTGGGGATGGGTGAGGTTGCCAGACTTGAAGAGCAAAGTGTTTAACTTCCACTTCCCATTCTGGGTTATTTTATTCAAGCAGCTACTTTTGCTTAAGAAGACACAGGCCGGGCATGGTGGCTTATGCATGTAATCCCAGCACTTTAGAAGGCCAAGGCAGGACTGCTTGAGCCCAGGAGTTCCAGACCAGCCTGAGCAACGTAATCTCTACCAAAAACACAAAAATTAGCCGGGCGTGGTGGCACGCGCCTGTAGTCCCAGCTACTTGGGAGGCTGAGGTGGGAGAATCACTTGAGTCCAGGAGGTCGCGGCTACAGTGAGCTGAGATCACACCACTTACATTCCAGCCTGGGCAACAGAGTGATCGAGATCCTATCTCAAAAAAAAAAAAAAAAAAAAAGAGGAGAAAGAAAAGTCAGCCTGGAGGGTCTTGGCTAAAAACCATAAGCAGAGAGTAGTGGGATGTGATTTGGGATACAGCTGTAGTGACTGAGTCTGTGGAAGTCACTGGAGGTGAGAACAGACCAGGGAAGCATCACAGTGTGGAGTTAGATGAGATCTAACTGAGCTAGCATAGAGCCCTAGACAGAAGGTGGGGTTCTGAGACCTTGGGGAAGGGATATGTTCCCAAGATGTCCCTTTACATATTCTTAGGTTAAAGAATTGCCCACCCTTAAGGATATGGACTTTCTCAACAAGAACCAGAAAGTATATATTGGTGAAGAGGAGAAGAAAATATTTCTGGAGAAGCTGAAGAGAGATGTGGAGGTGATGATTGGGTGCTCTGGGAAATGGCTTTCCTTTTTTTGCTCCCTAGAGGGTAGTTGTCTCTTTCATTCACGGTATGAGGGAGCTCCTCCCCTTCCCTTTATTCTTCAGGTCCTCTGCCTATATGGGGGTTTAGTATGAGACATGAAAAACCCCTGGAGCTGACCCGTGGAAGGGGTGGCTGGAATAAGCTAAAAGGATGATCTTAGATACTAGGACATATAGGCACTAAAGGCAGTGGTATGCCCTGCAACCTCAATTTTTATACTTCCTTTCCCCAGAAGGGCCCCAGAAATTCAAAGGTACAGGTACAGGGGTGATACCTAGCAGTGAAGAGTGAGAGAGAGGTGTCTGATTTGTCAGTGGGTCTCAGTTTCTAGTGCAGCTGAAGATCATGGACTACAGCCTTCTGCTAGGCATCCACGACATCATTCGGGGCTCTGAACCAGAGGAGGAAGCGCCCGTGCGGGAGGATGAGTCAGAGGTGGATGGGGACTGCAGCCTGACTGGACCTCCTGCTCTGGTGGGCTCCTATGGCACCTCCCCAGAGGGTATCGGAGGCTACATCCATTCCCATCGGCCCCTGGGCCCAGGAGAGTTTGAGTCCTTCATTGATGTCTATGCCATCCGGAGTGCTGAAGGTGAGAGAACCGGGACAATTTAAGGGTGGAGAGGGGATTTTTCCTGGAGGACAGAGACCAGAGTGCTGGGGGAGAGCCTGATTAGCTTTTCAGAACAAAACTGACTGCTTCCTGGAGAAAGGGAATTGGAACTAAACCTACTCTGAATTGTTGGTCTCTCTCCCAGGAGCCCCCCAGAAGGAGGTCTACTTCATGGGCCTCATTGATATCCTTACACAGTATGATGCTAAGAAGAAAGCAGCTCATGCAGCCAAAACTGTCAAGCATGGGGTGAGAGTTCGCAAAAGCCTTTCCTTTCCTGTCTTGACTATTCTTTGGGAATAGAGTCTCTTGTGCCAGAGCAATGGGGTGGCAAAAGAATGGAGGTGGTCTGGGGTAGATTGGGTGGGGGTGATGGGGACGGGTGCTAGGGTGGCCTGACATATTGTTCCGTATCTCCTCTCACAGGCTGGGGCAGAGATCTCTACTGTCCATCCGGAGCAGTATGCTAAGCGATTCCTGGATTTTATTACCAACATCTTTGCCTAAGAGACTGCCTGGTTCTCTCTGATGTTCAAGGTGGTGGGGTTCTGAGACACTTGGGGGAATTGTGGGGATATTCTAGCCACCAGTTCTCTTCTTCCTTTGCTAAATTCAGGCTGCAGGCTCCTTCCATCCAGATAACTCCATCCTGTCGAGTAGGCTCTTTCTGACCCTCAGAAATACATTGTCCTTTTTCCTCTTTGCCCATTTTTCTTCCCTCTCTTCCTCCCCATGAGAAGTCTGCTTGTAGTATTAGAATGTTATTGTTGACTCTCTCCCAAGTGCCTTGATCTTTGTAATATCTCCTGTTGTTTCTATGATATAGGAGCTAGGGGAAGGGGGTTGTTTGCCTTCTTCAGGACCTGACTGGACAGATGGACCTGGCTCAAGCAACTACTCTGGATGCACTTTGCTGTGTGGGATGAACTAAAAGTGTCTGAATTTTGCTGATAACTTTATAAAACTCACTATGGCATGCTTCCCTCCTGGTGGGCCCTAGGATGGATGACACTCAAGATACTACAGATGTGGGTGCAGGCATGCACACACACGATGGAATATGGCCATTCCTACACAGGTGGGGTAGAGAGTGGGTCAGCAGCCTGGCACCTCACAGAGGTGGGACCTAAGAGGACTCATGATTATGCAGAGAATTGGATTGGGTCTCTGTCATAGATTGAGTAATCTCTTCCCTTACCTCAATTCCATCTCCACCCATCTCTACATCTGGGCACAGCAACCCAGAGATGGCCAAAAGCATTCAAGCCTGGGGGAAGATGTTTGACTATTGCTGCTCTTCACCAGAACCTCACACCTCTCCTGGGACTGGAACCCTTCAGTGGGTGTGTGGCCAGTTTTGGAGGCTGGAATGATGGGCCAGGGTGTAGGATTCATTCTCCATGTAAAGTTTCCTTTCATCCTGCCTAGCCATCCCCAAGGTTTATTTCCAGAAGAAAGGAATATCTCTACTTGGATCAATTCTGGTCATTTCAAGAGGATGGAGGCCTCAAGTGTGGGAACTTCCCCTACTCCCTGGATGTGTGTACCTAGCACACTTCCTTCTCCCACCCCTTTTTCCAGTTGGATTTGTTTTTCTGTTCTCTTCTGTCCTGTCTTATACTGCAACTGTGTCTCCTAGGGGACAGATGGCCTTCTTTGTCATCTTCACTCTCCACCCCCAGAGAGGAGTCAGAGCCATAACTCAATCACTCAGCCCCTCCAAAGATAGTTGATGTGTGATAATCTCATAATGTTGAGAACCCTGATGAGATACATTGTCTTCCTCTCCCTACAATGCCTCTGGGGCCAAGGCACCCATTCTTCTTGCTATCCTCCATCCCCCTTGAGGCTTCCACTTTTTTTTTTTTTAGACATAAAGCTGGGCATCAGCAACTGGCCTGTGGTGATGCAAAGCTGCTTTGCTCTGTATCTGGCTGGACTGATCTGTCTCACAAGAAGCCATGAGGCCATAGGGAGAAGCTCCCTCTCCCCTTCATCTTCTGCTCCAAAGGTGGTAGCAAGAGGAGTACCCAGTTAGGGGTTGGAGCCCCCATATAACATCTTCCTGTCAGAAGACTGATGGATCTTTTTCATTCCAACCATCTCCCTTTCCCCCGATGAATGCAATAAAACTCTGTGACACCAGCAACCATTGCTCTTTAGAAATGGGTTTTCTGATCATATGGCTGATGTGTTATGGGCAGTATGGATGTCTTCATTTGTTGCTTCTGTTTTTCATCTTTTTTGTTTTATTAATAAAAATTTATGTATTTGCTCCTGTTACTATAATAATACAGGGAATAAATTATTCAATCCAAATTTCTGTACAGAAATGCCTTTTTTTTTTTTTTTTTAAATTTCACTTCTCTCAGGGAGCCTGTGTTTAAGGGTGCAGAGACCAGCTGAAGAATTCTGGTGTTCAAGGTGTTGGGCCCCTAACTAAGGATGTGGGTTTCTAGACAGATGGCTGTGAACTTTTTTAAAAAGGCTGTGAAGGGTGTGCACGGGAATGGAAAACTTAGTCTTTAACCTTGTGGGAGGTCAGCGGTAGTGAGGGCCAGGGAAGAGTAGGGTGATGGGACCCTTCCTCTTCCCAGAGTTCTGGGCTTGCTAACACTCCATCTTTGTAAAGGTGAGTAGGCCTCTCAGCCCACCAGCTAAAAGAAAAGGAATCTAGTATTCCCCCAGGCTTCCTGGGAAAGCTGTCCTCTTCCTGGAGGGAAGGAAGAGTACAGCAGGGTCCTGGGAAAGTGAAGAAAGTGACTAGCCCTCCAGTCTAGAGGGGGGAGTGAAAAAGGGGTGGATGAATAGAGGTTGTTGCCAGTTTGGGAGATTCCTGCCTGTCTTGGCTGAGGAAGTCTTTTGGCTGGTGGAAAAACCTGGCTTGATGTGGCCCCAGGGAAGTGAGTTGGATTGGGCGGAGACTGCTTGATGTGGGAAGCAGAGCAGAGCTTTTTTTTTTTCTTCTTTGAGAGTTTTTAACTCTATTTGAACCATACACTTGACACCACCACCACCTCGAGCCACTTTTTAAAAAATGTATTCGCTTCCCATTCTGCACCAGCCTCCATATCCCTGTTTGTGGAAAGAAAAATCAGAGGCACTGACCAATGATCATCTGAGAGCAGGTTGTGGGGGTCATAGGAGGTAACAATCTAGAAAGAGGCAGGAGATGAGGGAGGGGATTGAAATAGTTTAGTACCCGGATTTGTTTATTTTTTAGAGCCAATGCTTTTCTTTTTACTATGACTCTTCCCATCCCACATTGTTCCTCAAAGGCCCTTCTACCATAAGGATTCAAAAAATTGCCGCCCTCCCCCCGAATCCCCATATACCCACCAACACTTCACCCACCCATCCACCACCAGCTCCTGGGAGCTGCTACGCAGCTGGCTGGGAAAGAAAAGGGAGAGTGCTCCGCCGGGAGCGGGGAGCGAGTAGGGTGGCGTCTCCAGGGATTTAACCTCCTACCCTCAGTTCCATGACGCCACCCCCTCCCTCCAAAGACTGGGACAGCGCCTCCATTTTTGTTTTGGGGAGGAAGGGCAGGGGCTTGCGGATAGAAGGGGGTCAAAGGAACGGTGATTATCACCTGTGAGGGGAAAGGGGGTGCTGTCCTCCCTCCTTCCCTTTTCCTCAGCCTGCACCCCCTGCAATCCCCCACCTTTCGGGGTCTCCCCCTCCTTGTTGCTAAGGCCCGGACCGTCATCCCAGCAACAGCCTCAGTCATGTGACCGGCAATGGCGGCGCTGACGAGAGGTAGGTGAGCCCGGCGCCCCCCACACCCACCGCGCGCCCCCCGGGCCCCGCTCGCACCCCTCACGCGCCCCCCGCTCCCCCGGCGCCCCCTCCTCCACCTCCCCTCCCCGCGCGCGGCTCCGGGCTCCCCGCTCCGTGCCCGGCCGATCATCTTTCTAGCACCCTCCAGCCTTGGCCTCCATTCGGGGGTTCTGAGGGCTGCGATCGGGCCGACATGCACCCCCACCCGGCGGTGGGGATCCGGGGGCTTTGGCTACTGAGGGATGTGGGGAGTTGGTTCCGGGTCGGGTCTTGGAGGAGGCCGTGGGGGGAGGGCGGGAGCTGCTTCAGTGGATGCCCCCAGGGACCCTTGCCCATCCGGGCTGTGCCTCCCTCTGGCCTCTGTCTGGAGGGAGAGACTGGTTCCTTGTCCGGCCTGGGTTGCCACAGAGGAATCACAGACCCACCCTAAACTGGGGCCCCGCCTCCCTTTTCTGTGCCAGCAGGACTTGGACCTAGGACACCTAGGTCCTGGGTCCCCCGTGATGGGGAGAGAAGTGTTGCATCGCGGATAGACTGTATGGGCTGAGACTCTAGGGTTCCATTTTCACTTATGAATCTCGAGGTGCATCTGGCCTTGGGGGACGATGATGGAGGCATGAAGGGACAGCTGCTCCTTCTTGGATCAGTCAATAAATGGAGGTCACACTAATGGCCCTTCTTTCTGTTTGAGCTGCATTTGGAAGTGTTGTGGAGACAGCCCCGTAGCCCAATGCGACCAGACTCAGGGAAAACATCAGGCCCCTCCAGCTGAGCCCTTGTGTGAGCCCCGCCCCTCCCTAAATGCCAGACTTGGGAGCTGACAGACAGCACTGCCTGTGCTGGGTTTAAAAGGTGACAATGAGAACTTTGTTATTGCAGGGGCTGCTGCCACTTTGTTCACATCCTTAACAGACTTCAGCAGAAGGGACTGAGTTAGCTCTCAAGGAAGGCTCCCTGGCAATAGGGGCTGAATTATTTGGCAATGTGGAGCAGGCGAGGAGTTGGGGAGCATAGGAAATATTCCGGTCCATGTGATCTGAGGGAGGTGGCAAGAAGACCTCCACCTGTGTGGGCGTTTTCTTTCCTGACTTCTCTTATGTGTGCCCTAGGCTTTCTTGGGGGCCTCAGAGCTGGGGAAGAAAGGAGGAAGGTTAGCATGTTGAAGTTCCTTCTTGAGCAACTTGGGGAGAAGCTGATAATGGAATTCTGCAGAGAAGAGAGGAGATGGAAGGGGAGTTTTTATTTCTGGGTTGGCTGAGGGGAATGGTAACATTTGCCATCATAACTTTTTACCCTTCCCCCACTCCCAGTCCTGGTCAGCTGAGTGGAAATAGAAGGATTTCTGCTGCCATCATCTTCCATGGGCTTTCCAGGTATCTCCCCCGCAAGGGATCCTCAATTTTCACCCTTAAACTGGTTTCCTTCATTCCATGTTCCAAGTAATGCCATTCTTAGTAACCTATACCCAGGTTTCTGTCTCTGTTCCATGGGCTGCTGGGTTGGGGGCCATGGGAATTGGGAGAAGGGGTTTCTCACTTTCCTTCCATTTTTCCGCCCTACCAGGTCACACGACCTACAAGTAGGGAGCAGGGAAAGAAGAGTGAGCCTGCATGCCAATTCTAAGCTCTTCAGGATCAAAGTAAGCAAAAAGGAGGGGCAAAGAGTCTCCCTCCCCTTTAAACAGCCCATTTTTCCCCAAGAGGTGGGAGGGGCAAGTTGTTTCTATGATCTGGGAGAAATGACAGGAGAAACAAGACTGATACTTGGCTTAGATGATAATATAGCTCTGGAAACTTTTTTGCTCTTCAGTGGGTTTTGGGTTTGGAAGATAAGGGGAGACAGAATATGAATTTGGGTGAAGGGTTGGGGATTAGGCTTTGAGAAAACAGAGGTAATAGAGGGTTTGGAAGGAACCTGAAGTAGGAGGCACTGATACTTGTCAAATGGGGACCCCCCACCCTGAGTCCCTTTCACCCTGGGGGCAGTGTCGTTCGTCCTGTCCAGAATGGCAGCCTGTGGAGGCACCTGCAAGAACAAAGTGACTGTGTCCAAGCCCGTGTGGGACTTCCTGAGCAAAGAGACCCCAGCCCGGCTGGCCCGGCTTCGGGAGGAGCACCGTGTGTCCATCCTCATAGATGGCGAGACTTCTGACATCTATGTTCTCCAGCTTTCCCCACAGGGTCCTCCCCCGGCCCCTCCAAATGGGCTCTACCTAGCCCGGAAGGCTCTCAAGGGGCTGCTAAAAGAGGCAGAGAAAGAGCTGAAGAAAGCTCAGAGGCAGGGGGAGCTGATGGGCTGCCTGGCTCTGGGGGGTGGAGGGGAGCACCCTGAGATGCACCGCGCAGGCCCACCCCCTCTCCGAGCAGCCCCACTTCTGCCCCCAGGAGCTCGGGGGCTCCCCCCTCCTCCTCCCCCCCTGCCCCCACCTCTTCCTCCTCGCCTTCGGGAGGAGGCAGAAGAGCAGGAGAGCACCTGCCCCATCTGTCTGGGGGAGATCCAGAATGCCAAGACATTGGAGAAGTGCCGGCATTCATTCTGCGAGGGCTGCATCACCCGGGCTCTGCAGGTGAAAAAGGCCTGCCCCATGTGCGGCCGCTTCTATGGGCAGCTGGTGGGCAACCAGCCCCAGAATGGGCGGATGCTGGTCTCTAAGGACGCCACCCTCCTACTGCCCAGCTATGAGAAGTACGGCACCATTGTCATCCAGTACGTCTTCCCGCCCGGTGTCCAGGGGGTAAGAAGACCATGGCCTGCCCTTACCCTTTGGCTTTCCCCAAGCTCTGACCTAGGAAAACCGGGTGAGGGTGAGTGTGCTTGTTAGATGTGAGACAGTCTTGCTGTCTTCCACTGTGCCCTCCTACTCAGTGCCCTGGACCTAGGAGGTCCCCGTGAGGCCCAGCCTTTCCATCCCTGTGATCCCAAGGCACACGTGAAAATCAGATATGAGCTAGGAAAAAAAAAAGCAAATCAGATATGAGAGGAAGGAATTGCATATTATTTCCTTGATGAACACAAATACTGTGCTGACATCTTGGCAGAGGTAAATTCTGTGGAGGTGGTGGCTTAGGGGAAGGGAGGCACAATAGGAAGGGATCTGACCAACCCAACAGAGCCAGGAGCATCACTCTGTAAAAACAGGAGTAGTCAAGGCCTATAGGTGTCTTCCTGCTGGACAAAGAGTAATGTGCAATTCTGGCTGCAGAGGGGTGAAGAAGCTGCACAGAAGAGTGATGGAAAATGGAACAAGTTAGACAGTGGCAGAAACATTAGGAGTATTTTCAGGTGAAGGGAAGGCTGAAAGATAGATTATTCTGTCTTCACATTTTTGCTGAGTTGTCTGGAGTGTAGGGACCAGCTAACTTCCATCACTTCTGAGAATCCATTTGTTGCTGAATGGAGACTTGAGGGATTGAGACAGCAGAAAAAATCTCTTAACACATAAGGATTATGCTCTGAAACAGGCTCTTGCTGCCGAGGCCGTATAATCTCTCCTTCTGTGGAAAGCTGTCAGCCTGTTGCTGCCCCGTTCGCATTAGCTGGGGGTGCTCAGACAGAGACTAGCCTGGATGACCCTCCTCTGGCATCTGGGCCTTAGGATGCCTGGCTGCTCACTGCCCACTCTGCTTCACCTTCCTCCCAGGCTGAACACCCAAACCCAGGAGTTCGGTATCCTGGCACCACACGGGTGGCCTACCTCCCGGACTGCCCTGAGGGCAACAAGGTGCTGACCCTGTTCCGCAAGGCGTTTGACCAGCGTCTCACCTTCACTATCGGCACGTCCATGACCACAGGGAGACCGAATGTCATCACCTGGAACGACATCCACCACAAGACCAGCTGCACAGGGGGACCCCAGCTGTGCGACCCCTCTTCATTTCCTTTCCCTTGGCTCCTCCCCTTTGTTCCATTTCCACTGAGGGACCCACCAACCCCTCGCTCACGGAGCCTCCTAACTGGAGAGAACCACTTCCAAACTGTTCAGCCATCTCAGTTTCTCCTACATTCAACCTGGTCCTGGTGTGCCCAGCTTAGCCTACAAAAATAAGCAGAACTGGGCTAAATTATCTTGGATTTGGAGGTGTCCTCCCTTAGGGGAGGTGGGGAGGTGTCTGAGCCACCTAGAATGAGGGTGAGCATGGGGATAATAGCAAGTTCAAACAGCTAACAACCCTCACCCTCATTTCTCTTTGCTCCCAGGTTTGGGTACCCAGACCCCACCTACCTGACCCGGGTGCAAGAGGAGCTGAGAGCGAAGGGTATCACAGATGACTGAAGGACATCGCCTTTGCCAAGGCCCCTGCTGTCTGCCTCTACTAGGACCCAGCAGAAGCCTCTTTCTCCTCTCTGCCCCCTGCCCCCCACACCACACCTGTAGGGGACCTGTCTGACTGGGAAGGGAGTTCCGAGAGGGAGGGGGCAATCCCTTCCCCCATCCCCCACTGGCCAAGTGTTTCAATGCAGTGTGAGCCACTCCCTTCTGGCAGAGGCCGACCTCCAAGGCTCTGTTCTCCCCTCCCCGTGTACATATACTCCCGGTTTCCCTGCCCCTCCATTGCCCTTGGCTTTTTCTGGTATGTGCTGTGCTCCACGACCAAGCCGAGAAAGGACCTAGGGTGGGGAAGGGAGGGTCTCTTGATTCCTAACCGCCCCCACATACTGCTCCACCGCTGAACTTCGGGTGCCGGGGAGGAGAAATTGGGCTGATGTGAGCTCCCCGTCACCCGCCATGGAGCCGGCTGTGTGTGTTCATCAGATACAGTTCTCCCTTAACCTTGTCCTTTCTCTCCTGTGTCTCAGTCTCCGTCAGTCTGTCTTTCTCCGCTCTTCTCTGACCCCTGTGAGGAACCTCCTTACCCTGTTCTGGAATCGCTGCCAGACTGTAGCTTTTAATTTAATAAAAATAAAGTAAAATATGCAACTCTTTATGCCACACCCGTTCTTTTCCAGGGACTGGGTGGGGGTGGGGTGGGGAGAGGGACCTGCTGGAAAGGGGAGAGGGGATGATGGGGTGATCCCTGCGTGCACTCCCAGTCCCTCTGCCTCCTGAGGACCTGGGGAAACGGGATGCACCAGCGGGCTCTGTAGTAACACTGAGAAACCCTGGGTCACTTCGATGTTGGAATTAGTATTAAGAGGGTGTTTTTTTGTTGTTCAACTATGGTTGTAGAGAAAACAACCCTAGCCACTCTGCGAAGTTTGGCTGGGGTGGGAGTGGGGGCGGAGCCGGGCAGGGGGCGGATTCCGCAGCAGCAACTCCCCGGACGCGCGCAGGCCTCAAAGCCCCCCAGCTTCAGTGCCCCCTCGACCCTGAAACTTGGAGCAGGGTGGGGGTTCAGTATGAAGCCCCCGGACCGCCCCGCCCCTGGCCGCACTGACCGGATACTGGGGGTCATGGGGGGCATGCTGCGCGCATGCGCCCTCCCTGGGCAGGAGGGGGTAAGAATGGGGGCTCGCGGTGGGGTCGGGGGTCTTTCGGGGCCTTCAGGAGGGCTGCACCCACAACTCAACTTATCCGAAAACGAGTTCTGCGGGGCAGTCGCAGGAATACATGAATTCTATTACGAGGGCCATAGCCCCGTTCTGGGCGAGCCTTTTATAACAATGTGGGTTTTGACAGGTAGGAGAAGGGGAAGGGGGAGGTCAGGGCTGCCTAGGAGGGCAGGTTCCTTACAGTGGTTCTGTCCCCGCAGCCCCCAAGGAGAAGCCCTCTAGGGTTGGTGGGTACCGAGCCAGAGTCTGAACGTACGGAGGGAGATCACAGAAGGGATCGCGAACATGAGGTCCTCGCCGGGGCTCTGCAGCCCGGTAAGAAGCTGGGGGTGGGGTGGGGCACAGTTTGCTATCCTGCGCCAAGTGGCGAATTCAAAAATATTCTATTCTTATTAGCATAAAGTTCGCATCTAATTTGCATGAGACCCATTTAATCGCAGAGACCTCCACTCTTCTTGCCTTCGAGTCCAATGTGTGTCCCCCATCCCAGTCGATCCCGAGCCCTCGCAGGCAGAGTGTCCCCGCGCCCCACCCCTGGCCCCTCGCCAGCCCGGGCTCCAGGACTTCGCCTTAATTGGCGATTAGTCTTAGCTGGAGTCCCGGGGCCTGGAGGAAAGAAGGGTCCTGAGAGAGGGCGGCATCTGGGTTGTGTTCACCCACAAAAGACTCCCCATACACGCACCCCGTACCAGGGGGCCTCTGTCCACTCGGCCGGGGACAGCCCCAAACCCAGAACATCTTCGCACAGGCCAAGGCCCCATCCACTGAGTCCTCCTTCATCGCAGAGGCCAAGGGGAGACCTGGGCAGACCCTGCAGACAGGCTGAACCCCGACCCCAGCGCTCCGCAGAGCCCGGGATGCGAGAGGGAGGGGGACCCCGGGGCAGGGGAGCACGGGCTGGGGAGGGGAAAAAGCGCTGGGGACGTGGAGTGGGAACGTGGTGGTGTCTGGGGGAGGGGCGATCGGGGCGGGAACCCGGCGCAGGCAGGAGGGGGAACGCGATGGAGAGGGCGGAGCTGGGCCGCAGAGGCCCCGCCTCGTGGCGGCCCCGCGGCCAGGCCTGTTATTCAGCTCTCCGCTCCGCTGGGACCCGCACAGCGCCAGTGGCTCGGGGGTCGGCCCTCGCCTCCTCCCCGGCCCGGGCCTAGAGCCACCCCTAACCAGAGGCCGGAGACAGCTGGAGCGGCTGCCGCATCCCGGCCCAGCCTCCCCTACCATCCCTCCCCCTTCCACTGGACATCTGGACCCTAGGCCCCCGCACCGACAGGGTTCCGGAAACCCTCCCCGCCCAGCCCGGCGGCCGGGCCCCGCGCCTCTCTCTCTCTAGAGCCCCCAGCCCTCCTCAAGACTAGACTTCCGCCTACCCCTGGACACCTCCTCCCGGTCCCCTCCCTCCCCCCCTCCCACAGCCTGGACCGGGGTAGGAGGGAGGGGGGGTGTGCGCCCGGCGCCGTCCCCGCCCCGCCCCCCGTGATTCCCCCTGCATGGCCGGCCCGGGTGGGGGGCGCGGGGGGGCCCGGGCGCCATGCGGGGGGGGCACAAAGGGGGTCGCTGTGCCTGTCCCCGTGTGATCCGAAAAGTGCTGGCAAAATGCGGCTGCTGCTTCGCCCGGGGGGGACGTGGTGAGTGCCAGGTCGAGAGGGTCCAGTGTTGAGTGGGGGGCGGGCTGGGGGTTCAGGGCATCTGTTTGCCCTGGCCCTTGGGATTTAGGGTTGGAGACTGTATGTGTTTTCCAGGAAAGTGGTTTCTTAAGTGATCCCTAAGGTCCCTTCTGCCTCCAAATTTCTGTTAGTTCAAGTTAAGGAAATAGGGGAAGGGGCAGGGAACTCATCTCTTTCCCTTTGTCAAATGGGTTTGAGAAAAACCCACCCACAATCCCCTTAGGCCTAGAACCGATTATTTTCCTCAAACCTTTTGCTAAGAATCTACTTCTGAAGAGGGACAGGAGAATGGAGGAATGAGAATGAGGTGGTTCTACAAGGGGCTTTATAAGGAATCACAGCTCTCTGTCGCTGAGCACAGGCCAACGATAACCCTGATGGACCCTCCTCACTGGCCTCCTCTATTGGGTCTACGCATGTGTTGGGGAGGTGGGCTGCAGAAGTCTTTTCTTTTTATAGTGATTACTGCAATTGGTGGAGGAGGGGACTGGGAGTGGCAGATGGACCCAGCTCATCCTCCCCTCTTCCCAGAGAATGGTCTGTACCCATTGAAAGAGGGAGGGTTGTAGGAGAGCAGATGGCCACCCCCAGCTTCCAATGTCTGCCCAGATGGCTGCCCCCACCCCCATATCTATGCTATGCTCAGGATATGGGGAACCTCCACATGTAACTGGGGGTTCCAGGCCTGGAGAGCCAGGCGTTTACCTTACTGTGCTTTCTCCCAGGGGTGCCCTGGTGAAATTTTCTATCCTGGCCAACTCAAATGAGGATGGCAAGAGAGTGAGCCCTTGGAGAGAGAGGCTGAGCATCATGAAGAGAAGACCCTGGGAGTTCCCTGGGGACCCTGAGTCTGGAGCTGGGGCAAGGTCTATCACCTCCTCTCTTTTTCCTCCCATTAGAATCCTATTCCATTGCGGGCAGTGAGGGGAGTATATCGGCTTCTGCTGCCTCCGGTCTGGCTGCCCCCTCTGGCCCCAGCTCTGGCCTCAGCTCTGGCCCCTGTTCCCCAGGCCCCCCAGGGCCCGTCAGTGGCCTGAGGAGATGGTTGGATCATTCCAAACATTGTCTCAGTGTGGAAACTGAGGCAGACAGTGGTCAGGCAGGACCATATGAGGTGAGCAGGGAACGGCACCAAAGCATGTGGGACATCTATGAAGGACACTGGCAGAGAGGGCAAGTTGGGGCCACCCAGCTACTGTCCCCGACCTCTGACACTTGATTTCTGGCCCCCAGAACTGGATGTTGGAGCCAGCTCTAGCCACAGGAGAGGAGCTGCCGGAACTGACCTTGCTGACCACACTGTTGGAGGGCCCTGGAGATAAGACGCAGGTGTGAGGACAGGCTCTGGGGAGGCTCCTTTCACTCAAGGGGCATTCGTTTGCTCACCCTAGGATGTTCTTTCCTTCCAGCCACCTGAAGAGGAGACTTTGTCCCAAGCCCCTGAGAGTGAGGAGGAACAGAAGAAGAAGGCTCTGGAAAGGAGTATGTAAGTGTCCACAGCCCTTCCCTGCAGTTGCACAACTTCCAGAAGACTGTCCCTCACATTTTAGATGGAATTTCCTCCAAGGTTGGCTATGATGATAAAGGGGAGGAGGGAGGAACGGGCTGAACCAAGGATGAGCTCCGACGCTGAAGTGGGGGCCTCCTCCTGCTTTCATCCTAGGTATGTCCTGAGTGAACTGGTAGAAACAGAGAAAATGTACGTGGACGACTTGGGGCAGATTGTGGAGGTAGCTCCCTTTACCCCTTCCCAGCCCCTCCTGCCTGCTTTTCCATCTGCCCAGGGCTATTTTCAGGAGGTGCCTGGGCGCTCCTCTGTCCCACCTCTCAAGCCTCCCCACTCCTGGACCTTCCTACTCTGGGGGCAGGGCGGCTCCCACCAGGGAGGGGGAGGTGGAACACACCCTGGATTTGTGTACAGGAGCACCATTAAGGTGGGGAGAGGGCCACCACATGCTCATGACCCAACCTCAACTTTCCCACAGGGTTATATGGCCACCATGGCTGCTCAGGGGGTCCCCGAGAGTCTTCGAGGCCGTGACAGGATTGTGTTTGGGAATATCCAGCAAATCTATGAGTGGCACCGAGAGTGAGTGGTGGAACTCTGACAGCTAGGTGCTGGAGAGGGGCCCTCATCTGGTTGTCCTGTATCCTAACATCAGCCCATTGCGACTTAAGGAATGTTTGGAGAAGTTTTGTAGGGCACACTACCAGGGCAGACAGCTCGAAACTGCTGGGAGTGGGCGAGGTGGGGGTTGTGAAATGTATTTGACCTGCTGCTTCTCTACCAACCCCTCCAGCTATTTCTTGCAAGAGCTACAACGGTGTCTGAAAGATCCTGATTGGCTGGCTCAGCTATTCATCAAACACGTGAGGCTTGAGGGGGCAGGGCCTGGGGCGGGGCTTAGGAATGGGCTGGGATTCTCTGGAGATGCGTCCTCCCTCCTTGCCCACCCTGCTCTCTCTTAAACATTACCCCTGTTAGGAGCGCCGGCTGCATATGTATGTGGTGTACTGTCAGAATAAGCCCAAGTCAGAGCATGTGGTGTCAGAGTTTGGGGACAGCTACTTTGAGGTCAGTAGCTGAGATGTCTTGGTGGGAAGGAGGACAGAACTGGGGCTTTCCAGGCTGCATAACCACCCTGTCCCTGTCCCCAGGAGCTCCGGCAGCAGCTGGGGCACCGCCTGCAGCTGAACGACCTCCTCATCAAACCTGTGCAGCGGATCATGAAATACCAGCTGCTGCTCAAGGTCAGGACCCCCTTTTTCCTGGGGGCACAGCTGGCTGGCACAGCTGTTTCCTCATTCATCTCCCCAGGGTTCTTAGGGCTCCCCCAGACTTCCTGAGGGCCCTCACTGGTGTCCTCAGGGGAGGATGTGAGAGCTTCTAAGGGTGTCCTCGTGACCTCCCTGAGCATTTCTTCTCTCTGTCTTAGGATTTTCTCAAGTATTACAATAGAGCTGGGATGGATACTGCAGACCTAGAGGTGAGGACCCCAGATCTTCCAGGACACACCATGTGCTCCTTATCCTCCTAGTATCTCATGGGTTCCCCCAGCCCCTTGGGTGGTTTACAGCTGTCTGGTTTTTAGGGGGAGGCTGGTTGGGGTTGAGATACCGTCTGAAGAGGCAACTGGCCGAGGAGGCCTCTTTCCCAATAATGACTCTCTTCGCCCAACAATGCGCCTCCCTCACCTGTGTCCCAGCAAGCTGTGGAGGTCATGTGCTTTGTGCCCAAGCGCTGCAACGATATGATGACGCTGGGGAGATTGCGGGGATTTGAGGTACGGAGATAGGGCAAGAAACTGGAGGCCCGATGCTCTTCTGCCCCAGCCCTAGCATTCAGGAGGTCCTTATGGGGAGTTGTCTTCTCCTGGGGCTGACCCCATGGTTGGTTGGGCATGTCAGGCGAGGAAGGGAGGAGCAGAGAATTGTCCTTTTTCTTGTTCTTTTTCCAAGGCCACTATCCTTTTGGTTTCAGGGCAAACTGACTGCTCAGGGGAAGCTCTTGGGCCAGGACACTTTCTGGGTCACCGAGCCTGAGGCTGGAGGGCTGCTGTCTTCCCGAGGTCGAGAGAGGCGCGTCTTCCTCTTTGAGCAAATCATCATCTTCAGTGAAGCCCTGGGAGGAGGAGTGAGAGGTGGAACACAGCCTGGATATGTATACAAGAACAGCATTAAGGTGGGGAGAAGGCCACGAGGGAGGGCTTGGAGAGAGAGAGGGCATGAGGCCTCTGAGAGGATGTCTCAGAGGAGCCAGGGAGGGCCTGAGGAATCTGGGGGCTGTCTCCTATCTGCCAATTCAGGTGAGCTGCCTGGGACTGGAGGGGAACCTCCAAGGTGACCCTTGCCGCTTTGCACTGACCTCCAGAGGGCCAGAGGGTGGGATCCAGCGCTATGTCCTGCAGGCTGCAGACCCTGCTATCAGTCAGGCCTGGATCAAGCATGTGGCTCAGATCTTGGAGAGCCAACGGGACTTCCTCAACGGTGAAGCTCTCATCCTTTCTTCCCGATGTGCTCTCTCAGCCCCTTAACCTCCTGAATCCCTCACTGCCCAGTCTCCAGTACCTACCCTCTGACCATGGCCCATCCCCTTTTCCACTGCTAGCTCAAAATTTGATAGAATCCCCTAAAGCCCTAAGCAATTGACATTGGCTGACAGGGAGGGAGGGCAAAGTGGGAGAATGATACAGGCCCTAGGGAGCAGACCTGTCTCTGCGGTAACCCTCCTTCTGTTCCTCTCTTTGCTCCAGCATTGCAGTCACCCATTGAGTACCAGAGACGGGAGAGCCAGACCAACAGCCTGGGGCGGCCAAGAGGGCCTGGAGTGGGGAGCCCTGGAAGAATTCAGCTTGGAGATCAGGCCCAGGGCAGCACACACACACCCATCAATGGCTCTCTCCCCTCTCTGCTGCTGTCACCCAAAGGGGAGGTGGCCAGAGCCCTCTTGCCACTGGATAAACAGGTATGACGAATAGAGCTCCCTCATTGTAGGGATAAAAAGGGGAGAGCCTCTCTTGTTCTGGGACCCCAAGTTCCCTCCCCATATCATTCCTTCCTTTTATCTGGTCCTTCCTACTTCCCATCCCTTACGCTTCTCCCCTCTATTTTAACTCTGGAGAAGCTGATAGTCTCAGACAGTCTAAGATATCTAGCAAGAGGAGGTGGCTTGGCTAGGGACTTAAACTGAAAAGAGAGAAGTGAGGGTAGATTTCTGGCCTTTTTGATCCTCTGACTTGAATCTTTTCTTCAGGCCCTTGGTGACATCCCCCAGGCTCCCCATGACTCTCCTCCAGTCTCTCCAACTCCAAAAACCCCTCCCTGCCAAGCCAGACTTGCCAAGCTGGATGAAGATGAGCTGTAACTGGTGAAAACCATGGGGGTGGTGCTGACTCAGCCGCCTATTCCCCAAGGAGCTTCAGGGCAGTCCTTCTGGCACTGCTCCAGAATTCCTCCTTCTTGGTGTGTCTGGAGGGTGGGCAAGGCTGGGAGGGATATCAACTTGGAGGAGAACACCTAGACCCAAGGACTTTTTTCTGCCCAAGGAACACAGTTTCCTTCAGCTCCCATCCCTATGCATGCATCATGGTCCCCCCAAAAGGAGGATATGTGGGTGGGTGGGAGGGCTGGGGCAGGGGCCAGATAGAAATTATTGGTTTTGTTTTTTAATTTTGTTTTTCCTGTTTTCTGAGAATAAAGGTTTTGTTATATCACCGAGGCTGCTGTCTTGGCAGAGGGAAGGGGAGGCTGTAGTGGGGGTAGGTGGGGTGAAGTGATATGGAAGAGATCGGTTGGCCCCAGCCATTGGAGGAGGGGGTCTGGTGAAAGGAGAAGGGGACAGGGTGTAAGATAAAAGATGTTGCTATCTTTGTCCCTCAACTGCAGTTGCAGCAGTTGAGGGACAAAGACTGAGGCATGGAACCACTGGAAAGCCCTTAGATTCTTCTTCTTCCCTTTTTTTTTTTGTAGAGTTAGGGTCTCACTATGTAGCCCAGGGTCTTGAACTCCTGGGCTCAAGTGATCCACCAGTCTTGCCCTCCCAAAGTGCTGGGATTGCAGCCATGAGCCGTTGCATCTGGCCAGCCCTAGATTCTTGATGTATCCTCTTTACCCAGCCCTTCTTTTTCCCTACCCACCCTCTGGTCTAGACCCCACCAGAAAGCCCAATGCAGTGTGACTTCTCACCATTCCCCCAACACCCAGATACGAAAGCACAAAATGCCAATGTACCTTTCCTTCTGAGGCTACCATGTTCAGCTGAGGGAGGATGGGAAGGTGGAGAGGATCCTGGGGGCTGAGACCTTTTCCTGGCTCTGGGTCTCCTTATCTTTGCTCTCTGCGAGGTCATAAGCCATGTTCATAGTGAGCAGAAGGGGATTCTTCTTCAAGCCATGGACCCAAGAGCGGACAGCCCAAGGGGATCTTCACCCCTCCCAACTTCTGGGAGAGCCGCTGGAACAGAGCGAGCCAAACATTCACACAGCCATGTCCAGATGCCCTGTCCTGGGTCCTTAATGCATCTCCGAGTCCACTGTATCCATTCGTCCCTTGGGCTCAGTCACGTGCACTTGGGCTTCCTCAACAGACAATAGACTGCTGGGGTGGGAGGGTGAGGAGGAGACCTGGAGCCTCCCTGTGGGCCCGAGGTCCCTTTAGCCGATAATAGGGAGGGATTCCTAAGGGGGGTACAGGATGTAGCGCCCAGATAAGACTTCTGCGGAACAATAGGAGGAACTGAAGAAGGGAGACCCACCCTCACTGCACCCCACCCCCCGGGCTTTGGGGTCGTGGACTGGGGGACCAGAGGATCATGGGGAGGGGTGCCGAAGATTCTTGTGAATGGGGGTGGAGGATCATGGCAAACAGCAGGATTCTGGAGTTAGAACCTTTATATTTCTTTAGGAACCATAGGGACACATGAGCGGGGTGGCTGACCCCTTTGAACTTAGTTTGACCACATATGTGCTTTTGAATGCCTACTTTGTGAACAGCATTTGTTTTTTGTTTGTTTGTTTTTTGTTCTTTTTGAGATGGAGTCTTGCTCTGTCGCCCAGGCTTGAATGCAGTGGCTCCATCTCGGCTTACTGCAACCTCCACCTCCTGGGTTCAAGCGATTATCCTGCTTCAGCCTCCTGAGTAGCTGGAATTACAGGCACCTGCCACCATAACCAGCTAATTTTTGTATATTTTAGTAAAGACAGGGTTTCACCATGTTGGTCAGGCTGGTCTCAAACTCCTGACCTCAGGTGATCCACCTGCCTCGGCCTCAAAGTGCTGGGATTACAGGCGTAAGCCATTTCACCTGGCCTGTGAAAAGCATTTGAATGTGATAAATGGTGCTTCAGTTTTTTTGGTTCCTAAGAAAAAAATATCCTGTGGGTTCAGTATTTCCCCTGAGGCCCTGAACTAGGCCCAGCCACTCCTCACAGAGGTGTGGGTGCTGGTTCTGTCATTATCCCTCTCCAATACATGTGGCTGCATTCCATGTCAGTAGGACATGAAACTGCTTTTTGGAACCAGCTGTGCCCCATGAAGATGTGGGTCTGGGTGAGGTTCAGGATGGGCGCTGAACTTTTTTGCTCTGGCTGGGAGAATGTAGTGGCTCAGGGAAGGACCAGTGACCCAAGAGGAACCAGCCTCTCTCTCCGCCCAAGGTGCCGATGGGGAAAGGAACCGGGAGTTAAGTGAAAAGTCTAAGGAAGGGTAAATAGCGGGTGTTGAGTGTCGGGGTGCGCTTGCCTTTCGGATTCTCTCTCTCTAATATCTACACATTTCCACAGCCACCCCAGAGCCAGCGATCAGATCCGGCCAAGGATGTCTGCAGAAACGCCTAACATAGAGACTCTCCCTCTCCAAGCCGCGGCTCTCGCCAGACCCGAGAAGGTCCTCAAGCGAGGGTGACCTCAGGGCCGGATTGGACCCTGCTTCGTGGGAGGCGGGACTCAGGGCTTAGCGGGCGGAGGAGTATTTAAGACCGGGCGGAGTTGGAGGTGGCCAAGGGCAGAATGAGCGGGATTCAGGGCACCAGGACCTACCCAGGCGCGGGGGACACCTCTGACCTTAAGTACCCCTTGGCGACCAGGCTCAGGGAAGCTCTCACCGAGGCTCGGTTCCATCAGCTCTTCAGGGGCGAAGAGCAGGAACCGGAGCTACCTGAAGAGCGCGGCTTTCCCCGGCTCTTCGGGCTGTGGAGGCTGCGGGCTCGCGCTTGTTCCGGGACAGGGGCGTGGCGCCTGCTGCTGGCTCGGCTGCCCGCGCTGCACTGGCTGCCCCATTACCGCTGGCGGGCCTGGCTGCTCGGAGATGCGGTGGCCGGAGTGACCGTGGGCATCGTGCACGTGCCCCAGGGTGAGAGGCCCTAACAGCAGCCTGTCGGGAGCACAAGCTCTAGAGGGCTTCCGGGAGGAGGCTTAGGGAGCTGGGAATCCGGGAGCAGATGGTGGGTTCCTACCGTCGAGGGTGGGAGAGAGGGATCTGAGGCCAAGTTTGAGGTAAGGACTGTGGAGCTCCATCAGATCCCCATCCCCACCTCCCCTCATCTGCGCAATCCTGCGAGAAGCCTTAGACAGGTTCTGGCTCAGAGAACCGGAGAGAGGCACAACGCCTGGCCCCCAGGACTTGGCCACAGCGTCCCTGACCTTGTCTGCTCCATGACCTCTCACTGAGGCCCATTAACCCCTCAGTTCCCTGATGAGGCTTGATTTAGCATCCTTGATGTCAGCTCCTAAGAGTCTGGGAAGTGCATTTAAGTCCTGGAGGTTGGACAAGGCCCCCTCCCCACAGCACACCTTTCCATCCACTTCTATCCCAGGCATGGCTTTTGCTCTCCTGGCCTCCGTGCCCCCGGTGTTTGGACTCTACACTTCTTTCTTCCCCGTCCTCATCTACAGCTTGCTAGGTACTGGGAGACACCTGTCCACAGGTGAGTGACCAGGGACTTCCAATGACTCTTCTTCCCTATGGGATGAAAATGGACAGGGGCTGTTATTTCCCTTCTTCCTAATTTCCCTCTTCACCTCTCCTACCTTCACCTCCCTCCTTGCCCAACCCTGCCAGGAAACTGACCTAGGCAATGCTTGCTAGAGTGGGTGCAAAGAGGTGGGAGTTTACCTGAACTTTTTTCCCCTATGAAATTTGGTTAAAATGAACATCTCAGGGACTTGGAAGGGGAAGAATAGGTGCATGGTCCCCCAAAGGGGCACGCAGTAGGCAGAGAATCTGCAGGAGGGAGCAGTTTTTGCCGGCTAGCGCAGCTCTTCGCGCCCCACAGTCTTGACGGGGCAGCAGCCTTCTTGGAGAGCCGAGTCTGGCAGCAGGATCTCGGACCCAAGGCATGGACCCTGAGCTGCTGCCCTGCCCAGGGCTGCACAGCTGGTGATGTCTGCATTTGTCCCCCGGCGGCAGGAACTTTCGCCATACTCAGCCTCATGACAGGCTCGGCCGTCGAGCGGCTGGTGCCGGAACCCCTCGTGGGGAATCTGAGCGGAATCGAGAAGGAGCAGCTGGACGCTCAACGGGTTGGGGTAGCCGCGGCCGTGGCCTTCGGGAGCGGGGCGTTGATGGTGAGGGAGGACCCGGGGAGGAACCCGGGGGGATCCCTGCTGAGGGGCCAGGGAAATTGGGCCGGGGAAGAGGGAGGGACCAGCTTTCGGCTTGGGTTCGGGAGGGCGGAGGTGCGCGGGGTTGGTTTGCTCCTCCTCTAGATGGTGACAGCGCGTCTTCTCCCCCACAGCTGGGGATGTTCGTGCTGCAGCTCGGCGTCTTGTCCACCTTTTTGTCCGAGCCTGTGGTCAAGGCGCTGACCAGCGGGGCCGCGCTGCACGTGCTCTTGTCCCAGCTGCCGAGCCTCTTGGGGTTGTCCCTCCCGCGCCAGATCGGCTGCTTCTCTCTCTTCAAGGTGGGGGTGGAAGAAGAAAGGAGAAGGGGCTTCTAGAGGTCCCGTGAATAGGGAAACTCGAAAAGGGAGGAAGGACGGAGGGTGGAGGGGTAGTATGTGACAAGGGAGCAGGAAAGGAGGTTGGAGCCACGTGGCTGAACGAGGGCGCTGAGGAGGTGTAAGCCCTGGTGGCACTGGGTAGAGAGGGCCTCGCTCTGGGGGTCCCGCGCCGGGGCGCATGAGCCCTGGCACGGGGCCCTCTGCTCATCGCCCCTGCCCTCAGACGCTGGCCTCCTTGCTGACTGCGCTGCCTCGGAGCAGTCCGGCCGAACTGACCATCTCCGCGCTCAGCCTGGCGCTGCTCGTGCCGGTCAAGGAATTGAACGTGAGATTCCGAGACCGGCTACCCACGCCGATCCCGGGGGAAGTCGTCTTGGTGAGGATGGCCGTGCGCGCCGGCCCCCTGCCCGCGCAGACCCTGCGGTCCTGTGGGAACTGGCCGCTGCCGCCCCCTGGTGGAGTGCAGAGAGGCCACGGAACAGAGGGCCGGCTCACACTTTCCTTGGCCTCCTGCAGAAGGACGCTTTGACCTTCCACAGCCCCCCTCGACACTGTCCCACGTCTCTCACGGAGCACCCCCTAGACCTCTTGGAGTTTCCTCTGCCATCCTACAGCGCTCCCTTGAGGTCTTGCTGGTCACAGCACCTTCTCTGACATCTGTCCTCACCAGGGTCCTTCCCTGTAATTCACAGTGCATCTCCCTCTCCACCCTCCACCGACATTTCTCTCTCTCCCCAACTAAATAAACGTTCCGCGTCTCCACAGATGCCAGTATATCACTAGATATCGTCCAGCTTCCCTCTTTGGAAGGCTCAGTGGCATCTCTTCATATCCACCATCCTTCACAGAAGCGTCCTCTTACTTCCACGGCTCCAGGCTCTGTGGCCTCAGGCATATGTCATCCCTCTTTCCCAGCTCTACACTACAAATCAGTTGTCAGGCCCTCATCCCAAACACATCCCCGCTCCCCCAGGTGCTGGGCTCCTGCAGCCAGCTAGGCCTGCATTATGGTCCTCTCTCATGGTCAGCCCCTTCTAGCTTCTGCCAGGGACCCCATCTCTTCCCATGCCTTCATTTTGCTCTCTTTTTCAGGTGCTTCTGGCCTCCGTGCTCTGCTTCACCTCTTCTGTGGACACAAGATACCAAGTCCAGATAGTGGGGCTGTTGCCTGGAGGGTAAGAGAATGAAAAGATGCCAGCTTTCTCTTCTCCCACCTCTCCCACCCAACACTCCCTCTTATCTCCACCCCCCATTTTCTCTGCCTTCCTTATCTCACTGAAGCACCTAACCCCTCCTCACCATGGATCCCTCCCTCTCCAGATTTCCCCAACCCCTCCTCCCCAACCTGGCTGAGCTGCCCAGGATTCTGGCTGACTCGCTGCCCATTGCACTGGTTAGTTTTGCGGTGTCTGCCTCCCTGGCCTCCATCCATGCAGACAAGTATAGCTACACTATTGACTCCAACCAGGTGGGACTCTGACTGTGGACCCCAACCCTCTCATTTGACTTCCCACCATGCCTTTGTCTCTCCCACTTCATCTCACTGTATCCCTCCAGGAGTTCCTGGCACATGGTGCCTCCAACCTCATCTCCTCCCTCTTCTCTTGCTTTCCCAACTCGGCTACGCTGGCCACCACCAATCTACTGGTGGATGCTGGTGGGAAAACACAGGTAAGAGGGCATCCTTGGATGAGGAGAAAGGATGGGCCATCCAGGCAAGGTGGCGGTGGTGGAGAAACAGGTGGAAGATGGCTAGAATCCCAGGTGGCACCTATATAGAGAAGACTGGGGATCTGTGAGAAAGGGTGACTGAGGGGATGGAATTATAGATAGGAGAGATGGAAGATAACAATGTTCCAGTAAGACCTTTGTAGGCTCTAAGCGCTGAAAAAGTTTATGGTGCCCCAGGTGTGGTTCAAAATAAAAACACAAAACTATAAAATAAACTTAAGAGATAAAATTCTTATTTTTTTCACACAATGACATTGTCTTTTAAAAGGAATATCACATATCAAAGTCTCCCCCTAATATTTTTGGTTTCCCTTACTTTGCTGGTGCCCTAAACACATATACCCTGCTTATAGGGTAACCCAACAGTGGCTTTTAAGGTGGAGGTGGGCTACAAAACTGGGGAACTTGAACAATGGACATCTACAAGGAGACTGGTGAATAATGGGCATTTAATTAATTGGGGGGAGCGGGAGGGTTAGATGTGAATGGCAGAATATTAAGAAGGGGGTTGTGTGGAAGGAGATTTGGGAGAAGGGAGACTTCCGAGGAAGATTAGGCAGAGTGGGCAGGAAGACCAGCTCTCATGTGGGGGTGGGAGGCTCTCTTCCTTTTTTGCTCCTGTTCCTCCTTTTCTCTAGCTGGCAGGCCTCTTCTCCTGCACAGTGGTCCTGTCGGTGCTGCTGTGGCTGGGGCCCTTCTTTTACTATCTGCCCAAGGTAATGAGCAGAGGAGGCATGAGCATGGCTGGGAGGGGTAGCTGTATTCCAGGACATCGAGGTAGTCAGCCCACCTCCTCTGCCTCAAGGCTGTCCTGGCTTGCATCAACATCTCCAGCATGCGCCAGGTGTTCTGCCAGATGCAGGAACTTCCACAACTATGGCACATCAGCCGAGTGGACTTTGTGAGAAATGCCATTACCCCCAGATTGCCCCCTCTCATCTTGTTAGCATCCCCAGCCTCTGCCCTGAACCAAACCTAATTGTCCTGGTCTTAAGTTCTGCAACCCACCCACTCCCCCAGCAAACATAACTCCTAGTATGCTTTACTCACAGGCAAGGGAAAGGATGGGGTTTGAACCCCTTTGGCCTGAATATTTGTAACTTCCCAACTGGTGCGGGTCATTACATTTGGTGTGTGTCCCATTGAATCAACCCTGTTGTTTCCTTCTGTCATGCTTTCCACTTCTTCCTGGATCATCTCTCCCCATCACTTGCCTTGGTAGTCACTGCCCTGGATCTCTTTACCCAGCAGTGATGGCCTGGCTTTTCTTTTGGGCAATCCACCCCTATCCCTATCCTGCAGGCTGTGTGGATGGTCACCTGGGTGGCAGTAGTGACCCTGAGTGTGGATTTGGGCCTGGCTGTGGGTGTGGTCTTCTCCATGATGACTGTGGTCTGCCGCACCCGGAGGTGGGCATAGAGATGAGTGGAGTTGAGGTCGGGGCAGGGGAAGAGAATGAGGTGCTTGGGGTGACTCTCCAGCCAGGCCAGGCTAAGCTGGAAATCTGGCCCCACCTTCTTCCCTAGGGTGTAGTGCCTGGCACTTGGACAGGCTGAGGGGACAGAGCTCTACAGACCACTCAGAGGAAGCCCCAGGGTGGGTGGGCTGCAGCCAAAGAAGGAAGGGAAGATTAGCCCCAGACATTTCTCTGATCCTTTGACCTCTTAGCTCCTCCAGGTCCCGGGGCTCTGCATCCTGAGCTATCCAACACCACTGTACTTTGGGACCCGTGGGCAGTTTCGCTGCAACCTGGAGTGGCACCTGGGGCTCGGAGAAGGAGAAAAGGTGAAGGAGCTTGGTTTAGGAGGGATGTGGATCCTCAGGGAGTGGGAGGCAGGTGGGTGTTCTGAGGGGGATCCTTGTGCTCAAGGGGTGCATGTTCATGCTGTGTTTCGGGAGTGGTGACTGCCCTTCTTTACTTATAGGAGACTTCAAAGCCAGATGGCCCAATGGTTGCAGGTGAGATGGGGTGACAAGAAGGAAGATTTGGGCATGTTGCATGGTGACACCTGGGTACTCCTGTCTTCTCCCATTCTAGTTGCTGAGCCTGTCAGGGTGGTGGTCCTAGACTTCAGTGGTGTCACCTTTGCAGATGCTGCTGGGGCCAGAGAAGTGGTGCAGGTGAGGGAGAGGGTAGGTTGAGGAGAAACCCCTTAGCATCTCACTCATACCCTCTGATCTGGGACTTAACCCCTTTGCCCCATCCCTGCAGCTGGCCAGCCGATGTCGAGATGCTAGGATCCGCCTCCTCCTGGCTCAGTGTAATGGTGAGATGTGTGGAGAAGAGCGGGGCCCAGTGCCTGGGCAATGACTGGACACCTGCGGTAGGGAAAAGGACCCGGTGTGGACTTAGGGTCTCAGAGTCTGACACCCTCCCCACATAGCCTTGGTGCAGGGGACACTGACCCGGGTAGGACTCCTGGACAGGGTGACTCCAGATCAGCTGTTTGTGAGTGTGCAGGATGCAGCTGCTTATGCCCTGGGGAGCCTGTTAAGGGGCAGTAGCACCAGGAGCGGGAGCCAGGAGGCACTGGGCTGCGGCAAGTGAGGCAGGGGTAAGTGGCTGGAGACCCAGGGAGAGGGGTTTGGGAAAGGGTCTGAGGAAGATCAAGAAGAAAAGGGTGGGGACGGAATGAATAGTAGATTGAAGACCAAATCAGGGAGCCCGGGCTGAGCTATGGGTGAGGAACTGAAGAACTCAGATCCCTAAGTAGGTGGGGTACCCCTGAGAGGACTGCCACATTTCATTAAGGAAGAGGGGTGCCTAATCTATTCCTGACATGTCTCCTCTCTTCTCCAGGAGCTCACTGACCCAAAGATTTGCACCGTGTGGGTCTGACCTCATCATGTGGAGTGCAGAGGGCCCTGATGACATGTGTGTGATGAGGACCATGACCCTTGAACCCCCTTACCTAACGTAACTAATAAAATGAAGCTGAGAGCTTTGGAATCCATGAAGTGAGTCTAGGTGTTTGCACAGGGACTCTGGTGCCCCTTCTTTTGTGCCCACAGCATTGCAGAGACACAACTAAGAATGGCTTTCACCAACCACCAGCCCTCACCCCAGCCCCAGAGCCACAAGTTCTCTCTGTGGGGGTGGGGCTGGAGCAGGTACACAGAGTACTGGATCTGAAGATGCAGATGAGGGGCACAGTCTTGGGATTATGTGTTGGGGAACTTCCCCACCCCCTCGGTCCCAAGATGAGAGGACAGTGTTTCCACCTTAGGTTCTTAGAGTCCCTCTGGGCTCTTTGGCACTTGGAAAGTGATCCCCCCATTTCCTGCCCCATGAGAATGGGCAGGGGGAGGACTTGGCACTGGCTGTGGGAGAGGTTATGGCTCCACCAGGCCTCTGGGCACTGGAAAAAGGAGGGGTGTCACCAGGACAACCCCTACTGGGCATCAGGTTCTGAAAAGGAAGAGTGAGGAACTAGAGGCTCAGGGACAGCCAGTAGAGTGCTCACAGGGTGGTGGGGTTTGTTGGAAATTCCTGGCAGGGACAAGGAGGCAGGCCCAGCCTGACAGTCAGAAATCCCCAGCGGGCCATCACTGGGAGGTCATGCACTGCAGCCGGTGTTTGAAGAAGAGCAGCCGGTGTTTGGCCATCTGGCTCTCGTCCAGTGATCCTGGGTAACGGTACCGGGCGTAAGTCTCTGCTCCGGCATCCCTTGATGTCCAAGGCAGCTTCAGTTTGGATGCATGATCCACCACGACGTCGGAGCAGGAGCCAACCCGAAGGGAACCAAGCCCATCCAAGAAGAATTCTGGGGGTGGAGGGGAGTACACAGTGAGGGATCCTGAGGGTGCAGAAGGCCGACTGGTAAGGGAGAACTCTCAAATTTAGGGTGTGGAAAGTGTGTGTGCAAAGGCTTGTTTCTAAGGACCCTGAGCATGTAAATCAACTCCCTGGGTCTCAGTCTTACTCTTGTGTAAATGGAGTCAATATACTTGTGCTTTGAAAATCGAAAAACCTACCCCTACTCCCAGAGGTTAAATAAACGCCAGATGGGTTGCACCGACTGTGGTCTGAACTAGGGGAAGCCCTGGGAGTAGAGCAGGGGTGGCGGGAACAGTGATGGGGAAGCTTATGGGGGCCCAGCGGCTGTGCTGGGAATGGAGATTCAACATGGCACATGTATACACATGTAACAAACCTGCACGTTGTGCACATGTACCCTAGAACTTAAAGTATAACAAAAAATATATATATTTATAAAAAAAAAAAAAGAGTATGCGGGGCTGGGAGAGGGTGGGAGCTGTCTCTCGCCCAGGTGCAGGTCTTGGTAAATCACTGCAGAACTGTTCTGGGGTTCCCGCTGGCGGCTGGGCGCGGGTGCAGCCTAGGAGGAGAGGCGCGTGACCGTGCGCCAGCTCCCCGTGGGGCTCCTGCCAGGGTCGACCGGGAGGGGGTGCCACTCACCCAGATGAGCCACGCGGCTGAGGCGGGGGTCGAAACCGACCTCGCGCACCTTGTCAGTCCGCGCCAGGAAGAAGTTAACCACGCCGTCGGTGACCACGCAGCCTGGGAAGCCGACGAGCTCGTGGTGGAAGCCGCGCCTTTGCCGGAGGCAGTTCCCGAGGCCTGGGGCGCCGGGCTCCACGCTCAGCAGCTGCCGATAAGTGGTGGCAAAGCCGGAGATCTCGCGCACCGCGCCCCCCACCTGCAGGGAGAGGGAGGTTGCCTCCAGGCGGGCCTGGGATAGGGGACCCGAAGGGGTCAAGGTCTGCGCTCCGGTGCCTTCGGGGGTACCCCTGCCCCATCCTCTTCCGCTTCACCCCTGCAGGACCCAGACAGTTCCCAGGCCCCACTTCGTGGTTCTCTCTTTGTCCTAGGGCTGGCCGTTCCTGGCCGCAGCGCCCCCGCTGTGGCCTTAGCCTGTTCAAGGCCCTTCTCCACCCCCACATCCTGCAGCCCCTGCCCTACCAGGTCCAGCGGCGTCCGCTCCAGCACGTCCACAAGCCTCTCCAGCCGCGTCCGCGCCGTGAAGACGAAGTCGTCGTCCACCCACAGCACGTACTTGGTGGTTACTTGAGACACGGCCAGGTTCCGGCCTGCGAACCAGCCCTGGCAGAAAGGTGTGTGTGGTTGGGGAGGCTGCAGAAATAGGACATGGCCCTCTGCCACCTTTCTTTCTCTCCCCCGACCCTTCTCAGCTTGTATTCTTCTCCAGACTTTTGAGTGCTTTCGAAAGGCCAGGAGCTAGGTAAAAGAAATGCAGATCCCCACAGAGGTTCCAAGTCAGTGGTCTTAGAATGCGTTTAATTTCCGTGTGCATTTATTTATTCATTCATCAGCTATTTTATTGAATGCCATTAGGCACTAAGCACCATTCTAAGAATTCAGAGAGAATTTCCTGCTCCCACGAAGCTTACATTCCAGGAATCCTCATGCTTAACAGGCACCCCATGATTCTGAGGCAGGTGGTCCTCGAATCACTACCCTGGAGGCTGCAGATTGAGGGCACACCCCCTGCGGGAGTCCTCTGGCCTGCCGTTCAGCCTGCTAGCTGCACACCTTGCCGAAGGGCATGAGATAGTGTTCCACGTAGGGGCCACTAACGCGCTCTGGCTTGTCGCTGTCGTCAGCGATGACCACGGTAACCGTTGGGTAGAAGCGGCGGATACTGGTGATGAGAGCCCGTAGCCGATCATAACGGAGGAAGGTCTTGGTGGCAATCGTGACTAGAGCGCTGATGTTGTACTGGGCTGAGATTGGGGGCACAGGGTTGGGTGCAGACAAGGAGGGTTGGGAGAGGGGAACAGGTAGATATCCCCTCCCAGGACTGCCCTCTCCCAACTTGCTCCCCACCAAGGCTGGTTCTAATATGTCCCTGCCCCTACCAGCCTCACCTCCCTGGGGTAGAGACCCAGGTGGGTACAGCCGAGGGTTGGGCGGGTGTCTTATGCGGATAGTGAAAGCAGCCTCATGTCCCTCGGTGGAGAACCGGACTGGGAAGAAAGGACATGGCATTTGACCCTGAAGGGTGGGATAACATTCTGTTTTCAGCCAATCAATATTTAAGTGCCTACTCTGTGTCCCACCTTTCTAGGCCTTGGTGGACAAGAACAGAAGGTTCTTACCTTTATGGAACTTACATTCTAATGGGTAGGAGAAAAAACAACAAAGAAAATTTTAAGTAAAAGCTAATCTTTATTGAGCACTTACTATGTGCCAGACCCGTTAAAAAATTACCTTAAATATATGCACTCATTTTATCCCCATGATAGCCCTATTAAGTAGATTCCTACAACAGAAAAAAAAGCTGAGACACAGAAAAGTAACTTGCCACATTTACACAACTATTAAGCAACAAAACTGATAGCAACCTAGTCAGTCTGGTGCCAGGCTAAGTAAATTAAAAAATTCAGATACTGGTAAGTATTGAGTGGAAAATAAGACAAACAAGTAATGTGATAGTGAAGAGGAGGCATTTGAACTGAGATCTAAATGACAAGAAGAAGCCAGTCTGCAAAAATCTGGGGAAGAGCATTCCAGGCTGAGAAAATAGAAAGTGCAAAGGCCCTAAGGTGGAAGCAAACTTAGTGCAACAAACCAGCTTTGGGGAGAAGCAAAGAGGGCTTTTAGGCCTCTTTTGCTGGAAGAGAAATGGGATCTCAGGAAAGTAAAGACCTTTGCCCTCTAGTAAGGGGTGGGTTGGGAATATAGTCTTCTAACTCCTTAGACAAGTCTCTTCCTGGGGCCCCCCACAGTTGGCCTAAAGGGGAGACACACCCAAGGCTCGGGTTTCCCTCTGGCCTGCTCCAGCCCCAGATGAACAAAGGCCCCCTTTCTCCCTCTGGCCCTGCTGGTCCAGTTGAAGCACCCATTGTGTGGCTGGACAGCTCTGGCCATAGCCCAGATGCCTCCCATGCCCTCTGCCATTTGCCCACTCCAGCCTTTCTGGTTCTTCTCTGTTTGCCCAGCCTGCCCGTCTCTCCACCCAGGCCTTGCACCTGTGTCTGCTGTGTTGGTCTGGTAGCTTCGGCTGCTGTAAGTGACCAGTTGTAGTTGCCTGTTGAGTTGGTCCAGCCCTGGGCTGACAAGGGTGAGATCTGCCTGACCCTCTCCAGTGAGAGTAACTCCAGTCACTTCCCCTGCCACGTCCCAGGTGCCTAGGGAGGCAGTCAGGTTCACCTAGGAGGGGATTGGAGAGTGCAGGGTTAGGCCCCAGACCCACTTCTTGCCTCCCTGATTCGCCCATCCTTCCCTTAGTAGCCCTGCCTCCCTCCCAGCATTCTTGATGCCTACTTGGCCTCCTTGCCTTCTTGTTTTCTCTCACCTGGTATACCTCCTGACCAGAAGCTGCCTGAAGGCTCAGCCCTAGGAGAAAGGAGTGGGGGGATCAGAATCACATAGGCAGCCCTGAATTCTTTCTCATTTTCTCTCCCTGCTGTCACCACACACAATAGAGAACTTTCCACCTATTCTTCTTATTGAGGCCTCAGCAGGGCACACTGTATAACATAGCCTACAGTGACTGATTTTTGAGCCCGTCCCGTCAAAGCTTGCCCTATGGCCTGCCCTGACCACCACCTAACCAATGGTTAGTCAGCAAAGAATAGATTATTTCCCCCAAAACTCCCCAGTTACAGTCTTCTGAAATTCCTAGAGTCCCTTCTGTCCTCACTTCCCACCTCCTAAGCCGCCGTTTGAGCTTAAGTCCCCCATTCATCAGAGGTTCCCACCTCCCATTCCAATCATCTCCCATTCTTCCCCACCCAACCTTGGGCTCTGCCACCCCCACTGTGGCTGAGGTCATCCTCTGGGACCCTCCTCCCTACCTGGCACCAAGATGCTCCTGAGGGGCTGAACTTCCACACCCTGTAGGGGGTACTGGAGCGGGGAGTTGGCAGGGGCTATGAGCAGCTGGTCAGCTGGGGACTGGCTCCTGGCAGTGGAGGAAGGAGAGGACAGAGCAGAGTCGGGGGGAGAGGGTCTCTCCCTCCCGGCACAATCACTGCTCTCCCCCTGAGGAGTCATGCGCTTCTTTCAAGCTGGTACCTCGACAGAAAGGCCTGGAACTCCTGCTCTCTTGTGGCAGAGGCAGCCCTCAGCTCTGCAGGGTCAAAGGCCTTGGTGAGGTCAATAGCTCGGACTTGTTTCTGGAAGGGGAGGGGGAGGCCCCCCCCACTGGACTCACAACTGCAGTTGTTCCAAGCCAGCAGCCTGAAGGGGGTAGGTAGTGAGGGTCATCAGAGCCCAGCTACACAGCTCCATTCATCCCATAAACACTGACACAGCACCCCACACCTTGGCCCTGCAATTCTGTCTGTCTAGGCTCTGTCCCCTTAAATGCTGCCCTTCAAATAGTCCTCGGGAGGGGGACCAAGGATCGGATGACCTATCCCCTAAATCTGGATTTTAGAGTTGTAGGATAGGGCCAATTACCAGGATTTCAGGAGCTGCCTACCCACCAACCAGGACCCCACCTGGAGTCTCTTCTCATACCTGAATCAGGACCTCAGGGAGTCTTTCAGGGCCCTCCCTTGACTGCACAACCTCCCACGCCCATCCCCATCCTTATCCCCATGGCAAGGTTCAGGGAGAACAGATTTTCCCCAGCCCAAGCCTCAGCAGCCTCCCACTTCCACCTCCCACTTCACTCCACACAGCCCGTTAGGAGAATGCAGGCATCTGAGCCCAGCAGTGGAGAAAACAAAAGCCCCCAGACCACCCCCAGCGAGCGCTGCGCTGCGCCGCCGCGGTCGGCACTCACCCCACTACTTGCTCCTTGATCCTGACCGGGATGTGTGCGTAGCGGGGCTCAGGAGCAAGATCTGGCAGCTCGGGCCTGCGGGGGCTTTGCGGGGGCGCCCACGGCGCAAGAGGTAGCCGGAGGCCGGGCGCGTCCCGGGTGCTCGCGTACAGGAGCCCCAGCGAGGCGCAGGCGAGCAGAAGGACCAGAGCGCACAGGGCCCGGCGGCCCAGCCACATCCTAGGTGGGGGTAGGGTGGGGAGTGAGAAAGGGAGGGAAGAAGGGAGGGCAAGGGATGGGGCCCTTGGCCCCCGCGTCCTCAGAGGCTCCTGCCGGCTCCCAAGAGCGCTCTCCACTCCACACATCGCGCTAGGGTTTGCACTGCCAGCCGCGGTTTTCCCGGTACCCCTCCCCTCACTTCCCAGGCCCCAGGGTCTCCCGGCCTCCTTTCTTCTCGCCCTCTCCTGCATCTCGGTTTCCTCACACACCCGAGGCCTGGCATCTTAATGCTGAAGACATTTGGATGCCGCGGTTTCGACGCGGCCGTGCGTAAGCGGAAAAGCCCCGCTCTATCAGGGCAGTGGCAGTCCCCAAGCCCGCCGCCCGCCCTGGCCGGCGCGCCCCCGACTCCTCAGTCTGAGCATCACCTGGGCCGGGGTGGGCTGCGGAGGGCGGCTCCACACCTAGCCTGTCAGGAAAAAATGCAGAATCATGCCCGTGCTGGCGGGCGCCCCCGGCGGAGGTGACCCGATGAGTGGCCTCGGCAAGCGGCGCGGGGGACAGAGTGGACCGGGAAGCGCGCCTCCTCCCGCCTCCTCCCGCCTCCTCCTCCTCCCCTCACCAACCAATCCCACCCCCACCCACCCCCGGGCACTGACCTGTCTAACGCTCTAAGGCAGCGGCAAAATTTCGGTCCGGGCTGTGCCGGGCTCTCGCCCCGGCCTGAGGGTCCTCATGGGGCTGGGGGCTGCCCGATGGGGGAGCTGGGCATGAGCCTGAGGGTGTGGGGGACCCTCCTGCCTCTGGAGCGCGCCCGATCCCTCCCGTCTTGGAACTCCCGGGGCTTTTGTGGAGCGCGGCGCGGTGGTGGTTCTGGGCGTTTCCTGCCCGGGGGCGGTTGGCGGGGCGCGAGGACCAAGTTAAGAGTCTGTTGCACCCCAGCCCCGGGGCAAAGCCGGGGATCCCTGGCTCCGCGTCCCACTGGCAGCGCGGGGAGGGCTCTGGCCGCCGCCCGGCTCTTCGCACCGCAGCGCAGCGCGGCTCAGCTCCCGGCTCGTTGCGGCTGCTTCGGCTCCGCGCGGGGAATGCGAGCGCCCCGGCGCCTTCTAGTGGGCGCGGAGGAAACTGCGGGGGCGCGGAGCAAACGCGGGAAGGTCCTCGCTCACAGCCCCCAGTCCTTAGCCTCCAAACACTGGCATCTCAACCGCCTGCTCCCACGACATCCATTCCATTGCCTGCTCGTTCTGAGCTTGTAGGCAAGGATGGGCAAATAAGGGCTTTGGGAGGAGGTAGGGCGGGGGCGCGCTAAAACTCAAGTCAAGTTTGAATGTTAGGATGAAGATAAAGGAAACAACCCCTGGAAAATAAACGCTCTGCCTGGCTAACAAAGACTGAGGCACAGCCTCCCTCTCCCCCTCCTCCCCGCCCTGCCCCCCATTATTTAACAGACACTCAAGAGATACACACTGGGTAATTGAAGGCCCTATTTCCCCGAACTGCCGCTTGGTGCAACCTTGCAGGAGGAAGGGAACCCCAGAGAGGCCAGATTGGCGGTAGTTCTGCTTGCAAGCCTTAGGTCATAGCCTGATACCTCACATTGCCGAGAATCGGAGTTCTGTGGCTCCGTGGTTCTAATAAAAGATGCATCAAGATTCAATAGGAAAAAAAGATATAACAAGAAATATAGAACATAACGAAAATATGTGTGTGTGTGTGTGTGTGGTGGATTATTGAATGAATGAATTTTATACAAACAAATGACTAATCAGCTGGGGTGAAAGTGGAATCTCTACACTTCTTACACCAAAATTCCAAATGTATTAAATATTTTAATATTAAAGGTGAAATCATAAAAGTAGTGAAAGAAATCATGAAACCCGGCGCAGTGGCTCATGCTTGTAATCTCAGCACTTTGGGAGGCTGCGATAGGAGACCAGGAGTTCGAGACCAGCCTGGGCAACATGGTGAGACCCCCCCCCCCCCCCGTCTCTACAAAAAATTTAAAAATTAGCCCAGCAAGATGGCTCACACCTGTAGTCCAACTACTTAGGAGGCTGAAGTGGGAAGATTGCTTGAGCTCGGGAAGTTGAAGCTGCAGTGAGCTGAGATGGTGCCATGGCACTGTAGCCTGGGTGACAGAGCGAGACTCTGTCTCAAAAGAAGAAATCATGGAATTTTTGTTTTGTTTATGATCTTGGAGTAGGGAAGAGATCTCTAAGCCAGATGTAAAGGGAAATATTAATAAATCTGACTATATGAAAAACTTGAGTGAAGAAATTAACATACACTAAATTTGAGAGAGAAATGACAAACTGTGAAAAAATATTTGTAACATATAAGACAGGTATACTTTATCTGGTTGGTGCCCCCAGCGGAGATGACCAGGAATGAATTATGAACCATTGAAAACATAGGAATCCATGACTCCACACTGATAATACATAGATAATTAATTAATTAATTAATTAAATGAATGAAGGAGAAGGGAGAATGCCAATTAATAAATGTGGAGGGAGCTGATGGAGTTGGAAAATAACTATTTTTTAAAATTTTATTTTATTATTATTATACTTTAAGTTTTAGGGTACATGGGCACAATGTGCAGGTTAGTTACATATGAATACATGTGCCATGCTGGTGTGCTGCACCCATTAACTCGTCATTTAGCATTAGGTATATCTCCTAAAGCTATTCCTCCCCCCTCCCCCCATGAAAATAACTATTTTGCAACCATCAGAGTAAAAGTTGGTTTGGGCAAGAATTATCAATGAATGCTAATTCTAGGGGGAAAGTTTGACAGAAGCAGCTTATGTACGTAGCTTAAAGTATCTCCCCATAGTTGGCTTATTCGTTGCAAGAGGAAAAATTGTAACCGCGCAGTGGGAAAAGCAGACAGCACCTTGACTTGCTGGCCAAAATTAACATCACCAATGAGGGACAGAAGAATATCATGTGCCTCCAGAAATGTTCCCCGGAGAAAGCATGACATCATTTATGTAGTGATGTGGCTGGGAATACATAACTTGATTTTAAATACAAAGAAACAGACAGACCCCAAGTAAGGAATATTTTCTCTGTATAAAAGAAACAGGCTGGGCACGGTGGCTCATGCCTGTAATCCCAGCATTTTGGAGGCCGAGGTGGGTGGATCACTTGAGGTCAGGAGTTCGAGACCAGTCCGGCCAACATGGTGAAACCCTGTCTCTACCAAAAATACAAAAATTAGACGGGCATAGTGATGAGTGCCTGTAATCCCAGCTACTCTGGAGGCTGAGGCAGGAGAATTGCTTGAACCCTAGAACCCAGAGGTGGACATTGCAGTGAGCCAAGATCGCACCACTGCACTTCAGCCTGAGTGACAGAGCGAGACTCTGTCACAAGAAAAAAAAAAAAAAGAAACTTAATACAAAAATTAGCCAGGCATAAGCTGGACATGGTGGCTCACACCTGTAGTCCCAGCTACTTGGGAGGCTGAGGCATGAGAACCACTTGAACTTGGGAGGCAAAGGTTGCAGGGAGCCAATATTTCGCCACTGCACTCCAGTCTGGGTGACAGAGCAAGACTCTGTCTCAAAAAAAAAAAAAAAAAGAAAAAGAAAAAGAAACTGGCTAGTAGTTTTTAAAAATGTCGGTCATGAAAGACAAAGAATGAGGAACTGCTCCAGATTAAAGGAGACTACAGAGACATGACAACTCAATGCAATATGTGATCCTAGATTAAAAGTGATATAACAGACATTTTGGGGGACTATTTAAAAAATTGGGGCCAGGTGAGGTGGTTCATGCCTGTAATCTCAGCACTTTGGGAGGCCAAAGTAGGAGGATCGCTTGAGATCAGGCCTTTGAGACCAGCCTGGGCAATATAATGAGATTTCATCTTTACAGAAATTTATTTTTATTTTTATTTTTTGTAGAGATGGAGTCTTGCTATGCTGCCCAGGTTGGTCTTCAACTTCTAGCCTCAAGCAGTCCTTCTGCCTGGGCCTCCTAAAGTTTTGGGATCACAGGTGTGAGCCACCTGGCTGGGCTACAAAAACTTTTTAAAAAATTAGCCAGGTATGGCAGCACGTGGCTGTAGTACCAGCTACTTGGGAGGCTGAGGTGGGAGGATTCCTTGAGCCTAGGAGTTTGAGGCTGCAGTGAGCTATGATTGCACCACTGCACTCCAGCTTGGGTAACAGAGCAAGAACCTATCTTTTTTTTTTCTAAAAAAAAAAATTGGAATATGGAAAGTTGATCGGATAAACGTTGTTTTATCTTTGTTAAAAGATAAATGGTAAATATTAAATTTCCCAAAGTTGGTAACCGTGGATATGTAATAAAATATCCCTGTTCTTAGAGAATATGACCTAAAGTGTTAAAGGGTAAAGTGGAAGGATGTCTGCAATCTACTCTCAAATTGTTCAGAAAAAATAAATAATAGTAATGTGTATGTGATACATTTATATAATATATATGTGTGGTATATATAATGTATAATTTATATTTTATTGTTAATTTGATAATTAATCACATTTATTATAAATTATATAGAATTATATATAGAGAGAAAATGATAAAATGTGACCAAATGTGAAAAATTGGTGAAGCTGAATAAATGATACGTGGGAGTGCTCTGTATTATTCTTTAAATATCTAAGTTTGAAATTATTTCAAAGTAAAAATAAAAAGAAAAAAATCACTCCTTTATTTACTTTAGTTGAAAGTGAGTGTTGGCCAGGTGCGGTGGCTCATGCCTGTAATCTCAGCACTTTGGGAGGTGGAGGCGGGCGGATCATCTGAGCTCAGGAGTTCGAGACCAGCCTGGCCAACATGGTAAAGCCCGTCTCTACTAAAAATACAAAAATTAGCTGGGCGTGGTGGCTGGCGCCTGTAATCCCAGCTACTCCAGAGGCTGAGGCAGGAGAATGGCTTGAACCCAGGAGATGGAGGTTGCAGTGAGCCGAGATAATGCCATTGCACTCCAGCCTGGGTGACAAGAGTGAGACTCCGTCTTGAAAACAAACAAAAAAGAAAGTGAATGTCTATTTAATAATTTGGTGACGGTACTGAGAAATTGTTTTAGCGTGTAACTGTCACGCTTTCTAAAAACTAAAGTTTTTTCATAATGAAATATTAATAATTAAAACTTTCTAATAGAACTTCATATTAGTTCTTGTATCTCAGCATTTCATTCTATGATGGTGATATTTAGCCTCAGCTGAATACCGAAATACTGATTTTAATTCTCTCTCTCTTTTTCTCATGTTTTGTAGACATTAAGACTTTTTTTTTTTTTGAGATTTGAGTCTCTGTTGCCCAGGCTGAGGGGCAGTGGTATGATCTTGGCTTACTGAAGCCTCCACCTCCTGGGCTCAAGTCCATCTCGGCCTCCAAGTGGTGGAACTACAGGTGCTCACCAACACGCCCAGCTGATTTTTTACTTAGTGTATTTAGTTGTCATGTCTTTTTGTTTCCTCATCTTTGAGGATATTAAACATACTTACAGTGGGCCCTCTGGGTTCAACAAGTGCAGTTCTGCCACCTGCTGATCAAAAATATTTGGAAAAAAATAACAATATAGCAATTGAAAATAATACAAATTTTAAAGTGTAACAACGATTTGCACAGCATTTACATTGTATTAGGTATAAAGAAACTAGAGATGATTTAAAGTATAGAAGAGTGTGTACATAGATTATATATAAATAATATACCATATCATATAAGGAACTTAAGCATTCTGGGATTTTGGTACCTGCAAGAGTCTTGGAACCAATCCTCTGCAGATAATTGAGAAATGAGGGATGACTATATTTAATTTTTTTTCTCCAGTTGATCTATTATTTCTGTTTACTCTAGAATAAATTATCTTGTGTATTAATATTTTTATCTTTCATTATGTTAATTTTCATGAAGAGCTTTGAAATTTTAGTTTGCTAGCTTGTTTTTTGTGTGTGAATTTCTTGTACGTGTGTGTCCTTGTTAGGGTTCATTGTAGCTGACAGAAACATTGTAGATGACAGGGGTTTATTTCTTGGTATTAGGGGGCTTACAATGTGATTTGGGGCCTGGTTTTTTTACGCCATGGGTGATAGTGCTTCCCCAGGCTTTTGGAAATATGTGGGGCCATTTTGGGTTGTCATAATAGCTGGGCCAGCTGCCAGCAATTGGTGGGCAGGTGTCAGCTGAGCTAAATGTCCTATGATGAACAGAACAAGCCTATGCAACAAAGACTTGCCCTTCCCTAGACACCGATAGAAACTCAATGGAGAAGCACTGCTTTAGGCGGAACTTCTAGAAACAGCTCCCTGCCTCCAGAATCACACAACTCTGTTGGTATCAGCAAAACTGGGGTCACAACTGCAGCAAGCTCTCTCTCTCTCTTTTTTAATATGCAGTCTCACTGTGTTGCCTAGGCTGGAGTGCAGTGGTGTGATCTTGGCTCACTGCAACCTCTGCCTCCTGGGTTCAAGTGATTCTCCTGCCTCAGCCTCCCAAGTAGCTGGGATTACAGGCGCCTGCCACCATGTCCGGCTAATTTTTTGTATTTTTAGAGGAGACAGGGTTTCACCATGTTGGCCAGGCTGGTCTTGAACTCCTGACCTCAAATGATCCACCTGCTTTGGCCTCCCAAAGTGCTGGGATTACAGGCATGAGCCACCATGCCCGGTGCAGCAAGCTTTCAAAACCAGGAAGCTACTACTAGCTGAGGAACCCCAATGCCTCTGCCACAATTTACATTAGAAAAGCAGACACCTTCCACTCAAGGTCCTCCCACGTTCTCCCATTTAAGCCCTATCCCAATTCAGATTTCTCAAGTGTGCACGTGATTGACACAAGGAACGCTAGCTCAGAGGGAGTTCAGAAAATGCAGTTTTTCATACTCCAGCAGAGTCAGATTCATTAGGAAAAGATTGTAATGGGTGCTAAATTTGCCAGTCCACTTTGGAGTTGTAGGTTTCCCTCTCTCCCCACTGCATGCCTTCATGTTAAGTGGTGCCAAGCCTGTCTCCACAGCCTAGAATTTACATTTGACAGGCAGGGGGATTACATTTAAAAAAAGAAATCCAGGCCAGGCGCGGTGGCTCACGCTTGTAATCCCAGCACTTTGGGAGGCTGAGGCGGGCGGATCACGAGGTCAGGAGATCGAGACCACAGTGAAACCCCATCTCTACTAAAAATACAAAAAAATTAGCCAGGCGTGGTGGCGGGCACCTGTAGTCCCAGCTACTCAGAGAGGCTAAGGCAGGAGAATGGCGTGAACCCGGGAGGCGGAGGTTGCAGTGAGCCAAGATTGCGCCACTGCACTCCAGGCTGGGCGACAGAGCGAGACTCCATCTCAAAACAAACAAACAAACAAAAAATCCAGACAGTATGTTGCTTGATCCTACCCCCAGCCAGCTGTAGGCAAAGTCCAATTCTGCATGGCAGCCTAGAGGGCTGGGGACAGGGCTGGGCTAGCCTTGTCCTCTCTGCTCTTCTCAATCACTCTAGGCAAGTGGCTCTGGATGGATGGATGGAGCCCGGCTAGCAGTCACAACGTTATACAACCCCCTGTCATGCATCAGAACATCCAGTGAGTTTTCCAAAAGACCTGGGTTCCTGGCAGGTGCTGTTTCTTGTCGTGTAGCCCAGCAGACCTGTGACTTAAGCCCCCAGCTGTTATCTTTCCCTTAACAATTCAAAGGATGCTTATTTTGTTTATTGAACATGGCTTGTCTTTTTAATACATATTTGGGATATATTATCTGTCATTTTAATTTGATCTGTTTGGAGTGAAGGAAGGATTTTCCCTTGAATTTACTCAACCATTTTTGATGGAAGTGACCCTACAAATTGTCTACTTATAAACTTTTTTTTTAAACAGGAAAGAAATTATACTATACACGTGGAACCCCATACTGCTTTTTTACATGACACATATATCTTGGAGGTCTCTTTATAAAAGCACATGAAAATGTCTCATTTAAAATTTTGCATATTACTACATCAAATGAATATATTAATTAACACTTCCTTTTCATGACAAACAGTGCTGCAATAAACATACTTGGTGAACTGTTATAAATATGCCTGATCTATTTAAACTGAATGCCAATTATTATGTCATTGTTCTTTAATTTAGATTTTTTGCTTAGATTACAGCAAAGACCAAGTTCAAAGATGTCAATCAGAAGAGGCAACCAAGAAAACTGTGAGCCAGTTAATGCTTGCCATACACACATTTATTTGCACTCAACAAGTTAATAAAAATCAGTGTATTGCTCAATTAGCTGGCGATGAGAACTAACAAAAGGGAAGCCCCATGCTACTTTAGTGCCAGGATTTGGTCAGCTTTTCTTGGCTGTTTTCATCAAAGTATTCTTTTGCTCATGGATTTTGTTTACCCTAACCAGCACGAGGGAGTCGTAAAGACCTCACGACTTACATGAAATTGTCCAGTTACTCCAGAGAGACGCAGGGACAGTAGTGCTCTTGTCCTCCAGTGTTTGGTGGCAGGCTGGGATTTTTATGCTCGCTTGGGCTTTGGGTGTTTCAGACATGGCTTACATTCTATTGGTTCAATATTATATGATACTTCTGTGAAAGGAAAATAAGTCTTGGGCCCCCCCAAATCACTAAGTTAAAGGACAAAGTCAAGCTGGGAACTGCATAGGGCAAGGCTGCCTCCCATTCTATTCAAAGTCACCCCTCTGCTCACTGAGATAAATGTATATCTGATTGCCTCCTTTTGAGAGGCTAATCAGAAATTCAAAGGAATACAACCATTTGCTTCTTATCTACCTATGACCTGGAAGCTCCCTCCCCGCTTTGAATTGTCCAGCCTTTCCAGACTGAGCTAATGTTCATCTTACATATGTTGATTGATGTCTCATGTCTCCCTAAAATGCATAAAAACCAAACTGCTCTGACCACCTTGGGGACATGTCATCAGGACTTCCTAAGGCTGTGCCACAAGCATGTGTCCTCAACCTTGGCAAAATAAACTTTCAAAATTAACTGAGACCTGTTTCAGATTTTTGGGGTTCACATTTTGGTAACCATGGGGGGATTCTGAGTGGAGATGCCCCTGACCTTTGACAAATCTATCAGTGCTTGGGACCAGCATGAGCTAACTTCATGGCTCAAACCAATAGGACAATTTGCTGAGGCCTAAGAGCACCCCCTCCAGAAAATCCCTGATCTCCCCAAATTTGGTTGAAATCTAAAGTTTATTTTGCTGTGCAACTCCTCTTATTTTTTGGAGTTTTACTGCTTCCAATAAGGAAGGCAAGATTTCCTGTTTCCATGATGATGGAAGGCAGGTAACTCCTTTATAGAGTTTCAGCTCGCTTCCAACAGGGAAGGTGAGTTTTTTTTCAGGCTTCTAAAGTGGTAGAGAGCAGTCTACAGCCTGAGACCCATCCCTAGGTAAGTAACTGAATTGAGGATTGTCGTGGCTAAAGTGAAAATTAACAACCAGCTGGTCTTAATTTCTCCTTACCATTAGAGCACTAAGTGATCACATAAGTTTACCTATTTTTGTTGTTGTTGTTGTTTGTTTGTTTCTGTTTTTGTTGTTGTTTCGGTCTTTTTCCCATTGGGTTTGGTCAACTCTATCCAACTTGATCAAATACAAAGGAAGTTCCAAATTATGGGGAACAAGTCCTCTGAACTGCCTAAATTCCCCCACACACAAAAAAGGTGGTGTGGTGGGGGCAAAAAATGGCCAGCAAAAGAAAAAAAAGGAGGAAAGATTTTTTATTTTGACTACAAAAGGGGCTTTATTTACATAACAAGGCCACCTTTTGCTAGCCAGGCCAAAGTGAAAGCAATGACTGTTACCCCGTGCTACAGTTTGATAGCTAAGGTTCTACTTTCTTTTTTCCACCATGACAGCCTGGGTTTTTGTTCCTAAATCAAGCCCTTTCTGGTTTGATACTTGGTACTTCTGAAATAGCAGCAATTTGTCCTAGCTGAAATATGATAATGATACAGGAGGTAGAAAGAAATTATTTAGGCAGATAGTGAGGGCAAAAGAGTCCTCGGCAGAGCTTCCCCTCTAACAGTAAGCAGTCCCCCAAAATCATTTTTTTTCCCTAAAACAGAGAAGCCTGAAAAATCGAGCTGCAAACATAGATAAGCAAGCTGGAAGCTTGCACGGGGGAATGCTGGCAGCTGTGTCAATAGAAAAGGGCTACCTGGGGACCAAGCATGTCCAACATGGAGGCTCCATCTTCCCTTTTTTGTTAGGATGTGTACAGTAAGAAAGAAATGGGTAACATGGCACAGCTCAGGCGGATAACCCATCTGCATAATAAAATTTTAGGAGGCTGGGCATGGTAGCTCACACCTGTAATCCCAGCACTTTGGGAGGCTGAAGTAGGAGGATCACTCGAGTGCAGGAGTTTGAGACAAGCCTGGGCAACATGGCAAAACCTGTGTCCACTAAAAATGCGAAAAATGAGCCAGGCATGGTGGTGCATGCCTGTAGTCCCAGCTACTCAACAGGCTGAGGAGGGAGGATCACCTGAGCCCAGGAAGTCGAAGCTGCAGTGAGCCGAGATTGCACCTAGTTAACCAGAGTGAGACCTAGTCTCAAAAAAATAAAATAAAATAAAGATTAGGATGGAGGCTACCAGAGATTCATGCCCTATGCAAATGGCACATCTGGTCCTAACCAGTTTTTTGCACTCTATGTAAATCAGACACCGCCTCCCCATCAGCTCATCTATAAAACTCCCTGCATTTCACTGTGGATCCAGCAATCCATTTTTCCAGGACCCCTTTCTGTAGCAGAGAGCTATTCACTTTCTTTTGCCAATTAAACGTCCATTCTCTTTTTTTTTTTTTTGAGACGGAGTCCCTGTCTGTCGCCCAGGCTGGAGTGCAGTGGCGCAATCTTGGCTCACTGCAACCTCCGCCTCTTGGGTTCAAGTGATTCTCCTGCCTCAGCTTCCCAAGAACCTGGGATTACAGGCACCCACCACTACACCTGGCTAATTTTTGTATTTTTAGTAGAGATGGGGTTTCACCATGTTGACCAGGCTGCTCTCGAACTCCTGATCTCAGGTGATCTGCCTGCCTTGGCCTCCCAGAGAGCCGGGATTACAGGCATAAGCCACCGCGCCGAGCGTTTTTTTTTTTTTTTTTTTTTTTTTTTTTTTTTGGAGACAGAGTTTAGCTCTTGTAGCCCAGGCTGGAGTCAATGGTGTGATCTTGGCTCACTGCAACCTCTGCCCCCTGGGTTCAAGCAATTCTCCTGCCTCAGCCTCCCAAGTAGCTGGGATTACAGGTGCCTGCCACCACACCCAGCTAATTTTTGTATTTTTAGAGGAGACAGGGTTTCACCATGTTGGCCAGGCTGGTCTCGAACTCCTGACCTCAGGTGATCCACCCACCTTGGCCTCCCAAAGTGCTGGGATTACAGGCATGAGCCACCACGCCTGGCCCTAAACTTCCATTCTTAACCTCACTCTTGTGTGTTCGTGTCCTTGATCTTTGTGGCTGTGAGATAATAAACCTTGGGTATCACCCCAGACAATAAGGCTGCTTCAGTAATGAGATTTAAAAAAAATTTTTGTTTTTGAGATGGAGTCTTGCTCTGTTGCCCAGGCTGGAGTGCAGTGGTGCAATCTCAGCTCACTGCAGCTTCCACCTCCCAAGTTCAAATGATTCTCTTGCCTCAGCCTCCCAAGTAGCTGGGACTACAGGTGAGTGCTGCCATGCCTGGCTAATTTTTTGTATTTTTAGTAGAGATGGGGTTTCACCATGTTAGCCAGGATGGTCTTGATCTCCTGACCTTGTGATCTGCCAGCCTCAGCCTCCCAAAGTGCTGGGATTACAGGTGTGAGCCACCGCGCCTGGCCTAAAAAAAAAAACAAAAAAAAGAAAAAAAATTTTTTTAAAGCAGCTTAATGGTTAAAGTCAGCTTAATTAAAAGCTAACATCCAAAATGTATGTGTGTATGAGAGCGTGTGTATGTTTGTATTTAAAAGGCCTTCATGTTCGTTTTTTTTTTTTTTTTTTGAGACGGAGTTTAGCTCTTGCTGCCCAGGCTGCAGTGCAATGGCATAATCTCGGCTCACTGCAACTTCCGCCTCCTGGTTTCAAGTTATTCTCCTGCCTCAGCCTCCCAAGTAGCTGGGATTACAGGCACTCCACACCATGCCTGGCTAATTTTTTGTATTTTTAGTACAGATGGAATTTCACCATGTTGGTCAGGCTGGTCTTGAACTCCTGACCTCAGGTGATCCACCCACCTCAGCCTCCCAAAGTGCTGGGATTACAGGCATGAGCCACCACGCCCGGCCCTCTCTGTATCTTATGATGTAAATTTTGCTATTTAATTTTCACCTGGGTTATTTCCTTTAATATGCAAATTTAAGTCTGTTTTGCTAACAACTGCCTAGGGTTGTGAAGCAGGTTATCAAGAATCTGAAAGTCTAAGACAGGGGGAAAAAAAGGGTTTTTTGAATCTATAAGATGTACCTTGATAGGCATGAAATACATGCACATCTATGTATTTATGTGTTGTGTACACAATGTTTCACTACTGAAAATATATAAAAGAGCTCTAATTAATTGGCTTAAAGAAAAGTAAAAGTGCTTGAATCATATACTTTATCAAGAAAAAAGAAAAGACTAGTCAAATGCTTTTTCAAGTTTACAGAACTTAAGTAAAATCTTTAATAAATAAACTAGCTTTAAAATTATTGGTAAAATAATATTAGAAATGTCATAAGAATTGCCAGCATACATTTTTATTTGCATTTCTTAATCAAGCAATTTCATACTTATCCCTGCCAAATACTATAAGTTGTCAAAACTTGGCATAGGGCTTACAAAATTATAAACCTAGCCCAAGACAGAATAAAACTTTGCTTGTATAGTCTTTAATAAATAAGACATTGATATTGGTTTAATGAAAATAACTACATCTTGAATTATTTAATAAAATTACCATAACTTCTAATTCTGTGACTTTAGGCAGTCTAGTCCACAGGTAGTAATGAGGTTTGTTTTGGGAAAGAACTGCTATTTGTTTGAACTGCTATTAGTTTAGCTTTGTCTGAAAGCTAAACTATAAGCTAAGTTCCTCCCAAAGTCCAGGATGAGCAAGGGCAGTTTGGAGGTTAGAAGCAAGATGGAGTCAGTTAGGTTAAATCTTTTCACTGTCTCAGTTATAATTTTGCAATGGTGGTTCCATAACTTTAAACAATGACTATTGCAGTTTTCATAAATAATCTAGATAAAAAATTAGGCCAGGCATGGTGTCTCACACCTGTAATCCCAGCACTTTGGGAGGCCGAGACAGGTGGATCACTTGAGGTCAGCAATTTTAGACTAGCCTGGCCAACATGGCAAAACCCCACCTCTACTAAAAATACAAAAAAAAATTAGCCAGGTGTGGTGGCGCATGCCTGTAATTCCAGCTATTCAGGAGGCTGAGGCAGAAGAATTGCTTGAACCCAGGAGGCAGAGGTTGCAGTGAGCCAAGATCATGTCCCTACACTCCAACCTGGGTGACAGAGTGAGACACTGTCTCAAAAACAAACAAACAAAAAACAATTAAAATAAAATAATTAGGTAATTGTAATTGGATACATACTTATAGACAAACTTGTCATAATTTAGAATCTAAATTATATTAAATTACATAATAGATATTTCATTATTTGGGTATTTTCCAATAAAAATATATTTGTAAGAAAACATTCTTTTTAAAAAAGTGTGTCCTTTTAAAAAATGTGAACACTTTTCATCTAATTCAAAGCTTATTTAAAGGTCATGTGTAAAACAAGGTAAAAGGAACCATGAAATAAGAGAAATGTAAAATAAGTTATAAAAATGAAGAGTTTTTTTATTGGTAAGAAAGCTGAAAAAGAAATAATTTCATATGAGAAAGAATCTTGTATGGTAAATTTAGTCCTGGAGTAAAGTAAATAACTGGTTGTTTAAAAAAGAAGGGTGTTCAGGCCAAACCAGAAAGTCCAAGCATGTCGTGAATGGTCTAAGTCACACAGAGAGGATTTATTTTAAAAAACTTTTTTTTTTTTTTCTTTTTTGAGATGGAGTTTTGCTCTTGTTGCCTAGGCTGGAGTGCAATGGCACAATCGCAGCTCACTGCAACCTTTGCCTCCCGGTTCAAGCGATTCTCCTGTCTCAGCCTCCCGAGTAGCTGGGATTACAGGCATGCGCCACCATGCCCAGTTAATTTTGTATTTTTAGTAGAGATGGGGTTTCTCCATATTGGTCAGGCTGGTCTTGAACTGACCTCGGATGATCTGCCTGACTTTGCCTCCCAAAGTGTTGTGATTACAGGTGTGAGCCACTGCACCCAGCCTAAAAAAAAACTTTTACATGATCAAGTTATCATATTATTATTAAGTTTTGGTTTGCTGAGGGCAGGAGCCAAGATGGCTGAATAGGAACAGCTCCAGTCTACAGCTCCCAGCGTGACTGACGCAGAAGACGGGTGATTTCTGCATTTCCATCTGAGGTACTGGGTTCATCTCACTAGGGAGTGCCAGACAGTGGGTGCAGGCCAGTGGGTGCGCGAGCCAAAGCAGAGCGAGGCATTGCCTCACCTGGGAAGCGCAAGGGGTCAAGGAGTTCCCTTTCTGAGTCAAAGAAAGGGGTGACGGATGCACCTGGAAAATCGGGTCACTCCCACCCGAATATTGCGCTTTTCAGACCGGCTTAAAAAATGGCGCACCACGAGACTATATCCCACACCTGGCTCAGAGGGTCCTATGCCCACGGAATCTCGCTGATTGCTAGCACAGCAGTCTGAGATCAAACTGCAAGGCGGCAGCGAGGCTGGGGGAGGGGCGCCCGCCATTGCCCAGGCTTGCTTAGGTAAACAAAGCAGCCAGGAAGCTCGAACTGGGTGGAGCCCACCACAACTCAAGGAGGCCTGCCTGCCTCTGTAGGCTCCACCTCTGGGGGCAGGGCACAGACAAACAAAAAGACAGCAGTAACCTCTGCAGACTTAAATGTCCCTGTCTGACAGCTTTGAAGGGAGCAGTGGTTCTCCCAGCACGCAGCTGGAGATCTGAGAACCAGCAGACTGCCTTTTCAAGTGGGTCCCTGACCCTTGACACCCGAGCAGCCTAACTGGAAGGCACCCCCCAGCAGGGGCACACTGACACCTCACACGGCAGGGTATTCCAACAGACCTGCAGCTGAGGGTCCTGTCTGTTAGAAGGAAAACTAACAAACAGAAAGGACATCCACACCAAAAACCCATCTGTACATCACCATCATCAAAGACCAAAAGTAGATAAAACCACAAAGATGGGGAAAAAACAGAACAGAAAAACTGGAAGCTCTAAAAATCAGAGTGCCTCTCCTCCTCCAAAGGAACGCAGCTCCTCACCAGCAATGGAACAAACCTGGATGGAGAATGACTTTGACGAGCTGAGAGAAGAAGGCTTCAGACGATCAAATTACTCTGAGCTACGGGAGGACATTCAAACCAAAGGCAAAGAAGTTGAAAACTTTGAAAAAAATTTAGAAGAATGTATAACTAGAATAACCAATACAGAGAAGTGCTTAAAGGAGCTGATGGAGCTGAAAACCAAGGCTCGAGAACTACGTGAAGAATGCAGAAGCCTCAGGAGCCGATGCAATCAACTGGAAGAAAGGGTGTCAGCAATGGAAGATGAAATGAATGAAATGAAGCGAGAAGGGAAGTTTAGAGAAAAAAGAATAAAAAGAAATGAGGAAAGCCTCCAAGAAATATGGGACTATGTGAAAAGACCAAATCTACGTCTGATTGGTGTACCTGAAAGTGATGTGGAGAATGGAACCAAGTTGGAAAACACTCTGCAGGATATTATCCAGGAGAACTTCCCCAATCTAGCAAGGCAGGCCAACGTTCAGATTCAGGAAATACAGAGAACGCCACAAAGATACTCCTCGAGAAGAGCAACTCCAAGACACATAATTGTCAGATTCACCAAAGTTGAAATGAAGGAAAAGATGTTAAGGGCAGCCAGAGAGAAAGGTCAGGTTACCCTCAAAGGGAAGCCCATCAGACTAACAGCGGATCTCTTGGCAGAAACCCTACAAGCCAGAAGAGAGTGGGGGCCAATATTCAACATTCTTAAAGAAAAGAATTTTCAACCCAGAATTTCATATCCAGCCAAGCTAAGCTTCATAAGTGAAGGAGAAATAAAATACTTTACAGACAAGCAAATGCTGAGAGATTTTGTGACCACCAGACCTGCCCTAAAAGAGCTCCTGAAGGAAGCGCTAAACATGGAAAGGAACAACCAGTACCAGCCGCTGCAAAATCATGCCAAAATGTAAAGACCATCGAGACTAGGAAGAAACTGCATCAACTAATGAGCAAAATCACCAGCTAACATCATAATGACAGGATCAAATTCACACATAACAATATTAACTTTAAATGTAAATGGACTAAATGCTCCAATTAAAAGACACAGACTGGCAAACTGGATAAAGAGTCAAGACCCATCAGTGTACTGTATTCAGGAAACCCATCTCACGTGCAGAGACACACATAGGCTCAAAATAAAAGGATGGAGGAAGATCTACCAAGCAAATGGAAAACAAAAAAAGGCAGGGGTTGCAATCCTAGTCTCTGATAAAACAGACTTTCAACCAACAAAGATCAAAAGAGACAAAGAAGGCCATTACATAATGGTAAAGGGATCAATTCAACAAGAAGAGCTAACTATCCTAAATATATATGCACCCAATACAGGAGCACCCAGATTCATAAAGCAAGTCCTGAGTGACCTACAAAGAGACTTAGACTCCCACACAATAATAATGGGAGACTTTAACACCCCACTGTCAACATTAGACAGATCAACGAGACAGAAAGTCAACAAGGATACCCAGGAATTGAACTCAGCTCTGCACCAAGTGGACCTAATAGACATCTACAGAACTCTCCACCCCAAATCAACAGAATATACATTTTTTTCAGCACCACACCACACCTATTCCAAAATTGACCACATACTTGGAAGTAAAGCTCTCCTCAGCAAATGTAAAATAACAGAAATTATAACAAACTATCTCTCAGACCACAGTGCAATCAAACTAGAACTCAGGATTAAGAATCTCACTCAAAGCTGCTCAACTACATGGAAACTGAACAACCTGCTCCTGAATGACTACTGGGTACATAACGAAATGAAGGCAGAAATAAAGATGTTCTTTGAAACCAACGGGAACAAAGACACAACATACCAGAATCTCTGGGACACATTCAAAGCAGTGTGTAGAGGGAAATTTATAGCACTAAATGCCCACAAGAGAAAGCAGGAAAGATCCAAAATTGACACCCTAACATCACAATTAAATGAACAAGAAAAGCAAGAGCAAACACATTCAAAAGCTAGCAGAAGGCAAGAAATAACTAAAATCAGAGCAGAACTCAAGGAAATAGAGACACAAAAAACCCTTCAAAAAATCAATGAATCCAGGAGCTGGTTTTTTGAAAGGATCAACAAAATTGATAGACTGCTAGCAAGACTAATAAAGAAAAAAAGAGAGAAGAATCAAATAGACACAATAAAAAATGATAAAGGTGATATCACCACCGATCCCACAGAAATACAAACTACCATCAGAGAATACTACAAACACCTCTACGCAAATAAACTAGAAAATCTAGAAGAAATTGATAAATTCCTCGACACATACACTCTCCCAAGACTAAACCAGGAAGAAGTTGAATCTCTTAATAGACCAATAACAGGAGCTGAAATTGTGGCAATAATCAATAGCTTACCAACCAAAAAGAGTCCAGGACCAGATGGATTCACAGCCGAATTCTACCAGAGGTACAAGGAGGAACGGGTACCATTCCTTCTGAAACTATTCCAATCAATAGAAAAAGAGGGAATCCTCCCTAACTCATTTTATGAGGCCAGCATCATTCTGATACCAAAGCCGGGCAGAGACACAACAAAAAAAGAGAATTTTAGACCAATATCCTTGATGAACATTGATGCAAAAATCCTCAATAAAATACTGGCAAACCGAATCCAGCAGCACATCAAAAAGCTTATCCACCATGATCAAGTGGGCTTCATCCCTGGGATGCAAGGCTGGTTCAATATACACAAATCAATAAATGTAATCCAGCATATAAACAGAGCCAAAGACAAAAACCACATGATTATCTCAATAGATGCAGAAAAAGCCTTTGACAAAATTCAACAACCCTTCATGCTAAAAACTCTCAATAAATTAGGTATTGATGGGACGTATCTCAAAATAATAAGAGCTATCTATGACAAACCCACAGCCAATATCATACTGAATGGGCAAAAACTGGAAGCATTCCCTTTGAAAACTGGCACAAGACAGGGATGCCCTCTCTCACCACTCCTATTCAACATAGTGTTGGAAGTTCTGGCCAGGGCAATTAGGCAGGAGAAGGAAATAAAGGGTATTCAATTAGGAAAAGAGGAAGTCAAATTGTCCCTGTTTGCAGATGACATGATTGTATATCTAGAAAACCCCATTGTCTCAGCCCAAAATCTCCTTAAGCTGATAAGCAACTTCAGCAAAGTCTCAGGATACAAAATCAATGTACAAAAATCACAAGCATTCTTATACACCAACAACAGAAAAACAGAGAGCCAAATCATGAGTGAACTCCCATTCACAATTGCTTCAAAGAGAATAAAATACCTAGGAATCCAACTTACAAGGGATGTGAAGGACCTCTTCAAGGAGAACTACAAACCACTGCTCAAGGAAATAAAAGAGGATACAAACAAATGGAAGAACATTCCATGCTCATGGGTAGGAAGAATCAATATCGTGAAAATGGCCATACTGCCCAAGGTAATTTACAGATTCAATGCCATCCCCATCAAGCTACCAATGACTTTCTTCACAGAATTGGAAAAAACTACTTTAAAGTTCATATGGAACCAAAAAAGAGCCCACATCACCAAGTCAATCCTAAGCCAAAAGAACAAAGCTGGAGGCATCACACTACCTGACTTCAAACTATACTACAAGGCTACAGTAACCAAAACAGCATGGTACTGGTACCAAAACAGAGATATAGATCAATGGAACAGAACAGAGCCCTCAGAAATAATGCCGCATACCTACAACCATCTGATCTTTGACAAACCTGAGAAAAACAAGAAATGGGGAAAGGATTCCCTATTTAATAAATGGTGCTGGGAAAACTGGCTAGCCATATGTAGAAAGCTGAAACTGGATCCCTTCCTTACACCTTATACAAAAATCAATTCAAGATGGATTAAATATTTAAATTTTAGACCTAATCCCATAAAAACCCTAGAAGAAAACCTAGGCATTACCATTCAGGACATAGGCATGGGCAAGGACTTCATGTCCAAAACACAAAAAACAATGGCAACAAAAGCCAAAATTGACAAATGGGATCTAATTAAACTAAAGAGCTTCTGCACAGCAAAAGAAACTACCATCAGAGTGAACAGGCAACCTACAAAATGGGAGAAAATTTTCACAACCTACTCATCTGACAAAGGGCTAATATCCAGAATCTACAATGAACTCAAACAAATTTACAAGAAAAAAACAAACAACCCCATCAAAAAGTGGGCGAAGGACATGAACAGACACTTCTCAAAAGAAGACATTTATGCAGCCAAAAAACATATGAAAAAATGCTCATCATCACTGGCCATCAGAGAAATGCAAATCAAAACCACTATGAGATACCATCTCACACCAGTTAGAATGGCAATCATTAAAAAGTCAGGAAACAACAGGTGCTGGAGAGGATGTGGAGAAATAGGAACACTTTTACATTGTTGGTGGGACTGTAAACTAGTTCAACCATTGTGGAAGTCAGTGTGGCAATTCCTCAGGGATCTAGAACTAGAAATACCATTTGACCCAGCCATCCCATTACTGGGTATATACCCAAATGACTATAAATCATGCTGCTATAAAGACACATGCACATGTATGTTTATTGCAGCATTATTCACAATAGCAAAGACTTGGAACCAACCCAAATGTCCAACAATGATAGACTGGATTAAGAAAATGTGGCACATATACACCATGGAATACTATGCAGCCATAAAAAATGATGAGTTTATGTCCTTTGTAGGGACATGGATGAAATTGGAAATCATCATTCTCAGTAAACTATCGCAAGAACAAAAAACCAAACACCGCATATTCTCACTCATAGGTGGGAATTGAACAATGAGATCACATGGACACAGGAAGGGGAATATCACACTCTGGGGACTGTGGTGGGGTGGGGGGAGGGAGGAGGGATAGCATTGGGAGATATACCTAATGCTAGATGATGAGTTAGTGGGTGCAGTGCACCAGCATGGCACATGTATACATATGTAACTAACCTGCACAACGTGCACATGTACCCTAAAACTTAAAGTATAATAATAAAAAAAAAGTTTTGGTTTGCTTTAGAAAAAACATAAAAAATTTTAAAAATTAAGGTTATTACATCTGTGTATCTTTCTGTTTCTGCTTTTAAAATACTTGTGACACTGAGTTACAGGGCTTTGACTCCTGGGTCTAAAAAGGACACCAAGTCCTGCTAAATTTTAAACACTGACAGCAATTAAAACCCCATCTTCAGTCCCAGTTGAAGATGCCAATCAAAATAAACTGCATTCTTGAGACACAGGGCCAGAAATTAAAGTTATTCAACTCCTCAAGGCCTAGGGACTATCGTGGAAGAGGTAGACATGTGAGATTGTAAAGGCCAATTTTAAGAGATAAAATAAGTTCAGTTTCTCTATAAATTAATCATCAATGTCAAAGGTACACTAATGCAAGACCAGCATATGGGCCCCTGTGTCAGATTAACAAGGTTTTCTTGAGGTATTAACCAACTCCTGAATAAAGGTTATAAAAGGCTTATGGAAGTTATATTTTATGGTAAAGATTAAAATTTTATAGAGTGTTCATTAAATTTTGAAAAACAAATTTAATTGGCTTCATGCTGTTTTTATTAGGGCTTATTGTTTGGAAAATTAAGTCTCCTCTCTCAAAGAATGAAGGTTTTACCTTTTTCTTTTTTAAAAATCCTTGAGATATTACTTTGATTAAATGAAATTACTTATTTTACAGTGACCTGTAATGGTACTTTGTGATATCAAGTGTTTTCAACTTTTGATGTTGAACAAACTTTCCAAATCAAATTATAAATTATGGCCAGGCATGGTGGCTCACGTCTGTAATCCCAGCACTTCAGGAGGCAGAGGTGGGTGGATCACCTGAGGTCAGGAGTTCAAGACTAGCCTGGCGAACATGGCGAAACCTGGTCTCTACTAAAAATATACAAAAATTAGCTGGGCATGGTGGTGCATGCCTGTAGTCGCAGCTACTCTGGAAGCTGAGGCAACAGAATTGCTTGAACCTGCCAGGCAGAGGTTGCAGTCAGCTGAGATTGTACCACTGCACTCCAGCCTGGGAAACAGAGCAAGACTCTATCTCAAAAAAAAAATTATAAATTATATCTTTTTCTGACCTAATTAATCCTTTAAGATATTAGGTTCCCTAAAGTCCAAAAATGACATATTTTGCTTATTTGGTATAAAAATTGTACAGGAAATATTGTCAAGTATAAAATGGTGTTTGGTTTCCCTTGGGCTGTATTTGTATAAATATGTTATTAGCATGTGTCCCAAAATTATGGGAAACTCCTATAATTCTGATATAGCTTAATGTACATTTAATAATTATAATTGTTATGTTAAATTATTGTGTGCCACAGAGGTAACAAATTTCCTTGTCAGTTGTGTCTTTGGCTATGGCTGCCTTAAAACTTTTTGTCATCCATGAACAATTGTCTTGTTTTAGTCCTCTCTAGAAGGTCGTTTTATAATCAACTATAAAACTCTAACAGGTGCTTTTGAATGCAGGTTTCTGATAACTTTGATGATTGTGACATCAGAATAGAGGAAAAACTTTCAGGACTGATGGAGAGCTGAAATATTTATGAATATCAAGCAGAACAGAAATTAACTACATGGACTAAAATAACAGAAGTCTGAAGTGATCTTTTTAACTTTTTGCTAAAAACGTTGCTGATCTTTCGTTTCATTTTTCAGAGTCAAGAAAACTTTTAAGCTATCTACAGCTTTTAACAATTGAGTAAAATATACTCCTATGAACACAATTTGGAGCATATTCATTTCTTTCTTCCTTATTTCTACAGAATTTGGAAACTATTTGTGAGTATTCTTAACTTATGACAATACAGTTATTTGCATAAGTGCAATAAGAATCTGTTTTCATTTGTAACACGTCACAGTTAAAGAAACTGGTTATTTTACCAAGGCTTTGGCTGGAATGGTGTGCTTTCCTTTAAGGAATAAAACTTGTTTTATGGAGCCAATAAAAGTCCCTTGGAAATACTGGTCTCATACCTTTGTCTACACAGTCCCCATACAGGGTTTCTGACTTGTGGTAAGTAAAGAATGTCACTTTCTGACAGGCCCAGGAGCCCTAAGTTTATCTTAAACCCTCAAGAGGAGAGGAATTCACCTAACTCATAGGTATTTGATGGTACAAATCTATGGCTGGGCTTGGCTTTAAAAAAGTCTTATCTGAAATTCCTTCTATGGAACAAAGTTCCATCAAAGCCAATTTAAAAGGCTATGTAAAAAATAATTATTCTGGCTGCACTGTATACAAATAATCAGGCCAAGTATAATAAAGCAAACCAGTCCTACCATGATTTGTCTTCAGTAAAAATGGGAAACTGGAGAGAGAAAAAATATGTTTCAAAAACTACAGTAGGCCAGGTGCCATAGCTCACACCTGTAATCCCAGCACTTTGGGAGGCTGAGGAAGGGGGATCACGAGGTCAGGAGATTGAGACCATCCTGGCTAACACAGTGAAACCCCGTCTCTACTAAAAATACAAAAAATTAGCTGGGCATGGTGGTGGGCGCCTGTAGTCCCAGCTACTTGGGAGGTTAAGGCAGGAGAATGGCGTGAACCCAGGAGGCAGAGCTTGCAATGAGCTGAGATCACACCACTGCACTCCAGCCTGGGCGACAGAGCAAGACTCTGTCTCAAAAAAAAAAAAGAAAAACAAAACAAAAACAAAAACAAAAACTACAGTAACCTGTTGTTAGATTCTAGTCTTGCCTAATGTTTTTCAATTTTTATTATTTCCTACAGTTTGCACCAACTTTTCTTGGCTATAAGCCTGCAAAATAATGTTTTCAAATTTTTTCCTTCTTTTTTTCCCATTTTTTATAATTTGGAGTCACCAAAAACTAAGCTGTACTTTCATAAAACTCTGTAAACTGAAGCTAGACAACTTAAACTTCAGAAGAAAATAATAGTAACCTATTTACATACATAAGGCACTTTCATACCTGCCTACTTATGTATGGACTTCAGAGTAATGTGGCCAATATCAACTTTCCAGAATTGTTTCTTTGTTTGTTGTTGTTTTTTCCCTTCCTCCCCCTATTTTTAATTCATAGGACATGAGACTTCACACCCTGCTAAAAATGAGCTTTCCTAATGAGAGGTGACAGCGTGCTGGCAGCCCTTCCTCCCTCTTGGCACCTCCTCGGCCTTGGTGCCCACTTTGGCCATGCTTGAGGAGCCCTTCAGCCCGCCGCTACACTGTGGGAGCCCCTCTGTGCTGGCCGAGGCTGGAGCCAGCTCCCTCTGCTTGTGGGAAGGTGTGGAGGGAGAGGCGTGGGTGGGAACCGGGGCTGCACCTGGTGTTCACGGGCCAACGCAAGTTCAGGGTGGGCATGGGCTTGGTGGGCCCTGCACTCAGAACAGCCGGCCAGTGCCACTGGCCCTGGGCAGTGAGGGGCTTAGCACCCAGGCCAGCAGCTGCAGAGGATGCACTGGGTCCCCCAGCAGTGCCGGCCCACCAGCGCTACGCTCGAATTCTCGCTGGGCCTCAGCTGCCTCCCCATGGGGCAGGGCTCGGGACCTGCAGCCTTCCATGCCCAATCACCCCCCCCCCGTGGGCTCCCATGCAGCTGGAGCCTCCCCGATGAGCGCCACCCCCTGCTCGACGGCACCTGGTCCCATCAACTGCCCAAGGGCTGAGGAGTGCGGGTGCATGGTGTGGGACTGGCAGGCAGCTCTGCCCACGGCCCTGGCATGGGATCCACTAGGCAAAGCCAGCTGGGCTTCTGAGTCTAGTGGGTAATTGGAGATGGGCTCCTGAGTCTAGTGGGGACTTGGAGAACTTTTATGTCTAGCTGGAGGATTGTATATGCAGCAATCAGCACTCTGTGCCTAGCTCGGGGTTTGTGGATGCACCAATCAGCACTCTGTGTCTAGCTCAAGGTTTGTAAACACACCAATCAGCACCCTGTATCTAGCTCAAGGTTCGTAAATGCCCCAATCAGTGCCCTGTGTCTAGCTAATCTGGTGGGGACTTGAAGAACTTTTGTGTCTAGCTAAAGGATTACAAATGCACCAATCAGCACTCTGTGTCTAGCTCAAGGTTTGTAAATGCACCAGTCAGCACCCTATCAAAATGGACCAATCAGCTCTCTGTAAAACGGACCAATCGGCAATCTGTAAAATGGACCAATCAGCAGGATGTGGGTGGGTCAGCTAAGGTAATAAAAGCAGGCTGCTGGAGCCAGCAATGGCAACCCCCCCGAGTCCCCTTCCAGACTGTGGAGGCTTTGTTCTTTCTCTCTTTGCAATAAATCTTGCTGCTGCTCACTCTTTGGGTCCACACTTCTTTTATGAGCTGTAACACTCACCGTGAAGGTCTGCAGTTTCACTCCTGAGGCCAGCGAGACCATGAACCCACCGGGAGGAATGAACAACTCTGGAGGGGAGGAACAAACAACTCCAGACGTGCTGCCTTAAGAGCTGTAACACTCACTGCGAAGGTCTGCAGCTTCACTCCTGAAGCCAGCGAGACAACGAAGCCACCAGAAGGAAGAAACTCCGAACACATCCGAACATCAGAAGGAAAAAACTCCGGACACACCATCTTTAAGAACTGTAACACTTACCGTGAGAGTCCACGGCTTCATTCTTGAAGTCAGTGAGACCAAGAACCCACCAATTCAGGATACACTAATAGCTCAGGACCTACCTGTCTAGGAATAAACCATTCTAGCCATGAGAGATCAAACAGAACCTCAAACCAGAGACTCATTTTCTTCTAAAATACTTCCTAGAAAAGATTTTTAAAATGAAAGAGGGGAAAGGTAAAAAGAAAAATCTTGGGGGCCCCCAAAATCACTTAGCTAAAGGAATAAGTCATGCTGGGAACTGCTTAGGGCTGTTAAAGCAAACTAAATATGACCTGAGAAGGTCTCCATACTTCTATATTGGAGTCCTTTTGCTTGAACTGTAACTTAGCTTAATAGTCAGACAAAATTGAAAACCTAGCTTAATAGTATGCACACATAACAATAGCTGAGTGTTGGCCAATCTCAGTGGCCATACTTCAGCCACTCATAGACTGCTGAGTGCTCAAACTGTCTTCAAATAAGGCAAATGCAGAGCTGTAACCAATCTCACTCTTTCTGTACCTCACTTCCAATTCCTGTACATCACTTTAACTTTTTGTCTATAAATTTGTTCTGACCATGAGGCACCCCTGGAGTCTCTGTGAATCTGCTGTGATTCTGGGGGCTGCCTGATTTGTGAATCCTTCATTGCTCAATTAAACTCCTTTAAATTTAATTTGGCTGAAATTTTTCTTTTATCAGATGGTGTCAGAAGCGGGATCTGAAGTGGAGCTTCTAGCAACCCCCAGGAGCACTGAGTGAACACGCAAGGTGACTGCAGGACCCACTTGTGTCCACTGATCTCTCAGAGTGACTGGGGATCGTGAGTAAGCTTCCTCTTGGATTTCAGAGTTCCACAGACTTGTGTTTTGAGCTCTCCAAGTTCCTTTGAGCAAATATCTGGTTCAAACTAGGTTTGGAGTTGCAACAGAAACTGGACTGGGTCCAGGAATGGATTTGATCCAGTAATGAACTGGCTTGGATCCAATTAGAGGTGTCTTACATCTGAATGGGTCAGAAAGGAACTGGTAGTAAGCAGTAATATTTCAGGGATTATAAAATTTGGCTTTTGAAACTTCACAGGGATTTTTGTGTTCTACCCTTTTGCTTCATTTTTCTTGCATGCTTAGGTAGGAAAAATTATTGGCTAAGTTAAGAGAACCTGAGAGTAAAGCCAATATTTTAGGTAAAAATGGGATCCTTAATTTCTGGAAAACTGAGTTCCTTCTGGCTTATACTTTAGGCCTGGGAGGCAGCGAAGTCTTACAGAAATGGCAAAATCTTACTAAAGATAACTTACAGTGGAATGTTCTGAATGAACAGCAATGCATTGAAGTACATTTAAAAATGAAGACCCTTGACCAGGCGCAGTGGCTCATACCTGTAATCTCAGCACTTCGGGAGGCCAAGGCGGGCAGATCATGAGGTTAGGAGATCCAGACCATCCTGGCCAACAAGGTGAAACCCCGTCTCTACTAAAAATACAAAAATTAGCTGGGCATTGTGGTGTGTGCCTATAATCCCAGCTACTCAGGAGGCTGAGGCAGCAGAATCACTTGAACCAGGGAGTTGGAGATTGCAATGAGCCGAGATCGCAGTGGAGATTGGGCCACTGCACTCCAGCCTGGCAACAGAGTGAGACTCTGTCAAAAAAAAAAAAAAAAAAAAAAAGGCTCTCAGTAAAGTCCCTTTTGGCTAAGAACAAATTTGGCACTACAGGATGTCAACTGCTATTCTCTTTGGAATAATCTGCCTTGCACTCTTTGCTGATGACTATGGGTGACAGGATTAGGCATAGAGAGGGTCGTGGGACATGGGGAGTGTTTTCCTTCCCCAAAAGGGGAAACTTGAGAGCTGATGGGACTGTTGGAAAAAAAAATCCCTTCATGACAGCAGCTGCAGCCACCTGAGCTTTTCAATGTGGGTCTTTCTCTAGACTCCCTGAGCATTTTGCCTTCCCACCCCGCCACAGGCAATGCTTTCTCTCTCTCTCTCTCTCTCCTTTCCCTTTTTTATCTTTTCTGTTACTCAGGGCAACCATCTTGCCCAGAGACCACGTGTCTCTAGTTTAATCCAAACTCCTAGTCGGAGGTTGGATTAAAGATGAAGGGGCCCATGTGAGGGCAAATTTAAGGCTTATCAGTTTGATATTGGGTGATAAGAAGAGTGGCCAATGTCTATGTTTTATTACACATATTTTACTCTGGTCAGAACCAAAAAAGATAATTTTCCTTTATGATGCAGCTTGGCCCCCAGCGTGATGATGCGGCAAGCTGGGTCACTGGGGCCACTCAGGGAAAAGGAACCCAGAAGCCTGGCATGCTGGCAAAAGGGTAAGAATTTTTTTCTTTTTTTTTTTTGAGTCAAAGTCTCGCTCTTTTACAAGGGCAGTGGCATGATCTCAGCTCACTGCAACCTCTGCCTCCCAGGTTCAAGCGATTCTCCTGCCTCAGCCCCCCGAGTAGCTGGGAGTACAGGTGTGTGCCACCACACCTGGCTAATTTTTGTATTCGTAGCAGAGACGGGGTTTCACTATGTTGGCCAGGCTGGTCTTGAACTCCTGACCTCATGATCTGCCCGCCTCGGCCTCCCAAAGTGCTGAGATTACAGGCATGAGCCACCACACCCAGCCAAGGGTAAGAATTTCTTACCAGTCAGATTTCTGGTTTCTCTCTCTCTGTGCGAACAGTTGAATGAATGGTAAAAATCACTGTTTACTCCTCTGTAAAGTTGTGATTAATGCAAAAAAGAATTCTGAGGCCAGTCTCATACTGATGTATTTGTGCTATGAACTTGTTTTTCTGTGTTGAGGGGTACCTTAGGATAAAACGTGGGCTTAGGGCCCCATAAACTCGCTGCCCAAGATGACCCAGCAAGCTGGTTGATAACAAACTTTCCTGCCTGTCCCTGAAACAAACAAACAAACTACTGGATGGGGTCTCCATCTTGTTTTATGTCCTTGGGTGCTTGACCTTATAACCATGTGGCAGTACTTTCTCTTGGTCTCTGCCTTCCAGGGAACAGGAATTTTAGGGTTTATGTCATAGGTTGCTCTAAAAATTATCTTGAGTAGATAAAAGGCTTTGCAAGCTCAAAATTAACTACTCTAGACTTCTTCTGGGAAGGGCAGCAGAGACTACCCTGTTCTGTAGCTCAATAGCTAGTGTTTTGGCATTTCACGCTGGCAGTCCAGGTTTGATTCCCTCTTTAGGAAGTAAGTCATTTCTGGTTTAATATCTGCATAACTTTGTCTAGTCTCTTCTCCATGGACTATCTTAAATTTTCCTTTCTCTGGCCTAGTGTGGTGGCTCATGCCTGTAATCCCAGCACTTTGGGAGGCCAAGGCAGGTGGATCACGAGGTCAGGAGTTTGAGGCCATCCTGACCAACATGGTGAAACCTCATCTCTACTAAAAATACAAAAATTAGCTGGGCATGGTGGCACACAGCAGTAGTCCCAGCTACTCAGGAGGGTGAGGCAGGAGAATCGCTTGAACCCAGGAGGCAGAGGTTGCAGCCAAGATCGCTCCACTGCACTGCAGCCTGGTGACAGAGTGAGACTCTGCCTCAAAAAAATTTTCCTTTCTCTGAGCACTTGGGAGGTTACCTCTGGTAAATTTCAAAAGCCAGAAATATCGGCCATTTAGCCTGGCTAAAATTAGGTAATAGGAAATTTTAAATGGACTTCATTAAAAGTGCTATGATTAAAAGTCAGCTTAATTAAAAGCAGATATTCAAGCTCTAATATCCTGGACTCCTTGGGAAAAACAGGAGGCACCAGAAACCCCTTTCCTGGCTCTGTTTTTCCAAGGGCTCCACCCTAAAGCCAATAACCAATTGAGAAACTTAAAAACTGGCAAATGAAAAATCTTACAACTACTGTAGTAATCTTCTGTCTGTCTTTCTGTGTAACTATATATGGGTTGTGTGTAACGCTTATATAAAAGAGCTCTATTAATTGGTTTAAACAAAAATAAGCTCTTAAAAGCAAAATAAAAACTGTAATGCCTTTTAGTTCATGTAACTTTAGTAATCTTTGGCAAATAAAAATAGCTTTAAAGATTATTGATAAAATAAAAACATTTTGTCTAAATCATGCAGGTCAGATATTAGGTTTGCTAAAGGCTTTAAGGTCATAAACTGCTTTGACTTTTGAAAATTGTTCAATATATTTTGAAGACATTAAATTCTAAATAAGGCATGGGGATACATGGAATTAGCCATGCCCCCTAGCTATGCAAGGAAGGTCATAAAGAAAGGAGATTTTATATAAGAAAGGATGTTGTATGGTAAATTCTTGTCCTAAAGTAAAATGACTGGTTGTTTAAAAGAGGGATGTTTAGTGCAAGTCATAAAGTCTAAACATGTTGTACATGGTCTGTGTAAGTTGTGAAAGAATTTATGAACAGAAATTTATGCCAAAAATGTTGTACAATTTAAAGGTGGTTTGGCCTCCTAAATGCTTCATGAAACGCCGCTATGACTCTTAACTGTACAGCTTGCCTGCTTTACAGCTAGGTGAGGCCCGGGACACATGGAGTTAAATGCTGGAAAGAGTCAGACCTTATCTGCATTTCTGTCTGGGTCCTAGGCTCCACACCTAGTACATAATTAAAATCCCTTACTTACCAAGGTTTTCACCAAAAGTAAAATTACTAGGAGTTAACATCGTAATATGTAATTGAGACTACTGAAAAAATAAGTTTACATACAAGATGTGTAGGGAGAATAAAATGTGTTTTTGTACGAGATTATAAGAAAGTATGGGAATGTAAAGTTTTGCCTAGGTTAGAGGGTTAAAGGATTGTTTAAATTAAATAAAGCTAAAGGTTTGAACAAGTTGTAAAAGGTTTATAAAAATTAACAGATTCTATGTGTGAACATATTGGCTAAAGTTAAAATGGCATTATTTAGTTTTTTTCCCCATAAATTGGACATTGGAATAGAAGCGCAACAGAGTTTCATTAGAACATTGTTCTGCTCTGAGAAAAAAATACTGTAAAGTGTTATAAAATGTTTATATAAATCTTACCTTATAGTCAAACTAATTAAAACTGAATAGATTTATAAAATGTTTTTAAAAACTAGCTTTAACATTAAAAATAACATGAATGGAAACAAAAAATTTGGTTTTCTATTTTAAAAAGGATTTTTATGTAATATTAAAAGATAATGAAAGGTTTTTGTTTACCTTTTAAGTAAACTATAAAAGGAAAAAGTGGGGGAAAGGAAAGAAAGGAGACAGAATCAGTTGTCCTCATGCTATCTTCGTCTTCACTGGGTCTTGTTTTGAAAGCTGAGTCTCCTCTTTATCAGAATAATGTTTTTTCCTTAAAAAATTTTTTTTTTTGAGACAGAGTCTCACTGGAGTGCAGTGGTGTGGTCCTGGCTCACTCCAACCTCCGCCTCCTGGGTTCAAGTGATTCTCCTGCCTCAGCCTCCCGAGTAGCTGAGGCTGCAGGCACCTGCCACCATGCATGGCTAATTTCTGTCTTTTTAGTACAGGCGGAGTTTCACCATGTTGGCCAGGCTGGTCTTGAACTCCTGACCTCAAATGATCCAAAGTGGTGGGCCTCCCCAAGGTGGTGGGATTACAGGCATGAGCCATGATGCCTGGCCTAAAAAATTTTCGAGTTATCATTTTGGCTAAATGAGTGACTTATGGTAATCTGAGAGTCTATTTTGTAACAGCCAATGTTTTAAACCTTTGGTATTTAACAAATCTTTCAAAATCAAGCTCTAGATTATCATGCTAAATCAGCCAACACTAAAATTGTTTAAATGTACAATTTGAATGAACTCCATGGTCTAAGTCAAATTACCTATGATAACCCATTAGTTATCAGTTCTATGCACCTAAATTGGAAAACAACTGGTATTCCAGAGGACATATGTTAAGCATGGTCTCACTAAGAACCAGGACAGCTGCCTTGTCCTTCCTGAATCCTTAAAGCTTTTGTTATTAAAGGTTTTTCATTCCATGACTGGTCATGGAAAAGATAAAATAATCCAAATTGAATATATTAATGTGGTGACTTATAAATTAAGGAAATAGTTTAAAACCAATGTTTGGTTCCATATTCCCAGGAAGACAATCAAAGCTTCAGGTACATTTGGCTACCTGATGGGCCATTTAAACATTTATAAAGGAATTTCACTCAATTGTCATTTTCAATGCATGTTTTCTGGTGTATAAAAGCTTTTCCATGCAAGAGGGCTGATCTTATAGCAGTAGATTATTATGCTACAGTGTATTTTAACCAGGTAAAGAAAGCTTTTTATGGTTCACTGAGGACAGTCCCTTCACAATCTAGAACCTGAAGATTGGATCTTCTGAGAACATCAGAGAAAGGCCGTCTTTGCCATCCACACTACAGAAAAACTTTGGAGCCTCGAACCTTGGGTTTATAATCTCACAACTGAGAAGGGTCCCTCCACACTCCTGCAACTGTACACCTGTTGGAACCCTTAAGGTAAAACTAATCAGGAAAGTTTCTCCCCAGAAGAAGATGGCATCCTTGATGTGAACAGCTTTTCCACAAGATCACGGATCAAAACTTCTACTATCATGAGACTCTTATATTTGAATTTTTTTTCTTGTTTATGCCTCTATGAACAATAGAAATGAAAAGGGGGTCTATTATGTGCTCTTACAGGGTATGCTTTTCTTTGTGAAGGATTTTGCAGCCAGCCTTATACATGAATAAACTTACACTTTAATAGATAAAAGATGAAGGCCCAATGTAGGTGAGAAACTTTAGTGATACATACATTGCCTCAAAATCAGTCAAAACTCCTCTTAACCCATATCATGGATTAAAGAGAACATTGACAGAAGGCCTTCACTCTTCTAGAAGGACATCATTTGTTCGGTCCTTTTTCCATGGTTTAGAATAAGAGAGGCAATAATTAGAAATGTCTCCCTCATAATAGGCTCTACAGCAAATTATACTTTAAAGGCTATTGTTACACAACAGACTTTAAATTCTCTTGTGAAAGTTATGCTAAATAATAGAATTGGCTAAACAGAAAAGTACCTGTGCAGCTGCTGATATTTGTGGCCTATGGAGAAATATATCAAATGTAAATTATAAAAATTCAGTTGTAGGGGATTAATGCAAAGACCACTTAGTTAAGTGAGTAGACTCTAGCTAGCTCATTCATTAATCTATTTAATTTTAGGTGGTTTGGTTTATGGGGACCCTGGGTAAGGAACATACACCAAACTCTTGGGGTATGGCCTCCCCATACTCATAGTAACAGTCTCCCTGGTGCACTGTATTCTCTCAAAGGTTTTAAATGTTTGCATGTAGCCATCTCTAGAACGCCAAATGGTCTCTCTTCAACTGGAATGACAAAAGTTGAAAGAGCCTTCCTTCCTTCCTTCCTTCCTTTCTTTCCTTCTTCCTTCCTTCCTTTCTTTCGACGGTCTCCCTCTGTTGCCGAGGCTGGACTGTACTGCCGTGATCTCGGCTCACTGCAACCTCCCTACATTGGGCTCCCGTGACTCTCCTGTCTCGGCCTACCGAGTGCCTGGGATTGCAGGCACATGCCGCCATGCCTGACTGGTTTTTGTATTTTTGGTGGAGATGGGGTTTCACTGTGTTGGCTGGGCTGGTCTCCAGCTCCTGACCGCGAGTGATCTGCCCACCTCGGCCTCCTGAGGTGCTGGGATTGCAGACGGAGTCTCACTCACTCAGTGCTCAATGTTGCCCAGGCTGGAGTGCAGTGGCGTGATCTTGGCTCGCTACAACCTCCACCTCCCAGCTGCCTGCCTTGGCCTCCCAAAGTGCTAAGATTACAGCCTCTGCCCGGCCGCCACCCCATCTAGGAAGTGAGGAGCATCTCTGCCTGGCCACCCATCGTCTGGGATGTGAGGAGCACCTCTGCCCGGCTGCCCCGTCTGGGATGTGAGGAGCGCCTCTTCCTGGCCGCCCTGTCTGGGAAGTGGGGAGCGCCTCTGCCTGGCTGCCCATCATCTGGGATGTGAGGAGCGCCTCTGCCTGGCCGCCACCCCGTCTAGGAAGTGAGGAGCGCCTCTGCCCGGCCACCTCGTCTGGGAAGTGAGGAGCGCCTCTGCCCAGCTGCCCTGTCTGGGAAGTGAGGAGTGCCTCTGCCCGGCTGCCCATCGTCTGGGAGGTGAGGAGCACTTCTGCCTGGCCGCCCCATCTAGGAAGTGAGGAGCACCTCTGCCCGGCCACCACCCCCTCTGGGAGGTGGGGAGCGCCTCTGCCTGGCCGCCGCCCCATCTGGGAAGTGAGGAGCGCCTCTGCCCGGCAACTGCCCCGTCTGGGAAGTGAGGATCATCTCTGCCTGGCCGCCCCATCTGGGAAGTGGGGAGTGCCTCTGCCTGGCCACCCCGTCTGGGAAGTGGGAAGTGCCTCTGCCCAGCCGCCCTGTCTGGGAAGTGGGGAGCACCTCTGCCCGGCTGCCCATCGTCTGGGATGTGAGGAGAGCCTCTGCCTGGCCACCACCCCGTCTAGGAAGTCAGGAGCACCTCTGCCCGCCCGCCTCATCTGGGAAGTGAGGAGCGCCTCTGCCCGGCCGCCCTGTCTGGGAAGTGAGGAGCGCCTCTGCCCGGCCACCCATTGTCTGGGAAGTGAGGAGCGCCTCTGCCCTGCCGCCCCATCTGGGATGTGAGGAGCGCCTCTGCCCAGCCACCCCGTCTGGGAAGTGAGGAGCGCCTCTGCCTGGCTGCTGTGCAATCTTCCAAGTGTGAAGTGACAGGCTTTCTGCAGGTGTACCCAACAGCTCCGAAGAGACAGTGACTATCGAGAACGGGCCATGATAATGATGGTGGTTTTGTTGAAAAGAAAAGGGGGAAATGTGGGGAAAAGAAAGAGAGATCAGATTGTTACTGTGTCTGTGTAGAAAGAAGTAGACATAGGAGACTCCATTTTGTTCTGTACTAAGAAAAATTCTTCTGCCTTGGGATTCTGTTGATCTATAACCTTACCCCCAACCCCGTGCTCTCTGAAACATATGCTGTGTCAACTCAGGGTTAAATGGATTAAGGTCGGTGCAAGATGTGCTTTGTTAAACAGATGCTTGAAGGCAGCATGCTCATTAAGAGTCATCACCACTCCCTATTCTCAAGTACCCAGGGACACAAACACCGCAGAAAGCCTCAGGGACCTCTGCCTAGGAAAACCAGAGACCTTTGTTCACGTGTTTATCTGCTGACCTTCTCTCCACTATTATCCTATGACCCTGCCACATCCCCCTCTCCGAGAAACACCCAAGAATGATCAATAAATACTAAAAAAAAAGAAAAAAAAGTAAAAAAAAGAAGAACAAAGCTATAGAAAAACAAAAAACAACAAGAACAAAAAGCTGAAAGAAATGTGCAACAATGAGGATACCATAACCTATGAATGACACACTGAGACCGGAAACCTAAAATGATGGTAACTGAGAATGGCGCTAAGGCCCTAAGTTTTGGTCACACTCTCACCTAAGTGAGAACCTGGCCAGAAAAGGGGAATTTTTTAAAACAAAATTATGGAAGGCCATTATTTTGGACAGAGCTCATGCACTAGGCCCTAACCAAATGAAACTAGAATGGAGTCACTTGTGCTAAATATGACACAATCAAACTAAGGCTTTAAGAAAACACATAGATCCTAGAACAGATCAGGTTTTGTTTTTCTCCTGTAAACAGATGTTCCAGCATAAGGAGATACCCTCTACTCAGTGCTTATTCTCTCCTTGCAAAACCCACTATTCTACTGTTTCCCAGTGGGTTTCAAAACCACATAAGTACATTTACAACAGTGACAGTAACATCAATGACTAAGGTTTTGGCCAATCTCTCAAAATTGAGAAAATGACCAAAATGGGAGAATTGTTAAAGCAAACTAAATATGGCCTGAGAAGGACTCTGTACTTCCATATTTGAGACCTTGTGGATGAACTGTAACTTAGCGTAATAGTCAGACAAAATTGAAAACCTAACTTAATAGTATGCACCCGTAACAATAGCTGAGTGCTGGCCAACCACTCATAGACTGCTGAGTGTTCAAACTAGTTCAAGTAAGGCAAAGGCAGAGCTGTAACCAATCTCACTGTTTCTGTACCTCACTTCCGATTCCTGTATGTCACTTTAACTTTTTTGTCTATAAATTTGTTCTGACCACGAGGCACCCCTGAAGTCTGTGAATCTGCTCTAATTCTGGGGGCTGCCTGATTTGCGAATACTTCATTGCTGAATTAAACTCCTTTAAATTTAATTCGGCTGAAGTTTTTCTTTTATCAGGGCAAAACCTGCCTCCCATTCTATTCAAAGTCACCCCTGCTCACTGAGATAAATGCACATCTGATTGCCTCCTTTGGAGAGGCTAATCAGAAACTCAAAAGAATACAACCATTTGTCTCTTATTTACCTATGACCTGGAAGCCCCTTCCCTGCTTTGAGTTGCCCAGCCTTTCCAGAGTGAACCAATGTTCATCTTACATATGTCTGATGTCTCATGTGTCCCTAAATGTATAAAACAAAACTGTGCTCTGACCACTTTGGGCACATGTCGTCAGGACCTCCTCAGGCTGTGCCACAGGCACACGTCCTCAACCTTGGCAAAATAAACTTTCTAAATTAACTGAGACCTGTCTCAGATTTTCAGGGTTCACACTTTTCACATTCCTATTATACAAGGCTGTATGTAACAGATGTCACTTTTTTACAAATTATATTTTACCTAATACATTTACAATTATAGGTTGTGTACATCTTTTTTTTTTTTTTTGAGACAGAGTTTTGCTCTTTTTGCCCAGGCTGGAGTGCAGTGGTGCGATCTCGGCTCACTGCAACCTCTGCCTCCTGGGTTCAAGCAATACTCCTGCCTCAGCATCCCAAGTAGCTGGGATTACAGGCACCTGCCACCATGCCTGGCTAATTTTTTGTATTTTCAGTAGAGACGGGGTTTCACCATGTTGACCAGGATGGTCTCAATCTCTTGACCTCGTGATCCTCCCGCCTCAGCCTCCCAAAGTGCTGGGATTACAGGTGTGACCCACCGCGCCTGGCCAGTTGTTTACATCTTAAGCACACAACAGGTGCTTATTAGTGATGAAGTGGTGTAAACAATACCTGCTTATTTTTGAGTGTGATGCAGCCTAGTGGACCTGTATATGTGTTTATAAGTTTAAGGTAACATGTTTACTTACAAACTGCTCCTCACCCCATCCAACACATCTCAGCAAATAATTCAGGATGATAGAATATATTACATTACTCTGAATTTATACATCATATCACCTTATAATTTATTAATTACACTTATTACAATATCCTTAAGATAAATTCCTAGCAGTGGGATTTTTAAATGAAAGGATTATATACATATTAAATTTGGATAGTTAGTCCCAAATTGTCCTCCAGAAAGGTTATACCAATTTACACTCTCGCCAAGTATTGCCACCATATTTTTAAGGTTGCCTAGTATTCTGTCATGTAGATGTACCATCATTAAAATGCTTTAATAGTGCCTGCCCAGGCCAAGCGCGGTGGCTCACACCTGTAATCCCAGCACTTTGGGAGGCCGAGGTGGGCGGATCATGAGGTCAGGAGTTCGAAACCAACCTGGCCAACATAGTGAAACCCAGTCTCAACTAAAAATACAAAAAATTAGCCGGGTGTGGTGGTAGACACCTGTAATCCCAGCTACTCAGGAGGCTGAAGCAGGAGAATCACTTGAACCTGGGAGGCGGAGGTTGCAGTGAGCCAAGATTGCGACATTTTACTCCAGCCGGGGTGACAGTGCTAGACTCCGTCTCAAAAAAAAAAAAGTGCCTGCTCTCCTTTTCTCTTCCTCTTCCTCTCCCTCTTCCTCTCCTTCTCCTTCTCTTCTCCTCCTTCTCCTTTTTGTCATCGTTGTCATCAGACAGGTAATGTGCCAATGCTGTAAAAAGGTGGCACATCTCATACTTGTGCGTGAACACCCAATCATCATGCATATGACCCACAAAAGGATCGTGCATGCTATTATTATTGCTGTTATTACTAGGTATTTTCACTTTTTTGCTAATATTATTATTATTATTATTTGAGACGGACTCTCGCTCTGTCGCCCAGGCTGGACCCGCAGTGGCGCTATCTTGGCTCACTGCAAGCTCCGCCTCCTGGGTTCACACCATTCTCCTGCCTCAGCCTCCTGAGTAGCTGGGACTACAGGCGCCTGCCACCACGCCCGGCTAATTTTTTTGTATTTTTAGTAGAGACGGGGTTTCACCGTGTTAGCCAGGATGGTCTTGATCTTCTGACCTCGTGATCTGCCCACCTCGGCCTCCCAAGGTGCTGGGATTACAGGCGTGAGCCACTGCACCCGGCCAATATTATTATATCATATTATTGATGTTTTCTTGGCACTTTTTCCATTTTCTTTTCATTTTTGAGACAGGTTTTCACTCTGTTGCACAGGTTTGAGTGCAGTAGCATGATCACAGCTCACTGCAGCCTCAAACTCCTGGGCTCAAGCAATCCTCCTGCCACAGCCTCCTGAGTATCTAGGACTACAGGAGTGTGCCATCATACCTGGCTAATTTAAAAAATTTTTTGTAGAGGCAGAGTCATGTTATGTTGCCCATGCTGCTCTCAAAGTCCTGGCTTTAAGTGATCCTCCCACCTTGACCTCCCAAAGCACCATCTTCTTTTTTATTAAAAAATATGGCTGGGCGAGGTGACTCACGCCTGTAATCACAGCACTTTGGGAGGCCAAGGCAGGTGGATTGCTTGAGCCCAGGAGTTTGAGACCAGCCTGGACAACATGGTGAAACCCCGTTTCCACACATACACAAAAATCCCCAAAAATTAGCCGGGTGGGGTGATGCACGCCTGCAGTCCCAGCTTCTCAGGAAGCTGAGGTGGGAGGATCTCTTTGAGCCCTGGAGGCCGAGGCTGCAGTGAGCTGAGATTGTGCCACTGCACTTCGGCCTGGACGACAGAGCGAGACCCTGTCTCTTTAAAAACAAACAAACAAACAAACAAACAAAAAACGGACATGGTGGTTCATGCCTGTAATCCCAGCACTTTGTCAGGCCGAGGGGGGCAGATCACCTGAGGTGAGGAGTTCGAGACCAGCCTGGCCAACGTGGTGAAACCCCATCTCTACTAAAAATACAAAAAATTAGCCAGGTGTGGTGGCATGTGCCTGTAGTCCCAGCTACTCGGGAGGCTGAGACAGGAGAATCACTTGAACCTGGGAGGCGGAGGTTGCAGTGTGCCAGCCTGGGTGACAAGGGCAAAACTCCATCACAAAAAAAAAAAAAAAAAAAGTGGCTCATGCCTATAATCCCAACACTTGGGGAAGTAGAGGCAGGAGGACACCTTGAGCCCAGAAGTTTGATATCGGCCTAGGCAAGATAGGAAAATCCTTTCTCTATTAGAAAACAAACAAAGAAACAAATAAAACACTACTTGCCTGTTTTTGTTTGTTTGTTTTGTGAGACGGAGTCCCAGTTGCTCAGGAGGCTGAGGCACGAGAATCAGTTGAACCCGGGAGGTGGAGGTTGCAGTAAGCCTAGATCGCACCACTGCACTCCAGCCTGGGTGACAGAGTGAGACTCCATTTCAAAACAACAACAACAACAACGACAAAAAAATAAAAACAAAAACAAAGAGTGTCCTTTGTGAAGCTGTGAAAAGTATTAATTTTGTTAAATCTCAACCCTTGAGTGAACATCTTTTGAAAATTCTGTCTAACAAAATGGGAAGTATGGGCAAAGTGCTTTTGCTCCCTACCAAAGTCTGGTTGTTTGGAAGAAAAGCACTTGTGTTATTTAGACACAAACGGAACTAGCCAATTTTTTTCCAGTGAACGCATTTTTTACTTGAAAGTATAATGAACTATGTTTATTGAGTCTTGAGTATTAGGCAGACAGTTTTACAAAAATAAACAAAGTAAGCCTGTCGCTTCAAGGAAAGCAACTTAACATTATTTGTTGGCAATGATAAAGTTAGAACTTTCAAGCAAAATAGAATTTTGTACCTGCCACCCAAGCTTGACCGTTTCCCAATACTTAAAGACTTTTCTGATGAGACTGGTGGTGATATTAAAGAATGTTATTTTAAAAACGTTGTACAGTGAAATGTGGCAACATTTGCAAGCTCTGCATAGCTCAGTGATCCAATGTTTTCCAAATGACCAATTCATTATGGATACAAAATCATGCATGGGTAAAAAAATCCAATCAAAGTGCAAGATAGATTTTCATATAACCCAGAGTGGAAAAGGCTTATTGATATAGTTTCAGATTTTACATTGCAGCTAATGTTTAAGAAACAAATATTTCAGCCTGGGCAACATTGGGAGATGCTGTCTCTACAATTTTTTTTTTTTTTTTTCAATTTAGCCAGGTGTGATGGCACCTCCTTGTAGTCTCAAGTACTCAGGAGGCTGAGGTGGAAGGATCGCTTGAGCTCAGGAGGTCAAGGCTGCAGTGAGCTATGATTGTACCACTGCCCTACGCACTCCAGCCTGGGTGTCAGAGCAAGACCCTGTCTCAAGAGAAAAGAAAGAGAAAGAAAGAAAGAAAGGAAGGAAGGAAGAAAGGGAGAGAGAGAGAAAGAAAGAACTATTTGTTGAGTGTGGTGTAATAAACAAAAGGCAACTAAATCCTGCATCATACAGTTCTTGTTTTTTGTTTTTTTAGACATGGAGTCTCACTATGTTGCCTAGGCTGGCCTCAAACTCCCGGGCTCAAGTGATCCTACTGCTTCGGCCTCTTGAGTAGCTTGGACTACAGGTACAGTGGCTCAGAATTCTTCATATAGTTTAGCCAAAATAACTTATCACAAATATATTGAATGGAGGCTGGGGGTGGTGGCTCATGCCTATAATCCCAGTGCTTTGGGAGGCTGAGGTGAGTGGATCACTTGAGCCCAGGAGTTCAAGACTAGCTGAGCAACATGGTAAAACCCCATCTCTACAAAAAATACAAAAAAATTAGCCAGGTATGGTGGTGCACGCCTGTAGTCCTAGCTACTCAGGGGGCTGAGGTGGGAGGATAACTTGAACCTGGGAGGCTGAGGCTGCAGTGAGCCATAATGGCACTACTGCACTCCAGCCTAGGCAACAGAGTGAGACTCCATCTCAAAAATAAACAGTCCGGACACGGTGGCCCATGCCTGTAATCCCAGCACTTTGGGAGGCCGAGGCAGGTGGATCATGAAGTCAAGATAGCGAGACCATCCTGACCAACACGGTGAAACCCCGTCTCTACTAAAAATACAAAAATTAGCTGGGTGTAGTGGCGGACACCTGTAGTCCCAGCTACTTGGGAGGCTGAGGCAGGAGAATTGCTTGAAACCGGGAGGTGGAGGTTGCAGTGAGCCGAGACCATGCCACTGCACTCCAGCCTGGCGACAGAGTGAGACTCCATCTCAAAAAAAAAAAAAAAAAAAAAAGGGCCGGGCGCGGTGGCTCATGCCTGTAATCCCAGCACTTTGGGAGGCCGAGGCGGACGGATCACAAGCTTAGGAGATCAAGACCATCCTGGCTAACAGGGTGAAACCCCATCTCTACTAAAAAATACAAAAAATTAGCCGGGCGTGGAGGCGGGTGCCTATAGTCCCAGCTACTTGGGAGGCTGAGGCAGGAGAATGGCGTGAACCCGGGAGGCAGAGCTTGCAGTGAGCCGAGATCGCGCCACTGCACACTCCAGCCTGGGCAATAGAGCGAGACTCCGTCTCAAAAAAAAAAAAAAAAAAAAAAGTCGGGAAGTGAACTGTGCAGCCTTCAGTCTGTGGCCAAAGGCCCAAGAGCCCCTGGCAAACCACTGGCGTAGGTCCAAGAGTCCAAAAGCTGAAGAACCTGGAGTCCAACGTTCAAGGGCAGGAAGCATCAAGCATGGGAGAAAGATGGAGGCCAGAAGACTTGGTCAGTCTAGCCCTTCCACGTTCCTCTCCTTTTATCCCAGCCACGCTGGCAGCTGATTAAATGATGCCCATCCAGATAGAGGTTGGGTCTGCCTCTGCTGGTTCACGGACTCAAATGTTAATCTCCTTTGGTAAGACCCTCACAGACACACCCAGGAACAATACTTCGCATCCTTCAATCAAGTTGATACTCAGTATTAACACACCAATTTAAAGTGTAGATTCAATGGTTTTTAGTATATTCACAGAGTTGTGCACTACAATCAGTTCTAGAACATTTTTATCACCCCCAAAAAAACTCTGCACCCGTTAGCAGTCACTACCCATTTCCCAACTTTCAGTGAGCTCCCCAGCCCAACGTAACCTCTTATCTACTTTCTGTCCATTGAATTACCTATTCTGGGCATTTCATATAAATGTAATCACACAATATGTGGTTTTGAAGACTAGCTTTGTTCACTTAGCCTCTTTTATCCTCTTTTCTCTTTTTTTTTGAGATGGAGTCCTGCTCTGTCACCCAGGCTGGAGTGCAGTGGCGCAATTTCAGCTCACCGCAACCTTGGCTGGCCTCCCGGGTTCAAGCAATTCTCCTGCCTCAGCCTCCCAAGTAGCTGAGATTATAGGCACCCGCCACCATGCTCGACTAATTTTTTTTTGTATTTTTAGTAGAATGTGGTTTCACCATGTTGGCCAGGCTGGTCTCGAACTCCTGGCCTCAGGTGATCCGCCCGCCTTGGCCTCCCAAGGTGCTGGGATTACACGCATGAGCCACCGCACCTGGCCTAGAGTATATGTTTTGTACTTCTTTGCTACGTGTGTTTCTAATTATTTTATTCTTTTTGACGGTATTGCAAATGAAATTATGTTCTTTTGTTCTTAGATTGTTCATTGCAAGTGTATAGAAATACAATTGATTCTTGTATTCTGCAACCTTGTTGAATTCTTCTATTAGTTCTAATAGATTTTTTAGTGAATTCCTTAGGATATTTTAGATATAAGGTCATCTGCAAATAGAGATGGTTTTGTTTTTCTCTCCAATCTGTATGCCTTTTACATTCATTCATTCATCTACATACAACATTCATCTTCTTGCCTAATTACACTGGCTAGAATGTCCGGTACAATGTCAAATAGAAATGGTAAGAGTAGGTATTCTTGTCTTATTCCTAATATTAGAGAGAGTAATCATTCATTTTTTACCAAAAAGTATGATATTAGTTGTGGGTTTTTTGTAGATGCTTGATGACTTTTATCAGGTTGATTAAGTCCCTTTATCTTCCTGGTTTATTAAATGTTTTTATCATGAAGAGATGTTGAATTTTGTCAAATGTCTTTTCTGTGTCTACTAAGATGACCATGTGGTTTTTGTCCTTTAGTCTATGGATAGGATGTACAACATTAATTTTATTTCTTATGTTAACTCAAGCTTTCATTCCTGGGATAAATCCCACTTGGTCGTGGTATATAATCCTTTTTATTTGTTGTTGAATTCATGGTAATTTGTGGAGAATTTCTGGGTCTATATTCATAAGAAATAGTCTACAGTTTTCTTGTATTGTGTTTGTCTGATTTTGGTATCTGAGTAGTATTACCTCATTGAATGGGCTTGGAAGAGCTTCATTTTCTTCTATTTTTGGAAAAGCTTGTGAAGAAATAGTATTGACATTTTCTTCATGGGAAGTTTCTGATTTATAATTCAATCTTTTCTAGGAGGCTGCTGAAGATGGCGGAGGGGCAGGTCCTAGTGCTCGATGGCCGAGGTCACCTCCTGGGCTGCCTGGCGGCCATCGTGGCTAAGCAGGTGCTGCTGGGCCGGAAGGTGGTGATCGTGCGCTGCGAGGGCATCGACATTTCTGGCAATTTCTACGGAAACAAGTTGAAGTACCTGGCTTTCCTCCGCAAGCGGATGAACACCAGCCCTTCCCGAGGCCCCACGTCTTCTGGCAGAGCTTGCGAGCCGGGCCGCCCCACGACAGCAGCCAGCCAGGCCGCCTAGGACCTGCCGCCAGGTGTTCGGTGGCGTCCCACCGCCCCGTGAGAGGAAAAAGCGGATGGTGCTTCCTGTTGCCCCCAAGGTTGTGCGTCTGAAGCCTACGAGAAAGTTCGCCTACCTGGGGTACCTGGCTCACGAGATTGGCTGAAAGTACCAGACCGTGACAGCCACCCTGGAGGAGAAGGGGAAGGAGAAAGCCAAGATCCAGGACCAGAAGAAACAACTCCTGAGGCTATGGAGACAGGCCGAAAAGAATGTGGAGAAGAAAATTGACAAATACAGGGAGGTCCTCAAGGCCCACGGACTCCTGGCCTGAGCCCGGTAAAGACTGTTTATTACTTATGCTTGGCCTGGCCTGCCCTTCCTCCATCGTGGCCCTGGAATGTGGGAGACCCAGGGGCAGCAGTCCAGGTGCCACAGGCAGCCTGGGACTTAGGAAGCTTGGGAGCAAGGAAAGGGTCTTAGTCACTGCCTTTCAATAAGGTTACTTAAAGCCCTCGAAGAATTGTGCAGGCATAATTCATCTGTGACCAATAGAGCAACAAATTACTTCAGTTTCAATATCAGCGAAAGGGAGCTGGAACACTAATTGGAGGGGCCCTACCTTGTGAGCAGGGCATCTGTTTAACTTCCCAACTAGTCATACACTATACTTTGCAGCTGTTAGAATGTGAACAAGCGCTTGGGGGACAGCATTAGCTTGCTGTTGTACGAAGGGTATTTATAAAAGCACAGACTGGGAAGATGTGTGATCAAGGAGTTACAGGCATTGCCCGTGCTTCTTGCCTGTATTTTGTGATCGGAATCAAATAAATTACTTTTATTCCTTTTTTTTTTTTTTTTTGAGACGGAGTCTCGCTCTGTCGCCCAGGCTGGAGTGCAGTGGCGCGATCTCGGCTTACTGCAAGCTCCGCCTCCTGGATTCACACCATTCTCCCGTCTCAGCCTCCGGAGTAGCTGGGACTGCAGGCACCCGCCACCATGCCCAGCTGATTTTTTGTATTTTCAGTAGAGACGGGGATTTCACCGTGTTAGCCAGGAAGGTCTCGATCTCCTGACCTCGTGATCTGCCCACCTCGGCCTCCCAAAGTGCTGGGATTACAGGCATGAGCCACGAAGCCCCGCCGATATTCTTTTTGATGATAGATACAAGTATTTCCTGAAATCAGTGGCCTCATAACTGGTATTTATTTCTCATTTCATTTTTCCCTTGATCAATTTGAAGTTATATAATTCTATGTCCAGACTTTTACTGGTTACCTACAACACAAACCTTTCATTTATCAAAATATGAAGTTAATCAATATTATTTGTATCAATAAGAGTTCATTCAGGAAAACAAAAGTAACACTAGATGCTTCAATACAAAATGCAGTGCAGGGAGTTGATTAAATAAGCGTTGGAGGAATGAAAAAGCAAAGGGAAACATTGAGGTAACATAGAGATAAAATCTGCAAGGAGCAGCTACCACCTTTGGAGCTGGGGAAACAAAGGGAAGAGGCTGGGGTTATCTAAACCAAAAGTTCAGATAAAGGACCTAACAGAGCTGAGGCTTAGGCCTCTGAGGATGGGGATGTTTCCTGATTGGTGCTGGATGTCTAAGAGGGCACAATGAGTCTGGTTCTGGGAGAGCTGAGAGAAGCTTGAGGCTGAACTAACTTCTGATGCTAGGCCAACACTGACAGGCATAGCAAGCAAAGAGGAAAATGAAAGTCACTTTTCTTTCAGTTTTCCAGTCTCCCTTAACACTCCTATTGATAGAAACTAAGAGGGAGCCAGTTGACAGGAAAGAAATGTGAATAAAACTGTCTTTGTTCACAGATGACATGATTGTCTATGTAGAAATTCCAAAAGAATTAACAAAAAATTTCTGAAACTAATAATGATTATAGCAAATTTGTAGGATACAGGTTAATATAAAAAAGTACATTGCTTTTCTTTATACCAGCAATGAGCAAGTGGAATTTGAAATTAAAAACACAATACTCCCCAAAAATAAACTACTTAGGTTTAAATGTAACAAAATATGTACAAGATCTATACGAGGAAAATTATAAACTCTGATGGAAGAAATCAAAGAACTAAATAAAAGGAGAGATATTCCGTGTTCATGGAAAGGAAGACTTGATATTGTCAAAATGTCAATTCTGCCCTATTTGACTGATACATTCAATGCAATCTCAATAAAAATCCTAGCAAGTTGTTTTGTGGATATCTACAAACTGATTCTAAAGTTACTATGGAGAGGCAAAAGATCTGAAGTAGCCAACACAATGATATAGGAGACCAAAGTTGGAAGACTGATAGTACCTAATTTCAAGACTTAGTATAAAGCTACAATAATCAAGACAGTGAGGTATTGGCAAAGTAATAGACAAATGGATCAATGGAACCCAGAAATAGACCCACATAAATGCAGTCAACTGATCTTTGACAAAGAAGAGGAGGGAAGCCAGTACAATGGAGAAAAGATAACCTTGTCAACAAATGGTACTCGAACAACTGGGCATCCACATGCCAAAAAAAAAAAAAAAAAAAAGAATCTAGACACAGACCTTACACCCTCAACAAAAATTATCTCAAAATGGATCATAGATCTAAATGTAAAATGCAAACTATAAAAGTCTTAACATATAACATAGGAGAAAATCTAGATGAACTTGGGTATGGCCATAACTTTTTAGATACAATGCCAAAAGCATGATCCATGAAAGAATTGATAAGCTGGATTTCATTAAAACTAAAAACTTGCTCTGTGAAAGACACTATAAAAAGAAATGAGAGGACAAGACACAGGCTAGGAGAAAGTATTTGCCACTTTGGGAGGCCAAGGTGGGAAGACCGCTTGAACACAGGTGTTCAAGACCAGCCTGGGCAACATAGCGAAACTCTGTCTCTAGACAAAATTTGGCTGGGCGTGGTGGCTCACGCCTGTAATCCCAGCACTTTGGAGGGCCGAGGCAGGCAGATCACAAGGTCAGGAGTTTGAGACCAGCCTGGCCAATATGGTGAAACCCCATCTCTAATAAAAATACAAAAAATTACCTGGGCATAGTGGCACGCGCCTGTAATCCCAGCTATTCGGGAGGCTGAGGCAGGAGAATCGCTTGAAACCGGGAGGCAGAGGTTGCAGTGAGCTGATTGCGCCACTGCATTCCACCCTGGTGACAGAGCGAGACTCCGTCTCAAAATAAATAAATAAATAAATAAATAAATAAATAAATAAATAAATAAAATCAGCCAGATGTGGTGGCATGCACCTGTAGTCCCAGCTATTCAGGAGGCTGAGGTGGGAGAATCACTTGAGCCCAGAGCTCAAGGCTACAGTAAGCCATGATTATGTCGCTGCACTCCAGCCTAGGTGACAGAGCAAGAATATATATATATATATTTGTATATATATATATTTATATATATATTTATATATATACACACACACACATATATATACACATATACACACACATGCATATACACATACATATATATATATATTTACAAAAGATGTTTCTGATAAAGGACTAGTTTCCAAAATATCAAAGAACTCTTAAAATTCAACAATAAATGTATTTAGTCAGGTTTTCCAGAGAAACAGAATCAATAGGAGGATATATAAGTAAATAGACAGGTAGGTAGAAAGGTAGATAGTCAGATATATAGAGAGATATTTATTATGAGGGATTGGCTTACACAATGATTAAGTCCCACAATCTGTCATCTGCAAGCTGGAGGCCAGGAAAGCCAGTGCTGTAGTTCTGATCCAAACCTAACACCTGTGAATCAGGGGGCTAATGGTGTTAAGTCTCAGTCTGAGTCCAGAGGCCTAAGAACTAAGGCCAGGTGCAGTGGCTCATGCCTATAATTTGGGAGGCCAAGGCAGTCATATCACTTGAGGTCAGGAGTTCGAGACCAGCCTAGCCAACATGGTGAAACCCCGTCTCTACTAAAAATACAAAAATTAGCCGGGTGTGTTGGCATGTGCCTATAATCCCAGCTACTTGGGAGGCTGAGGCAGGAGGATTGCTTGAACTTGGAAGGTTCGGTGTGCAGTGAGCCGTGATTGTGCCACTGCATTCCAGCCTGTATGACAGAGTGAGACCCTGTCTCCAAAAAAAAAAAAAAAAAAAAAAGGGCAAATAAACATATGTAAAGATGTTCCACATCATATGTCTCTAGGAAACTGCAAATTAAAACAAAAATGAGATACCACTACACACTTATTAGAATGGCCAAAATCTAGAACACTGAAAACGCCAAATGCTGTCAAGGATGTAGAACAACAGGAGCGCTCATTCATTGTTGGTGGGAATGCCAAATGGTACAGCTACTTTGGAAGGCAGTTTGGCAATTTCTTACAATACTAAATATACTCTTACAATATTATCCAGCATTCATGCTTTTTGGTATATGCTTAAAATAGTTGAAAACTTATGTTCACACAAACCTGCACATGGGTGTTTATAGCAGCTTTATCCTTAATTGTCAAAACTTGTAAGCAACCAAGATGTCTTTCTGTAGATGAATGGAAAACTAAACTATGGTATATCTAGACATGAAATATTATTCAGTGCTATAAAGAAATGAGCTATTAAGCCATAAGAAGACATGGAGGAACATGCATTGAGTGCATATTATTAAGTAAAAGAAGCCAGCTGAAAAGGCTAAATACTGTGATTCCAACTATGTGACATTCTGGAAAAGGCAAAACTATGGAGACAGTAAAAAGATCAGTGGTTGCCAGGGACTGGGGTAGGGAAAGGGATAAAGGGGTGGACCACAGAGGATTTTTAGGGCAGTAAGACCATTCTGTATGATACTTATATGATGGATACAGGTCATTATACATTTATCCAAACCCAGAGAATGTACAACACAGAGTTGTGTTCACCACAGTGAACCCATGTGTAAACTGTGGACCTTGGATGATAATGATGTATCAATATAGGCTCATCAGCTGTAACAAGTGTGCCACTCTGGGGCAGGATGTTGACAGTGGGGGAGGCTGTGCATGTGTGGGGACAAAGGGTATATGAATATGCTCATATTTTCTGATCAGTTTCACTGTGAACCTAAATCTGCTGTTTGAAAAAATAAGTCAATTTAAGAAAGAAAACAAAATGTAGTTTGCAGAATACCAGCCCCAGCATCATGATGTATAGAAGGGTGGATTTGAAGTTGAAGGACATAGTTTGATAATCAGCATACTATCCTTGCAGACAATATAAGAAGCCTAGAACAATTTAACTTTGTCTGCCTACCTCCCAATGTCTATGTTATTGTTTTAATGTGTTTTAATTCTATATTTTTACTTAAATTCCAGAAAACATTAATGTTGTTATTACTTTCTTTTTTATTTCTTTTTTTTTTTTTAGTACAGGGTCTCCCTAGGTAGCCCAGGCTGGTCTCGAACTCCTGGCCTCAAGTGATCCTCTCCTCTTGGCCTCCCAATGTTCTGGGATTACAGGCATGAGCCACCACACCTGGCTATCCTCATTACTGAAATGTATTTACACTAGTCATAAAATTTCTAGTGGAAGTTGTTTTCTTTCATCACATTAAAGATATCAACTATTGACTTCTGTCTTTCATTGTTGCCATAAGAAGTTAGTTTTCAGTCTAAACTGCTGCTCCTTTGAAGGGAAGCTGTTTCTCTAGCTGCTTTTAATTTAATTTTTTACTCTGGTAAAAGTTGCATGCAGTGAAGTACACAGACCTTACCTGTATAAGGGCAGTGAATTTTGACAAATGCATACACTCATATATCCCACAATCTGGCTGCTTTTAAGATCTGCTGTTTTCCTTTAATGTTATTCGGTTTCACCATCCTATGTTTATGTGTGGACTTCTTTTTATCTATCCTGTCTGAAATGTGTTGGGCCTCTTGAATCTGTGTTGATTTGTATCTTTCATTAGTTCTGAAAAATGCCCAATCATTAGGTTTGCACCATGCTCTCTTCTCATTCCAGAACCCCAATTAGTTAGTTTTTTTTTTTTTTTTTTTTTTTTTTTTTAGACAGAGTTTCCCTCTGTTGCCAGGCTGGAGTGCAGTGGTGCGATCTTGGCTCACTGCAACCTCCGTCTCCCAGGTTCAAGTGATTCTCCCGCCTCAGTCTCCTGAGTAGCTGGGACTAGGCGAGCACCACCCAGCTAATTTTTGTATTTTTAGTAAAGACAGGATTTCACCATGTTGGCCAGGATGGTCTGAATCTCTTGACCTCGTGATCCGCCTGCCTTGGTCTCCCAAAGTGCTGGGATTACAGGCATGAGCCACAGTGCTCAGCCTAGTTAGATTTTTACTCTGCTATTCATATATCTTTCTCTTTCATACTCTCCTCTTTGTTGCTCTGCATTTTATTCTGGTTAAGTTATTCTCATCTATCTTCCAGTTCATTAATCCTACCTTCAGCTAAATCTAAACTGGTCTTTGGGTTACTTAAAAGAAATTTTAAATGGAAAATTTCAAACACAATCAAAAGTATAATGAATCCCTCTGTACCTATCATCTTGCTGCAACAATTACAAAATATACTTAATTTTGTTTCATCTATATCTCACCAATTTCCCCTGGACTCCCACAGGATTATTTTAATACAAATCCCAGACATTATGCCATTCCATTAATAAATACATGAGTATGTATCTCTAAAAGTTAAGGACCATTTTAAAAACCATACCAAAATACCGTGATTACATCTAACAAAATTAACAAATTCTTTTTTTCTTTTTTTTTTTTTGAGGCAAAATCTTACTCCATCCTACCCAGGGTGGAGTTCAGAGGCAAGATCTCAGCTCACTGCAACCTCTGCCTCCCCAGCTCAAGAGATTCTCATGCCTCAGCCTCTCAAGTAGCTGGGATTACAGGTGCCCGCCACCACGGATGCTAATTTTTTAGTATTTTTATTTTTACTTTTTTTTTTTTTTTTGAGACAGAGTTTCACTCTTGTTGCCCAGGCTGGAGTGCAGTGGCATGATCTCGGCTCACTGCCACCTCCACCTCCCAGGTTCAAGCAATTCTTCTACCTCAGCTGGTCTCAAACTTCTGACCTCAAGTGATCCACCTGCCTTGGCCTGCTGGGATTACAGGCCTGAGCCACTGTGCTCAGCCAACAATATCTTAATATCACATAATATCCAGTGTCCATAATTGACTAATAAAAGTTTTTTTATAGATAGTTTGATTCAGGATCCAAATAAGATCTACGCATTACATTTGGTTGCTGTGTCTCCTAGATCTCTTTTATTCTGTAACAGTTCTCATTCCCTACCTTTTTCCTCTTGCAGTGTACTTTGTTGAAGAAACTGGAGCTTTGATTCCGTTTGTTCCTGATTACATTCCTGTGGTGTCATTTAACATATTCTCTGAGTTCTCCTATTTCCTGTAAACTGTTGGTTATATTTAGAATCTTCTTTGGGCTGGGCATGGTGGCTCATGCCTGTAATCCCAGCACTTTGGGAGGCCAAGGCGGGCAGACCACCTAAGGTCAGGAGTTCAAGACCAGCCAGACCAACATGGTGAAACCCCGTCTCTGCTAAAAAGACAAAAATTAGCCAGGCATGGTGGCGCGTGCCTGTAATCCCAGCTACTCGGGAGGCTGAGGCAGGAGAATCACTTGAACCCAGGAGGCAGAGGTTGCAGTGAGCTGAGATCACGCCACGGTACTCCAGCCTGGGTGACAGAGCCACACTCTGTCTTAAAAAAAAAAAAAAAGTCTTCTTTGGAGAGCAAGAATCCTTCATAGATAAATGTTCTGTGTTTCCTATTGTATCACATCAAGAAGCCCTGGTTGTTCCTCCTTTCGCGATGTTAGATTTTGTCAGTGTATTCACTTGGTGACACTTGGTGTCCGTTTGATTCACCCACAAGCCACGTAACTAATGTTTTGGAGGTCATTGGTGACTGTTGACTGGATTATTTATTTCATTAGGACTGTAAAAAGATGGCAGCATATCATTCCTTCTGCACTTATTAGCTGAAATTATTCTATAAAGAAGAATTCTTAAGTTATTTAATTACTTTATCCATTCATTTTAAAATTTATTTTTTATTTTAAATTTATATTTATATTTATATTTAAAAAAATTTTTTTGAGACGGAGTCTCACTCTCGTTGCTCAGGCTGGAGTGCAATGGCGTGATCTTGGCTAACTGCAACCTCCACCCCCTGGGTTCAAGCGATTCTCCTGCCTCAGCCTCCAGAGTAGCCGGGACTATAGGCACATGCCACCATGCCCAGCTAATTTTTGTATTTTTAGTAGAGAAGGGGTTTCACCATGTTGGCCAGGCTGGTCTCAAACTCCTGATCTCAAACTCCTGATCTCAAGTGATCCTCCTGCCTCAGCCTCCCAAAGTGCTGGGATTACAGGTGTGAGCCACCATGCCCGCCTATTTTTATTTTTTATTTCAATAGTTTTTGGAGTACAGGTGGTTTTCGGTTACATGGATAAGTTCTTTGGTGGTGATTTCAGAAATTTTGGTGCACCCGTCACCCAAGCAGTGTACGCTGTACCCAACATGTAGTCTTTTATCACTCATCCCCCTCTCCCATTCCACCTCCAAGTCCCCAAATTCCATTATATCATTTTTATGTCTTTGCATCCTCACAGCTTAGTTCCCACTTATAAGTGAGAACATATGGTATTTGGTTTTCCATTCCTGAGTTATTTCACTTAGAATAATGGCCTCTAGCTCCATTCAAGTTGCTGTAAAAGACATTATTTTATTCTTTTTATGGCTGAATAGTATTCCGTGTGTATATATACCACATTTTCTTCATCCACTAATTTGTTGATGGGCACTTAGGTTTGTTTCATATTTTTGCAACTGCAAATTGTACTGCTATAAGCTTATAATGACTTCTTTTTCCTTTGGGTAGGTACCCAGCAGTGGGATTGTTGGATTGAATGGTAGTTCTACTTTTAGTTTTTAAAGGATCTCCATACTGTTTTCCATAGTGGTTGTACTAGTTTACATTCCCACCAGCAGTGTAAAAGTGTTCCCTTTTTACCACATCCACACCAACATCTATTATTTTTTGACTTTTTTATTATGGCCATTCTTGCAGAAGTAAGGTGGTATATCATTGTGGTTGCAATTTGCATTTCCCTGATAATTAGTGATGTTGAGCATTTTTTCAAATGTTTGTTGGGTGTTTGTATATTCTTGTCCTTTGTCAACTTTTTGATGGGATTGCTTTTTGATTGTGTTGTTTGTTTGATGGTATTGTTTGTTTGTTTTCTTGCTGGTTTGTCTGAGTTCCTTTTAGATTCTGGATATTAGTCCTTTGGCAGATGCATAGTTTGTGAATATTTTCTTCCACTCTGTGTATTGTCTGTTTACTCTGCTGATTATTTATATTGCTGTGCAGAAGCTTTTTAGTTTAATTAGGTCTCTGTTGTTGTTGCATTTACTTTTGGGGTCTTAGTCATGAATTCTTTGCCTAAGCCAACGTCTAGAAGAGTTTTTCTGATGCCATCTTCTAGAATTTTTATAGTTTCAGGTCTTAGATTTAAGTCTTTGATCCATCTTGGGTTGATTTTTGTATAAGGTGAGATATGAGGATTCAGTTTCATTCTTCTACATGTGGCCTGCCAGTTTTCCCAGCACCATTTATTGTATAGGGTGTCCTTTCCCCGATTTATGTTTTTGTTTGCTTTGTCAAAGATCAGTTGGTTGCAAGTATTTGGCTTTGTTTCTGGATTCTCTATTCTGTTCCATTGGTCTATGTGCCTATTTTTATACCAGTACCACGCTGTTTTGGCAATTATAGCCTTGTAGTACAGTTTGAAGTAAGGTAATGTGATGCTTCTAGATTTGTTCTTTTTGCTTAGTCTTGCTTTGGCTGTGTGGGCTCTTTTTTGGTTCCACATGAATTTTAGGATTGTTTTTTCTAGTTCTGTGAGGAATGACAATGGTATTTTGATGGGAATTGCATTGAATCTGTACATTGCTTTGGACAGTGTAGTCATTTTCACAATTGAGTCTACCTATATGTAAGCATGGGATATAGTTCCATTTGTTTGTGTCTATGATTTTGATTTCTTTCAGCAGTATTTCATAGTTTTCCTCGTACAGATCTCTCACCTCCTTGGTTAAATATATTCCTAAGTATTTTATATTTTTGCAGCTGTTGTAAAGGGATTGAGTTCTTGATTTGATTCTCAGCTTGGTTGTTGGTGTGGTGTATGGATAGGATAATACACCTAGAAAACCCTAAAGACTCATCCAGAAAACTCCTAGATCTGATAAATGAATTCAGTAAAGTCTCATTTTTTAATTTAAAACTTTATACCTTTTACTTCTGGAGCCTCTATTTTTAAATATACTACATTATTATTTATTTATTCCTTATTTCTTTCATTTTCTGTTTTTCAATATATTCTTGTTTCTCTTTTATTTCTTTAAACAGAATAAGCGTAATTATTTTAGAATCTGTATCATAATTACAATATCTAAAGTCTTTTGGGCTCAGTTTTTGCTGTTGTTATTTCTTTTGGTTCTTATTTATGAGGTCTCCTTGTGTGTGTGTGTGTGTGTGCTACTAATTTTCCTTGGAAAATGACTTGTAGGCATTCTTTGGTGCTAGGATGAAAAGACATTTTTCTAGTGTGGATTTGGATTTGTTTCTGCCACATGCCTGGGCACATTATACTCACCTCTTCAGGACTACAACAAACTAAATGTACAAATTAAGCAGATTTTTTTGTTTGTCTGTTTTTAAACTACCTGAATCTGAAATTACACTGAAAATTTCTGTAAGGGCCCACTTGTGGTCACAAATTCCTCTGCTGACACCAAGGCAGCTTTTGTTGCAGTTCCCTGAAAATGGGGAGGTAAGGGAAGGTTCAGTACAGCAGGGAATCTCCTCTCAGACTCTCCACCCTGGTGAGTCTTCCATCCCTTCCTCTAGAAAAGAAAGCTCAAGTCTGCATATGCGGTGGATGCCCTCCAAGCAGATATGACTGCTGTTTTGAATACTTCTTTAGGTTTCTGACCCCCTTTATATTTTGGCCTGTTGATTCTTTACTGTCTTCTTGGCTCTACCATGCTTTTAAGAAGATATTTCCATTTTCCCCAGCATTTTTTAGTTTTTTTTTTGCAGGGGGGAGTATCAATTGAATACCTAACCTACTATATTGAAGAAAACAGAAATCTGTTTAGCTTTTCTAGCACAACCTTTTATTTTTATAGAATTAATCATTGTCTTTTATCCTCCTTAGCTTTCTACCAACTTGCTACTAATATATCTGCAAACTCTTCTCATGCAAATCTCTTCTCCCTAAGTTCAAATGCATTAGGTAGTCTATGTATTTCTTAAAGAAATCACTCTCAAACCCTTTGGAACTGCTCTAATTTTGATGAATTGATCTCTAGTCCTGCTATACAACTTGGCATCTCTCTTCACCATTGTCCTGGAGATTACTTTCGTCTCTTTTGTGCTGGATCGCTGGATCCCATTTCTTGGACTTTATGCATTTCTCTCTCTCTCTCTCTTTTTTTTTTTTGACTGACTAATTTGTCTTGGCATAATAAATCTTCTATCTTTCTGAAAAGCAGTGCATGGAATAGCAATAATTTGAGAACTTGCATGTCTGAAATAGTTTTTATTCTGGATTCACAATTCAATTATAGTTTGATTCAACATAGTACTAGAAGTCCTAGCCAGAGCAATCAGGCAAGAGAGAAAGAAATAAAAGGTATCCAGACTAGAAAAGAGGAAGTCAAGTTATCCCTGTTCACTGATGATATGATCTTTTTTTTTTTTTTTTTGAAACGGAATTTCGCTCTTGTTGCCCAGAATGCAGTGCAATGGCACCACCTTGGCTCACCGCAACCTCTGCCTCTTGGGTTCAAGCGATTCTCCTGCCTCAGCCTCCCAAGTAGCTGGGATTACAGGCATGCACCACCATGCCCGGCTTGTTTTGTATTTTTAGTAGAGACAGGGTTTCTCCATGTTGGTCAGGCTGGTCTTGAACTCCCGACCTCAGGTGATCTGCCTGCCTTGGCCTCCCAAAGTGCTGGGATTACAGGTGTTGAGTCACCACCCCTGGCAATATGATCTTATATCTACAAAATCCTGAAGACTCCACCAAAAAAACTGCACCAAAAAAACTCTTAGATTTGATCAATTAATTCAGTAAAGTTTCAGGATACAAAATAAATGTACAAAAATCAAGAGTGTTTGTATTCACTAATAATGTTCTAGCTGCAAATGAAATCAAGAAGGCAATCTCATTTACAATAGCTACCAAAAAATAAAATATCTAGGAATATATTAACCAAGGAAGTAAAAGGATTCTATAAGAAAAACTACAAAACATTGATGAAAGAAATTGTAGGTGACACAAACATCCCATGCTCACTGATTGGAAGAGTTAATATTGTTAAAATGACCATACTATCTAAAGCAATCTACAGATTCAGTGCAATCCCTATCAAAATATCAAGGTTACTTTTCACAGAATTAGAAAAAAAAATCCTAAAAAATTCATATGGAAAAAAAAACAGCCCAAATAGCCAGAACTTTCCTAAGCAAAATAAACAAAGCTGGAGGCATCACATTATCTGACTTGAAATTATACTACAAGGCTATAGTAAACAAAACAGCATGATATTCATTTAAAAATAGACACATAGATCAATGGAACAGAGTAGAGAACCCAGAAGTAGATGCACATATTTAGAGTCAAAATTTTTTTTTTATTGAGTCAGGGTCTCACTCTGTTGCTCAGGCTGCAGTGCAGTGGTGTGATCATGACTCACCGCAGCCTGGACCTCTTGGGCTTAAGCAATCCTCCTGCTTCACCTTTAGAGTAGCTCAGGACTACAGGCACACACCACCATACACAGCTAATTTTTTTAATTTTATTTTTTGTAGAGTCAGGGTCTCACTATGTTGCCCAGGCGGGTCTCAAACTCCTGGCCTCAAGTGATCCTTCTGCCTTAGCCTCCCAAAGTGTTGGAATTATAGGGATGAGCCACCATACCTGGCCTGATCTTTGACACAGTCGACAAGAACACACACTGGGCCAACCTGGGCAATATAGTGAGGCTCCATCTCTACAAAAAATTAATTTAAAAAATTATCTGGGAGTGGTGGCATGTGCCTGTAGTCCCAGCTACTCGGGAGACTGAGGTGGGGGAATAGCTTGAGCCCAGGAAGTCAAAGCTGCAGTGAGCCATGATTGTGCCACTGCACTCTAGCCTGGGCGACAATGCGAGACCCTGTCTCAAAAAATCAATAAATACACACAGGCACACACACAAGGGAAAGAATATCCTTTTCAACAAATGGTATAAACAGTGCTGGGGAAATTGGATTGCCATGTGCAGAAGAACGAAACTGGACCCCTATCTTTTACTACATGCGAAAATCAACTCAAGGTGGACTAAAGACTTAAATGTAAGATGTGAAACTATAAAAATACCAGCCAAAAACCTAGGGAAAACTCTTCTGGACATTGGCTTAGCAAAATAATTCATAACTAAGACCTCAAAAGCACAGGCAACAAAAAACAAAAATAGGCAAGTGGGACTTAATTAAACTACAAAGCTTCTGACTAGTAAAAGAAATAGTCAACAGAATGAACAGACAACGTGCAGAATGGGAGAAACTATTTGCAAAATACACATCCAACAAGGGTCTAATATCAGAATATAAAAGGAACTAAAATTCGACAAAAATCTCAGATAACCCCATTAAAAGTGAGCAAAGGATATGAATAGACATTTTTTTCCAAAAATACATACAAATGGCCAAGAAACATATGAAAAAATGCTCAACATCACTAATCATCAGAGAAATGCAAATTAAAACCACAATGAGACACCGTCTTACAACAGTCAGAATGGCTATTACTGAAAAGTCAAAAAATAACAGATGTTGGTGAGGACATGAAGAAAAGAGAACACTTAAACACTGTTGGTGGGAATGTAAATTAGTACAACTTCTATGGAAAACAGTATGGAGATTTCTCAAAGAACTAAAAAATAAAACTACCACTTGATTCCACAATCCCATTACTGGGTATCTACCCAAGGAAAAGAAATTACTACATCAAAAAGATACTGGCATTTGTACGTTTACTGCAATACTATTCACAATAGCAAAGATATGGAATCAACCTAAGTGTATATCAATGGACGACTGGTTAAAGAAAATGTGGTCTATATATACAATGAAATACTATTCAGCCATAAAAAAGAATGAAATCTGTCTTTTGCATAAACATGGATGGAATGGGAGACCATTATCTTAAGTGAAACAAGTCAGAAACAGAAAGACAAATGTTGCATGTTCTCACTTATAAGTGGGAGCTAAACAATGTGTACACATGGACATAGAGTGTGGAATAATAGACAATGGAGACTCAGAAGGATGATGGAGTTTGAGGGGGCTGGATGATGAGAAATTACTTAATGGGTACAATGCATATTGTTTGGGTAATGGATACCCTAAAAGCCCTGACTTCACCACTGCACAATCTATGCATCTAACAAAATTGCACTTGCATTCCACAAATTTATACAAAAATAATGTTGAATCAAAAAACATTATAGTTTGGTGGAACATAGAATTATAGGTTGGAAATAATTTCCCTAAAAAATTTGAAGATATTTTATATTATTTTCTAGCTCCCAATGTATTTTTTCTTTTTTAAGAGACAGGGTCTCACTCTGTCACCCAGGCTGGTGTGCAGTGGCGTGATCATGGCTGACTGCAGCCTTGACCTCCTGGGCTCAAGCAATACTCCCACCTCAGCCTCCCAAGAAGCTGGGATCACAGGCACTCGCTACCATGCCCTACTATTTTTTTTAAATTTTTTTTTGTAAAGATGCAGTCTCCCTATGTTGCCCTGGCTGGTCTCAAACTCTTGGGCTCAAGTGATCCTCCCATCTTGGCCTCCCAAAGTGCTGGGATTAGAGGAGTGAGCCACCACACTCATTCCTCCCAATGTTGATGAGTTTGTAAGCCCAATGCTGTTCTGATAAGGAATCAATTAAATACAATTAAAAATTTTATTTTTGTGTGGGCACACAGTGGTGTATATATGTATATATTTATGGGGTACATGAGATACTCTGATACAGACATGCAATAAGTAATAATCACATCATGAAAAATGGAGTATCCATCCCCTCAAGAATTTATCCTTTGTGTTACAAACAATCCGATTATACCCTTTTAGTTATTTTAAAATGTACAATTAAATTATTATTGACTATAGTCACCCTGTTATGCTATCACATACTAGGTCTTTTTCATTATTTCTATGTTTTATACCCATTAGCCATCCCCACTTCTCCTCAACCCCACACTACTCTTCCCAGCCTTTGGTAACCATCCTTCTACTCTCTATCTCCGTGAGTTCAACTGCTTTGGTTTTTAGCTCTCACAAATAAGTGAGAACATGCTAAGTTTGTCTTTCTGTGCCTGGCTTATTTCATATGACATAATGACCTCCAGTTTCATCCACGTTGTTGCGAGTTACAGGATCTCATTCTTTTTCATGGCTGAATAGTAAGTACTCCTATGTGTATACGTACTACATTTTTTTAAATCCATCTGTTGATGGACACTTAGTTTGCTTCCAAATTTTAGCTATTGTGAATGGTGCTGCAACAAAAATGGGAGTACAGATATCATTTCGATATACTGATTTCCTTTCTTTTGGGTATATACCCATCAGTGGGATTGCTGGATTGTATGGTAGCTCTATTTTTAGTTTTTTGAAGAAATTCCAAACTGTTCTCCATAGTGGTTGTACTAATTTACATTCACACCAACAGTGTACGAGGGTTCCATTTTCTCCACATCCTCTCCAACATTTGTTATTGCCTGTCTTTTGGATAAAAGCCATTTAAACTGGGGTAAGATGATATCTCATTGTAGTTTTGATTTGCATTTCTCTGATGATCAATTATGTTGAGTACCTTTTCATACACTTGTTTGCCATTTGTATGTCTTCTTTTGAGAAATGTCTATTCAGATCTTTTGCCCATTTTTAAATCAGATTATTAGATTTTTTTTTCTTTTGTTTGTGCTCCTTATATATTCTGGTTATTACTCCCTTGTCAGACAAGTAGTTTGCAAATATTTTCTCCCATTCTGTGGCTTGTCTCTTCACTTTGTTGTTTTCTTTGCTGTGCAGAAGCTTTTTAACTTGATGTGATCCTGTTTGTCCATTTTTGCTTTGGTTACCTGTGCTTGTGGGGTATCTCAAGAAATTTTGCCCAGGCCAATGTCCTGGAGAGGCTCCTCAATGTTTTCTTGTAGTAGTTTAATAGTTTCAGGTCATAGATTTAAGTCTTTTTTTTTTTTTTTTTTTTTTTTTTTTTTTTGAGACAGAGTCTCGCTCTGTCACCCAGGCTGGAGTGCAGTGGCGCGATCTCGGCTCACTGCAAGCTCGGCCTCCCAGGTTCATGCCATTCTCCTGCCTCAGCCTCCCGGATAGCTGGGACTACAGGTGCCTGCCACCACACCTGGCTAATGTTTTGTATTTTTAGTAGCGACAGGGTTTCACCGTGTTAGCCAGGATGGTCTCAATCTCCTGACCTCGTGATCCACCCACCTCGGCCTCCCAAAGTGCTGGGATTACAGGCATGAGCCATTGCGCCCAGCCAGATTTAAGTCTTTAAGCCATTTTGATTTGATTTTTATATATGGTAAGAGATAGGGGTCAAGTTTTATTCTTCTGCATAGGGATATCCAGTTTTCCCTGTATCATTTATTGAAGAAACTGTCTTTCCCCCAGTGTCTGTTCTTGGCACCTTTGTCAAAAATGAGTTCAATACAGATATATGGATTTGTTTCTGGATTCTGGATTCCATTCCATTGGTCTGTGTCTGTTTTTATGCCAGTACCATGCTGTTTTGATTATTATAGCTCTGCAGTATAATTTGAAGTCAGGTAATGTGATTCCTCCAGTTTTGTTCTTTTTGCTCAGGATAGCTTTGGCTATTCTAGGTCTTTTGTGGTTCCATTCTAGGTCTCTTAGGGTTGTTTTTTCTATTTCTGTTAAGAATGTCATTGGTATTTTGATAGGGATTGCATTGAATCTATAGATTGCTTTGGGTAGCAATGGTGTTCTGATTCTTAATCCTAATGTTATACTGATTTTTAAAAAATGTATTAACAAAGCAACAACATGAAGTCACATGTTCTGATTTTTTTTGTCTGTATATGCAACTTGTTCTTTCTCTCTGGAAGCTTTTAGAATTTTTTTCTCTGTGTCCAGTACTCTGAGATTCTATAATGATGTGTCTTGGTGTGGGTTTGATTTGTTGTTCTGGATACTTAGGGTGCCTGTTCAATTTGGAGACTGTTCTTCAGTTTGGGATAGTCCTTTTAAATAGTTTTTTTGATGATCTCTTCTGATTCTCTGTTCTCTTTCTGGAACTCTAATTTAGAACTCTTATTTAGTCCAGACCTTCTGGACTGATCCTTTATTTTTATGTTTTCTCCTAAAGCAGAACAAATTTGATCTTCTTCAACTTTATCCCCCAGCCTTTTTATAGAATTTTTATTTCTGTAACATGGTTTTAGTTTCCAAGAGCTCTTTTTGCTTATCCGAATAGTAGTTACTCTCAAGTAGTTTCCTGTTGTTATTTTATGAATGCTCTATAATATCTCTTTGAGAAGTCTGATGATGGATTATTTTTAAATGCTTTGTTGTTTCAGACGGAGTCTAGCTCTGTGGCCCAGGCTGGAATGCAGTGCCGCAATCTCAGCTCACTGCAACTTCCGCCTCCCAGGTTCAATCAATTCTTCTGCCTCAGCCTCCTGAGTAGCTGGAACTATAGGCGCGTGCCACCATGCCCAGCTAATTTTCGTATTTTTAGTAGATACGGGGTTTCACCACGTTAGCCAGGCTGGTCTTGAGCTCCTGACCTCAAGTGATCCGCCCGTCTCGGACTCCCACAGTTTTGGGATTACAGGCGTAAGCCACCGTGCCCGGCCTATTTTTAAATTTTTTATTTTTAGTGTTTTTTCCCCTCCCTTGCAATTTATGTTTCCTCTCATTTGCTTTTCCCTTCTTGTTTGTTTCTTACTTGTATATTAAAGTCCTTCCTTAAATGTCTAATGATCTCTGGCTATTTATTTTGAAGAGTAAGAACACTAAAAAGCTGATTGGAAAGTGGAATGAGGGCTGGGGCACGTAGGCCAAAGTGTTACATGTGGAATTCATTCTAGTTATCTATATCATTAAGAGAACTCTGATAAGGGTATCTTTGGGATTTTTCGTTTTGGCTGGTGAGATTCCCCAGAGAGGGTTTTCCAAAGGTATAATCAGCCTCTTGTTTACCTTTGTTTCGTAATAAATATTCTCAAGTTTGCTAAACCAGTTAACATTCTTCTGTTTGATTTCCAGCTTCCAAAATGTTGCTGTTGTTGTCTCCTTTCCCTTTCTTACGGCCTGGAGAGTAATACATAATTTCACCTTAACTGGAAGCCCATGTATGCATGTATGTATGTATGTATGTATGTATGTATGTATGTATGTATGTACGTACTTATTTGAGACGGGGTTTCGCTGTGTTGCGCAGGCTGCACTTGAACTCCTGGGCTCAGGAGATCCTCCTGCCTCAGCCTCCGGAGTAGCTGATACCACAGGTGCGTGCCACCACGTCTGGCTGCCCGCATTATTTCTCTAGGATTTTTACTGGAGGTCATTTTACTGGAGGTCAACTGCAGGATCGTATAGGAAGGTTTTGACACAAATTTTCTGATTGCCTCAAAGCAATATGTATATATGAAAAGAGGTAAGCGTCCGTATAATAATTGTTTGTTTTGCAACAAGCATTTAATAACTTTCACCGGCACTGCGCACGCTACCTATCTGCCTCAATACTCCGCCCGGCGGTGGGCAGGATATAATGCAAGAGACGTCTGAAAAAGCAATGAGATGCGCATGACAGCTGGGCGAAGACAGAGGGCAAACTTAAAAGGACCAAGCGCATAGACCACGCCTCTGAAATTGGGGAACGAGGAGGGGTTTGATCTTGTCGATGATTGGCTGGTCTCTGACCAATCACGGACAGCGATTGATATTTCTAATCGTCGTGATCCACCTCCCCAGGACCTTGGAGCCACGTTTACAAATAGGAATAGGGTACGTGGGAGGGATAGAACGTACAGCCAATAAAATCATGTGGCGCCGATGGGCGTGTTGAGGCCGCTGCCTGGCTTAGGGCGGAAACAGATTCTCTGCATAAGAAGGGGAACGAAAGATGGCGGCGGAAACGCTGCTGTCCAGTTTGTTAGGACTGCTGCTTCTGGGACTCCTGTTACCCGCAAGTCTGACCGGCGGTGTCGGGAGCCTGAACCTGGAGGAGCTGAGTGAGATGCGTTATGGGATCGAGATCCTGCCGTTGCCTGTCATGGGAGGGCAGGTGAGAGGCGTATAAGGGGCGAGGGTCTGGGCAGAAGAGGAAGCGGGTAAGAGATAGAGGAAGAAGGGCAGCTCCGGAGTCTGGGGCTGGAGCCTACGGGGAATCGGGAAGAGTAGGTATTGCTTTTACGGTGACCCCTGGGGGTCGCAGACTGAGACCAATTCTCTGGGGGCCAGGAATTGGGAGAGGTGGGGCTTCCCGCTGTCAACCTTCAGGTCTCAGTTTATGATCGAAACACCCGGACTCCGCCCCCGTGGAGAAATGGGAGCGCCCTCTCCTCTCACCCACTAAATACAGCTGGAGGGCTTATGGCTTATTCTGTCTTCGACTGATCTCTTCCCCAGGGTTTGAAGAGGGATTTCGTTGTTCTCCCTGATCCCAGCCTTTCTTTGCTTCCTTGCCCCCCGACCCTCCCTTCTTTCCCAGAGCCAATCTTCGGACGTGGTGATTGTCTCCTCTAAGTACAAACAGCGCTATGAGTGTCGCCTGCCAGCTGGAGCTATTCACTTCCAGCGTGAAAGGGAGGAGGAAACACCTGCTTACCAAGGGCCTGGGATCCCTGAGTTGTTGAGCCCAATGAGAGATGCTCCCTGCTTGCTGAAGGTGAAAGGGACTGGGTTAGATAGAATGAGGGCTTGGAAACTAGCAGTTCATCCAAGAACTGGAGTCCACTGAATGAGGCAGGATCTAGGGGACCTGTAGTGGTTAAGAAGACCACTGGAGGAGTAGACAGATTACACGGACAGGAAAGAAGCAAAGAATCCTGCAACCACTGATGACACTTTGCTGAACGTAGGAGCAGGTTAGGATAGAAGATCTCAGAAAAGGGCTAAAGCAAGATTGAGGGTCTGCGTGGGGTAGGAGGAGTACTTCCTTAAGCCTACTTGCTAAAGTCACCCCCTGCCCTATCACTCTGCTCCAGTATCCTGTTTTATTTTCATCGTAGCACTTTTCATGATCTGAAATCATATTTACTGAATCAGTTTGTTTATTTTCGGTCTGATTCCCCGCATTAGAGTGTAAACTCCATGAGGTCAAAGAATTAATCTTGTTCACAGTTGTATTCCCAGTGGCCAGAACAGTGCCAGGAATGTTCAAGAAGTTCAATTAATATTTAATTTTGGGTTCTTCTATGTTTCCCTAATATAATTGCTTCAGGGATACCATAATTTCTTATCTTTATGGAGGGCAAATAAGGATTTAAAAAATCTTTTAAAAGGGAGGAATGGAAAGACCACAAGTGGAAAACAGACTTTAGAGATATCTCTCCAAGTCACAGAAGGAAAGCAGCCCTCCCTCCTTACTGAAAGTCTGGAGAATTGAGAGTGGAAGTGAAGGGAAGAGAATTGAGTGTGTAAGTAGATGAGAGGTTATGTGTCTTGGAGCCAGGAGACTCTGGTTCCAAGAAAAGATGTCTGCACTCCATCCCCCTGATTGTTTATTTTTTAATTGTCAGACAAAGGACTGGTGGACATATGAATTCTGTTATGGACGCCACATCCAGCAATACCACATGGAAGGTAACTCACTCCTATATTTTCCTTAAGCCCTTAGTGTCATATCATGGAAGTTCCCCAGTTCCCTCCTCCTCCTCCTCCTCTTAAGAGTAACAGTGCTTCACTGTGGCTTCCCTTGCAGATTCAGAGATCAAAGGTGAAGTCCTCTATCTCGGCTACTACCAATCAGCCTTCGACTGGGATGATGAAACAGCCAAGGTGGCAAGAGTGTGGGATTCAGGAAGAAAGGGTTCTGGCCACCGGCTGAGAGCCCTGACAAGAAGGGGAGGGTCAAGATTAGCTGATCTGTTTCTTGGGGCTTGGTGGCCATTAGGACAAAGTTTCCTGGGGCCTGGGGGCACAGGCCATTCTTTTGTCTCTTTGGGGACGCAGTGCCATCCTTCCTCTTTGCTATCTTTCTCATGTCCCCCATTCCTGCCTCATGTCTTCTCCAGGCCTCCAAGCAGCATCGTCTTAAACGCTACCACAGCCAGACCTATGGCAATGGGTCCAAGTGCGACCTTAATGGGAGGCCCCGGGAGGCCGAGGTTCGGGTGAGTCTTGAGAGAGGGAAGTTGACACTCCCACAGGGACAGTTCAGATTCTAAGGGAAGAGGGTTGCATCTTATAGTCGGGGCGGGGGCGGGGGGGGTCCCCTCCCAGACCCTAAATCCAAAGTTTAAAACATATTTCCAGCCGGGCGCAGTGGCTTATGCCTGTAATCCCAGCACTTTGGGAGGCCGAGGCGGGCAGATCACCTGAGGTCAGGAGTTCAAGACCAGCCTGACCAATATGGTGAAACCCCATCTCTACTAAAAATACAAAAATTAGCCGGGCGTGGTAGCGGGTGCCTATAGGCCCAGCTACTCGGGAGGCTGAGACAGGAGAATTGCTTGAACCTGGGAGGCGGACGTTGCAGTGAGCCGAGGTCGTGCCACTGTGCTCCAACCTGGGTGACAGAGTGAGACTCTGTCTCAAAAAAGAAAAGAAAAAAAAAAACCCACATTATTTCCAGGCCGGGCACGGTGGCTCACGCCTGTAATCCCAGCACTAGATATCTCTCAAAACTCTCCTATGCTTTCTTGTGGTCGGTACCTTCACTCTCGCCTGCATCCCTGCAAACAGCTTCTTTACAAGTGCTTCTCATCTAGTGGTCCTTAGCTGAGTGGAGGCAGGCAAATATAGAATGCAAAAAGTTCCTTGGGTGATTCTCATGTATTCACAAATATACACACCTGTAAAGAATTACATGACACCTGCCAGAGTTATCTTTCCATAATGCAGATTTGTACCTGCAGTTGTGTGCTGGTAAGTGTTGGACCCCCAGATCTCTATGGGTGTGGGAGGGAAGCCCTGATCTGTAATGTTTGCCAATGCCTGTGGTATAAATACTCCCATGATGCGCAAGTCAAATGATGTCAACTGTCTTGCAACATTCTCCAAAACTTACCAGTTGGCTCCAACACACCTGTAAGTCTGCATCACTTCTCTGTTCAGTCCTGAAAAACCTTCAATGTTTCTGCCTTGCACAAAGGCTAAGAGCCAAATGTTTCAGCACAGACCAGGGTGGTGGCAGTGGAGGTGATGGGAAGTAGTTGGATTCTGGATATATTTTGAAGGTAGAGCCAATGAGATTTGTTGATGGTTTGGATGTGGGATAGAATCATGGATTACTTCAAGATTTTTGGCTTGAGCAACTGGAATGATGGAATTGTAATTTACTGAAGTGTGAAGGAACAGGTTTAGGGGAGGAAATTAGGTTGGTTTTGGATATTGAAGGTTGAGGTGCCTTTAGACATCCTAGTGGTGATGTCCAGTTGACAGTTGGCTCTGTGGTTCTGGAATTCAGGGACAAGGTCTGGGATAGAGATATAAGTACTCATTGTATTTCTGCCACACTGGCCTTTTTCTGTCCTTCGAACCAGTGGGTCTCATTGTTCCCTCTGCCTGGTGCAGTCTCCTGCAGATCTTTAAATGATTGGCCCCATCCCCTCATTCAGGTTATATTCAAGTGACAACTCCCAGGGAACCTAACATAAGCAAACACACACACACACACACACACACACACGGAACCTAACATAAGCAAACACACACACACACATACACACACACACACACACACACACACACACACACACACACACCCTATTGCTCCTGTCCTGGTAAGCATCCACAGTGTTTTGCATTCTTCAAAGCATGTATCATTACTTGAAATTATTGTATTTGTTTAATTCTGTCTTCCCTCACTAAGATAAGCTCTGGGAAGGCAGGGATGATGTCTATCTTGTTTTCTTATGTATCCACAGCTCCTGGAACAGTGCTTCACTCAAATAGGTACCTAGAAATTATTCATTGAATGAATGAAATGACTGACAAGCCAGTTCTAATATCACCTTTCTTGATTAACCCAGAAAATTAGTTAGTTGTGTTCCTTCACCACTTAATAATACAAGCATCCACACACGTATATAATCCGTTATAGCACTTCATTGTATTCTAGTTATTCGTTTGGGTGTTTGTATCTTCAGTAGGCCAAGAACTGAGGTCAAGACTGCATAGCTTCCTCATATCTGGTGAACATATGCCCTGTGCCAAGCACTAATAGAAACTAGGAACAAAAAGGTGGATGAGACCTAGTCCTGCTCTCAGGAGATATGTTAAATGAACAGCCACAACAAGCAGGATAAATGCCATGAGCAGTGAAGTGCAGCCCGCAGGGGAGCACACAGTCGGGACAGAGTCCAGGGTGAAAAGGAGGCCTCTTGGGAAAAGTGACCTTTGAACTGACATTGGAGGATGAGGAGTTAGACTAGCAGATGGAGAGGATGGTGGGGGGAATGAGAGGGCATTCCAAATGGAAGGTGCGCTAAGTGCAAAAGGCCTGGAGACAAGAGGCAATGGCCTATCCCAGGAACTGACAGATACTCACAGGGACTGAGGGGATAATCATGGGAAGAGGAGTGTAGGAGATGAGTCTGGGTGGTTGGTAGGGGACAGGTCATGAAGGGCTCTGTAGCTATGATGAGGAATTTAGACAATCCAAGAGACAATGGTTAGGGGAGGCAATGAGGTATTTGAAGCAGAATGATGACATATTCAGGTTTGGAATTGAAGGCCCACTCTAGCTGGAGTATAGCAAAGATTGAGAGCTCACTTAGGCAGCTGTGGTAATCCAGGTGTGAAATAAAAGTGGCCTGGGGATGAAGAAATGTGAATATTTAGAGACAGATTTAGGGGGTAAAATCAACAGAGTAAGAAGGAGTCAAGAATGATTTCCAGGCTTTTGGCTTGTGCAGTTAGATAGAGGGTGATTCGTGTTCCTGAGATAGGTATAATGAGAAGAGGAGTAGGTATGGTGAAGGAAAATGGTGAGTTTGGCTTTGAATATGATTTTAGTGGCTGCTAGGCATTCAAGTAGAGATTTCCAAGGGGGCTGTGGATCTCTGGGTCTGGAGTTCAGCAGAGAGATCTGAATTGAACCCAGAGGTGGGGAGTTGTCCTTGTATCAGCCATAACTGAAGCCAAGGTATGGATGAAATCCCCCAAAGAAAACAGTATCTAATGAGAAAAGTGGGATGGAACTTCAAGGAAGCCATCACTAAGAGCATGGGAAGAAGAGGGTTTTGCCAGAAGAAAGGGCCAGAGAGGAGGCTATGGTGACATGGAAACGAGGAAGGACACATTTGAAGGGGAAATTGGTCCATGGTGTTGGCTGTGCCTGAACCTTCAAGGAAGAGGAGGATTAAAAACTGCTTATAGGCAATCATAGTCATTATTATTTTAATAAAGGCAAAACATGTACATGGAAATAAAAAATTCAGACAGTAGAGAAGAGAGCCAGATGGAAAGTATAAATTCTCTACTTCCAGGCACCCCTGACCAGTCCTTTGGTTGGACTTAATGATAGAGATCATTGGTGATCTTTGCTGGGGCAATTTGAGCAGAGTTGTGAAGATGAGGTGTTGAGAAAAGTGGTGAAAAAGTGGAACTCTGCTGGGCGCGGTGGCTCATGCCTATAATCCCAGCACTTTGGGAGGCCAAGGCAGGCAAATCACTTGAGGTCAGGAGTTCAAGAACAGCCTGGCCAATATGGTGAAACCCCATGTCTACTAAAAATACAAAATTAGCCGGGTGTGGTGGTGGGCGCCTGTAATCCCAGCTACTCGGGAGGCTGAGGCAGGAGAATTGCTTGAACCCGGGAGGCGGAGGTCGCAGTGAGCTGATATCGCACCATTGCACTCCAGCCTGGGTGACAGAGTGAGACTGTCTCAAAAAAGAAAAAAAAGAAAAGAAAAAAAGAAAAAGAAACTGGAAATCTTTGAAGAAGTTTGGATATGAAAGGGAGATAAAAGGTAAGCATTAGTGAGAGGTGCTGGGGGGTTGAGAGAGGGGGCATTCTGTGGTTGGTGTGTGTTTTAAGATGGAACAGACTAGAACATGTTGAAGACTTGGGTGAATGTTAGTGGAGAGGAGGAGAGGGAAGTCAAGGTACAGTAGAGAGAATGTGAAAAGAATGTGGACAGGGATGGGATGCAGAACCCTGGGAGAGCAATTTGCCTCAAAAGGAAGGTCTAGGGTCGTAACTGGAATGGTGTATTTGCTAGTGAGTCTGGAGGTTTTGGTGGCAGAAAGTTGAGGCCATTCCTGTCTGGTTGCTTCTAGTTTTCAGTTCTTATGCCACTTGCCTAGGTGATCAGGTAAAGCCCCTACTCCAGGGCAGGCACTGTGATGTGTTGCTGGCCTGATGCCTCCTCAATAGGAACAGCGTGCATGTTGTTTAAAGTGCAGTCTCTGTGGGGCTAGGGAACAACTGGTTAGCTATATGGAATTAAATAAATTCCTATTTATTGGTGTGTGTTTTAAGATGCAACAGACTAGAACATGTTGAAGGCTGTTGGGTGGATGTTAGCGGAAAGGAGGAGAGGGAGATCAAGGTACAGTAGAAAAAGTGAGAAAAAAATGCGGACAGGGCTGGGATGCAGAACCCTGGGAGAGCAATTTGCCTCTAAAGGAAGGTCTAGGGTAGTAGACCAACTCAATTCTTATAAAGTAAGATTCTAGAGATATCAAAGATTTTTTTAAGTTATAAAACATACAATTATACAAAAAAAAATGTCATAGAGACCCATAAATTCACTGCCAAGTTAAACAGATGTTAATGTTTTGCCTGATTTGTTTCAGATCTCTGGTTTAAAAAAAGGAATAAAATGCTTGTGCTAATAGCTAAAGCCCACCTTCATATTTAGTCACTCTCCCTCCCGCCAGAAACAACCACAACCCTCACTATGTTTGTTTTGTATTTTTATTACTGATATATATATTACAGACAATAGATAGTGTTTTGTGTTTTAAAATTATACATCAGGAGTATCAACTTGTTTTTTTCACTGATCAGTGTGTTTGCCATTCAATGGCATGACATGGAACTCTGGTTGAGTGATTTTTTTTTTTTTTTTTTTTTTTTTTTTTTTGAGACAGAGTCTCGCTCTGTCACCCAGGCTGGAATACAGTAGTGCAATCTAGGCTCACTGCAACCTCGGCCTCCTGGGTTCAAGCGATTCTGCTGCCTCAGCCTCCTGAGTAGCTGGGACTATAGGTGCCCACCACCACGCCCAGTTAATTTTTATATTTTTAGTAGGGAAGGGGTTTCACCATGTTGGCCAGGCTGGTCTTGAACTCCTGACCTCAAGTGATCCACCCACCTTGGCCTCCCAAAGTGCTGGGATTACAGGTGTGAGCCACCGTGCCTGGCCTGGTTGAGTGATTTTAATGTCTGTATTGTGTTTCATTGCTTACTTACCCATTCCTCTGTTGATAAACAGTTGGGTTTCAACTCTAATGCCCTTATACACAGTGCTGCAATGTAGGTCTTATTGTGAGTGTACAAGAATTTCTCCAGGGAAATACCTAGAAAGTAGAATCACTGGGTTACAGGAGTGTATGTTATTGGTGAATTCAATTTTTTGTTTGTTTTGTTTTGTTTTGTTTTTTGAGATAGAGTTTCACTCTTGTTGCCCAGGCTGGAGTGCAATGGCGTGATCTTGGCTCACTGCAACCTCCGCCTCCCAGGATCAAGCGATTGTCCTGCCTCAGCCTCCTGAGTAGCTGGGACTACAGGCGCCTGCCACCATGCCCAGCTAATTTTTGTATTTTTAGTGGAGACGGGGTTTCACCATGTTGGCCAGGCTGGTCTTGAACTCCTTACATTGTGATCCGTCCACCTTGGCCTCCCAAAGTGCTGGGATTACAGGTGTGAGCCACCATGCCTGGCCCTCAATTTTTTTAATGATTGAAAAAATATATAACCTAAAAGTTATCATTCTAACAGTCTTTAAGTGTACAATTCAGTGGAAACATTCAGTGTTCTATCACCATCACTACTATTTCCAAAACTTTTTTCATCATCCCAAACAAAAATAACTCCTATTTCTCCCTCTCCCAGACTCTGTTCTACTTTCTGTCTGTATGAGTTTCCTGTTCTAGGTACTTCACATGAGTGAAATCATACAAGATTTGTCCTTTTGTGTCTGGCTTATTTCACTTAGCATGGTGTTTTCAAGGTTCATCCATGTTGTAGCATATATCAGAATTTTATTTCTTTTTATGGCTTAATCATGTTCCATTGTCTGTATATACATTTTGTTTACCTATTTATCAATGGATGGACAAATAGGTTTTCATCTTTTGGTTACTGTGAATAATGCTGCGATGAACATTGGTGTACAAGTATCTGTTTGAGTCCTGTTTTCAATTCTTTTGGGTCTGTACCTAGGAGTAGAATGTGCCTTATGGTAATTCTAGGTTTAGTTTTTTGAGGAACTGCCAAACTGTTTTCCATAGCAGTTGCATCATTTTACATTCCTAGTAGCAGTGCACAGGGTTCCAGTTTCTCCACACTACCTCCATCACTTATTTTCCTTTGTTTTCTTTTTCTTTTTTTTCAGTAATAGCCATCTTAATGGGTGTGAAGTAGTATCTCATAGTGGTTTTTGATTTGCATTTACCTAGTGATTAATGATGTTGAACATCTTTTCATATGCTTGGTGACCATTTGTATATCTTTTTTGGAGAAATGTCTATTCAAATCCTCTGCCCATTTTTGAATTGAGTTGGTTTTTGTTGGTGAGTTGTGAGAGTTCTTTATGTAATAAATTCTGAATATTAATCCCTTATCAGATCTATGATTTGTAAGTATTTTCTCCCATCCTGTGGTTGCCTTTTTACTATCTTTTGTTTTGCTTTGTTTTTTGGAGACAGAGTTTCACTCTTGTTGCCCAGGCTGGAGTGTAATGGCGCGATCTCAGCTCACTGCAACCTCCGCCTCCCAGGTTCAAGCGATTCTCCTGCATCAGCAGTGTCCTTTGGTGCACAAAAGCTTTTAATTTTGATTTCCAAGAGTTTTATAGTTTTAGCTCTTAAATTTAGGTCTTTGATTCATTTGAGGTTAATTTTTTTTTCTTAGAGATGGGGGTCTCGTTATGTTGCCCAGGCTAGCCTCAAACTCCTGGGCTCAGGTAAGCTTCCTACTTCAGCTTCTGAGTAGGTGGGATTATAGGGGTGTGCCATTGTGCCCAGCTGCTGATTTTGAGTTAATTTTTGTATGTGGTGTAATTTTTGCATATGGTCCAACTTCATTGTTTTGAATATGGATATCCAGTTTTCCTGGCATCGTTTGTTGAAAAGACTGTCCTTTCCCCATGGAATATTCTTGGTATCCTTACCAAAAATCAGTTGACCATATATGTGAGGGTTTATTTCTGGCCTTTCTATACTATTCCATTGGTAAATATGTCTGTCTTTTTGCCAGTATCACACTGTTTTGATTATAGTAGCTTTGTATTAAGATTTAAGTCAGGAAATGTGAGTCCTCTAACTTTGTTCTTTTTTTAATATTGTTATGGATATTTGGGATCCCTGGACATTCCATGTGAATTTTAAGATTTTTTTTTTTCTATAAAAAACACCATTGGATGCCTTTCATTTCTTTTTCATTCCTAATCACTCTAAAACTTCCAGTATTATGTTGAATAGAAATGAAAAGAATGGCTGTCCTTGTCTTGTTCCTAATCTTAAGGGAGAAGCTTTCAATGTTTCACCATTGAGTATGACGTTAACTGTGGGTTTTTCTTATATGGACTTTATCAATAACTGAAGACATTCCCTCCTATTCCTAGTTGATTGTTTTTTTACATGAAAAGGTTATTGAATTTATCAAGTCCATTTTCTGCATCAGTTGAGATGATCATTTGGGTTTTTTCCCCTTCATTCTATTAATGTATATGACATTGATTTACCTATGTTGAACCATCCTTGCATTCTTGGAGTGAATCCAACATAAATCATGATGTATAATGCTTTTAATATGCTGCTGAATTTGGTTTGCTACCATTTAGTTGAGGAATTTTGCATCTATATGTATAAAAGATATTAGTCGCCGGGAGTGGTGGCTCACACCTGTAATCCCAGCACTTTGGGAGGCCAAGGCAGGTGGATCATCTGAGGTCAGGAGTTCGAGACCAGCCTGGCCAACATGGTGAAGCCTCATCTCTACTGAAAATACAAAAATTAGCTGGGCGTGGTGGCGCACACCTGTAATCCCAGCTACTCGGGAAACCGAGACAGGAGAATCGCTTGAACCTGGGAGACGGAGGTTGCAGCAAACCAAGATTGCACCACTGCTCTCCAACCTGGGTGACAGAGCAAGACTCCATCTCCAAAAAAAAAAAGATATTAGTCTATTGTTTTCTTGTAGTATTTTGTAGTAGTATTGTCTAGCTTTGATATTATGGTAATGCCAGCCTCACAGAATAAGTTAGGAAAGCATTCTTTATAAATTTCAGATTTAATTATTTGTCACCTACATTCTTTCTATCTATACTTTGTCTTCTTGTTTTGTTTATAGTGTCTTAAATGAATTTTAATTTAAAAAATTTAAATTCCAATATAGTCAAACTTATCAGTCTTTTTCTTTATACCTTATACATCTTATGTCTTTTATTTAATCCTTTCCTATTTACTATTCATCTGTTTTTTTCAGGTTTCTAAAAAAGTAGAAAAGTGTGAATAGAGTTTCTCATACTTTGGACTACAATTCAGTAAAAATTTATCTTAATGTATGTTATAAGGTTAGGACCTAGATACACCTATTTTCCACAGTTGCCCCAGCACTGTTTATTGAATAGTCCATACATTCCTCTCTGATTTGTAATGCCTCCTCAGTTATTTACCAAGTTCTCAAATATATGTGCATTTTCTTCTTGGCTTCTCTTTTGTTCCAATAGTCTATCTATTCCTATGTCATTACCACGTTGTTTTAATTACTATAGCTTTTTCATAAATCTTGGTATCTGGTAGGATATACTCCCCTTTTTTCTTCAAAACTGTTGGGGCTATCATTGGCCAAGTTCTGTTAAAACTCCTTTTGGGGATTTTGGCTGGAATTTAATTTTAGACTGATTTGAAGAGAATTGATACTTTATAATATGAAGTCTTCATACACTATGAACGTGTTTGTTTCCATTTACTTGTTGTCCTATATTTTAGTAAAGCTTTAATTTTCTCTAAAAGTTCTTCTACATCTTATGTGAGATTAGTCTAGATACCTTATAGTTTTTATTTTTGTCTTGTTTGTGTATGCATATATTTCAAACATACAGGACCTTATAGTTTTAGATGCTATTTTAAGTAGCATCTTTTACAAATTTCATTTTCTTTATTATTATTATTTTTTGAGATGGGGTCTTGCTCTGTCATCAAGGCTGGGGTGCGATCTTGGCTCACTGCAGCCTCTGCCTCCCAGGTTCAAGTGATTCTCTGCCTCAACCTCCCGAGTAGCTGGGATTACAGGTGCGTACCACCACGCCCAGCTAATTATTGTAATTTTTTTAGAGCGGGGGTTTTGTCATATTGGCCAGGCTAGTCTCAAACTCCTGGCCTCATGTGATCCACCGTCGGCCTACTAAAGTGCTGGGATTACAGGCAATGAGCCACTGTGCCTGGCCAAAAATTCCGTTTTCTGATTGTTGCTGGTACATGGTCACATTATTGGTTTTACATATTGATCTTACACTCAGCAACTCTTTTTTGAACTCTTTCATTTTTAGTAGTTCACAAATTCTTGTGGATTTTCTGTATAGATAATTATGTCATCTGCAAGAGAAACAGTTTTGGTTTCTTCCTTTCTAAGTTGTATACATTTCATTTTTCTTATACCTCGAGTGCAACAGAAGTGGCAATGATGGGCATCCTTGACTTGTTTCTGACTTTAAAGGGGATGCTCCTGAAGTTTCACTGTTAGCGTGATGTTTTCCTGCAGGCTTTTTGCAGATACCTTTTATCAGGTATGTGAAGTTCCATTCTGTACCTAGACTGCTGGATATTTTCACCATGTATAGGTGTGGAAGTTTAACACATGCTTATTCTGTGTCTATTGAGATAGTCATATGGTTTTTTTAATATTAAAAATGTTAATTTATTTTCTAGTTTTTTTTTATTCTTTCACTTCTGGGATAATCCATGGTCATGAAGTTTTTTTTTTGTACATTGCTATATTCAGTATCCTGATAGTATAATTAACTTTTATAACTATTTTCGTAAGTGAATTGGTCTATAATTTTCTCTTCTTGTACTTACCTTGTTTTTGTATAAAGTTGCATTCACTTCATAAAATATCTTGAGGAGCTTCCCTCTTTTTCTGCTCTGTGGAGCAGTTTGCTAAGATAGAGATTATTCTTCAAAGGTTAGGTAGGGTCGGGTGTGGTGGCTCATGCCTGTAATCCCAACACTTTGGGAGGCCAAGGCAGGAAGATTTCTTGAGCCTAGGAGCCCAGCCTGAGCAACATAGTGAGACTCCTGTCTCTCAAAAAAAAAGTTTTAAATTAGCCTGATGTGGTGGTGTACACCTGTAGTCCCAGTTACTTGGGAGGCTGAAGCAGGAGGATTGCTTTAGTTGGAGAGGTTGAGGCTGTTAGGAGCTGTTATCACGCCACTGGACTCCAGCCTGGGTGACAGAGCATGACTCTCTGAAAAAAAAAAAAAAAAAAAAAAAGTTTAGATAAAATAAATCCTCCCCATCCCCACAATATGCTACAAAACCGGTATATTGGGGGGATCGTTGTTGCTACTGATTTAATTTATTTAAAGATTATAAGACTTTTTTGGTTTGCTGCATCATGAAGCTTTAATAAAGTATAATTTCATAGGCCATTATTCATTTGTCTAAATTTTCAAATGTATTAGTATAAAATTACAGATTTTTTTGTTTTTTAATAATCTCTTTTTGTAAATATATCCTCTTTTGCATTCCTAATATTGACTTTGCCTTTTCTCTTTTTTCTTGATCTATGTTGCCAGAGGCTTGTCTAGTTTATTAGTCCAATAACCACCTTTTGGTTTTGTTTATCCTCTCTGTTGTTCATTTAGTATTTCACTAACATTGTATTAGTCCATTCTCACATTGTTATAAAGAAATACCTGTGACTGGGCAATTTATAAAGAAAAGAGGTTTAATTGTCTCACAGTTGTGCTGGCCATACAGGAAGCATAGCAGCCTCTACTTCTGAGGAGGATTTAGGAAGCTTCCAATCATGGTGAAAGGCAAGTGGGGAGCCAGAGTCTCACATGGTGGAAGCAGGAGCAAAAGAGAGAGGGGGGACATGCCACAACCAGATCTCTTGAGAACTCACTCACTGTCACGAGAAAGCACCAAGGGGATGGTGCTTTATGCTCCACTATGCCCAGCTAATTTTTTTATTTTTAGTAGAGACGGGGTTTCTTCATGTTGGTCAGGCTGGTCTCGAACTCCTGACCTCAGGTGATCCACCTGCCTTGGCTTCCTAAAGTGCTGGGATTACAGGCGTGAGCCACCGTGTCCCGCCACATGTTCGTTATTTTATCTTTGTTATTTCCTTCCTTCTCCTTTCTTTGTGTTATTCTGATTTCTTTTTTTTCTAACAACTTGAATTTTTTTTAACATTAAAAAATTCTGGCCAGGCATGGTAGCTCATGCCCTATAATCCTAGCATTTTGGGAGGCCAAGGTGGGAGGATCACTTGAGGCTAGGAGTTTGAGACCAGCCTAGGCAACACAGTGAGACCCTGTCTCTATGGAAAAAAAAAAAAAATTAGCCAGGTGTGGTGGCACGTGCCTGTGGTCCCAGCTACTTGGGAGGCTGAGTTGGGAGGATCTCTTCAACCCAGGAGGTCAAGGCTACAGTGAGCTATGAACACACCACTGCACTCCAGCTTGGTGACAGAGCAAGACATCATCTCAAATTTTTTAAATAAAAAATTCTATATTAAATTTTCTGAATAGGCATAATCACATTCACATAACTCAACTATAGAAATGCTTAAAAGGTATACAGAGAAAAGTATTAACACATCTTGTCCCTCATTAGCCTCTTTCCATCCTTAAAGAAAGGTAACCATTGTTAATTTCTTTATATACTCTGAGATTTTTTTAAATGCACATATAAGCATATATCTTTGCACTCTTTCCAAATCAATATATATATAAAACCTTACTTGGGCCAGGTGTGGTGGCTCATGCCTGTAATCCTAGCACTTTGGGAAGTGGAGGCAGGAGGATCGCTTGAGGCCAGTAGTTTGAGACCAGCCTAGCCAACGTAGTGAGATCCCATCTCTACAAAAAAATATTTAGCCAGGTGTGGTAGTGTGTGCCTGTGGTCCCAGCTGCTCAGGAGGCTGATAAGGGAGGATCTTTTCAGCCCAGGAGGTCAAGGTTGCAGTGAGCTATTGTCATACCATTGCACTCCAGCCTGAGCAAAAGAGTGACACTGTCTCAAAAAAAAAAAAAAAGTCATCCTTATTCCTGCATATAGTTTCTGTTATTCTGTTATATAGTTGTATCATTTTTTATCTAAATGGTTCCCTGTTGATGGACATTTAGCTTGCTTTAAATCTTTTATTAACACACAAGTGCTGCACTGAATAATCTTGTACTTACAGAGGATATGTAAATTGAGTTCCTGGAAGTAAGTTTGTGTAGTTTTGCTATGTGCTGCAGTAAGTTTGTGTAATTTTGCTACGTGCTGCGAAATCACTCTGCTTAGGTAAATTACTTTCCCTCCAACAACGTATGGGAATGCTGATTTCCCTATAGCCGTGCCAACCTGGTATATTTTTAAACTTTTGGATTTTGGCCAATCATCAGGTAGGCATCAGAGAAAGAATGATTTCTTAGTGTGGTTTTAATTTGCATTTCTCTTAAGAAAAAAATGTCTAATTTTCCTCATTTAAGGGTTTTCTCTACTCCCTTCTTTACTCTTTTCTTTCAGCTGTCCAAATTCTTTGCTCGTTTTCCTAATGGCTTGCTGGTCTTTTTCTTGTCAATTTATAAGAACTCTATATAGTAGAGATATTGTCCTTTTGTCTGTGATGTGAGTTGCAAATATTTTTATAACTTCTTCAGCGAAATGCTTTTCAATCTGTCTTCTCTCTTAATTATACACTTAAAGCTCTACATTTCACTCTGAGTACTATTTTGGTTGCATCCCTCAAATTTTAGTATGTGGTGTTTCCATTTTCATTATGGTTTCTACGTGCTTCTGAACTTATTTAGAATTATGCTTAATATATTTCTAAACAAATGTGTTTTGCTTTGTTGTTTTTATATGATTGCTATTGGTTTCTAATTTTATGCCATTGTGTCAGTGATTCTTTTGGTGATTGCTGAGACTTTCTTTTTGATGAATTTTTAAAAAATTGTATGTTTGCGCTTGAAAGCATGTCTTTTCTCCAATTAAGCAGTTCAAGATGCTCACCGTATTGTTCAGATTTTCTACAATTTTATGTTGAGTTGACTAGTGATCATTTAAAGAACTCTGTTAATATTCCCACTGTGATGGTGGATTTGGCAATTTTGTTAATTTTTTATTTATATGTTTTAAGGCTATGTTTAATTTTGAAATTAAATAATTTATAGGTTTTCTAATGTTGCACCAACTTTGCATTCCTGAAATGAACCAAATGTGGTCATATATATTATCCCTGACGATCCCTTTTTTTTTTTGTTATTACTTTTTTTTTGAGACAGAGTCTCACTATGTCACCCAGGCTGGAGTGCAGTGGCATGATCTCGGCTCACTGCAACCTCTGCCTCCCAGGTTCAAGAGATTCTCGTGCGTCAGCCTCCCAGGTAGCTGGAATTATAGGCGTGTGCCACCATGCCCAGCTAATTTTTGTATTTCTAGTAGAGATGGGGTTTCGCCATGTTGGCCAGGCTGGTCTCAAACTCCTGACCTCAAGTGATCCGCTCACCTTGGCCTCCTGAAGTGCTGGGATTACAGGCGTGAGCCACCCGCACCTGGCTGTGGGTAGATTTTTAACTACTGATTCATTTTCTGAAGTAGTTTTAGGAATATTCAAAGTTTTCTGTTTCTACTTGGGACAGTTTAAGTTTTCTTTTCAGGAGTTCATTTCATCTAACTTTTAAGATTTATTGGCATAAAGTTCATTGTATTCTTCTATCTTTTTAATCTCTGTGGCATCTGTAATTAGGTTCCTCTTTTCATTCCTCATGGGTTATTTTTGCATCACTAATTTGTTACTGGTCAGTCACATCAGAGGTTAGTCAGTTTTACTAGTTTTTTCAAAGAAACAATTTTTGGCTCTGTTGAGCTTCTCTGTTGTATTTGTTTTCTATTAATTTCTACTCTAATCTTTATTTTCCTTCCTTCTACTTTTCTGGGTTTATTTTACTGTTTGTTCAACTTCTTGAAATGAATGCCTAGCTCATTCATTTTCAGCTTTTCCTCTTTTATATCTCATAAATTTGTCTCCAACCATCTATATATCTCTGACAAGTTTTTAATGGCTATTTTAAATTCCTTATCTAATTATTAAATAGATAATACTTTCCCATGATACAAAACCCAGAAAGTATTATTTAAAAGGTATGTAATGAAATATTTCCCACCTGGTCATGGTGGCTCATGCCTGTAATCCCAGCACTTTGGGAGGCCGAGGCAGGCGGACCACCTGAGGTCAGGAGTTCAAGACCAGCTTGGCCCATATGGTGAAACCCTGTCTCTACTAAAAATACAAAAATTACAGGGTGTGGTGAGGCATGTCTGTAGTCCCAGCTACTCAGGAGGCTGAGGCAGGAGAATCGCTTGAACCCAGGAGGCAGAGGTTGCAGTGAGCCGAGATCACACCACTATGCTCCAGCCTGGGTGACTGAGCAAGACTCCGTCTCAAAAAAAAAAAAAAAAAAAAAAAGAGAAAAATATTTCCTCCCATACTTGTCTCTCATCTGCTCATTTCCCATTCTCTCCCCGCCATCCCTGCTCCAGCCCCACAGGTTAACCCTGGTCTTAGTTTTGCATGTATCCTTCCAGCCTTTTTGTGTGATTACAAACAATTATGAATGGAGATTCTTATTTCCTTTCCCCTTTATTTATAAACAATATATAGTAAATTAAACACACTGTTCTATACCTTGCTTTTATTTCCCTGGACAATAAACCTTAGAGAGATCTTTCAATGGCAGTATATCTTTTTTTTTTTTTTTTTTTTTTTTTTGAGACGGAGTCTTGCTCTGTTACCCAGGCTGGAGTGCAGTGGCGCGATCTCTGCTCACTGCAACCTCCACCTCCCGGGTTCAAGGGATTCACCTGCCTCAGCCTCCCGAGTAGCTGGGACTACAGGTGTGCGCCACCACACCCAGCTAATTTTTGTATTGTTAGTAGAGATGGAGTTTCACCATGTTGACCAGGATGGCCTTGATCTCTTGACCTCGTGATCTGCCCTCCTTGGCCTCCCAAAGTGCTGGGATTATAGGCATGAGCCACCATGCCTGGCCCTTTTTTGTTTTTATAGCTGCATAAAATTCCATTGTGTGTTCCATCATTTTGTCACCATTATTCTACTGGTTGAAATAGTTCCACCCCCAATTCTTTTGTTGTCACAAATGATTATTACATTGTACATATATGCATGTGTAAATATATCTTACATATAATTGGGCTGGGCACAGTGGCTAATGCCAATATTCCCAACACTTTGGGAGGCTGAGGAGAGAGGATCACTTGAGCCCAGGAGTTTGAGACCAGCCTGGGCAACAGAGCAAGACCCTGCATCTATTAAAAAAGAAGAAAAAGAAAGTAAGCAAAAAAAGCATAATTGCCAGGTGCAAGTTATGGATATTTAAAGATTGTCTTTTTTAAACTTTTTATTACAGAAACTTAAAAACATATATAAACTCCCTACAAAGGTGTATCTGTGGTTCCCTGTCTTTGGACACATAGGATGGTATTCCTGTTCTCTATTTCATTTATTTTTGTCCTAGTCTGTAGTCTTTCCCTCTGCTGGCTCTTGGTTTAGTGTGTTCTTCTTTTTCTAGTTTCTTAAGATAGAAGGGTAGATTATGGAGTCAAGATTTTGTTTTTAAAAAATTGATGTTTATAGCTATGAATTTCCCTCTAAGCACTACTTCAGCTGCATCCTGTAAGTTTGGATATGTTATGTCTTCATTTTCGTTCATTTTTGAGGTATTTTATAGTTTTCTTTTGATTTTTTTCCTTTAACTCACTGGTTACTTAATGAGTATATTGTTTAATTTCTACATATTTCTGAATTTCCAAATTTTTTTCCTCATTCATTTCTAATTTTATTCCATTATGGTCAGAGAACACACTTTGTGTGACTTAAATTCTTAATTCTTTGAATATATTTATTAATATAATGGCTACTTTTAACTCTTTGTGAGATCCAACATCTGGGCCCTCTCACAGGTGGTTTCTGTTGCCTGCATATTTTCCTATATATGTTTCATACTTTACTGTTTCTGCATGTTTCATAATTGTTGAAAATCAGACATTTTAGATAGTATGTTGTAGTAACTCCAGATAGAAATTCCTGCCCTCCACCCCATGGCTTTTGTTTGTTCATTTGTTCAGTGACTTGGCTGCACTACTTGCATTCAGTCTCCCCCTCACAACATGAAGCCTCTAGTGTCTCTTCTCAGAGTGCACGGTCTTGGCCCTGCACACAGCCACACTAGATGACAGTGGTTTCAGCAGGCTTTTTGACTGTTTCTTTCATGAATTTGTTAAGCCATCTGCCTCTGCTGGTATCACCCCCAGCTGTTAGGCTCCATTCATTGCCAACTAATTGCTTTATTGTTTTTGACATGTGGGGCATAAGTTGTTCCATAGTTTAGTCCAGTTAATTGTGGGCCCCTTTGTCGGGCTAGTTTTTGAGGGCAATATATAGGTTTGTTCTGAGTCCAGGACGGCTCTCAGTTGCCCTTTCCCTGGTTCTCTCTGTTAAACTAGCTGTCCCAAGGTTTAGCCTGTTGCTATCATGGAGCAATCAGCCTCCTTTTAATTGCCTCCTGCCAAAATCTCTACATTTTTGAAGTGCCTATAGGCTTGAATTTCCCCATACTCTGTTTCATATTAAGTCAGGTCCTTTGGAGAATGTTTTGGAGCCCTGTATTCTTACGGACTGCCTCTCCCCCTGGGCAAAATCCCCGAGGCCCTGCTCTGGAGTTGGGGTCAGGAATAATGGCTTGCTTCACTTGGAAGGACATTCCTGCTTTATGAGCAGGGAGCTAGGCAGGGATGACAACCTCTGCTCTCTCGGTTTGCATCTCCTTTTGTGAAACCTCCACTCTCTGAGCAAGCTTCCGTGAGGGCAATCAGGGCCCCGATACTTTTGTCCCACTGCACTTGAGGTAAAGCCTCTGCCCTGTGGGTGGGGCTGAGTGGAGGAAGGGAGCCCTTGATCTTTTTCAGGAATTTAGTTGCTGTATCTTGGAGCTGGTGGCCCTCCTGGTAAAATACCATATATCATATCTCATGACTGGATGTTGAGAGAATAGGAAGTCCCTCCCCCTCCACCGCCCCACCCCACTTTTTTTTTTTTTTTTTTTAACTACGCTTACCTGCTGGAGTGGAGCTTTAGTCTAACTGAGCTGTGGGGTAGGGGTTTGGGGCATAGATTGAGGGAGCATGTCATGGTTCAAGTGCTGCAAATTCTCACTATTCAAGATTTAGTAGCTGGGCATGGTGGCTCACACCTGTAATACCAGCACTTTGGGTGGGAGGATTGCTTGAGCCCTGGAAAGCCTGGACAACATAGCGGGACCCTGTCTCTACAAAAAAATTTGTAAAAATTAGTTGGATATGGTGGCACACACCTGTAGTCCTACCTTGGGAGGTTGAAGTGGGAAGATTGCTTGGACCTAGGAGGTTGAGGCTTCAGTGAGCTGTGATCATGCCACTGCACTCCAGCCTGGGTGACACAGTGAGACCCTGTCTGAAAAAAAAAAAAAGATTTAGTAGATTTTCTTGAGTAAACATTTCTTCATTTGTTATATGTCCTTAGGAAAATTTCCAAAGAGTTTAAATGCTTTATGTTTGTTTGTTTGTTTGTATTGAGACAGAGTTTCACTCTTGTTGCCCAGGCTGGAGTGCAATGGTGCGATCTCGGCTCACCGCAACCTTGGCCTCCCAGGTTCAAGCAATTCTCCTGCCTCAGCCTCCCGAGTAGCTGGGATTACAGGCATGTGCCACAAGGCTGGCTAATTTTGTATTTTTAGTAGAGATGGGGTTTCTCCATGTTGGTCAGGCTTGTCTCGAATTCCTGACCTCAGGTGATCCACCTGCCTCGGCCTCCCAAAGTGCTGGGATTACAGGTGTGAGCCACCGCGCCCAGCCATGCTTTGTGTTTTTAAATTTTCATCAGTAATGGAGTTTCCCTGTGGAGTGTGCGAAATCCCTCATGCTGCCATTTCAGAAGTAGGACCGCTCCCACTTTTTGTTTTTGAGACAAGGTCTTGCTTTCCACACGGGTTGGAATGCAGTGTGGCATGATCATAGCTCACTGTAACTTTGAACTCCTGGGCTTAAGGGATCTTCCTGCCTCAGTCTCCCAAGTTGCTAAGACTACAGGTGCACACCACCACACCTCGCTAATTTTTAAAAATTTTTTGTGGAGATGAGTCTCACTATGTTGCCAAGGCTGGTCTTGAATTTTTGGCATCAAGCCATCCTCCTGCCTTGGCCTCCCAAAGTGTTGGGATTACAGGTGTGAACCACCAGCCTCTCTTACTTTTAATAGTTATTTTAGAAATTAGAATATTGCATGCTTAATTTATCAAAGGCCAATCAATCTCTTTACCCTCTTTCTGAATGATATAAGAATCTTAGAATTGTTTGAAGTTTTTTACCATATGCACATATATAAAAATTACATATTTATATACAAATATATATACACTTTAAAAAAAATACAGGCCAGGCCTTGTGGCTCATGCCTGTAACCCCAGCACTTTGGGAGGCCAAGGTGGGTGGATCACCTGAGGTCAGGAGTTCAAGACCAGCTGGGCTAACATGGTGAAACCCTGTCTCTACAAAAATACAAAAATTAGCCAGGCATGATGGCAGGTGCCTGTAATCCCAGCTCCTCGGGAGGCTGAGGCCGGAGAATCGCTTGAACCCAGGAGGCGGAGGTTGCAGTGAGCTGAGATCATGCCATTGCACTCCAGCCTGGATGACAGAGTGAGACTCCATCTCAAAAATAATAATAATAATAATAATACATATATGAAGCAAATAAAAGTATATATATACACACACACAATATTTATACAAAACAAGAATATGAAACATAAATTGGTTACCTACAGTTAAGCTGCCTGAATTCAGTTCCTGTTTTTACCACTTAAAGGCTGGTCAACCTGAACAAGTGCCTTAACTGCACCACACCTGTTTCTTGAGGCACGAAGTTGAGAAACCAATATCGCCTCACTGGGTCTTTGTGATAAGTGAGCCAATTTATGTAAAGTGCCATATGCACAGTGTATGCACAATGCTTGACAGATAATCAGTGCTTAGTAAAAGACACCTGCTCTAATAACTAAAGCAAATTATTGTTGGTGATTAAGTGTATTCATCCTTTCTGTCCTGGCAGTTCCTCTGTGACGAGGGTGCAGGTATCTCTGGGGACTACATCGATCGCGTGGACGAGCCCTTGTCCTGCTCTTATGTGCTGACCATTCGCACTCCTCGGCTCTGCCCCCACCCTCTCCTCCGGCCCCCACCCAGTGCTGCACCGCAGGCCATCCTCTGTCACCCTTCCCTACAGCCTGAGGAGTACATGGCCTACGTTCAGAGGCAAGCCGGTGAGTAATTAGAGAAGGAGGAGAAGACGGGGAGATACGGGGGCAGGGGGTGGCAAAAGATCAAGTATTGAATAGCTGGAGGAATGTGTTCCTGGCCTGCTTGCATGCTGTTTCTCAGTAGACTCAAAGCAGTATGGAGATAAAATCATAGAGGAGCTGCAAGATCTAGGCCCCCAAGTGTGGAGTGAGACCAAGTCTGGGGTGGCACCCCAAAAGATGGCAGGTAGGACCTTGTTTCACCTGTTCCGTGAAACTCACTTCCATTTCTTCCCTTCCCCTGATCTTACTGTCCTGACTGACTGGTGGGGTGGGGGGGGGTGGAAAAGTACCATGGGCCCTCCTCCCTTGGTGATAGAGGAGGGGAAGGGACCCCATCCTATTTGCTCCCTTCTGTCTCACCCCTCCTGTCAGATCAGTCTCTCCCTGTTCTCTGTACCCTAGGTGCGAGCCCGACCAAGGATGACAGTAAGGACTCAGATTTCTGGAAGATGCTTAATGAGCCAGAGGACCAGGCCCCAGGAGGGGAGGAGGTGCCGGCTGAGGTGAGACCAGCTGCCTCAGAGGAGCAGGATGGGGATGGGGAGGGTCACTGCAGCTGGGGCCATTGTGAGGTGACCTACATCTACCTAGGGATGCAAGGATATCCCCAGAACCTTTGCCTTCATAGTATGGAGGGCATGAACAGGCTTTCATACTTGACTCTCTCCTTTTCTCCTCGTCAGGAGCAGGACCCAAGCCCTGAGGCAGCAGATTCAGCTTCTGGTGCTCCCAATGGTGAGTGAACCTTCCATGTCTCCTTTACTGAATATATTTTAGGATTGGCAGGGGTAGGGATGGAGGGGAGAGCTAAGCCTGGGAGGGAGGTTGGGTAGCCAGGCCGGCAGAAAATTCATTTTTATAGGAGTTAATACTCTTTGTAGACAGCACTGCTATTTTAGCAAGGTGGCAGAACACAGTGGCTCCACCACTTGGTGACTTTGTAATTCACTTAACCTCAATTTTCTTACCCATAAAATGAGGGTAATAACCCCTACCTTAGAGGGTTGCATGGGATTAAATGAGAATGCATCCATAATTCACAGTAGAAGGCCTGGAACTGAATAAACTAAATGGTTAATATTTGTGGAAAGAGGAGAAGGGTTCCAGGGAAGACAAGCCCTTAGCCCCAGGATCTCCTCTGTAGTCCTAAAAGCTAGAGTGACTGCCAGAAGGGCCTCAGAAGTGCATGGAAGAGTGGGGACTTAGCAGCTTGTTAGCATCCATCTCTCCTACCAGAGTGTCCACCTTAGGATGGTGCTCTCTGCAGGCGAATATTTGCCCTTGTCTCACTGTCAAACAGGTAAATCCTAGAGGCAGGGACCATGTCCTTCCTTGGTCTCTCATTACCTGTCCTTAGGAATCCAGAGAGAATTTAGGAGCGCAGTAGCGCACACCTGTAATCCTAGTTACTTGGAAGGCTGATGCAGGAAGATTGCTTGAGCCCAGGAGTTCAAGATCATCTTGGGCAACATAGTAACACACCATGTTGAAAAAGAAAAAGAGCCGGGCGTGGTGGCTCATGCCTGTAATCCCAGCACTTTGGGAGGCTGAGGCAGGTGGATCACCTGAGGTCAAGAGTTCAAGACAAACCTGGCCAACATGGTGAAACCCCATCTCTACTAAAAATACAAAAATTAGCTGGGTGTGGTGGCAGGCGCCTGTAATCCCAGCTACTTGGGAGGCTGAGGCAGGAGAATCTCTTGAACCCGGGAGGCAGAGGTTGCAGTGAGCAGAGATTGCACCACTGTGCTCCAGCTTGGGTGACAGTGCAAGACTCTGTCTCAAAAAAAAAAAAAAAAAAAAAAAAAAAGAATTTAAACACAACAGAACAGGTTCATGATTATTATTCTTTCATCTCAGATTTTCAGAACAACGTGCAGGTCAAAGTCATTCGAAGCCCTGCGGATTTGATTCGATTCATAGAGGAGCTGAAAGGTGGAACAAAAAAGGTATAGGCCGTGCTTAGGGAATGGGTAGAACCCACCTCCCAACTGCGAGCATTTGAAAAACTACCCTGACCTGGGACTCAACTCCTGGGTCCCCCAGTACCACACACCTGCTACTGTTTGTCTGCCCCCGACCATGTGTCTCTGTTGAAACCCCAACTGTCTTTCTCCCCACTCCCTACCCACCCAGGGGAAGCCAAATATAGGCCAAGAGCAGCCTGTGGATGATGCTGCAGAAGTCCCTCAGAGGGAACCAGAGAAGGAAAGGGGTGATCCAGAACGGCAGAGAGAGATGGAAGAAGAGGAGGATGAGGATGAGGATGAGGATGAAGATGAGGATGAACGGCAGTTACTGGGAGAATTTGAGAAGGAACTGGAAGGGATCCTGCTTCCGTCAGACCGAGACCGGCTCCGTTCGGAGGTGAAGGCTGGCATGGAGCGGGAACTGGAAAACATCATCCAGGAGGCAAGCCCAGCTCTTCCTCCTGTTGCTTCCACAGCCGCCTGGTCCCGTGGAGCAGGACAGGCTGACGGGCTAAAAGAAACAGAGGGCACAGCACAGGGCAAGGACGGGGCACTTGGAAGTGGTAGCTGTTTCCCTAATTAATCGGGGCTGTTGGGGAAGGGGGACCAGAGAGAGGGACAAGACTTAAATATCAGACTCTCTGGCCAGGCGCGGTGGCTCACGCCTGTAATCCCAGCACTTTGGGAGGCCGAGGTGAGCGGATCACCTGAGGTCAGGAGTTCAAGACCAGCCTGGCCAACATGGCGAAACCCTCTCTACTAAAAATGCAAACAAATTGGCCAGGCATGGCAGTGGGTACCTGTAATCCCAGCTCTTTGGAAGGCTGAGGCAAGAGAATCGCTCGAACCCGGGAGGCGGAGGTTGCAGTGAGCCGAGACGGCACCACTGTACTCCAGCCTGGGTGATAAGCAAAACTCCATTTCAAAATATCAGACTCTCCTACAGAGCCCAGCCCGCTGGCTGCCTCCACACCCCAGACCCTTGACTCACTCTCTTCTCTTGGGTATTCCAGACAGAGAAAGAGCTGGACCCAGATGGGCTGAAGAAGGAGTCAGAGCGGGATCGGGCAATGCTGGCTCTCACATCCACTCTCAACAAACTCATCAAAAGACTGGAGGAAAAACAGAGTCCAGAGCTGGTGAAGAAGCACAAGAAAAAGAGGGTTGTCCCCAAAAAGCCTCCCCCATCACCCCAACCTACAGGTGAGAGCAGTCAGACAAGAAAGAGTAGCCCAGTCTGTTGTTTTCATCCCTCAGCTGGTTCTGTTCCCAGAGGGGACCCTGTTCCTTCCCTTCTGAGGGTGCTCATTCTCTCCCCACTTTCTGGAACACTGTCCTCACTTGCGCCTGCTTCCCAACACCATCATCCCTTTGCGTGTTTACCTCCTATTCATCCCTCTGGGAAGCAGCTTTTAGAGCATATCTGCTGGTTTTCTGGTTTGCTCCTGTACACCCAGTGCCTAGCACTCTGCCTGGCACACAATGGATGATCAGTAGCTAGTAATTGAATGCTTGTGAGTCTATATGCTGAAAACCACTTTAGGACTTTGCACCAAGAGAGGCCCCAGCTGTCAGGGCATGAATAGGAGAGCCCAGCTGCACATGAGCCAATAGCTTGGATAGACTTTAAATTATTTCTTCTTCTTGTATCCCCTTGTGTCCATTTCATAGTGTCCTATGGGTGTGGACATCAGATATTCTAAATGGAATGTTCCAGTTTCAAACCTTCCATTCCCACTCTCTCTATAAACATTGAAATGTCTTTAAAGTCCCAACATATGGAGGAGGAGACCACACTTTTCCAACCTGCTTCTTCAAACAGAACTTTGTTGGTGCAGGTGGCCTGATTTTGGCTTTAGAAAACATTTGTTTTCCTATAGGTGACGGGCAGAATTATTGGGTAGGGCGGGAAGATGGAAGGCTGCAATTGGTGGAGGGAGCTCTACAGGCTGAACTGGGAGGGGCGGGGCACACATTTTTTTGAGCCCTGGCTCATATACATGTTGAGATGGAAGAGCTGCCAAAGCCAACTGATGTTTTAGGGGGAGATGACCCCCACACCCCTAACCCTGGAGTCACGCCTCTGCTTTGTGTTTCCCTGTGTGTCTCCCCCTCTAAGAGGAGGATCCTGAGCACAGAGTCCGGGTCCGGGTCACCAAGCTCCGTCTCGGAGGCCCTAATCAGGATCTGACTGTCCTCGAGATGAAACGGGAAAACCCACAGCTGAAACAAATCGAGGGGCTGGTGAAGGAGCTGCTGGAGAGGGAGGGACTCACAGCTGCAGGTGGGCCCTGGAGGGCGGCTGGACCCAGTGCTGTCGGAAGGGCAAGCTGCCGGAAGTGGAGGGGCTGGGACCAGTGGGGCAGGGGGCCTGCCCTGAGGCTCCCAACCATCCTCTCCTCTCACTGCATACTGCTCCTTTCCAGGGAAAATTGAGATCAAAATTGTCCGCCCATGGGCTGAAGGGACTGAAGAGGGTGCACGTTGGCTGACTGATGAGGACACGAGAAACCTCAAGGAGATCTTCTTCAATATCTTGGTAAGAGGCTTCTACCCCCGAGTCCTGGCCCCCAGCCCTCCTGGAGTGGAGGTGCGGGCTTGCCCCAGCCACGCCATTGCTGAGCTTCCATTTCCTGATCTGTAAGACAAGGCTGGGGTTCCAGTGGCTCAGAGTGCTGCCATGCAGGAAGAGCCCCTCAGGACATGGGTGTCCTCATTCCCTGCCTTCCCCCAGCTGCCTGGCCCAGGACTTCCCTGGGCTCAACGGCCAGTAGCTCCAGCCCACCTCTACCCTCTCCCACCAGGTGCCGGGAGCTGAAGAGGCCCAGAAGGAACGCCAGCGGCAGAAAGAGCTGGAGAGCAATTACCGCCGGGTGTGGGGCTCTCCAGGTGGGGAGGGCACAGGGGACCTGGACGAATTTGACTTCTGAGACCAACACTACACTTGACCCTTCACGGAATCCAGACTCTTCCTGGACTGGCTTGCCTCCTCCCCACCTCCCCACCCTGGAACCCCTGAGGGCCAAACAGCAGAGTGGAGCTGAGCTGTGGACCTCTCGGGCAACTCTGTGGGTGTGGGGGCCCTGGGTGAATGCTGCTGCCCCTGCTGGCAGCCACCTTGAGACCTCACCGGGCCTGTGATATTTGCTCTCCTGAACTCTCACTCAATCCTCTTCCTCTCCTCTGTGGCTTTTCCTGTTATTGTCCCCTAATGATAGGATATTCCCTGCTGCCTACCTGGAGATTCAGTAGGATCTTTTGAGTGGAGGTGGGTAGAGAGAGCAAGGAGGGCAGGACACTTAGCAGGCACTGAGCAAGCAGGCCCCCACCTGCCCTTAGTGATGTTTGGAGTCGTTTTACCCTCTTCTATTGAATTGCCTTGGGATTTCCTTCTCCCTTTCCCTGCCCACCCTGTCCCCTACAATTTGTGCTTCTGAGTTGAGGAGCCTTCACCTCTGTTGCTGAGGAAATGGTAGAATGCTGCCTATCACCTCCAGCACAATCCCAGTGAAAAAGGTGTGAAGCACCCACCATGTTCTTGAACAATCAGGTTTCTAAATAAACAACTGGACCATCAATCCATCAACCTTTTTTGTGGGGTGGGGGTTCCAGCAGGGAGAAGGCTCAGTGTTCTTTTCAGATCATGCTCTGATCCTGTTCTTTGCTCCCCATTCCCCAGGTACTATAAACGGGGGCTGGGGTATGCAGGAAGAGACCAGGGTAGCTAAACAAAGCCTGGCCTGGCAAGGATTGAAAGAAACACTTGCAATGCTGTCATCTTCCTTTTCTCATCTGTCTGTTTCTGTTCCTTCCCTTTTGCACCAAGTCTTTCCCTATTGTTTCCCCCTTTATACCCTGAAAGCCAAAATGCACACCATGGAGCTCCCCCCGGCGGGGATCTTCCTTCTGCTGTGGTCTCTCCCATATCATGCTCCAGATTCCATTTGTCATCCACACCCCTACCCACCTGTCCTTTCAACATTTTCCAAAAAGACCTCCACCTTTGGGCATGCGCAGAGAGAGGGCTGCTGCCCACACATGCCAGTTTCTTAGTATGCCCAAGGGTACATGGGCCTGGTGTCTCCCTTTCTTCTTCACTACCAAGTGCAGGCATGGGTCCCCCCACATGCCTCCTCCCAGTGCAGAGGACTCTGATTTTGTTTGTTTTGTTTCGAGACAAGAGTCTCACTCTGTTGCCCAGGCTGGAGTGCAGTGGCCTGATCTCAGCTCACTGCAACTTCTGCCTCCCAGGTTCAAGCAATTCTGCCTCAGCCTCCCAGTGACTGGAATTACAGGCACACACCACCATGCTCTGCTAATTTTGAGTGCAGAGGACTCAGGTAGAGTCCTCTGCTCTGGTCTCTGAGGTGAACGGCCTTTCTGCTGAAGGCTGCCCCCGGGCTCACAGGATAAGAAAAGGGATAGAGGGGCCGGGAGCAGTGGCTCACCCCTGTAATCCCAGTACTTTGGGAGGCTGAGGCGGGCGGATCACTTGAGGCCAGGAGTTCGAGACCAGCCTGGCCAACATCGTGAAACCCCATCTCTACTAAAAATACAAAAAATTAGCCGAGTGTGGTGGCGCACGCCCATAATCCCAGCTACACGGGAGGCTGAGCAGGAGAATCGCTTGAACCTGGGAGGCGGAGGTTGTGGTGAGCTGAGATCACACCACTGCACTCCAACCTGGGCGACAGAGTGAGACTGTCTCAAATAAAAAAAAAAAAAAAAAAAAAAGGATAGAGGGCCCAGAACTCCCATGTGTCTATAAATGGAGAGTGAAGGATTCAACTGTTGAAGGAAGCTCTTGCTGAACGTGGACTAGTGCTTACTGTGCATGCTATGCTTACGTTGTTTTGTTTTGAAGTGTAAATAGGTAGACTCAGAAAACCCTGCTTCCTCTGGTCCATCTGCGCCCCCTGAGGGAGGGATGCTCCAGCTGGACAAGAGCTTAGACACTGCCTTGAGGGCAGCAGTAGTCAGAATGCAGCTCCCAGACCGCACCCCTCATCTCCCACCAGCGGACCCTTGAACAAGTCACTTAACTTTCTAAATGCTGTTTCCTCATTGGTAAATTGTGGACAACAGTACTGGCTTTTTAAGATGGTTGCGAGGATTGAATGAGATAGAGTGTATGTCGTGCTTTTAGCACAGAACCTGGCCCCAAGTAAGTGCTCACTAGCTTTCTATTATAAGCCAACTCCTGAGTTCTGAAAAGACTGGGTTACTTGGAGGCAAGAGTCTCAGAAGGAGTCCCCAAAGCTGATCAGAAGCTCAGAATGGGAAGGGGCTGGGGCAGGAGGGCTGTGCTTTGATTTGCTGGGGATGGAGTCTCAGCATCACCAGAAAGCAGAGTTCTGGAAATCTCACTCTGTTAATCATTTTGTACTTTCAATCGAAATTCCTTTTTCCTTTCCTTTGGCTTTTGGCGGCAGCACTCCCATGGTGAAGGTCGGTCTGCCCCAGCTGTGCTAAGACAAACAAAAGGAGGGGAGCAGGGTGTGGCAGATGGCAGCCAGCAGGGCTGCAGGGAGGGCTGGCGGATGGCAATAGGGCATCCTGCATGGCAGGGCATCCAAGCAAGGCAGCCCAGGGTGAGCTGTGAAGGGGGCATGGGCACAAAGGGGCAGCAGCTCTCCTTCACCCACCCAGGGAGTCCCCTTCTGGGCTCCTATTTTGTCATAACCTGGAGGGCTTGATATTTTGTCATTCCATCCACTACCACCCTTTACATCTCCCCCGCAAGACCAAAGACACTCCCCATTAAGACAAGAGGCAAGTGGATTACTTGGTGTTGGGATTTGTTGTGAGGTTTGCTGACACCTTGACCATTTTTCACTGGCTGGAAATGAAAGGAACTTCCCACTTGCTCTTTGAAGGCAATTTCATTCTCTCCAGGGTCCTTATTTCCTTCCCATATTCTCTCACACTCCCAAACTTCTGAAGAAGGGAGCAAACTTTGGCCACGAGGAAGGAGTGGAGCTGAAATAAGAGAGTCCAGGGTCTTGGAGGTGAAGGGGGAACGGCCAGGTCCTCTAGTCCAATCTTCTTTGCTACCTCCCCCCTCTTGTCGCTTTGCCCAGACCACACACCTGCCTCTGTACTTGTCACTGCACCTGCACTGTTGAATCCACCTTTCCTGGGTCACGCCGCTGTGCTGGGTGGTCACAGCCTAGGACCCTGTAGAGCCGCAGCCTCCATGTGAACTGGATTCAGGTCTGGTGCTGTGTCCTCAGTTCAGTGGCACACTTGCAGCTGAACCTCTTGGGGCTGGTGGGCACCAAGGGTCAGAAGCAATTCTACCCAAAGATGCTGGTGCTACCAACTAACTCCTCAAGGTAGATAACAACATATGGCTGTGCCCAACCTGCACTGGCTGCTGACCCAACCCTACCCTGTCCAGCCCCTCTACCTGAGTAAACACTTTCAGCTGCCCTCGAGAAATGGTAGGATTGGCTATGTGCTGAGCCTAGTGGCACTGCAGCTCATGGAGGCAGCACCGGCTTCAGGCCGCTGTGGCCTTGGTGGTCCCTTTGATGGCACGGAGGTGGATAAATGCCTGCATCAGCTGACACTGAGTTTGTGGACACCAGGGACCTCTGCAGCTAGCTGGGAAATCTTTCCCAGGAGGTCTCCCACCCCTTCCCTCTGGAACACCCCCTGACGAGGCCAGGGGAGGAACCCCTACTCTATGTTCTACTCTGGTACCTAGTGCTCACGGTGAGCAGGCTGGCTCGGGGCAGCCCTCCTCAGAGCTGGAGCGCCTTTCAGGTGCCCTCTGAACAGATACTGTTCAGAATACAGATAAACAGATGCCACCAAGGTCCCCTAGCTGTGCAGTGGAGGGGCAGGTTTCAAAATCAGATCTGTCTCCAAAGTTCCTGCTCTTAAACAAAGCTGTCCCATCTTCCCACCCCTCTCCATGGGCCTGTCCTCTCCTCTAAGTACCATATCCCAACTCTCCCAGGACTGGCATCATCTTAAGAGTCAGTGCCTTCTCTGTTCCCAGGGTCCCCACTGACTCCAACCTGCCCACGTCCTCCACTACATGAACCCAGAACTGTTGTACATGATGGAACCACCTCCATGCCCATGGGTACTGTCCTGCCACCAGCCCCAGTGGGAGGCACCTCTGCCTGTCCCTGTCCAACCCCAGTACCCCATCTTGACCAAGGCCATGCCCTGACCTGCCTCCAAGAACAGACCAGCAGCTCACCCCCTAGACAAAATCACTTCCTCTTTAATTGCTGTTGAAGAAGATTCACACCACTGCCTCCAAGGAGATGGGGGGGCATTTCCCCCTTGCCCCCACCTCTCTCCCCTCCCCAATTACCTGGTCCTTTGCAAACTATTTTAGCCAGAAAAAAAAAAAAAAAAAAAGACCGGAAACCACTGACACAGACAGCCCAAGGGCTGGGTTGGCTGAGGGAGGCAGGGCTGGGCCAGGTAAGTCCGCCCTATCACCCAGTTTGTGGGGAAGGGGCAGGGGGCCTGGAAACCCTCCCAGCCACCTCGAATCCTCTCAGCCCTGGCTGGGAGAGGTCACGGGGGTGAGGAATGGCTCTGGAGCTGCTCCAGTGGGAGGGAGGGGCTGGACAGAAAGAATAATGGGGGAGGGGTCCCACTGTAGGGGTGCCCCCTACCCCAGATCACCACGGGCGCTGCACAGTCACAGGTACGCAGTCACGGTCACAGACACAACCCGAGAGCACCCCCACCCCAACCCACCCCCTGCCCACCCTGGGCTTCCCCTACCCCAAAACGCCCTCCCCACGCCCCTGCCCGCCCCCATCCCCATGTTGGGGAACAAAGCAATAAATTACAAGGCCCCCGCAGCCCTCTTAGCCCGCTCCTGCTCCATCCCTTCTCCCTCCCAAGATAGTAGTGGGAGGGACCCAGGCTCTTGGTTCCCCCCGGACTCTTTAGCTTCCACCCATGGGTAGGTGTAGGGGACGTCCTGGTTTCCACTACTCACGGTCCCTTTCACGGAAAGGGTTGGGAACCCCCACCCCCATGAGCAGCAGGGGTCCTGCCCCTCGCTGCCCTTGCCCCCTTCACTGGGCAGTGAGATGAGCATGGAAGGGGTAGGGTTTCCGTATTGGCCCCAAGTCCCGGGGCTAGCCCTCCCATGTACTAAACCCTCCCTCTGGCGTGGCGTCGCCCCAGGAGCCAGCCTGGGTATGGGCTCCCGCCCTGGGATTGTTGAGCTCGGGCAGGACCGGGTCTTCTTTCCGCCCCTAGGGGGCACAAGCGGGCATGTCCAAGCGCCTAGGAGCCCGTACCGCTGGGGACCTCCCCTTCCGCGAACCCCGAGCGGGTAGACCCAGAGCAATCCGAGTGTGGAAACAATGGAGAGGGGGCGTGTTGAGCTGGGGTCTCCATGCCTCGTTGGGGAGAGGGAGGTGAGTTTGTGTCTTCTGGAAGGCGTGGGGGCTGTGCCCTCGTGGGGGTAGGAAGTGCTCCCGTGGGGCGGGGTGCGGATCGGAGAGGTGAGTGGGTGCGTCTGTCCAGCGGTCCGCCCGGTGTGGTCGTGCCCGGCCCGCGTGGGGATGGGGGTGTCTCTCCCGCTGGGCAACTATACCAGCGCAACCGGGGCGTCGGCGCGGCCCACGCTAGCGGCGCTGCTCCGGCGGCGGGGGCTGGGCGTGGCGGTGATGCTGGGCGTGGTGGCCGCGCTGGGCGTGGTGGCCGCGCTGCCGCCCTCACCCGGGCAGCCGTGCTGGAGAAGGATGTCGGCGCACAGCTGGCTTCCAGCCTGGCGGGCGTAGAACAGCGCCGTGCGGCCCTGGGCGTCACGGGCCGCCACGTCCGCGCCGTACTAGAGGGCGGAAACGGCCGCGTGACCGCGCGTCCCCAGGGCGCCCACACCCGGCGCCGCCTCCCCCACATGGCCAAGCCTACTTCCGGGGTCCCTCTGGGAATTTCGGGCTTTCCCGCGCCAGGCGTTTTCCGAGATGAAGCCTCAAAGACCCCCTTTCCTCCCCCCAGCTCACGTACCCACAGCAGCAGTTGCGTGATGACGACGTGGGCGAGCTCGGCCGCCAGGTGGAGTGGGGAGCGCAGCTGTGGGTCCTCTACGCTGGTGTCGAGCGGCCCGTGTCGCGCATGGGCCAAAAGCAGGAGAACGGTAGCCACGTCCTGGGCCTGCACGGCGGCCCACAGCTGGCGGCCCAGCGGCTCCTCCGAGGTGCTCAGCGGCGCCAGGAACAGTAGCTGCTCGTACTTGGCGCGAATCCACGACTCGCGCTCCTCCCTGCAAGACCAGGGATCAACGGAAAAGGCTCTAGGGACCCCCAGCCAGGACTTCTGCCCCTACCCACGGGACCGTCTCAGGTTCGCACACCCTCAGCAACCCTCCCCCCGCTCTGTTCCCTCACGCTTACCGCGAAGAGTCCCGCGAGGGCTTGGCACGGCCTCGCGTGTCGCTTTCCCACACGCGGTTGGCCGTGTCGTTGCCAATAGCCGTCAGCACCAGGGTCAGCTCCCGTGGCCAGTCGTCCAAGTCCAGCGAGCGAACGCGGGACAGGTGTGTGCCCAGGTTGCGGTGGATGCCAGAACACTCGATGCAGATGAGGGCGCCCAGGTTCAAGCTGGCCCACGTGGGGTCTGCGGAAGGAGCGTAGAGGTCGGCTCCCAGCCGGGCAGCACAGGCACCCCGGCATTCACTACACTCCCTAGCCCCTCCGCTGCCTCCTGGCACTCACTGGGGGCCCCGCAGTCCACGCAGATTGAATTCCCCTTGGCGTTCCGGATCGCCTGGATGGCCACGGCCTCGCTTTGGCTGTCTGTGCGCAGCTGCAGAGAGGGTTTGGGTTGGCACTGACTCTGCCTCCAAGCCCCACCTCCTTCTCAGACACCTCTGCTCTCCTCTCACACGACTTCGGCCGTGTCGTTGCCAATGGCCGTCAGCACCAGGGTCAGTTCCTGCGGCCAGTCCTCCACTCCACCTCAAACTCTTACCTTGACCTTGCTGCTCTCACAGCATTGCAGACTGGCTAGGATCTGACTCTCGATGGCCTGGACCCAGGCATCCCGCTCCTCAAAACTGGCTGCCTCAAAGTGCCACGTCTGACCCGTGCTGGACACGATCAGGAACTCAAAGTTTTCCTCTGAGTGGGGGATGGGATGGGGTCATTAAGGGACAGAGTTCAAGCAGGGGCTGCCTTTCCCAAGACCGTCCTCCCTGATGTCCATCCCGAGCCCCTGGGAGTGGGGCAGTGGGGGTAGGGAAAGCAGAGGGTGGGGGGCAGCAGGAAGCCCGAGCACATGCAGGGGAAGGCGGGGGCACCCCCACCCTTCTGCACCCCAGCTGAGCGCCCCTCCCGGCTCCCCACTTGTTACCTGCTTTATAAATATTTCTTAAACTACCAAAGGATTTTAGTTTCCACATTTTGCGCTTGGCTGGTTTCCCGAAGCGAAGGAGATAGAGATAGAATGGAGAGCAGAACAGAGAAAGAGAGACCAAGAAAGAAGGAGAAAAAGACAGGTAGATGGAGAGATGGAGAGAGATAGTGACAGAGTGCCAGAGACAAAGCAGGACAGACAGATGGGGAGAGAAAGCAGAACTAAAGTCAGTGGCCCCGGAGCAGAGTGGAACAGAAGCCAAGAGCCATGAGAGTAGGCAGATCTGGAACCTGGGTCTGAGCACCCGGCAGAGAGCAGGGGCAGCAGGGATGGGTTATCAAGACCAGCGAGGAGCTGGACCTCTGGGAGAAGAAGGGAGGGTCAGGATCTGAGTGAACACGGGGGAAGGGGACAGAAGCTGGGGCGCAGGGCTGAGATGAGAGGGCCCTGGGGCTGGTGGCGGTGGGGGTGCGGGGAATCACTGAGGGACAAGAATGGGGATCACTATGGTCAAGGGCTGTTGGGGAGCACTTGGCAATAGAAAGTTATCGGGAGAAGGCCGGGCACGGTGACTCATGCCTGTAATCCCCACCGCCTGTAATCCCAGCACTTTGGGAGGCCGAGGCGGGCAGATCACGAGGTCAGGAGATCAAGACCATCCTGGCTAACACAGTGAAACCCAGTCTCTACTAAAAAATACAAAAAATTAGCCGGGCATGGTGGCAAGTGCCTGTAGTCCCAGCTACTTGGAAGGCTGAGGCAGGAGAATGGTGTGAACCCGGGAGGCAGAGCTTGCAGTGAGCCGAGATCGCACCACTGTACTCCAGCCTGGGTGACAGAGTGAGACTCCATCTCAAAAAAAAAAAAAAAAAAGAAAAGAAAAAAAAAAGAAAGAAAGTTATTGGGAGAAGGGGCTGGGTGGTCACAGAATCCAGGATCTGGGGAATCAGTGGGAGATGCTGAGATAAGGGGCTGAATCACTGGGGATCAGCGGGGCTGCCGGGTGCAGGGGCTGGGGTGGTAAGTGGAGTTGAGGGAAGGAAGAGGAACTAGAACGTCATTAGGAGAGGGAGCAGGAGCTATAGACATGGACATCGTTGAGAACAGGGGCTGGGGAAAGGAATTAGCTGGGGAACAAGGAAAGAAGGACAGGGGCTGGGGGATGTCCATCCACTCTTTCACTAAGTTGTGTGCAGTGGTAATGGTAGTCAAGCACTCAGCTCAGGCACTTTTCCTCCTGCTGCAGGAGTTAGGCCAGGGAGCTGATGTTGGGGATGAGGGTTCTGGGTGGGAGTGGAAGTGCCTGCCAGAGCCTCACCTTCAGCCTGCCCAGCCGAGCCTTCAGTCTTGGATGGTGTTGTCAATTTTTTCCTCCTCTGCTTCTTCACCATGGGAGAAGGAGGGGGTTCCCGACTCAGGGGGCTCAGGTCTCCAGATGGGGTACAGTCTTAGGGAGGAAGACACAGCTGCCTCAGTAGCCCCCTCCACAGATTTCCTGATTTCTTGATAGCCTGTCTCATTCCCTGAACTAGCTTTGGCATTTTAGGGCTCCCCTCCTCAACTGTCCCTCTCCAGGAGTTCCCCCTTGATCATTCCTGGGGATGCAGGGAGATGAGAGGTTTAGAGTCAGTCCTGCACTCAGATCCTGGTTCTGCCACTTACTGGCCTTAAGACCTTGAGCAAGGCACTTAATCTTCTGAGCCTCAGTTTCTTTATCTCTGAAATAGGGGTAATAATCTTGACCTGACAAAACTGTTGTAAGGATCATTTGTTTACAATGTTATTTGCATACTATATATATATATTTTTTTTCAAACATGTCAAACATGGCTGACTATGTACTAGACAATATTCTCAGTTTGTTTAAACCTCAAAGCAACCCTCTGAGGTAGAAACTATTATCTCCATGTTACAGATGAGGAAACTGAGGCACGGAGAGGTCAAGTAACTTGCCCATGTGGCAAGCCAGGATTCAAGCTCAGGCAGTTGACGTTAGAGTCCACTTGTCTTAACCATTATGATAGACATGGTATGATTGAACTTATTCATGTGTGGGGCTCCATGTGTTCACTCATGCATTTATTCCAGCCTCCAAGCCTTCACCCCATATTCATTTCCCACACTCATCCTATTTGGGTGTGGAAGACAGCAGATGGAAGGTCATCCCCACTGACCCGTGCTGAGGGCTCGGGCCAAATTCCGGTCTGGCTTCAGCAGGTGTTTGGATGTCTGATCTGGTGGTGGCTGCAGGGAACTGGGGCTGGGGCTAGGGCTTGGCATGGGAGTAGTGGCTTCTGTCGGAAGAAGATGAAACCTCAGTGAGCCTCTTTCTTCTGGCCCCATTCCTTATGTGGTCCCTCTTTATCACCCAGCTTCCTACTCGCCCAGTGCCAGCCCCCTCTTCCCTCTTACCCCTCTTTTTCCCCAGCCCTGGCCCCTCTTCTGCTCCTATGTCATAAACCTTACTCACCCAGGCCTTCACCCATCTGGACAGTGCTCATGTCCTTGACGAGCCCGTTAATGCTGGCTGAGGGGCCAAAGGCAGAGATGGCCCTCGGGGGCCGCTTGCCCGGGACTTTGACTGTTGTTCGCAGCAAGTCCATCTCCTTGCCGTGGGTACTGTGGATGTAATCCTGGAGGGGTACAGGGCCGAGAGTGTAGGGAAGGTTGGGGTCCTTGGTATGCTGGGAAGCAGTCAACATGGTACAGAATAGAGAGGGACTGGGGAGGGGTCTTGGGGGCCAAATGGGTTGTGATGAACATCTAGGGGATGGGCCCATCAGACTTGGCCCAGCAATTGTCTCCTCCAGAAAGCGTTCCCTTCCTGGGTGCTCTCCCACTAGACTGCAAGTTCCTGGGGCAATGTATTTACCTTTACATTCCTGGCATGGGCACATGGTGGGCTCTTAACACATGCCTGCTAAACTTAAGAGAAGAGGACTAGCACTTCCTAGAAATGAGGTTAGTGCTTTGTCAGAGGCATAGACAGGTAGAACTTGAGGGAAATCCAAAGCTGGCCAATGTGGCCCAGTCTCTGCCACTCACGTTAATACTGGGGTGGTAGAGTAGAAAGCCATTACTGGACAGGGTTACATATTTCTTCTTCCATTCTTTGTTCAAGGAATTGCCACTTCGTTTTAGTAGGAAGCTCTGGAGAAAGGGGAAAGACACATGTGGGAAAAAAGCCAACTAAGACCAGCTGCCCCTAGCCTGTCCCAGCCCCTGGATCACTCACCTGTTTGATGGGGATGGCTCGCCCACTCCCTGTTGTCTCTCCCCGACTATCCAAGCTTCGTTTCTCGGAGTCACTACCCCGACGATTCTGGAATGGTTATTGGAATCAGTTTGAGGATGGATAGAGGGATACACTGATGTGACGATAGGGAAGATAGATGAAGAAGGGCCCAACAGAGGAGTCTAGGGACTAGGGAAGATGGGCAGGTCATGGGGGACAGGAGGATGGGGGTCAGCATGTCCATGTCCAATACCGCAAAAAGGCTGGTCCTGCGCTTGGCTGCCCGGTGCAGGGACCCTGGGGTGCTCAATCCAGCCACTGCAGCTGCCTCGGCTCGGAGCTCCCGGTGACCAACATTCGGTGAGGACGGGAGGGAAGAAGAGTAGTCGCTAGTGTGGCCCCCGTTACTAGCCTGGGCACATATGGAAGAGTCAGCAGAGCTGAGATGCCCCCTACTCCACCAAGCTACACTCATATCTCGTTATGGGGAATTTGAGACATTCCTTGATCACCTCACCATTTATTTATGTTGTCATTAATAATTTTTAAAATCCTCACTAACATTGTGACAATGCTTTAAATGTTGTAAAGGTTGATTCACAAGTATTGTGTCATACAATCTTCCTGATAGCCTTGGGAGGTTAGGTGAGTTGCTTAAGGACACTGCAAATGATGTCTCAAATCTGGTTGATTTCCAGTCCAATGCACTTTCTGCCAATAGTTTCACTGCCATTTCCATCTGTTTCCCCACTCCCTGAACCTCCTTGGGTACTCTGTACCTGTCCTAGGATCCCCAGCCCCTCTGCATCTTACCGGCCCCTCTGCAGACTCTGAAACCCCAACTCACCTGGCCAGCTACCGGAGTGGATGCAGCTGAGTGGCTTGGGGAGCTGGGCAGGGACTTGCAGGCAGCCAGAAGCTGTTGCTGCTTGCGCAAGGTCACCACCTTCTGGGCCACTGAGGGGAGTTGACGGAAGGAGGTGTGAGCAGGCCAGATACCCAAGACCACCCTTCCATGCCCAGCTTTGAGAAATCCCCAGTAGACAACACAGGACCCAACTTCCTTGTCACTGTGGCCTCCATGCCACCTGTGGCCTTGCCAGCTCCTCCAGCCCAGAAAGACCTTGCGACTATTAAGCAAACCTTCTCTGGCCTCCCTGATCTCTCCTCCCTCCCACAAAGGCTAATTTCCTGTCACTCACAGAGAGAGGCCTGGATGCCTGACCACTGAGAATATCCCAGGCCCCTTGCTCTGGCTTCCCACATATGCTGGAGATCACTACACTCACCCTCCTGGAAGACCCGATCCACATTGAGCCCATAGGTTGCACAAGTCTCATAGTAGCTGCAGCGTTTCATGTCCGCGCACAGAGCTCTGGCACGAGCATCTCCCACCACCCGAGGGGAGGAAGCACTGATCCTGTCTGAGGGGACAGGAAAGGGGCAGGATTGAACAAGGAGCCCCACCTTGTTCGATTTTTCACAATTCCCTTATCCTTGCACTGGGCCCTCAGGCTGGGTCCACTGGGGATGGGGTGTGAGAGATCATCTTTTCTGTGACCAGGTGGAATGGGAGTACATAAGCCCTTTCTGAGTACTGGGCCCAGTTCACACACCTAGCTGGGTGAGCTGTGTGTGTGTGTGTGTGTGTGTGTGTGTCCTCAAGGAATACTCCAGAGCTGCTGAGTGGTGCTTCCTGACAAGGTCTACATAGCTGAGACCCAGGCGCGAGCGACAATCACCCTGCCCTGCAAATCCATAGAACCCTGAACTGGTGGGAGGACACCAGCTTGTGAACTAGGAAAAGGTTGGGTGCCCATGGGTCATGGCTGGACTGCCCACTCTGCAGCAAGAAACCAGGATGCAAGCAACAGGTGGAGATAGGCACCAGCAGAACAGGCATCCAGACCAAGTCCCACCAGCTCGACACAGGGGAGTGCTGGAAAAGCATTTCCTGGCCCTGGCAGAGTCTGGGAGCCTCTGAGTCACTTCTCTGAGAACTAAAAGGTTTTCTGCTCTCTTCTTTTCATCATCATTTCCTTTGTGTTTTCACTTTGTTTTTGGATAAGTTCCTTTAAAAGGTGTCAGCCTTACCCAGCTGTCGCAAAAAGGAAGATGGAAAAGGTTTCCTATCCACCCTAGGACTTGAGATTTTCTGTGTCCTAGGATGGTGGCACTAGGAAATGGCAGTGTCAGAACACAAGGTAGGTGACATTTCAGGAGAGGCAAGGAGATGGCTACTATAGCTGTCCTTTCCTCCCTGGAGATCCCCTTTTCTCTGCTCAGACCTTGGGAAGTTATTGTTTGGTTTCATGACTCCCTTATTTGGAGACCAGGCTCCCTCCAGAAGGGTACTATAATCCAAGTGGCCATTTCCACACCTTACCAAGTTCTCACCCATGTTGGGCAATATCCCAGTAGCCTCCTTAGGGCCTCCCTTGAAAGCAGTGCTTTCCTAACCCCTCCTTACCTTGTGTCCCCACCAGTGCCAAGGCCAGGCCTCCTCGTCCCTCCCCGCGAAGGGAACTCAGCTGCCCATGGAGACGGCTCACAGCCTGGAAACTGTTCTCATCCTCCAGGCTGAAGACGAAGATCACAGCATCTGCCCAGCCTGAGAACTTGCGGGGAGTGAGGGAGCAAATGGAAAGTCAGACAGGTCTACTCCTCTGGACCCAATCCAGATGAAGACCTGGGAAACCAGAGCCCTCTCCTTTGGCCAGTGCTGACCCCAGCCAGCCTGTCCCCCACCACCTCCACCCTCACCTTGGCATCAGGTGCCCCAGCTTCCTCTCGGATTAGCACCAGATGTGTCTGTCCATCCACCAACATTTCTTTCTTGTACTGCTCACCTGTCCAGAAGAGTTGGAAGGGGTAACAGGTCAGAGGTGACAGGTCACCAAACCTCCCCATGCTCCCAGTGCTTTTGCTATTATGGCCTCATCCTTCCCCCCTGGTCTCCACACCTGCCTAATCATTGATCTCACTCCTGGATCCCTGACCCCAATGGTTAGCTTACTATGGCTCTTCAGAACTCACTCTCTGTCTTCTCCAGCACCTGGTATGAGCCAGTCAGGAATCGGTGGATGAGCGATGACTTCCCACTCCTGGCATCGCCCAGCACACCCTGAGGGCAAGGTTGTGGAGCAGAAATTGTGGGATATAAGAGAAGGCAGGATGCATGGGTCTGGACACTCCAGAAAACCCAGAGAGATAAGTCATCCAAGCAGGACCCTACAGGGCCTGGATGACAGTCATTCCAGAGAGAGCAGTTGGGAGGATCAGAGCAGCTGGGGGGATCAGAGCAGTTGGGAGGATCAGGGCATGAGTGTGGTAAGAAATGATCCCAAGCTCAAAGTGGAGCACGAGCTGAAGAATGTCAGCAATTCAGTACCAGCTTTTTTGTGTGTTGGGTTGTTTAGAAAACATACTAGATATGTTGTGTGTGTGTGTCTCTGTGTGTGTGTGTTTGTAGCATGTCACAGCTCTAGGCACTAGTTGGAAAACTTTACCCAATTCTAGGCAGTACAACATGAAGGCCAAAGGGCAGATACCAGAAATGAGAAGCCTGGAGGAGGACCATGAACAAACAGGAAAAAGGGGATGGCTGCATAAAGACTAGATAGGAAAAACTTGTGAGGAGGCTGTAGCAAACCCCATGTTGGTGCTATGAAGGCAGACTCTCAGGAGAACTGGAAAACGATTCCCTATTCCCAAAGAGAGAGAGAGAGAGAAGGAGAGGTGAAGGGAGAGAGCTGAGAGTGCAGTGGGTGGGAGGTCAGCCTTCCCTATAGGCAAGGGGACTGGGTTACCTACCAGGCGCAGTTCAGGAATGGAGCGGCTCAAAGTCCATTCCTGGCTATTGATCACAGCCTCTGTAACGGGAGAAGGGCAGTAAGAGGGGAGGCTCCTGGCTCAGAAGGACCCCCAACACTGAGCCACCCCTCCTCCCTCTGCAGCTTTCCAACCCCCCCCCAACCCTGCCTGCACTGGAGAGGTGTGTGCAACAGACAGGTTTGAGGGTGGTCCCCAGGCCTCCCATCCCAGCCACTCTCCCCCAGCTGTTGCTGCCGCTCAGTGGTTGCTTAGCAACGGAGCTAGCAAGACAAAAATACTTCAGTTGGCATCTCCCTTAAAGCACATCCCCAAACGCGGGTCCTGGCCCCAGACAGGGAGACCAGGGCTCTGACAGTGGCAGGTTCTTCCCTCTGGAAAAAGAATAGAAGAGGAGCTCCTCCCTAACCCACTGGTTCCCAGGGCAGACCCTGGGAGGAGGTGCTGAAACACAGAAGAGAGTGTGTCTTCCCCAACCTCCATTCCACAGGAGAGAAACTGAGGTGAGGGGTTTCCCTCCCCTTCTTCAAGGTCAACGGCACTGTAGCCCTGGACCCCTCCCCACAGCCCAAGGGAAAGAGCTAGGATTTTCCTATGCCTCCATCTCCCACACCCTCCCCACAAACGCCCTCCAAAAGAACTGTGGGGAAGGGCTCCATCGCCTGGCCGAGAGAAGCCACAGGCCCGGGGGAAAGGATGCTCCTTCCGCCAGCCAGGTCCAGCCCCCGCGCCTGACACCGGCCGGACGTTCCCGGGGCGCCGCAGCTGCGGCGGGAACTCTGGGATCCGGAGCCATCTGCTCCCACCCGCTCCGGAGCCAAACCCCGGGGGCCGCCTCCGCTCCCGGACCCGCCTCCTCTCCCGGGAGTGTGAGCCGAACCAAGAGTCTCCTGCCTATCTCCTCCAGTAGGAAAATAGTAATAATAATAGACACCCTGCCCCCGTAAAAAACACTACCTTCCCCGTACCGCCTCCCAAGTCTCCCGGGGTACGGATTGCCTTTGCAGCAGTTCCGCCCCACCTGACTCACTCCAGGGTCAGCCCCGGGTGGGTTTCAATGCGGCTCTGGGGAGGGGGTGGGCAGTGGGGGAAGTGAGGCTTCCTATCCGCCCCCTCTCACTTCACATTTAAATATTCTGCACGTTCCAGCCCCCGCGGACTCGCGTACCGCCCAATCCGCCTTCACCGCACGAAAAACATCACTAGCCTGCTCTCAGCCCAGGGGACGACTAGTCCCTGGCGAGAAGCTGCCTGCAAGGTCACTGTCATGCCACCTGCCCCAAGTGCTCAGGGGAAACTGAGGCTTCCTCATCCCCTTCACCTTCAACGTCGCTCTAAACACGGCAAAGCCCCGTTTCCATGCTCCCAGAGTTCAGCTGAGGCTGGAAGTGGGGTCCTGGGCTTCTCTGGGAGCAATTTTCTAGTCACTCTGATCAAGGACGTTACTTTCCCAGAAAGCTCTGAGGCTGAGTCCCTCTGAAATCAAGTCCTTTCTCCTGTCGCACAATGTAGCTACTCGCCCCGCTTCAGGACTCCTATTCTTTGCCCCAATCCTTGACAGAGGGGTGAGCTTGGTTCATCCGCCCACCCCAGAGAAAAGCTTCCCTAGTTTCCTGGACCTCGCTCCTCCACCCCAAGCTGAGCATTCCAGGTACCCTTCCCTCCCTGTTCTCAAGCCCTGACTCAACTCACTAGGGGAAGCGCGGAGCTCGGCGCCCAGCAGCTCCCTGGACCCGCTGCCAGAAGACAGGCTGGGGGGTCCGGGAAGGGGCCCGGAGCCAGGAGGCCCTCCTGTGCTCTTGGTGAAGATGCCGCTGATAAACTTGAGCATCTTGCGGTCACGAGTGGATGCTCGGCCCCCCTCCCGGCCCCGTTTCAGCCCCGGAGCTGGAGGCTCCAGAGTGATTGGAGGTGCAGGCCCGGGGGGCTGCGCGGAAGCAGCGGTGACAGCAGTGGCTGGACTCGGAGTTGGTGGGAGGGTTAGCGGAGGAGGAGAGCCGGCAGGCGGTCCCGGATGCAAGTCACTGTTGTCCAAGGTCTTACTCTTGCCTTTCCGAGGGGACAACTTCCCTCGGGCTCCAGCCCCAGCCCCGACCCCACCAGAGGTCGAAGCTGTAGAGCCCCCTCCCCCGGCGGCGGCGGCGGTGGCGGCGGCAGAGACCGAAGCTCCAGTCCCGGCGCTGCTCTTTGACCCCTTGACCCTGGGCTTGCCCTCGCTTTCGGGCCATGACAGGCGGCTACCCGCGCCCTTGCCCCCGCCGGCTTTGGCTCCACTCGTGGTCACGGTCTTGCAAGGCTTGGGAGCCGGCGGAGGAGGCGCCACCTTGAGCCTCCGGCTGCCGGTGCCAGGGTGCGGAGAGGATGAGCCAGGGATGCCGCCGCCCGCCCGGCCTTCGGGCTCCGGGCCGCCCCAGCTCGGGCTGCTGAGCAGGGGGCGCCGGGAGGAGGTGGGGGCGCCCCCAGGCTTGGGGTCGGGGCTCAGTCCCCCGGAGAGCGGGGGTCCCGGAGGGACGGCCCAGAGGGAGAGGCGGCGGCCGGGAGCGGGGGAGACTGGGCGGGCCGGACTGGCCGGAGCCGGGGACAGGGCTGGGGGCTCCGCGCCCCCGGTGCCCGCGCTGCTCGTGCTGATCCACAGCGCATCCTGCCGGTGGAAGAGACGTTCGTGCCGCTTCTTGCCCGGCTCCTCCGCGCCTCGGGGGCTGCCAGGATCCCCAGTCTCGGAGCCTCTGGCACCGGCGGCGCCGGCCGCGGCCGCAGACGGAGAAGGCGGCGGCGGAGGCACCGACTCGAGCTTAACCAGGGTCAGCGAGATGAGGTAGGTCGTTGTCCGGCGCTGAAGCGCGCCCGCGCCCCGGCTCATGGGGCCCGGAGACCCCCGAGCTGGGGAGGGGAGGGGACTCCCCCGGACTGCCTCAGGGGGGCCCGGCCATGGGGCCGCCCTGCTCGCTGCCCCCAGCCCCCGGACCCCGCTGAGCCCCCGGCCCGGCTCCGCTGTCGCCGCCGCCTCCGCCGCCTCCGCTTGCGCCCCCCTCCCATCACATGGGGCGCCCCCTCCCCATGCTCCCCGCCCTGCGCCCCCACCCTCTTGGAGCCCCGGGACCTTGGTGCTGCTCCAGGGAGGCGCGCCGGACCGTCCACCCCGGCCTGGGTGGGGGCGCTGAGATGGGTGGGGGAGGGCGGGGAGGACAGTAGTGGGGGCAAATGGGGGAGAGAGAGGAAAAGGGAGCAGAAAAGGGGACCGGAGGCTAGGGGAAACGAACCTGTGCGGGGGAGGCAGGGGCGGGGAATTGGGACTCAAGGGACAGGGGCCGCGGATGCGGTCGGAAAGAGGGTCTAGAGGAGGGTGGGAAGCTAGTGGGGCTGGCCGTGCGGGGGATTCGCAGGGGCGCGGGGAGGATGCTGGGGATGGAGATACAGGAGGCGGCGGGGGAGGAAAGAGGGAACGGGAGGTGGGTGGGAACCCACGGGTCTGGGGTCTGGGAGGGGAGGGGCGTGAGATCCGGGCGAAGAGTCCGGGGGCCTCGCCTGGGCTCGGCTTGGTCCGGATGCGCGCTGTGTCCGGGCGCTCCCCTCACATTGAGGAGGAGGCGGCCCCCAGGCCCCCCCACCCTATCTCCCCCCCACCTTTTCTCCACCAGCACCGATGTCTGCGAGGGCGGTGCAAAATCCAGGGCTGGATTTCTCTCCCAAATCCTGGGCTGGATTTCCTGGGACTTGGACTCACCTCCTCCAACAACCTAGCCCCCTCCTCTCGCGCACCAAGGTTAGGAAGCGCGATTGTGAGGTATGGCATTTAGGGATAAGGGTGAAAATCGATCTATTGGGTGGACAGGGGCCGCGGTAAACAGAGCAAACCCAGGGTCACTGCCAATTCTGGGGAAGATGAAGTGGGAAAGTGGGGGCCCTGAAATCCCTTCCCCCAGGATCTCTTGTCTCCCCCAGGTACCTGGACGGTTCCCGTTCTCATGACCCAGCTCCCTTTCCCACTCACACCACCACATTTAATACTTTGACGGGGCCAAGACTTGAGCTCGACTGTCCCAAAGTGAACTTGGAAAATGTTCCCCAGGGATGGGGACAAACATGGAACTTAGCAGGGTAGGAGAGAAGGGAGAGATCTGAGTGCTGGAGGAGCCCAGGCCACAGGGTAAGTCAAAGGCTCCAGCTCTAGGAGGAGGGAGAAGGATGTGTCTTAGACTGATACCCCCCCATGCCAAAATGCATCCAGTCTCCATAGCAACCGTAGCTCCAAGAGTGCCTCAGAAACAGCGGGCAGAAGCAGAGAGGAATCCGTGTGTATGGTGGGTAGGGGACCAACCGCGGGATGCTGAATTAGTGGAGGCACTGCCCTGACACCTGGCTACCCACAGGTGGAGGATTTCACTCCCCAAGTATAAGGACCCTTCAGTTGAGGCAGTGAGAGCCGGCCTCTTCAGGGTTCCCTTTCAGTCTCCTGAGGTTTGCTGAGTGGGATTCTTTCAGAAGATTAAAGAGGAGGCAGGCAGAGTGAATGGAAACCGTCTGCTCCGTGTCCCCCACCCCTCTAGGGGTCTTGGAGTTCAAGGCTCTCTATCCTCCAGCCAGGTGAGAATCCTGAAGTGGTTAGGCCAAAGTGGAAAAGAGGTTGAGACCCCTTGGGGGTGGGGTAAGATGGGCGAAGGAAGGTCTCTCTGCAGCCTTGGAGACCCCTTCCCGGGACTTGGGGAGTCACAGCAGTCCCCTGATTTGGCGTCCCACCCTCCTGACGCAGCTGAGACTATAATAAGTGCTGCCGTGGGCGGCTCTTGGAGGCAGGAGCCCGCAGCGTGCTTGGCCTGGTGGGGGGCTGAGGGTGGGGGGGCTGAGCCAGGATGCCAGGAGCCCTTTGTTCTCCCAGAGGCCTGTATCCAATCCCTCCAATGTTCTGTCCTGGGGCTCAGCAGTTTCTCCCTCCCTCCCTACAGAACCAAGATGACACCATCCCCAGGACAGGAGACCCTTCAGTAGTGTTTTTTGATGGAGAGGGTGAAGGAGAATTGTTGGCTCTGGCTTAAACTTCCCTCCTTTGATGGCCTCGGTTTTCCTTTATGTTCAATGGGAACAGAATACTAATTCTTAGAGAAGGAGTAAAACAAATCACTTATGAGGAGTGAAGCCTTCTCAGGGATTTCCACCTCCACCCCTCCTCACCCTCCTCCCTCTCCAGAGCTAAGCACAGCTTTTCTGCCTGGCCTAAACCGCTCTTCTCCTTTATTATTATTATCATTATTATTTTTGAGAGGGGTGGGGCTTAGAGTTTCTCCCTAGGAGGCCCCATGGCCCACTCCCCCTTGGTCTGCCTTTCCAAACACTAAGGCTGTCAGGGGAAGCTTCAGGTGTAGTTCCTGGCAAAGGGTATGGGACAGGAGGTGAGAGGGGCACTAGCCTCCGAAGAACAATGGGAAGGGGATCATCAGACTGTCCCACTAGGCATCCAAAGCAAGCTGTTCCTTCCCCAAGTTATACTCTGGTGTACTAGCAGAGAGGTCTGGCAGGAGGTGTCCTTGAGGGAAAGAATGATCTCTTGACAACCACCCAGGTAGGCAGGTAACAATGGAGAAGACTGAAATGGCTGGAAGAGATCAGGATATGATGGAAGAAGTGTTTCCACCAGACACCTTTCATGAGCAAAGAAGGCTGCTTTTGTTAGCTCTTTGCTGCATCAGAGGTGAATGGAATGACAGCGAGCTGGAACAACCTCCAGTTCCACCAGTTCCTCAGTGGTAGGGCCTTGTGGATGGAGAGAAGCTGTTCCTGCCAGGGCTCCACCACAGGACTGAAGCCTGGGGTGGGCAGGAGGATGTGGCGGATGGTGTTGCCATGGCAGCATTTCCTCCCTGTGTTGTCATCACTTGCTCTAATGGCACTAAGGAGGTAGAGCGGAAGGTGTGTGGGGGGAAGACAGGAACAGGAGCAAGGGGAGGAGAGGGGACCAAGAAGAGTTCTGGGGACCTATCTGCACTTTGGCTCTGCAGAGCATAGTGTGTGAGAGTTAGTATGCGCTTGGGAGCCTGAGATTCTCTGCATGGTGTACTTCAATGTGCATGCGTGTGTGTGTGTGTGTATGTGTGTGCATGTGTTTCTCTCTACAGCTGGAGAACAAGAGGTCACTGATCCTTTGTGGGTCCTGGGAATGAACTCATTATCCAGTCCCAGAACCTGCTGCCCCAGACTGCTTCCTGCTCTGGACTCCCCAGGCAGGGAACAAGTCTACCATGAGTCTGTCACAGCCTATCTTCCCCATGCTCACACATTTCTTCATTGCCAAGAAGGTCAGCTCAACAGGGACCTGTATTTTGATCTCCTGGGAGAAGGATCAGAGCAGGGAAAGAGAAAGAATGATACCTCCCATGTCTTTTTCCATCCTCCCTAAATGTATTCTTTCCCAGAGTCCCATCTTGGGGACTAGGAAGTAGCTGACTGGGAATTGATATATGATACAGCTAAACCTTCTATGCACCTGCTAGTCCCTGATACACCCAAGTTGAGGGCTGACCTTTCTCTTACCTCGAATGCTGTCCAATGAGGCCTGGATGCTGTCCTGGAGTTCGGGGTCGTCCACCCTCTCTGCCAGCTTCCTGAGGCGGTTTAGAGCCTGCTTGGCCACCTCATGTCGTCTGACTTCTGCTCTCACTGCAGCTACAACGAACTGCCTCTGGGCATGCATGTTGCCCAGACCTGTCTTGCCAGGCTAACAACCACCTCTGGCCCTGAGGCCCATGGCCCTACAGCCCCCAAACCTCAGAAGGCCCCTTCTGCTGTGCCCAGAACTCCCCGCCCCTGCCCGCCCTTCCGTCTGTCGACCTCACTTCCTGACTGGTGAGTTTCAAACCCACAGCCTGGGACAGCACTACCTCCTGCACCTCCCACCCCCTCTAGTGTTGGCCCATCAACCCTGCCAGCCAGTCCCTGCTATGATTTCCCAGCCAGGTGGATGGAGAAATCTTAACAGTGTCCCAGGGCCTCCTGTGGGAGGTGGCTAATTAAGATGGGTGTTGGTTCTGGGAGAATATGGCAAGCTAGGTCCGAGGTGCAATCCTAAACTCTTGATGACCTGCGGATTTCAAACTCTCACAGGAATTCATGCACATTTGGTCTGTTACCCTCACAGCCCTGCATTCTAGTATACACTTGTACCCATTGCCCTCTCTACACATCCCAATGAGCCCTGTATCCTTATGTCTTACGATGTAACCCTTTTTCAGGCAGCTACCCACTGAGGCCACCTCCTGTTTAAAAGGGCCAAGTGAGGCCAGGCGTGGTGGCTCATGCCTGTAATCCCAGCACCTTGGGAGGCTGAGGCAGGAGAATCACTTGAACCCAGGAGGTGGAGGTTGCAGTGAGCCAAGATCACGCCACTGCACTCCAGCCTGGGTGACTAAGCGAAACTCCACGTCAAAAATAAATAAAATAAATAAATAGGCCAAGTGATTATGGGGAAAATCAGTTATGAAGGAGGAAAGTAACCTATAAAAAGACAAAAACTACCATGTTCCATGTCCAATCGCTTTCATAATAATTAACATGACTATAACACTTAATAGTTTACAACATACTTTCATATATATATTATCCTCATGACAGCCCTGAGGAGTAGGATTATTTATCCCTATTTGCATAAAAGGAAACTAAGGCTCAGAGAAGCCATTAAGAGGTGAAACAAAGACATGGATTTAGGTCTTCTGATTTTATTTTTACATTTTTATTTTTATTTTTTACCAAGCACATAAAGCCCAGATTGGTTATAATTTTGATACCCTTTTCACTACACCACACAACCAAAATGCTTGTCAACCAGTTCCCCTTCTAATATCATTGTCTTGCCCTTGATTTAGGACCTCAAAGAAAAGAAGGTAGATGAGGAACTGAAGGAGACAATGAAGATGGGACTTGGGGTAGGAAGGGGATGGAGGTGGGGAGTGAGGGGGTGGGAGGTAGGAGGTAGCGGGTAGTTTGACCTAATTACTTTGTTTCCACCGGACGCCTGTAATCGTAGCACTTTGGGAGGCCGAGGCGGGCAGATCACCTAAGGTCAGGAGTTCGCCACCAGCCTGGCCAACATGGCAAAACCCCATCTCTACTAAAAATACAAAAAAATTAGCTGGGTGTGGTGGCGGGCACCTGTAATCCAGCTACTCGGGAGGCTGAGCCAGGCAGGAGAATTGTTTGAACCCGGGAGGTGAAGGTTGCAGTGAACTGAGATCGCGCCACTACACTCCAGCCTGGGCGACAGAGGGAGACTCTGTCTCAAAATAATAATAATGATAATAACTTAATTACCTTGTTTCAAGACCCAAACACCTCTCTCGCCCTGTCAAACATCTATTCTCCTGCATACCTTTTTGGTATTAATTTCTGTAAGAGTTTATATAAATACTGTGTAGTTAAAGATAAGGGAATTGAGGTTGGAATTGCCCACAGGAACCTGTAAAATGACCTGAAAAGTAATAACTAACATTGAGTGTTTACTATATGCCAGGTACTGTTCTAAGTATTCTACATATATTAACTCATTTAATTCTTACAACCCAAGAGGTAGGGTGTGTTGTTATTTATCCCCATTTTACAGATGAGGAAACACGCACAGACAGTTTCTAAGTGCCTGGCCAAAGGTTACGCAGCTAGGAAGTGGCAATCTGACTGTGGCAGTAAGTCTATAGAATCTAAGTACACACAAACTTAAATCATTCTGTTGAGTTGATTGGAGGGTTTTCTTTTTTGTTCCTACTGTTTCTTTCTCCTGGGGAAGAGAAGGATTATGCCTTTCCCTACCCCCGTGAGAAGGACGGTTTGTCAAAGCACTTACTAGATAATAAAGTTGTTGATCAGCCTACCCCCAAGTGAAAAGGTGGAGGCTCCTTCCACTTATATTTATGTAAATGAGACTCTTCCTCTTGCCTGCCGTTTTTTTGCAAGCCCTAGATCAGGCGTGTACTCTGAAAATGCTGAGCACACCCCTCTGTGCACTTGTGGCAATGCCACATACAGGAATGCGCTGGCCTGAGGCCGCTATTTCCACACTGAATTTCTGGTATATTCACACCCCTTTAGGAGGAGATATGGAACAGGACATGGGTACTAGAGGACACACAAACGTGTGATGATTTGCTGGGTGTTGCTGTGTCCAACCCGCGGACTCTGCGGCCGGGCTAAATAAGCTCAATATGTGGCTCCTTTGGGTGTTCCCGAGCGTGACGCAATAACAAAACAATGGCGTCATCGTGAGGTCACTGCAGAACAGGGGGAAGGGGGTGGGGAAGGGCCCTCCTTCTACGGGCGGAGCCCTTTTTGCCCAGCTCTCAGAGCGGCCCCCTACCCGCCCCTCCCGCCGTCTCCCCTTCACCTAAGTTCCTCCAGAGCCGTCTCCCTGGGAATTAGCCCTCTCCTAACTCCGACCACAGAAAGCTCAGCTTTCAACCTAAGCTTTTGGAGTTTAGGCTGTAGTCCCTAAGAGAGTCTCTAGAAACCCTGCCCCTAGTTTTAAGTTTCGCCCAATGAAAAAACAAAAGGAGAGGGACAGAAGGCGGGTCGGTGACGTAATGCGGGTTGATTGGCATGCAGGCCTTGGACGTCCAGGATTAGCCACGCATTTCGCCAATCCAGAGGCAGGGGAGGGACGGTGCAGGCGCAGAGTATTGGGTTTGGCTGGCCTCGATTTAAAGAGACAGAAGCTGTCGGGGTCCTGGAAGACGGTCCCCAATACCCTCCCCCCAAGTCCTTGGGACCACTTGGGTCCCCAGAGCTGGGGAGATGGTTTGTGGCGGCTTTGCCTGCTCCAAGAATGCGCTTTGCGCTCTCAACGTGGTCTACATGGTGAGGTTTTGGAGGTGGGGGAAGCTTCAAGGCGGAAAGGCCCCGTGGGGAGAATCTCTAGGGTACTTCCGGTGGGGAGAGGGGTGTATGGGGGTTCCGGGAAGATTCCCAGGAACTTCCGGCGACGAGGGAATTCCTGGGGACTTCCGTGGGAGAGAGGAGACTTCCGGTTGATTAAGGGGGTTTGTCTGAGGGTGGGGGAATGAACTGAAGGCCGTGGGCGTAAGTTCCATACCTCCTTCCTGTGAACCTCAGTTTCTTCCAAACTGGAAGTGATAGGATGATCCTGAGGGTTCATCTTTTGCATTCATACTACCATCCCTGCCACCCCCTCCCCGCCATCCTAGCCATTCTAACCTTTGGGAGTGCCTAGGGATGCTCCCGGTGCGGATAGCACCATCCCCAGCTCCCATTCACACACTATTCCATTATTCCTTCCCCCTGCCCCGCTCCCAAGTCCTCTTGTATGGCCTTGGGCTGTGCCGCATGCTAGAATTGTTGAGATGTATCCTGCTCTTTCTTCGTAGCTGGTGAGCTTGTTGCTCATTGGAGTGGCTGCTTGGGGCAAGGGCCTGGGTCTGGTGTCCAGCATCCACATCATCGGCGGAGTCATTGCTGTGGGAGTCTTCCTTCTCCTTATTGCAGTGGCTGGACTGGTGGGTGCTGTCAACCACCACCAAGTCCTGCTGTTCTTTGTATCCTGACCTGAAGTGATGGGGGCAACCGGGGGCTTGGGAGGGCTGTCATCTAAGGAAGATGTTAGAAGGGTAGGGGACCTCAGGGATCTTGGACACGTCTCCTTGCCCTGCCCTGTCCCATAATCTACGAAACAAGAGCTGATTTTATTGCTTTCAATTTGACATGGTGGTGTAAGTTCTATGAACAGATGAGACCAGACAGTTATTATAGATGAAACATAAAGGAATCTAGGACTTTTTTCCATAACCTTTCCTCTCAGTACATGATCATCCTTGGTTTGGTCTTCATCTTCCAATTTGTAATCTCTTGCTCATGTCTGGCTATTAACCGAAGCAAACAGGTAAGACAGTACCCTTTCAAGTACTTACTTGCTTTTTAAAATTTTCCTCTTAACCTCGAACTCCTTCCTTAGTCTGGCCCCAACTACCCAAAGATCATCCTTAGGTGCACTGCTTCTGGCCTCTTGGGCTATTTGCTTCCTCTGGGATGTCTGGTTAATTTTCCATGAGGATGATCTAGAGAACCTCAAAAGGTAGATATTTATCGTGTCTATAATTGTTGCACACCGTTATGCTTCTGTTTGACTTCCTTTGCTGGGCTAGGGAAATTGAGGCACTTGAACTGATAACAGGATGTAGGGAGACTTAATTTCCCTCTACCCATATCTTTCAGACAGATGTCATCAATGCTTCTTGGTGGGTCATGAGCAACAAGACTCGGGATGAACTGGAAAGAAGTTTTGATTGTTGTGGCTTATTCAACCTCACAACCCTGTATCAACAAGATTATGATTTCTGCACTGCAGTGAGTGTGTTGGGGGTGGTGCAGCAGCCAGGGGAGGTAGGAAACTGGGTAAGGACAATGCCCAAGTTGGCAAATTTAGTTTGAATGTCATTGTTTCTCTCTCTACAAGCCCTCTTGTATTGGGGCTGTGTTGGTGGGAGGTGGGGGTGGATAGAGGCTGGGGAATTAGCCAAGTAGGATTTTAGTTTGTAGGACACTGGTCAGATAACAGTAAAGTTTCTAGGGACATTCGGCATAGGTATTAGTCACTAGCAACTTTACATTCACAACTTTGCATTCTTCACGTTTTATCCTCAGATCTGCAAGAGCCAGAGCCCCACATGCCAGATGTGTGGAGAAAAGTTTCTTAAGCATTCAGACGAAGCCCTGAAAATCCTAGGGGGTGTTGGACTCTTCTTTAGCTTTACAGAGGTAACATTCTCCAGTTCCCTCACACACATCCTTTTTGAGACTGAGAATTAATTGATACTTATCTCTCTCCCTTTGTTCCTACAGATCCTTGGTGTTTGGCTAGCAATGAGATTTCGGAATCAGAAGGATCCTAGAGCCAACCCCAGTGCCTTTCTATGAGACTTTGGATCCTTCTGACTTTTCTTCTGCTCTCTCTAAGCTTTCTCTTCCTCCCTTAGGGAATATCTAGGGTCTGTAACCGTTTTGGTTTGAGAAAAAGGAAAGGCCCCTTGTCACATCCTCTAAAATTGATGGAATAGCAAGACTTTATGCCTTGACATATTTTAGTGGGAGCCAGACTATAAGGAATAAAAGGAAAAACTTTCTTCCTCTCTCTCCAAGAGGATATGGGAAGCTTCTGTGAGTGCATAGGATGGGGGCTGGAGTCATTCTTAGCTGTTTCCCTTCCTCTGTCCATATACTGGATCACCTCAACATACCCTGGTGTGGCTCTAAGGGTAAATCAGGGATAGGGCCAAGGAGAAAACAACCAAGAACTCTTTCCTGTAATAAGCAGGATCCAGTTTGAGAAAGTTTAGCGAATATAAAAGTAAAAGCCATTTAAAAATCTATATTCTTTTTTTTTTTTTGACACAGAGTCTTGCTCTGTTGCCCAGGCTGGAGTGCAATGGCATGATCTCGGCTCACCGCAACCTCTGCCTCCCGGGTTCAAGCGATCCTCCTGCCTCAGTCTCCCAAGTAGCTGGGATTACAGGTGTGCACCACCACGCCTGACTAATTTTGTATTTTTAGTAGAGACAGGGTTTCACCATGTTAGTCAGGCTGGTCTCGAACTCCTGACCTCAGGTGATCCACCCGCGTTGGCCTCCCAACGTGCTGGGATTATAGGCGTGAGCCACCACGCCCCGCCTAAAATCCATATTCAAAGAAGCAATTTCAGTTCCTTTCTAAGCTTTGTCAGTCAAGGGGCTCCACTGACTTCCTAGGCCCTGTAATTTAACCAGTCTTTAAGGTTTTGCAGGAAAGTCCCTTCTTCCAAGTGGTTTTTCCAAATCGCACAATGGCAAAGCCAAACAGAGGAAGAAACATTAAAAAAAAAAAAAAGACCATTATTTCTTTGTTTTGTTTTTCCTGTATAAAAAAGGACCCCAAATATAAAGGTAGGGAAAGGGACAAGAGGGAACATACCCCTTAGTGTAGAGAAATGGGAAGGAGAAGGAGAAGCCTCAAAAGGAGAGGTGGGAGGGGAATGTCATTAAGGCAGCAAAGTAATCTCTGTAGAAAGATGGAGGAGGACCCTCCATAGCCTCAGAGATAAAGGCAAAGATTGCCCTCTCAGTGTCCAGAAGGGAAATGGCAGCTTTTCTTCCTTCCATGGCAGCCACTCCATTGCTCACTCCGGATTACCTTCATCCTTATGTAGATAAGAGTGCTGCAGAGCTCGAAAGGCAGAGATTCGCTTGTGTGGGTTAAAAGTCAGCATTTCCTGAGGGGAGAGGCAAAGGTCAGAAAACCATGAAGAAAACAGACTTCTGCCCACCCACAACAATACCTGGGATGAGCTTTCTTCTTTTTTCTTTTTTTTTTTTTTTGAGACGGAGTCTCGCTCTATCACCCAGGCTGGAGTGCAATGGTATGATCTCAGCTCACTGCAACCTCCGCCTCCTGAGTTGAAGTGATTCTCCTATCTCAGCCTCCCAAGTAGCTGAGATTACAGGCGTGTGCCACCACCCCCGGCTTATTTTTGTACTTTTAGTAGAGACGAGGTTTCACCATGTTGGCCAGGCTGGTCTCGAACTCCTGACCTCAGGTGATACGCCCACCTTGGCCTCCCAAAGTGCTGGGATTACAGGCGTGAGCCACCGTGCCCAGCCAGGATGGGTTCTCTTCTATATCCTTCTCTGTGGGTGGCTATTTGCAGCTGTAATAAAAACTACAGCCCATCTACCAACCAAGTTTCATTAACCACAGTGGCCAGGGCCCTGCATACTGCTCTATTTCTTTCCCCAGTCTCTATTTCTTTCCCTGTGCCCACAGCCATCTCCAGTACCAGCAGCAGCTGTGCTCCCGACTCCTCCATCTCAGGTACCACCGACTGCACTGGGCGGGGCCCTCTGGGGGGAAAGGCTCCACGGGGCAGGGATACATCTCGAGGCCAGTCATCCTCTGGAGGCAGCCCAATCAGGCTGTGGGGGACAGGAGAACTCTGGTCAGGAGGGTCCTCCAGTTCCCATCCCCATGGGCAGAGCCAGTTGCCATCCTGGGTTCAGCAGAAAGAGGACTCAGAATAGAAAATCTTTTTCTCCCATGTTGGTCACTTACTCAAAGATTTTGCCCAACTGGTCGGCTTCAGAGTTTCCACAGAAGAGAGGCCTAAGGTGAGAAGGGATATAAGGTAGCAGTCATTTTCAAAGATATCTTAGTTGAATGGTTACTGCTTAGTGGCTCAAAATAGGAAGTATAGGGAATAAAGGCCAACAATTCCAGCACTTTGGGATGCTGAGGTGAGAGGACTGCTTGAGCCCAGGAGTTCTAGATCAGCCTGGGCAAGCAAGACCTTGTCTCTTTTTTTAAAAAAAAAGAAATGCCAGGTGCAGCGGCTCACGCCTGTAATCCTAGCACTTTGGGAGTCTGATGTGGGTGGATCATGAGGTCAAGAGATCGAGACCATCCTGGCCAACATGGTGAAACCCTGTCATTACTAAAAGTACAAAAATTAGCTGAGCATGGTGGCGTGCACCTGTGGTCCCAGCTACTTGGGAGGCTGAGTCAAGAGAATTGCTTGAATCTGGGAGGTGGAGGTTGCAGTGAGCAGAGATCGCACTACTGCACTCCAGCCTGGCGACAGAGCAAGACTCCATCTAAAAAAAAAAAAAGCCAGTCATGGTGGCGTGCACCTGTAGTCTCAGCTACTCAAGAGGCTGAGATGGGAGGATTGCTTTAGCCCAGGAGGTAGAGGCTACAGTGAGCTGTAATTGGGCCACTGCACTCCAGCCTGGGTGACAGAGTGAAACCTTATCTCAATAAATAAATAAATAAATAAATAAATAAATAAATAAATAAATAAAAAATAAAGAGAATAAAGGGATATGAAGTTCCTAATTCCAGAACATTTCAGAGCTTTCTGCTATGGGCAAGTTAGTAGTACGCAAGTAAAAGAATGGGGCCAGATGCAGTAGCTTATGCTACTTTGGGAGGTAGGGGTGGGAGGATTGCTTGAGTGCAAGAGTTCAAGACCAGCCTGGGCAATATACTGAGACCCCATCTCTATAAAAATATTAACAAACTAGCCAAGCATGGAGGTGCGTGCCTGTAGTGTCAGCTAGTTGGGAAGCTGAGATGGGAGGATCACTTGAGCCCAGGAGGTTGAAGCTGCAGTGAGCTGTGATCATGCCATTGCAATCCAGCCTGGGCAACACAGCAAGCCCTGGTCTCAAAAAAAAAGAATGGGCAAGGTATGGATGTGGTTTATGAACAAGCGATTTGGGGAATTCAAGGTAGTCCAGGGTATGTGGGTCCCATACTTTCGACGAAACATCTCTGCAAAGATACAGCCAACACTCCACATGTCCACAGGTGTTGCATATGTGGACTGCAGAAGAACTTCGGGAGCTCGGTACCAGAGTGTAACAACCTAAAGGGAATAGGAAGAATGGATGGGGACCCCATGGGTTACCATGAAACACAACTTGCTTGACTGAACACATGAAGCACATGACTTCTCAATTGCTACGGGCAATCACTCTCCTACTCCCAACCAGAACCCATTTTGGTACCATCTTTCTACTGACCACGGGTGTAAGTGCCATCTGGTAGCTGTAGATTCTGGCCAGGCCAAAGTCAGCCAGCTTGACTGTTCCACCACTTGTCACCAGAATGTTCTCTGGCTTCAGATCTCGGTGAACGATGCAATTGGCATGAAGGAAATCTAGGCCTCTTAGAAACTGGCGCATCAGATCCTAGTTTCAAAGGGGAGGTACAGATGCACTGGAAACTAGGCACCATACCTGAAATCCCAGAAGGTTCTACTACAAAGGTCCCAATCCACCTCTCAATGCCTACCAACCCCACTCACCTTGATCGTTTCGGCTGGCAAGCCTGGTGGGGGTGCCTTGTCCAGATATGTCCTTAGGTCCTGGTCTACATGCTCAAACACCAGGGTTACCTTGATCTCCCGGTCAGTTCGGGATGTGGCACAGACGTCCATCAGCCTGACCAGAGTAAATGCTCACTTTTCAATCCCCTTTAACCCAACATGGCCTCTCATTATTTCCTCAGGGTCCCCACTTCTCTACAGATCATCACACCCCACCTATAGGCTGTCTTTTCCCTTTACTCCCCACGCCCAACCCTCCACCACCTTCTCACCGGACAACATTGGGATGCTCAAAAGCCTCCAGTCGCCTCAGTAAAGCCACCTCACGAACTGTGCTGATGGGAAGGCCTCCTCCACCTCCTCCTCCATTGGGGACTCTCACACTCTTGAGGGCCACAAAGTGGCCACTGTGGGGATCACGGGCCTTGTACACTGTCCCATAGGCACCGACACCAATTTCAGCCACTGGCTCATATCGAGAGGTAGCCATTCTCAGATCAAGGGAGACCCTACAATCACAGACTCCTATCACCAAAAGTCGCTTACAGAGTTAGGATGGTATGAGCCTGCAGCAACAAAGGGACTCCCAAAAAAAAAGCGCAAAGAACACCACCAGCATCCCATCCCCCGCTCCCAGTCTTCCTTGGGGCCGGCCCCAGAGATAACACAATGACTCAATACCAACCCCTCCAGCCACGTGAGGCCCTGCAATAGAAAACGCTTTTTCCTTTGGGACAATCGCGCCCCGCACAAAGATCACACATGACACATGCCTTGCATCGAAGATCCTACACCTCAGTCCCTAAAATTATACTTTCCCATGACCACAAAGGCCCCACTTCCCGCCCTTGAGCGACCCTTCCATAACCAGCTCGCGAAACGAACGCGTGGAAAGCTGTGAGGGGGGCGGGCACTGGTTCTCATTCCTGGGAAGGGACTGCACTTACCTCACGCCAGCCCGGGGTGCTGTGGGGGCGGCCCGTTATCGGGGCCCCGGAGCCGGTTCCTACGGCCCCATACACCCGAGCTCGGTCCGGAGCAGCTGGACGCAGAGGGCCCGACCATAGACACAGGCCGCAAGCTAGAGAGGCCCCCTCACCCCCACCCTCACCATGTGACCAGCTGCCAAAGAGGCGCGCGGAAACTGGGAGGGCGGGGCGAACGCCGGACGTTCTGGGCACGTGACCGCCACCCATGCGCTGAGGGGCGGACAGGAGGTGCTTCGACTGGGAGGAGGGCGAAGAGTGTAAGGGGGCGGAGGGGCGATGGCAGCCACGTGATCTGTTGCTATCACACGTGACCGCTTGACATTGCTCTGAGGAGCAGAGGTGTGGCTACGCGGCGGGCACGTGACTGGCTGCCACAACCCCCGCTGCAGGGGGGGAGCGGTGAGGGGGACAAGAGAGGGTGGAGCCCGAGGCGGTGCCATGGCAACCTAGGCCACCCAGAGCCCAACTCCCGGCTGAAGGATTGTCTCACTACCGGTCTGAAGGCTGAACTCCAGTCTCACTACCGGTCTTTCAGCCTGTCTGCATTGGGGAGGGGGTGGGAGTTGGGGTACCAGAGGTGATGCTGTCACCTTTTCGCTCCACCATGAGAAAACATACTCTCATTTGTGTCATTGTTTCATTCATTAATTCTACAACATTTTACTGAGTGCTTGCTTCCAGTGTGTATGTGGGTTTTTATTTTGTTTTTGGTGTCTGTCACTGGCCCTTTAAAGTAGTGGTACGACTATCTATAAAGATGTAGCCAACAATGGGGTCTTCTACAATAGGGAGTAAACAATGCCCATTTGAGGGCAAAACTACGATTAAAGGATGACGGAAGGCAGATTAATACAGTAATCCAACAGGCTCAGTGACAAGGTAATCCTCTCACTTTTCCAACTTCCAAACCTCCCTGGGAGTGTTAATGCAAAGACCTGAGGCCATCTGGCAGAGAAGTTATTGATGAGCAGGAGACAGGAATACTTGACCTTTTAAGTTTTTTTTTTTTTTCCAGTAGGAAGGTTCTATGATTATGTGATATTTGTATGTGTGCATATATGCTTCTATGTATATATGTATGTATATGATATTATTTATCACATCATATATAAGACGGATACAGGATTGCACATGTGCAAGAAAGTTACCACCACACCCCCTGCACCCTCCAGACCACCACAATGAATGAAAATGACATGCCCCCTTCTGCAAACCTTGTGACTACTCATTTGGAGTTATTGTGCTTCCCTCTTTTTCCCTAGTGCCGCTTTCTTAGCACTTAGCACTGTCCAGAACACACTTGTTCCCAAATGGCCTCTGCCCAGACACCTAGGTAGACACAAGTAGATTTCTCCTACTTTGTTTTATTGGCTCCAAGGTCTTTATCTCCCAGCCCTTTGGGGGTATGGGAGTAAAGGAGGAAAGCGGTTAGTGTCTCATTTGTGAGAATTTGTCTAAAATCTAAAGCCATTTTATTACCCTATTTGCCACTCCTTCCACTCTAACTTCTGTTTTCCTTAACCATCTGGCTGAGAATATAAGAGTTCAAACTAGAAGATGAATATAAACCATGACTTAGAGCAAAATAGAATACATATTAATACAGATGCCTCCTCTTTCCATCCTGATACTTGTAGCCCTGGGCCCCTCCTGGCAAGGGCAGCTGGAACACTAGTAAGAAAAACCTCAAGGACTGAACTGACTAAGGGGCTCAAGAGGTGAATGTTTTATTGGCTACCTTGCTAGGGGTGGGTGCTTTGTAAGCCTTCTGGAAGGCTAAGATAATTGTCTGTGAGTTTTTCAAACTCCCTTCCCACACCAGCATTCCCCACTTCAGCCTCACCTTCCACATAAGACCTTCACAGCTTACTGTCTTTGCAACAGAAGACGTCCTCTCTGTCTGCTTGGGTCCCAGCCCCTTTTTCTGATTCATTCATTAGTCCATCCAAAACATTTGAATACTTCATGGGAACATTACTGTCTCTCCATCACTTTCTATTGAGGAACCTTAATTTGGCAGTCTGTCCCAGGCTCTGTCCCCTCCCTTCTTCTGTTAATTACTCTTTCACTAATTAAATTTTTTCCCAGTATGTTTGACCCAATGAGCTCCCCTGGAATCCCTTTTCCCTCAGCTTTGCAAAGGGGAGGAGAGGGAGAATGTAAGTGTAAGAAAGAAAAAAATGTGATGGGGGTAGAACTTGGCCTCAGAGGGAAGTCTCCATAAAAGGAAAGGGGTAAGTGTGTGTATTGTTCACTTCAGTGTAGTGGAGGTGAGGGCAGGAGAGTACCAGGAAAGACACTCCCATCCCTTTAGCACGCCTACCTCCCCTGCTCCCTCCCTCACCTCCTTCACACATTACAATCACAGGCTTCTGTTTCTCAGACAATCCGATTCCATTCCTTACACACCTCTCTTTCCCAGTCCCCATCGATCACACTTTTCAGCCCTTTGGGTAAAGTGTATATTGCTTGAGTCCCACCCCTGCCCATGTACCTCCCTCACACCTCCGACACTTGCACAGCTCTTTCTTTGCACATTCCCATTTTGCACAAGCCTCACCCTCCCTGGTACACCTGCGTCATTTAACCACTCACCTTCCATGCTCACCCGCTCATCCCCCACTCCCAGACACACACCTAGTCAACTTGTGTGCACACTCCCCTTCCTTGGCCACTCCCCTTCCTCCACCCTCCTCGGGATCCCACACTTGCCCCCGCCCCTGGGACACCTGCTCGTGCGGGGCAGGGCGGGGATGCGCAGCCGCGGCCCCTTCTCCTCTCCCCCTCCCCGCCCCGCCCCTCCCTCCATCCTTCACCCGCTCCCCGGCGCCCGCCCCGCCCGCCCGCCACTCCGGGGGGGTCTCCGCCGCCGCCGCCGCCGGAAGGAGCCGCCATTTGCCACCGCCGAGCGCACGGGCCGAGCCAAGCCTGATCCCGGAGCCGGAGGGGGACTGGGACCGAGAGAACGGCGATGGGGGGCGGCCCCGCCGCAGGAGGACCCGGGCGCGTAACCCCGGGGGCCCGGCCCGCTCCAGACCCAGACCCGCGGGGTGCGGCACCCTGAGCCCCCCTCCCCGCCCCCTGCCCTGGCCATGGCCGCCCACCCCGCCGCCCCCGGGCCGCCAGCCCGCTCGGCCCCGCAAGCACCGGAGCCCCGGCGGTGGCAGCAGTGAACGGCTGTCGCAGGCCCCGAAGACCCCGGCCCGGCTCGGCTCTCTAGCGCGCGCCCCCTTCCCGGCCTTGTCCTCTCCCCTCCCCCCGCCGCTAGCGAGCCCCCCTTGCACGCTGCCCCCCGCCCCCGGTGTCCGGACGATGCTCAAGTCTCGGCTCCGCATGTTTCTGAACGAGCTGAAGCTGCTGGTGCTGACAGGCGGGGGGCGGCCCCGGGCCGAGCCGCAACCCCGGGGGGGCCGGGGAGGCGGCTGCGGCTGGGCGCCCTTCGCTGGCTGCTCCACCCGGGACGGCGACGGCGACGAGGAGGAGTACTACGGGTCGGAGCCGCGGGCCCGGGGCCTGGCCGGCGACAAGGAGCCGCGGGCCGGACCCCTGCCGCCGCCCGCGCCGCCGCTGCCGCCCCCGGGCGCGCTGGACGCCCTGTCGCTCAGCAGTAGCCTGGACAGCGGACTCCGAACCCCTCAGTGCCGGATCTGCTTCCAGGGCCCGGAGCAGGTCAGGCCTGGGCACCTGGCCGGGCGCGGAGGGTGGAGGCGCGCACCTGGGGTGTCAGCGGAGACCGCGAGCAGGCGCGGCGCCTAAGGAGGCTGGGCGGGCCCCAGGACACGGAGTGGGAATGGGGTGAGGCCGAGGGGCTGGCAGGGGACTCCTGGAGCGCTTGTTTGTGTCGGAGGGTCAAGGGTCCCCAGGAAGGGGTGGGGCTTTCTCCCCGGAGAGCGCAAAATCCCTCTCACCCATTAACAGGGACTGCTGTTCTCTCCTATTTCCCTCGCCCCAGGGTCTCCGTAAGCTAAGGGGACCTGTTCTCTTGCAGGTGGGCAGAAAGGAGAGTGCTTCTGTGCCCCCCTTGAAGGGAGGGGCCCAGCCAGCGCCCTTGCTTAGCTCAGTATTTCTCCCCGTGGGGCACTTTTTTTCACTTCCCATTCTGCAACTTTCTATCTCATTCTAAAGAGTATTCTTTGTTAAAATTTTATGGGCAAAGTTGTCCCAGAATAGTGCCAGGGGGTGTCTCTGTGTAGTGAGAATTGATTCCATGATTAAAGGGAAACACCCTTCACTCCCACCTCCGCGATTTCTCCCCTTTTTAGTACGTGGAAACCGAGGACCATAACCCATCCCAGTTTGCGCCAGATCTGTGAAGTAACTTTACAATGATGGGGTGGGGGAAGGAAAGCATGGCTCAGAAGCTCTAACACTCCCCTCCCTCCAGATCCTAAGAGGAAGCCTTTCTTTTGAGAAGTCTTAAAGACTACCCATCCCAAATTCTAGGAAAAGAGAAGACCCAGCCCTTCTCCCCTCTAATCCCCCCATCCCTTTCCATCTTTCATCTCTTTGGTATGGGAAGTTTCCCTTGATCTCCAAGGGAAGCTTCTTTTCTGTTGCAGCCTTACTTAGCCTCTTGCCCTGTCTTGGGTGAAAGGCCTGAGTTATTTAAGGTGGGAAAGTGACCTGAAGAGGAGGTTTCCCTGTCGGGGAGCGCGGCTGAGTGGGGTCGGGGTGGTGATGGCTGACAGGGCCCCTCCTCACTCTTCCTCCAGGGGGAGCTCTTAAGCCCCTGCCGCTGCGACGGCTCAGTGCGCTGCACGCATCAGCCCTGCCTCATCCGCTGGATCAGCGAGAGGGGCTCCTGGAGCTGTGAGCTCTGCTACTTCAAGTACCAGGTCCTGGCGATCAGCACCAAGAACCCACTGCAGGTGAGGTGCAAGGAGAGGACTCGGAGATTGGGCGAGGACCTTTTAGCTATTGGACTCAGGGACCCTCCAGGAAGCCTATTTCATTTACTCTTTTCCCAAAGCCACCCTTCCCCGCCAGTTACCACAGTCTCCCGTGTGTCTGTATATCCTTCCTAAGCCCTTAATTTATTCACAGAGATATTTATTGGGTGCCACTTATATTCCAGGCACTGTTCTAGGCACTGGGACAATCACCACTCCCCACCCGCCACAAAAAAAAAGAAAAAAGAAAGAAAAGAAAAAAAAAATGCTGGGCGCGGTGGCTCACGCCTGTAATCCCAGCACTTTGGGAGGCCGAGGCGGGCGGATCACGAGGTCAAGAGTTTGAGACCAGCCTGGCCAACATGGTGAAACCCCGTCTCTACTAAGAATACAAAAATTAGCCAGGCGTGGTGGCTCGTGCCTGTAAGCTACTCGCGAAGCTGAGGCGGGAGAATCCTTGAACCCGGGAGGCAGAGGTTGCAGTGAGCCGAGATCACAGCCACTGCACTCCAGCCTGGGCAACAGAGCAAGACTCCGTCTCGAAGGAAAAAAAAAAAAAAGAAAAGAAAAAATGATGTTGATGATGATAGCAAATATGTAGTGTTTTCTGTGTCAAGTTTTGGTGTGTATTAACTCTTAATCTTCACAATAATCTTATTAGATACTATTATTATCCCCTTTTACAAACGAGGACACTGATGCACAAAGATTTGAAAACTTACCCAAGGTTACTTAGCCAGTAAGTGATGGAGTCAAGATTTAGGATTCAAATCTAGATGTTTTGGTTTCAGAGCACTTGCCCAATCCTGCCTTTCTAAAGTAAGACAAATGGTGTCAGACAAGTGCCACATTCTAGATTTAATCAAGGCACAGAGAAGACAGATGTTGATCCTGCCTGAAGGTTTTAGGGAAGGTTCCTGGAGCACCCTGCTCTTCAGGGCCACCCATCACCTGGCCCTCCATCCCTTTCTGGGACTCTTTGGAGCCCTTTCTCCCACACAGTGGCAGGCCATCTCCCTGACGGTCATCGAGAAGGTCCAGATTGCTGCCATAGTTCTGGGCTCGCTCTTCCTGGTTGCCAGCATCTCCTGGCTCATCTGGTCCTCACTCAGCCCTTCAGCCAAGTGGCAACGACAGGATCTGCTCTTTCAGATCTGCTACGGCATGTATGGCTTCATGGATGTCGTCTGCATAGGTGAGGGCACCTCTCTCTCCTTTACCTGCTCTGTATCTTCCTCTTACACACCTAACTCCCCTGCCCATCCCCTCAGTTTCCTGGCTTTATTTTCTGCCACTGTAGCCTTTAGTGCTATCCTGGTGCCCCCTCAACCCACTTCCCTGCTTCTCCAGGGCCCTTTGCAACTGTATCTTCTCACTCTGAAGAAATGCTTGCTTAAGTACCTCTGGCCTAGATCTAGGCCACAGTTAACCCTGGATTTCTTATTCCTATTGCTCAGGCCTCATCATCCATGAAGGCTCCTCTGTCTACCGCATCTTCAAGCGCTGGCAGGCAGTGAACCAGCAGTGGAAGGTCCTAAATTATGACAAGACCAAGGACATAGGAGGAGATGCAGGGGGAGGGACGGCAGGGAAGTCAGGCCCCAGGAACTCACGGACGGGCCCCACCTCTGGGGCCACGAGCCGCCCCCCAGCTGCCCAGCGCATGCGGACGCTCTTGCCTCAGCGCTGCGGTTATACAATCTTGCACCTCCTTGGGCAGCTGCGGCCACCAGATGCCCGTTCCAGCTCCCATTCTGGCCGAGAGGTTGTCATGAGGGTCACTACAGTCTGAACTGGACTCCAGGAGCAGGGATCTTGAGTCAATGCATCAGTCAGAGAAGAACTCTCATGGCTGCTGGAGGTACCAGCTGGACAAGGTGTTTGGGGCATGCTGCCCCCGTCACCGAGGATCTGTGTGGGTAGCCTCAAGCTGGAGACATTGTCTGGCCTCACTGCCCACTGGGTAGAGACACCTGGATGACATTTCAGTACCCGCTGGCAGCTCCTCCCACTCATCCAGAGACGGCCGGTGGGCAGGCGGGGAGAGCAGCTTTCCTTCCCTGGAGAGAACCGTCTTTACCTCAGCTCCTAGGGCCTCCAGCCCCCCAGCTCCACCACGGTGACTTGGTGAAGGGGGACCAATGCCAGAAGAAAGGGGCTGTAGACCCCTATTCCCCACCCCATGGCCACAGGGCATCTGGCAATAAGACTAGTATACATTGACCTCCCGTTCCCTGCATGAGGGCGGGGAGTTCCCCCTGCTCCATCCCCCATTGCATGGGGGAAGGGCATAAAGAATCATTTATATGCACGTGGAGACTCCTTTCTCATCTGGGGCTTTTCTGGAGGGTTGGGAGATGTGGGGAGGTTTCTCTGCACAGGTTGCAAATCCCAAATGCAGCAGTGGGTTCTGAGTTGTAGGTGTGACTCCCACTTGCTGGTGAATAATTCATGTTGGCTGCTAGGTGGCAGCACTCCGAGGTATCTAAAGGGTAGACCTGGACCTGCCACCTATGAGTTGTGTGATATAGAAAAAAATCTCTTAGCTCTGGTTTTCCTGTCTACTTCATAGGGTTGGAATAAGGATAAATGAGGGACAGGTTGGATGCCGTTGCAGAGAAAATCAGCAATGACATAAAGAGATTTCTAGAATAGTTGATGGTCCATTTATTTCAAATAGTAGCTGGTGTAACAAATTCTAAAATGTGTTTTTCATCTGGAGTTGCACAGAATCATGGAATTTTGTGTTGAGTGACATAATAGGTATGGAAATATGAGGGGAAATAGACATTGCAAATGTGAAGCATGGTGGTTATTTGTTAAGAATGAGAACTCCTCTGACTCTAAATATTTGGGCCTGTGGGCTGGGGAAGGCTGGAGCCATCTGCCTTGTTCTGGAGATCATCTGGGTTCTATCAGTCCTTCTCAAGTACTGTGCTCACCCAGAAAAGCAGTGTGAAGTGAATTTGGACTCATTTGGAGTGAGATGGAGGGAATCCCCCCACTCAGTGTTATGAGTCTCCAACCCCAGTTTAAGCTATTTCCATGGCAGTTTAGGGTCACAGGTTTGATCCCGGTGTGCCCAGCCAGTGGTATTAATGGATGGCATTATGTTTGGAGGCAGCAGCATAGAGGACTGTTGTTTATAGAGAAAAGATTTGGGAAGGACTGTTTACAATGTGGGTCAGCCTGAAGCCTGGGCACTTTCTTCTGTGACCTTGGGGTTGTGTATTATATGAATGATGCTGTTTTTAAGTAAACCATTCAACAGCAATTAAATAATTCCTTCATTCACGGCTAAAGTCAGATCTGGAGGCCTTTCTTATTATTGATCCTTCTATCAGGGAAGGTTCTGCTTTGCCTCCTTCCTCCCTGGGGATGTTTTGGAGAAAATGCTTCCCTTGCAAAGGCCCACACACATCCTTGCCCAGGAAACCTTGTCCCCTCCCCTCTCCCAAAGGGGGTCTTGGTTGCTGTCCATGGTGCTGGCATCCAGACCAGCCTTGGGATGTAGGAACAAAAGCTGGACTGCGGTTCAAGTAATTTCAAAGTGTGGAAGTATATAACTTCCAATTTTTGAGGGAGTAGAGTGGATAGGGAACTGAGACTGAACCCTCCGTCTGCTCAGTAGGAAACTGTTTCCCCAGAGAGAGAACCCTCTATATCCCCCATCTTGGGAGACAGAAAGGCCAGACTTTACTGATTTGCCATTCTCAGAAGAGCTGGTGGGGACCAAATGGGGGATTGCAAATCAGAGTGACTACTAATATCTATACCAGCAGATAGGGCTCAGGTAGATAGGACACATGTGGAGCTTCCTGTGCCAAGCCTGAGCTGTCCTCTGTGATGGCTCTGCAGGGAAGGTTAGACATACCAAAGAAAATAGACATACTCACACACAAACACACTGTATCCATTTACACTCTGGGTCCTAAAATGAGGCCAAGTGGGACACTTTCCCCTCTCCTTCAGCACTAATGGAAGTCTTGGTATGGGAGTTGGGGCCAGCAATCAGTATGGTCTCCTCTTCTTCCTTTTTCCAACTTAAAAAGATCATTGTCCAGGAAAGGGTCATGGGAACTGCTGCCCTCTTCAAGTGGGCATTCCTACTTGCCCAGTGGAAAATAGGGAGTACGGATGGGCAGAATTCTCATCACTGATTCCAGGGTAAAGGGTCTGACAAGCTGGGCTTTATTCTCCCTCAAAGATCAAATCTGCTGAAAATTTGGTCATTTAGGTTCAAATTGAGTTCAGTGATAGAGGAATAGGGGTGGAGACTGAGTATACAGTAGGGAAGGAGTTGAGAAGGGCAGAAAATGCACAGAAACCTTGATCTTTGTACGAGGCTTTGGGTCTGCCCTGCCCCTCTGTAGATCTTGCATAATTAGATGCCCCTGCAAAAGGCCTGGTGGCTACTGGAGTTTCTGCGGTCAGGGAGCCATGTCTAGGCCAGGAGGCCAAGGTGTGGAGGAGGAAGAAGTGTGAAGTGAAATCTCCATCTACACCCAGCTAATTGGAATAGGGTGAGCGGTAGGGGAAGGGGGGCAAGTCCTGACATGGGAAGGGTAATCTGGGATGCAGAAGGAACTGTGCAGTGTGCTGAGAGATTTATTTGGATGGAAGATGAGTTAATCTGTATACATCACAAGAGGAGAGCTGTGCCCAGCCTCTGGGGGGCCAGAGAATGCTGACTTAGGGAAACAGTCTCCCTCTGCCCACCGCCCTTATCCTGCCTCAGTGCCCCAGGGCTTCTGGCCACCCCCACACTCAGCTTTCATTCTGTCTGTCTGATTCCACTTCTCTGCTTGTATCCCTTCCTCTGAAGGAAATTATCTTGGAACAACTTTTCCAGAGAGGGCAAAGTGACCAATCTAGGACTTCCTTCAATCCTGGCAGTCCAAAAGCACTTTCCTTACCAGAGTCAGCAACCTCTGCCCATGTCTGCAAATCCCTAGCTCCGGGCCCATTTTACAGCTTAGCCCCTGCCGTTACTTTTCACCCCCCACCCCCTTAATCTCTTACAGGAAGCCAGACTAGACTTGGATGTTCCCACTACAGACAGAAACATGTCTGGGTTTGTGTTACAAACTACTCTTCCAGGCGTCCAGACCTCCCATTGTTATGGGGGTCACCCCCAGGACCTGAGAAACCAAGGTGGGAGATGGGAGGGTTAGAGTCTTGCCTCCAGGTCTTGTAGGAAGTGGGAATATGAGAGAAATAAGTCAAAATCAAGAATGGAATATTTGATTTATTCTAAAATTTGTGAATATTTAAAAATTTTCAATATAAAAAGCCAGAGGCCTGGGCAGGGACAGGCCCAAAGATGTCTCTGCCTGAGAACTAAGTGATGGGGCAAACCCACTTAATAGTGGCCAGAGAGCAAAGGAGAGTTATAAGAAACCGTAAACCAGGCTAGGGCAGATTCACCTTCCTAGGGGCAAGACAAAGAAGGAAGGGGGTAGACAGAGCCTACTAAGTAAGCTGCTTATCCCTTCTGCCACATGGTTCAGATTCAATCTAAGAATGTGTATGGTGACACCTAGTCAGAGACAGGCCCTGGCAGGGGACATAAAAAACAAATAAGGCTTCACCCTTCCTCTCAAAGAGCTTACATGCAAAGACGAAGGACCAACCAGGTACAGACCAGATGCACAGTTACTGAGCTTATGCTTTGATAAATGCTTAGCCAGCAGCATCAATGAACACTATGAAAGCCCAAAAAGAGAGGCAGTTGAATCTTTCCTCAGGCCATCCAGCATTATTAGTTAAAATCTGATTTCATCCTTGGGGGATGCATACATGATCAGAAGGGCCAAGCAAGCAGAGAGACCATGGTTTTCTCACCTGGCTTCCTGAGTCAGGCCAAGTGCATACTTCACACATTGGTCAGGGCCGCCTCACACTTCACTATGGTGGTTCTATCCAGTTTGGTCAGATAGGCATTAGGGGAAGATGTATACCTTGGTCTTGTGCCTACAAAAAATCTTATCCCTATGATGAATGAAAGGGTGATGATGACAGTCTCTTTCCATGGGACTATCTGTCCAAAAACTGTAGGTTGATGCTCCTTTCAGGTACCAGGACAGTCCGGGTCTTGGGTCTAACTGGGGCCGCACCTGGCTCAGGCTGCACCTCAAAATGTGTTAGGATCTGGAAAGGGAAGAAGGTGAGCATTACTATGAAAGATATCTATAATGGGGGGATTCATTGGTAATCCAATTGGTAAAGGGCATGCATTATTAGTGTTAGAATGGTCAATGATTGGGTGGCACCTGTGGCCAGTAGGGGACTTCTTGGTTAATAAGGGTGAGGGATTATGGTAGGGAAAAAATAGTTTGAATACCCTCACTTACACTCCAGGCCTATAATGGGCTTATCATATTTCAGAAGATTCATTCTACCAGGTCTTATATGATTTCCTATGCTTGTCAGGGGAAAGAGCTCACAACTTTAGAGGGTTAGGGTCTCTCCAGTCTGGGGAAGGTATAAAATCTAGAGCACTCACCTGGGCCAAAGCCATTTGCAATTCAAGCTCTGCCAGGCGTCTCCCCATACAGCTGCGCTTGCCAAAGCCAAAGGGAAGAGATGCAAATGGGTGGGGGGTGGGACCCTCCCCCAGCCAGCGAGCTGGACGAAAAGAATTTGGCTCTGGGAACTGGGCAGGGTCCCTTGAAGTGGCATAGTGACACAGAGTGACCAGCGTCTGGTGCAAAGGAAAACAAACTTGTCAGTTTGGGCTCAGAATAGGGCAGGCATGAAGAAGAGGATATTCAGACAGGGACAAAGGCAGGTCCTGGTGGGTGATGGGGAAGTTTTCTGGGGCTACTTTTGGAAGGATCTCCCCACTGTTCCATTACATCCTAGAAAGGCATATCCTAGAGAGGGGTCAAGGGGAGTGTTTGAAGGGCTTTTAGGAGAGTGTTTGAGAACAGGGTTGGGGCCCAAGATAGTGAGGAATGGCTCAGTAGAAAGGGTGCATAGGCTTTACTCACATTTTTGGGGATAATATAGTCACCCACATGAATGTCTTTGTCTGGGACACGAGAATTTCCAGGTACCACAGGGTACAGTCTAGGTTGCAAAGCACAAAATGGAGACAACAAGATGAGGCTAGGGGCTGCAGCCCCCTTCTCATTGTTTCCAACTTCCAAACCCTTTTTGGCCAGGAGTAGAGGGCCATTTTTCTCTGCTATCTCCCTGCTTCCATCCACTAGTTGCTTCCCCAGCCCTTCCTTGGCATTTCCTCTTGTTCCTCCTCTCCTTCCCCCTCACCTTAGCACTTCCTTGACCACCGCCTTCAGCAGGGGCAGCTGGGACAGAACAGTGGCTGAGGGGTAGGCACTGGAGCCAGGGCTCAGGGCAGCTGTGATCTCTGAGTGGAGTGCTGTCTGGACTTCGGGGTGCCGGGAGAGCTCATACAGAGCCCAAGAGAGCGTGTTGGACACCTGAAAAACATGTGAAAGCAAGAGAGGTGTTGGGTGTGAGAACCCAGCAGAGGGTGCAGATTATGGAAGAGTCTGGGGCTACAGGGTGCTAAGCCAAGCTGGTCTACGTGGCCATAATGGATCCCCTGCAACAGAAAAATGGAGCCGGAGTCTGCGGAGGCTAAGCCCTGGAACCGGCTCACAGCACGGAGGGAGAACCTCACCGTGTCCACTCCCGCCAATAGCAACTCTGTCACATTTCCCAGGATGGACTGGGCAGGCAACTCTTCCCGGAACAGGAAGTGGGTCAGGTGCGCCCCAGACTCCAGGTCCTTCTCGGGCTGTCCTCCGTTCCTCATGGCTGCCTCTGCCTCTCGCCGCTCCACGTGCCTCTGAGCTGCGTGGGTAGAAGGCACGTGAATACCTCGCTACCCCTGGACAGCTTTACATTCCCCCATTTCCACCTCGACCTGTGCCTTACCAAATGCAAACATCTGGTCCCAGTCTCGGCAGAGGCGGCCCCAGGGCCCAGGCACAAGGTGGCGCAGCCAGTGGGGCATCGCCATGGTCAACAGCGTGGACACAAACACCGAGCCCACAGCGCGGATGAAGGTCTCCGTGTCGGGTGGCACTTGAGCCTCCAGGCAGCCCAAGCGCGAGCCGAGCAGAACCGCGGCGATGCCTTGTCGGGAGGGGGCGCCGTCAGGGTTCCGGGAGGCTCTGGTAGGGCGCCCCCGACGCCTGCCCAGCTCTGTCCTGGGACTCACCTTCCAGTCCGAACTTGTAAAATTCCCCCGCCACGTCCCGAACCAGGGCGGGCGGCCCCGTGCCACGTCCCCGCTGGCGCCTCAGACGCCGCACAAGGTCGCAGACTACGTTGTTCAGGGTTCCGGCGTAGCGGGCGGCCGCTTGAGGCCGGAGGAGGAGCGGGGCCAGGAGACTGCGGAGCCTTTGCCATTCTTCGCCTTCCCTGCAGGGTTGAGGAGAGAGTGCGCATCGGGAAGGTGGGGACGGCTCGACGGGACTGGCTGCAGTGAAGGAGCGCGTTCGGCTGCGGTGGCCAGGAGAGGGATTGCGTCTGCCCCCTTGGGGTACGGAAACCTGCACCGGCCTGCGCCTGTCTTCCAGCCCCCTTCCTCTTTACTCATTTCCTGCCCTCAGGGGCCGGGGTTCCCGGGTAACTTGAGTCACAGAACCTTACATTCATTCCATCCAGATCCTTGTACCCTAGCCCAATTCCTCCGGTTCCCCCAGTTCCCAGGATTCGGGCCTCAAAGGATAAGGAGGTAGGCGGGGAGTGAGGTTGGGGCTCAACCTGAGTGTGGGTGAAGCAGACTGGGATGGGAACCCCAAGATGCCCAATGGTAGAGTGGGACAGCCGACCTCCCACCATGCCCCCAGATTGATAGTTTCGGGACCCGCAGCAGGAGAGGGCCGCTGCAGGGCGTCTGGGCTTCTGGGGGCAGAGAAGACTCACGCAGTGAGCAGTCCGCAAGCCCGCTGGCGGCAGCGGCGGTGCTCCGTCCAGGGCGAGAAGCTGCAGCGCTCGGGCCGGGGTCCCTCCTGTCGCAGCAGCTCCTCGACGAGTGCAGGGGCAGCCACGTACACGGTGCGCACTGTCCCAAAGCTGGCTAGCCACACCGGCCCGAAGTGCGCGGCGCCCTGCACCTGGGGGAGCGGACACAGCGGACACTTGGATACCTGGGCGGGGACTTTCAGCTTGACCTGTGCCCACGCCAAGGGCGTTGACTGGGCTTGGGAATAGGGAGCTTCTGCTCTTTCTCGGGTGCCCAACTAGTGTATGCCTTTGATACTGCAAACTCCTCCTCTCTCATTTCCCATCCCTAGAAAGTTTGAGTGTGATGGGCAAAACCGGAACTTTGTGCAAGGCAGACATTCAGGACCTCTCTGATCATCTCGGTCGAGGAGAAATCTCTAAAAGTTCCATGTCTGGACTGTCCATCTCAGGACGAGTCCTCAGTGAATGAAAAGGAACCCATGTAGCTTTAAGCCGCAAGCAGGCGGAGGGTACTGCCCACTCCGGCCTCCCCCTCCCGCGCACTTGTACTTTATCTGCAGGATCTCCACACCTCAGGACAGCGAGAAGGCGCTTTCGCAGCGCCCTCTGCTAAGAGTCGGGACGGGCTCTGCCCGAGTGTAGCCACACCGCCCCCAGCCTCAACTCGCCTTTTCCTTATTTCATGGGCATCCGTTCTCTCTGGCTGTCCCACATTTGCTCTGCACTAGTCAGTCCTTTCTGACGCTGTCAAAACCAGTTTCCCCAGCACTCTGTCTCGGGAAAGGCGTCCCTTCCTACCTGCAGCTCGTGTAGCCTCGACAGCCCCCCCTTGCAGAAAAGTTCGGCCAGAAAGCTGGGCGTAGAGGGGCCTGGGATGTCTGCCAAGCTCCGGCGTGCTGAGTGGTACTCTCGGTAGCCTAGGGAGGCGCCCAACTCGGGCGCCCAGCGGACGCGATGGAACACTCTGGAGGCGTACTTGAGGGTCTGGGTCATGGTCTGGTTCAGGGTGCTCGCGAAAGAAAGCGCTTCTCCTGAGCATCATATCTCAACCCCTATTTAACCTTTGGGTGAGGTGATGACGCCCCCTCTCCAAGCTCCTCAGCCAATCCCTCCTCCTGAGTGGTCTGTGCTGGGGATTAGCACCCAGGAACAGTAGGCGGGGCTGGGGCTGACTTCACAACTCCCTTGGGTCTCATGTTGCAATGACCCTCATGGGAGGGAGGGCCTAAGATTTTCCTCCTGGGAGAGTGCCTTTGTCTAGGAGCCTCAAAGTCTCATCCTAGGAAAGGCTATAAGGCTTTTTAGTAGGGACTAGGTGACCAAGCTACACTAGTCAGTCTCTGATATTCCCACTTCTACCAGTGAGCCCAGCCCCTTTAGGCCCATCCTCAGGAATTCCCCATCTTTCAGCTCCTCCAGGAAGGGAAGCAGGGGAGGCACAGCTGTAACTGTCCCCACATTCTTGGCTTAGTGGGTTGTATCTTCTCTGCATTATTTTCCTGCACTAGCCACACCTCCCCCTCCTCCTGTACCTAACATATACTGGGCAGATGGCAGGTGGGTTAATGGGCTAAAATGGCTCCTAGAACCTCCATCTTTCTTTCTTGAGGATAAGGGGGTCTCTTGGGTATACAAGCCCCCTCCTTCCAGACATGGGAATTTGGGGCTTGAGAAGCAGAAATGAAACTTTTTGTACATTAGTTAAGTTCAGAGATTGTCTGTGGGGTGTTAGAGGAGCTAAATGGATGTGGATGTTCTAATTCCCCAGCTGACTCGGTCTCCTCTGGGGGGCTTTCTGGTTAGCAGCTCCTTTCTACTTTTAGCCTCAGAATCCTGTGGTGGCTCATGCCTATAATCCCAGCACTTTGGGAGGCTGAGGCAGGAGGATGGCATGAGGCCAGGAGGTTGAGACAAGCTTGAGCAACATAGCAAGACTGTCTCTACAGAAGAAGTTTAAAAATTAGGCTGGGCACGGCAGCTCATGACTGTAATCCCAACACTTTGGGAGGCTAAGGTGGGCAGACTGCTTGAGCTCAGGAGTCTGAGACCAGCCTGGGCAACATAGTGGAACTGTCTCTACAAAAAATACAAAAATTAGCCAGGCATGGTGGCGTATGCCTGTAGTGCCTTGAGAGGCTGAGGTGGATTACATGAGCCCGGGAGGTCAAGGCTGCAGTGAGTTATGATTGTACCACTGCACTCCAGCCTAGGCAACAGAGAGAGGGCCTGTCTCTAAAAAAAATTAAAATAAAAGAATCTCCCACAGTTTACCTCTCTGCTCCTTACTCCCTCATTCCCCACTGCAACTCTATCAGGCTCTGTGCCAGTCAGCTAGCTCTGAAGTTCTGGAATTGAAGGTCAATGTGAAAAAGGAGAGGGTCTCCACCCCCACACCTTCCCAAGGACTCTCCAGAGACAACACTTAGGGAACACAGATTCCCCAGGTCAAGTCTTACGCAGGGAGAGGACAGGAGGATGGTAGAAGGCATATGATACATACTCCACCCTTTCCTGAGAAATGGCAGAATAGGCATGTGTACACATATACATGTTATCCCAGGATCCACAAAGCAAACAGAAGTGGTAATTGAGCCTAGCAAGCAGTTTAGATGGACTACATTCCTCATTCCAGCTGAGGAGAGATCTCACAAGGAGAAAGGAGTGCTAAGGAAGAGCAAGACCCCACAGCCTTCCAAAGATCCCCTATGGTCCAAAGTCCTTTGACCATCTCAGTCAGCTGCTTTGTTTTCTGTTGGCAGTGGAGGGACAAGGTGAGAGGAGCCAGGGGTAGTCATGAACACCAGTGGGTTCTGCCCTGGGCAGCTCCCCACCTTCTTTAAGAGAGTACTGTGTCTCAGCTCCAGCAGTCTCAACTGGGAAGACCCAGGACTCCTGCTCTTTTCTCTAATCCCTGGGAGACGAGGTCCAGCTAAGGTAGAGTAAGCAGTCAGTGACCAGGCAGGCTGGTTTGGGAGGTCACTGCCTGGAGGACGGGATCTTGTATTCTTCGGAAGATGGCTGGGAAATTCTTCCCTCCATTACGTAGAACTTTCTTCCCCTCCTCAGTTGAGGTGCCTAGATGTCCCACAACGGGGTCTTCACTCTGGGAGAAGGAAGGGTCCAATAAGTCCTTGCCCACTGTTCAGACTGCCCCTGGCCCTTAGACACCTATCCCATCCTCCTGGCACTGAGTTAAGTCCAAATACAGAACCACTCTGGAAAGGGCCTCCACCTCCTCTAGGTCCCCTACTCACCAGGTCCTCCAGAGGCACACGCTCAAACAGTGGGTGCTCTTCGAAATGAGTGCACATCCAGTCGTGTAGCTCCAGCACATCGGTTATGGTATACACCAGCCCCTGCATAGGCAAAATCACCCTAGACAGGAGGCTGCATGCAACGTCAGCAGCCAGATGAAGGAAGTGGTGGTGTGAGTCCCTAAATGCACCCCCACTGAATTCTTAGTGAAGGGCCCCTGAGTAGGCCACTCACCCCATCATCCCTCCGATCCCAACTCACCCCAACTCTTAGCACGTAGGCATATTCTGCTAGCAGGGTGGGACTGATGATTCGCCACTTGTGCTTTGTCCGCTTGAAATGTGGGTCGGGGAAGAGGAAGAACATCTTTGTCAGCTGTGAGACAGACACACACCAACAGGGTTGTGAGAGCCTGGCCTCCATGCCCCCACCTGCCTACCAGCCTAACCCACCAGGGCCCCTCCCCACCTGGCCCTTGTAGAAGAAGTTAGGAAGGTGCTTCATGGCATTGCTACGGAGACAGGCGATGTTCTGGAAGCCACCTGCAGGAGCTGCGCGTAGGGCCCGAATCCGGTCTTGTACATAGTCTGAGACCTTCACCCGGATCTCCAGACCCAGAATAAGTGTGTCTGGGAACAGCGGTGACAGTTCCACTGCACACAGAAATAGCAATGGAATCATCAACCATATACTTGTAGGAAGTGCAAAGGGGTCAACACAGGAAAGGAAGCCTCAACCTGCAACTACCAAAGTCCAGAACGGCAAGAGAGGACAGAGATACATATATGGATAGTTTTATGCTCAAGAGGCGGGGGGAGAAATGAAAATTGTCACCAGGACCAGAATGGGAGGGCTGAGGATACATGTATATTTGCCATTGCTTTAGAGTTTTCCACAGTGTTTTCACACATTGTGTTATTTCATCCTTATAACACTCTGTGGTAAATTGTGAAGATAAGGAAACTGAGGGTCAGATATGCCGAAGATCATAGAGTTAAGAAGGGGCAGAACTGGAACTTATTTATTTGAGATGGAGTCTTGCTCTGTCACCCAGGCTGGAGTGCAGTGGCACAATCTTGGCTCACTGCAATCTCTGCCTCCCAGGTTCAAGTAATTCTCCTGCCTCAGCCTCCTGAGTAGCTGGTCTTGAACTCCTGGCCTCAAGTGGTCCACCTGCCTCAGCCTCCCAAAGTGTTGGGATTACAGGTGTGAGCCACTGTGCCCAGGCAGAACTGGACCTTAAACCAAGGTTTTCTGCCTCTATGTACCATGCTCTTCTTCTCTATCAGGCTGTTATCTGTTTGGGAAGATCTAAAAATAGGGAGTGGCTTGGCATGCATGGGTGGGACAATACAGACAATACAAGAGGAACCCAAAAAACAGGAGAGTGGGGCAGAAGGAATGAGATCTGGCGAGGGAGGGGCAAAGGGGAGGGGAGATGGTAGAATCTCTGAGAAAAGACAGTTCAGGATCACTGGCCACAACGGCTAATCTCTGATGCTTGTGCTGACCAGCTCACTGACCCGGAACCTGGCAGATGAAATGGCTCATGTAGGGATTGACGCCAGAAAGGACAACCCAGGTTTTAAGAAGCATTTGAGGCAGCCCCCTCCACTCTCCAGGGCAAAGGTCACAGACCCAGAGTAGAGGGTAGGTGGAGCCTCTCCATGCTGATGTCACCAGTGTCTGGACGAAAGGGGAAAGGCCAATTATGACCCCCCACAAAAGTTGCTGAGGCAGCAGAAGCTACTAGGCCTCTTCTCACCCCAAAAAGAGGGCCTGAGTGTTACCTAACAGGCCACCATAGCCACAGCCTATGTCTGCAAACTCCACTTGGGCCTGAGCTCTCTTTTCTTTCTTATCCTTTGGGTCATCGTGGCTCTGATTTTGAGTGAGTGGAGCGAAGAACTCTGGGTATAGCTCAGACCAGTCCATCTCCTCTGGCTTCACAGGGCTATTGGAAAGAAGACATAAGAAGCATGAGAAGGTTGGTCACACCATTGCAGAAGTGGTACTGTGAGAGTGTGTGGGTGGGTGAGGGTGGGAGGTAAAAGGGAGGAGGGTTTCTCAAAAATTCTGTAACACTGGGCCCTGTGGCCTCTAAGAGGGACAATGGAAACCACCCTTAACTCCCAGTGTGAATCATAGGACCATCATGAGGCCCATAAACGCTGACCTGCCCAACTCCACTTCTGGCGGTTGATGTGACCCTGGCCGGGTAACTGCCCTTTCTGGGGCACAAGTTCCCCTTCTCCCGAGACTGGCTGCCTAATGCACTGGGATCCTACTTTGTGTTTGTGCTCTGCGGGGAGGGAAGGTAAGGTAAGGTGCGGGCAGGATTGTGTATATGTTTGCCTTTTTATTAAATCCAACAAACAAAAGCAAAAGATGGAAACGACATTCTGCCTCTATCACTTCAGTCTCAGTAACAATTTATTTCTCTTCCCAAACTTAGCACCGCTACCCAGACTTAGGCCCGAACGCCACGCCCACTCTCAACCCGCCAACTCCTCTCTCGGTCGAATCTCCCGGTCCCACCCCCAAAAACTGACGTCACCCATCTGATCCTCCCGGGTCTACCCCAAATCCTCCCAGCAGTTGCAGCACAACTGCTCTCCCGGCTGCTTTGAGAATCCCGCCCTCCTCTCTCTCCCTCTGCCCACTCCTCACTAGCGCAGCGTGTGGTCCGCCATGGGGTTGGAGTGAGCACGTTGCCGGTAGTAGCGCTTCTGGGGCGGTGGGGCCTCTGCTCCGGCCACGTTCCGAGTCTCGGCTGCCATGATCCCAGTCCGGGGTTTCTCTACCAAATCCACGTGGAGGCGCAGGCCAGAGGCGCAAGTTAATGACGCAGCCATGCGCGTTGGTGGCAGTTCCCGCCCCTTAAAGACCCAAGAGCAAATTCAGCTGGGCTGGGCTGGGCTGGGCTGGGCTAGGTGGGGAGGGCTGTAAGGAGCGAGTGCTGGAGGGAACCTCCGCACCGTTAGCCTCCAACTGGGAGGGCGAGGCCAGGCCCAGGGACCCAACGTTTTCTCTTAGCTTGCTTCTGCCTGGTCTGGGTTACCATCCTGGTTGCAGGCACCTGTGCACCCCACAGGTGAGAGGGGTCTAGAGACCTCGCCTTCTACAGTGGCATCAGTCCTCGCTCCTGTCCCCTTACTCCTGGTCTCGGACCAGTCCGCCCGGTCTGACTCTTGTGGTCCCGTGTGGGTTTCGTCGAGTGTGCGCTCGGGGCCGGGGCGGGAGGGGCAGCTCCTCATTCCACCTCCAGGAAATCGAACTGGAGGAAGGAGGGCAAACTCAGGGAGGCGGGGCTCGTTCCACAGGGACACCACGACGGCTCGCGGCCCCCAGCCTCTACCCCGCTCCGGATCCGGGATCTGAGCGCCGGCCGCGGTGCCCAGGCACTCCCTTGGCGGGCCGGATGGCGGACCCCGGCCCAGATCCCGAATCTGAGTCGGAATCGGTGTTCCCGCGGGAGGTCGGGCTCTTTGCAGACTCTTACTCGGAGAAGAGCCAGTTCTGTTTCTGTGGGCATGTGCTGACCATCACGCAGAACTTTGGGTCCCGCCTCGGGGTGGCGGCGCGCGTGTGGGACGCGGTGAGGAATGGGCTGCGCCGGGTGAGGGTCCGTGGGAGGTCCAGATCCCGGACTCCGCCTCTCCCATATGGAGCCATCCTCACGACTGTCTTTTTCTCTGTCTTTTCTCCCGTAGGCCCTGAGCCTGTGCAATTATTTCGAGAGTCAAAATGTGGATTTCCGAGGCAAGAAGGTGATCGAACTGGGTGCGGGGACAGGCATCGTGGGGATCTTGGCAGCGCTGCAGGGTGCGTGAGCTGGCTTTTTACGGGAGAGAGTGGGGACCCAGGGGCGCGGAGAAATGGTCACTTCGTGGATCTTTGGGGGAGAGGGGAGAACTTTGGGCCCAGTCTAACCCCTTCTTTTTAACAAATTTTTTTTTAAAATTTGTTTTTGTTTTTATTTTGGCGTCTGCTTCTGCGTGCCAGACAGCGCGAATTGCCTGTCAAAGCACCTAGGGTGGGTGATTGGGGAGGGCAGGAAATAAAACTCAGGCAGGCCTATAAGAAGGAGTTGTTTCTATCGTGTTGCTTTTTTTTTGTTTTTAATTTTTTTTGTTTTTTTGAGACGGAGTCTCACTGTGTCGCCCAGGCTGGAGTGCAGTGGCTGCTATCCCCACTAACTGCAACCGCTGCCTCCCGGGTTCAAGCAATTCTCATGCCTCAGCCTCCGAAGTAGCTGGAATTACAGGCTTGCGCTACCATACCCGGCTACTTTTTGTATTTTTAGTAGAAGACGTTTCACCATGTTGGCCAGGCTGGTCTCGAACTCCTGACCTCAGGTGATCCATCTGCCTCGCGAGGCGCCTGGGATTACAGGCGTGAGCCACGACACCCAGCCTTGTGTTACTCTTTGTGATTTTATGGAGAATACTGTCACTTAAAAGCGCCTTGGCTTTGGACATGGTCTTCTGTCAAGATGCACATATGGGGGTACTCTGTAGGGAGACTTGCAGACATTAAACTTCGTGAGTGCTTTATAACTTTATTATGAATATATTTCAGATTCCTTAGGTTTTTATTGCTAAGAGAAACAAGCTTATGAGTTTCCAAGGGTTAGGATGTGTTTTGTAGGAAGCGGGGTAGGAATTAGACACTGCAGACTTGGAAAAGGAAAAGGTAAGGAAAAATTTGCTTCTCTTTTGTCAAGAAGCAAAAACTACAGAGGAAACAGTTTCACAAATTATAATCTAATGGGCAGAAAAAACCTCAAACTGAAAGCACTCGTTTAAAAATTCTTACAATGTCATCTCCCTAGGAATGTAAATTAACATGTCTTTGTTCATAGGGACAGAACTAGGTCATATTAAGGGAAGCCTAGCCGGGCGCAGTGGCTCACACCTGTAATCCCAGCCCTTTGGGAGGCCAAGGTGGGTGGATCACCTGAGGTCAGGAGTTTGAGACCAGCCTGACCAACATGGTGAAACCCCATCTCTACTAAAAATACAAAATTAGCCGAGCATGATGGCTTATGCCTGTAATCTCAGCTACTTGGGAGGCTGAGACAGGAGAATCGCTTGAACCCGGGAGGTGAAGGTTGCAGTGAACTGAGATCGCACCATTGCACTCCAGCCTGGGCAACAAGAGTGAAACTCTGTCTCAAAAATAAAAAAAGGGAAATCTTCCCAGAGGCAGGCATTCATTCTTCTATTCATTCAACCAAAATGTATTTCAAGTCCCCTATGTACCAAGAATCATGCTAGGTATTGGGGATTCAACAATAAATAAGACAGATTTTCTCTCCCCAAGGAGCTTATGGTCTAGTGAGGGAGACAGAGGACGATGTCATAGAACAAGAACTCTGGCGAGGTATGCGTGGAGCCTGTGGACATGCTCTATCCATGTCTACCATGACTCCCTGGGAATCCATCAAGGGAAGCTCTGTCAGGTGAGGAGGAGGTGAACAGTGTGAACACAGCAGGCTCAGAAACACTGGAGGGTGCCGGCCGGGCTCGGTGGCTCATGCCTATAATCCCGGCACTTTGGGAGGCCGAGGCAGGCGGATTACCTGAGGTCAGGAGTTTGAGACCAGCCTGACCAACATGGAGAAACCCCATCTCTACTAAAAATACAACATTAGCCGGGTGTGGTGGTGCATGCCTGTAATCCCAGCTACTTGGGGGGCTGAGAAAGGAGAATTGCTTGAACCCGGGAGGCGGAGGTTGCAGTGAGCCAAGATTGCACCGTTGCACTCCAGCCTGAGCAACAAGAGTGAAACGCCATCTCAAAAAAAAAAAAAAAAAAAAAAAAAAAGAAACAGTGGAGGGTGCCAACAGCAGTTTTTGCATGAAGCATGGGTGGATGCAGGCAGTTATGCTAAAAAGGGGAGAAAAGGCATGCGGTATGGATGGGAACACCTAGCTTCACTTGCTCCCAGACTGGCTTCTCCTTCTTTGCCTCCTATTTAGCTGTCAAGTCAGAAAGCTGGATGTCATCTTGTCCCTCACTTTCTCCCCTCACATTCCAGCAATCACCCAGTCCTATGAGTTAAATGTTCTTTTTTTTTTTTTTTTCCTTTTTGAGACAGAGTCTCACTCTGTCACCCAAGCTGCAATGCAGTGGCATGATCTCGGCTCACCGCAACATCCGCCTCCTGGGTTCAACCGATTCTCCTGCCTCAGCCTCCCGAGTAGCTGGGATTACAGATGTCTGCCACTATGCCTCACTAATTTTTGTGTTTTTAGTAGAGACAGAGTTTTGCCATGTTGGCCAGGCTGGTCGTGAACTCCTGGCCTCAAGTGATCTGGCCACAACTTCCAGTTGTCTGGGGAAGTATTATCTTTTCAGCATCTCTAGTTCAGGCCACTGGCATCTCTTGCCTGGATTTTCGCAAGGGCCTTCAAGCTTCTTCTGGGGAAGTGTGACATACCCAACTAGATCTTGTGACCTTCCTCCACCAAACACATTTCTCCCTCAGACTTCCCTATCTCAGTGAATCAAATCACTGTGCACCCAGTGGGAAACCTAGACATCACCTTTGACACGACCCTCTTTCTCACCTACATGTCCATTATTCAGTTTATCTCCTAAAAATTTCTTAAATCTTCTCATGTTTTTCCATCTCCATTGACAGCTCCCCAGTCCAAACCACCACGATCACTTGCCTGGACTACTACAACAGCCACACTTGTCTTCCTGCTTTGACTCCTTGTCCTCACCTAGACCTCTGCCCTTCCACCTAGTGGTCAGAGTGATCTTTTCAAAATAAAACTGTAATCATGTATTCCCACCCCAAATCTTTCAGTGGCCTCTTGTTGCTTTCAGGATAGAACCAACACCTATGGCATGGCCCCCAAGGTCCTGCCTCCCTCTTTCTGTGCCTCTTTCTCTCTTGTTTTTCTTGGGCTGCCTATTGCCTGTCCATCAGTTCCTCAAACCTACTCTGATGTTCCCTTCCTTGGGGACTTCACTCAGGCTTACTTTCTGTCTGAAACTTTTTACCATCTGCTTAATGCATATGCATCCCTCCTTCCTCAGCTCAAACATCACTTCGAAGGGAAGGCCTCCTTGGCACTCCCACTCCTAGGCTAACTTAGACCCTCCCAGTACATACACAACTGTGCTAACTGGGCTAATTTTAACTTTGTTACCATTGGCCTTAGGTGGGTCCTAAGTGCTTCCCAGCTAGCCTGGTACATTCTCTCGTCCACTTTTTCTGCCACTCTCCTGAACAACTGTTTCTTACCTTCTTATTCCTCAAACCTCCACATGCCTCTTCTGCCATCTTCACCCTCACCTGATGACTTTGTTTCCTATCTCTTTATTTTATTTTATTTTATTTTATTTTTTGAGATGGAGTCTCACTCTGTTGCCCAGGCTGGACTGCAGTAGTGCGACCTTGGTTCACTGCAACCTCTGCTTCCCAGGTTCAAGTGATTCTCCTGTCTCAGCCTTCCAAGTAGCTGGGATTACAGGCACGCACCACCATGCCTGGCTAATTTTTGTATTTTTAGTAGAGATGGGGTTTCACCATGTTGGCCAGGCTGGTCACAAACTCCTGACCTCAGGTGATCCACCTGCCTTGGCCTCCCAAGGTGCTGGGATTACAAATGTGAGCCACCGCACCTGGGCTGTTTCTTATCTCTAATGATTGCTTCTGTTTTCTCAGAAAATGTCCATATATTTTTATCACAACATCTACTTATGTGACTGCATCTGCATCTGTGTGCAGTGCCTTCTCTCCTGTTACCATGGATGAACACATTGTGCTAGCTAAGGTCAAGCCCCCCACTTGTCACAAGACCCCAAATCTTTCTGCCTACTCAAAGACATTGTTCCAGCAACACCCACCCCCATCTCTCCTGCATTCTCAGTTTTTCCTTTTCTTTGGATCATTCCATATATAGTAATATATGGAATATAAAATGCATATAAATATGCTATGATTTCTCTTATTTCAGAAAAAAACTCTTGATCCTACATCTCCCTCCAGCTATCACTCCATTTCTATGCTCCACTTTAAAACAAAACTCAAAAGAGTTAATATTCAGTGTCTAGTTCCTCTCCTCCTATTCTTTCCTTCAATCCAATTGTTCTAGTTAAGGTCGTGAGCTTCATTTCCAACTCCAGGTTGTTAAACGCAGGAGTCAGTTATCAGCCTACCTTTGATAACTTTGCATTTGATGCTGACACTCCCTCCTCCTTGGAACAATTCCTTTGGTTTCCAGGGGACCACACTTCTGGTTTCTGCTTACCGGCAGGAACTCCTTTTCCATGCTCTCTTGTTGGTTCTTTTTCATCTTCACAACTGAAAATGTGAGTGCCCCAGGGCTCAGGGGCAGTCCTTTGATCCCCTCCTTTTCTTGTCTACCTCACTCCTGAGCAGCCCATCACCTCATGCCTTTAAATGTCCTGTTGAAGCCGGACGCGGTGGCTTACGCCTGTAATCCGAGCACTTTGGGAGGCTAAGGTGGGTGGATCACCTGAGGTCAGGAGTTTGAGACTAGCCTGACCAACATGGTGAAACCCCATCTCTACTAAAAATACAAAATTAGCCGGGCGTGGTGGCAGGCGCCTGTAATCCCAGCTACTTGCGAGGCTGAGGCAGGAGAATTGCTTAAACCTGGGAGGCGGAGGTTGCAATGAGCCGAGATCATGCCATTGCCCTCCAGCCTGGGCAACAAGTGCGAGACTCCATCTCAAAAAAAAAAAAAAAAAAATGCCCCGTTGGTGATCATGACTCTAAGACTATCCCATTTCTATCTCCAGACTTGCTTGCATAACCTAGTGCCTACTCAGTATCTTCATGTGGTTGTCTGATGTGATATAGAAGTCCATGTCAAACTTAACGTGCTCAGAAAATGAACTCATGATCTTCCTGTCCAAATTGCGCCTCCTGCAACCTTTCTCATCTAAATGAGTGGCAATTTGGTCTTCTAGTTGGTCAGGCCAAACACCCAGAAACCATCCTGAGCTTTTTTTTTTTTTTTGAGACAGGTTCTCACTCTGTTGCCCAGGCTGGAGTGAAAGTAGCACAATCATGGCTCACTAAAGCCCTGAACTTTCAACCTCCCGAGGCTCAAGCAATCCTCTGACCTCAGCCTCCCGAGTAGCTGGGACTACAGGATGTGCCACCACACCCAGCTAATTTTTGTATTTTTTATAGAGACGAGGTTTTGCTATGTTGCCCAGACTGGTCTCAAACTCCTGGACTCAAGCAGTCATCCCGCATTGGCCTCCCAAAGTGTAATCCAAAGGGATTACAGGCGTGAGCCACTGTGCCTGGCCCATCCCAAGCTTTTCTCTCTCTCTCATATTTTATATCCAATCTATTGGCAAATCCTGTTGACTCTACCTTCAAAATATATTCAGGATCTGACCATTTCTTAGCCATTGCTACTGCCCTGGTTTAAACCATCATCATCTCTCACCTGAGTCATTGCCATCACCTCCTAACTGGTCTCCTAGCTTCTGACCTTGCCCTCCTGTACTCTTCTCATCATAGCAGCCAGCATGCTCCTCCTAAAGCATGCCAGCGTGTGCCATTCTTTTTTTTTTGAGACAGAGTCTTGCACTTGTTGCCCAGGTCGGAGTGCAATGGCACAATCTCGGCTCATTGCAACCTTCGCCTCCCAGGTTCAAGCGATTCTCCTGCCTCAGCCTCCCTAGTAGCTGGCATTACAGGCGCCCGCCACCACACCCAGCTAATTTTTTTGTATTTTTAGTAGATATGGGGTTTCACCATTTTGGTCAGGCTGGTCTGACCACTCAATTTAAAATTTCATTCTCCAGCCACTCAATTTAAAATTACATTCAGGCTGCCAAGACTTTGTCCTCTATGCCCTGGGGTCTCTGGACCTTCCAGGTAGGAGCCGAGAACCCTTGGTTGGTCCCTCTAACTTGCATTTCTCCCCATCCCTCAAGCAATTCTTATCCCCCTTCCCTGCTTGGGGCTTCACCATGGCATATATTACCATCTGATGTACAGTGTATTTTATTTTATTTATTTTGTTTGTTGTTATCATCTGTTTCTTGCCACTGGACCATAAGCTCTGTGAGGGGGGATTCTTATCTTCTTAGTTCATCATTATGTTCTCAGCACTTGGCATATAGGCACATAATAAATATGAATGAATGAATGGATTCCTAGTACTTCTTGCTTCTCTTTCTATCATAGTCATCATGATTATGATGCAGTACCTAGTGTGTCTCTACCTCTAGAATGAAACAAAGAAAGCTGTGTTTTTGTCTTGCTCACCTTATATACCCAGCACTTAGAAGGTTCTCCAAATTATATCTACTGCATGAATGAAGGTTTCTGAGATGCTAATCTGACCATCTTCACCCGTTTCTGCCCTTAAAGCTTACTGCCCTCAGTATCGAACCTGAATCTTCTTAGCATGTCATAATCACTTTCCCTTTGTCTCATGTCTTGACACTTTTCTCCCCCTTCCACATCCTCTAAGATGCAGCCTTTCCTGAATATGCCATGCTCTTTCACTCCCAGGCCTTTGTACTCACTGTTCTCTTCTTGGAAAGCTCCACCTGACTAACTCCTACTTGTCCTTTAGGGCTCAGCTGAGGTCACATTTTCTGGGAAGCTTTCCAGACCCTTAAGGCGAGCTTGTGTCAGTGGGGGTGGGTACAGAACCCATCTCCAGCTTAGTCCTGCCCAGGCTTCTGCTGACATCTGATTGTTGTGTGTTGGCCAGAGAGGTTGAAGATTAGCTCAGAGAGAATGTTGATGTTGTAGAATGTAGAGTAATGAGAATAGCAGTGGGTGAAATGGAGGTTGAGGCAACTAAAAGCCAGTGTGGGCTCTGGGCTGTCAAGACATTGTCCTCTATGCTCTGAGGTCTCTGGACCTTCCAGGCAGGAGCCAAGAACCCTTGGTTGGTTCCTCTGACTTGCATTTTTCCTCCTTCCTCTCTCTCAGGGGGGGATGTTACCATCACTGACCTGCCCCTGGCCCTAGAACAGATCCAGGGCAACGTCCAGGCCAATGTGCCAGCTGGAGGCCAGGCCCAGGTGCGTGCCTTGTCCTGGGGGATTGACCATCATGTCTTCCCTGCAAACTATGACCTGGTGCTGGGGGCTGATATCGTGTACCTGGAACCCACCTTCCCTCTGCTGCTGGGGACCCTCCAACACCTGTGCAGGCCCCATGGCACCATCTATCTGGCCTCCAAGATGAGAAAGGAGCATGGGACAGAGAGCTTCTTTCAGCACCTCCTGCCCCAGCATTTCCAACTGGAGCTGGCTCAGCGGGATGAGGATGAAAATGTCAACATCTATAGGGCCAGGCACAGGGAACCAAGACCTGCTTGACATCACCCTTGCTGTTCTTCTCAATCTCTTGCTCTAATGAAGGAACTGTGTATCTCAAAAACCATATTTCCAGAGCCACAAACATGAGGACCAAAAAGGATGGATTTCCCTGGCCTCTCTCACTTTCCTCCTTCCCTCTTTGTTACCCCAGATACTCTTGGGCAGGTGCAGTGAGGTGCCTGCTTACAAGGAATCCCAGAGTTCTGGCAGCACTAGTGTTAGAACACCAAGGAGGTTCCTGGCTCCTGTTCTCAGAGAAGGAGGATGGTAAGGTATCCAGGATTTTTAGGGGGTAAGGGAGATATATGGGATGTGAGAGCAGTGATTGTAGACAGACTGTCACTGATCACTTCCATTCCTGTTGCTGTTTACACAGAATGGACTTTAAAAAAATTCTGTGGGATTTTTTTTTCTTTTTTTCTTTTTTTTTGAGACAGGGTCTCACTCTGTCATCCAGGCTGGAGTGCAGTGGTGTGATCACAGCTCACTGCAGCCTCAACCTCTGAAGGCCCAGATGATCTTCCTGCCTCAGCTCCCCAAGTAGCTGGGACTAGAGGCATGCGCCACCACACCCGGCTAATTTTTGTATTTTCAGTAGAGACAGGGTTTCGCCATGTTGCCCAGGGTGGTCTCAAACTCCTGGGCTCAAGTGATCCACCCGCCTTGCCTCCCAAAGTGCTGGGATTGCAGGCATGGCCCACTGTGCTAGCCTAGGATTTTTTTTTTTTTTTAAGAAAGAATTAAGCCTTAAAAATCTATTGTGCAAGAACCCAACTTTTACTCAGGAGCTGAGAAGGAAGAAGCCTCAAACCACCCATTTCCTGCTTTTTAGAGATAGAGTCTAGTGGAACCATGGCTCTAACTGGGTCAAGTCCTCCTAGCTCTGAAGCTAAGGCTGCAGAGCTGTCCTTTGGACTGTATTTCTTCATGCTTTCCAGAGTTAGAGCCTTGATCACGGAACATCATTGTGTGCAGAAGAATACTGTACCTAGTACTAAGTTCTTTTCATCTTTGATTTTTCTTTAGCTTCATCAGTCCTTCCTTCCTAATCTCTAATCCCCTGAAGCCTAACACAGTTCCTAATGTGTTTTGCCTTAACCTCTTTTCTCTTCCCACATTGGTACTTCTGGTTGGGGCTCTCTTTACTTACTGCTTAGGCACATAGTCACCTTCTCTGGACTCCCTGCTTCCATGCTTTCTCCTTCAGTCCATTCCGCAAACTCTTGTGATCTTCCAAAATTAGCTCTGATTAGCTTTCACTTCCTGTAGAAGCAAGAACAAGCTCCTCTGCTTGGTACTTAGTCTGTGTCCATGTGATCCAAAATTACCTTCCTATTGCATTTCCTACTCCTTTGCTACGTGTATTGGACCTCTGGCCAAATTACAAAAGATGTACTCTTTGTTCTCTAAAACCACACTAAAGTTTTCTGACTTCTTTCACACTCTTTATGATAATCCTCTGCCTGAAAGGCTATTGCCACCTGTCAAAATCTTCATTATTCTTTGCCTCTTTCCTGAGCCTCTTGCTTGAATGTGATTTCTTTCTCCCTGAGACCCATAAGGTTCATCTTATGGGACCTTAATTTGTCTTGCATGGACATTTGTGATTCTCATTTTCTCACCATTAAATTACCTTGGAGGGTAGGGCTGTGGTTTACTCCTGTCTAAACCCCTGAAGCCTAACACAGTTCCTGGCACACAACAGGTGTTCAACAGATATTGTGCTCATTCAATAAATATTTACTCGCTTTGTTTAATGGATTCCACCCCTGCCTTCCTAGGTGACCTTGGACAAATTCTCGAACCCATTCACCAACCACACAAGTTTGTTGTGAGTCATAAATGGATAATGAATATAAATGCGCATTGAAAATAAACATAAAATGTTACCCACATTTCTTGTGTTGTTGTTTTGTGACGACTTTATTTCTTGGTTTCTGTTATTTTACCTGGGGTGGGAGGTGGGGGGTAATTCCCGTATGAAATGTGTCGTCTCAAGAAATCAAGTAGAGGCGAGGACTGTGTTCCTCCGGCCAGCAGGTGGCACCATACTCGTTTGGTGCGTTCCGCTGGAGAATTCTGGCCCTTCCGCCGCGCCGTAGGTTTGTTGCCTCACCAGTGCGCCCGCCGGAGGGTGTTTATCGCGGCTAGAGAGATGTCGCTGCTGCGGTCGCTGCGCGTGTTTCTGGTCGCGCGGACCGGGAGCTACCCGGTGAGAAGTCCTGGTGCTGGTACCGACCTGCTGTCCCTGCAGCTCTCCTGTGCGCCTGTACCTTTCCCTTCCTCCCAACCTCGTTTGACTCCATCTCACCTTCCCCGACAGCATTGCCTCTGCCCAGTCCAGCCCCGGTGCACCCCCCTTTGCACACTGTCCGCTCCCTAAGGTCGCTTCCCTGCCCGTGTACCCTTCACCCTCTGGAGTTTGCTGCTTCCTGCTCCTCATCCCTTTCTTATCTCATCTAGGCTGGGTCTCTTCTGCGTCAGTCGCCCCAGCCAAGGCACACATTTTATGCTGGGCCCCGTCTGTCTGCCTCGGCCTCCAGCAAGGAGCTCCTCATGAAGCTGCGGCGGAAAACAGGCTACTCCTTTGTAAATTGCAAGAAAGCTCTGGAGACTTGTGGCGGGGACCTCAAACAGGTGTGTGTGTGGAGGGGTGCAGGGCGGAGTACTAGAGCTCGACCTCAGACTCTTGGGGCGGTCACGCTGGGGAGCATAAAGTTAGACTGCTCTTCAGTGACCATAATGGCACAGTCCTAAGTGGAAATCTGGCTTAAATGACAACCTTGGCCTTGACTTTGTCTTATTTGAAAGCAGTTGAGTATCCCAGGATTAACAAACCAGACTGTTACGGTGTTTCTTGTTGCCTGGAGCTGAAAGGGTTTGTGTGAGCTTTGGAGTCAGATTGTTCAGGAGTCAAATTGTGGGGCCCCCACACTGTCTGACTTTAGACTTTTTTTTTTTTTTTCAGACGGAGTCTTGCTCTGTGGCCCAGGCCGGCGTGCAATGGCACGATGTTGGCTCACTGCAACCTCCGCCTCCCGGGTTCAAGCGATTCTCCTGCCTCAGCCTCCTGAGTAGTTGGGATTACAGGCGTGCGCCACGACACCCGGCTATTTTATTTTTTATTTTTTATTTTTTTTTGTATTTTTAGTAGAGATGGGGTTTCGCCGTGTCGGCCAGGCTGGTCTCGAACTCCTGGCCTCAGGTGATCCGCCCGCCTCGGCTTCCCAGAGTGGTGGGATTACAGGAGTGAGCCACCGCGCCCGGCTGACTTTAGACATCTTAATCTTTCAGAGTTGTGTAGTTTTTGCCTGTACGGTCATGCGTCTCTTAATAGGAAGATACATTCTGAGAAATGGCGTCGTTAGGAGATTTTGGCTTATGCACATCATAGAGTACCTACACAAACCTAGATGGTATATTGTACTACAACCTGGGCTATATGGAATTGCCAGCTGCTCCTAGGCTACAAACCGTTACAAAATGTTACTGGACTGAATACTGTAGGCAGTTGTAACACAGTGGTAAGTATTGTGTATCTAAACATAGAAAAAGTACAGTAAATAGGCATAAAAGATAAAAAACGATACATCTCCATAGGGAACTTATCATGTATGGAGCTTGCAGGACTGGAAGTTGCTCTGGGTGAGTCAGTGAGTGGTGAGTGAATATGAAGGCCTGCCTTAGGACACTATGGTGCACTATAGTAGACGTTAAAGCACAGTACACATAAGCTACATTACATTTATAAGAAATTTTTTTCTGTGATAATAAGTTAACCTTAGTTTAATGTAACATTTTTATTTTATAAACTTTTAACATGTTTTAAATTTTTGGACTCTTTTGTAATAACAGCATAAAACACATATTGTACAGCTGTACCAAAATATTTTTCTTTATGCACTTTTTCTGTGAGCTTTTTTCTGTTTTTAAAATTTTAAACTTTTTTTGGCTGGGCGTGGTGGCTCATGCCTGTAATCTCAGAACTTTGGGAGGCTGAGGCAAGCGGATCACCTGAGGTTGCGAGTTCGAGACTAGCCTGACCCACACGGAGAAACCTCGTCTCTACTAAAAAAAAATAAAATTAGCCTGGTGTGGTGGCAAGGGCCTGTAATCCCAGCTACTCGGGAGGCTGAGGTAGGATAATCTCTTGAACCCAAAAGGCGGAGGTTGTGGTGAGCCGAGATCGTGCCATTGCACTCCAGCCTGGGCAATAAGAGTGAAACTCTGTCTCAAAAAAAAAAACAACAACTTTTTTTATTGAAATATCTTTTTTTTTTTTTTTTTTTTTTTTTTTTGAGACAGAGTCTTACTCTGTCCCCCAGGCTGGACTGCAGTGGCACAATCTTGGCTCACTGCAAGCTCCACCTCCCAGGTTCACACCATTCTCCTGCCTCAGCCTCCTGAGTAGCTGGGACTACAGGCGCCCGCCACCACGCCCGGCTAATTTTTTGTATTTTTAGTAGAGACAGGGTTTCACCGTGTTAGCCAGGATGGTCTCGATCTCCTGACCTTGTGATCCGCCCACCTCAGCCTCCCAAAGTGTCGGGATTACAGGCGTGAGCCACAGCGCCTGGCCAAAACTTTTTTTAAGTTAAAAAATTGTTTTGTTAAAAACGGAGACACAAACACATACATTAGCCTAGGCCTACACAGGAGTGGCATCATCATTAACACTGTGTTCCACTTTCACATCTTGTCCTGCTGGAAGGTCTTCAGGGGCAGTAACGGGCATGGACCTGTCATCTCCTATGATAACAATGTTTTTTTCTGGAATACCTCTTGAAGGACCTGCCTGAAGCTGTTTTACTGTTAAATTTTTTTATTTTTTATTTTTTTGAGACGGAGTCTCACTTTGTCACCCAGGCTGGAGTGCAGTGGCGCGATAGATCTTGGTTCACTGCAACCTCCGCCTCCCGGGTTCAAGAAATTCAGCCACCCGAGTAGTTTATAAGTTGGAGTACACTCTAAAATAACAATAAAGCATATGTATTATAGTAAATACATAAGCCAGTAACATAGTTGTTCATTATTGTTTCAAGTATCATGTACTATATGTAATTGTATGTGCTATACTTTAATAGGACTGGCAGCACAGACGTTTTCTTTACACTAGCATTGCCACAAACATGTAGGTAATATGTTGCCCTACAATGTTAGGAGGACTACCGTGTCACTAGACAATAGGAATTTTTCAGCTCCATTATAATCTTAGGGACCGTCATCATATATGCAGTCCGTCATTGTCCAAAATATCGTTATGTGGTGCGTAACTGTATAAAGAAAATACAACTGTGTGCCCCATAGGGTTGTTGTGAAGATTAGATTCATCCAAGGCACCAGTTATAATAATACCTGGTATTTGGCATTTAGTGGTAGACTGCCAGTAAATGATAGATTACTTTAGTTTCTGTTAGAGAATTTAGAGAATCAGGAAACCTGAGTATATCTTAGAACTACATTTAGTGCTAAATTCTGTGACTTTGTTGTCTGCTCTTTTTCCTCTCAATTTACAGGCAGAGATCTGGCTCCACAAGGAGGCCCAGAAGGAGGGCTGGAGCAAAGCTGCCAAGCTCCAAGGGAGGAAGACCAAAGAAGGCCTGATTGGGCTGTTGCAGGAAGGAAACACAACTGTATTAGTAGAGGTGAGTTGTTGGAAATTCCAGATACCAAGAACAGCTGTCCCTTGGGTGTAAAGCTTGTAGTAGGCCCTAAAGGGGCCTGTTCTTGAAGAAGAGATCTGTTTAAGAACCATAAAGCGTAGTTGAAGTTAAACTCATGAAACCCTGGGTATTAGTTACGAATTCGTTTAAGTATAGAAATGTACTGGTGTGTTGATGAGAAATGGCCTGACAGTCTAGAATATTACTCCTGAATGTGAGTCTGGCACAGGCTTACACCTTGTCACTGATTGTTTCCTGGAACAGTTAGATTACAAGTTAATTATATTAATTGTTGCTGAATAGAGAGTAGGTATTTTAGAGGAGGTTTGGGGGCCATAATTGGTGAAGAGTCAGATGTGGATTAGTTTAGAGTGAGAGATGGGGATAAACAAGATAATAGCATAAGTGGTTTGGAGTTGGGATGGCTGGAGAATGAGGTGATGATGGTGTGCAGACATAGGTAAGTGGTGAACTTGTGGTGAGTCCTTCAGGACATTATTGAACCATCTTCTGAATATACAGGCTATTGCTAACTCACTGGCCCAACATAAATCACTTCATTCTGTTCCAGGCTAGGAGAGGAAGCGTAGCTTTAAAATTTTGGAGTCATTTTTTTTCCGTTGAGTCTGTAGCTTGTTCTATCAGTATCTTGATTTATTCTCCAGCCTTAAGGCACTTTTGGAAATTATCATTAAACAGCTTATACAGCTATATCAATTTGTTCCCACAGGTAAACTGTGAGACAGATTTTGTTTCTAGAAATTTAAAATTTCAACTGTTGGTCCAGCAAGTAGCCCTTGGAACCATGATGCATTGTCAGACCCTAAAGGATCAACCCTCTGCATACAGTAAAGTAAGTTTGGGATTTGTCTCCAGTGTGCTGAATTTGCTGTCCTCATTGGGTCTTTTGCTGTTCCTATTGTAGACATTCTCATGTCTCATTCTGTTACTTCACATCTCTGCTTAAATGCTATCTCTTTGCATAGAATTACCCTTCCCCCGTTGCTATATCCCCGTGTCATGCTGCATTTAAAATTTTTTATTATGGTGCTTATATATTACATTTTAATTTATCTGTGTGTTGTCTATCTTCCCCAGCAGAATGTAAGCTTTATGAGGCAGGGAATTTGTCTTTTCACTGTTGTATCTCTGGTGAAAGAGAATTGGGCCCACTACTTAGTTGGAGCTCAGTAAATCTTTGTCAGATGAATGAATGAATGATTGAATGCATGCATGCCAGTGAAATGGAGTTAGCCAGATCAAGTGAAGCCATTTGAGGCTTTGTGTTCAGAAATTTGGAATGGTCTTAGGAAAGAATTTCTAAATAAAGAGATTGGAGCCAGGTGTGGTGGCTCACCCCTGTAATCCCAGCACTTTGGGAGGCCGAGGCAGGCAGATCACCTGAAGTCGAGAGTTCAAGACCAGCCTGACCAACATGGAGAAACCCGTCTCTACTAAAAATACAAAATTAGCTGGGCGTGGTGGCGCTTGCCTGTAATCCCAGCTACTTGGGAAGTTGAAGCAGGAGAATCGCTTGAACCCGGGAGGTAGAGGCTGCAGTGAGCCGTTGTACTCCCCCCGGGCAATAAGAGCAAAACTCCGTCTCAGAAAAAAAAAAAGAGAGAGAGATTGGAAAAGACATGGTTTAGGAAAATAAGCATATTCTTATCCATAGAGGGATCAAGGAAAGGAATTATGTCATTCTGCCTTTGACTCAGCCTTATTGCCAAGGCAAAGATGAACCAACCACTCACAGTAATTTTTTTGAGTTTATTACCAACTTTTTTTATCTTCTTTATCCTTCTCTTGAGATGTCTTGGTAAATGTTAATTATTATTGGCATTACATAGTCATATGGAAAACAATGTTGAGATTATTTTTTTTAATTGTATTGAGTAGGTAAGTCACTTGAACTAGAAATTTTAGCTTTGATTTTGCCAGTAAACACCAGTGTACCCTTTTTTTTTTTATTTTTGTTTTTGTTTTTTGAGATGAAGTCTTGCTCTGTCACTCAGGCTGGAGTGCAGTGGTGCAATCTTGGCTCACTGCAACCTCCACCTCCTGGGTTCAAGCAATTCTGCATCAGACTCCCGAGTAGCTGGGACTACAGGCGCCCGCCACCACACACGCCTAGTATTTGTATTTTTTGTAAAGACAGAGTTTCACCATGTTGGCCAGGCTGGTCTTGAACTCCTGACCTCAAGTGATTCGCCCGCCTCCGCCTCCCAAAGTGCTGGGATTACAGGCGTGAGCCACCATGCCTGGCCCCAGTGTACTCTTTTTCCAGATTTGCCATTTATTAACATTTTGCTGTATTTGCTTTATCACTTCTTTTTTTCTTTAAGAGACAGATCTGGCTTTCTTGCCCAGCCTGGAGTGCAGTGGCACAATCATTGTTCACTGCTGCCTCAAATTCCTGGGCTCAAGTGATCTTCCCACCTCAGACTCCTGAGTAGCTGGGACTACATGTGCACACCACTATGCTAGGCTCATTTTTAAGTTTTTTGTAGAGACAGTCTTGCCATCTTGCCCAGGCTGGTCTCAAACCTCTGGGCTCAAGAAATCCACCTGCTTTGGCCTCCCAAAGTGTTGGGATTATAGGCTTGGGTCACTACAGCTGGCCCTATCACTTTTTATATACATGTTATCATCGCCCTTTTTTTTTTTTTTTTTTGAGATGGAGTCTCTCTGTCACCCAGGCTGGAGTGCAATGGTGCCATCTCGCTCACTGCAACCTCTCCCTCCCAGTTCAAGCGATTCTTCCACCTCAGCCTCCCAAGTAGCTGGGATTACAGGCACCTGCCATCATGCCCGGCTAATTTTTTTTGTATTTTTGTAGAGACGGGAGTTTCACCATGTTGGCCAGGCTGGTCTTGACTCCTGACCTCAGGTGATCTGCCCACCTGGGCCTCCCAAAGTGCTGGGATTACAGGCGTGAGCCACTGCACCCGGTCATCATCACTGTTTAAAAAAAATCTTTTTGTAAGTATGTTGCAGACATCAGGATCCTTTATTCCTTCAGCATGTATCTCGTAAAAACAAGGACATTGTTATATAACCACAGGACAGTGATCACATTTAGGATTTTTTTTTCTTTGAGACGGAGTGCAGTGTTGTGATCTCAGCTCACTGCAACCTTCACCTCCTGGGTTCGAGCAATTCTTATGCTTCAGCCTCCTGAGTAGCTAGGATTATAGGCATGCATTACTACTTCCAGCTAATTTTTTTGTGTTTTTAGTAGAAATGGGGTTTTGCCATGTTGGTCAGGCTGGTCTCGCACTCCTGACCTCAGGTGATCTGCCCGCCTTGGCCTCCCAGAGTGCTGGGATTACAGGCGTGAGCCACCGCACCCAGCCAAAATGTGTTAGTTTTAGTAGTTGTCATTCTACTGTTAGAAATAAATTTCCCTTCTCATTTTTATTTAGTGATTTATTCAGCACTAACATTGACTCGTGGGTTCTTATTTTATACAATAAGTTATAACTCATTATTCGTTTTGATGCTCAAATTATCTGCGGATTTGATCAATGCAAGCTGACTGTAATGTCCTTTGATATGCCCTTATTATTTTCTGAGTATTTTCTTACTTTTTGGCTTTTTTGTTTATTCTTATCTTTTGGGTTTATGTCATACTTTCCTTTCCCCAACTGTGGAATGGGCCACTTCTTCAAGGAGTCCTGGTCCTTTTTAGTTGGGGAATGGTTTTTAGAAATCAAGATTTGAATGTTAGGTGTGCTGATTTCTTTCTTTCTTTTTTTTTTTTTTTTTTTTTGAGACAGAGTGTTGCTGTGTAGCCCAGGCTGGAGTGCAGTGGCGCGATCTTGGCTCGCTGCTACCTCTGCCTCCTGGGTCCCGGTTCAAGCAGTTCTCCTGCCTCAGCCTCCCGAGTAGCTGGGATTACAGGCACGTGCCACCATACCCAGCTAATTTTTGTATTTTCAGTAGAGACAGGGTTTCACCATGTTGGGCAGGCTGGTCTTGAACTCCTGACCTCGTGATCCACCCATCTTGGCCTCCCAAAGTGCTGGGATTACAGGCGTGAACCACTGCGCCTGGCCAGGTGTGCTGATTTCTACTGAGATGTCATTTGTTCTTCGAGCAGACAGTGCAGGTGTATGTGCTGTGTGCGTGTGGTTCAATCCTTCCTTTTTCATAGCAACTTCAATATGTTTACTGTTTTTAGTTATGTACTCATATGTACTAAGTGTTACAATATATATACAAAATTGTTTCAGAATTGCTACCCCTGACCACTGCAAATAACAAAACTACTAAGGAGTTCAAGATTTATTTGTAGTTCTTTTTGTCTTTACATTGAAGTTAGGTGGTCAAATGACTCCGTTTAGTTATTTGGATTTTTTTTTTCCTTCTGTGAGCTTATGTTACTCATTTGAAATATAGTTTTATATTTCTTTGTAGTCAGTATTTATTTTCACCCCAAGTATGTGTTGATTTAATTTTATTTTAATTTTATTTTTTAAATGTGTGTTTTTTTTTTTGGCTGGGCACAGTGGCTCATGCCTGTAATTCCAGCACTTCGGGGTTTTTTGTTTGTTTTTTAAATCTTTTTTATATTAATAGAGATGAGGTTTCACCATATTGGCCAGGCTGGTCTCAAACTCCTGGCTTCAAGTGATCTGCCTGACTTGGCCTCCTCAAAGTGCTGGATTATGGGCATGAGCCACGGCACTGGGCCAGATTTTTTTTTTTTTTTTTTAAGATGGAGTTTCACTCTCATTAGCCAGGCTGGAGTGCAATGGCATGATCTCAGCTCACTACAGCCACCGCCTCCTGGGTTCAAGTGATTCTCCTGCCTCAGCCTCCTGAGTAGCTGAGATTATAGGTGCCCGCCACCACACCTGGCTAATTTTTGTATTTTTAGTAGAAATGGGGTTTCACCATGTTGGCCAGGCTGGTCTCGAACTCCTGACCTTAGGTGATCCACCCGCCTCAGCCTCCCAAAGTGCTGAGATTACAGGCGTGGGCCACCGCGCCCGGCCGGCCAGGTTCAATTTTATTTTTGAATACATAAGATACATTAAGAAAGTCCTCAAAGTTAAAACTGTCAAAAAAAAAGTATGCTCAGAGGAGTCTTACTGCTTCTCTCCCTTCTACCCCGTTCCTATCCATCCCTTTATTTAGATAACCAGTGTCATTGGATTGTGGTTATCCTTTCAGTATTTCTTTTTGCAAAAATAAGCATATTTATACAAATAGTTCTTTGTTGCACAGATAGTAGTATAATATGCATATACACTTATAATCTGCTTTTTTCACTTAATAATATGTCCTGGAAATACTCCATAGCAATTCATGAAGGTCATCCTTTTTATTTTTTCCAACTACATAGTATTCTGTTGTGTGGATGTGCTATAGTTTAATCTCCTGCTATGTTTGGGCATTTAGGCTGTTTTTAAAATTTTCTGATTAGAAATAATTGTTCAATGAATAATCTTGTGCAGTATTATTGGAAGTATATCATCAAGGTGAATTCATAGAAATAGGATTTCAGGGTCAAAGGATAAATGCATATGTAGTTTTATTAGATACTACAACTTCACACCATTGGATTTGTACCATTTTGCATTCCCATCAAAAATGTGCAAATCTAGCTCTAACATTTTATGATTTTATGAAAATATTGTTCTTGGCCAGGTGCAGTGGCTCACGCCTGTAAACCTAGCACTTTGGGAGGCTGAAGCAGGTGGATCACTTGAGGTCAGGAGTTCAAGACCAGCGTGGCCAACATGGTGAAACCCTGTCTCCACTAAAAAAGATATAAAAATTTGCCAGGCATGGTGGCGCATGCCTGTAGTCCCATCTACTCGGGAGGCTGAGGCAGGAGGATCGCTTGAACCCGGGAGGTGGAGGTTGCAGTAAGCTGAAATCATGCCACCGCACTCCAGCCTGGGCGGCAGAGCGAGACTCCATCTCAAAAAAAAGAAAAAACTGTTCTTGGCCAGGTGCAGTGGCTTACGCCTGTAATCCCAACACTTTGGGAGACTGAAGCAGGAGGATCTCTTAAGCTAAGAGTTCAAGACCAGCCTGAGCAACATAGGGAAACCCCATCTCTATATTTAAAAGAAAAAGAAAATAATTGTTCTTGATTTCTAGGAAATTACATTCTAGGAAGTTAGGCTGGAGGATGAGAGTGGAATGTAATTGGGGGTGGTGCAGTGATAGAATAAAATGTTTATAAAGATGGAACTGTTACCAATTTTTAACATTCTTGCCTTTATGAAAATATTGTCTACACTTAGTTGTCTTAAAGAATGTTTTCTTTCTTTCTTTTTTTTTTTTGAGATGGAGTCTCAATTCTGTTTCCCCGGCTGGAGTGCATTGGCATAATCTGAGCTCAGTGCAACCTCCGCCTCCCAGGTTTAAGCGATTCTCACGTCTCAGGCTCCCCAGTAGCTGGGATTACAGGCGTGTGCCACCATGCCCAACTAATTTTTGTATTTCGTTGGAGACGGGGTTTCACCATGTTTGCCAGGCTGGTCTCAAACTCCTGACCTCAGGTGATCCACCCACCTTGGCTTCCCAAAGTGTTGGGATTACAGGCGTGAGCCACCACGCCTGGCCAATACTTTTCTTAGAGATAGACTATTTTTGCCTATTCTTTTGATAATTTGAATAGTACAGAATCAGTTCATGTTTGTTTTCTTCGTGCACTTAGGGTTTCTTGAATTCCTCTGAGCTTTCTGGACTTCCAGCTGGGCCTGACAGAGAAGGCTCACTCAAGGATCAGTTGGCTTTAGCAATTGGTGAGTATTTGTAAAGGTTCTGGAAACTGGAAATTAGGGACTGGATCTCTTGTTATCTTGTTCCTCCAAATCTAGGTCAAGAATCATGTGCCTACAAGGGTCAGATGATACGAACGTGAGAAGTGGTGTGTGTGTTAGATGTTAGGGAACATTAGGCATCTTTTTTTTTTCCGAGACAGAGTCTTGCTCTGTTGCCCAGGCTGGAGTGCAGTGGCGCAATCTCGGCTCACTGCAAGCTCCGCCTCCCAGGTTCCTGCCTCAGCCTCAGCCTCCCGAGTAGCTGGGACTACAGGCGCCTGCCATCACGCCTGGCTAATTTTTTGTATTTTTAGTAGAGACAGGGTTTCACCGTGTTAGCCAGGATGGTCTTGATCTCCTGACCTCGTGATCCGCCCGCCTCGGCCTCCCAAAGTGCTGGGATTACAGGCGTGAGCCACCGCGCCCGGCCACATTAGGCATCTTAAAGAGCTCATACGCTGCTGGAGGAAGTCCCATTGCCAAGCTGTAACCAATTGTTATATCTAGGGAAACGGAGTCCTGGGGTCATCAGAATTTCTAAATTCCTTAAAAGAATTTAGATTTGTATCCAAAATCTCACGGATTTTGGCTGTTTGCAACTAATTAAAATTATTTTCATCACTGTGCCAACAAAACAAAGCATGTCTTTAGGCAGAGATGGCCTTTTGACTTCCAGCTGAGTACTTGAGTATATGCTGTAGGGAAAATAGTACATTAAAGATTATTTCCTCTTCTTTATAAAAGGTGGCAGGACAATTGAGGAGCATTGTTTTTAGGAATTTGATCTTTCTTTTCAAAAAATCTGGTTGTGAATTTGTAAAGATACATTCTTTTAGAGCCTGTTGGCTATAGGAACCACATCTGGATCATTGTGGTGGGACTAGCATCTTGCTTTCTTCCTAAGTATCCTTGATGGAGGGTGGGTGGTAGGGAAGGGTTGGAGCTTGCTGGGAATTTACTAATCTGAAGTTTCCAGTCAAGGCATCAGTTCCGTTTTTATCAGGTCATCTTGTATTATCTATGATGTTTCAATGAGTCATGGGTGAGAAACCAGGCAGACAGCTATGTATGAGGCTTATTAAGAAATTCTGGAAGAGCTGGGTGTTTCAGCCTTGTCAGTTTCTGGGAATTAACTATTGGGTATATGCTTTGAGCTATTTTAAAATTTGTTTTGGTTTCTGGATTCTCCTTTTTCATGACTTTTAGATATGACTATGGCTAATCCAGGCATACTTATACAGACCCTTTTGTTTATTCTCCTACCCCTTTTTACCTTTTGGCTTATTTGGACTTCTGTTAGAAGAGAATAACATCCTGAGAGAAAGGGGAAAAATAAGTTAAAATCTGTTTCTGGTTCTCATAAATAACTCTTGACAATGTTATCTTTTCTGTTTTTGATGAGAGGAAATTGAAACTATCCGATGACATGGTGCTTTGAGCTGTGGACTTTTTCCGGATAGAAGGGATGATCAGGAGTTGTCTGTGTCAGTTATGGAGTATTCAGGATGGTGGGAAAAAGCACCTAATTGCTTTGGAGTCAGATCTGAGTTTTAATTCTAACTCTGCCTTGTGTTACTAGGTGGGTTACCTAAGTTCTCTAAGCCTAAGCTTATTGTAATAGTAGCTAGCATTTGAGTGCTATGTGCCAGATACTATAGTTAATGCTTTATTTATTTATTTATTTTTGAGACGGAGTCTTGCTCTGTTGCCCAGGCTGGAGTGCAGTGGCACAATCTCGGCTCACTGCAAGCTCTGCCTCCCGGGCTCACGCCATTCTCCTGCCTTAGCCTCCTGAGTAGCTGGGACTGTAGGTGCCCGCCAGCACGCCCGGCTAATTTTTTGTATTTTTAGTAGAGACGGGGTTTCACCGTGTTAGCCAGGATGGTATCGATCTCCTGACCTTGTGATCCGCCCACCTCGGCCTCCCAAAGTGCTGGGATTACAGGCGTGAGCCACCGCACCCAGCCCTAGTTAATGCTCCATATATATATATATATGTATATATATATATAAATTTTTTTTTTTGAGATGGAGTTTTGCTCTTGTTGCCCAGGCTGGAGTGCAATGGCATGATCTCGCTCGCTGTAACCTCTGCTGCCCAGGTTCAAGCAATTCCTCTGCCTCAGCCTCCCGAGTAGCTGGGATTACAGGCATGTGCCACCATGCCTGGCTAATTTTTTGTATTTTTAGTAGAGACGGGGTTTCTCCATGTTGGTCAGGCTGGTCTCAAACTCACAACCTCAGGTGATCTGCCTGCCTCGGCCTTCCAAAGTGCTGGGATTACAGGCGTGAGCCACCACGGCTGGCTGCTTTTACATATATTATTTATTTCTCCCCAAAACCCTGAAAGGTAGGTGGTGTCATCTCTATTTTAAAGGTGAGGAAACAAAGGCTTGATAAATTTAGTAAATGAGATTATGTCATTGAGTCACTTGCCCGAGGTCATATAGTCAGTAAATAGGCAGAACTGAGACCTGAGTCACACATACTTGTGTCACCACAACCTATACAACCTATGTTTGTTGTTTTTTTTGTTTTTTTTGTTTTTGGAGAGAGTCTTGTTCCCAGGATGGACTGCAATGGTACGATCTCGGCTCACTGCAACCTCCGCTTCCTGGGTTCAAGTGATTCTCCTGCCTCAGCCTCCTGATTAGTTGGGATTACAGGTGCACACCACCACGCCCAGCTGATTTTTGTATTTTTAGTAGAAACAGGGTTTCATCCATGTTGGCCAGGCTGGTCTTGAATTCCTGACCTCAGGTGATCTACCCGCTTCAGCCTCCCAAAGTGCTGGGATTACAGACGTGAGCCACTACACCCGGCCTGTTTTTAAGTACCAGAGTGCCTGGCACATAGTTGGTGCTTCATAAAGGTATTCTTCACTTCCCCCACTCCCGCTCTCCTGCCCCATACCCCTTTTCCTCTTTCTACAAAAACTGAAAATGGTATCTCTTCATCTTACTGCATATCCTATGTAAATGCAAAGGGACTGTCTTCCAAACTGGGCCTCTTCTGTGCATATTTTGGTACCATCACAGACATCACAATTTGTTGGTGTGTTGGTTTTTTGTTTTTGCTTTAATAGGAAAACTGGGAGAAAACATGATTCTTAAACGAGCTGCATGGGTGAAGGTGCCATCTGGGTTCTACGTTGGCTCTTATGTCCACGGAGCAATGCAGAGTCCCTCACTTCACAAGCTGGTGCTGGGGAAGTATGGGGCCCTGGTCATCTGTGAGACGTCTGAACAGAAAACAAACCTTGAAGACGTTGGCCGCCGCCTTGGGCAGCATGTGGTGGGCATGGCCCCCCTCTCTGTTGGCTCCCTGGACGATGAGCCTGGGGGAGAGGCAGAGACTAAGATGCTGTCCCAGCCGTATTTGCTGGATCCCTCCATTACCTTGGGGCAGTATGTGCAGCCTCAGGGGGTGTCGGTAGTAGACTTTGTGCGGTTTGAATGTGGAGAAGGTGAAGAGGCAGCAGAAACTGAATAGGTTCCAGAGACTTTTGGCCCAGGAGGAATATTTACTTTTAGCTCTGGACATCATTACAAAAAGGAATATTTCCCAAACCTCTTCAGACCGAGAATGCATGGGTAAAATTATTAAATAGTTGTATAATAAAAATAATTTTTTCCTTGTTTGCGTAATACTGGATTTAGCTTTTCTGTGCCTTTCAAAAACAACAGGTGGGCCTTATTGACGTGATAGTGTCGTGGAGAACAGGCATCAACAATACTGCTGCTCCCTTCAACATAGATTTATTATGGTATTTCTGAAATTTCTAACTTATATGTTCTGTCTTACACCTTTTATGACATAGAACTCTTTTGTTCTGTTTTTGCTTTGCGACACTGTGAACCGTGCTTCTGCCTCGGAACCTCCCTAGTTATATTACTTGTGCCACATGGATTTCTTTAGGATTATTGATTCAAACCTAGAGTTGTCTGGAAAATGTGGGTTCTCTTCTTTGTGATTGTCTGTAGTATGCTTTGAAGGTGCTCTGCAGTGGTAGACACACTGGTTCTGGCCTCATTTAATGAAATTAATAACACATGCCCCTATTTCTCTTTTGGATGATGTGTGGGTGGGTGGGTACTGAGGTTTCCTGGCCAGCTGTAAGGCAGATTTTGACATTCTTGTGCCAGAAACAGAAATTAGAGTAGTCCAGTTACCCAGAGAGCTCACTTAACATTGCCTCTTTACTTCCCCAGTACTGAAACATTTCTTCAAGTATAACATAAAATTACCGTAACAAGCAGACCCAGAATACTGAAAATAACTCCATTTGTTCATTATAGGTATCTTTATTTGAAAAGTGAAAAATGCTTTGACACATTACAGATCTGGGTATTTGGATTTTGCCTATGGAGTGCATATATGATTTCAATGATTTACAGGCTAAATAGATTTTAGAAATAATCATCTTAAAATTGAAAACAAAGGTAGGTCCTGGTATAATATTAAACATAAAGTTATTAAACATTTTAAGCATTGTTTTTTGGTTCTCTTTCTTTTGATTTCTCCAGATTTATGCAGTTTTAGTGCTTTCTGCTGAGGCTTTAGCTAGAGGGCCACAAAACCCAAAAACTATATGGTTAACATTTTAGGTATATAACAAGCAAGGAATGCAAGGATGAGAAAAAATGGAGAACATGCCGTGATTTGCAGACTCTATTATATCTAAATTAAGTAGCTGAATGTCAGGCAGAAATTGGTGGATAAATTATTTCCTGATATTGGCACTATCTGCTCTTTTCTGTGGCCTTGCAATAGGTATAGGCCTTCTTGCTTTAGAAAAGCCCCTTTTCTTTCTTCATTTGGAGCTGTTTCCAGCCAGGCAGAGCTGCAAATTGCCCTCTTGTGATGCCAAACACAGACACAAAGTCCTGTTCAGAGAGGTAATTCTAAGAGAGAAAACAAAGTTTCTAGTTAGAAGGAAGACATGACATCATTGCCAACAGAAGTTGAGGAAGTTGGAGCAAGAGGGAGTTCTAGGTGGATCCTTGAAGAGGGAAGTAGAATGAATTTCTCAGAAAGGCTGTTAAAGATTTAAATTATTCATTGGAGAGGTGTTCTTCAGGTCAGGGAGTCCCATTTTGGCCTGTGGCAGAAGCTTACTGGATTCACTGCTCTCACAGTGCCAGCAAGCGCCAGTTTCTTGCCAGAAGGCAATAAATGGGTTATGTATTAAGGATGAATTACAGACATCAAATTTTGGCAGAATGAAGAACTAAATTGAGCTATGGTTTTCCTTGTTTTCTGCCCGTAACTACCATTTTTACCCATAAATTTTCAAATGCATGATCGGGTGGATCTTATTGAGCATAAAATTCTTCTACACATTTACTTAATGATTTATTGAATATTTATATACAAGTAAAGATTATTAATATATGGGCTTTGCTTTCAAGAAAATTGTAGTCCAGATACTTGAGTTGACTAGATAAGACATTGTGGGAAATCCAGAGTCCAGAGTCTGTGCCTAAATCAACTTCTTCAAGGGGAAAAGAAATTTATTCTTTTCTTTTCTTTTTTTTTTTTTTGAGACAGATTCTTGCTTTGTGGCCCAGGCTGGAGTACAGTGGCACAATCTCGGCTCACTGCAACCTCTGCCTCCCGGGTTCAAGCAGTTCTCCTCCCTCAGCCTCCCAAGTAGCTGGGACTACAGGCACCCACCACCACGCCTGGCTAATTTTTGTATTTTTAGTACAGACGGGGTTTCACCATATTGGCCAGGCCAGTCTCGAACTCCTGACCTCGTGATCCACCCACCTCACCCTCCCAAAGTGCTGGGATTACAGGTATGAGCCACCGTGCCCGGCCAAGAAATTTATTCTTTTAACTCAAATATGTTAATTCATTCACGCAAAACTTAAGAATACTTGCTATCTGCTAGGCACTGTTGTAGGTGCAGAGAAGCTGAGAATATGATGGTGAGCAAGACAAACAAAGGTCCTTCCTTTTAAGGATATTACTAGAGGGGGAAATAGGCAATGAACAAGTATAAAGGGACTGGAGCAGGTATGGGAAGCAGTATTAGGGTGGTCAGGAAATGCCTCCCTGGGGAGGTGATATTAGAGCTGAGACCTACATGATGAGAAGGTGCTGGTGCTGTGATGATTTGGGAGAAGGATGTTTTTTCAGGCACGAACACTAGCAAGTGTAAAGGCTCAAAGGCTGGAATAAGCATGTTTTAAGGAACAGCAAAGCAGCCGCTGTACTGGCTGAAGGGTGGTGAGTGATGAGGGTATTGGTATATGAAATGAAATCAGAGAGCTAGGCAGGGGCCAGATTGTATAGGCCTTCACATTCTTTTTTTAAATGTAGTGGGAAGCTATTCCAGGTGTTTTAAACAGGGCCGTGCCATATATTTTAAAGATCTCTTTGGCTGTTGTGTGGGGAACGGATTGTAGGAACAGGTGGAAACCAGTTGGATTGTAGTAAGTAGTCCATGATAGCTGGACTAGACTAGTAGCAGAGAAATGGAAGAGGAGTGAACAGAAGCTAGCTGATAGACTGATGTAGGTGGAGAGAAAAGAATCAAGAAAGAACCCTGGTTTTTTTTGGTTTGAGTTCCTAGGTAGCTCAGATGTCCATTGAGCGGCTACAATGTGCCGGAGCTGTCCTAGGCCATTTGCTGAGCTGAGTTTTTTACTCACGGAGAGCTCCACTTCCAACAGACACAGTTCCTTCAGCCACTCACCTCCTTTTTGGCAGGGTTTACATCCTCAGGCAGCTCCTGATTCTGGTTTTTCAACAGAACTGCTATAGGGTAATATTTTGGCTCACTGTCATTAGAATTCAGGGAGAGGGTTGCATTCTTCATGTCCTAGGTAAGATAAGAATGTAGGCACAGGGAAAAGACTCCTCAGTGTCTGTGTGGTTACAGTTCTGAATGTGTATAATATTTAACATTTTGACTTATGCCACTTCACCCTCTGTAATCATCTTTGATAACAATGCTCCCCAAACCTGGCTGCATGTCAGAATCATCTGGGAATAGAAAATATTCAGATTTTGGGGTTGTTCTTGGGAAAGCTGATTCAGTAAGTCCAAGGCAAGTCCTGTATAGCTAGTTTGGCATACATCTTGTGTCTGGATCTCATTTGAATATTGGGATCACATACCTTCTCTTGGTACTTTTATTTAGCCCTGCATTTCCAGCCTTTAAATGACTTTAGGTTGTAGTCCTACTTAAATACAATTTAAAGATACTACATCAACATTAGCTTTGGAATCTGAGTTTGTAGAGCACAAAGGACAGAATTGCCAGATGGTTTGAACACCTGGTGCCATGCACTCCTCCTGAGGTTAAAGAACTGCTGGATTCCTGGCTAGAGGCTCCACTTCTTTTAACCATTAAAATAGGTGTAAATGGCCTAAGTTTCTGTGGACTTCACTGTCAGAAATGAATAAAAATGTCATTTGGGTTAGAAGCTTATTTCTGAAAAATACTGCCAATGACTTTAATCTCTCCTTAAACGGCAGAGTTGAATAATAAAACAAATATTCATTTTTTTGTTGTTGTGTTTTTGAGACGGACTCTCGCTCTGTTGCCCAGGCTGGAGTGCAGTGGTGCCATCTCAGCTCACAGCAACTTCCGCTTCCTGGGTTCAAGCAGTTCTCCTGTCTCAGCCTCCCGAGTAGCTGGGACTACAGGCGCATGCCACCACGGCCGGCTAATTTTCATATTTTTAGTAGAGACGGGGTTTCACCATATTAGTCAGGCTGGTCTCAAACTCCTGACCTTAGGTGATCCACCCGCCTTGGCCTCCCAAAGTGCTGGGATTACAGGCATGAGCCACCGCGCCCGGCCCCATTTTTGTTGTTTTTACACAGCAAGTCTGTTTGAAAATCTGGAAGTCAGGAAAATAAGGAACTTGGCTCTGAGACCTGCTTTTCTATTGATTACAAAAAGTCTTTACATCAAAACAGACAACTATGGTAATACTAAGGACATGAGTTTTGCCTGTGAGCATCTGTAGCATTTGTGTGTTCTCTGGCTCTGGTTGCCCATGTGGCTGGCTTCTCCCAAGAGCGAACCCGACTCACAGCAGTGATTCGCATGATAGCAGCAGCATCTCCCAGCTCTTCTTTTAATTGTTCATATGTTTTTCCTGCCTGAGAAGAAGAGAGAGAAAACACAGGATGAGGTCTTTCTTATAGGGGAGGGACATCTTAGGTCTGGTCTGTGTCTTCAGGAAAAGCAAAAGAGCCAGGGAGTCAGAAGACATTTCAAGGATAAGTAAAAATGAAAATCCCCCCTTTTGGGTCCATGCAGGCTTGAAAGGTGCTTAAACATAACGCACATTCTTTGATGGTAACCCCTCAGTCCTCCCAATAAGATTTAAGAAAGAGCAGTTGAAGGCCAGGCACAGTGGCTCATGCCTGTAATCCCAGCACTTTGGGAGGCTGAGGCGGGTGGATCACCTGAGGTCAGGGGTTCAAGACTAGCCTGACTAACATGGTGAAACCCCATCTCTACTAAAAATAGAAAAATTAGCTGGGCATGGTGGTGCATGCCTATAATCCCAGCTACTTGGGAGGCTGAGGCAGGAGAATTGCTTGAACCCAGGAGGTAGAGGTTGCAGTGAGCCGAGATTGTGCCATTACACTCCAGCCTGGACAACAAGAGCGAAATTCTGTCTCAAAAAAAGAAAAAAAAAAGTTGATTAGGAGTCAGGAAACCTGGCTTTCTGTTGATTAACTGTGACTTTAGACAAATGACTTATCCTCTTAGCTTCCTTATCAATAAAATAGGGAGCAATACTTCTACTGGCTATCAGGATTGTTGTAAAGATCAAAAAGATGATGTGTATGGATATACTTTATAAACTGTTTATACTTCACACTGCTTATTGCTGACACCTGCTGTGAATTGTCCACCTGGACTTACTGCTGTGGCAGGTGAAAAAGAGGAGAAAAGTAAAAGGCAGGGAGTGGGATGGGAGTAGGGAAATGAGGTCCTGGTTTCACTGAGCCGTGAATCAGTACTCCACCTTCCTGCCCACTGAGCTGTTCTGAGCTACCTGGCAGGAAGTTAGAGCTTCCCTACTCTCTTTTCTTACACTCCAAATGTTAGGGTCCCAGGCTAGGAACCAGCCTGTGAAGATGGGAGGCTCAAACCCCTGCTTAATGATCAGGATTGGTGTGTCGGGATCTCGGCCGCTGGGGTGAGTGTGCAGGTACTGCTGTGCTGTGGCAAGGGCACTCTCCTTCTCCGTGGCATTGGCCTCAGCCCCAATCCACAAGAACACCTGTTAAGGTGGAGATTTAATATATGTTACTGTGTTCATACCAAGGACTAAGTACTAGATCATACACATTACCCTATCTTTCCCCTTTCTTTCGTGAGCAATTCACAGCCTCAGAAAACTTTCTCAGCCTAATTTGTTCAGCAGAGAAAGGTTTTCCCAGAATCAGCTTGATGTTTATCATTTTAATTGCTATGTGTATCTTCCAGGTCTGCCTTTCCAAATTGGAGCTGTCTCTGAACTTCAGCTTCCTGAATCCAACTTCTTGCAGAACACCTCCTCTTGACTGCTCTAAGCACCTTAAAAATAACACCTTCAGGATGTAGCTCTTCTTTACTAAACTTGTATCTGAGTCTCCACTTTTGATAGGTGGTATCTATCTAGTCACCTAAGGCAGAAGCCTGAGAGTTTCCTAGAAACCCCCCATATCCAATGAGTCACCAGGGCTGACCAACTTTACCTCCTAAGCATTTGTCAAATCTGTCACCATCCCTCCATCCCTACTCCACTGCCCTTATGTGGGCCCACAGTAGCTCTTACTTGACCATGACAATAGTCTACTGACTGCCTTTGTTCCCCCAAAGGCCCATATCCTCTGCATGTGGAGTCCGTTGCTATTGATCCTAAGACTAAAATGATGATAGGATGATGATAGGATGGCTGGATTTTTCCAAAGCAAGGTGGGAAAATGCCCAGGATGGTGAGTTTCAAACATCATTCTCAAACATCACCCCTGGAAAAAAAACCCGGGCTTTCTTTTGGTCACTGCTGACAAAGGTTTGATTGAGCTGGGGATGGTCCAGGGCTACCCTGGGTTTATTCTAGGGTGGGGATACTACACAAAAACAACCCTTACTGTGGGAGTCTTTCTCATGTTCTGACTTCTGCAGCTGTGTCTTACCTGGTCCCAGGTATCTAGGAGCATCACGTCAGTAGGGTTCAGGTCATCCTGGGTGAAGTCTGTGATCTCAGTGACAACGAATTGGCCGGTCTTATTGGAACATTCAAAGAGACGAGACTGGACATCTAGGATTTCCTGCTGAAGTCTGCAATATAGTCCATTTAAGGGCATCAAGCTGCTTAGAAATGTTTTTAAAACTGAGGTTTTAGCCTTTGTGCAATTCACAAGCCTGGCAGGCAGGGGGAGCCCAGAAGAGGGGGAGGCTGTGTTCCCATACCTTTTATCATTGGCATAGGGAGTTTTCCCTCCCAGTAGGTCCCAGAACTCGGCTGGCTCCTGGCCCTCGGCCACAGTGTTCTCGCTGCCATCACAGAGAAGGCTGGCCAGCTCCTTAGCCATTGCCCGCTCATCCCCACTAGACCCCTGAGAGTGGGGCGAGGAGAGCACAGATGTTAGTTGCACAGGGGCACTTCGATGTGGAAAGAAAAGCATCTGAGACTAATAACTCAGTGTGCCAGGATCAGCTACCAAACCACAGTCCCTCAGCCTGGGAAGACAGACAAGTTTGTTCTAGTGCTGGGGAGTGGGGAGGAAAACAGTGTGGGGCAAAGAACAGGACTAGGCTTTGAAACCCACAGTGGGTGTTGGCAAAAGTCACCTTTGTTTCAGCTTCAGTTTGAATTTAGGCACCTACTTTTGATTTTTATTTTAGAGAAAAAATTTAAATTTATTTTTAAAAGTACATACAATAAAATATACTCTTTTGACATACAATTCTAAGAATTTTCACAAGCAGAATCATGTTACTACCACCACAATAAAGGCACAGAACAGTTTCTTCCTCAGTCCGTCCCAAAATTATCTGGGGTGCGACCCCTTTGGAGTCAAAGCCTCCCTGAATCCTTAACCTCTGGTAACCATGAATCTATTCTCCATCACTATAGTTTTGCCTTTTCCAGAATGCTGTAAGTGGAGTCATACAATATTTAGCCTTTCAGTCTGGCTTCTTTCTCTTAGCAGAATGCATATGAGATCTCTGTTGGGTTTACCAGCGCGCTGCTCATCCCTTTTTATTGCTGAGAAGTATTCCATCATGTGGATGTACTACTGTTTGTTTATCCATTTTCCAGTGGGGTTGTTTCTGATTATGAATAAAGGTGCTATAAACATTTGTGCACAGGTTTTTCTGTGAAGATAGTTTTTTGTTTTACTTGAGTAAATACCCAGGAGTAGGATTGCTGGATCATACGGTAAGTGTATGTTTAACTTTGTAAGAAACTGTCAGCTGGGCGTGGTGGCTCCCTACTGTAATCCCAGCACTTTGGGAGGCTGAGGCAGGTGGATCACCTGAGGTCAGGAGTTCGAGAGCAGCCTGGGCAACATGGCGAAACCTCGTCTCTACTGAAAATACAATTAGCTGGGTGTGGTGGCACACGCCTGTAATCCCAGCTACTTGGGAGGCTGAGGCAGGAGAATCACTTGAACCCAGGAGGCAGAGGTTGCAGTGAGCCAAGATCGCGCCACTGCACTCCAGCCTGGGCGACAGAATGAGACTCTGTCTCAAAAAAAAAAACAAAAAAAAAACTGAAACTGTCGAAATGTTTTCCAGAAGCTGTACCATTTGCAATCCTGCCAACAATGCATGAAAATTCCTGTTGCTCTGCATCCTTGCTCATATTTTATGTTGTCAATTTTTTTAACCATTCTAATAGATGTGTAGTGGTTATCTCATTGATTTTGATTTGCATCTCCCTAGTGACTAATGATGTTAAGCATCTTTTCCTGTTCTTTTTTGTAAAATAATTTTAGTGCATTTTATTTTATTTTGAGAGGGAATCTTGCTCTGTTAGCCAGGCTGGAGTACAGTGGCGCAATCTCGGCTCACTGCAACCTCCACCTGCCAGGTTCAAGCAATTCTCCTGCCTCAGCCTCCGGAGTAGCTGGGACTACAGGCGTGCACCACCATGCCCAGCTAATTTTTTGTATTTTTAGTAGAGGCGGGGTTTCACCATGCTGGCCGGGCTGGTCTCAAACTCCTGACCTCAGGTGATCTGCCTGCCTCAGCCTCCCAAAGTGCTGGGATTACAGGCGTGAGCCACCGCGCCCGGCCTTAGTGCATTTTAATCCACTATTGCAATATGAATTGACATCATATTTTGTGTTTTTGTTCTGTATTAGTGCCTGTCTGTTAGAGTCCACCAAATTCACATGGGAAGATTGACTTATCCAGCCTCCATCTGCATAGAAGTTTATGAGATTTCTGCTAGGTGTAAGCAGGGCTTTCAGTGAGTTTTTTTTTTTTTTGAGATGGAGTTTCACTCTTGTTGCCCAGGCTGGAGTGCCATGGCGCGATCTCGGCTCACCGCAACCTCCGTCTACTGGGTTCAAGCGATTCTCCTGCCTCAGCCTCCCGAGTAGCTGGGACTACAGGCGCATGCTGCCACACCCGGCTAATTTTTTTTGTATTTTTAGTAGAGACGGGGTTTCACTGTGTTAGCCAGGATGGTCTCGTTCTCCTGACCTTGTGATCCTCCTGCCTCGGCCTCCCAAAGTGCTGGGATTACAAGTGTGAGCCACTGTGCCTGGCTTTTTTTTTTTTTTTTTTTTTTGAGACGGAGTCTCACTCTGTCGCCCAGGCTGGAGTACAGTGGTACAATCTCGGCTCACTGCAACCTCCGCCCCCTGGTTCAAGAGATTCTTCTGCCTCAGCCTCCTGAGTAGCTGGGACTATGGGCGTGTGCCACCATGCCCAGCTAATTTTTGTATTTTTAGTAGAGATGGGGTTTCACCATGTTGGCCAGGCTGGTCTCGAACTCCTGACCTCGTGATTTGCCTGCCTCAGCCTCCCAAAGTGCTAGGATTACAGGGATGAGCCACCGTGCCCAGCTTTTTTTTTTTTTTTTTTTTTTTAATATCAAACGCTTCATGAATTTGCATGCCATCCTTGCACAGGGACCATGCTAATCTTCTCTGTATCATTCCAGTTTTAGTATATGTGCTGCCAAAGCAAGCACTCCAGCCTACTCTAGGTCCTTTGACCTTGCTGACAGGAGGAGGGGAGTGCAGGTCTGGGCTCCGAGGGGCTGGTCTGACCCGGGGCCCAGCCATCCTACCTTGCCATACCACAGGTAGTGCTCTGCCTGAGTTCGCAGCAGAAAGACATCATTGGAGTTTAGGGAGGAGGCAAAGGCTGGAACTTCCACTGCTTTGGTGTTAGATTTGTCATTTCCATGAATTTGGAAGAGTCTTACTGGAGGGTCAGGCTCGGCATTTCCCTTCCTGGAAGTCCCACCCTAGAGAGAAGAAAAGCAGAGTCCAGATCTAAGGAGCACCATGTGAGCAGAGTGCTAGAGGAGCTGTTGTGGGAAACGTGAATGTTATAGTATTATGTTTGCCCTTGAGGAGCTTCTAGACTCACTGGAAAGGGTCAGGGTAAGCTGGAGTTATGTCACCGATAACAACAACTTTCATCCTGAGAACTTTATCATATTCCAGGCTCTGTGACTGGTGCTTACCTACATCATTTCATTGATCCTCATTATAACTCTTATGAAGTAGATGTTATTATTCCATAGTACAGATGAGGAAACTGAGACTTGGAAACTTGACTAGTAAATGACAAGGCTAGGACTTGACCCCAGACTTGTGTGATATCAAGCATGTGCCATTACGCATTGCTTGGTAGTGCTTCAGCCAGGGCTTCATGGAAGAAGTGGGACTTGAATTTGAAAGAGCACATCTGAAGCAGGAGGGGTATGGTATGGTACACGTGAGGTCTAATGAAGAGACCCACCTGACTGGAGTGGAGGGTGCAGGTTAGGGAGCTGAGGGTGGTGCACCTGCATAGGTAATATGGGTCAGGTTATGAAAGACCTTGAACATAATTTAGATAGTGGTTCAGACTTGAAGCCCTAGGCAGTTGGGATTCACTTGACTGTCTTAGAGGGATTAACCCCCTTCTTCCTCTGTCTAATCCAAGCCTGACTCCCTACCCCACCCCTCCTCTGCTCTCCAATAGTCCTGTGCTGGTTTGTTAGTTTGGAACGTTCCAGCTCATGGTGTAATTTTATCAGAGCATCCTCACCTCAAAGATAACTAGCTTCCCTTTGAAGATGGCCATGAAGTGGCGTGGCTCCGTTCCCATCCTGACTCGAACCTGCACAGCAGCCCCATCAAACTGCCGATCCACCTCCACTGCCTGGTATGCTGAGGCTGCCAGCTCATCCTGTGAGGCGTGGCGGCCCTGCAATGGTGAGAGGCCATGAAGGACCCATGCTCCCCGCCCCAGCCCAGTGGCCAGAGGACACATCAGGATCCAAAGCTGAAGCCTGTGCCAGGCCTACCTGCCAGATGTACAAGATGTGATGTGGCTTCCCATTTACCTCGTATGTGTAGAGGACCAGATAACAGTCTCCCCCATAAAAGAAGCCATACCATTGATACTCCACAGGGACCAGCTCCAGGTTCTCAATTCTCCAGACCTGGGCATAGAAGGAGACACCGTTTTCCAGAGATGGGGGTGCTGAGAGGGGCTAGGCCACACTAAAGAGAGAATCCAGGTGGGAAAGGTGCTGACGTTTACTCCATGTTCCCTTTCTCCCTCTGGTTCTCTCCCAGTGCTGAGGACTCATCACATTTGCATGATTTGAATCGTGAGATGAACTGGGCCATCCTGTTCAGGAGCATCCCATCATGGCTCGGTCTTTGCAAGGCTGAGCAATGATTTGAATATATCTTCCAGGTGAGATATTGATAGCACATTTGAGGATGTGCCTTTCACTACCCTGAAAACTCTACAGACTCACAAGACTCTTAAAGAAGACTCCTGAGGTGCCGGAGGGGAAAGGGAAAGCAAAGCAGACACAGAATCACCTGCACCCCTGCCCCCAGCAGGACAGCCATGAAGGCCAGTGCTGTCTGCCCTGACATTTGAATCATTGGGCTTACCTCAACTTTTCCGTTGCCATCATCGACCATTCTTTCCTGGGCAGCTACCTCTGGCTTGGTGTGTAGCAGAGTCACATCAAATTTATCCTGGAAAACTTTAGCTGTGGAGAAAGGGTTGGGAAAAGCCGAGTGAGTAAGAAGCATCTGTGCCTGCTTTTCTAGAGTCTTAGCAATGAGAGGATGATCTGGGGGCAGTCTCACCAATTTTACCAATGCTGAACGTTTTCCCCAGGCCCATGGTCTGGTCCTTTACTGACCACTTCTGGAACAGCTGCTTGAACATGGCCGACTCAGCACCATCGTTGACGGTCTCCACATTGGTGCTGCTGGGGTAGCTCTTCATCTTGATGAAGCCCTGCAGAGCCACCCATTCCCAAAGGCAGGTCAGTGGTGGAATACACTGAGTTCTTTGCTTGTCTGGTAATTCACCTCTATGAAGCCACATGATATAAGCGTCTCCCCTCTGGGAGTCAGAGTCAAATTCTAACTCACTTTTGTCTAAGGACCAAGGTACCTGCCTAAAAAAAAAATGACTGAGTGGAACATTTTTGGATCTGTTTATTGGCTTGCGGTGATTATGGTTGTTAATTTTTAGGATGATTATGCTGTGTTCTTTCAGTACTTTTGTCCTTACTGACTTTGCATCACATTTGTTTGCTCATTTATTGCTTCTGGCTTGGTTCATCTGCATGGATCTGCACAAATATAAGCTCCTTGAGGACAGGGCCATTAACCTTGATATGTGATATCCCCTTCAATAATAACAGCCACCTTTTATTCAGCAGGTACTGTGTGCCAAGAACTGTTCTGAGTGCTTTTTTTTTTTTTAGACAGAGTCTCGCTCTCACCTAGGCTGGAGTGCCGTGGCGTGATCTCGGCTCACTGCAGCCTCCCGGGTTCAAGTGATTTTCCTATCTCAGTGCCCTGCCAGGTAGCCTGGACTACCGGCATGCGCCACCATGCCTGGATAATTTTTTTTGTATCTTTAGTAGAGACAGGGTTTCACTATGTTGGCAGGCTGGTCTTGAACTCCTTACCTCAGGTGATCCACCTGCCTCGGCCTCCCAAAGTGCTGGGATTACAGGCGTGAGCCACTGCGCCCGGCCCTGAGTGCTTTACAAATGATATTTAATCCTCACAATAACCCTAGGAGATGGGTATGACCCCCATGTTAGATATGGGGAAACTGAGGCCCACAGGTGTTAAGTATGTCTTCCCCAGAGCACACAGCTGGAAAAGACAAAACCTGGATTTGAATCCCAGTTTGTCTGCCTGACTTTGCAGTCCATGTACGTAAGCACAATGTTATATGCTCAAATACCTAGCATGGCTCTGTGGAGTGACACACCTGAAGTGCTCTTAGCAGAATTATTTGAACAGTATTGCACATCTGTAGCTCCTACCAGCGCTTTAGACATGGCTGCCTGTTTTTCAGCCTTTGTGGCTCCTTTTCCTTTCCACACGTAGATTTTGGTTCCACTTTGGTCCAGGATGTAGCAGTCCTAAAGCAGCCAGAGATAGGTATGGTTGCTCAAGACCAGAAGGAAGATTTTGCACAGGGTCTGCTTCTGAAGCATGTCTGGCTACCCCAAGCTAAGTCCACCCAAACTCTACTTACATCATGGTTCAGTAAGTCCTGGACCAGAGGCCTTGTTGCTACCTCTGTGACTGCCAGCTGCCCAGCTGAATCTGAGATACTGGAGAAGGGGAGAGGTTAGCCTGTGCCTTTTCCTCTATAAAGCATCTTGTAGTCAACTAGATGTTGTTCTGGTTTGGTTTTAGTTTGGAGTTTCTAGGTAGAGTGTGACTGCCTAAGACAGCCATGACTTGAGTGAGGACAGGAATGTGCAGACTCTTTTCTTTGGTGGAGACTTTTGTTCATCTCTCTCCCAAACATTATCCCTTCCACATCCCTGGGCATGTGTAGGCTAGAGTAAAGGAAAGGTCTCCTCAAGAGATCAGGAGAGTTGCTAACAAGAACTGCCTCCTTGAGTGGGGGATCTCCAAGCTTTCTAGGAGCTGCATTTGAAAAGGACTAAGAAGAAAACCAGATGGCTACACCCAAAACAAGGAGCCAAGCAGAGGTGGCTGGTGTTCTAGGGGACACCTTCCCCCCAACCCCAGCTTCCAGCTAAAACCAGGTTGAGCTACTCACTGATACAACATGATAGTTGATTTCTGCTTCTGATCTATGATCTCATCAGGGACTGTAGGCTTGATAATGGAGCGTCGGCCAAGGGTGTCCTGAAGGACCTTCATCAGCTCTGGGCTGGCTGCCTCCTTGTCTCCCTCGATCACTCCTATTTTAGCACGGCCCCCTCGCTCCCTGTCTCGAATATCCTTTGCCAGAAGCATAGCCTGTCAAAGAAGCCCAAGGAAGCCCTCAGCTCCTCTGGGACCCCTTTCTGCCTGATGTCTTTGGGGAGAACAGCCTAGATCCCAGACACAGGAGTTACTTGGATGCTGAGGAGTCCAGGGTGAGTCACAAACTCACACACTTGGCCTGTCTCCAAGACAGATTCTACTCAAAGGCAGGGCTCCACCTTGATTCTTGGGGAAGAGCCAGCATGGAGGGAAGAAGAAAGAGGAACTTGAGAAAGTGCTAAGGCTAGGAAGCCATACCTTCAGGCGCTCCCCACTGTTGCTCTCTGGGCCATTCCATTGGATGATGACTTTCCCAAGGTCCAGCAAGAAGACATCACCTCGGTTGAAACTGTCCCAGCTCATTTCCACCTGTCGATGAGAGGTAAACATTGTTCAGGAGGAATTCTTAGGTGCCAGGTGGAGAAGCCCCGGGCCTGGGGCAGAGAGTGTGCAGGACTAACCTCGGTAGCCCTGATGTTTCTTTTCCCTTTCACATGTAGCAGCCGCTTCACGTCGTAGGTATTGGTCTCCACGTGCTTCATCCCAGAGGCGACACCCCCCTGCTTGTAGCTAAGGGAACATCCATTCAGTTATTTGAGTGCCTGCTATGTGCTAGGTTCTGGGGAGACAGTGGTGAATTACACAGATGCAGCCTCACTCATGTGATGACAGTACATCAGCAAGGTAAATACAGATGGTGGCAGCTGCTGCCCCACAAGTAGACTGGGTGAGTGACTTTCTGGTAGCGAGTTGGGGCAGTCTTCTCTGAAGAAATGACATTTGAACTGAGATACTACAAGGAAAATGAACCAATACCCAGAAGAATAGTGCTCCAGGCACTATAACAGTGTCCAGGAGACATCAGTGACAAAGACCCCTGCACCACAGAGGGCTTGTTTTGTTCCAGGAACTGTCTGAATGCCAGTGTGTTACTGGGAGAGGGATACAAGTTGTGCTGCAGCAGAAGCATTAATGACTCCACGGCCTTAAGACCACCTACCCTAGGAATCAGCTCACCCGCCCTGCACTCAGCCCAGCCCAGCCTCCGAGCCAGGGGTCCTGCACTTTAAGGGAATGCGGAAGGTAGCCCTGGAGCAGAGGGGCTCTGTCCTTGGGTTCCCCAGTGGCTCAGTGTGCTCCTCTGTGCCCAGAAGGGCCTCAGTCAGTGGAGACTGCTGACCTGCAAGAAGCTGATCTTGGCCCAGCCTCACAATTCTCAAGCTCATTGGAATTCCTCTTTTTGTTTTAATATCAGGGGCAAAGTTTTGAGTTAAACTTCTCAGTTGATGGAACATTATCATCAGCCTTCGCTCCCTCTCTAGTGTTATGTGTCTGTGCATTCCCTTTATCTGCCTGTCCTACTCCCATTCCTCTCCCCAATACGCTTCCATTCTAACTGTTGACCTTTTTATTTTCATTCTAGTAAACTGTGTCCCCCACCTTTTTTTTTAAAGACAGGGTCTCACTCTGTCACTCAGGCTAGAGTTCAATAGTGCAATCATGGCTCATTGCAGCCTTGACCTCCCGGGCTCAAGTGATCCTCATCAGGGACTGCAGGCTCGATAATTGAGGGCTCAATACCCTCAGCCCATGGAGTAGCTAGGACTATAGGAGTGCACCGCCATGCCTGGCTAGCTTTTTTACAAAATATTTTTTGTGGAGATGAGGGTCTTACTGTGTTGCCTAGGCTGATCTTGAACTCTTGGGCTCAAGCTATCCTCTTGCCTCAGCCTCCCAAAGTGCTGGGATTACAGGTGTGAGCCACCACGCCCAACCCATCCTGTTGTTTTGTGTGCATGTTTTTGTTTTGTTTTGTTTTGTTTGAGATGGTGTCTTGCTGTGTTGCGGGGCTGGAGGGCAGTGGCATGATCTCAGCTCAGTGCAACCTTCGCCTCCTGGGTTCAAATGATTCTCCTGCCTCAGCCTCCCGAGTAGCTGGGATTACAGGTGTGCACCAGCATGCCCGGCTAATTTTTGTATTATTAGTAGAGACGGGGTTTCACCATGTTGATCAGGCTGGTCTTGAACTCCTGACCTCGTGATCCGCCTGCCTCGGCCTCCCAAAGTGCTGGGATTACAGGCGTAAGCCACCATGCCTGGCCATGCGTGTGCTTTTTAAAACAGAAATTGGCATTCTGTTATATGTCTTAGTCTGTTTCTTACTTTGTGTGCTAAGCACCATGTTTGTGAGCTCTGTCCTTGTGTTAGGTGTGTATCTAATCTGTTGCTTCTGGCTACTGCATAATACTCCGTGGTGTGCATGTCCAGTCTCCGAGTGATGGACACCTACGTTGCCTGCAGCTTCCTAACATCATTAATGAGGCTGCTATGAACAGTCTGGTCCATGTGCCCTTATGGACCTGGATACGTGAGGATTTCTGTGAGTTACACATGCAGAAGTGGGATTTGCAAGTGGCACTGACTACTCTCCAGGATGCTGCGCTAGTCCACACTTCCATCAGCAGGGCACAAGGGCTCCTATTTCCCCATAGCCTTGCCAACACTTGGCACCTCCCAGCTGTTTAATCTGCTGCTCTAGTGGGTGGAAGTGACAGCTTTGTTTTGATTTGCATTTCTCTGATTACTTTCTTGATAATGCATGTTGGCCTTTTGGGTTTCCTCCTCTGTAAACTGCTGTTTCTGTCCTTGCTCTGTGCACCCCTACTCACATGATGCCCTGCTTGAAGTAGCCACGGAAAGTGTCTGACTCATGGTACTGGACCTCTCGGTGCTGCACAGGGCTGCCTCCCAGGTAGTCGTCCAGCTGTGTGGTATATATGGCTGCGCAGCTTTGCTCATCCTGGGAGGAGTCCTTCCCGATCCAGAAGTGGATGTCCTGGGATAGGAGACTGGCCACTCTCCGGGTCTGGGAGGTAGTCAGAGAGATCAGGTCAGAGGCCAGCTCACCTCCCCTTTGCTGCTGGCCCCTGTTATGGGGAGAATGCAGCACATGTGCATGCCCTTGGCAGACTGAGGGCCCTCTCTCCTGCAGTGGATGTGGGAGCTGCCCTGGCCCCCGAGCAGACCTGCGATCATGGCATAAACTTTGGCAGCCCAAATTCCTCCCCGCATTTGGGGAAAGTTGACAGCTTGTTGTTCCCCAAATAAATAGATACCAACGGGGATCTTTTCCCAGCCGGGTTGCAGGCTTACCTCACAGGTCCCCTTGGTCCCTTGCACTCACACAGCTGGCACAGTGCTCATCTGTACACCTGCACGACCCTGTCAGCACCGTTCATGTGAGTCTCCTCCATGAGAATAGCACTTTGAGGCTAGAGACAGGCCTTGCATTTATCAGGCCTTCTTCCACACCACTTTAATGTGGGGCCTAGGCCCGGGAGAAGTGCTGCTTGTGGGTGGCTCACTGAGGTTCAGACTGAGGGTCCTACCCCCATCCTCTTATGCAGCATTAAAAACCCAGGCTTAATGATGGCCTTTGATAGTCAGACTGGAGGTCTGCTCTGCATAGCACTGAGGAACCATTGAGACCGATACCAGGGACTGACTACCTTCCCTCACCAGCACATCTCCCAGTACAGCCCAAGAACTGGCCCCAGGGGAGAGGCTCACAGGAGTGGGGAGGAGGGTGCTCACCGAGAGGATGACGTAGCAGTCCCCCTCATAGAAGTTGCCGTGGGCGCTCACAGGCACCAGCGCCAGCTCCATTTTCTGGAAGGACAAGGGGTGGGTATAGGCTACATCCCCTCCCACCTCCCTTCCCCATGAGCCTCCCTCTCCTCTCTGTCATTCGGTGCAGGTGGTGGGGAGAAGGAGGGGAGATGTTCTCAATGACCTTACAGGATGTGAGGCTGCCAGCCACAGGGTTAACGTGGCCATCCCTCTGGCTTCTGTGAGCTCTGCTTGCATCACCCCGGATCTGAACCTTGGTCCCTATCCTGCTTTCCCTTGCCCTATTCTCCACTCTACTTCCCACCCGATCTCATCTCGCACTATTGTGGGAAACCTGTGAACCACCTCCAGCCCTTTGCTGGATATAAACGACCAAGTACAAACCCTTCTCTGAGCCGTTGTGCCAGCACCTCCAACGCTCTTCCCAACGCTGACCACTGGGTGCTGGCCCAGGCCCATGTAAGAAAGAACACTTGGATTCTGTGGGGCCGTGGGAGGTGGAGGATAACATTTGGAGAGTGCCAGCGGTCAGCAGGGCTCTGTGCCAAGTGTCTTATATTTGGAGTCTGGGTCAGGGCCCTGATTTATCACTGCATGTATGGCTTGGCCCTGGAGGACTGTTCACACAGCCTTGATGTAGATTTTCATCACACTCCCCAAGTGAGGGAAACTTGCGGCCATACTTGTGTGTGTTCTATGTAAAATGTGATAAATGTTAAATATACTGCAAATCTGGTAACCGTGTTTTAGTACTTGTTTTTTGTTTTTGTTTTTGTTTTTTTTGAGAGGGAGTCTCCCTGTGTCTCCCAGGCTGGAGTGCAGTGGCGCGATCTCGGCTCACTGCAAGCTCCGCCTCCCGGGTTCACGCCATTCTCCTGCCTCAGCCTCCTGAGTAGCTGGGACTATAGGCGCCTGCCACCATGCCCAGCTAATTTTTTGTATTTTTAGTAGAGGTGGGGTTTCACTGTGTTAGCCAGGATGGTCTCAATCTCCTGACTTCGTGATCCACCCGCCTCAGCCTCCCAGAGTGCTGGGATTACAGGCGTGAGCCACCGCACCCCGCCAGTACCTGTTAGTTTTTAAGGAAACTGGAAGCCTTCAAACAGTGGAAGTGACCTGGGACTCACAATCTCTGCGAGGCTTGCTGGAGAGCTGACTCCCCCTCCTGGTTGAGGATAGTGAAGTGAGGCATCATCGCTGGGTTTTAGGCAGCAGCAACTGACTGGGCTCAGGGCAGGGGTTGGGGGGAATCCTCGTATCTGGCAGGTGGAGCTACCCAGGCCAGGGTGGTTCCCAGCTATGGATTGCTGGAGCTCACAGCCGCACAGAGGGTCCCAAGCCCAAGAGGAGACGGGCTGAACAGCTCCTCATCTCTGCAGTGCCCCCTCACCTCTCCCCATATTTTGTAGGAGCCAGGGTGCCCCGTGGAAGACATGTTCCATTTCTCTGATGGAAGCTGCCAGGAGTCTGCTGAGTAGGTCCCACCTGTCTTTCCAGGGTGTTTCCTGCAAGTGCAGACTCACTGAGCAGGTGGCTGGCTAAAGGACAAGCCTGTTTTTGTCTGGAGCCCTGTTCTTCGGGGCTGAACATTTCCTCCACCTGCCAACCACCTGCTTTGAGCACCCAGGAGAGGTGAAGGATGGGAAATAGGTACTTTGATGCTGCCTCTCATTCTCCTCAAACCATAGGCTAAGGGGTGCTGGCGGGCTGTTGCCTAGCAGCCCCAGGCAGCCAGACTGCTTCCAGATGCCAGTGGTCACAAGTAAGGTGCCTCCAGCCCAGCTCACCTCTATTCTCCAGACAATGATCCCAGGGTCGTTGTCCACAGCCCTGAAGGCACTGGTCAGAGGCATGATGCTTGTCTTTCCAGGACTGAAACATCACAGAACAAGAGGGGAGATGATATCTCTTGCCATAGTGGGCATCAATCCAGTTTTTCTGCCGAGCTGCTTCCCAGTCTGTTGTCAGCCATCCTGCCACACCCTCATGGTGCATCCCTGCACCATTTCACAATGATGGGGGCAAGGACTTGTCCAAGTGCACATGGTGAGCCTGGCTGGCCTGGGGATTACCACCCATGAGTTCTGCTTCCCACCTGCCATTGCCCTTAAGAGCTCTGGTAATCGTCATGGTTATTTACCAAAGGGGTGATAAATATGTTAAGCCCTGTATTGATTCACTTTGCATATGTTATCTCTAATTTTCAGAAGGTGAGTTTCTTCATCTTACATTGTGTGAATCTGAGGTTTGCAAAGGCTGAATAACTTGTACAAGATCACACTCTAGAATGAAATCCTTATCTGATCCCCAAACCTGTGCTTCTAGCCACTTTGATGTACTACAACCCTTCCTAAACCAATCTAAGTTCAGTGGCATTTGGAAAGAAAAGCTAGTCAGAAAAAATATTTCCAAACTCAGTTGCCTTCTCTCACTCTCATTCCAATTCTTCCCAAGTTCCCTGCTTGCAAGGCCTTCTCCACAGTCAACTTTGACCTTCTCTTTGGCTTTTGTCCTTTTTTTTTTTTTTTTTTTTTTTTTAGAGTAAACTATTCTTAAACTCAAACAACCCTTCCTTCTTTTGTCACTACTATATTCCCTGTGCTTTCCAGATGCAAGGAAAGTAAAATGGCAGGGCTGGGCCTGGGACAAAGGGTTCTGGGTGCTAGCAGGGTGTGGCCTGGTCTGGCCTGCGGACAGATGGCTTCCTTTTTCCCTCCCACACAGACCCAAGCTTCTGTGTGGAAGCGTGAACCTCAGACACTTAGACGTCTCCAGTTCCTTCAGGATTGAGCAAGTCAGGGTGGGGAGAGGGGGGAAGTGGTAAAGATCTAAGTCTGTGTAGGTCGTGTACCATCTGTATTCAAGGAGCATCTTGGGTAATTAAGCACCTACCCATGTCCAAGGCCACGTAGAGGCTTTATAGAATTAAAATACCTGCTCTCAAGGAGCTTGAAATCTGATAACATGCATAATTAATGTAAAGCTAGATTAATTTCTCCCAAGAGGCAAAGGAAAAAGGATGGGGTTGATGGATTTATGTAAGATTTAAAAATTCACCCAGAAAGGACTGTATGCATTTTTGCTGTTTGGGGACATACTGTTTGTTAAGAGGAACATGTCTGACCATTGTTTTCTTGAACCTTGATGGACAAAGCCAAGTTTGGAGAGCATGCGCCATCTAGTATGGACTTTGGCAAAAAACCATAAAGCTCAAAGCAGACTCGCTTTGTCTACTGCTGTAGCAGGACTAAAGCAAGGCAATGGTGCGGAGCAGCCAGTGTTTGAGAATTTAATTTGATAACTTGTGCTGCCCCACCCTGTGCTGCTCAGAATTGCCAGGAAATATGGTGTTTGGGTTTTCTTCAGACCCTACGTAGCAGTCATTAAAGGCAAAAGCCATGAGCCAACTAGGGGAAGGGGACAAGGGCCACTGAATTCATTCCTTGGAGACAGAGAACTGTCACCCTGGTAAAAGCCAAACCAGCCGGCAGCAATTAGGACTGTGAGCCTCAGAGGCTGAAACCTGTCCCGTTTCCCAGCAGGAATTTAGGAATCAAGGAGCTCCCTGGGCCAGGCACCCCGAATGCGAGAGGATAAGCTCCAGGAAGGGACTTCCTGTCACACTGGAACACACAGAAAACACAGTTCTGACATCAAATCTCCCAAAGCTGGGTCTCTCCTTCTCCCTAAATCCTAATTCAGTATCCTTTGAGAGGACTGCAGAAACCCCTTGGGTGTGGGGCACAGTTTTGAAATGTCAGGTTAAAAGCCAGTGGCCTGTAATTCTCAGAGATGCCCTTTTGGACGGACCCTGAGCAGAGGAAGCTGTTTTTTGTTGTTGTTGTTTTTGAGACAGGGTCTTGCTCTGTCACCCAGGCTGGAGTGCAGTGGTACAATCACGGCTCACTGCAACCGCCACCTCCTGGGCTCAAGTGATCCTTCTGCCTCAGCCTCCTGAGAAGCTGAGACCACAGGTGTGCACCACCATGCTTGGCTTTTTTTTTTTTTTTTTTTTTTTTTTTTTTTGTAGAGACAGGGTCTCACTATGTTGCCCAGGATGGTCACAAGTTACAAACTCCTGGGCTCAAACAATCCTCATGCCCTGGCTTCCCAAAGTGTTGGGATTACAGGTGTAAGCCACCTCTCTGGGCCAGGAAGCTGGTTTTAACTCCTCCTGCCTTGCTCCATACCATCTTTCTCTAGGGATAGGTGAAAGGGGTCTGTCTTTCCCAGCTTTTGAAAATGTGCCCTATATGTTCAGCTGCCTCTAAGGGGTTCTTCTGAACAAGAAGTTTGCAAAACTGGCCAGCCAGACTCCTGGTTCATTTTAAAAGCCTCATCTCAGAAGACAAAGCCAAGGGACTCTCAAGCTCCTCTTCCTTTCATTTCTTCCTCATTCAGGAGGATTAACTGGCATGCCCCCGTAAATCAGAGACCTTACCTTGCCTTCTCGCTCACCAGCCTTCCCAGTTTCCCGGCGCGTAAGCAGCAGCAGTATTGAAGAACCACTCCAAAGCAGGAGGCTCCAGGTCCTGCTGCCTTAGCTTAGTAATGGCCGCAGAGATACTGGGTTATATTTGCTTGTGTTTGCATCTTAACCGCATTTTCCTAGTCCTGGCCAATCAGAGCCAACCTAGCACTGAGCTTGGCTTATTCAAACCAGAGGGAAAGCTTTATCTGTGCCTATTCAAAACAGCAAAACAGAAGAGCAGACTTTTAAAGGCTTCTTTGAACTCCAGCTCCACGCCCTGATCTAATTGATTTTTTAAAAAGTGCACACAGCCCATCAATAATGCAGGAAAGAGGTTGGAAGGATATGAAATTTGCCATATTGTAGATATGGATGCATTATGGTGATGACAGGAGGAAGAGGCTGGAGCTGCCCCATGAGTGCCTGTGATGTCTAGGTTGGCAAGAGCCTCCCTAAGAAGCTTCTGGCATTTCTCAAAGGGAGGGGAAGTCTGGGAGAGGAGCCAGAATTTTATTAGGCCACAGTTTTGCTCGTTGGGGTCTCTACTAGTCATACAGTAAACCAATCAATATTTGAGTGCCTGCTGTTTGCCAGGAACCATGCTGGGCTCTCAGCTTCAGGGTTTCCAGTTTGGAAGAATCAGTGAGGGGCAGAGAAGAATCAAGACTCCATTCCCAGGGCTGGGTGTGGTGGTGGCTCACGCCTGTAATCCCAGCACTTTGGGAGGCTGAGGTGGGTGGATCACAATGTGAGGAGTTTGAAAACAGCCTGGCCAAGATGGTGAAACCCCATCTCTACTAAAAATACAAAAATGAGCCGGGCGTGCTGGCAGGCGCCTGTAATCCCAGCTACTCAGGAGACTGAGGCAGGAGAATCGCTTGAACCTGGGAGGTGGAGGTTGCAGTGAGCTGAGATCATGCCACTGCCTCTAGCCTGGGCAACAGAGCAAGACTCCATTTCAAAAAAAAAAAAAAAAATAATAATCCATTCCCTTAGGGCTTCTGGTTCATGCCCAGAAGTCAATAGGACATCAAGCATATACACGTGCTAAGCACCTGACTGCAATGGGGTTGATCACAGCAGAACTTGTGTAACCTTGAGCGGAAGCCCTGTGTGGCATCTGCAGCTGGCCTCCCGGTGGGTGCAACACCCCACTCAGCCCGGGGGTGCAGCTGCTTCATGATGGAAGGGGTTGCGAGAAGAAAGGCGGTGCTTGCCATGGGCCCAGTGAACACTTAAGGGCCAATGAAGGTTGGTGGCAGCTCACATTCCTGGAAAGGTTTTTTAAACCCACTTTTATTAATTAATTGTAAGTAATACAAATATTCCAAAAATATAAACAGACACTTAATGGCGTCCTGCATTTCAAGTTTTTGAATACAACAAATTTATCAAACCATGAATCTGTAAGCAAGGTAGTCAGAATCCCATAGCCCAGTCACAGTGGGAAGCAGATCCCCTACCCTCCAAATGGCATCTTGAAGGGGGAAAGCGGCACGAAATGGAACATGATAAGCAAAAAAGCTCACGAGGCCCAAAGAGGAGGGTCCGCTCCATGGGCAGGCCCTACAACGTTAAAAGAATGGGGCAGCTGGCCCGACCTCTGGCCTCCTCTTCCCTGGCTGAATGTAAATATTTACCAGCATTTAGAAAAAAGGAGAAAAAAGACAGAACTAAACCCGTTTAGGAAAAAGGGACCGAGGGACAGCAGTGGTTAAGTAATCCACTGAGGACCTGAAGGGGAAAATGGACTTACCTTTCTCATATACTTGGCCTGGCTAGGACACTGGGTGCCAGACAGCCTTCTGAGGGGATTTTCTTTCTAAATGAGGCCTCAGGAACAGGTAGGGGCAGCAGAATAGAATAGCATCCATTTCCCAGAGAAAGACTGCCTTTACATTTCCCATGCTTTTAGCACAAAGCAGCGTCTGGGCCACTGTTACCAGAGGTGAGTTTATACATTTACAAAATGCTTAAAATCTTTGGGAAGCAAGAGGAAGCTAAACAGAAGGTCCCATGTTAACTGAAGGCAAATTCACTCAACCTCTCTAGTAAGGGACCCATGGGCCTACAGAGTGTTCCCTCTACAATGTGCAGAGTGGAAACCCTTACCTGACCCTTTTCCAAACTGGTCCTGTGTCCAAAGCTCCCCCTATGAGAGGGACACGAACATCAGGCTTTTGATTTAGAAGCCCAATCAGAGAGACACACTGTGTCCCTGAAGAGGCACCTTAAAAGAACTGAACCTGGCAGGTAGGCAGATTCCTGGCATGGCTTGAATTGGTGCTGACCAGGCATGGTGGCCTATTGCCTCCCAAAGACCAGTCTCAAGTGGGAGGGGCTGATGGTGGGAAGCCCTAGAAGAGAGTCTGGGATGAAGCGGCCTCCTCCCTGTCTTGCCCTCCAAAATTGAGTCTGGCCTGATTCCTTTGAGGAGCAAATTTTACAATCATCCCTCACCCTAACACACGGTGAAACTGGAAACCCGACAGCAAATAATGACTAGGCTGGCTCTGGTCCACAAGAACAGACCCTGGCTAGGTTTGGCCGAGTAGCTTCTCTGGGGCAAGTGGGAATGGCATTGTTGGGGGGGAGTTGCAGGTGGGCAGGCAGGGTTCTGATGGGAGTGAGGCCTAAAAAGCAGGGGCTTCATGCAGATGCAGCAGGGACACTCCCACCAAGCCATCCTGGGCTTTGGTCATGGGTCCCACGCCAAGCACTTGGACAAGTCTGTTAGGAAAGGGGGTGGCACATGCTCTTCCGCCATCTGGAAAAACATGGAGATCCAAGGGAGGGCGGAAAGGGTCCTTGCAACTCAGTCAGCTTAGAGCCTCTTATTGCTTATTTAGTCAGAAAAGCCTGGCTGGGCCTAGACGGCAAAAGATTTGGCCAAGGGCTAACCCTTAGGGTGGGGCTTGGAAGAGAGGCCCCTCCTGCAATATTAGGATAGCAGCCTAGGTCAGGCCTTGGGTCCGAAGCCACAGCTGGCTCTAAGAGTCTGAGCTCCTGCTTTCCTTCAAGAGACAGTATATTTCTGGCTAGCACATGGGGTCCTTCTCCCTTTAGGTACACCGGGACCCCATAGGCACCGGGGAGTGATGCTGGCGGAAATGGCCACATGAGTTCTGGGGACTCTGTTCCACTTTATGATTCCAAAGAGAAAGACAAGGCCTTATAACCTTGGGACAAGAAGGGAAGGTGGCACCACAACGCTAGAGAAAAATGCCAGCCAGCCACCGCTGAGAGCACGAAGCTGCTGCTCTACTACCTGCTTTTCTCAAAACTTGTTAGTTCCTGAGGCTGGATCTAGGGTGTGGCAATGGAAGGGATGATGGGGAAGAGTCCTGAGTGGGTGGTGTCCCTGCACCTAAAGCAATTCACAAATGCTTTGTGATACCTGCCTCCAGGGAACACAGAGATGGGAACAGGAGCGCCCTCCCACCCCAGGAGGAGGGAGGGAGGGAGGAGAGAACCCCACCCACCCCAGGGAGGCCACGATTAAGGCAGTGATGCTGAGGTGGGGCTCCTTTTTGGGAGGCCCCTTGTGCTCCCAATTACAGCAGCACTTCCTCTTATTTTCCACCCTGGGAAAACTTCCATTTCGTGATGACTTTAATTTTAAAGCATTCACTATTAAGAACCTTTGAAAGCAGGAGACACCCAGAGTGCAGGTCTGAGGGGCTCACTCACTCCTGTTACCAGAGGCAGAAAGCATGCGCATTAGGCTGGCAAATGGCAAGAACACTCATTCCCCCTCAGCCCAGGAAGAGCAAGAGTTCTGAGGCCCTTAAGAGGAAAAGCAACAGCCAGGAAGGATGAAGGCTGGAACAGACAGAGCTCGGTACAGGACAGGCCCTGGGGGAAGACACAACAGGAAAAGAGCCCTGCCCAAGAAATGGGAGGGGCTGGGACAGCTTAGTTTTTCCCAGCCTTTGGAACAGAAGTCCTTGCACCAGCACCAGCAGAGAATCCCTGAAAAGCAGACTTATGGAAATGATCCCGAGCTTAGCTGATCCACAAGCCATGGGGACACACGTCCACGCTTTGAGGATTTGTCTTTTCCCTGCAACCCCAGCGCCGCCGACATTCATTACAGGCCCAGGACTGTAACTTTGTCAGAAACAAACCAGGCCCAACACTCTGTGTTTAGAAAGAGAATTTTAAAACACAGTCAAAAGAACGGAAATCAGTTATCTGTCCTCTTCCCGGGCAGGGAGAAAACCTCCTTCCCCACAGGTTTGAGACTATGGCTAGGTGGTGAGGAAGGCAGGCTCAGCACCCCAGCCTTGGGGAGACATAGAAAAGGCCTATCCCAGGCACTCAGCCGGAGGCAAGCATAGCCTTTGGGCCACAAGACCTGATGGCCACTGGATGCTGGTCTGGAAACAAGTTCTCATCTTCCCAGAAATGTGATCTTTTGTCTGCAGCAGCTGGCTGGAGAAGGATTTCAGAAAGGTGTGTGCCTGGAGTACCCAAAGGCATACCCTTCCTTTATCCTTGGCATAGGCCTTACAACACTGAGGAAAGGCCATGGTTTGGCAATGGAGTCTTCAATAGTCTTCATCCCTACACAACTCAGTGGCTCTTAGGGTGACAGGAGAGGAGACAAGCTAACTTGGGAAGAGTCTTGGTCTTTCAGCTTCTCCCCCACTGAAACACTATACACTGGGGCCACAGTTCATGGCAAAACACACACACAAACACACACTCTCTCACAGTCAAACACACATCTCAACAAGTTGGCGGCAGGTAGCTCTGGGTATCATTGGTCTGGCATTCGCCCACTCGGCATCTAAGCTGTCCTAAAGCTCTTTCCAGTTACTTCCCGCTGTTTCCGGGCCGTGTGGTGAGGCACTCCAGCTTCTACTCTGTCACGCTGATCGTAAAGGCACAGTGTGGGAAAGTCCCCTACTGGGATGGCCGTCGCTTGGAAGCAGGGCAGGCTAAGGGGCCCGCAGCTGCCCAAGGCTGGTGTAGACGTCCTCTGCTCCGCTCAGCTCCTCAAAGATTGGGATCAGGTTCAGCAACTCAGTGTCTGCCATGTCATCAAACCAGGACTGCACAGGCACCTGGTGGGGGGAAGATGTGGTGTCAATCTCCCGACTGCTGCTTCCCCCTCCCTCGCCCCAGAGCCCTAGAGGGTGGCTGGGTCTTCCTGGAGGGGTGTACTTCTCTGGTGGAGCCCACAGTTCCAGTCTGCTTCCTCTCCCAATCCCTACCGTGGAGACGCATCAGGAGCACTCACTGCATTCTCGGGGTGGAATATGTAAGAAGCAGGCGAGTTGTCCAGGATGAGGGTCTTTCTCAGGTCCCTCCCCAGGCGGCTGAGGTCCTTGACGTAGCAGCCCTGGTGGAACACGCAAGACTCACGGAATAGGCGGGCCCGGAACACCCCACACCGGTCCAGCAGGTCTGTCACAGGGTCGGCATACTAGGAGGAGAGAAGATGCCTTAGTTTGGATACACTCCTGGTCCTCCTGTATAACCCTAGGGACCAAAAGGGAGCTGCTGGACCACCCCCGTGGCCACCACACCCACTCCTGGTTCTTCCCTCTCACCCCTAGGTACCTTGGCCAGGCTGGCAGTGAAGAGAACACATTCAAAGAGTTCCCCCATGCGTCTCAGGAACTCATCCACATAAGGCCTCTTGAGCACATACACCTGAGGAAGAGCAGAGCAGCCTGTTGGAGGCATCCCTGTGATGAAGGTTTGCAGTACTGGGTACCTTCACCAGTTACACAGCAGCAAGGAGCTCTCAACCCCTGCAGCCCAGCCTCCTGGGCTACCTGGCTGGAAGCCTGCGGCCCCCTGAGACCCCACAGACCCGGAGAACTGGCTGTACCCCTCACCAGGCTTCCAATGGATCAGTGGTCCCAACCTCAACCTGGCTCAGGAAGAAGCGCACACACCATGTCCCAGGAGCCATCTCTGTTTCCGGCGGCGGACCATCAGCTGCCTCCAGAAACAAGTAATCAAGAATAGGCCTCACAGATGGAAACAGCCTATCCTGGATTACTTGAATCCAGCCACAGCCTCTATGGGAGCTTTCTGTCCTTGGCTCCGACAGGACAGTCTGTCCAGGTCATGATTAGGTAATGAATTGCACCAGGGAGAAGTGACTTTTTCCCCTCAATGACCATAGACTAGACAGACACCCTGCCGAGTCTTGCTCTGCACCCGATCTTGTGCTTGCTTCTGCCAGCCACCACTAACACCTTTGTCCACCCTTACGATCTTGCACATTTTGGGAAGTCCTTTGGCCACCTGACCCCCCATCGGTCTGCATTCTATTGCTTCCATGACTCTAGCCTACACAGCTGCTACTAGAACCATTTCCAAAAAGGTCCTTTTTCTTTTCTTTATTTACTTATTTTTTTTAGAGATGGGGTCTTGCTATGTGAGGCCAGGCTGGTTGTGAACTTGTGGGCTCAGGCATTCCTCCTGCCTTGGCCTCCCAGAGTGTTGGGATGACAGGTGTAAGCCACGGCACCTGACTCCCAAAGCTCCTTTACCTGCATTACTCCCGAGCTCAAAGAGAGTCGGCCTGCTGTGACTCTCCCTCCTAGAGTAGGCCTGAACTGGCCACCAACTCACCAGACCACTCAGAGCTCTGCAGGAACCCTCTGTTCTAGGCAGCCACAACTTAACTTCTGTTAGCCTGCCATTCCTTCGACCTCCAACAAGCCCCTTCCTCATCCCAGCTTTCATCAAGTCTGGCATCCTTTCACCCACCTTGGGCAGGTAGTGCTCCCTCATTTTAATCTCATCCTTTTAAAAATTATTCATACCCTTCCTTGTTAGCCAGGAGTTCACAGTGTATATCTGTTTGAAAATATGCCTTCATCTTTTCTACAAGGGTTTAGCACATCCCTATACCCTCAGCTAGACTGTCAAAGGGCTGCTGGACCAAGCCTAGTCCTGACCGGGGCCTGGCGCTGGGCATGGCAGGCCTTCTGGGCAAGCAAGCTGAGTAAATGGTCTTTCACTAGCAGTGTCACATGATCCTTAACCTGGGACTGCCTGGGCTGCAGGCTGGAGCCTGGTCTGTTTAGATTTGAGTGCTCTTTACATTGACAGACACACACTGAGCACTTCCTCAGGCAGAATCCAATGGAGGGCCCCAGGGAAGGCAGTCAGAGAAGGCTTCACAGAGGAGGAGATGTCTGGGCTGGGGAGGAAGAAAGTCACTAGCTATTCACAGTGGGGGTGGCAGGGGGAGCATGGGCAAGAGGGCATTCCGGGCAGAGAAAATGGTTACTACTGATTTCCCTGCCTGTTACAGGCAAAGAGATACCTGGTTAAGGTATCTTAACAGGTATAGATACCTTTCTTAAGGAACAGAGAAATGTAATAAATCATTTAACAGTGCTGGCCACGTGAGGGGATGGTGGTTAACAAACGATAGCTATTATTATTATTAAATAAAATGTAAACTATTCTTTTAAACAGCTTGGTTGCAAAGAGAAAACAAGGGAGACAGCTGGGTGGGATATGGGGCTGAAACTCTTTTTTTAAGGTGAGAAAGCCTTGAGTGAAAGATACCAATAAAAAGGGGAGGCTGGAGTTATAGAAAAGGGATCAACTGACAGAACCCAAGCCCTGAGATGGGTGGAGGACCCCAGTACAGGTGAGGCAGAAGGCAGACCCCCCACCCTCTGGGCTGGGTGTGGTCTGGCTGGCAGCTCACCTGGTGAGTGGTCCCCTCAATCTCTATAGGCACTATGAAGTCAGCATTGTTGATTGGCTGGAAGGCAGAAAAGTTAATGCTGTCAGCATGGTGGCAAAGAAACATGAGGCCCCCACCATACCCCTAGGTGGGTGGGGAGAAACAGGTCTTAAAGACTCCTGGAAGTGCCTCTGGCCACCTCATTAAGGGGTTCTCACCCTAGTTCAAGATGTGATACCCCATTCTGGTTTTCCCTACTCCTTAGCACCTCCACTCTGACAAATTCTACCTGGGCTGAGAGTTTTGGGGCCTGAGTTTCCTGAGGAGACAAGCAGGGGCAAGGGCCAAAGGTGATCCAACCACTCTTTTAGGCCTGCCCTGTACAGAGCCCTCGTGGCTGGCTTTCTGTGCTATGTGGCTCGGGGGCAGATGCAGCCTGTTGGGAGTGACTGGAGATAGCAGCCCTGGTGGAACACACAGGGTTCCTACTCAACATTCTTCAGTGGGGCCTCTAGATACCTGTGACACAGGGTGGCCAAAATGCCAGAGGCCTGGCCTTTTCCCTTCTAATCACTCTTCTTTCCTCACCTTTAGGCTGCCTTACACATCTGTTGCCAGATTCACAAGAAGGCCCAAGATAAAGGTAGGAAGGGTTCCAGACATTGAGTTACCTTAAAGGAGCTATGCACAAGGGTTTCATCGAGGTCAATGACCACACAGATCCTTCCTTGATCTTCCTCTGTCACCTCTGGGAGCAGGCAGGTCCCTGGGATCTAAAACCAAGCCAGGTTGCTGAGATCTGCCTACCAAGAAAGCCCAATTGTACCCCTTGGCATAATTATGGGAAGAGCTGGGTTGTTTGTGGAGACACAATCACCAACCCAGGATAGGCACCACTTAAAGGCCAGGAAGAAAGGAGGTGGAGTTGTTTCCTTGGTTTCAGCCTCCCAGTGGGACTATTAAGTGATCTGGACATTGGAGGTGGTGGCCAGGGCAGGTGTGGGATGGACAGCAGCTGTGGGAAGAGGGCATGGAGCACCAGCTGTCCCCTAAAATCTAATGCCTTGCACATAGCAGGCCCTCAACAAGTATGGGGAACAAATGGCTTCCCAGGTCAGGGAGGTGGCTGGCTAGGCACCAAGGACTATGCACATCACCCTGCCCGTGGAGCTGGCAGGGATCACAGGATCCTGGCTTCTGAGTACTTACCAGGCCAGAGTCACGTACCTGGTAGAACTGGTACTGGAGACACTGGAGCAGATCCGACTGAGGAAGAGAAGGAGGTGGTCAGTGCCATCTCACTGCCTTTCCCACCCCATCCAAACCCACTGCTTCTGTCTTAAGCCTGGAGGGCAACTTTCTCCCCCAGACCCAGCCACCTGGAAGCTCCTACCATGTCAAAAGTGACTTTTCCTAGGAGTGGGGCAGGAAAAGGGAAAGGCTAGAGCTTCCTTTCCACATTAGGCCTGATGAAGGATGGAGAAGACAAGTGTCCCTGTTCTCGGCTGCCACTGCCTCTCAACTGGACAAAGTGAGGAACAGGGAACTCAAGTAACTGATTCAGGGACACAGAGTCAGAGGCAGAACCAAAGTCTGAATTCCTCACAGTGGCAAACTCTCGCTAAGTCCTTAAACTCAGGCTTCTCCTTGAGAACATGTTGTTTTCCATGCCCTCCTTAGGGGTTATGTGGGGGAACAAGCCCTATAAAACATCAAGTAAGCCACATTGTAGGTACCCAAAATGTGAGGGGAGGGAGTGCAGAGAGATCAGCAAGCCCCCCACCCCAATTTTTGCTAATACAAATGTTATGACCGCCGGGCGCAGTGGCTCATGCCTGTAATCCCAGCACTTTGGGAGGCCGAGGCGCGCGGATCACCTGAGGTCAGGAGTTCGAGACCAGCCTGATCAACATGGAGAAACTCCGTCTCTACTAAAAATACAAAATTAGCCGGTCGTGGTGGCACATGCCTGTAATCCCAGCTACTCGGGAGACTGAGGCAGGAGAATCGCTTGAACCCGGGAGGCGGAGGTTGCGGTGAGCCAAGATCGCACGCCATTGCACTCCAGCCTGAGCAACAAGAGCGAAACTCCATCTCAAAAAAAAAAAAAAAAAAGTTATGGTTTTAAGTGTTCTTAATGAAAACTTTGAAGAAAAATTAAAATCCTAGCACTTAGATAAACAATGTGGCATTCAGTGTACTGCCTTCAAATCTGTGTCCGCAGACTTTTTCCAGAATGCTATACAATTACACACTCTGCCTTTTTACTTAATGTTGCAACTCAATACTTCTCCATGTTATTGAGAACTCTGTAAAAGCTAATCACTCAGTAATACTGTCATGTTGTATTTTATTTAACCATTTCCCCTACTGCAAAATGCAGTGATTTTTCACTGATGTATGTCTTCAGCCTGGTCTTGAGAAAAAGGAAGGACAACCAGACCTCAGTGTTTCAGAGAAGTACCACTGGCTTTTGGGGCAGAATAATTTTTGTTGGTCGGGGCTGGCCCCACCTGTGAAATACTAGACATATAAAAAATACCCACAAAATCCCAAATGCCTTGCATGAGTATGGGAGAGAACTGCTGACAGGAGTTATTAACAGCATGGTAGAGTTTCAATTCCTTGGTTCCCTGTAACTCAGGTAACTTGGAAGTTAGCTTTGCATAATTGAGAACAACAACACAGGCTTTAGAGCCAGAGAAATCTAAGTTCAAATCCTGACACTACTATTTATTAACCATGAACTCTTCAGGTGCTACATAAACCCTCTACATAAATCCATATCTGCAAAGTGTGAATCCTGTGATCTCCTTACAGGGCTGCTGGCTGGATCACATGAGACAATATATGCAAAGCACCTTGCCTAGTTCCTGGAACCTGGAAGGATCAGGATCACAGGGGCCCTCAGAAACCACAGTGACATGTGAATGGCCCACACCGCAAAAGGGAAGGAACAGAAAGGAAATACACTACTTATGGAAGGATGGAGGAAGGGCCCCCTCTCAGCCAGAAATCTTTGCAACTTCAGGCAAAGCTTCCTTGTCCGGTTGCCATCGTCTGCAGGGATCTCCCATTAACAGTCCCTTCATTGCTGGCATCTTACCACCCCAACCCACCTACCTTAGCAATGGTGTTTGCTTCCTCCTTATACGCAGCGAGCTCAGTGGAGGAACTTGACTGGCCAACATGCTGGGCGCGAAAACAGCAGAAAAGGGCCTTGAAGATGTTACGTCCACGAGGCTTCTTAGGAGAGGACTTGGAGACCAGGCCTAGGGTGGAGAGAATGACAGAGGCTTTAGCTCTAGGGACATCAGTTTCTGTCCACAGATACTACCATGCCCATAGCTCTTCTAGTTTGTAAACTCTACTAGGGCACACAGTATACGGCTGGTGAACAACCACATACAGTTAACAGTCAAACATACATGTTTATTCCAGCCTTTTCTCTTTAAAGCAGGAATGTCAGGAATCCCCACTCTCTGGCTTGGGAGACCTGAGCCACAGAGCATTTGTTTTTCATTCCATCGGGGAAGATGGGGCCAGGCATAGAATCAAGGTGTTCTGCTGCTCCAGCTGCAGCACACTCAAAATTAATTCACGAAGACAAAAATCCTCCCTAACGTCAATTCCCAGGAAGACCATCGGTTCCAGACAACGGAGAAACCTGGTCCCCTTTGAGTTAGTGGAGCTGTAGTTCTGTTTAGCATCAGCTTCCCTAGATACTGGCTTAGTGGAGGCAGAACGGAGCCCAATTTGCCTAAAAACTTCAGGATAGAGGCCAGGTGCAGTGGCTCACGCCTGTAATTCCAGCACTTTGGGAGGCCAAAGCGGGTGGAGCACGAGGTCAGAAGATTGAGACCAATCTGGCTAACACGGTGAAACCCTGTCTCTACTAAAAATACAAAAAATTAGCCAGGTGAGGTGGCGGGTGCTTGTAGTCCCAGCTACTTGGGAGGCTGAGGCAGGAGAATGGCGTGAACCCAGGAGATGGAGCTTGCAGTGAGCCAAGATCGCGCCACTGCACTCCAGCCTGGATGACAGAGTGAGACTCCGTCTCAAAAAAACAACAACAAAAACAAACAAACAAACAAAACCAACAACAACAACAACAACAACAAAAAACCACTTCAGGCTAGAAACAAGAGACTAGGAACTCCAGAGCAGCCCCAGCCCCAAGGAAGAAACTACACTTTTTGTTCACAGCCTTGCCTCCCCTCCTCCACTCCAGCAGCTCTCTTTAAGGCCCCCTCCCCTCAAGGATGGGGAGCCTAATTGGTAAAACACAGATACCATGGATTAGCCCCTTAGAACACACATTCGCAGCCTCAGGTTCTAGGCTGATAGCCTTGCTTCTGGACTGCAGCTGCTTAGTCCTACCTTGATCATTTGGGCGGTGGAAACAAAGTCATTTTATTTTTATTGATTTATTTATTTTTTTGAGATGGAGTTTTGCTCTTGTTGCCCAGGCTGGAGTGCAATGGAGCGATCTCGGCTCACCACAACCTCCACCTCCTGGGTTCAAGCGATTCTCCTGCCTCAGCCTCCTGAGTAGCTGGGGTTACAGCCATGCGCCACCACGCCCAGCTAATTTTGTACTTTCAGTAGAGATGGGGTTTCTCCACGTTGGTCAGGCTGGTCTTGAACTCCTGACCTCAGGTGATCCGCCCATCTCGGCCTTCCAAAGTGCTGGGATTACAGGCGTGAGCCACTGCGCCTGGCCACAAAGTCATTTTAATAGAAGACTTGGCAAGACATCCCCAGAAAGGCCAAGCAGATAAAAAAAAAAAAAAAAAAAAATTATGAGCATTACAGGATCAACTAGAAATGGACTTAAGAATATCTTTTGTGCTGGGTGTGGTGGCTCACGCCTGTAATCCCAGCACTTTGGGAGGCCGAGGCAGGTGGATCACTTGAGGTCAGGAGTTTGAAACCAGCCTGGCCCACATGGTGAAACCCTGTCTCTACTAAAAATACAAAACAGCCGTGCGTGTGGCACGCGCTTGTAATCCCAGCCACTTGGGAGGCTGAGGCAGGAGAACTGCTTGAACCCAGGAGGTGGAAGTCGCAGTGAGCCGAGATCATGCGACTGCACTCCAGCCTGGCCGACACAGCAAGACTCGTCTCAAAAAAAAAAAGATTATCTTTTGCAAGTTCCTTTTGCTATAGATGAAATTTTCTGATGACTGTTGAGCAAGAGTAGAAAGATACAATGGTCACTGTGGCCAGGAGGTGGCACTGCACAACCACTCACAGAATGGTCCTTGGTCCCAGTTCTCTTCTCCAGAGGGTCTTGAGTTTCCTAGAGCCTGAGCAGGAGATGGGCCCAATGATTAAACCCAAGCCATTCCAGTTTAAAGCACAGGGCAAACTACTGTGCAGGAAAATGGATGCCGGAAATGCCTCTGTCTTTGTGGGGAAAAGAAACGAAAGCAGAATGTACCACGAAGAACAAACTGCCCTGTGTTGTTCCTTGGGACAGAGATAAAGGGAGGAGGAAGACAATGTGGTAGGGGCTACCTAGGAGCAACACACCCAGAAAATGTACCAAGGTGGCCCTTGCAGAAGTGGGTAATGGAAGAGCCATTTAACATCCAGTTACTGGGCTGCCAGTACCCCCTGGAGAGGAGCAGGGAAAGATCAAACTATTCCACAGGACCAAGGGTGAGAAAATGGCCTTTACACAGCAGTTGGACAAGTATAGTCAGCATCACTCCTAGGATAAGGGACTCAGCTCTGCCTCAACAGAAAGGCAGAGGACTTCCTGCAGGTGCAGGCTCAGCCTCCCCAGTTGGCTGGTCCAGAGCTTGCGCGCATGCTCTCTCTCTCTCTCCTCCCTGGGTTAGGCCAGATTCCTTAACATTGGTATGGCCATTGGAAACTTTTTAGAAAATGACTGGGGCTTTCCAGCAATTAGCCTGAAAGCCTGGACATCACTTTCAAGCTCCTGGCTCTGGAAGAGGAACCAAAATTTCCAGGGACAGGGATTTTGTCATGAAGTTGTGCTGGGGACATCCCCCAGAGCCCTTTATCAAGGAGAAAAAATTCAGCAGAGCCCAGCACTCAAAGAGTCCAGGATAAGCTGAGCACGGTGGCTCATATAGGAGGACTGCTCAAGCTCAGAAGTTCAAGACCAGCCTGGGCAACATAGCAAGACCTCATCTCAAATTTAAAAAGAAAAGACAGGGCGGTCGTGGTGGCTCACACCTGATATCCCAGCACCTTGGAAGGCCGAGGTGGGCGGATCGCCTGAGGTCAGGAGTTCGAGACCAGCCTGGCCAACATGGTGAAACACCGTCTCTATTAAAAATACAAAAAGTAGCCGGGCGTAGTGGCACACACCTGTAGTCCCAGCTACCTGGGATGCTGAGGCAGGAGAATCACTTGAATCCGGGAGGCATAGGTTGCACTGAGCTGAGATCGGGCCACTGCACTCTAGCCTGGGCAACAGAGCGAGACTCTGGCTAAAAAAAAAAAAAAAAAAAAAAAAAAAAGGAAAAGAAAAAGAAAAAAACAAAAGACAGCAAGACAGAGGTTCCTTGGACTTTCCCTATTTCTATGCTGAAATTGGAGGGAAAGGACAGCTTCCCCACCTTGCCTGCATGGCTCACATTAAATTCTAAGCTCAGGGACTCAGGACAGACGCTGACACAAAGCTCCAAGACCAAAGCTGAACCATCGCTTTCCCTTTGGTTTATGGTTTCTTCATGCAGAACCACAATCAGAGGCTTAACCCGGGCACAGAGTCTTTTTTAAAAGGCCACACAGCCTGGGCTTTTCCTGAAGAGAGGCCGTCAGGAATGCACTCAGCATCTTAGTGACAGACGCTGTGAAGGCTGAGTAATCCTGAGAGGTTGCGGGGGTGAAAGGGGCAGCTGGCTGGGGGCATGGAAAGGCCTGGCTTGCGCCCGCTGCAGGGAGCCCAACAGGCAGAAGCGCCTCAGTCCTAGATGGGGAGGGAGCTTGGACTCTGCAGGGGATGAGGGTCTTCTCAAAAACCCAATGTGGCCGGCAGCCCCTGGGCCTCTGAGACCACAAATGCCTTGACCTTGGGGGCAGGAGCTTGAAGCAGAGTACCTCAGACCCACAACAGCAAGGTCAATACCTCAGGCATCCCTCATTCCCCACTCCCTTGATGGGGCCCTGCTTCCCTCCATCCTTTTCCAGGCTGGCTGTCCTCCTTTCCTTTCTAAATACTACTCCAGAGAATTCATCAGAATGCATCAGCCTCTCCCAGCATGACTGCCTCCCTGCAAGGCCTACAATGGCCCCAACCCAGTGCATTCATCAGCCTCCGTGACCCTCTGCGTACCAGGTGCTCAGTAACTTTGCCTGGTTGAGTGAATGACTCCAGGGGCCTCCAGGGCCTGTCATGTCTACAGAGCTAGGACCTGGGGAAGCCTCCACTAGTTTGCAACAGCCCAGAAGAGTTAGATAGAGAAGCCTCCTTTATGTGAGGAGAGGAAGGTGAGCACTGAGGGAGCTGGGCCCCTAAGGCAAACCACTGAGTCTTTCTAGGCCACCGCCATGTTTACTGAGCATCAAGGATGTGCCAGGTCTGCGTTAGACACTTGACATCATTACCTCATTTAATCCTTACTATTAACACTTTGGTAGGCACTAGTTCCCCACTTTACAGAAGGGAAACTAAAGCACAGAGAGGTTAAGTAACCTGGCTCACGGTCATGCAGGTAGTATGACAGCAGAGCCAGGATTTGAACTCAGATCTGCCTGAACCCAGAGCCCAGGCTCTTAACCATTACCCTGTATAGGGTCTCATACACATTTACTTATGCAACAAATGGGAGGTGTAGGGGCACTCTCAAGGTCTCTTCTGGAAAACTTTTTTTTTTTCTAAGACAAGAGTCTCATTCTGTTGCCCAAGCTGAAGTGCAGTGGTACAATCATGGGTCACTGCAGCCTTGATGTCCCAGGCTCAAGCAATCCTCCTACCTCAGCCTCCCAAGTAGCTAGGACTACAGTCTTCTTGGGAACTTTTGCTCTCTGCCTCTCTAGGATGAGCTGGTAAAGGACCAGTCTGGGGTCTAGCCCCTACCCCTTGCCCCAGGTTTTCTTGGGCAGGATGTCAAAGTTGGAAGGGGTAAAACAGCACAAGGCTCTGGGATTCCACTCCAGGGAATCCACCCCCACCCCTGCCTGCACCTGCTCTGACCAGCAGATACCTCTGGGGGATCAAGATGACAATGGGGCAGAGGAGGAAGGAGGGGTTGGAGCCAGGAGCTTTGGTCCAAGACCTGCATTGTTCCTTGGTTAAGGGTGAGGGAACCACAGAGTTCAGAGAGGGATCTGAAACTTGTGTCAAAGAGCCTTTCAATGGCTCCTTTCAGCCAGCACTCAGCATTGTGTCCTTGACAGCCAGGTGCAGGCCATCCCCTACCCATCTGTGTGTGATGGGGAGGGGCACAGCCTGCCTTTCCAGGAGAGGAACACTGGGCACAAGAGGATTTACAGGCCCACAGCGATTTCCTTCTTTAAAAACAGAACAAAAAAACAGAGGCTGGGCATGGTGGCTCATGCCTGTAATCCCAGCACTTTGGGAGGCCGAGGCGGGCGGATCACCTGAGGTTGGCAGTTTGAAACCAGCCTGACCAACATGGAGAAACCCCGTCTCTACTAAAAATACAAAATTAGCCAGGTATGGTGGCACATGCCTATAATCCCAGCTACTCGGGAGGCTGAGGCAGGAGAATCGCTTGAACCCAGGAGGCAGAGGTTATGGTAAGCTAGAGATCATGCCATTGCACTCCAGCCTGGGCAACAAAAGCAAAATTCCATCTCAAAAAAAAAAAAAAAGGAAAAAGAAAGAAACCCTGTCTCTACTAAAAATACAAAATTAGCCAGGCGTGGTGGTGCATGCCTATAATCCCTGCTACTTGGGAAGCTGAGGCAGGAGAATTGCTTGAACCCAGAAGGCGGAGGCTGCGGTGAGCCAAGATCACACCATTGCACTCCAGCCTGGGCAACAAGAGCGAAAATCCGTCTCAAAAAAAAAAAAGGGATGAGGTCTCACTATGTTGCCCAGGCTGGCCTTGAACTCCTGGGCTCAAGCAATCCTCCTGCCTCATCCTCTCAAAGTGCTAGGATTACAGGCATGAGCCACCATGCCTGGCCCCCGTAGGAAATTCATTGCACATGGTTTCCCCAACCAGGGAGGGCAGGACTCCAGCGGATGCCATGTAGCCCAACTACGAGCTGCTCTCCCTCCTTCATTCCCTGCTACCCTCTGCGGACACCCAGCCCTCCTCTTCTGCCCAGATGCAGATGTGCTTCTGCTTTCTCTGCCCCAAACATTTGGTTTGGGGCTAGATGTCTGAGAGGACTAGCACAGACCCAATGAGGGAAGCAGCTCTGGCTTAAGAAGAAAGTGAGCTGGTGGCTGAAGACAGGGAAACCAGGCCAGCCATCCAGCTCACTGCTGCGAGTCTTCCTACTGAGGCGGGGTGTGAGGAGAAGAGGGGATGTGAGGAGTATGCCCCCACTGAGGATCATCAGGGCTGGGGTCCAGGCTCTGCCAGTTACTGACTCAGCCACACAGCCTTTTGGAGCCTTAGTTTCCTCATCCATAAACTGGGATAACAGCAAGCCCTCACTCAGGACTGAAAGGATAAACGAAGTTAGAGAGTAAGGCACTGTGCTAACTCTAAAGCTAAATGCTGCGCTTGTTTTAATTAATTATCCAAGGGGAGATGACCACTAAATGGCAACATCATGGGCCTCATTCCAGGAGGCCAGCAACAGACCAGGAGCCCTCCCACCATCATCACGTGGATGAAGCCCAAGAAGATGAGGGAAAGGTGCCTGAGAGCTCTGATCATGAGCAGGTTTCAGAAAGTCAAAATAGCCCCTATACCTTCTCCCAAGTCCACAACAAAATTTGTTTTCCAGCTCACAAACTCCCTGACTGGGTATTCTGTGAAAAACAAAAGCAAGTAAGACTGTTTCACTTGAGACAAAAATCGCTGTCTCCCCTGGTATTCATCCCCACTACTCTCAAGAAGTACCAGGTAAGGACACTATTTGCCCCTATGCATGGGCCGGGGTAGGTGGCTCAAGCCTGTAATCCCAGCACTTTGGGAAGCTGGGCCGGTTGGATCACTGCAGCTCAGGAGTTCAAGACCAGCCTGAGCAACATGGCAAAATCCTGTTCTACCAAAAAAAAATTAGCCAGGTGCACCTGCAGTCCCAGCTTGGCAGGCTGAAGTGGGAGAATCACCGGAGCCCAGGAGTTTGAGGCTGCGGTAAGCCGTGATTGCACCACTGCACTCCAGCCTGGGTGACAGAGTGAGATTTTGTCTTTAAAAAAAAAAAGTGTACATGTACAAACACGTGAACACGTGCACACATACACACAAACGAAGACCAGAGTGACCAGGGCAACACTGTTTTTAATCTTCTCCTGAAAGTCAGGTCCAGATACCACTTTTGTCAACAACACAGCTTTGTGTCCCAGCAAAGGAACTCCTCACACATCTGCCTGCGATTCAGCAGAAGGTAACCTCTGAGACAATCAGATTTTAACAAGCCCATTCAGGTAGAAAGTTGCTTTCTTTTTTGGTTCATCCCCAGAAGTACTTCCTTCCCCACCACCTCCCATCCCCCACAGCAAAGGACTTAGCCTTAGCCTGGCTATCACTATAAAATGGCCCCTCTGAGGGGCCTCCTTCCTCTCAGCTATTGGAGGAAGGAGAGTATTTGGAGCATTTCCGGCCCTTCTTGGACGGCTGCCTGAACCCTGCAGCCAAGACACATTTGACTGGGACTCCCCCATGGAGAGAAGTCCTCCCAGGTCCTCTGCAAGGGGCATCTGTTCCTTGGCTATGGACATGCCCTAAAGTGCCAGGTGGACGGAAGAGCTCCTGGGACCAGCAGGTGAGTCGGCAGGGAACAAAAGAGGGTGAGATGCCTAGACAGCCCCCACACACAAAAGACTGCAAACAATGGGGAGGGTGTACTGCTTTCATGCCTGGCCACTGACACTGTTCTCTACAGCTAACAAGCAAGGCAGGGCCGGACCCAGCTTAGCACCGGCTCCCGAAGTTCCAAAAAGTAGCTGTGTATCTAACTGCATGGGCATTTTTTGAAAAAAGCAGTTTTAACACTTTGGGGGGCAAAGGCAGTGGGGATCACTTAAGGTCAGAAGTTCGAGACCAGCATGACCAATATGGTGAAACCCCATCTTTACTAAAAATGCAAAAATTAGCAGGGTATGGTAGTGAGCTCCTGTAATCCCAGCTACTCCGGAGGCTGAGGCACGAGAATCACTTGAATCCAAGAGGTGGAGGTTGCAGTGAGCCGAGATCACACCATTGCACTCCAGCCTGGGGGACAGAGCAAAACTCTGTCTCAAAATAAATAAATAAATAAATAAAATTTAAAAAATTAAAAAGCAGTTTTAGCCATGCTGTTTGGCCCATACCAGCATGTTGTATGCTGGTGCCCTCTCTGCACCAGCAACTGGGGCAGCTCTACCTAAGCCAGTGTCTCCATTAGTTCCCTTTCCCTGGGCAGGAGAGCTCCCTATATGGCTGTCTCTTCTTTCAGACCTGAGTCCTTAATGCCACCTGTGGGGCGAGGGTCACAGGTCACACACTTTCTTGTCTCTGCCCCTTCAGCAATCTGTTCTCTGACCTCAGCTAGAGAGGTAAGAGGACTCAGTTTTGGGAGCAGGGGATTTCTGGCAGTTCTAAAGCACGCTGATTTCAGAATCAGCCTCTAAAGGAGGTATTGCCAAAACACCCTCCTGGGCAGCTCCAACGTACTTTAAAAACGTGCTGGGTTGGGGTGGGCCTCCATAAGTAGCAGATCCTGGACCAGAGACAGAGGAGGCGTTTCCTCATAGACAAGTCAGCTGCAGGCTCAGCCCTGCAAGCCCCACTCCAGAGGACTCTTGAGGGATGTCAGGAAGTGATCTAATAGCCCACAGGGCAGCAGGGACAAGCCTGAGATGCCATCCAAGAAAACTCAAAGGACTGGATCCTGCCCCTGCCTCAGCAGGAGACCCTGCCCTATGTAGCACCAGCCAGAGCAAAGGTATCATTGTGAGGGATTGGAAACCACACTTGCCTACCTGGAGTTACCCCTCCTTCCCCCTAAGGAGGTGTATAACAAGCCCCTGTGGGAGGGGCTACACACAGACAACCTCTCAGTGAGTGTTTCAAGTTCCTGCCTTAGTGCTGTGCCCTTGACTCCTGGAATGCTTAGATATAGTTGAAGCCTAGGAAGAATCCACTGCTTCTTTCCCTTCCAGGTATGTAGGCCTGCTTTAGGTTGATACAAACGTGAGCTGGAGAAAGCAGTGAGGACACAGGACAAAGCAAGGGTATCTGTTCTGACCAGGGAAAAATACAGTGGTGACACAAGGCACCCAGACTTGAGTTCGAATCTAGGCTCTGCCATGTGTAAGGTATGCAGCCATGGGCCTCAGTTTCTTCATCTGCAAAATGGGAAGACTACCTATTTCTCAGTGTCAGAATTGCAGGGAGCTCAGGGAGTGTCCTGGTCCTAACAAAAGCTTTGTAAGTGTCAACTGCTACTCATTAAGTGCAAAGTACTTTCATACTCTTACCTCAGTCTCCATCTCAAAATGTTCACATTAAAGGGACCATAGAGATTTCTTCTAACTCATTTCAGAGGTAGTAACAGGGCCAAACCGGAAATGATGTTTTCCGGGACTCCACAAAAACGAATCAGTCGCACACACACATACACACTCATTGAGGCTGGCCAACCAGTTCCTCCTTCATATGGCTGGCCTCTGCAGAAGGAATGGAAGGAGTCTGCCAGGGAGGCACCCATCTCCAGGGACATTCTGCTGCTCCCCCCACACCCCTCAGCTTCACCTATGACCAGCCAAGCCGTATAGGTGAGTCCACTTGAGAAAGTACTGATCTAGAAGTCAGGAAACCCAGCTCTTGCTCCAGTTCAGCTTTTCAACAGTTCCGTGGCCTTGCTAGGGCACAATTCTCTGGGGTTCAGTTTCCTCATAAGCCAATCTGGAAAGGTTTCCCCTGCATGGTCCCTTAAAAGGTGGCTTCACCTGAAGCATGCACCTGAATCATGAACTCAAAAGCACTCTAAAAGGTGAAATGTTAGGCCGGGCACGGTGGCTCAAGCCTGTAATCCCAGCACTTTGGGAGGCCAAGGCGGGCGGATCATGAGGTCAGGAGATCAAGACCATCCTGGCTAACACAGTGAAACCGCGTCTCTACTAAAAATACAAAAAATTAGCCGGGCGTGGTGGCGGGCGCCTGTAGTCCCAGCTACTCAGGAGGCTGAGCCAGGAGAATGGCATAGACCCAGGAGGTGGAGCTTGCAGTGAGCTGAGATCGAGATCGCGCCACTGCACTCCAGCCTGGGCGACAGAGCAAGACTCCATCTCAAAAAAAAAAGTGAAATGCCAGACAATGCAAATGTCTGGCTGACACTAGCCATGTACCCTTGGGCAAAGTCCTTCCCTCTCCCTGTGAAAGTTTTCCTTATCTGTAAAGTGAGGTTAATTCCTCTTATTGGAAAGGAAAAGTTGTCAGGAGAACTAAGTGAGATACGAGATATAAAATGCTAGGAATAGTACCTTGCCTATGGCAAGTACTCTATAAATATTGGCTGTAACCATTACTGGGTAAACAAGGATGGATCATTACTCTGTCCATTTACTCTGAAAACTTTAGGACTCCCCTTGAAGAGCCACAGATCTTTAACATACAGTAAAACGGGACCACCAAGAGGAATTTTCCTGCTCGGGGCAAAACAGGCAGTTGGGGCCACTGCTGTGCCTACCTGGCTCTTCTCCAGGGGCACCTGTCAGAGCCACAAGGAGCATTTGGAACACATGCATGCCTGACCCACCTGCCCATGCGCTGATTCAGCAGATCCCAGGTGGGGGGTCTGTATTTTTAGCAAGTGTCACAGGAGACTCTGATGTGTGTCCCTGGCTGAGAGCCAGTATCTACCGGTTGCCAGGGTCTCTGACTAACCCAGGGCTAGAAGGCAATTCAGCCAAAGTCCCCTTGGCCCCTCTCCCCACCGTACCTGACTGGCTCAGTGTTTCTGCAAGCCTTAGAGGACTCATGCCTAGGATCCAGTTTTCTTCTCTAGGGGTAGTTCTATGTGACGTGAGTCAGAAAACCTGGGTCTGCTGTCTCTACCTGCAGGCCCCTGTTCCTGTGAAAGAGGGGTCCTAGCTCTATTCTGCTGCGGGAACAGAAAAGCTGGGATCTACTATCCAGGAAGCCTTCCGCAGGCAATTTGAGCCTTTCCATGAGTCTGCTTGGCTCTCACTGGGATTGGGGCCATATTTGTTCCCTGGGAACAATGCAGATGGGAAAGTGCAAATTCAAGAGGATGGAAAAAGCTGTGGCAAGAAATAAAAGAAGGTATAGAATAAAAAGAGAGTAAGAGCAAAGTCTGATTTGGGGGGATGGGGGTGGGGGAAGGACTAGAGCACCTAGGAGGGAAATGGAAATGTCAGATCCACTCAGAGATCAGGTTCAAGGCTAACTCCTAGAATAGCTAACATAAAACAGGGCATACACACTTTTGCCTAGAGGGAGGCTGTGGCGCTCACTGGAGTACCCTGTGATAACAGATCCTGGTGCAGGCATACTCAGACCTGAAGGGCTGGGCATTTTGCCAGACAAAGAAACTCCATTCTATTTGGTCTCTGGTCCAGAGATGCTTCCAGTTTTAAGTCGTCAACTTATCCACTTTAATTTCTAGTACTTTCTTTGTAAGATTTGCGTGTTAATGTGCTCATCTGCATCCCAGTTCAGAACTACTACTCCATTTCAGAAAAGTGAGGGAAATATGTCAGGGCCACACCCAATCCCACGTCCCAAAGACAAGCGAGTTAATTCCATGCTTCCCAGAGCTGGCCAGACTAAGACAAGATGAAAAGCAGATCAATGCTGCTTTTGTACTTTCTCAATGTTGTACCCCAAAACCACAGGAGCAAACAAATAGCTTAAGAACATCTATTTCTCTTCAAACCCCATTTTCTTTTTCCCCCTCTTATTAAAATTACCTAAAAGAAACCTCAATCTCTCTGAATTCATTAACTCTCAAAGCAGACAGTGAGAGAATGTAGCATACAGTTGTCCTGAATATTCGTTATATCCATATTTGAGAACCTCTAAGGAAGTTTAGACTTTAGAGACTCACAGGGGGCACATGCCTGGCCTTCTCCCACCCCCAGATGCCCAGGCACCAGACAGAATGGCCAAAGTCCCACAGCCCAGGCAGATAACAAATCACATCCCAAGTCACATGACACAAAGAAGGGGTCTGTGCAGCAAGGCTGTTTGTAAGCCTAAGAGGTTGATCCTTCCAGAAGGCCCAAGCCCCCACAATCAGTGTCCCCTCTGACCCCCGGCCACCTGTCTTGAAAAATAAAACCCACAAGACTACGTGCTGTTTACACTGTGTCCTTGGGGGAATGGAGGAGGGCGAACAGAGTAGTCTAACTATGTAAAGAGGGAGGACATTAATATTTATCAAGCACCTACTAAGTACCAAGTATAATAGAAGGGTAGATATCATTATTACTACTTTATAGATAAGTTACTCAGAATACTAAAGTGATTTATCAAGTCTCATTGCAAATAGGAAAAGAAGGTATTTGAACCCAGGCCTGAAGCAATTTTGCTTCAGAAACAATGCTTTGAAGTAACAATGTAAACTTTAACCACCATCCCTGACCCTGGTCCCCACTCTGTCCAATCTAAGAACCAAACTTACCATGATGGGAATAAAAGACAATACCCCAAATTACCCAAAAGCTAGCAGAAAAAAAAAATTGTAGGAGGAATTGGAAGGGAAGCTATGTATTGATATGTACACACATACACACAATCCCATATATATTTACATATTGTCTTTCTTTTCCATGCTTATTTACAAACACTTTAATTCTTCACAGGTTGGGAGCATCAATTCACGTTGGCTAGAAATGTGACTTCTTTAGTATTTACCATTTTAACAAAATCCATGATAAGGGATTTGGAAGGTCCCATGGAAAGGATGAAATGACACCTCTCTGCTACCCAGTTTCTTTAAGACCTCTACGGTTGAGAAGAGAGGACAAAGGAACACCCCCACCTCTGCCATCCTCCGAGGGATTTTTCACAGCAATTCCAGTGCTGCTCAGTGGAAAGCTCTGCAAGTCAACTGCAAACCCCCAGCCCCAGATGTTAGGCATTTACAAACTTTGTTGCTGATTTATCAGCGCTCCTCTGCAATTTTGGGGACAGGAGCAAACACAAGCTTAAGTCACCACGCAGGCTGCAACCCTTACCCAAAGATGGGGGAAAAACTCCAAAGGAGATGCAGGAGGGAGCCTCAGCAGTCACTGTGAGAGCACAAAGAGGCCAAGACCCAGGGTAGGCAAAGGAAGGTGAGAGGCACCAGCAGGGCAGGAGGAGGAGCCAGCTATAAACATGCAGGCTTCCCGCCCCCTGCATAGCAAGCTATGGAAGGAAGCTCCAGCAAGATTCATGTCTAAGCTTTTCAAGTTAAAGGCTTGCCTACATCTACAGTGAACGGTGTCTGAACAACTTTTTGAGGGAATAAGGCAGAATTTCTCCCTTATGCGGATAACAAAAGAGCTAGCCATCCTGAAAACTTGCCACATCGTAATTTTCAGAGATGGTCAGTCTCTCAGAAGAATCCTTGCAATTAGCTATCAGAACCTGTCCAGTTCGGCATGTGAGAAGGTAATCCAGGGCATCATCGAGAGGAAGGGGCATCAGGATTCATGGACAACAAAAAAATCTCTGATTCCTCCAAAAGGCGTGTGGGTCACTGAGCTCCGGAAGAGGCTGCCTCCACCAGGTCTCATTTCACGTTGGGAGGTTACAGCGTGGGTCTTGTTTCCTTGGCTTTCCCCCATCTAATCCCAAAGCCAAGGTCACAACCTCTTAGCAATGGGGTGACAATCTCATATAGAGCTGCAATCAACAGCCATTCTTGCCAAGCTGATATTAACATTTCTTTTTTCTTTTTGATGTTACACACAATCCTGTCCTTGCTGTACCAGAAAGCCATTTCACCCATCTGTCTGGGAAGATGATCCAATTTTGGTGCTTTTATCATCAATGCTTTCAGCAACTTTGTTCTACTTCCCCTACTGTAATTACTTTTGAATCATCAACGCACCCAGACAGCCTTAAACCTCAGAGAACAGAATGCTAAAAAAAGAAAAAAAAAACCCGCAATGGCAAGTAACTTCACTAAATAGCCACCCAAGCTAGGAGCAATTTGTTTCTTTCCAGAAATTTACTTATTAATAATAAGTACCTCACACTCCTTCTTCCCCTTTTTCCAAAGGCAGGCAAGGCATGGAGATGGGATGTTGTGGAGAGGACGGAGTGGGGAGAAGAAGGAACTCCAAAAGGAGCCAATTAAAACATCTGCTTCCCCAGTCCCCCAGCTTTTGTTTTTTGTTTTGTTTTGAAGACGTAGGTTTTGTTTGTAAATGATGTGGGACTCAGAAAGTTGGTTTAGTGGTTGCTGGGTGCCTAAGCAGCCCAGGAAGAAAGTCTGTCTTCTCTGGAATGCAATCAAATTACATGGGGAGGGGCCGGGCGCGGTGGCTCACGCCTGTAATCCCAGCACTTTGGGAGGCCGAAGGGGGCTGATCACCTCAGGAGTCGAGACCAGCCTGGGCAACTGGCGAAACCCCTGTCTCTACTAAAAAATACAAAAAAATTAGCCAAGCGTGATGGCGCGCGCCTGTAATCCCAGCTACTTGGGAGGCTGAGGCAGGAGAATTGCTTGAATTTAGGAGGCGGAGGTTGCAGTGAGCTGAGATTGCGCCACTGCACTCTAGCCTGGGCAACAGAGTAAGACTCCATCTCAATTAAAATAAAAAATTACATGGGGAGGGAGAGACCCAGTGGCTGCTGGCTTAAACCACACACACAAAAAAGGAGAAACATTAACTCCAAGAAAATCCAACACCAGCAACTTAACACTGTCAAGCCAGTTGCTTTGCTTTCTGCTGTTATCTATTCTGTAGCCTGCCATTCACCCTGGTGGATGAAACTTCCAGCTCTGATTTCTAAGATGCCCCGGCGCAGTCCAGCTTTCCCTTACTCCTCGCGTGGCCCCACGATGCCCAAGGCACACTCCCTGCAAGAGAGTCCCTGCAAGAGAGGAAGACCTAGTGGGGAAGCACAGGGCTCCTCCCCCTACTCATCACCACTGCCCCCTCTTGAATCCCCCCACATCTAGGTTTCTTCCCCTCTGGCTAGCTCTTAGGGTCTTTTCCTGGGATAAAAAGGGAGTGGGAAGAGTCAGGAGTGAGCTATAAACACACGCAGGCTCCCTTCCTTTTTCAGCCATCAGCACAGTTGAGCAGCCAGCAGAGGCGGTGAAGTTGCTGCCTGGGTCACAGCCTGGTTAGTGATGCAGCCAGGAGAGCAGAAATCATGGCAACACCGAGGTCAGGGAGGCCGGAGCCTTCTCGGGGGTTGGGATCTGAGTAGGCAAGGCCATCCCTTCTCAGGGCAGGCTTATTTAAAGTCCGGCCAGTGATGCAAGAGGAACACACTGCCTCCCTCCCCCCACCCTTCCCCCCTCCCAGCTCCTCTCGTTCCACTGAGGGAATTTGGGAGAGGCTGACACCACCAACTCAGCGGATTTGCCCCTAGGGAAGTTGGGGGAGCTCCTTGGAACGTGAACCCCAGGAATTAGTGACCTGCTGACTAATGTTGCCAAACGGGGAGACGTGGGGCGCACGAGGCCCCGAAGCTGGCCGCCCACCAGGCTCTAGGCCTCAGTGTGTTCAACTGCAGCACCGGCCCTTCGCGCTCGGTGGAGAAGGGGAGGGAGCGCTCCGGCTTCGGCCCCAGGAGCCAGCTCCCGCCCCAGCCTCCGGGGCCAGGTGGCCCCGGTCGGGGGGCTCTCTAGAGAAACGCCACACTCGTCCTTACACCCCGCGGAAAATCTGCCGCTATTTTGGACACATTCCTCAAGGCCAAAAGAAGAACGTGGCGGAGGGGGAAAGAGTTTCGAGTCTCCCACTGTGACCAAACTAAGAGGTTCCACCCTCGGGCCCCAGCTTTCTCCCGCCCCGGGAGAGGCCTCGGCCTCCGCCTCACCCCCGCGAGGGCCTGCGGGCCCCCTCGCGCCTCCACCTGACGCTCTGGAAGGCGGGGGCCGCCAGCCGCTGCCCACAGAGAACTCGCACTTTTTCGCTGCGCGATTCAGAACCACGCCGGGTCTGATGCCATCCGGCGAATTATGTAACCAGGGACACCGCTCCCGGGCTAAACAAACGCGGCTCTGTGTGTGCAGCGCCGGCCCCGGGGGAGCGCACCGGGCAGGGAGGGGCTCTGGCCGGGCCTCAGGGTCGGGCTTGTTTGCTCAGCGAAACTGGTCAGAGGCAGCCGGGAGGGAGCCCGACGCCGCCAAGGTCCCGGGGCCTGCGCTGAGCCGGGAACCCGCCACGTCTGGTGCGCCAGGGCCCGGGCCCCTCCCCCACCGCGACCGCCCCCGCCTCCAAGAGGTGAACTTGGTCCCAAGTCCCGCCGGACGCCGTCACCGCCAGCTAGCTGCCCGAACGACCTCGGGCTTGGGGGGGCCTGCAAGTGCTGGACTCCAGTCTCGGTTCCGTTCCACCTGGGGCTCCCTCTGTCACCTTCCTAACCCCTCCCCGCGATCCCGGGGCAGCCGCGCGCGGCGGTGAAGGAAAGTGACGACCCCACCCCCAACTCCGGAGGCGGTGGACGCGGAGTGGCCCAGTGCTTCGAGAGCTACCCCTCCGTCTCTCAGCCCCGAGGGGGAGGGGTTGCGGGACAGGGTGACAGCTGCGCCGAAGACGCCCTTTCCGCTCGGGCGCCGGGATCCCCGTGCAACCCCCACGGAGGTCTGAGTGCCAGCCGGGATGCGGGGGCGGATGGACCGGAGGGGTCCAGTCGGGATCGCTGGCTCTAAGCCCTGGAGGTCAAGGGCCGAGACCTGGGTTCGGGGCTGTGCTAGCCCCCTCCGCGCCCGGGGGCGACGCAAAGTTTTGGGAAGTTGCTGCCCCTACCTTGCTTGGTGAGCACCAGGGCGTCTTCCCTCCGCGCCTGGGTGATGATGGAGCCGTGTTCCATCTAACAATCCCGCGGGCCCGGGCTGGCTGGGCGGGAGGACGGGCGGGCGCGCGGGCTGGGCTGGGCTGGGGGGCCTGGGCGGGGGCCCGCTCCGGCTCCCGAGACTCCGACTTCCACAGCTGTTCACATCCCCCCTCTCGTTTCCTCCCCGGACCGGGAAGGGAGGCGGCCTGTACAAAGGGCGGGCGGCCCGGGCAGCGGCTCCCCCGGGTGCCCCCGGCCCCGATCCCCCAGCGGCAGCTCCGGGCTCCTCAGTTTGGGTCCAACATGGAGAATCCGGAGCGAAAACAAGAGGAGGAAATGGGACACGGGGCGGTTTCCAGGCTCCCCCCTCCCCTCCGTACTCCAGATAAACAACCCGCGGCTGCAGCGCCCACCCCCGCGCGCCTCCCGGCTCTCGACTCGGCCTCTTCACGGCCAGCTGGAGCTTCCCGCTGGGGGCTGCGTCCTAGGCCCTGGGACCCTCCATCTGTGAGCGGCCGGGGCTGCGGACAGTCGGGAGCTTTGCTATTTTGTTACGGAAAAAGCGAATCCTCAAGGGGGGTGGGGTGGCGGGCGGGCAGGCTGGCGGGGGAGACTTGAAACCGTTCCGGTGCTCCGATTGGCTCTCTTGGAGAAAAGGGGCGTGGCCCCTCCTTACTATGCGGTGAGAGGACCTAACAACATTCCAGGCGCCACGGCCACGCCCCCGGGCCACTCCCCCCGCGCCAGACTGCGGCCTCCCAGTCTCCTCGGCCACACCCCCTTCCCAACTATTTAAAAGGCCGCTCCGAAGCTCACGTTCTGGTGCTCTGTGCTGGGGTGTTCTTTTCTCGGAGGGCGCACTCGGGGAAGGTGGAAAGGTTTCCCCCTTCAGGGGTGACCAAGACAAGCCGCTAAGCCTAACCTGACTCCAGCAGGGGATGGGGCGGATCGGAAGTTACCTTACCCCCCTGCTTAGCCCTAGAATCAAGGACGTACCAAGTCACATAAAAGTACAACCGTCGAGGCCAGGCGCGGTGGCTCACGCCTGTAATCCCAGCACTTTGGAAGGCCGAGGTGGGTGGATCACGAGGTCAGGAGTTCAAGACCAGCCTGGCCAAGATGGTGAAACCCCGTCTCTACTAAAAATACAAAAAAATTAGCCGGGCGTGGTGGCGGGCGCCTGTAATCCCAGCTACTCGGGAGGCTGAGGCAAAGACTTGCTTGAACCCGGGAGGCGGAGATTGCAGGTAGCCGAGATCGCGCCACTGCACTCCAGCCTGGGCGACAGAGCGAGACTCTGTCTCAAAAAAAAAAAAAAAAAAGTACAACCTTCGAATCCCGAAAGGGGTGTGTGCGTGTGGGCGGACCTAGGACTCCAGAGTATAAGAGCTGGAACTGACCTCGGGACTGTGTCCCCCAAAACACTGAAAATGAGACCTGAGGTGCTGGGCTTTCCTCACACCCACCGACTTACTCCCATTTAGGCGGCCCCGACTCCGCCCCTCCTCCCTACCTCCCTCATCCTACCCCTCTCTTTTTGCCCCCACAGTCCCAGCTTCCTTTAGATGGATGGAGGTCTCTCGGAGGAGCTTCAGCTTTGTGGACTCAGGCTGCCTTCCCCACTTGCTCTTTAGGCCTCGGGGCACGCTCCGCTGGCTACAGCTCCTGGAGTCTCTGCTCAAGGTTGTGGGTGCTTTTGTTCCCCAGCGGTGGTAGCTCCAGAAAGGCTGGTTTCAGCTCAATATCAGGTCTTTTCCAGTGATCTACATCTGTCCACAGGTGACATGGGCTGCCTTGGGACAATGGTAGCTGTTCAAGTCAAGGCCGGCAAGAGTGGTGTAGAGTGAGATTGCACTGGGTGACTTCTGAGCTAAATCCAACCCCAATATTCTGTGATTCAGTGGCACTCACCCTGCCAAGGAAGGGGCTTCCTTCCTGCTGCAGTTCCCATTGCCCAACATGCATCAGGTCTTACTGATGATTAGAGGACAACTAGGTCACAGCTAAGCTTGCCAGGTACTATCAGACACCTGCTTCCTATGGTCCCTTCCTCATGAGGACAGGTGAGGTCATGATCTGCATATGCCTGTGTGCCATACAGTGATCATGTGTGCCTGTTTCTGCTGTTCCTACGCACGTATACAAAACCTTTTTATATAACATCATTTTAATGGAAATGCTGTTTTTCCAAAATGAAAGTGGCTGTTACAGATCTGAATGATGCTTATGTAACTTTAAACACTGAATTTGGGTAGATCTTAATTCATTAACAGAAAGGGAAACGGAGGAGTTCTGACATACCCACCTCCCATCATTAAAACAATAGGATCTTTAAGGTAAATCTTCAATAGTCAGGTTGCTATGGGGGCCTTTTTAGACCCTTCCCCTGCCCTCTTCTAAGGTAGATTAGTTGCAGTGGGAGGAATGCAGGCAGGAGCTGAGGACTGAGGATTTAGAGGGGCCTGCTACCCATAGCACTGTAGGGCAGGACACTTCACTTCGTTATGCTTCCATTTCCTCATCCATAGAGACAATACCTCCCCTTTTGTAATTTACAAAGTACTTTCACATATATTATCTATTTCATTTGATCTCTCACTTCTTTGAGGTTGATAGAGCAGATATTATGCCCATTTTTATAGATGCCTGTTTTGTAAATGAGGAATTGGTCTGGGAAGGTTAATTGACTCACCTGAGACCTCACAGCTTGTTAAGAAGAGGAGACAGGATGTCTTTGGACTTTAAGACTAGAACCCTTGACACTTTAACATAGTTCCCTTCTTATCTATAGGATGGAGGAGACACTAGAACCTATCGCTCTCTTTTCCTGCTGTGAACTCCAATTGCATCACCTCTCCTGGAAGCCCTCCCAGATGCCCGCCCTCATGTCAGGGTTTTATAGCCTCATACATACTCTCTCAGACCACTTGGCACCCTATCTTGCAACTGTGTGCTTATTGGCTTCCCAACCAGAAGGTGGATTGAGACTAGGGGATGTCTTATTCTTTACTGGATTTCTTGTGCCTAGCAGAGTGCCTAACACAGAACAGGTGACTTGTACATGTTGAGATGAAGTCTCACTCTGTTGCCCCAGCTGGAGTGAAGTGGCGTGATCTTGGCTCACTGCAACCTCCGCCTCCCCGGTTCAAGCAATTCTCCTGCCTCAGCCTCTTGAGTAGCTGGGATTACAGGCACCTGCCACCATGCCCAGCTAATTTTTCTATTTTTAGTAGAGATGGGGTTTCACCATGTTGGCCAGGCTGGTCTCAAACTCCTGACCTCAGGTGATCCACCTGCCTCTTGGCCTCCCAAAGTGCTAGGATTACCAGTGTGAGCCACCATGCCTGGCCTTGACTTTATGTCTGAACCAGTGTTCTTTTGTCCAGGGATTTGTTCAGTGACCTACAGCAAGAAACACATTTTATGTTGTGAGATAAATGATACAAAAGTTTCATGGACAATACTTACCCTGGCTATGTGTGCACACTCATATTTTCTATTGCACGTATTGTGTTCTATTTGATGGTTTTAAGGTGCCAGCCATGACCTTTTAAATTGAATTCACAAACCACCACCGGATTGTGACCCAGTGTTAAAACAATGCTACTTTCACTCCTGGATGCAGTAGATGCCTTCATGTGTGTCTCAGGGCTCTGGCTGTCCCTGAAAGATGCAGAGGAGATGGTCCTCAAGCATTTCTTGCTCTGAGGTCAAAGAAAAATTTATGTATAACAGATAGAACCCCTTCCAAGGCCAGAGGCACAAGGGTACAAATAGAACCCAGCAAGGAGGGGTAAATGAGGGAGGAGGGGCAGTTCCCAAGAGGCCTGGTGAGGACCCCTGTGCTTCCAGAGACTACAAAAGCAGTGGAGGCGCTACTGGAGCCTGGAACCCCAAACATAGGTGGGGCTTGCTCTCTTGATGCCACAGGCTTCTCACTGCTCTGTCCACAGATGACTAGGAAAAGGTCTGCACTCTGGAAAGCTCTGTAGGGTCATGGTGGGCCTCTTTCCTATAGTTGAAGTGGTGAGGGTGGTGGGAGGCAAGTGGACCTTCTAACTTCTGCCTAAAATAGCCTCAAAAATAACATCCTGCCTACGGGGCCTGGGCCAGTTGCTGGTTGTGTAACTTTAGGTGGTTCATTTTAGGTGGTTCAAGGGAGATAGCTGAAGCCAGGTCTAACAACTCTCCCAGGAGAAAGCCCACTGACTCTCACTTGGTTCCCTACCTGCTGTATCCCCTTTCCTCTGGCCTCTCTGACTGCATGGTTGGTAAGAGGCAATTTGGAAACAACAGCAGTGTCCCCATTACCCCCAAATGCTAGAATGGGGGGCTATGTGGGGCAAACATGGAGTGGCTGTCCCTGTCTGTCTCCTGCTGTGGCTACTGAAGTCGGACTGGGTGTCCCGAGCCAAGGCTGGCGAAAGGGAAACAGCTGGAGGAGCTTCCTCCATGGGAGATGCCTAATTGCCCTTTTCCCCACAGAAAATAAGTACAAGGTTGGGCTACCGACCTTTCATGATTATCTCTGATGTCACTGAAATATTACTTTTTTTCTTAAAAACTTTTTTTTTAAAAAAAGGAACACATTGATTTTCTTGGTTTTTCTGATTGTCCCTGCAGTCTCAGTTCTGCTTTGTATTGTTCATGAGTAGGTGGATGTCAATGCCAAGATTCCAGAGCTTGGTGCCCTCCTGTCACAAGGCTTGTATGGTATGGTCCTGTCCTGGCTTCCCAGGGCAGAGTATCGGGGCTGAGATGGGGTGGGGTGAGGGAGAGAGACCCAGTGGCTAATGACTGAACTGCTGTGAGGGTGCCAGATGCTGAGGGCTGCAGAGGGAGGGAGGAGCTAGTGGTAGCGGGGATAGCTCCTCTGTGCAACAGCGTGGGAAACCTCACTGCCTGCAAGGTGCAGGCATGCTCATCACTCCAACACCACCGCTTAATTACTTAACCTCTTGACTCAGTTTTCCCTTAAGATGGAGCGAACAATAGTACCTACTTTGTAAGTTATTGTGAGGATTAAATGAGATGATGTATGAAGTGTTTATGCCTGAAACACTGAGTGCTTAATAGACACTATGCTCATCATCATCATTCTCCTTTCCTCCAAAGCTGTTCCTTCTGCATCCATCATCTGCCCAGTTCCCCAAGCCAGAAACCTGAGGTCACCCAATTCTCTCCCACCTAACTCATGCCTACCCCCTATCAGTCCTGAAAACCAATGGCTCCTCCACTCCCAAAGGTTTGTCAGGCCTTTTCCTTCTTTCCATTCGCATGCATGACTGGCTGCTGTGTCAGGGGAGGTTGGCAACAGGCTTCTCATCAACCTTTTTCATTCTCTACATCCCAAATTCAAATCCATTCCCAGCTCTCCTAGAAAATGCAAATCTGACTCTGTCTTGTCCTGATCCTGTCTGTATGGAATGATTCAGCAGTTCCCTGAGACTTCCAGAAGGAAGCTTAGATGCCTAGCTGGGCACCCATGGTCCCCAAGATCTATCTCCTAGTCAGCCTGCCCACCCCATCTCCAGCACTTTCCCCCACAGCCCCCTGTGCTCCTGTCAGGAGGAACTAAATGCCTGGGATCCTGTTACTGACGTCCTATGCCTCCCTACCTTTGCACAGGCAGTTCTCTCTGCCTGGATGCCCTTTCCCCCTCCTCTGTGAGCTAACTCCTTATCCTTGAAGATACAATTCAAGTGCCACCTCTTCCTCAAATCCTCCCAGGTCCCAGTCTGACTTAGAAGCTTCTTGGAGCGCCTGTATTTTCATTCTGGTTTACTTGTCTGTTCCCCCACTGCAGTGTAAGCTCCTTCAGGGCAGGCGCTGTCTCTTTTTCTGCGCACCCCTAATGCCTCTCACAGAGCCTGGCACACAGTGCTCTGTTGGAAACCAGTTCCAGCGGGCACCTTCCTTTCTGGGCACTGCTGATCTCCCTGGGGCACTGAGCCTGGGAGGCGGGATGCCAGCCTCCTAGGCACTTTCTCCACAAGCCAGTCAGTGATGGAGTTTCAATTCAGGGCACAGCCTGCCAGCACCCTGCCCATCACCCCAGGCAGCAGCAAGCCGCCCAGGAGTCAGATGAAACAAGACCGAGGCCAACTGAGGCTTGGAGAAACCCACAGGCACACCTTGCCTTAGCATTCAGGAAGCGCCTGGGGCGGATGAATCCGGAGCAGCGCAGCCCCCCGACCTTCCCACCCCCACAGTCAGTGTTGGGGAAGTGTGCCATAAGGACAAAAATAACTACTGGGGGCCAGAGCCGGCGAGGTTGGCCGGGATTCCTGCCTCCCCTCTACCCACATCGGGAGCAGCCCCCTAGCCTCGCCCCACCCTCCGGTCCTGGGCGGCCACGTGACCTGCGCCCCAAGCAGCCACTGAAAGCCTAGCTCCAGCCCTTCTCCTAAATTGGGAAGCGACGAGACCCGATCGAGTTTCCCGGCCGGTATTTACATGTTCCCTATTTACAGACCAAACCTCCCTCTTCCCACGCTCCTCCCTGCTCCGGCAGTGGGCAAAGGAAAGAAGGGGCCTCTCCTGTGCCCCACCCCCACCTCTCCAATCCCCTAGCCCGGGTGCTCTCCGCCCTTCCCTCCCTCCCTTCCCCGCCGCCTGCTGGCCCCTTTGGGGGCACAGCTTAGGTCGCTGTATTCCAAAGCCCGGGTGGCTCTTTGAGGTCAAGTGGCGTGGTGGGGGTGGGGAGGGGACCGCCCTGACCGGGGCGGGCGGCCTTGAGGTCTTTCAGTGATCAACAGATTGGGGGCCCTTCTCCCGAGACCTCCCGGGGGCCAGCTTCGTTCTGGCCTCAAGAACTCAGTGGGGAGGCAAGGCAGGTTTTCACCCTCCAGCGCCTGCGGTGCTAAGCGGTCCTCCAGTCCTCCCTGTACCCCCAGCCCAGACTGCATACCCATCCTACTCGAAGACACTGGCTGGGAGTCACCGGGGCACGTGAACTTGAAGGACTAGAATCTCAACTCTTGGCCTGCAAAATGGATGGGAAAGTGAGAAGACTGGGAAGGGCCAGCCACTTAGTTTAGGCCAAGATCTATCCTTGTCAAGCAGGCCAAAGTCCAGAGCTAACTGGGTACCCTCTGTCGAGCCTGGGTCCTAGACCTCTGAGAGCTGTACTTTGGGCCTAGGGAAAGGGAAACTGAGAGAGGATTGATTTCCTTCAGAACTGGGTAGACAGATATTCCCCAAGCAGCTCATTCCAGTATAGTACAAACTCAGATAGCTAGCAAAGCCCTGGAAAAGCCAGCCACCATAGCTAAGGCAGGAGGATTGCTGGAGCCCAGGAATTTGAGGCTGCAGTGTGCCATGATGGGGCAACTGCACTCCAGCCCATGGGACAGAGCAAGACCCATCTCTTAAAAAAAAATTAAGCCCTGTACTGGAGCTGACCCTGGTCACATGAAGGGGCCCTGGCTTCTTTATGGGGTTGAGGCAGGAGTAAATGAATTGGAAGTGGAGCACTGGCCACAGCCAACTTATTTGAGAGGGTGTGACCTTGTAGGAAAGAGGGAGAGTAGATGGTAGAATGGAGATGGCAGAGAGAGGCAGACTTTAAATATTGAGGGGGAGCCTGCATTTTTTGTGACTAATTAATTCACTCAAATCCTTTTTGAGCCCTTACTAAAAGTGAGTCATGCATTCATCTATTTGCATAATTACTGACTCCTTAACCATGCACCAGGCCCTGTCCTGAGCCTACAGTGAATAAGACAGAGTTTCTGGCCTCATGGAACTTACAGTCTAACAGTGAGGGGCAGTTATGATACAAAGTGCTAAAGGCTCCAGCAGGGAAAACAGAGGAGGAGGGGGCGGGGAGGAGCAGAGGGAAGGGGAAGAAGGGGAGGAAGGAGGAAGAAGGGGAGGAGTGCGAGGAGGGAGAGGGGGAGGGCAAAGTGGGGATAGCTCAGATGAGTGGGGAGAGCAACAGCTATGGAGGAAATGTTATCTGAAGTATAAACTAGAGTTCAGCATTTGGAAGGGAGAAGAGGAGGGAAAGCTAGCCTTCCAGGTAAGGGGCACTGTGAGTACCTGTAAAGCCTTAAAGGCATGTTGTAGACACTTACTTTTAATTAATTAATTAATTAATTTTTGAGATAGGCTATCCCTCCATTGCCCAGGCTGGAGTACAGTGATGTGATCACAGCTCATTGCTGCCTCAACCTCCTGGGCTCAATCAATTCTCCTACCTCACTCTCATAAGTAGCTGGGACCACAGGTGAGCACCAACACACCTGGCTAATTTTTAAATTTTTTTGTAGAGACAGGGTCTCTCTGTGTTGCCCAGGCTGGTCTCGAACTCCTGAGCTCAAGCAATCCTCCCACCTTGGCCTCCCAAAGTGTTGGGATTACAGGTGTGAACCACTGTGCCTGACCTCTAGAAACTTATAGTTCAGTACAGCCACCCAGTTGATGGCTGCTACAGGAACAGGAGGAGATGGAGAAATTGCGTTTGTGAGTGGAAGAGGGTTAAGCTGGTGATGAATAATACCTGTCCAGACAGGGTGAGGGTGGAGGAATTCCTGCTCCTTTGGGTCCACACAGTCCTGCAGGTGTGCTGTAGTGGAGATTGTGGCACCAGAGTTATAGTTGCTTTAGAAAATCAGTATTTATTTTATCAGGATAATACATACACATAGCTGAAAAATCAAATAGTGCTAAAAGACTTGTAACGCAAACAGAAGTCCCCCCGGCTTTTCTCCCAGCCCTTATCCTAGTCCCTAGGGTCAACTGCTTTCAATTCTCAGCTGTTTTTTTTCTGGTATTTCCTTCCTTATTTCTACTTTTTTTTTTTTTTGAGACGGAGCCTTGCTCTGTTACCCAGGCTGGAGTGCAGTGGTGCTATCTCGGCTCACTGCAACCTCCGCCTCCCAGGTTCAAGTAATTCCCCCTGCCTCAGCCTCCCAAGTAGCTGGGATTCTAGGCGCACACCACCATACCTGGCTAATTTTTGTAATTTTAGTAGAAACGGGGTTTCGCCATGTTGGCCAGGCTGGTCTCAAACCCAAGACCTCTGGTGACCCACCCGCCTCAGCCTCCAAATGTGCTAAGATTACAGGCATAAGCCACCATTCTTGGCCTCTTATTTCTAAATAGTATATGTACTGCCATTCTGGATTCATCTAATTTGTTGACTTCTTGTCTTGGTAGTGGAGGATTTTGATTCTCTACTCGCTTCTTCACCTCCCCCACTTGTCAGGCCTCTGAGCCCAAGCTAAGCCATCATATCCCCTGTGACCTGCACGTATACATCCAGATGGCCTGAAGCAACTGAAGATCCACAAAAGAAGTGAAAATAGCCTTAACTGACGACATTCCACCACTGTGATTGATTTCTGTCCCAACCTAACTGATCAATGTACTTTGTAATCTCCCGTACCCTTAAGAAGGTTCTTTGTAGTTCTCCCCACCCTTGAGAATGTATTTGAGAGATCCACCCCCTGCCCGCAAAACAGTGCTCCTAACTCCACCACCTATCCCAGAACCTATAAGAACTCATGATAATCCACCACCCTTTGCTGACTCTCTTTTTGGACTCAGCCCGCCTGCACCCAGGTGAAATAAATAGCCTTGTTGCTCACACAAAGCCTGTTTGGTGGTCTCTTCATACGGACACGTGAGACACCACTCACATTATGTTTATATCATAATATATAGTTAAATCCATATTCAGTGATTTCATTATTGAATTTGTAAATATTGTTTATTCTTGAGGCAAGTATTCTGGTTACATTTCCTTTTCTAAATAACTTTGTCATATACTCTGTTTATATTTCCTTCCTTGTACAACCTTTTTGTTTTTTCTGGAGTTAATTGCCTCATTTTTAATTTGCTTGGTTTTTTCTTTGAATCTCTGGCTCTGTCTTCCCACACCCTTCAACAGTTCTGTAAAACGCCCTCTCAGTACAATTTTGCATATGGCCAAACCTGTCATATAATCTTACTGGTTCTCTTCTTCCCTTGGAGACTTTTGTCCTGGGGTGCCCCATCCTTGCACTTTCCTCTGGACGTGTTGCCCTCTGGGCTGTGGTACACCTGTCATCCTGGGTTTCGCATCACCTTTGCCCTTGTCCTCTTTCCTGGACTCAGTGTTTTCTTCTTTCTTGGTTTACTCCCTTGTTTTGGTGAAGCACATCCTCCAGTAGCTTCCTGAGAAAGAGTGCCTGGGAGGTAACATTTTAGACTTTCGTGTTACTTAAAATGGCTTTATTCCATCCTCACACTTGATTGATAGTTTTGGCTGGGTATGGAATTTTAAGTTGAAAATAATTTTCCTTCAGAATTTTGAAGACATTGTTCCTTTATTTTTCAGCTTCTAATTTTGCAGTTCAGAAGTTCTTGCCATTTTGATTTCTGAGACTTTGAATTCACCTCCGCCCTTCCCCCCAACCCCCACTTTTAGGATTGTTTTCTTTTATCTTGGCTATCTTGAAATGTCACAGTATATTGCTGTGGGTTGCTTTTCATTCATTTTTCTGGGTACTTGTCAGGTTCTTGAAATCTAATACAGTGGTTCTTAAAGTGTAGTCCCCAGTCCAGCAGCATCAGTATCACCTGTGGGAACATGTCAGCAATGCAAACTTGGGGCCCCACCTCACACCTACTGAATCAGAAACTCCGGTGATAGGGCCCAGCCATCCGTGCTTTAACTAGCCTACCAGGTATTCTGATGCATGCTAAAGCTTAAGAACCTCTGTCCCAAAACAATTTATGTACTTTAGTTCTGGGAATTGCTTTATAATTTCTTTGACATTTCTTCCTCCATTTTTCCTGTTCATTCCTTCGGCATCGCTGATTACTTGGATGCTAGGCTCCTTGGATTGATCCTCTAATTTTCGTATTATTTCTCTCTTATTAACCATCCCTTTGTTCTGTTTTCTGGTAGGTATCCTCTATGTTATATCCTAATCTATTTGCTAAGTATATTGTTATTACTCTTTTTATTTTTTCTTTATATAATTTTCAAGAGTGCTTTCATGTTCTCTACCTTTTCTTTCTTTTAAGTTAATTTTTTTTAAAGAGAAAGGGTCTCACTACGTTGCCCAGGCTAGAGTGCAGTGGCTATTCACAGGTATGATCACACTATTGGTCAGCATGGGAGTTTTTTTTTTTTTTCCCGGGACAGTCTTGCTCTGTCGCCCAGGCTGGAGTGCAGTGGCGCGATCTCGGCTCACTGCAATCCTGGGTTCAAGCAATTCTCCTGCCTCAGCCTCCCAAGTAGCTGGGACTACAGGTGTGCACCACCATGGCTGGCTAATTTTTTTATTTTTAGTAGAGATGAGGTTTCATTCTGTTGCCCAGGCTGGTCTCGAACTCCTGACCTCAAGTGATTTGCCCGCCTTGGCCTCCCAAAGTGCTGGGATTATAGGCATGAGCCACCGAACCCAGCCAGCATGGGAGTTTTGACCTGCTCTATTTTCGACCTGAACTGGTTCCTTCTACCCTCTTAGGCAAGCTGGTGATTCCCTGATCCTAGCATAGCACACTACAGCCCAGAGCTGGGCTCAAGTGATGTTTTCACGTCAGCCTCTGAAGTCGCTGGGACTACAGGCATGTACCACCATGCCCAGCATTTCTTTTTCTTTCCTTTTCTTTTTTTTTTTTTTTTGAGATGCAGTCTCACTCTGTCGTCCAGGCTGTAGTGCAATGGCGTGATCTCGGCTCATGGCAATTTTCGCTTCCCGGGTTCAAGCGATTCTCCTGCTTCAGCTTCCTGAGTAGCTGGGATTACAAGTGCCTGCCACCACACCCGGCTAATTTTTGTATTTTTATTAGAGCCACAGTTTCACCATGTTGGCCAGGCTGGTCTTGAGCTCCTGACTTCAGGTGATCTGCCCACCTCGGCCTCCCAAAGTGCTGGAATTACAGGTGTGAGTCACGGTGCCTGCCCTCTTTTCCTTTCTTTCTTTTTTTTTTTTTTTTTTGAGACTGAGTCTTGCTGCGTCACCCAGGTTGGAGTGCAGTGGTGTGATTCGGCTCACTGCAACCTCCACCTCCCGGGTTCAAGTGATTCTCCTGCTTCAGCCTCCTGAGTAGCTGGGGTTACAGGTGCCCACCACCACGCCTGGCTAACTTTTTTTTTTTTTTTTTGGATTTTTAGTAGAGACAGGGTTTCACCATGATGGCCAGGCAGGTCTCCAACTCCTGACCTCAAGTGATCCGCCAGCCTTGGCCTCCCAAAGTGCTGGGATTACAGATGTGAGCCACCACACCTGGCCTCTTACTTTTTTTTTTTTTTTAAGAAATAGTTTTCACGTCCTTTGGACACATGAATTATCTCTCTGAGGATATTAACTTGAATTTTTCTTCCCCCTGTGTTTTGATTTGCATCATGCTGGAGGCTTTCTTCAGAGGTCTGGTGTTCCTTGGCTGTCCACTCCTGTTGAGAGGGAGGCTTTAGAGATCCGGTTGGAAGCTCTCCCTGTGGGCTCACAGTAGGGCAATCAAGTGGCTGGCTGGACTCCTTCATTGGAGGGTATCAATTGTCAGTGTTAATAGGCTTTTTCTCTGTCACATTTTGTTTTTTTCCAGAAAAGAATGATCTAGTTTCGTCTCCTGCTTGAAGGTTACAAGCCCCTCACCCAGAGTTCTAGAGCCAGCTATAGTGTGGGAATTAGAGAGGTGTGTGGCAGGGAGACCGGGTGTTATTGTTCAGATGCCGACTGTATTAGTCTGTTCTCACACTGCTAATAAAGACATACCCAAGATTGGGTAATTTATAAAGGAAAGAGGTTTAATGGACTCATAGTTCCACATGGCTGGGGAGACCTCACAATCATGGCAGAAGATGAAGGAATAGCAAAGGGACTTCTTACATGGTGGCCGGCAAGAGAGAGGAGAATCAAGCGAAAGCGGAAACCCCTTATCAAACCATCCCATCTCGTGAGACTTATTCACTACCATGAGAACAGTATGGGGGAAGCTGCACCCATGATTCATTTATCTACCACTGGGTCCTTCCCACAACACATGGGAATTGTGGGAACTACAATTGAAGATGAGATTTGGGTGGGGATACAGCCAAACCATGTCACCGACTTTCCCTCAGTCTTTGATCCCACTCTTTTTCCTGCACCTCCCCAACCCCTAAGTCCAGAATCTTTCTGTTTCAATATCTCCAGAATACATCTTCCTGTCTCCTACAGGAATCGGGAGGGGACACATTAAATTACCTGATTGTGCTGGGGATGGCTGGGGTTCCTGACAGTCTAATTGCTCTTTAAACAGATCTTCAAGCAATCTCTGGAGTTTTAGACCTTGCCTCAGTTTTAGACCCCTGCTTATCCTTCTGTCTTACTTGCTACTTCCAAGTCCCGAGCTTTCCTGGGTTTCCAAGGGAAGAATCAGGTTGCTTCTCGTGGGTCTGTGCCTCCAAATGTTTTTGGTCTGCCCTTCTTGGACTCTGTGGGGTCGTTTACCATTCTTCTATCCATTTTCTGTTTTCATATGATGGGGGCCAGGATTCTAAATCCTTGTTTCATTGAAGATGGACTTTGGGTTCCTGTTTCTTATTTTCCTTATCATCTTGGGGGTGATTTTTGAGAGGAGAAGGGGGCTTTACTCCACTCTCTTGTGACCAGAAGGCAGAGATGTCTTCTTGAGGTGGAAGTGGTGGTGCTTGTGCCAGACACTCTTGCTGACAAAGTGGCTGAAAGTGGGCCATATGTTAGGAGGAAGGTGAGGAGGGGAGGAGAGAAGCTTCCGGAACTTAGAAAAGCTGCTGTGGGAACTTGATTTGGAACCCCTGCCCCCCGTCCTCCCAAGAGGGCCCAAGAGGAAAAGGATTACTGGGCCCCAGTGAGGCCTGGTTGAGGTGAGACTGTGAGAATCAGTGGTAGGTTCAGCAGGGAACAGGGATGGAGACAGTGAGCAGTGGGCAGCAGCTTCTAGCTCAGAGGAGGACATGAGGGGATGGGGGCATTCTAGAGCCAGAAGGAGGGCAGTGAAGTGGCTTTGAGGCAGGCCATTGGCCAGGGAGCAGAAGAGGACAAGACAGTATTGACAGCCACTGATTAGATGTTGGTGATGTGCCAGGGACTGGGCCAGGTTCTTCAAAGCAGGCTTAGTGGGAGTGGGCAGCCAGGAGGAGAAAGGAAAGGTGGTCTAGGTCAGTGAAGGAAGGGCTGAGTCTCAGAGGTGGGAGTGGGGCAGGTCTGAGTGATGATGGAGTCTCCTGCTCCAGAGGTGAGAGACTGCTCATGTGCAGACCCATGAAGCAGGGTGTCCCTGAGGAGGGCAAGAGGTGGGGTGGGAAGAAGCAGTGGTATAATGGTTCAAGTCTTCAGAAAGAATGGCAGCAGGTGGGAGAGGCCAGTTGTTTAGATGAGTGGCCTCTTGGGAACCAAGGAAAGATACTATTTTATTTTATTTAGTTTTTAGAGATGAGGTCTCACTATGTTGCCTAGGCTGGAGTGCAGTGGCTATTCACGGGCATGATCATAGAGCACTGCAGCCTTGAACTCCAGGGTTCAAGTGATCCTTCTTTTTTTTTTTTTTTTTTTTTGAGACAGGGTCTGGCTCTATTGCCCAGGCTGGAGTGCAGTGGTACAATCTCACTGTAGCCTCTGCCTCCTGGATTCAAGCCGTTCTCCCACCTCAGCCTCCTGAATAGCTGGGACTACAGGCACATGCCACCATACCCAGCTAATTTTTTTGTATTTTTAGTACAGATGGGGTCTTGCTATGTCGCCCAGACTGGTCTCAAACTCCTGGACTCAAAACAATTCACCCACCATGGCCTCCCAAAGTGTTCAGATTACAGGTGTGAGCCACTGCACTCGGCCTTCAAATGATCCTTCTGCCTCAGCCTCCCGAGTAGCGGGAACAAGAGGTTCTGACTACCATGCCTGGCTTAAGATTTTAAACAGGAAGGGTGATCACTTCGGTTCACTTTATTTTATTTATTTATATTTTGAGACTGGGTCTCGCTCTGTCACCCAGACTGGAGAGCAGTGGCACAATCACGGCTCACTGCAGCCTTGACTTCCTGGGCTCCAGGGATCCTCCCACCTCAGCCTCCTGAGTAGCTGGGACCACAGGTGCACACCACCAAGCCTGGCTAATTTTTGTATTTTTGGTAGAGACAGGGTTTTTCCCCTTGCTGCCCAGGCTGGTCTCAAACTCCTGAGCTCAAGCAATCTGCCCACCTTGGCCTCCCAAAGTGCTGGGATTACAGGCGTGAGCCACCAAAAGGGGCCTTCAGTTCACTTTAATACTTACTGAACATTTATGTAATGCACCTGCCCCAGGTTACATAGCCTGGGGGTATAGTCGCAATGAGTCACCTAAAATACATAGCCTCTGACTCTAAGCTGTAATAACTCAGCTCTCATGCATGACTCCACAGTCTTTTCCTGACGTCCTGGGACTATTTTCTGTGTGCTTCTATATGGTCATTCTATGCCGCCTCACAGATGTTGCTGATAGCACTCCTCCTGGCTGAGAAGGCTGCTCCTGTCATCTCATCAGGCAGCCCCTGAGTGTAGCTCGGCCAGGCTTCTGTGATTACAAGCCACAGAAACCAACTCTGGCTAACTTAAGCAGAAAAACAATTTATTGGAAGGTTATTGGGCAGCTCATAGATTCAACAGCTACACTCTACCCTTCTTCTGTGCTGGTAAAGGCTTGATTTTGTCCTGAAATTTACGTGCCCTGTACCCAAGGAAGGAGACCCCCTCCTCAGCCACAGGGGATAATGTTGATGAGTCTCAGCCAACCAGGGCACTTCCTGCCTCTGTGCCAGTGATTGGTTTAGGTTTAGGCATGTGAGGCAGCGCTGGCCAAGGACACACAAGGGGAAGCCCGCTAGGCCAGGGTTTTCGGAAAGAATCACAGAGAAGCTGACTTTATTAAAGGTGGAATTAATGCTCTCTGCCTCTAAAAAATAATATACTTGCCCATTGTGTAAGGTGCTTTTAGTTGGTCTTCTGTGCTTTCAGTTGAAAGGTTCTGACACATGAAGGCTAGCTATTTTTCCTGGGTAGCAGGTGGGGCGAAAGATGGGAAAATAAGCTGATGGCTAAAGGGTGAAATGAAAAGAGTTTGCAAAATAAAGGAGCTGATGCATTTTTGAAGGCAGAAGAATTACCTAATAGAAAAGAACTGATTGAAAATGTTAGAGAGAAGGGGACTAACTCAGGGAGAAGGAGGCCACCACTCATCAAGCAGACACTTGCCATATGCCAGGCACTGTGAAAGGGGGTGGGATACAGTGATGGACAGAAATACGAGGTCCCTGCTCTTAGGGAAACTTTCAGTCTGGGTGGGGTAGAGAGACAATGAACATGTAAGTAACAAAATAAACAGGATAAGATAATGGGAAGTAATTTGGCGGGGCGGGGGGCAGTTAATTTTGATAGAAGATGGTCAAGAAAGTCTCCTCTGAAGAAGAGGAGATCCGCCCAACTCGGCCTCCCAAAGTGCTGGGATTACAGGCGTGAGCCATCGAGGGGGGCCTTCAGTTCGCTTTAATATTTACTGAACATTCATGTAATGCACCTGCCGCAGGTTACATAGCCTGTGGGTACAGGGATGGGCCAGCCACATGAAGAAACTTAGGAGGACTCCAGAAGACATCTCAGGGCAACTGTGGGCTCTGTCCTGACTACAGCAATGGAAGTCCAATGTCCATTCAGAAAAGGGAAAGAAATGGCAGCAAAGTTTGCCTTGGAGGCTCCTGCAGGCCAGGAATGACAGAGCAGCTGGAGAGATATATTTTCCCAGGGCTGGCATGGATATCACCTCCCCTGTGGCAGGACAGGTTGGGAACCCTGGTGTTGCTGACTTTCTGGAAGCTGGAGAGGTTTGAGTGGAATATTTGGAGTGCATTATATACCATAGGTGGCTTGTGCTGGCCACCTATGGTCTATAATTTGGTTGGATGTCCTTGATTTTCTACTGATAAATAGATCTGCTACTTGATTTTCTACTGTGGGTTTGAGGGAGGATACTTGGGGCCAGCAGATGAGTCACACCTCTGATCCTTACATGCCCAGCTGCCTCTGTCTCCCCTTGCCCATGCAGTCTGGAATTCCAATCTGCTCCCCTGTTTAACATCTCATCCAGTCAATAAGCGCCTCTGAAGTCTTTACTTTGTGAGTAGCATCTTTGACATGTTTGTGTCGGGTGGATACCATGACAGAAAGACAAGACTTGGCCTCAAGGAGTTTGCTGGTCAAATTCGAGAACACTGCATCTGAAACAATTTATCAGTAGAAAATCAAGGACATTCAACAGAGGTATAGACCATGGGTGGCCATCACAAGCCACCTATGGTACACAGTGCACTGGTTTATATACCATCTACTGCATTAGTCCCAGCCTCCCAAACTGGCACCAACAGTCCTCTTCTCCTTGCCCACTACTCCCTTCTTCCCTCCAAGATCCCTTTGGAGGTGATCCATCAAGTTGGAGCCTGACACATAATTTCTGCTCATCGTGTGTGGCCTTCCTCCAGTTTCCTGGGGATGTGAAGGAGGAGGGAGGGACCTGTCAGCTGGATGGAGACTTCTTTGCCCAAAGTTGATAGTACCACAGTGGGGCTCTTCACAGGCAGCCATTTTGAGACCTGTCCAGCACAAGGTTCTAGTTTTGGGGGTCCTGTCACTTAAATAAGAAAATATTGAGTGCTTGCCTTGTGCCAGTGTCTGTTTGAAGAGGCAGACCACTGTCACTTTTCTTGTATTATCTAATTCAGTCCACACAACAATTGCCTTTGGTGGGAATTTTAATTATTCCATTTTACAGTTGGAGAAACTAAGGTACAGAAAGATAAAGTCACTTATCCTTATCAAACAACTAGTAAGTAGTGGAGCCACGATTTGAACCCAAGCAGACTGCCTGCAGCATCCCTGGTCGGCACCCCTGTGCACACTGCCAAATTGTCTTATTCTAGGAATTTCCCTTCCCTGCGCCATGACATATTAAAAACTCAGCTAGAGGTCATTTTGAGCAAGGAACCCTTCTCCACCCTGCCTTTCCATGAGAGGGAGTTGGGATCCCAGAGAAGAGGAATTCCAGAAGAGGCACTGCCACTTTGGCTATTTTTCCTGCATGTTCCCCAGGCAGGGAGCGCCAGCTTTTGATTTGCCAGGTGTCTCTCTGTTCTTCTAATTAACACCAGATCCAGCCTTTAGCCAGAGCCCTGCCTATAGCTGGAATCCACCACCATGCGGCTCAGGGGCCAGTTCGCTGTGACTGCCACAGAGGACAAAGCAAGTGCTAACTCGGGGTGGAGTCTTCTGTAATGATGCTCCCTTTGCCTCATCCATAAAAAGCTCCACTCAGATCTACCTCGTTTGTGGTGGAGGCCAGGGTGGCAGAGTGTGCAGGAGAAGGCAGAATCAGGCTGAAACAGCTCCTCTTTGCCTCCCTGGATTCTTTTCCAAAATGCTGTCAGCACTGCCAGTTGGAAAATATTTTTCTCCCTCCCTTTGTCTTCTTTCTTATTAAGAAAAAAAAAAAAGCCATCTGGTGTCAAATTCACTCCTGGCACATCATAAAGGGTAGCACTAAAAATGTCCCCGAAAAACTAAAAGCAAAACCACAGTAGTACACATGGGATTTAATCTCAGCATCCTAGAATTTCAGAGTTGATAGGGCCCTCTGAGATCAAACCCTTCCTGTAGACGGGAGGAAACTGAGGCCGGGAGGGATTATGTTATTCTTTCAAAAATGTTTACTGAGCGCCTACTATGTTCAAGACACTCTTCAGGCGCCGCAGATGAATCACGAACACAACAGTGAGGCAGAAATCCCCGCCTCCTTGGAGCTTTCCGTGGGAGGTTCTTGCCTCGGCCCTCGGGCCTGCGTCTGCCGCCGTTTTTAAACGGCCCCGAAGTTGGGAGCTCTGGCTGGGCCACCTCCGGGCTGGGGGCCCGGCCTGGGGCCGCCCCTCTTTTCCCGCCCGGAGCCGCAGTGTCCAGAGGGGCGAAGTTTGCGGCCACCGCCGGCCGTGCAGTCTCCCGCGCTTCCCCCGCCGGAGCGCCGGCCCCGCATTCCTCCGGGTTGAGCAACAGCTTTTCCTCCGAGGGCGGCTGGCCGGGCAAGGCGGGGCCGCCAGCGCTGGGGCCCTCGCGGGGCGCGGCCCGAGTGTCCGGGGCCTCTGGCAGCGCCCCGGGTTTAAGTGGAGCGCGGCCGCCAGACCCTCCCCGGGGAGCCGAGCTCGGAGAGGGGGGCCGCAGAGCCCAGGCCCCAGCCTGCCCTTCCTGCAGCGCCGGCGGGATTGCCGAAAGACCAAGCGGGTGCCAGGCCTCACCCGACCTTGATGTTGGCGTTAGTCCGGGTTGACCGCCCACTCTGACGCTCTATACAGAGAGCTCCTTTGCTTCCATTTTTACTCCAATCCTGGAAATTCTTTGTCGATGAAAAGGGGACAGTTTATAGTGAACTCCAAAAGAGGGGTCCTAACCTAACCCAGCTCTTTGAATTTAAACACTTACAATAATCATATGTGTGTGTGTGTATGTGTGTGTATATATATATGTACACATACATCTGTGTACACAGACGTATGTGTATACATACATATATATGTATGCATACATGTATGTATGCATACATGTATGTATGCATAGATGTATGTGTATATATGTATGTATACATATATACACTCACACACACATATATACATACATATTTGAGACAGAGTCTTGTTCTGTCCCCCAGCCTGGAGTGCAGTGGCATGATCTCGGCTCACTGCAACCTCCGACTCCCGGGTTCAAGCAATTCTCCCACCTTAGTCTTTGAGTAGATGGGACTACAGGTGCGTGCCATGCCAGGCTAATTTTTTTATTTTTAGTAGAAACAGGGTTTCACCATGCTGGCCAGGCTGGTATTGAACTCCTGGACTCAAGTGATCTGCCTGCCTCGGCCTCCCAAAGTGCTGGGATTACAGGCATGCACCACCATGCCCCACCCTTCATATTTTTCTTTTCCTGCCTCTTAAATCTTGAGCTTAGGTCTTGAATTTTTTTAGCTTTATTTTATTTTAGTATACTTTTTATTTTGGAAAATTGTTAGATGTACATAAAAGTTGCAACAATAGTGTAGAGAATTCCCATGTACTCTTCACCCCGCTTCCCCCAAAATTAGTATCTTACCTAACCATGGTACGTTTGTCAAAATGAAGAATTAACATTGGAACAATGCTATTAACCAAACTACAGACTTTATTTGGATTTCACATGTTTCCACTCCTGTCCTTTTTGTGTTTCAGGATTCAGTCTGGGCCATCATCTTGCATTTAGGGGTTTGAAGCCTTTTAGTATGTAATCCAGATTTCATTGTGTAGAGTCTCTCCCCTTGGCAATGAGGCAGGAGGCAGAGTCCCTGGCACTGGATTGACCTCCCTGTCCTTGTCCTGATGGCCCAGGAAACACCTCGAGCCCTGGATATCCTGAGAATGCTCTTAAGGGATTCCTGCTGGGTCTGCCTGCTGGCTCTGGTAGCACCTGGTATAAATCTGGATCCCAAGGCCTGCACCTGGTCCTACTGGATGGAGACAAGGAAGTCCATGGGGTTCTTTAGAGAACACTCAGAGCTAAGGAGGTAAGCAGGTGCATGACCTCCCTGTCTTTTTTTTTACTTTTTATTTTTAAATTGAGATAGGGTCTTACCCTGTCACCCAGGCTGGAGTACAGTGGTGTAATCATGGCTCACTGCGGCCTCAACCTCCTGAGCTCAAGTGATCCTCCCACCTCAGCTTCCTGAGAAGCTAGGACTATAGGCATGTGCCACCATGCCTAGCTAATTTTCTTTCTTTTTTTTTGTTTGTTTGGAAGAGACAGGGTCTCCCTATTTTGCCCAGGCTAGTCTTGAACTCCTGGGCTCAAGTGATCCTCCTATCTTGGCCTCTCAAAGTGCTGGAATTATAGGTGTGAGCCACTGTGCGTGGCCGACTCCTACTGTCTTTAGGCATTTTGAGACCTGCTATAATTTTGGAAGTGACTAGAGTTTTACCTGAAGGCACTCCCTTCTGTTTGGTTGTGGGAGGGATCCAGATACCTGGAAACACCTGTATGGCCAACTCAAGTAGCTGGGAAGAAGCCTATGGTAGATTTCTAGTAACTACTCCTGCAGAAACCCCGATTCTTAGCTGAACACTGTCAGGAACTGTAAAGGGTCTGAGATTTTATCCTACTTACAAGCTAACAAATTAGCCCACCAGTGTCATAGCTTGTGATAGAAGCCCAGACTCCTAGGTCAGAGATGAAGGACAGTTTATTATTCACAGCAACAGCAGTAGCAAGAGTATCAGCTCTAATTCCCACAGGATTTTGCAGAAAGGGCCTGGTGATGCCTGCACACACAGTGGATTGCATTTCAAGACAGGAACCCTGAACTTAGGGAACCCAGATTTTTTAGAATGGTCCATGTATATATATACTTTTTTTTTTTTTTGAGACGGAGTCTCGTTTTGTCGCCCAGGCTGGAGTGCAGTGGCGCGATCTCGGCTCACTGCAAACTCCGCCTCCCGGGTTCACGCCATTCTCCTGCCTCAGCCTCCCGAGTAGCTGGGACTACAGGCGCCTGCCACCACGCCCGGCTATTTTTTTGTCTTTTTAGTAGAGACAGGGTTTCACCGTGTTATCCAGGATGGTCTCGATCTCCTGACCTCGTGATCCGCCGGCCTCGGCCTCCCAAAGTGCTGGGATTACAGGCGTGAGCCTCCGTGCCCGGCCCGTCCACGTATATTTTATAAGGGGCAGCATGCCTGCCCCTTTGGGAGGGAGACATTGTAGATCTTCCAAGGCTGTACACTATATCCTGAAAATGATAATCTGGAACAAAGGACAGTCAATGCCTCACTTGCAAGATGTGTAGAAATGGAATAGAATCATGGAGCATTGTCTCCCAACAAACAAACGGCCATATAAGACAAGCATACATTTCCCAACCTCTCCTGCAGCTAAGTGTAGCCATGTAACTAAATTGTTATCTATTGCGTGTGTGGCAGCTTCTGGGAAATTTCAATGACTAGCATGCACCCTGGGAGGCTTCTTCCCATCTTCTTTTCCTAATGGCTGGAATGTGGACATGATGTTGGAGCTTGAGCAGTCACGTGGGACCAGGACTAGCATGCTGAGGACTGAGGATGGCAGGGCAGTGAGGGGAAAGGGGCCTAGGTCTCTGATGGTGGTGGAGCTCACAAACTAGGTCTGTACTAGTTATCTTTGGATTTGTTTACATGAGAGAAAAAGACACTCCCATCTAGTTTTAACTTTTTGTTTTTGTTTTTTGGTATATGCGCCTGAACGTAATTCTCACTGATGCAGGGTTAGAGCAGAGAAGGACCAATGGAGGGTTAAGCCCGTCAGCAGAGAGAAGGGGTCAGGGGCCCTGCTCCCCTTTCCCTCCATCTCAGCTTCAGCAATGACAGGCGAGGGGAGCGGGGAGTCATCTCTGGCTCGTTCACCACCCACTGGCGATGCCCCATTCACAAGGGGGCCCGGCTGGCCACGCGACCCAGCAGCATCCATTTGAAGGCAGCAAGCAACAAGCTGGCTCCATTCACAAACCCTGTCCTCCTTTGAAAACCAATCACCGTGCGAAGCGTGACTGGGTGGTGGCTGGTGTCGGCCCATCTGTCACGCCCTTTCAGGGAGCCTGGTGGCAGCAGCCAGCCTGGGCCGAGCCAGCCCCTCTCCCTTTGTACCCCAGGGACATGCACTGTAACGAGATCACAGTGCCTACTGAATTATTCAGAGCTGCCCTGAGTGTCAGTTTTATTATAAACATGCAGATTGCTCCAGGCTCCAAACTTCCAAACCTCCAGCAGCCGTCTCCCTCCAGGATTTTGCAGTGGCTGCTTTGTGCCTGTGATTTCCCCAGGCCTTGATGGCCTAATTTCCCTTTGACCAGTTCCTACCTGCTGCTGGGCTCGAAAGCCCCGGCCCTTTACCCATTGCTTCCACAAGCCCTATTCTGTGCTTAAAAATTGTCCTCTCCACCGCCCCAGCAGTCCTGCCGCTGCCTCTCCCATCTCCTACTGGCTTCACCGCCCAAGTGGGTGACATCAGACTTGGAGAGTGCAGCTCGCCTTCCTCTGCTGGGAACATGGATCCTCCGCTCCTGTGGGCTTCGGTGTGATCTTTAAGCCCACTAGGTCTTCCTGCCCATCCGGGTGTTCTAGACCCAACTCTGTCCTCTGCCCTTCCCCATATGTCCCAGATCCCTGGTGCTCTCCGAAGTTGATCCGGAGAATACCCCCCAGCTGGTAATGAAGCAGAGATGGTAATGCACATTTAAGAGTAATGAAATGCAGTGATATTTCAGGCCTGACAGACCTATTTCTGGCAGCCTTAGAATTAAAGTGTGAGGCTTTGTACTGCAGCTGCTACTAGGAGCCTTCAGAGTTTTTCTAAAGATGTGAATAAAGCTTCCAGGGTTTCAGCTCAGATCACTGTGGCTATTTATCCTGCTGCTGCTTTCATTGTACCTTTTTATTTGAAATTTTAGAGCTTTTAGATGAAGGGAACGCAGCAGTAAGTGCAAAGCATACAAAATATCCTGGTTGGGGAGAATGTCCCGGTTTTTCTCTCCAATTGTCCATGACAGCTCTGAGGAGGAAGAGCTGCTCACAGGGAGCACTGCCTCTGTCTCCCCTTTGAGTGGGCTCCTCCTGAATTCTTGCCCCGCTGCAGTAGGAAATGGGGCCTCCTGAGAAAGCTTTAGGAGGGAGTCCATGCCACCAAGATTGACGGGGCTAGGTGTGGGCTGGCCCTCCCCCAGCGCCTCAGTGCTGTGAGCTTGGTATAGACTGTCCTTGGTTGGGGAATGTGGTGGAAAGGAGTCAATCCACACTAGGCCGACAGTGAGAGCTCTCGCTTCAGTCCTCCAGTTAGGAAAGTTGGGCTGCTCTTTCCATCTCTGCACCCGGCTTCATCCATCGCACCCAGGAGGTTGGAGCCATTCGTGAGGAGAGGCCATGTAGGACAGTGGTGGAAACATGGACTCCACTGGCAGACAAACCTGGGAGCAAAACCTGGTGAGACCACCTGCACTGCCCAGAGCAAGCCACTTGCCCTTTCTGGACCTCACTGTCTCAGTTTCCCCACCAGTAAAATGGGGATAATAAAGCATCCATTGTCCAGATCCTCGTGATGCATGTAAGATACTTGGCACATATGAAGTCACAATGTGTATTATTAACACTGAACAGTATGAATAATAGTCCCAGAACTCAGGCTAGCTAGACCTCCTTCCTGCACCATCACTAATGTGCCAAAACCCGTTTCAATCCAGGGCTGTGTAGTGCAATGAGAAGGGGCTCTGGAGCCAAACACAGCCAGGTTCCAACCCTGGTTCCTTCATTTTCCAGTTTTGTCAGATCAATTTGTGAGACTCAGATTTTCTGAGTCCCAGTTTCCTCATCCGTAAGAATAGTGATAATAAATATTCACCTCAAAGGGTATCAGTGAGGATTAAATGAGATCATGTTTATACAAGAACCCACACAGTGCCTGGCACACAGTAGGTGTTGATAAATAATTCCCTTCCCCCTTTCCTTCTCCCTCTGCTTCTGTTAAAAAGGAAAAGAATTTTATAATCAGCCACCAGTTTACAGGAAATGCAGGAGGAAGATAGGGATGGTAAATGGTGGTGGTGGGGGGGGATTTCATCAGCAAAATCCAGAATTTGGGAAATTCTGTAGGACAAATGACGCAGAATCCTCAATGAACAAATTACAAGAGAGAAAAAGTGGGAGGGCCAAGTGAAATGCGAAGGCCGGTCGGGCACGGAGGCTAACACCTGTAATCCCAGCATTTTGGGAGGCCGAGGTGGGAGGATTGCTTGAGACCAGGAGTTCAGGACCAGCCTGGGCAACATGGCGAGACCCAAGTCTCTACAAAAAAGTTAAAAATTAGCTGAGTGTGATGGCTTGCACCTGTGGTCCCAGGTTGTTGAGAGGCTGAGGCAGCAGGATTGCTTGTGCCCAGGAGGTTCAGACTGCAGTGAGCCGAGATCGCACTACTACACTCTGGCCTGGGTGACCGAGTGAGACTCTGTCTCTAAAAACAAAAAAAAAAAAAAGAAAGAAAAGAAAAAAGAAATATGAGGACCTTGTTCAGATCCCAATCCAAACAAACCAACTGGGAAAAAATAAAAGAGGCCATCAGGGACATTTTGATATTGACTAGATATTTGATAACATTAAGTAATCATCGTTGATATTGACTAGATATTTGATAACATTAAGTAATCATCGTTAATTTTTAGGGTGATAATGGTATGGTAGTCATGTTCCAGAGAAGTTTTTATCTTTTGGAACACATAATGAAGAAATTAAAGATTAAATGATATGACATGGGGATTTGCTTGAAAATAATTTAGTGGGGTGAAGTGAGGGGTGGAAGTGAAGCAAAATCGGCCATGTATGGATAACCAAGCTGCGTGATGGTATGTGGGGGTTCATTAAACTATTCTCTCTACTCTTGTACATGTTTGAATATTTCCATAAAAGTAAAAAAAAAAAAAAAAAGAGAGAAGCAGCGGTCCTTTTAGATTAGAATTGTCTCTCCCACCTACCTCCTCCTTCATATTCTCCCAGCCCCTTCCTCACTTCAGTTTCTTCTTACCACCTACCTCGACTATACTGCAACAGCCTCTTAGAATCTCCCAGCCTTTGATCTCTCTCCCATCCAATCTTCTTCCCATTCTGCTGCCAAAGTTATCTTCCTAAAACACAAATCAGATCATGGTGCTTTCCTGTTTGAAAACTCTTTGGTAGCTCTCTATTGCCAGTAATCTAGTAGAGTACAAAATCCTTATTATGTGATTCAAAGCCCTTCACAGTTAGGCTCAGCCTTCCTGCCTCCTTCCTTTCCCATCCCCTGGGATGGGGATCCCAGGCCAATCCCTATCCCCTCATTCAGCCTGGCTTTTGGTCATACCAGCCAGGCCATTTCATGCCTCTGTGACTTCTCTTATATAATTACCTGGCAGATCCTCCTCCCTGGCCCTTAACTTCATCTATTGAAGACTAAAATATTTTTCAAATCTTGGTTCAAATGTCATTCTTCCTTGGTGGTTTCTAGATGTCTTTCCAATGCTCACTAAATATCTGTGCCTCTCTGCCTTCTGGCATATGGTAGGATCTCTCTTCCTGGCTCTCTGTAGTTCGATGGGGCCATGTGACCAGCTTTAGCCAATGGGTTGTGAGTGGAAGTCATACATTTCACTTCTGGGCCAAGAATTCCAGAATTCAATTGCTAATTCAAAACCCTTTGAGCTGTCTTTCCCTCTGGCTCAGCGATGGGTGACATCCAGATTAAAACTGTTCTCAGACCTGGCATGGTGGCTCACACTTGTAATCCTAGCACTTTGGGAGGCTTTGGTAGGTGAATCAATTGAGGTCAGGAGTTCGAGACCAGCCTGGGCAACATGGCAAAACCCCATCTCTACTAAAAATACAAAAATTAGGCAGGTGTGGTGGTGCATGCCTGTAATCCCAGCTACTCGGGAGGCTGAGGCAGGAGAATTGCTTGAATTTTGGTGGGGCAGAGGTTGCAGTGAGCCAAGATCATGCCACTTCATTCCAGCCTGGGCGTAAGAGCAAAACTCCATCTGAAAAAAAAAACACACAAAAAAGCTGTTCTCTCAGGCTGGAGGTTCTGGAGTGCGCGTGGTGCCATGGAGTAGAATCTCCTGTCCACCTGTGGGCGCTATGTAGTGTGAGACACATAAATCTGAGAGGCCTTTTGTTTCTTCAGCACAACCGAGTCTACCCTAAGTCTTCCCTCTCTGAGTTGCAATCCACTGTGCTGTCCTCTGTGTTTTCACATTATATCGTGTATGTAATGTGTCCAGATGACACCCCCGTCAGGTTAGAAATCCTATGTTACGATCTTAGCATTCTGGCCCGCAGCACTCAGCATAGTGCTCTGCAGAGGGGAGGGGTGAATGTACAGCAGTCCTTGGCTGTGGTGGATGCAGTTGGGCGTATGTGTAGAGGTTGAGAGGTGTCATCCTTGCCAGGGGCCTCCGTACTCATTAGTCTTGGGGATCTTTTTTTTTTTTTTTTTTTTTTTTAGACAGAGTCTTGCCCTGTCGCCCAGGCTGGAGTGCAGTGGCGCCATCTGGGCTCAGTGCAAGCTCTGCATCCCGGGTTCATGACATTCTCCTGCCTCAGCCTCCCAAGTAGCTGGAACTACAGGCACCCACCACCACACCCGGCTAATTTTTTGTATTTTTAGTAGAGACGGGGTTTCACCGTAGCCAGGATGGTCTCTATCTCCTGATCTCATGATTCGCCCGCCTCGGCCTCCCAAAGTGCTGGGATTATAGACGTGAGCCACCGCGCCCGGCCAGTCTTGGGAATCTTGATGGTTTGGAGATGGAACCAGGACCTGGCTTGATATCAATGCCCAGCATGCCCAGCTTCAGGGAATGAAGCATGGTTGGTCTAGGCGAATCCTAATAATCCCTTTCCCTGGTGGCTATAATTAGTTTAGACATCGGAACACAAACCAGTTTTGGACGATGAAATGTAAAGGGAAAGTCTCGTTCCCTCCTAGGAAAACAGAAACAGGTGAGAAATGCAGCTAGTCTATTCTAGTTTGGATTTCCTGGATTGCAAAGCCTGAGACAGATTAAAATGCTAATTGTTTATGTGGTAAGGGATTCTAGGGAGCAGGGTAAAGGGAGGAGGGAGAAGGGAGTGGGGAGAATGAAACAGGAAAGGAAGACAAGCCAACCAAGGGCGTACTTTTGAGCTTATTATTATAATTGTCCCTCCAAATGGCAGGAGGCTGGGGCATTTGTCCAGAGACTTTCATTGGTTGCCAGTTGCCCCTCATTTTACTAAAACTGAATGTTTCCTGTGACTTCCTAGTGACAAGAATCCATTGGGTACGTTTCATCTTGGCCTGCTCTGTCCACCACTTCCTCTTTTTGAACTCTCTCTATCCTGGTTTCTACGGCAGTTCTCCCTCCAGCGCTTGTCCGGCCTCTCTGGCTGCTTCTTGGTTTCCTTCCCAGGCTCCTTTTCCTTTTTCCGCTCTGTGGCTGATCTCCTGGATTCTATTCTGGTTTTCCTCACTTCTACCCACTCTTACTGGGCAAACCGTTTTGCGAAATGGTTTCCACTGTTACTGTTGTGATGATGCCAGCTCCTATGTCTATGCCCCCAGCTCTCCCTCCCAAGTCCTGTAGGCATATAGCTCTTCATCCACACAACACATATTCATTAAGCTATTTGAATATGCCCAGAGTTGTGATAGGGCAGTAAATAGGAACTCACCTTCTAGGAGTGCTAGCCAATATGGAGCTAGTGGCCAAAATCCAAGTAAACAAGTAAGTAAGCCAGATATTTTTAGATAGTGACAGGTTTTATGCAGACAATAAAACAGGTCAGTGTGATAGAGGGTGTATGTGTGTGTGTGCATGCACACTATTTTAGAATGACTGCTTTGAGGAGGTAACATTTGAGCAGAGATCATTTAGTGGTATCTGTCATTTGTGGTTATGCAAGTGCAAAGGTCGTAGAGGCATGGAGGACTTATCAATGTGTTTGGGGAAGAGGAGGAAGACCAGTGTGGCTGGAGCAATGTAGGCACAAGGGAGTGATGGGAGATAAAGTCAGAAAAATAGTAGGGGCTCATTCAAGTAGGGCAAGGTGAGCATGCATTGAACAAGATCCCCAGGTGACACTTATGTAAGCTTCTGCACACATTTGAAAACCATTAGGTAGATGAAGAAGAAATGAGAAGAGAAACCCCATTTAAAAGTTCTTCTTCTTCTTTTTTTTTTTGGAGACAGAGCCTCACTCTGTTGCCCAGGCTGGAGTGCAGTGGCACAATCTCGGCTCACTGCAACCTCCGCCTCCCGAGTTCAAGTGATTCTCCTGCCTCAGCCTCCCAAGTAGCTGGGATTACAGGCATGCGCCACCACGCCTGGGTAATTTTTGTATTTTTAGTAGAGACAGGGTTTCACCATGTTGGCCAGGCTGATCTCGAACTCCTGACCTCAGGTGATCGAACTCCTGCCTCGGCTTCCCAAAGTGCTGGGATTACAGTCATGAGCCACCACGCCTGGCCTAAAAGTTATTCTTTAAAAGCATTTTGGAGGCCTGGTGTGGTGGCTCATGCCTGTAATCCTAGCACTTTGGGAAGCCAAGGTGGGTGGATCACCTGAGGTCAGGAGTTTGAGACCAGCCTGGCCAACATGTTGAAACCCTGTCTCTACTAAAAATACAAAAAAATTAGCCAGGCGTGGTGGTGAGTGCCTGTAATCCCAGCTACTCGGGAGGCTGAGGCAGGAGAATCGCTTGAACCCAGGAGGCAGAGGTTGCGTGAGGGAGATTGCACCACTGCACTCCAGCCTGGGCAGCAAGAGCGAGACTCTGTCTCAAAAAAAACAAAGAACAAAAAACAAAAAACAAAAACAAAAAGTATCTTGGAAAGAGTAAGACACACAAAAGTATAACATTCTATCACAACCTCCTATGTACCCATCACCCAGCCTCAACACTAGCAACTTTATTTTACAAAGGAAACTGAAAGTAGTAGCCAGGAATGTAGGAGGAAGACCAGGGTAGGATTGTGTCAGTGAAGCATGTCAAAGAGAGAGATCAACAGTGACAAATAAAGGGAAAATGTTCTGTAGGTTGAGCAGAGGTCAAATCCCTGCCAACATCATGGCCCTGTGTTGTCCCATGGGCTTCTCACAGTACAGGTGGCTGTTAAGGTGCCAGCTGCCCCTCAACCTGCTTCTCCTCTTATTTTCTCTGTCGAAGAGTCTTCAATGGTTTCTGTTTGGGATGAAAGCAGGGACTGAGACTTGGACTTGTGCTCAGGGAGTTTATTTTGGAGACGATCCTGGGAAGCAGGGTGCGAGAGCAAAAAGAGTGAGGCAGGGAAGAAGGAAAAGTCACAAAGAGTATGTTATTGAGCTGGTTACCACTGTGAGCAAATGAAGCTCGATCTGGCTGGGCCCATAAGGAACTGAGTAGAGTGCATCTCAGATTGGCCCCCAGCAGCATAGGAGGCCAGGGCACTTATTCAATGGTCTCTCACACCCCATTTCTTGAGCGCTGTGCTGGGGATATTAACCTCCCTGCATTTTTCTGGGCTGCCCAAGGCAGAAAGCCAGCCAAGGCAGAAAGACAGCCATGTGGACTGTCTGCCACAGCTGCACCCGAATCTGAGCAGGGAGAGAGGGTATAGAGTACAGGACACCTAAAGTTGTCTGCTGCAGCTCCATCACGGCTTGATAGGATCTAACCTCCTTCTCATGACACCAGTGTCATTAACCTATTAACCAGGCCAGCAACATGGGAGTTATTCTAAATGTTTCCCTTATCACCCTGTCTCCCTCGTTTGTCTCTGCAGCCACGCTTTTAGTTCAGGTGGTCATTTCTTGAGGACCATGGTAATGATCTCCTTATCTTTTATTAAATGCCAATGACACTAAAAAATGATATATATATAAGAAATTGGAGGCTGGGTGCAGTAGCTCACGCCTGTAATCCCAACACTTTGGGAGGCCGAGGCAGGTGGATCACCTGAGGTCAGGAGTTCGAGACCAGGCTGGCCAACATGGCAAACCCTGTCTGTACTAAAAATACAAAAAAAAAAAAAAATTAGCTGGGCATGGTGACACGTGCCTGTAATCCCAGCTACTTGGGAGGCTGAGGCAGGAGAATTGCTTGAACCTGGGAGGCAGAGGTTGCAGTGAGCTGAGATCATGTCATTGCACTCCAGCCTGGGCGACAGAGTGAAACTCTGTCAAAAAAAAAAAAAAAAAATTAGAGGTGATGTGGAGTCTGTGGAGGGGTACATGACTCAGTACTAGGGACTCAGAGAAAGCTTCCAGGAAGAAGTGACTTTTAAACTAAAATCTGAGGACTGAGTAGGAATTAGCCAAAGAAGTATGATGAAAATTCAGTTACAGGGAAGACCATGTGTGAAAGCTCAAAAAGGGCATGGCAAATTTAAGACACTAAAAAGGGTTAGTTTATCTGAAGTGTGATGGAGGAAGAAAAGAGAGATTGGCCAGATCATACAGGACCCTGCCAACCGTATGAACAAATATTGACTTTATTCAAAAGGCAATGGGAAGCCTGAAGATTTAAGACAGGAGGGTGATGGGATTGAATCTGAGTTTTAGTAAGATCACTTTGACTAAAGTATGGGAAAAAATTAGTAGATCACACTCATTTTTGGCTATTTGGCTACAAACCCCTTGTTGGGTGCCTCGCCAGTGTCTGTTCCCTGCCTGCTGCCATAGTCATGGTTTTCCTTTAGAGGATTTCACATCTTCAACCATGTGATTTGGGTGTGATGAGCTCTTCTTCCCAACCATTGCTAAGTTAATTAGTGCACTGACCACAGTGGCTGGTTCAGGGATGGGCACTTGATCCATTTTAAGTGAGTGAGAGAATGTGAGTCTCAGGACTTTTATAGCAGCTACTAGTATGAAGATGTAAGGTGTGAATTGCTATAGCCATGCCATGACTGTTATGGGAAAATCTGGAGCTGTTGGAAGACCACTATATGAAACATGATGATGCCATGAAAGGCAGAGAGAGAAGGGGGGGAACTGACTTCATGGTAACGTTGTATGAACTTTTGGATCAAGCCTTATTTACTTTTTACTTTTTTTTTTTGAGATAGGGTCTTACTCTGTTGCCCAGTCTGGACTGCAGTGGTGTGATTACAGTCACTGCAGCCTTGACCTCAAAGGCTCAAGTGATCCTCCCTCCTCAGCCTCCTGAGTAGCTGGGGCCACAGATGCATGTCACTGTGCCCAGCTAATTAAAATTTTTTTTGTAGAGACGGGGTCTCGCTATGTTGCTCAGGCTGGTCTCAAACTCCTGGGCTCAAGCAATCTGTCTACCTTGGCCTCCCAAATTGCTGGGATTATTGGCATGACCACCACGCCTGGCCTCAAGCCTTATTTAAAGCCACCTCTTCCTCTGGACTTCACAGTAAATTGAGCCAATAAATTCTCCATATTGTTTAAACCAGTTGAATTGGAGATTGGTTTACTGCAACCTAAAGATTCCTAACTGATACAGAAATGAGTTCCATAAGGTGTTTCAAGAGACAGGCCCTAAAAATGGGATTGTCCAACCAAAGAAGTAAGATGAAGGATAAAGAACCCCTACATTTTCGGCTGAGAAATTGGCCATCTAATTAGCTATACAGTTTCCTGTTGTGACTTGGGGTGCAGATTACACAATCTGCGGCTGTAGCGGTACACTACTTAGTAGAAAAATGTAGAGTGTTGGATTGGGTTGGCTCCTTCTTGTTAATATTAATAAAGTACTGTAAAAAGGTAAGTTGCTGGCCTGGTGCAGTGGCTCACGCCTGTAATCCCAGCACTTTGGGAGACCAAGGTGGGCGGATCACGAGGTCAGGAGTTCGAGGCCAGCCTGATCAGCATGGTGAAACCCCGTCTCTACGAAAAATACAAAAATTAGCCCAGCATGGTGGTGCACACCTGTAATCCCAGCTACTCGGGAGGCTGAGGCAGGAGAATCTCTTGAACCCAGGAGGTGGAGGTTGCAGTGAGCTGAGATCATGCCACTGCCCTCCAGCCTGGGTGACAGAGCGAGACTCCGTCTCAAAAAAAAAAAAAAAAAAAAAGGGTAAGCTTATGTTCAAACTAGCTTACCCCAAAACAGAGAAGGAAGAAAATACAGCTTTGATAAGAGAAGCCCTTTCTGCCTACGGTAAAAAAAAAAAAAAAAAAAAAAAAAAATGGCTGAGAGGACTAGAAAGCCCTGAAAACTTTGTCCCAAGGTATGTTAGTATTAGGTTAGTGCAAAAGTAATTGCGTTTTTTGCCATCGAAAAGAATTGCAAAACTGCAATTACTTTTGCACTAACCTAATGTGAACAGAAACAGGGATGGGGGATTGCATTGTATGGGATATGGGATATGAGATATGGGATATGGGATACAAGATATGGGATATGGGATATGGAACATGGGACATGGGACATGGGATATGGATATGGTCTATGGGATATGAATATGGGCTATGGGACATGGATATGAGGTATGGGATATGGATATAGGCTATGGGATATGGATGTGGGATATGGATATGGGATGTGGGATATGGATATGGGATATGGGATGTGGATGTGGGATATGGATATGGGATATGGGCTATGCCATATGGGATATGGATGTGGGATATGGGATATGGATGTGGAATATGGATATGGGCTATGGGCTATGGATGTGGGATATGGATATGGGCTATGGGCTACGGATGTGGGATATGGGATATGGAATATGGGATATGGATGTGGGATATGGGATATGGGATATTGATGTGGGATATGGATGTGGGATATGGATATGGGCTATGGGCTATGGATGTGGGATATGGATATGGGATATGGATATGGGCTATGGATGTGGGATATGGGATATGGAATATGGGACATGGGATATGGGCTGTGGGATATGAGATATGGGGTATGGATGTGGGATATGGGATATGAGATATGGGCTATGGATGTGGGATATGGGCTATGGACTATGGGATATGGATGTGGGCTATAGGATATGGAATATGGGATATAGGATATGGGATATGGTTGATGGCTTATCCCTAGCCCTTTCCCAAGCACCTCCTGCTTTTTATTCCTCCTAAAACAAAGGTGACCATAACTTCCATGACAGATGTAAGTGGGACACAGCCTATTGGCAACGACCAGATTTAGAGTGCCTCCCAGGCAGTTTCTTCAAGTTGTTCAAAGGTACAGTTTGAGACTAAACGTAAGGCTGGGTATTTGGGAAGAGAACTAAGACCTATTTGCTTAGTGAAAGAAATACCCAGGCCAGACTCCAGACTCAAAGACTAGTCTCACAAAGAGCTCTGGTTTTGGCCGGGCGCGGTGGCTCACGCCTGTAATCTCAGCACTTTAGGAGGCGGAGGCGGGCGGATCGCCTGAGGTCGGGAGTTCTAGACCAGACTGACCACCATGGAGAAACCCCATCTCTACTAAAAATACAAAAATTAGCTGGGCTTGGTGGCGCCTACCTGTAATCCCAGCTACTCGAGAGGCTGAGGCAGGAAAATTCCTTGAACCTGGGAGGTGGAGGTTGCAGGGAGCCGAGATCATGCCATTGCACTCCAGCCTGGGCAACAAGAATGAAACTCTGTCTCAAGGGGAGCTCTGGTTTCATATACTAGCTCATAGAATCAACCAGAAGCAAATAAACTTGAAGCCCACAAAGAAACTTCAAGCTCAGATGACAATGGCTAGAGACTTCAACTCCTAACATAATTCTCAGGTCCCAAAGCACAACGAATTTGTCTTCACAGAACCACTGCTTTAATGTCTTCTGTGAACATTAAAACAGTGGTTCTCACACTTTTGTGTACAGAAGACGTTTATTAAAAATACAGATTATTGGGCTTCATCCCCAAAGAATCTGATTCCTTCCATCTGGGATTGGGCTTGGGGATCTGCATTATTAACAAATATCCTTGATGATCCACATGTGGGTGGCCAGGGAGCCCCGCTTTGGGAAACACTGCATTGAAGGAAATTATTACTTTTTTTTTTTGAGACGGAATCTCGCTCTGTTGCCCAGGCTGGAGTGCAGTGGTATGATCTCGGCTCACTGCAACCTCTGCCTCCTGGGTTCAAGCAATTCTCCTGCCTCAGCCTCCCCAGTAGCTGGGATTACAGGCCCATGCCACCACACCCGGCTAATATATATATATGTTTTTAGTTTTTGTATTTTTAGTAGAGACGGGGTTTCACCACATTGGTCAGGCTGGTCTCGAACTCCTGACCTCGTGATCCGCCGGCCTCGGCTTCCCAAAGTGCTGGGATTACAGGCATGAGTCACGGCGCCTGGCCTAGTATTAAATTCTTTAGGGATGATCAGCAGGACTCATTTTGTCCTGATAGTATCTGTGCACTGTGTAGGGCCCAGACTGAGAGCTCAGCACAGCCTTGTCTATTAGACCTGAAAAGCATGGGTTTCTGGAACCAAGGTGGTTTTGGGAAGTAAGCAGACTATGATTCCAGGAACTGATTTGCCCTGAGTCCCTGCTCCCTTACTTCTTGATCATGTTTAATTCTGCCTTGGCTCTATTAGGATTGCTTTGTCCAGACACTGACCTGGCAGTGAGTGTGCCTGGGATCCTCTGTCAGTGTCCCTTGTATAGTCAGAGAGTTCTGGACACATCTGTGGGAGGTAGAGAATGTGACAAACCCTGGGGAGAGTGTTTACTAAGCTTTTCCATGTTTATTTTCTTTCCTCCATCTCACCTTAGGACAGGGAGTATTCTGAAAGCCTTAGTGAAGCAGTGACACTTTTCTGGCACCTTGAATGACTCATATGTCTCAGTGCCACACACCCTCCATTGAAGGCCTTGGGATTGTCAAGGTCAGGATATTTAAAGTCACATTCTTGGGAGTGATCTGGACATTGCCAGGTCAGCTCAGGATGAGGGAGGTGCCCAGAGACAGCTGTCAGTGTCAGTGCCCATAGTTTATGGTGAGTCTAATAGTAAATGCCAGTTATAGGTATGGTCTTATCATTGTTTAGTTATAGCTGGTGATGGCCAAGTGACTATGGGTTTCTTTCCATTCATTCTCCTAAACTTTTTTTGTTTTTTTAAAGTAAGTGTCTTGCTTCGTTGCTGAGGATGGAGTACACTGGCATGGTGACAGCTCACTGCAGCCTTGAACTCCTGGCTCAAGTGATCCTCCTGCTTCAGCCTCCTGAGTAGCTGGGACTGCCGGCACATGCCACCATGCTCAGTTAATGTTTTCACTTTTTTTTTGTAGAGACAAGGTCTTTCTCTGTTGCCCAGGCTGACCTCAAACTCCTGGTCTCAAGTGATCCTCCTGCCTTGGCCTTCCAAAGTGTTGGGATCACAGGCATGAGCCACTGCACCTGGTGTCATTCTCCTAAACATTTATTTTTTTTTCTATTTTTCTTTCTTGTTTGCTTTTTCTTTTCTTTTTATTTCTTTTTTTTAAACTGAATCTTATGTTTACTGAGATCTCCTAAACATTTAATTCAGCACCTACTATATGCAAAACGCCAGGGAGAATACAAAGATGTGTAGACATAACTGTACCCCAGATGAACTCACAGACTAGAAAGCAACTTGGTGGCCCTGCAGAGAGACTCAGGAGCGATAATCATACTCACAGGTAGGGTATTATAAGCTCACTAAAGAAGAGCTTCCAACCTGCACTGGTGGAGATAATGGTGAGGCATAGGGATATCTTCTGAAAGCAAGGTCCTGAGCTGAATATACAAATTTAAGCAGAAGTTATCCAGAACAACTGCTGTTTCTGGTCAAGATGCAATAACAGGGATGGACTTTACCCTCCTTCCTGGAGCAATTAAAATGTTGTATAAAATATATGAAGCAATGGTTTTGGATATCAGACAGCACAGGACAGTGATCCCTGAGAGAGGGAAAACAAGTGAACTGAGCTGTACATTTGCTCCATCCTACTGCCTTGAGAGAGTTTCCAGGCTGCTGTGCAAAGAGGAGCAACCCAGGCAGAGTCCAGTAGTCTCTCTGAGCTGAGGAGATGCAACAGGGAATTCAGAGAGGCCAAGGCAGCTATAGTTTTAAGGGCAGTGTACCAGACAGGAGAGAGCTACAGAGAGATGAAGGAAGAGAATAAGGGTGGGGGGCAGGAGGTGGGAGGAGAGAGAGAGCGAGAGAGAGATGCAGAAATCTGCAGAGGGTCCCATTGAGTCTTCAGCTGAGTATTGATCAGAGCATGTATGTGAGGAAAGTATCTGAGTCTAGGGAAACAACCACACAAAAGGAGCAGAGGAAATAATCCCTGGAGTGTATGTTCTCACCAGCCAGTTGAAAAACCTCATAAATCACAAGACATCAGACAGAGTACTCAGAAGGGTATTATCTCAGTAGTGGGGCAAAGTTAGTACTAAACTAGTGGATATTATGGTCCTAACTAACAAAGTTTAAACACAATCAAACTTGAAAAGATCTGTTTCCAAATAACTGTGTCTCAGAACAAAGTTCAAGAGTATTTACAGAAATATAAAAATATGCAACACCCAACAAGGTAAAATTCACAATGTATACTATCCAGTCAAAAATTATTGGATACAGGCATACAAATAATGAGGAAAATATGACCAATAACAAGGAAAATAAACTAATCAATAGAAACAGACCCAGAAATGACATAGATGTTAGAAAAAGAACATTAGTAGACAAGGACATTAAAACAGTTATTACATGTTTAAGAAAATAAAAGAAAGATTAAGTATGCTAAATAAAGGCATGGAAGATATTAAAAAGATCCAAATTAAACTTCTAGCAATGAAAAATATAATGTGAAATAAAAAATATACTGGATGAAATCAGTAGCAGAGTAAACACTGCAGAGGCAAAAACAAATGAACCTGAAGCTATAGTCATAGAGACTATCCAAACAGAAACACAGAGAAGAAATATTGAGGAAAACAAAAAAGAGCAGAGCACTTCAAGTGGCCTAGTATTTGTGTAATTGGAGTCCCAGGAAAAAGAGGAGAGTAGAAAAATACTTGAAGACATAATGGCCAAATATATTCCAAATTTGATGAAAACTGTAAGTCCACAAATCCAAGAAGCTCAATGAACCCCTAGCACAAAAAACTGGAGAACTACACAAAGACACATCATAACCAAACTGTTTAAAACCAGTGTGAAACAGAATTTCTTACAAGCAGCTAGAGGAAAACAGGATACACTATGTACAAGGGTAGAACATTAAAAATGACAGCAGGCCGGGCGCAGTGGCTCACACCTGTAATCCCAGCACTTTGGGAGGCTGAGGCAGGGGGATCACGAGGTCAGGAGTTTGAGACCAGCCTGGCCAATATGGTGAAACCCTGTTTCCACTAAAGATACAAAAAAAAAAAAAAAAAAATAGCCAGGTGCAGTGGCTCACGCCTGTAATCCCAGCACTTTGGGAGGCCAAGGTGGGTGGATCATGAGGTTAGGAGTTCAAGACCAGCCTGGCCAAGATGGTGAAACCCCATCTCTACTAAAAATAAAAAAAATTAGCCAGGTGTGGTGGCAGGTGCCTGTAATCCCAGCTCTTTGGGAGGCTGAGGAAGAGAACTGCTTGAACTCGAGAGGTGGAGGTTGCAGAGCCGATATCATGCCACTGCACTCCAGCCTGGGTGACAGAGCAAGACTCCATCTCCAAAAAAAAAAAAAAATTAGCCGGGCTTGGTGGCACATGGCTATAATCCCAGCTACTTGGGAGGCTGAGGCAGGAGAATCACCTGAACCCAGGAGGCAGAGGGTGCAGTGAGCCAAGATTGTGCCACTGCACTCCAGCCTGGGCCACAGAGTGAGACTCTATCTCAAAAAAAAAAAAAAAAAAAAAAAAAAAGGCTGGGCGTGGTGGCTCATGCCTGTAATCCCATCACTTTGGGAGGCCAAGGCAGGCAGATCACGAGGTCAGGAGATCGAGACCATCCTGGCTAACATGGTGAAACCCTGTCTCTACTAAAAATACAAGAAGTTAGCCAGGCGTGGTGGCGGGCGCCTGTAGTCCCAGCTACTTGGGAGGCTGAAGCAGGAGAATGGTGTGAACCCGGGAAGCAGAGCTTGCAGTGAGCCAAAATCACGCCACTGCACTCCAGCCTGGGTGACAGAGCAAGACTCTGTCTCAAAAAAAAAAAAAAGAAAAGAAATAAAAGAAAAAGAAAAACAAAAAGAAGTCTGCTGTCATTCTGTGGCCTAGGCTGGAGTGCAGTGGCACAATTTTGGCTCACTGCATCCTCTGCCTCCTGGGTTCGGGCGATTTTCCTGCCTCAGCCTCCTGAGTAGCCGGGATTACAGGTGTGGGCCACCATGCCCAGCTAATTTTTGTATTTGTAGTAGAGACAGGGTTTCGGCATGTTGGCCAGGCTGGTTTTGAACTTCTGACCTCAGGTTGTCTGCCCTTATTGGCCTTCTAAAGTGCTGGGATTACAGGCGTGAGCCACTGCACCTGGCCGCAGACTTCTTTTTGAAAACAACGAAAGCCAGAAGGCAATGGAGTAACATCTTTTGAATACTGAAGGAAAAAAAATTGTCATCCTAGAATTCTATACCCAACAAGAGTAGCTTTCAAAAATGAAAGGGAAATAAAAACTTTTTCAGACATTTAAAATATCAAGGATCACCAGAAGACTTGCATTATAAAAAACAGTGACATGGCTGGGCGCAGTGGCTCACGCCTATAATCCCAGCACTTTGGGAGGCCGAGGCGGGCGGATCACGAGGTCAGGAGATCGAGACCATCCTGGCTAACACAGTGAAACCCTGTCTCTACTAAAAATACAAAAAATTAGCTGGGCGTGGTGGTGGATGCCTGTAGCCCCAGCTTCTCAGGAGGCTGAGGCAGGAGAATCACTTGAACTGGGGAGTCGGAGGTTGCAGTGAGCCAAGATCATGCCACTGCACTCCAGTCTGCGCAACAGAGTGAGACTCCATCTCAAAAAAAAAAAACAGTGACAGAAGTCCTTCAAACAGAAGGAAAATTATACTAGATAGAAATCTGAATCTATACACAGCAATTTAAGAGCACTGGAAATGGGGAATTCTATCTAATAAATGAATAAGTAATGACAGAACAGAGTAACAAAATTTTGTATGCTCTCATGAATTAATGAATATAGGCAACGATCAACAATGACTGACAATGTGACAAAAAGAGCGGCAGCCAGGTGTTATATACCACCCATGTGAAGTAATATTGTCAAAAAATAAGAACAAAAAGAGATAATAATAACCAAACCTGACCCTGGCCACTGGATCTAACTATCAATTTACTGGCTTTACAACAGACAGAGAAACATGTTAAATGATATCACTGTGTTTTAATTTTTTTTAAAAATCCAGATTTGGGAAATTCTGTAAGATAAACAATCAGATTTTTTTTTCATTAAAAAAAGTGCAAGGGGAGAGAGAGAGATTTACAAAGAGAGAGAACTATAAACAAGAGACTTCGGAGACATATCAATTAATCACAATATATAGATCTTGTTTAGATTCCTACTTCAAACAAACATACTAAAAAAGGAAAAAGAATTAAAAATCATTCAGGGAAATGTGAACACTGGCAGGTATTTTATAACATTAAAGAATTATTGAAGAAAAGAGAGTTACCTATCCCAATAGAGGAGGAAGCTCGCTTCAAGGGGTGGGGACAGCATAGGCAAAGCCATCCTCTTTAGTGAGGGGCGACAGTTTAGTAGTTACAGGAGAAAGGACAGCTGCTGCAGAAACATCCTCTTACTTTCCCTCTGGGCTAGAGCTGGCTGTGGTGCTCTGATTTCTGAGAAAGGAAAATGCAGCATATTGACATGGAGACTATTTCTGTCCACCTCTTCTGGCCTCCCTGGGTGTAGCAGGCACCTAAGGGCAGGGGAGAAGTGTTACTGAGGGTTTTCAAGGCCACTCTCAGCAACAAGGGAAAAGGACCTGGTGGTTTGGGTGGAACAGAGGCTTTGAGTACACTGATCTCATCCCACTCTCCCAGCTCTGCCCTGGCATTAGAAGACAAGGAAGGAGGAGAGGTGTAGCACAAAGAACAGGAAAGTATGGAGGGAAGTGAAGAGAAGAAGGGAGGAGGAGAACAGGGAAGAGAAGGAGGGGCTGAAGTTAGAGCTCAGGATGTGTTCAGTTGTTTTAAAGTAGCAACTGACTTAGGGCCCCTAAACAGTAGGTAGAAGACGGGCATAGTGGCTTGTTGCACTTGTAATCCCCATGACTCAGGAGGCCGAGGCAGGAGGATGGCTTGAGGCCAAGAGTTTGAGACCAGCCTGGGCAACATAGTGAGACCCTATCTCTAAAAAAAGTTTAAAAATTAGCTGGGTGTGGTGGTGCGGCCTGTAGTCTCAGCTACTTGGGAGGCTGAAGTGGGAGGATCGCTTGAGCCCAAGAGTTAGAGGCTGCAGTGAGCTATGATCACAACACTGCACTCCAGCCTGGGTGACAGAGTGAGACCCTGTCTCTAAAAGACAAAACCAAAACCAAACTCCAGTAGGTAGAATGCTACCCTGTCTCCTCTCCCTACTTGCAGTTCAGTTCAGAGGCAAAGTAGGGGTGTCAGGAGGGATAAGGGGGATCCTCTGGCTGCAGAAATTGAAGAGTTTGCTCAGGGTCAACAGGACAAGCCAGGGGACCTGACCCCGTGTATCCACGGTCACCCGTGGTGAACGATGTATGCCATGGTACCTTTGTTCTGTGGTTTCCTGTTGTACCAAGATGCCCAGTGAGAAATAATAATAATCTTATTAGTTAACATTATTGAGTACTTACTATGCCAAGCCCTATTCCAAGTGTTTCCATATTAACTCTTTTCATCTTGTCAAGAACCCTTTGAGGAAGGTACAATTATTATTAAACCCATCTAATAAATGAGGTAACTGAGCCCAGAGAGGTTAAGTAACTTTCTTAAGGTCACACAGGTATTAAGTGGCCCAGATGTAACTGAACCTAAGAAAAGTCTAGTTCCAGAGCACATGCTCTTCACAACTACCCAGAATGGTAGTGGTGACCTGGGCCAAGCCTAGTGTGACCTCAGCCCCCTCCCTCAGACAGAGCTTTAGAAAGGCTCCACGTTCTTCCCCCAGAGAAGTTGGGGCCCAGGGCTAGAATTAAGTCTTCCCGGTGTTCTAGAAGAGACTTTGGAACAGCACTAGAAAAGCCACCCTGAGCATGAAAGGCTGGTAGGGCCTCCAGGCTGGGGGAGAGTTTGCCAAAAACAACAGCGTGCCTGCCCTAAACTGTTCTGAGGTTGCACAGCCTGGATGTCAGGCTGGCTGGTCCATGATTCTTATCAGCTCTCCACAGAGCAAGCGCTAGAGTCTGCAGCATTCCCATCTCGGCATATTCCATACTCCGAGGGCCCGGGGAAGGCACTGTCCCAGGCAGCACTCTTGGTGGGAGGCGGGGAGCTCGGGAAGGTCCGTATGTGAATCCCAGCCTGGCTCTTGGTGGGCAGCTGGGTCCCCTCCCCAGGTTCTGGCAGAACACCCTTGAACAATTTAGCCTGAAATAGCATAAGAACTTCTTTCCTATTTTTTTCCAGGCTTTTGGATGAAATTATATTTTACAAATGACTCATTATTATATTTATAGCTTCTCTCCAAATGATTCAAATTGTGGTTTGTCGCCTCCCTGTCTCTCAGCTCCCCCCAGCTCGACAGGAAAAAGTGCTGTTTACTGTATGGCCAGGTGTGGCTGCAAGAGCGGCTTTGCCTCTCCCTGTAATTACGTTTGCCTAAGCCCTGACAAGCACCCCGGCACATTTAGTCATGAGCAGCCTTTGTTCCAGCATGTTGTCGGGAGGCAGCATCCGACATTAACTGGGCTTGGAATCTGCTCCTGTAGGAAGTGCATGTGTGTGGTGCGGGGTGCGGGGAGTAGGGATCGTGGGGGAGGCTGTGACAGAGGGTGCCTTTGTGAGGGCAGAGGCTGGAGAGGCTGGGCTGCAGCTTCTCCCTCAAAGCACCCTGTGAGAAGGCTGGGATGGGCTACGCCCCGGAGGGCCTCAGAAGAAACATTATTCCTCTCCACCCCCAGCCTCCATGGAGGAACTGAGAGGGCCACTGGTGGAGAAGCTGGTGGCTCATACATTCCAGGCTGTGCTAGCGGTTCGGCCAGTGACACTCCAAGGTTTCTTGTGAGGAACCACTCTGGCTCTTTCAAGAATGGGGAGTTCTTGAATTCTCTCCCGCTTTCCAGGGAGCTCTCAGCCACAGTGATTGCTCAGCACCCCTACCCCTGCCCTCCACCCAGCTCCCAGGAAGGTGTGGTAAGGTTACAGTAGCTTGCTTTTAAACAGGCCACCTTTGAGAGGAGGGGTGGAGAGGAGGTTGGGATGAGGCCCCATTTGTAGAAACAGTTTATTCCATTGGTCGTCCACGGAATCAAGGTCCTCTGGGTCTGCCCTGGCTGGGTAAAGTTAAAATCCCATAAATTTTGCAACTCATGGTGACATTCTCAGAGCCCGCAAAAACCCTCTGCCCCTCTGGGTCCTTGGACCTGGGGTGTGGTGATACGCAGACACCCCTGGCTGGCTTGGATTGAAGGCTGTGGGGCCGAAGCAAGGACAGGCCACCCTGAGTGTCCTGAGGCCCAGAGGGAAGCAGGGAAACAGGCTACCCTATGAGAGAACGGCTTTGCGGGAAATCTCTCCGTTCCCCTCCCTTGGCTTTAAGTGAAAAGCGAGCTCCTGTAGGTTGCAGATTCTGCAGCTGTGGTGTGGCAGCGGCTTGGGAGGCTGGGCTGGATAAGGCGGAGCCTGAAGTTGTCCATGGTCCAAGCCCTGGGCCCTGGTCGTGTCCCCAGACACAACCCCAGCCTGGGTTCTTTGAGTCTGCTTCCATTTTCACTTCTTGGCACTGCCTGTGTGAGTGGGAAGGGGACTCGGAAGGAGGTGATGTGGGAATGGGTGTGGACAAGCATAACGTCACTGTTGGTGAAATCAGTCTGAAGCCCTAACCAGATGACTTCCATCTGGGCTGAGCTGGGTCACTGTGAGGTGTGTGAGACGGGCCTGAGTGTGGCTGGGGCCAGAGATGTGGAGTACAGGGACCTGTGCCTCTGGGCATTCCCTGGAGGTGGGAAGGGACAGCTGAGAGAAGGACAGGAGAGGGTCCTGGTGAGGCAGGGGAGGCCAGAGGGAGGAAGAGTGTGGACTCACCTGGGCTGTGGGGACCTGAACTTCTTCCTAAGGCCTGAGGGAAAGAGAGACTTCCTGACAAGAAGTGCTGCCTCTTACTTCCCAAGGGACCAGAGCCAGGGCAGCGGGACCAGCTGGCAGCCAGACTGAGGGGCAGCCAATGCCACCATCTGAAGCCACTATCAGGCCACCGTCTTTTATGAGACTGTAGTCTTGTATCTACCCTACTCATGCTGTCACCTTTTCATTTGTCTTTTGACAGTCAACATGCCCGAGTGCTGTGAACGTTATGAGAGGGCCTTGTTGGGAACACGTGCTCCTGGGAATCAGCCCTTCCCTCTGTCCTGTTCCCACTCCTCCCCGACGATGCTCCTGCTCAGAACCCACTCCTCACCTCAGTGAAGCAACGCAGCGGGCACCCTGTGGACAAAGCTGGATATTGGCTCTGAATAAAAGCGAATCATGGGGAAAATCAGTGTCTCAGTAAAATGGGGTTTTCTTAGTAGAGACCAGACTGTGAAGGACCTTGCTTCATTCCATCTTTGAGGAGGATGATGATTCAGGGACATTGGCCCAAGATCAAAGTGGTATTTTTAGGTTGTATTTACTTAGCTATTTGCCGTCTACCTCCTTATTTCCAGGTAGCAACTTCCTTCTTATATCTGAGATGTTTAAGAGATGATGAAACCAGCTTGCACACACTTCTCAAAGTGTGTTTGTTCGCATCCATTATTTCACTGGGGACCGGCTATTATCCTCTCCATTTTCTTTATAAGGATATTGAAAGAGAGATTAAATAACTTGTTCAAGGCCGCATAGCTAGTTAACAGCTGAACTAGGCTTAAAACCAACGTCTGAAGGCTCCTATTCCAGTGGCAGCTGCTGTGTGCTTCTTCTGTTTTCCATCAGTTTGGAAGGGAGCATAAAGTCTACAGCCACATGGGTGGGGTCAGCAGAAAGATTGACCACCAAGCCTGAGGCAGGTGAGGCTGATCTCCTGGGCACAGCCTCTCTGCACAGGAGTTCACAGAAGTGATATGATCCAAAGTTGCTGAGGGAAAAGCCCTTATTTGTGGAATTAACGGCAGGTCTCTCTTGAGGTCAGAATGAATGTTATTGACATTATTGTTTGTATTGTGGTAAGGTATACATAATGGAAAATGTACCATTTTGGCTGGACATGGTGGCTCACGCCTGTAATCCCAGCACTTTGGGAGGCCAAGGTGGGCGCATCACCTGAGGTCAGGAGTTCGAGACCAGCCTGCCAACATGGTGAAACCTCATCTCTACTAAAAATACAAAAATTAGCCGGGCGTGGTGGTGGGTGCCTGTAGTCCCAGCTACTTGGGAGACTGAGGCAGGAGAATCACCTGAACCCAGGAAGCAGAAGTTGCAGGGAGCCGAGATGGCCCCACTACACCCCAGCCTGGGTGACAGAGCGAGACTCCGTCTCAGTAAATAAATAAATAAATAAAAATAATAAAATAAAATGTACCATTTTAACCATTTTTAAGTGTACAGTTTAGTGACATGAAGTACATTCACACTATTGTGCAACCATGATCATTTTCCATCTTTTTTATCTTCCCAAACTGAAACTCCACACCCACTAAACAATAACTCCCCTTTCTCCCCTCTCCCCAGCTCCTGGTAACCACTATTCTACTTTCTGTCTCTGGGAATTTGGCTACTCTAGGTACCTTATGTAAGGGGAAGCATACAATATTTTGTGCTTTTGTATCTGATTCATGCTGACTTATTTTTAATTAGATCACCATTTCGACTGCAGCAGGAATGCTGATCAGTGATGTGCCATGCCTATAGAGGAGTAAAGAAAAGAAAAAGGAAAGAAAGAGCAAAAAGGAAAAAGAAAACAGGAACATTTTGGGGTGGATTTCTTGACTGTCAGGGGTACCAGATGTAAGGGGGCGGTGGTGGCGGGTGGATAGGAAGAAAGTGTTACATAGAAAACAAAATGCTGTGCTTTATCATTCCAGGGGCGGGCTGGCATCTATCCTGGAGGTAGATGCCTCTGTTTTGAGGATTATGCTATGATGAACCCTGATAGGGAAGCGCTCTGGTGAGAACAATGAGACTTTCTGGGCATGCGGAAGGCAAGACAAATTGTTTTGCAAGATGAATCCCCAGGAACTTGGAATTTGGGTAGAAGGGTCTAGAAGAGAAGGGGAAGGCTGGAGAGAAGATGGTTTAAGTTGGGACTTAGGGAACAGTGAGAAGTTTTCTGAGGTGGGAGATGGTTGGTGAACTTTCAGGGTAATGTCTATTCGTAGATTCTCATTTGCTTACTGTCATTTCCTCTCTATGACCCCTAACCTTGAGTAAAAGTCTGCTGCCGTGTGAGTTGGGCGTGGCTGGGGCAATGCAGGGACGGGGCTAAGCAAAGGGTGATAAAGAGCGGGTGGGAGAGGAGAGCAGCTGTGGGAGTTGAGGTGCAGATAGAGGGTGAGAGGTGGGAAGCAGGGAATCCCAGCCAGAGGTCATCAGAGGAATCACAAACCGTCTGAGCATCTTGGCACCCAGAAGGTGGGGGGTTGTGACAAGATTTGAGAGAACTGCAAGCTTGCGGGGACACAATGATGGAGTCCCTACTCTTAGGGGAATGGGGCTGGGGTCACTGCTTGGATATGACAGGGCAGGCACGCCAGTTAGACAGCCTGAAGGAAGGAGTGGATGGATTTCTCTTCTTGGAGACCTTTGGCAACACTTGGACAAGGCACAGCCTGGGTAATGAGGAAGTCCCTGCAACACAGCTCAGTGCCTCCAAGATTTCCAGATACACAGAGAAGAGGACTGTGTTTCTCAAAACAGAGATGGAGGTAGAGCCAAAGCCAAGCCCAGAACATGTCTCGAGCTTTCAAAACACCTTCTCTTTAAAATCATCTGAAAGCAGAGATATATGGCAGTTGACTATCTCTGATGGAGACATATACCTTTATTTATTTATTCATTTATTTTTAAGACAGGTTTTCGCTCTGTCGCCCAGGCTGGAGTGCAGGGGCGCAATCTTGGCTCACTGCAACCTCTGCCTCCCAGGTTCAAGTGATTCTCCTGCTTCAGCCTCCTGAGTAGCTGGGACTATAGGATGTGCCACCATGCCTGGCTAATTTTTGTATTTTCAGTAGAGACAGGATTTCACCATGTTGGCCATGCTGGTCTTGAACTCCTGTCCTCAATTGATCTGCCTGCCTTGGCTTCCCAAAGTGCTGGCATTACAGGCATGAGCCACTGCGCCTGGCCAACATAAGCTTTTTGTACCCCCCAGACATAGCAGGAACCCAGTGAGAAGGCCGGGCTGCTCCCACCCAGAGACCCTGGAAGAGCCTGGCATGGAAAATGGGCCGTGCATCGTGTTGCCGGGAATGCTTGGTGATTCTCTGGCCAGGTCCTGGGCTGAGTGTGGGCCGGGGATGGAGCCCTGCCTGGAATCAGTGATGCATCCTGAAATCTCTGGACCAGCCTGCATGGTGACGGAGACCAGAGTGAGGCTGGCCGAGGACATTTCCCTCTGGTCCTGTCCAGCCTTGGCCCCGAGAACCAAGGCTCTAGGCTCATCTGGCTAGATAGATCCTGTTTTTGGCCCAGCCCAGCATCCCTTTGTTACTTGGGACTTGGGGAAAAAGGCCTGGCTTGGCTCACACTTGAGGAGGTTTGCCAAATGTGTTACTTACCATTAAAAAGCTTGTAAACCTGGGGTGCAGGATGCTGTGGGGGCCTGGGCTGGCTCGAGGATGTGCTGTTTAGAAGTTCCAGAAGTTCCCTGCTGGCTGGGAGGGAATAATGTCCCTGCAGAGTCAGAGGCGAGCCTGCCCTGGGCCTGGGCCAGCTTTCCCTCTCGCGGGCCTCTCTGCTCTGGGGGAGCTGTGTGTTTCCTTCTACTCAGGCAGCTTGGGAAAGACCAGAGGCCCTTTCAGGGAAGGGAGAAAAAGGGAAACAGGCCTGAAATGACTGTCGTGAAAGCCCACTTCTGAGCTTCAGCCCAGAGCACAAATGCATTTTCTTCTGTTATGAGAATGTGGAGAGTTCCAAGAGGTTGTTCAGGGGAAATACAGAGCCTCAGAGCTCTGGTACTAGGAGGACCTTAAAGACCAGTTAGGACAGCCCCCTCATTTTACTGGAAGGCTAATTTGAAACAGAATGGAATTTGGCAGGGGCTAGGATCCCTTTTTTCTTCGGAGGCTTCATTTCCTGAAAGACACAGTGTCCGTGATGAACTGATTTCACTAATTCGCTCATTGCATTTTTTAAAAACCTCAGCGGTCCAGATCTGGCTTCTTTTGAAGGTAACAGAGTTTGTGGCTTCCAGGGTGTTTTCAGTTTGGGGCCATAATTTCTGTTTGTTCATTAAAAATATTTGTTCACCATAGGCTTACTGCCAGGTCTTCCTATGCACAGCATCAGGCTGTGCTTGTGAATGGCTGAGGGAAGCTGGAAATAGGCGAAATCAGGAAAATACTGGAATAAGGCAGGGGCTGATGTGGTCTAGGAGGGTTAGAAGGTGGAGGCTGGCAAACTTGTGATTAAGGGTGGTGTTTGGGCACCCTCAATGAGGAGGCCTCATAGCTATGGAAGAGACCAAGAGAACCTGGGTAGACATCTGTGCAGGGCCTAGGGACTCAGGACCCCCTGTGGATGCAGCTGAGCTGCACCTGAGAGGTCTCTGAGGTGGACAGGCCCCTGGTGGCACAGGAAGCTTCAGAAAGAGGAGACTTGCATTGGGGCAACCAGGCATATCAGAAAAAGATCTTAAAAAAAAAAAGAGAGAGAGAGAGACAGAAAGCAGGTGGGACAGAGTGAAGTGGGGCCTGAATTAATTATAAATGGTGGTGGCTATATCCTTTTTTGGGAGGGGCCCAGGAGGCTGCCAACTTTGATCTCATTTTCTGGACAGGCCTTTAGGTTACCTCTTCTATCCACCACCCAATCACCAGAGAGTTAGTGCCTTCTGACAGAAGCAGCTCTTGGCAGAACACACGAGACATAAGCAGCTGGGGCTGGGGACAACACCTGCTAGGGGTGGGCTGGGAAGGAGACAGACATATGCTGGTGCAGGAGAGGAAAGTGTATCATAGCCTCCTGTCCTGGGAGGCAGAGTGGAAGGGCATGCGGCAGGGTTCAGGGAGGGGCCATCTCTGTCTTATTCATGTGGTAGCCCCGGCGCCTAGCTCAGTGCCAGGCACACCCTAAATAACAAAATCACTAAATAACGGAATGAGTGAATTTAGCTTATGCCTGAACACACAGAGTGTCATCCTCTTGAATCCTTATGTTAACCTATATTTTTCTTCTCCAGGATTTATGGAATAATCAGGAATCTGCCTACTGTGAGCTTTCCCCTTTAGAAAGGTTTTCTCATTGCTGGTGTGACAGAGTGCACTGAAGCTCTGTTTCTCCAGTGATCTCAGCATAAAGACCCTCCATCTGACAGGCAAAGGACGGGTGGGAGGAGGGCCAGGAGGACCTCTCAGGGCCCAGCTGGCTGTGCAGGATGCAGAGGGTGGGCTGGTACAGAGGCTAAGAGCAGAGGTCAGGGTGAGAGGAGGCATTAGCAGCTTTGTTAATTGCATCATGTCTTTCCTCCAGGTGACAACACTAGGCCTATGCCTCATCCCCAGCAGGTGACCAATGGAGGAAAATAAAATAGAACTTCAACATGCTCTCTGACGAACTTGAACCCCTGGTACTGGTTGCTCTGAGAAGCCATGGGTTTCCTTCCTTGGACAATTTCAGAGCCCATCATTATGGTTTATGGAAAGGAAGTGGCACTGAGAGAGACCCTTGCTTCTCCTGGCAGCTCTTCTCCCTTGAGAAAGCTCCTCAACTTCTCCTGAGCTTAGTTTCAGAAGTGATTGTTCATCCTCTCCCACTGGGAGTCCTGGGATGGGCTCCGTATATTTTACTCCAGCCACAGGCGGATGAGTGAGATGACCTTTTCAGGTCACTCAGGAGATCCTCCAGTTTCTCAGGATAATCTAAGCATCTCCCTTTCCTTTAGAAGCTGTCAGAGCTAACTCAGCGTGGGTGTGGGCTCTTTGCAGCTACACCACCTCCCCTCCAATATTTAGAAGTTCTTTGCTGGTTCTTAGGGTCTCCTAATCACAGGTCTTTTTTTCTGGGCTCTGCCTGAAAGGCCACATCCGTTTTTTCCCTGAAAGCTAGCTAGGTCCTCTGGGCTAAACACCACCGCCCCTCAGCTCTAGAAATGGCTGATTTTCATGACGCCCTTTGCCAACCAGATTATTTCTTAAATTGCTCTCCCCCCTGCTGGGTGTTCTGGGACACAGACGCCAGTGTGTGGGGTCCCCGGCTTTCCTTTCTCCCAGAGCAGCTGGAGGAGAGCCTCAGTTTCTCCACCGCACACCCTGGCCTGAGGGTAGCAGCCGACCCAGTCGGGGGAGTGGGCCTCCTGCGCCCTCGGAGGCACAGGACCGCGGGGCCCCACCGAGGACCCCCTGAACGGCAGCCCGCCGCGAGGCAGCGTGGGGACCAAACTGCCGCGCCCCAGAGCCCGCCGCCGCCTGTCCCCGCGTCTGAGGTCCGCAAGGAAGAGCTGCGGGAATGCACGCCCGGGGAAGAGGCTTTGTGAACCGAGGCTCGGCGCGCCCCCCACCCGCGCCCCTCATGGGCAGCCGGGCCCAGCCCGCCGCCCGGGCCCCTCTGGGAAGGGCTTGGAGGCGACGCGGGGGGTCGGGGGAGGAGGGAGCGTTCCTGCAAATCACATGATTTTCCCGCTTATATAAATCACAGCTTGTTTTTCTCAACCAGCTGCAGACTTAAAGGTGCAGTGTCTTCTTTCTCTCCCAAGGGCAGAGGTTCCCCAGGGTGCTTTTGACGACCCCTGAGCTGGGGTGGGGTGGTTTCACCAAGCAGGGGTCAGGGTTCAGGGTTCAGGAACCCCCCACCCCATCCCCCATCCCCGGGATGTTTCCTTTTAGCTCGGGACCAGGGAGGGGCATGGAAATCCGGTCGCCAAATCAGCAGGCAGAGCCGAGCTGGGGCGGCCTCCAGCGCCTCGCCTCGGTCAGCGATCACTCTGGAGACCAGCGATCCCCGTGGGGGACCCTGAGCTGAGGGGTTACAATGAAACTGGCCGGTGGCAGATTTGCGGTGGCCAAGAGCAGACTTCTAAGGGTGATGCTTACTGTTCTGACCAGCCCTGGTTATTTGTTTGAGGCTAAGTTATGTGAGAAGAAAAACGAGCTCAACACATATATCCAGCACCTATCATCTACCTATTAGGCACTGTAGGGAGAAACCAAGACCTTTTAGACAGTCGTCACCTTCAAGTGGTTTATAGGATTTAGGTGATGAGATATGTAGATATAGACATAGAGGCAGACACGAGATATAGAGATTAAATAGCACTAGTCAGTTTCAATGCCTGTTCCAGGCTAAACAGAAGAGCGTTACAAGGCTGTGCATAATTACTTGCTTGATCAACAGCACAGATAATGAGTCCTTCAGGCCTTGGGAAGAGGGCTCTGGAGGCCCTGACTGAGAGGTGGGCCAGAGGCAAGGCAGGAGGGGGACAGGCAGCTGGGGGAGGATGGACGGCATGTGTCAGGAGGGGAGAAAGGAGCATGATGTTGGAGTAATCCCTTTGCTAAACTGAGGAACTGGAGAGAGGAGGAGTGGGGGATGAGGGTGGGAAGCCGTAGGGGGGCCAGGTGCAGGTGGCCTTGAGTGCAGGGCTGAGTGTGGACTTGATCTGGTGAAGGCAGTGGGCGAGCCTGCAGAGGTGGGAGGGCAGGTGAATGGTATGATGAAGGGGGTGTTTTTAAGGACCAGAAGTCTGGCAGCAGTGCGCAGAATAAACTCGAAGCATTGATGGAGACCCGTTGGAGGCTTCTGCAAGGAACCAGGCTGACGTAAGGTCACAGTGCTGGGGTGTTAAGAGAAAAGGTGAAAATGAACAGCGAGAAATAAGAGATTTTGAAGAAAGAATGGAGATAATTGATTGTGTATACAGCAAAGGGGAGAAATCACCAGAGGTGATGTTGATTTTGAGCATGGATGGCAGGGAGAAGATGGCAGCCCTGCAGCCCTTAGGTGGAGGGGGGGGTGCGCCAGTGGCCAGGGGAGGAGCTCCTTTTGGAGATGGCGTTTGTGAAGACAATGGGCTCTTAACTGGGAAATGTCCAGTGGGCTGGAAGTCAGAGGAAATAACTCAAGGGATGAAAGAGATCTTGCAGATCTTACAGGGAGATCACAGAAAGGGAGAAAGAGAAGTAGGGCCAGGGGACACCCACGTTTAGGAGTAGGAGCCGCTGGCAAGGCTGTGGAAGGAATATTCACACCCCAAGGACAGACCAACCTGGGCACGAAGTGTCTCTGCCTGACCTTGGCCAAGTTGTTTATTCTGTCTGCACCTCAGTTTTCTCATCTATAAAATGGCACTAACAGCACTTGCATTACTTTCTGTGAGGACGATGTGAAATGTCTGAAGCATCTCACACACTGCACAGTGTCTGGTGCAGGGCAAGCACCAGCTGTTCTTCCTTTCCACACTTCCCTTCCTGCCACACCCTCTATGTCCTTTCATGGCAGCCACCTGAACACAGTTTCTCTCCTTTTAAATTGTTGTTGTTTTTCTTCTTACCCCTCCTCCTCTTCATCTCCTTCTTCTTTTTCTAGAAGAAACACACGGTCTTGTTTGCATGACCAATTATTTGAACTGGAAATACCCTCCATTATGAAGGAAGGAAATAATAAATTTTTTTCCTAAGGGCCTCTTAGCTGAAGCTGGCTATTACCTCACTGGATCCTTCCAGCAGCCCTGCAGGGTTTGGGAAGGCAGGTATTATCAGGCCTTTTTCCCCCCTACAGCTGAAGAAATGGAAGAATGGTTGTAAAAAGTTTTATTATTCTGTTGAGAACCACATGTCTAATCAGTACTCTCTAGCTCAGAGCTTTCTAAACTTCTATTTGTAGCCCTTTATTTTTGGAAATAATTTTACTCGGTAGTCAAATAAAATAGATATAGGCAACCCAGTTCTGGTTTCAGTGCAGTGGGGAGGTTCTGAGTCACGACTGCTTGGCTGTGCTCCCACTCCCAGCCCCAGGCCAGGCTGAGAAGTGGGGCTTTCCTTGTGGGGTAACCCAGCACCCAGAGCCTCTCCCTCTACACTAAGCTTCATTCTTTTCCTTTTCAGCCACAAACTTCCTGACTGTGAAAGCCAGGCCCCAGCCCAAGAAGGCTTCACAGACCCCTAGGTGTGCCCTCTGTGTGAGCCAAGTGTTGACCCTGGCGATGATGCCAACAGCCCGACTCTGCCCAGCTTTCAGCCGCATGAGTGTGAACCAGCTGAGCGGCACCAGCTCAGGGCAAGGCAGAAGGCCAGGTGCACTGTCTCTAGGCAGGCAGGATGAACAGCAGCACCTGATGTCACAGCGGCCGGGGAACCACCCTGGTTGGGGCATGCTAACCCACCCTGCTAATATGCTTTGGGTCCTAATTTCCTTTTTGAATGAGTTTCTTAAAAAAAACAACTTGTTAGGTGAAAAGACAGTTTGTGGTTTTTAGAATGATGATTTGAGTAAGGCAAGTATTGGTAAAATGCTCTGCAGATAGTTATCGCATACGCTAATGCTTACATAAGATAAACTCCTGGCAATGGAATTAGATGAAAGTATATATACATTAAGTTTTAAAATATACACTATTTAAGGCAGATGAATAGACATAAAAAATAAAAGCAGCTTAAAAAAATAACACTGTTAACACAAGCAGAATGCTGCTTTATACAACCTTGATCTTGCCATCCCTTCCCTTCTACCTAGAGGACACCAGGATCCAGAATTTGGTGTTTATCATTCCTATACAGTGCTTTTAATGTTTTAACATTTTACGTAAATTATATTTTACTGCATGTATTCTTCTGAAACTTGCATCTTTTATTATTGTGATTCAGGGTGTTGTTCTGTTGCCCATGCTGGGTAGTGGTGTGATCATGGCTCACCATAACCTCTAACTCCTGGGCTCGAACTGCTACCTCAGCCTCCCGAGTAGGTAGGACTACAGGCTTGTGCCACCATGCCTGGCTAATGAAAACAATTTTTTTTTTTTTTTGGATACAGAGTCTCACTGTGTTGCCCAGGCTGGAGTGTAGTGGCGTGATCTCGGCTCACTACAACCTTTGCTGCCCAGGTTCAAGTGATTCTCCTGCCTCAGCCTCCTGAGTAGCTGGGATTACAGGTGCCTGCCACCGTGCCTGGCTAATTTTAATTTTTTGGTGGTTTTTAGTAGAGACAGGGTTTCATCATCTTGGCCAAGCTGGTCTTGAACTCCTGACCTCGTGATCCACCCACCTTGGCCTCCCAAAGTGCTGGGATTACAGGCGTGAGCCACTGTGCCTGGCGAAAACACATTTTTTGTGGCAACTGAGTCTCATTATGTTGCGCAGGCTGGTCTTGAACTTCGGGCCTCAAGCAATCCTCCTGCCTCAGCCTCCCGGGTAGCTGGGATTACAGGCATGCGCCACTGTGCCTGGCTGAAACTTGCATCGTCTTTTCCTCAGTATTATATTTCTGAGATTCTTCCATGTTGATACCTTTTTAAAGGAAATTTATTTTCACTGTATAACTTCAAATTGTATGAATATACTATAATTATGTATCCATTTTCTGGTTAATGGACATTAAAGTTGTACAGTGTTTTTTTCCTGTTACAAACAGTGCTTCTATGAACATTCTTGTACACATCATCTCTTGATTGTGTATGTGTGGGGGTTTCTCTAGGACATTTGCTTAGGAGTGGAATTACTGACTGGTTCATAGATTATGAGAATCTTCAATGAGATTGGAAGTATTCTCCAGGCCGGGTGCGGTGGCTCACACCTGTAATCCCAGCACTTTGGGAGGCTGAGGTGGGCAGATCACATGAGGATCAGGAGTTCGAGACAAGCCTGCCCAACATGGTGAAACCCTGTCTCTACTAAAAAAATACAAAAATTGGCTGGGCGCAGTGGTTCACGCCTGTAATCCCAGCACTTTGGGAGGCCGAGGCGGGCAGATCACGAGGTCAGGAGATTGACACCATCCTGGCTAACACGGTGAAACCCCTTCTCTACTAAAAATACAAAAAAATTAGCCGGGCGTGGTGGCGGGTGCCTGTACTCCCAGCTACTCGGGAGGCTGAGGCAGGAGAATGGCAAGAACCCGGGAGGCAGAGCTCGCAGTGAGCCGAGATCATGCCACTGCACTCTGGCCTGGGCGACAGAGCGAGACTCCATCTCAAAAAAAAAAAAAAAAAAAAAAAATGAGCTGGATGTGGCAGTGTGAGCCCGTAATCCCAGCTACCAGCTACTCCAGAGGCTGAAGCAGGAGAATTGCTTGAACCCAGGAGATGGAGGTGCAGTGAGCCGAGACTGCACCACTGCCCTCCAGCCTGGGTGACAGAGTGAGACTCTCTCAAAAAAAGAAAAAAAAAAAAGGAAAAAAAAAAAAAGTCTTTCCAAAGTGGTTATTGTAATTTACACTCTTATCCACAGTCAGTTACTCCACCTCCTCACCATCACTTGCTGTTGTCAAACTTTTAATTTTTGTGGAATTGATTGGTGTGAAATGCTTTCTTGTTGTGGTTTACATTTCTCTGATTACTAGTGAGGTTAGGCATCTTTTCACATATTTTATTTTTTTGCTATACGTATCTCTTCTTATGATAATTACCTTTGCCCATTTTCTTCTTTTGGAGTGCTTGTCCTTTCCATATTGATTATAGAATTCCATTAAATATTATGCTTACTAGTCTGTTATCAGTTAAATGTTTTGCAAATATCTTTCCCATCTGTTGATTCTTTTCACTTTTTTTTTTCTTGAGACGGGGTCTCAGTCTGCTGCCCAGGCTGTAGCACAATGGTGCGATCACAGCTCAGTGCAGCCTCGAACTCTTGGGCTCAGGTGATCCTCCTGCCTTGAGCTGGGAATACAGGCATACACCACCATGCTTGGCTATCTTTTCACTTTTAAAACGAGTGGACTTTTGATGAACAGAAGTTGATGTAATATAGTTGAGTTTTGTATTTAAATTTTTTATATTGTTAATTGCTCAGCTTGTACTTCTGTCAATAGTGTATAAGAGTGCCTGGTTTTCCACACTGCTGCCAACACTGGGCCTGAATGATTTTAATTTTTGTTAATCTGATAGGTGAAAATGGTGTCTCACTGTTTTGATCTGTCTTAATTATGGGTAAGCTTGAGCATATTTTCACAGGCTACTGGCCTTTTACATTTCTTTTTCTGTTTTCTTCATTTTTCTATTGAGTAGTTTGCTTTTTCCTAATTGATTTGTGAAGGCTTTCTGAATAGTAAAGAAATATACCCTGTTTCTGCTGTGTGTGTGGCTACATGCTGCATGTGTATCTCCTCACTGCAAGCCATTGATGATGGAACTAGAAAAACCTGAGCCTCTGTACCACATTTGCCCTCTTTAGCCCTTGAACACTAGCTGTGTTGCACAAGAATGTAAAAAGCTGCAATTGGAGGCTTTGTGGAAGTGGCAGGAGGAGCAATGTAGTTCTGTGTAAGTAGGAGCAATAGGGTAGGGAGTGTGTACACTGTGGAAGCCCATCTTCTATTAAAGGGTAAAACAAACAGAGACGGGAGAGAAAGTTTGAGTTGGAGCAATAGGAATGTGGCCTGCATTCTCATTTCTTAAGTGAAACGTTACTAATGCCCTGGTGAGGAATTCTGAAGTGCCTTGTGTAGCTTGGCTGCCCTTGGCTGGTGGTGAGAGTGGTGGAATGGAATAGTTCTGAGGGTCTGGCCTGTACCAGGCATGCAGCCCTGATGGAGGCTCAAGAAAGCTGACTTGCTCCAGGTCACAGGGCTGTCAGTGGCCAAGCTTGGATTCAACTCTGGGACTAGCTCGCTCTTCAGCCCTGTTGTCTGCAGCATACTAATGGTTCTACCATGATTAGTCTCAATTAGGGGAAGGCTTGGCTTTTATAAGGAGATTTGTCAGGAAAGCCTCATAACAAAAGAGTCAAATTAGAACATATTTTAAATAGATTGCCATCTCAACAGTGAAATTTCATATTTCTATGTTTTAATGTCAATAATTGGCTTAAATAGTCCCTCTTGGAGAACACAGGTAAATTAACAGTAATTATAATTGGGCTCTATTGAAAAAGAGCAATAGACTTAATAGTCCTGTTCATGCCTGAAAGAATGTTCAATGGAGAAACCAGCCAAGATTCCATTTTTCCCTGTCTTGCATTCAGTACAATTTGGATGACATTAAGCTTTCTCTTCACTCATTTACTCATCCAACAACTGCTTACCACATTCACATTCTGTGCCATTTTGTTAAGAGCTGAAAGAGTGGTGAACAGACCTAGGGCCTGCCCTCACAGAGCCTACAGTCTAGTGAGAGGGATAATCAATAAACAAGTAAACAAACAAAAAACAGCTGTTGTAAGTGCTGTGAGGGACATACACACGTGCTGCGACAGAGAATAATATGGGATTGACTTTAGTGGGCAGGTCAGGGAAGGTCACACACATTCTGTGGGTGATTGGGTACTAACATTTATTTTGGAGTTAAAAATACCTCCTACAGGTCTTTTGCTGCAGTGATGCCAGCGGGAGCATCAGGAGCTTGGGCTCAGAGCAGGACGCCTCGGATTGTTTTAAGAAAATGGCAGACGAACTGGGCATGGAGGAAATCGCTAGCTTTCATAAGGCCAAGCTAAGGAAAATGGGGATGCAGAACACCCTGCCAACCAACCCAAGAGACTGCTGAGCAGGAGAAGCGGTGTGAGACTTCCTAAGAGCCTGGAGGATTCCCGACCCCATCATCTTCCAGACTCCAGCTGCCATGTGGAAGAAGCTGATTATAGCAGGGTTTTTTTTTTTTTGCCATGCCATGAGGTGTGTTTTATTTTCAATAATCATACAATAATTTTCTATAATGGAAAATCATACAAATAATTTTCTATAATGAAAATAATACAAATAATTTTCTGTAATGAAAATTAATACAAATAATTTTGTATTAATCATACAAATAATTTTCATTAAAGAACATTATTTGCACGATTACTGAAAATAAAAAACACCTCATGACATGGCCAAAAAAACCCCCAAAAATCTTCCTATAATCAGCTTTGATATAAACAGTTTTCTTTTAACTGAGGAGAAAGCACCAGTATACAAAGAAGAAAAGCAGGGTGTGCACTTTTTTTCTTCTGGGGTCTACAAAATAAAAATAGCCATGAGGCTCCCTGGATAGTTTTTCTTGCTGATTGCAAACACCAGATACCCCGAGTGCAGTCTTTTCATGCAATCTGGATGTGCATCCTGGTTTTTCACGGAAATTTCTTCCTTGGGGTAAAAGATGACCACCCATATTTAATGGGAGGGCCCAAAAGCATTTAAGGGGAATATAAATTCCAGAGGTCTATCCAGAACTAACATGAAAAGCTCCTCTCTTGAATTTGCTGCCCATCAAGGCAAAGCATCTTCCTTGAAGCAGGTTTGAAGGATTTGCTTCCTCATCTCGCCTCCTCTTTTCGCACCTGCCAGTCCACAAGGGCTTGGGTGACAGCACCTGGCCTACACACTTTTCTAGGCACAGCAAAACTGTCCCCTACACGGATTTTCTTTAGTTCACAAACACATCTCCTCTCATTTTGGTTGTTTGAGCCACGGTGAGAATGCTGGGCTTTCAGGAATATAATTTGATGATGAAGGGATTCACCCTCTCTGCCCAGGACTTTTTTTTTTTTTTTTTTTTTTAAGATGAAGTCTTGCTTTGTCGCCCAGGCTGGAGTGCAGTGGCACCATCTTGGCTCACTGCAAACTCCGCCTCCCCGGTTCAAGCGATTCTCCTGCCTCAGCCTCCTGAGTAGCTGGGATTACAGGCGCCCACCACCACGCCCAGCTAATTTGTTTTGTATTTTTAGTAGAGATGGGGTTTCACCATGTTGACCAGGCTGGTTTGGAACTCCTGACCTCAAGTGATCCACCCGCCTTGGCCTTCCAAAGTGTTGAGATTACAGGCGTGAGCCACCGCGCCCGGCCTGTCCAGGACTTTTTGAAGGGGTTTTGTTTGTTTTGCTTTTAGGTATGTCTATTTGTTATTTTCTTAATAAAAACACCACTAGCGGCCAGGTGCGGTGGCTAACGCCTGCACTCCAGCCTGGGTGACAGAGACCCTGTCACGAAAAAAAAAAAAAATCTAAAGAAAGCCTCTCTTTCTAGCCAATGTTTAAAAGCTCTCAGTGTTGCTCCTCTCTCTTCCTACATTTCCTCTTCCTAAGCAAAGTAACATAAAAACTCTAGACAATTGGCAGGTATTTGTGTGTTCACCTGTGGGAGAGAGTTCACTTTTCAGGGAGCGGGAATAAAGGAAAACGATTGTCGAGTGCACGTGATTTAAATTAAGTCCTGGCCTCCATCAAAGTGGTGTTGGGAACCATCTGGTGGCCAGAAAGGTTTTAACACAGGCCAGGGCTCCCTGCTGTCCTCTCGTGGCAAGAGGTGGTATGACGCCCTAGGTAGGAATCCTTGCCCTGCGTTGTTCAGGATTACAGAAAAGATACAGATCAGGAAGGAAGGCAGTTAAAGTCAACGTTTACTTAATGCCCTAAAGCAGATGGGGCTCCGGGAGGAGCCAGGACAGCACCGACGCTGGCATGGTATCTGCAGTTACTGCCTGCTGCCCACAGGAGATTGACAAAAACCCCAAATATGACAATCCCAATTCATAATTTTGGGTGGAGCGGGGTGGAGTTTTATGACATATTCTCAATTAAAAATATCTTTATCCTGTTTTTGAATCATAGAATTTTAGAGCTGGAAAGGATCTTAGAAATGAGTCAATAAAATTTTATTGAGTTTTTACTATGTGCCTCTGTACTACGTGCTGTTAGGGACTTAAGGATGAATTAGATATGAATAAGCCCTGTCCTCAAAGAGTTAAAGGTGTAGCAGAAAAGTCATACAATAAAGCGAGTAAATGCCATGTAATGTGGTAGGTGCAATAACATTGGGAGAGCATGCGATACTGTGAGGACAGATGTCAGAATGGCCCCCTCTACCTGAGGTAAGTGAAGGCTTAAAAGAGAGGAGCTAGCACCTGACTTGTGTCTCAGAGAATGAGGAGTTTTCCAGGTAGGTGGGTAAGGGTGGGGATCAGAGAGGGAGGCCCAGGCAGTTGAGAAGCACACGCAGGCAGGTGGGACATTGCATTCGGCTGTAGCATATGGTATGAGGTAGGTAGCAGATGCTGCATAAATCCTTGCCGAATGAATGCATCTATGAATGATGATGGTGGGAATGGTGAGAGAGGAGGATGAAGAGGTTATGGGGGGTGGGGTGCAGGTCATAACACTAAGGAATTTGAACGTCATGCTAGAAGAGGTGAGGGAGGGTGTGGGTGGAGGGCCTTTGAAGGATTTAAGCAGAGGAGTGACATGATCATATTTATATTTTAAAAACAATTTTGGCAGCAGCGAGAAGGAGGCCGATAACTAATTAGTAGGCTACTGAAATAACCCAGTGAGTGATGATGAAATCCTAAGGCGGAGAAATGGGAACATTGAGGAAAGCATGGATTTGAGTACTGTTGGGAATACAGAATCGGTAGAGGCAATGAAAGAGAGAGAAGGGTCTAGGATGGCTGCCACCCAGAGTTTTGGCATGGGGTCTGCGTGGAGCAGATTTTGACAGGAAGGTAAAGAACATAGTGGTGGTGTTTGTGGCACCTCCAGGTCGATGTCTAGAGGGTATCTGAATACATGGGTCTGGGTTTAGGATCACAAAACTGAATGAAGGAAACCTGGAGAGTGTGTGGAGTGTGTGACCAGTGGGGAAAGTGGAGGATGAACTCTGGTGACCAAAGGATGGGTGGGGAGGGGCAGAAGAGGAGCTAGGAGAGGAGGAGAACCGAAGGGGAAACTGGCCTGGGGAGGTGTCCTTAAAGGGTCAGCCAACACTGGGCGAGAGTCCACCTAACAGGATCAGAAGCCTTGGCCAGATGGAATTGCTCTTGTGTTTTCTGCACCATGTGTTTGCTTATTTATTTGTTCAATGCTTGTCTTCATATTTAGTAAAAGGTTTTTCTTGTAACAGCACCCCTCTCTGCCCCAGGTTTCTGTTCCGTAGATGGAGGCTGGTCACAGTTAGAGTTGGAGTGGGCTCCCTGCCTCCGGGCCTCTCCCTTGCAACCCCTCTCCCACTGTGATCTCACTGGCTTGGCTCACATGTAGTTCTGATCACTTTTCCCCGTCACAATTGTTCATTCTCACTTTCTTAGTCTCCTTCTCTCAGGGCTCCCCACTGCCTGCAGAGTAGCTCTCAAGCCTTGCATTCAGAGCCCCTAAAATCTGATCCCAACTTTTTCTTCCTGCTTGAGCTCGGAATTCCTCCACTCACTTCCCCCAAGCCAGAGCCTCAGGCACACTGGAGCTCACTTCCCCTACCTCTGTGTCATCACCCGAATTCCTTCCATCCTTTAAGGTCAAGATCAAATAGTCCTTCTTTCAACCTTCCCTGATTCTTTTAGCCCAAACCATTTTAAAAAATCACTTTTCTGAACTTCTACAGCACTTAACATATTCTCTATACTTTTGTAGTAATTTAGAATCCATTTTATTTTCTCTAACCCTGTTCAGGTAAAAGGGTCTTGTATTACATTCCTTGTTTTCTCTCAAGAGCCTAATAAAATGTCCAGCACATATACAGGTACTCAATGAATATTAAAAAACAATTGAGTCAGGTGCAGTGGCTCATGCCTGTAATCTCAGCAGTTTGGGAGGCCAAGGTGGGAAGATCCTTGACGCCAGGAGTTTGAGACCAGCCTGGACAATATAGGGAGACCTGGTCTCCACAAAAAATTTAAAAAATTAGCCAGGTATGGTGGCATGTGCCTGTAGTCCCAGCTACTCTGGAGGCTGAGGTGGGAGGATTGCTTGAGCCCAGGAGGTTGACATTGTTGTGAACTATAATTGCTCCACTAGACTCCAGCCTGAGTAACAGAGCAAGAGCCTGTCTCAAAAAGTAAAAAAATCGATTACCGAGAAATCCTTAGGAAATAATTTAAATGGGAGAAGCAGCAATTAATATGTTTTTCTAAACTAGAAATAAAGGGTTGAAGCAGAAACATAATATGAAGAGGCACTGGGAGGAATCGGGAGGTAGGAGGCAGAGTCTGAGGCAGAGCTTGGGTACCTGCAGAACTGCAGAAAAGGACTAAGAGGTAGATTCTGGGGCTACCAAAGGGCAAGACACCCAGGATTGGGTCTGAAGATGGTTAATATGTGGGTCAAACCTAAAGCAACCCTCTGTTAAGGCACGATGATATATAAGTCGTGGCAAGCAAATGTTGAGTACTTAACTATTTATGGAATTTACCTGGTTTGAGTGTAGTCTGTGTTCCCCATCTGCATCCACCATAGTAATTGAAAGCCTTAGGTTATATAAATTTAGCACCTACATGTCAAGCGCGGCGATGGGTACTTCTCATCCATTCTTTCTGAACCTTAATCTTTCAAGATGGGTACTGTTATTATCCAGTTTCTATAGGTGGGAATATGAAGTTCAGTGAGCTTCAATATCTCACCCAGGGCCACAGAGCTAATAAGCGATATAGTGTGTCAACTGACTTCTCACCCTTGTGGCTCCCGCGGCTGAGGTAGGCTGGATGGGGATGGGGCTAGGAATGACGTATGAGTGGGCTGAGGCCTGTGGATGCTGTGGGGAACTGTGATGAGGTGAGGCAGGGCTGATCCAGGCTTCGTGGGGCTGAAGCTTTTACAATTTGGCAGGAGGGTGCTTTAATAAAAAACATGCTAAATTAGGTACAAAAGTACCTATTTAGGTACTTATTTAGGATGAGACAATAAATCACAAACAAATTATTGATGCTTTGGGGAACCAGAATCCTTTTTCCTAATACCCTTTTAGGCAATTTACCAAAATTGCTCATGCAGAAATGCTTTGTGATTGCAGCCTGGCTTCCCCTCTCCACCTAGACCCCTTCACAGCTCCCAGCAACTTTCAACACTCCTAGGGGCCTTGAAAGTGAGGGGCCGTGAAGCTGAAGTTTCATTAGCTTCACTGTGAGTCCACACTTGGAGGTGACTGAGGAATGTGGCAGAGATCAGAAATGGGAGAGAAGGGTTGAGGGGAGGATGTGCATTGCACACACCACCTGATGATGAACAATGAAAGGGCTGGGGAGAGAGGGAGAAAAGAACTGATGTCGGTTTTCAGACCTTATTGAAAAATGGTCCCACATCAAAACAGCCGCATGACAATGTGATGTCCCTCTTTCCACTGTGGCAAGCGCCAGTAGGTGAGCAAATATTGTGCTGAAGAGGCCTGCCTTCCTTGTCTGTGGTGCCAAGGAGGTGTTGGCTTAATGATGGGCACACCTGAAACTTTGAGTTTTAAAAATGAAACGGTCTATCAGCAACAAATTTTTTTCTTTTTATTGCAACCACGCATAGCAGAAATAGTTGCATGTGTGTGCATGTATGTGTGTGTGTGTGTGTGAGAGAGACAGAGAGAGAGAGAAAGATCGTCTATACTGGTGAATATAAGTATTCTCAATATCTTTTTACATTTGACCATTTCTCTAAAAAATTAGGATACTTTGAGGAATTAGCTAGGAAGTCTATAACAATTTCCTTTATAAAGAAGACAGTTAAAGAATGTCTAGGCCAAGAAGCCTGGGCCGTCTCCCTGTAATGCAACCTCCTTCCTTGTTTGTCTGTGAGCTTCATCACAGGCAGCTCCGCAGTGCTCTCCTGGAGACCCGTGTGTGGAGCCAGGGGCTGTGGGTCTGGCACAGAAGGTGAGTATCCTAGGAGGGAAAGGGATGAACGATAGTCCCCAAGATAAAATGAAGTAAGTGGGGTCAATTGCTGCTGCTAAGAAGAAAAAAAGAGGAGGATGGAGGTTAAGTAGAAGTATTTAATTAGTATTGGACACACTTTAATTGCAATTCACGGAAATTTAGTAACAAATTCCTTTTGCAGTTTAATACATTTTGCAAATTTTTTTTTTTTTTGCACTAAGATTATTATGGAAGGGTTACTGCTGAACAGTCACTAGCAATTTAGAGTAAATTGTTCTTTGGATCCCTCCCAGGCCATCACTGAGGAACTTTATTTTTAACTGGGAGGAAAGGTGGAGAGATGGTGGTCACAGCCTGGCCTGAGGGGCAGGAGGAGTGGGTGCGACTGGGGCCCAAGTTCATTGAATCTTTAGGTGAGGGGCTTGGGTGATAGTTCAATAATTAGTAATTAAAAGAAGACTTAGGAAGCTTTTGAGGACAAACATTGCCTCATGATGTTTGCTGAGGGATTCCCATTATGGGGGCTAGTGATCGGCCTCACCCACTCTGTGCTTGGAACAGAGCAAATGGCACAAACATGGGTAGAAAGGTGTGATAGGCAGAATAGTGGCCCCCCAAAGATGTCCAAGCCCTAATCCCTGGAATCTGTGAAAATGTTAAATCACATGGTAAAAGAAATTTTGTGGGCTAGGCATAGTGGCTCACTCCTGTAATCCCAGCACTTTGGGAGGCTGAGGCAGGTGGATCACTTGAGGCCAAGAGTTTGAGATAAGCCTGGCCAACATGGTGAAACCCCGTCTCTATAAAAAATACAAAAATTAGCCCGGCTTGATGGTGCACATCTCTATTCTCAGCTACTCAGGAAGTTGAAGCAGGAGAATCGCTTGAACCTGGGAGGCAGAGGTTGCAGTGAACTGAGATCATACCACTGCACACCAGCCTGGGTGACAGAGGGAGACTCAGTCTCAAAAAAAAAAAAAAAAAAAAAGAGACTTTGCAGAGGGAATTAAGATCATGAACTGAAAATAGGAAGATTATCCTAGATTATCCAGATGGGCGTAATGTGAATCATAAGAGCCTTTAAAAGTGGAGAGAAAGGCAGAAGAATGAGTTAGCGAGGTGAGACAGAAGAAGAGGCAGGAGAGACTCGAAGTGTGGGAAATACTTAAAGTCTGGCTTTGAAGATGGAGGAAGGGGCCAGGGGCCACGAACGTGGCAGCCTCGAGAAGCTAGGGGCAGCCAACGACAGTGAGCAAGGACATGGGACCTCAGTCTTACAACCATGAGGAGGTGAATTCTGCCTGAAACCCGAAGGAGCAGGGAAATGGACTCTCCCTTAGAACCTCAGGAAGGAAAAGCCACCCTGCTGACACCTTAAATTTAGCCTGATGAGACCATGAGACCACGTCAGACTTCTGACCTATAGAACTGTAAGATAACACATTTGTTTCAAGTTGCTAAATTTGTGGTACTTTCTGCAGCAATAGAAAACGAATACAAAAGGTGGAACACGACTTAATTCCTTATATTCATGGTCCTTCACTTTTTGAGGGTCATAGGCCCCTTTGAGAACCTGGCGAAAGCCAGCGATCTTCTATCTAGAAAAATTCACATCCGCACAAAACTTTGAATACAGCTTTGAGAGATTCATGAATTCACCAGAGCACACCTCATGGACCCAGGGTGAAAACATTTGCAGATGATAAAAAGGCAAAAGGTATGTTCAGAAGAGACAAGCGGGTAAAATGAGGCTTCCTAGGGATAGCATTGTTATCTCCCACCAAAGACTCTCATAGTACTCAGGAGAACACTTAGCTGGGTTGCACTGAACAGATTCAATTTTAATAAAATGAATTTCTAGACACTGAAGCTGAAAGGCAACCATCTCAGCCTGATCTTTTCCTGATGGACTCCTTGGAATGAGGCCACATTGTTGAGTAGAACAGTCAGTCTTTATGAGATAGCTACTGATATCTACTGATTTGAGAAAATCACTCTGAAAAATTAAAATGTAAAAATTACTAAGAAGGGGTATTGATTTTATTCCCCTGAAGAGTATGCAGAGAAAAAGAAATCATAGATAGCATTTTTTAGTAAATTAAATTTACTATAAGTTTGTGACAAGAACTGTTTTGGGGATTATTGATGTTATATAGATCTCCTATTTGTTTAGAGCAGTGCTGTCCAATAGAAATATAATGTGAACCCCTTAGGTAATTCTAGTAGTCACGTTAAGAAAAGTAAAAATAAGAGAAATTAATTTTTTTTTTTGAGATGGAATCTCACTCTTGTCGCCCAGGCTGGAGTGCAGTGGCGAGATCTTGGCTCACTGCAACCTCCGCCTCCTGGGTTCAAGCGATTCTCGTGCCTCAGGCTCCCCAGTAGCCTGGGGAGCTACAGGCGTGTGCCACCACGCCCAGCAAATTTTTGTATTTTAATAGAGACGGGGTTTCACCATGTTGGCCAGGCTGGTCTTGAACTCCTGACCTCATGTGATCCACCCGCCTTGGCCTCCCAAAGTGTTGGGATTACAGGAGTGAGCCACCGCGCCTGGCCAAAATTAATTTTAATAGTGTACTTTATTTAATCTGTCTAAAATAGTGTCATTTAAAACATGTAATCAACATGTCAGTGAAGTAGATTCCATTTTTTCAAAGTAAATATTTGGTATCTAGTGTGTAGTTTGCACTTACAGCACATCTCAGTTATGATTATCCATATTTTATGAGCTTAGTAGTCACGCGTGGCTAAGGGTGACCATATTAGCGCAGGTTTAGAGAGCAATGAAGTATTGAAATGAAAATCTTGAGGCTTAAACCTTATTTAATAACAACTTACAGAGTATGTGTATTATATATGTGTGTGTATTATGTAAAATCTCACTAAAATCTCAGAAATCATCACTAAGTTACCACTCTGAAGCTATTTTCACATATATGTATAGATTATATACACATACATATATGTATATAATACACACTCACATATATACATATATATATATAAAAGTAGCCTCAGGAGCCAAAGTACTTATGTAGAAAAATGCTTGTCATTTGCTACTCCCTTTGATCATATACACAGTGACAGTAGTGGCAATAGTGTGTGAAGAAAGAAAAAATTAAAAATCTAAAGATTATTTTTTTAGCAGATTTTAACTTAAGCAGGTTGACCTAAAGCAATTTATTTGAACTTCTCTGTACATAATAGGCCTTTAATATGGATGTTTATTTTTTGACATTAAAAACATAATTCTAGTATTGGAAAAGGCCTTACAAATCATTTATTTTTTTAAGTGAGGAAGTACAGATTAGAAGATGGAAAGAAAAGAAAGTATAAAGTTACCTTTTCAGCCTTCCTTATATGGTGTTTTTTTACATAGGAACCTGAAGTTTCTTCTCTCCTTCAATCACCATTACCACTACCAGTTACTGCTTACTGAGCTAATGCTATGGACAGGAGACAGGGAAATACTGGGTAGAAGAGGGCAGTTCCCTGGCAAAGGCCCCACTCTCAAGCCCAGATACCCATTGCCCTAAATGAGAACAGGCATTCCTGTTTTTGCACCCAAAACGTTGCCTTTTGGTCTGCCACGCCTCCCGTCCTGTACCCATATAAACCCCAAACGCCAGGCTCCAGAAGCAGACAAGGAGATGAGCAGATGAATGACAGAGAAGGAGAGAAGAGAAGGAGCATTTGAACGCCAAGAGAAGTTCGGCTGGGGTTGAATGGAGAGCAGATTGGCTGCTGGATGGCCAAACTCCAGGGGAAGATCATCTTCCCACCCCATCCCCCTTTCAGTTCCCCATCCATGCCTCTGAGCGCCATCTCCACCATTCAATAAAACCCCTGCATTCATCCTTCAAGTCCATGTGTGACCTGATTCTTCCGGGACACTGGACAAGAGCTCAGGATGCAGAAAGCTGCCACACTGGCCCTCTGCCCTTGCAAAAAGGCAGAGGGTCCACTGAGCTGGTTAACACTAGCAAGGCTAAAAGCGCACACTGTAACACATGCCTGTTGGGTTCCAAGAGTCACAGGCTCCCAACCCTGGATGCTGCCATGGGGCCGGAGCCCAGCACCCTGGCTCCTTCACATGTCCATCTGTGTGCTCCCCATCCTGTAAGGGGTTTGATCAGTGGCAGCGACCTAACAGATGAGCCACACCCCTGTCACATGTCCTGCAAGGGGGGTCAGGGAACTCTCCTATTTCACTACTAATATGTCAGACACTAAAACCATCTTTATTAATCCTGCAACAACTCTGCAAGGTAGATCTTTTAAAAAATTTTTATTTTCATTTCAATTTTTTTTGGGGTACAGATGGCTTTTGGTTATATGGGTAAGTTCTTTAGTGGTGATATCTGAGATTTTAGTGTACCCATCACTTGAGCAGTGTACACCATACCCAATGTATAGTCTTTTATCTCTCACCCCTCCCAACCTTCTCCCCACAAGTCCCCAAAGTCTTCCCACGAATTTTCTTATGCCTTTGCGTCCTCACAGCCTAGCTCCCACTTATGAGAACCTATGATATTTGGTTTTCCATTCCTGAGTTACTTCACTTAGAATAATGACCTCCAGCTCCATCCAAGTTGCTGCAAAATACATCATTTCATTCCTGCAAGGTAAATCTTATTATCTCTATTTAACAGATGAAGACACAGACTTAGAGGGGCTATATAACATGCCCAAGCTCATAAAGATCATCAAAGCAGAGCCAAAAGTCAAACGTATTGTTTTTATCCAAAGCCTGTGCTGTTTCCAGGATAACTATGCAGCCTCCATCAGGCTGGGGAAGGAGAGGACCCAGATGGGCTTGTTGAAGTACCAGTGGGTAATTGGTGAAGTGGCCAAGGGTAGGAGGAGTGCAGGGTAAGAAAGAAAGAGCAAGGGAAGGAAGTTGAGGTGTGGCATAAGCAGGGAAAGCTGTTGGATGCAGGGTTGGAGTTAGTGGGGGTGGTTTCCTCCACCCTCCACAGGTCGATGGCTTGAAGGCTAGCCAGGCAGGTGGACTTTGAGGAAGAAGACATGAGTGAGGTGCTTGAGTCCCTTAAAGAGGAGTTGTGGCTCCTGGCTGGTTCTACAATATTGCTCATTGACAGATGGGCCTTTTCCTGCGTGGGATTCTGAGGATGGTAAGAACAAAGTGAGGGTTAAAGGCGTGTGCCCACTCTAGTCAGTCAACAGCTTTGAGCTTCTTGAGATTTGCAATGTGCATTCAGTCAGTTCCAAGCAACCTTTGATGTTAGCTGTCTTCTCCTGGCACATAGTTCTTGATAATGTTTAGTTTCACATCCATAGGTTTAGCTTTTTCCCTGTTCCTTGGTGTCAGAGTTTCAAAACAGTGAAAATTTTTTCTTACATGATGAAAATATGTGAATAAAACAGACACATTTTGCAAGAAAGACAAACACAACACAATACCAGTCTCAAGACACTGACAAGCATAAGGGGTATGTGGGTATCTATTTGAGTGGTTATCCCCAGGGCATAATATTTTCACTATATCCTACTGCTGGGGTGGCAGCCAGACTGACTACATGATAGGGGCTGGGTGCTTGCCTTCTTCTAGGTCCCATACTGTTTCAAAGTATAGTTGAAAAAAAAAAAAAAGAAGGAAAAATTCCAAATAGAGAATCGACATGGTTCTAAATCCACATAATATAAACTCATGGATGCAAGCTGCTCATGATTCCACAGACCTTTACCTAAAATTCTTTTGGAAAATGCATCAATTTTAGGATATATAGATAGACATGATGATTACAGTTGTATTTTTTTAAAAGTGAGTATTACCAGTAGTTTAAAAAACACTGTGGCCGGGCACAGTGGCTTACACCTGTAATCCCAGCAATTTGGGAGGCTGAGGTGGGCTGATCACAAGAGGTTGGGAGTTCGAGACCAGCCTGGCTAACATGGTGAAACCCCGTCTCTACTAAAAATACAAAAATTAGCTGGGTGTGGTGGTGGGTGCCTGTAACCCCAGCTACTCAGGAGGCTGAAGCAGGAGAATGGCTTGAACCTGGCAGGCAGAGGTTGCAGTGAGCCGAGATCGTGCCACTGCACTCCAGCCTGGGCGACAGAGCGAGACTCTGTCTCAAGAAAGAAAGAAAGAAAGAAACAAACAAACAAACAAAAAAACCCACTGTGGGCTGGGTGCAGTGTCTCACGTCTATAAACCAGCATTTTGGGAGGCTGAGGCATACGGATTGCTTGAGCTCAGGAGTTTGATACCAGCCAGGGCAACATAGTAAGACACTGTCTCTACAATTTTTTTTTTTATATCATTCTGGTGTGTGGTAGCTTATACCTGTAGTCCCACCTACTTCGGGGGCTGAGATGGGAGGATCGCTTGAGACATGGAGGTTGACATTGCAGCGAGCTATAATTGCACCACTGCACTCCAGCCTGGGCAACAGAGCAAGAACCTGTCTCAAAAGAAAAAGAACCACTCCCTCCACAAAAAAACAAACCAAAAACACAACACTGTGACCTTTGTCAGGTAGGCTATGGAAAAACAGGCATTCTCATAGATTGCTGGTACTAAATGCAAAATGACATAATCCCCATAGTTTGGCAACATCTATGAAAACTACATATAAGTTTACCCTTTGACCCAGTGATCTTACTTCTTTTTGTTGTTGTTGCTTTTTGAGATGGAGTCTTACTCTGTTGCCCAGGCTGGAGTGCAGTGGTGCGATCTCAGCTCACTGCAACCTCCGCCTCCTGAGTTCAAGCCATTCTCCTGCCTCAGCCTCCTGAGTAGCTGGGATTACAGTCGTGTGCCACCATGCCTGGTTAATTTTTGTATTTTTAGTAGGACCGAGTTTCATCATGTTGTCCAGGCTGGTCTCGAACTCCTTACCTCAAGTGATCTGCTTGCCTCAGCCTCCCAAAGTGCTGGAAATTCAGGCATGAGCCACTATGCTCAGCCTCAATGATCTCACTTCTAAGAATTTAACCTGAAGAAACATCTTCAACAATATAAAATGGCACGTGTAAGATTTTATTTGCAGTATTATTTGTAATTGCAAAATGGAAATAACCTAAATGTGTATACACGAGAATACAGAGTGAATAAATTATATTATATTACATACACATAATAGCATATTAGGCAGCTTTTAAGGAGTGATTTTCAGGCTTTGCTGCAAGTGAAAAAAGCAAAGAGCAAAAGAGAATAATAGTATGCCACTACCATAGATAAGAAATAGGGGGACACAATACACATATATCTACTTCCTTTTAAGAAAAAGACATATTAGAAGGACAAAACAGAAAGGACTGAAATTTGTTACTTGCAGGGGGAGAGTGGGAACAGAATGGAAGTAATACGGAGAGAGAATGACACATTTCCAATCCAGTGTATTATTTTGACTTTTGGAATCATGTTAATGCTTTACATGTTTATAAAATAATCAACAATTTTGGGGAAGAAGTCCTAAAATTGGATACAAATAGAAACAAAGAAACTGAACTGTACATAAAATGGAGAATCACACAGAAGGAAAAAGAAACCCAACTTACTCAAGTAACATTTGGACAAAGTATCTTGACTATATATCCTGAGTTTAAAAACAAAAGAGCTGTGAGAAATTTTGAGCTCTACTTGACAGCTTTATTGTTGGTGGTGGCACAGGTGTAGCAGTTCTGAAATTATTTTTTGTATCTTATAGTACTGAGAAAATAATTACATTAATAATTGTTGGAAGCCAGAGTTCTTGCTTAGAGGAGGGAGATTCCAATACAGAATGGGGAAAGGTAAGGAAGAACCTTGTGGTGGTGCTGGATTGGCATGGACTCATGCTTTTTTTTCTCTCTCTCTTTTTAAAACAAACAAAACAAAACAAAACAACATCCTAGCTATGTTTGCTGAAAGAGCAAGTTTCAATGAAGAGATTTGGTTTCCAAATCTTGTTTTCAAAAAATCATTCTCTGCTATAAGGAACCAGAGCTTCTTGAAGATGGGACTGTTTTCATGGCTAGAGGAGGGAAAATGCAACATGGGCCTGAAAAACTTGCTAGGCCAGAAAGTAAAGAAGTGCTAAAAAAGCATGAAATTATGTCAAAATGACACAGAAGCCAGTTGATGGGCTTTCCCTGGCTAAACCTGGGATAATTTGAGCATCAAAATAAGTGGTGACATTAATGGATTACATCCCACTGAATAAAATAGAATCCGTGAATTCATACTGACACTAAAAAACAAGCAAGCAAGCAAGCAAATGCAGATAGGGAAGGGAGAAGGAGGGCTTTTTAGAGCAGGGTGTCAACTAATGTAGAAGTAATGATGAGTTAGAAAGTCACCATTTATGCAATTACTGTGGAGTACTGTTAAGTATGCAACAGCAACGAAAGGGGCCCCAGGTGGGGAAGAACAGTGAAAAATTGTTCTGAGAGATGGCTAATCAAACAACCCAAGGGCACAACGACCTTGTGGCACAAACACCTGTTCCGCAAGTAGCTCCCTCCAGCATGGCCCTATAAAACTTCCTTCCAGCCCTTGCCTCTTTGCAGGAGCTTTGCACACAGAACTCCTTCTCTGCTGTGCTGCCTGTTGCATCCTTGCAAGGCAATTGTCATATCTTAATCTTCCTTTCTTTACCTACAATTGTCTTGGTAAATTCCTTTACAGCCTGCGCCACTAGCCCTAGATAGTCACACCTGCAACAATTACAGTAGTAATAATTTATTCAGGCAAGAATTGTCAGTGGATGCTGGAAGTTGGTAGAAAATTTATTGGAGAAGCGGATATTTACACAGTCCCAAAGTATATTCCTACATATTATTTATTAAATACAAGGAGAAAAAATGAGGACAAATCTAGTGGAAACCACTTTAATCAAGTGATCAAGGTCAAAAACATCCTCCCAAATAATACAAACTGACTGTAGGTGTGTCCTGATGTGATGAACATAAATTGCTTATGTAGTGTCTCTGCCAAAAATGTATAACTTTAATTGAATCACAGGGAAACAATGGGGACAAAACAATGGGCCTGTATTCTTCAAAAATGTCACTGTCATGAAAGACAAAGCAAGGCCAAAAACTGTTCCAGATTAAAAGAGACTGAAGAGACATGACAACTACATGAAATATGTGATTTTAGATTGTAAAAAAAGATTTGTATAAAGGATAATATTGGGAAAACTGGGGAAATTTGAAGATAGAATGTATATTAAATGACTTCCAAAGTTGTTTAAGCATTTATTATCATATATAACAATAATCTAGAGATAAGACATGTCCTCAGTGACCTCATTACCTGTGGGCCCAGGTGTCTCCCATCTTTCTGCTCTGCCATCCTCAGCAGGTTGGCTTTTCCACTGAGGCTGGTTTCTCATATTCTCCTAAGTACATACATGCTGATGTACTTAGGAGAGAAGGGTCATAATCTCTGCAATAAGCCTCAAAAGGTTCAGCAAAAACAAAATAAATACATATAATTCACATATGTACTAAAATATCTTCCTGAAAAGTATATAAAACATGGTATATAAAATATACTATAACATTTTCTGTGAAGTTTTTAGGCCAGATTCCATATTTGCCCGTCAAATGGACTGTCTTTAGTTCCTTTAGTTTGTTATAGGGGTAGCTAAAAAAGTAAAATGCAGCGTAATGCATCTATAATGCCTTTCAGGCTAAAGGTGACAAGCTTCATCTCTTTTTTAAAGAAAGCAGGATATTTCCCAAGGTACTAACTTTTCCAGATTGCTCTAATCAAACTCATTTGGTTATAAGCCACTCAAGCTAGTTCAAACAAAGGGTGATAATTGTACTAAGGGGGACCAATTTTCCTGGCATTCGACAAATAGGAGACATACTGGGATTAGGCATCAGACAGACTAGAGCTGGAGAGTGGCTCTGGATTTAAGCAGAAATATGTGGGCCTCAGCTCCCTGCTTTGGCATTAGTGTGAATAATGATACCTTGCATATTTCTGTGTCCAATGGCAGGCCTAGGGATTGGTTACCCTTGAGCTAGGTATCTGATTTGATCAGTTGTGATGCTCTTGCTAAAAGTAACAAAAAGCCCAATCCAAAGTTATTTAAGCATTTATTATCATATATAACAACAATCTAGAGATAGAGCATGTCTTCAGTGACCTCATTACCTGGGGGCCCAGGTGTCTCCCATCTTTCTGCTCTGCCATCCTCAGCAGGTTGGCTTTTCCACTGAGGCTGGTTTCTTTCATGATTCCAAGTTGGCTGTTATAGCTTCAGGTATTACAGGGGTTGACAACACTGGGAGACTGAAAATGAACTGTCCTTCTCTTGTGTCCCATTAAAAAAAAAATTTCTCAAAACAAACAAAAATGGGATACATGTGCAGAACGTTCAAGTGTATTACATAGGTATGCATACATGTGCCATGGTGGTTTGCTGCACCTATTGACCCATTTTCTAAGTTCCCTCCCCTCACCCCTTACCCCATAACAGGTCCTGGTGTGTGTTGTTCCCCTCTCTGTGTCCATGTGTTCTCAATGTTCAACTCCCACTTATGAGTGAGAACATACGGTGTTTGGTTTTCTGTTCCTATGTGTTCCATTTTTAGGGCAGGGAAAAATGTCTCCAGAAGGCGTCCAACAAACTTCCCCTTACATCTCATTGGCAGATTAAGCAAGGCAAATGACAGTCATCGTGGTTGACTTAGACTAATCAAGGTTCATCCTCTTAGGCTGAGAAGGTGCTCAGCCTGTCATAATACATTCGGCTAAGATAACAAAGGAATTTTTCTATTAGGATGGAAAAGGAAAATGGGAGAATGGTATTGAATGCAGTGTTGCACTCCCTGGCCTGATCAGTCATGGTGATGATAAGTGGTTATTTGGTCTAGTAAATTATCTTTTTTTTTTTTTTTTGAGACAGGGTCCGCTCTGTTGCCCAGGCTGGGGTGCAGTGGCATGATCTCAGCTCACTGTAACCTCTGCTTCCTGGGCTCAAGCGATTCTTCAGCCTCAGCCTCCTGAGTATTTGAGACTACAGTCATGAACCACCATGCCCGGCTGTTTTTATAGTATTTGTAGAGATGGGGTTTTGCCATGTTGCCCAGGCTAGTCTTGAACTCCTGAGCAGCTCAAAGCGATTCGTTTGTCAAAGTGCTGGGATTACAGGTCTGAGCTGCTACATCTGGCTAAATTATCCTTTAGGGAAAGAAAATCTGTGCACAAAACAAATTCTCTTAGAAGATGTGGGCAGGCAGGCAATTATTGGCATCTCAAATATACTAATATTTGCCACATCATAAAACATAATGAAGGTAATTATCTGATGGGCATATTATTTTATCTATTTCAAAATACAAAATAGCTTCTTGTTAAATTATACAAATATACAATCCTTTTGAAAAACTTCAGCTATAAACAAAGAAAATAATCGCAGTTGTAAAGAGAAGTGAGAAGTATATTTACTACTATGGTATGATCTTTAGGTCTAGATTTAAGTTAAAAAAACCCAAGGAGGTCAAGATAATGAGAAGACAAGCCACATACTGGAAGAAAATATTTGCAAAAGACATACCTGAAAATGGACTGTTATCCAAAGTAAACAAAGAACTCTTAAAATTCAATAATAAGAAAACAATTTGATTAAAAATTTTTTTTGAACAGACACTTGAACCTGAACAGACACCTCACCAAAGAAGACATACAGATGGCAGATAAGCAGGTATAAAGATGCTCAACATCATATGTCATCAGGGAATTGCTAATTAAAACAATGAGATATCACTACACACTACACCAGCAGGATAGAGAGAGCAAGGAAGTGCCACACTTACTAGAATGGCCAAAATCTAAAACATTGAAAATACCAAATATGGGTGAGGATGTGGAGCAAGAAAAACTCTCATTTATTGCTGGTGGGAATGCAAAATGGTGTAGCCACTTTGGAAGACAGTTGGGCAGTTTCTTACAAAACTAAACATAGTCTTACTAACAATCCAGCGATCGTGCTCCTTGGTATTTACCCAAATGAGCTGAAAACTTTCATCCACACACAAATCTGCACGTGGATATTTATAGCAGCATTATTTATAATTGCCAAAACTTGGAAGCAACCAAGATGCCCTTCAGTAGGTGAATGAATAATTAAACTGTGGTAGATCCAGACAGTGGAATGTATTCAGTGCTAAAAAGAAATGAGCTATCAAGGCGTGAAAAGACACAGAGTAGGCTGGGTTCGGTGGCTCATGCCTATAATCCCAAGACTTTGGGAGGCTGAGGTGGTAGAATTGCTTGAGCCTAGGAGTTTGAGACCAGCCTGGGCAACATAGTGAGACCCATGTCCACAAAAAAGAAAAGACATGGAGTAAACTTAAATGTGGCTAAGCATGGTGGCTCATGCCAGTAATCCCAGCACTTCGGGAGGCCAAGGTGAAAGGATGGCTTCAGTCCAGGACGTTGAGACCAGCTGGGCAACATAATGAGACCTTGTCTCTACAAAAAAATGAAAAGTTAGCCATGGTGGTGGGTGCCTATAGTCCCAGCTTCTCGGGAGGCCAAGGTGGGAGGATCCCTTGAGCCTAGCAGTTTGAGGCAGCAGTGAGCTACGATAGCGCTACTGCACTTCGGCCTGGGTGACAGAGTGAGGCCCTGTCCCAAACAAAAAAACAAATCAACCAACTAACAACAACAACATAAACTTAAATGCACATTACTAAGTAGAGGAAGTTAGCTGAAAAGGGTATATGCTGTGTAATTCCAACTATATGACATTCTGGTAAAGGAAAAACCATGAAGACGGTGAAATGAGCAGTGTTTGCCAGTAGTTATTGGGGAGGGAGGGATGAATAGGCAGCATAGAGGATTTTTAGGACAGTGAAACTATACTTTGTTTTTTTTTTTTTTTGAGACAGAGTCTCGCTCTATAGTCCAGGCCGAAGTGCAGTGGTGTGATCTCAGCTCACTGCAACTTCTGCCTCCTGGGTTTAAGTGATTCTCATGCCTCAGCCTCCCTAGTAGCTGGGACTACAGGTGCGTGCCACCATGCCTGGCTAATTTTTTTGTATTTTTAGTAGAGACTGGGTTTTTCCATGTTGGCCAGGCTGGTGTTGGACTCTTGGCCTCAAGTGATCCATCTACCTTGGCCTTCCAAAGTGCTAGGATTACAGGTATGAGCCACCAAGCCTGGCCTAGAACAGTGAAACTATTCTGTAATGGTGGACATGTTATTATACATTTGTCAAAACTCAAAGGACGTGCAACCCCAAGAGTGAACCCTAATGCAAATGATGGATAATGATATGTAGGCTCATCAATTGTAAAAAAATGTACCTACCACTCTGGTGTGGGATGTTGATGGTGGAGGAGGCTATGCATGTGTGGGGACAGGAGGCAGATGGGAATTCTCTTTACTTTTCTGCTCAGTTTTGCTGTGAACCTAAAACTGCTCTAAAAAATAAAACCTATTAAAGAACAAAACAAAAACAAAACAAGACAAAAAATGAAGGAGAAACCTGAAAATGACATGAAGAAAACAATTCCATTTACATTAGCAGCAAAAAAAGAAACACTTAGGAATAAATTTAACAAAAAGTAGTACAAAACTTGTACTCTGAAAACTAAAAAAGAAATTAAAAGATTATGCTTAAAATAAATTAATGAAGACATAAATAAATGGAAAGACATCTAATGTTCATGGATTGGAATATTTAATGTTGCAAACATGACAATAGTCCCCAAATTGACTTACAGATTAAACACAATCTCTATAAAAACTATTGTATTTGTTTTTATATTATATTAAACTATTATATTTGTGGCTAATTGTTTTTTTAAATAATGGTGCCAACACAATTACATCACAGAAAAAAGGGAAAAGTCTTTTTAACAAATGGTGCTAGGACAACTGAATATCACATACAAAAGAATAAAGTTAGATCCCTACCTCATGCCATAGACAAAAATTAACTCATAATGATGGATCATAGACTTAAATGTAGAAATAGTACTATGAAAATCTTAGAATAAAATGTGGGAGTAGATCTTTGTGATGCTGGGTTAGGCAAAGCCTTCTTAGACATGATGCCAGCACCAGAAGTGACAAATGAACAAGCAGATAAATTGGACTTGATCAAAATTAAAATAAACTACCTTAAAACCCCAATCTTTTGTGCTTCAAAGGACACCATCAAGAAAAGACAATAGGGGCCGGGCGCAGTGGCTCACGCCTGTAAACCTAGCACTTTGGGAGGCCGAGGCGGGTGGATCACAAGGTCAGGAGATCAAGACCATCCTGGCTAACACGGTGAAACCCTGTCTCTACTAAAAATACAAAAAAAAAATTAGCTGGGAGTGGTGGTGGGCACCTGTAGTCCCAGCTACCTGGGAGGCTGAGGCAGGAGAATGGCGTGAACCTGGGAGGCAGAGCTTGCAGTGAGCCGAGATCACGCCACTGCACTCCAGCCTGGGCGACAGAGTGAGACTCTGTCTCAAAAAAAAAAAAAAGAAAAAGGAAAAAAGAAAAGACAATAGAATGGGAGAAAATATTTGCAAATTAAATATTGATGAGACTTATATCCAGAAAAATATAAATAACTCTTAAAACAACAATAAAAAGACAACTCAATTGATAAATGGGTGAAGGATCTGAACAGACATTTCTTCAAAGAGAAGATATACAAATGGCCAAAACGCACATGAAAGATGCTCCATATTTGTACTAGTCCGTTTTCACAGTGCTATAAGGAAACTACCTGAGACTGGGTAGTTTATAAAGAAAAAGGTTTAATTGACTCACAGTTTTGCATGGCTGGGGAGGCCTCAGGAAACTTACAATCATGGTAGAAGGTGAATGGAGAAGCAAGTACCTTCTTCATATGGCAGCAGGAGAGAGAGAGCGAGGAAGTGCCACACTTTAAAACCATCAGCTCTTGTGAGAACTCACTCACTATCAAGAGAACAGCATTGGGGAAACCACCCCCATGATCCAAACACCTCCCACCAAGTCCCTCACTTGACATGTGGGGATTACAATTTGAGATGAGATTTGGGTGGGGACACAGAGCCAAACCATATCAATATTATAGACCATTAGGGAAATGCAAACCAAACCACAATGAGATCCCACTTCATTTCCACTAAGATGGCTATAATAAAGAAAATGGACAGTAATAAATGGTGTCAAGGATTCAGATAAATTGGAAACCACACTGCTGGTGGGAATATCTTTTTGGGTAATGAAAATGTTTGAAAATTAATTGTTGCGATGGTTGCATAGCTTTGTGAATATACTAAAAACCACTGACTTGCATAATTTAAATGAGTGAATTGAGTGCATAGTCTGCTGCCATTTTTTAAATTAATTAATTAATTTATTTTTGAGACAGAGTCTAGCACTGTCACCCGGGCTGGAGTGCAATGGCATGATCTCGGCTCACTGCAACCTCCGCCTCCTGGGTTCAAGTGATTCTCCTGCCTCAGCCTCCTGAGTAGCTGGAATTACAGGCGCGCACTACCACGCCCAACTAATTTTTTGTATTTTTAGTAGAGACAGGGTTTCACTATTTTGGCCAGGCTGGTCTTGAACTCCTGACCTCCTGATCGGCCTGCCTTGGCCTCCCAAAGTGTTGGGATTACAGGTGTGAGCCGCCGCACCCAGTGCCATTTATATTTAAAGAGAGGATGGATATATATACATATATCTGAAATATTGCTTATACTTTAAAAAATGGAAGGACAAGCAATAAAAATAAATGGCCATTTATATAATAAGAAATGGGGGTGCATTTATGGAATGAAGTAGAAGCTAGATTTTTCTCAAATAGACCTTGTTTTATAGACTTTAGAACCACACAAATAATTTATATAATTATAAAACAAAATTAAAACTAAAAATGCAACCCCTAAAAATTGAAATCACAATTAAGCACATCAGCCTGTGTACTGAGCTAGTGGCATAATCACACGTGAGAAACTTTTCCAAGTAACATTATTATTATTATTTTAATTATTATTATTATTTTTTGAGATGGAGTCTTGCTCTGTCACCCAGGCTGGAGTACAGTGGCACAATCTTGGCTCACTGAAATCTCCGCCTCCTGGATTCAAGCAATTCTCTTGCTTCAGCCTCCCAAGTAGCTGGGATTATAGGCATGTGCCACTCTGCCCGGCTAAGTTTTGTATTTTTTGCAGAGATGGGGTTTCAGCATGTTGAACAGGTTGGTCTTGAACTCCTGACGTCAAGTGATCTGCCCAGCTTGGCCTCCCAAAGTGCTGGGATTATAGGTGTGAGCCACTGCACCTGGCCTCCAAGTGACTTTAAAACATACTAATTGACTATACATCCCTATTGGAATATACCCTAATCAGAAAAAGAATTGCAAAAAAGTCCCCCCAAAACAACAACAAAAAACCCAAACTATGTTCAGTGATCATATTGTGGTGGTGCTGTGAAGATTGTTATTCTGAGACTATTCATGATGGGAAAAATAAATAGGTAATTACGGTGGGATTTTAGGCACAGGGGAAAAGGAGATACAGATGTGAGGTTGATGAAGATAGTCCTGGTTTTGAATTGGATACAGCAATAAAACTCATGTTGTTTTATATCTTTAAAACAACAACATTTCCTAGCTCCACCCACTGCAAAGGTCTAGAAACAATGAACTGGTCATGAATGACCCAGTAGGAATAAGCATCCATTCTAGATTGTGGCCTCTAAAATACCATTTCCCACTGAGAAGAATTAGGGTTCCTTGGAGACATGCTGATTCCACATCTGAGGCAGGAAATGTTGAAGATGAGTCTAGAACATCTTGCTATTTAGAAGGCAAGGAAGCTGTCAAAAACTTTTATAGTCATGTCAAAGAACTCAGAGGTTACTTTGAGAAGATTCCCATTGGCTAAAGATGGGACAATTTCAACATCAATGAGAATGATAATTGAAATGGATTAAACACATCAAATATACAGGCTCAGTATGCCTTATCCAAAATGCTTGGGACTAGAAGTGTTTTGGATTTTGGATTTTTTTTGGATTTTGGAATATTTGCATATACATAATGAGATATCTTAGGGATCGGACCCAAATCTAAACACAAAATTCATTTGTGTTTCAAATACAGCTATATACACAGCCTGAAGGTAATTTTACACAATATTTTAAGTAATTTTGTGCATGAAACAAAATTTGTGTAGACTGAACTATCAGAAAGCAAAAGTGTCACTATCTCAGTCACCGATGTGGACAATCTGTGGTTGTTTGACATCACCATTATTCCTGACTCTGAATTTATATGCTACTGATAAGCAAATATTTTCTTACACTTGTTCACACATAAGTGCCTAACAGTAAGAAGTATGACCCACCATTATTAATCCAGTGAAAAACTAATGTGTTCAGGGTAACTAAACAGCACGGTAGCATCACCAGAACACCTGTGTCAGCTGGTAAACAACAGTGACAGCCAACATGGCTGCTTTCAGTCTCCACTGTGTCCTGTCACGTGTGGTCAGGTGTTGAATTTTCCACTTGTGGAATCATGTTGGTGCTCAAAACGTTTCAGATTTTGGAATCTGGATTTTTGGATTAGGAATGCTCAACTTCTATTTCAAATTTTTTTTTTTTGAGACAGGGTTTTGCTCCACTGAGAGCAGTGGTGCAGCCTTGACCTCCTAGGCTCAAACAATCCCCCCATCTCAGACTCCAGAGTATCTGGGACTACAGGCATGAATCACCATGCCTGGCTAATTTTTATATTTTTTGTGGAAATGGGTTTTTGCTATGTTGTTCAGGCTGGCCTTGAACTACAGAGCTCAAGCAATCCGCCCGCCTTGGTTTTTCAAAGTGCTGGGACTATAGGCATGAGCCACCATGCCCGGCCTATATTTAAAGTCTTAAATTCTTTAAAACTGACACAACTCTCACTAGTAATCTTTGACGGATATGAGGGAACCAACTCATTATTTTGATAATTGTTAAATAAAGGGAAAGAATTAAGCATGAATCCTGCCTTTCCCATATAAACTGTATTTTAGGGAAACCAAATATATGTCGGAGGGAAGCTTCTTTTTATAAAAGCATTTCAGCAACTATATGGATGACAGAATTAGAATATCACCATTTTGTAAACCATAATATACGTAAGTAATGATAATCAATAACTGCTAATAGCACATACACCACACACACACACACACACACACACACACACACACCAACCCCAAATAAAAAAGACCACCAACACTAAATTTCGACGGAATGTGGAGCACCTAGGACTTTCTTACATTGCTGGTGGAAATTAAAAATGATACAACCACTTTGAACTGTTTGACAGTCTCTTTTAAAGTTAACTAATCATTTTCACTTCCAAGTACTTACTGAGAAGAAATTAAAATGCCCACAAAAAGATGTGCATAAGAATGTTCAGGGCTGGGCATAGTGGCTCACACCTATAATACCAGTGCTTTGGGAAGGCAAGGTGTGAGGATCACTTGAAGCTAGAAGTTTGAGACCAGCCTGGACAATATAGAGAGACCCCTTCTCTACAAAAATACTAAAAAATTCCAGCCTGGGCAACATAGTGAGACCCTGTCTGTATAAAAAAATTAAAAAATTTAGCCAGGTGGGGTGTTTTGCACCTGTAGTCCCAGTTACTCTGGAGGCTGAGGTGGGAGAATCACTTGAGCCCAGGACGTCGAGGCTCAGCGAGCCAGGATGGAGCTACTACACTCTAGTCTGGGCGACAGAGCGAGACCCTGTCTCTAAAAAAAGAAAAACAAAAAGTTCATAGCAGCTTGATTCCCAAACTATTATTCCCAAACAGTTCAAACTGGAAACACCCCAAATGTCTATGAAAAGGAGAATGGATAAACAAATTATGGTATATTCACATAATGGAATATAACTCAGCAATAAAAAGGATGAACTAGTACATTCATATATGCAACAACATGGATACATTTAAAAAACATTTTGTTGAGTTAAAGAAACTAGACATAAAAGACTACATACTGTATTATTTCATTCATAGGAAGTCTAAGAATAGGCAAAACTATCTGCTATGGTTTTTTTTTTTTTTTTTTGAGTCAGAGTCTCACTCTGTTGCCCAGGCTGGAGTGCAGGGGTACAATCTTGGCTCACTGCAACCTCTGCCTCCTGGGTTCAAGCGATACTTGTGCCTCAGCCTCCTGAGTAGCTGGGACTACAGGTGTGTGCCACCACGCCTGGCTAATTTTCGTATTTTTATCAAGGCAGGGATTCCTCATGCTGGCCAGGCTGGTCTTGAACTCCTGACCTCAAGTGATCCACTCTCTTTGGCCTCCCAGAGTGCTGGAATTACAGGCATGAGCCACTGTGTCTGGCCTGCTATGGTTTAAATGCCTATGTCTCTCCAAAATTCATGTTGAAATTTAATCTCCATTGTGGTGTTATTAAGAGGTGGGGCCATTTGTTAAGTGGGTAAGTCATGAGTGCTCTGCCCTTGTGAATGGGATTGGTGCCCTAATAAAAGAGGCTTCAGGGAGCTGCCTGGTCTTTCCGTCTCTTCTGCCATGTGGGAAAACAGTGCCTCTTCCACCAGGTGAGGATGCAGCAACAAAGCACTACTCTTAGAAGCAGAGACAAGCCCTTACCAGACACTGAATCTGCTGGTGCTTTGATCTTGGACTTCCCAGCCTCTGGAACTGTAATAAATAAATTTCTATTATTTATAAATTACCCAGTGTAGGGTATTTTGTGATAGTGGCATAAATGAACTAAAACACTATCTATGGTGACGGAAATGAGAAAATAGTTGGCTCTGGGCCTGGACAGGAACTGACTATAAAGACCCATGAGAGAACTTTCTGGAGTGAAGGAAATATTCTGTATCTTGTTTTTGGAGGAAGCTACATGGCTGCACGCAATTGTGAAAACTAATTGAGCAGTTACGATCTGTGTATTTTAATTATAACTCAATTAAAAAGTGATAGATTTTATGTGCCTCCTGATGGGTGCACACAAAGTCACTTATGAAATACTACCAACAATTTTGAACCTGAATCTGATCAGGCTCCTAGATCTAAACATCAATTTATAGGAAATAGAGGGAATAAAAAACTCTTATTTAATGACACCTTGGGGATTTGATCTGCAAAACTCAGACTGTGGGAATTATATTGTAGTACTTACACCAAGTAAGGGGCCCCTGTTCCGACCCTCCTCTGGCTGGACCCCTCTACTTAATATAGAATTAAACATTAATTTTAACCCCAGAGAAAAACACCATCAATACTTTTTCATTTGTATCAACATATATTAATCATTAAAAAAGGAACCATATTATGCATATTATTTTACAACTTGTTTTTTAAAAGCAATGCATCTTGGGACATCCTCTTTTGTCAACATACAAGTCTACCTCATTCTTTTTAACATGGTATTGAATTGTATACCACAGTTTTTCTCAGCCTTTTAGACTTTTTTCTTTTTTCTTTTTTGAGATGGAGTCTTACTTTGTCACCCAGGCTGGAGTGCAGTTGCGTGATTTTGGATCACTGCAACCTCTACCTCCCAGGTTCAAGCGATTCTCCTGCCTCAGCCTCCTGAGTAGCTGGGATTACAAGCGCCTGCCACCATGCCCGGCTAATTTTTGTATTTTTAGTACAGTTGCGGGTTCACCATCTTGGCCAGGCTGGTCTTGAACTCCTGACCTCATGATCCACCCACCTTGGCCTTTCGAAGTGTTGGGATAACAGGCATGAGCCACTGCACCCAGTGTAGACATTTTTTTCTTAATTATTACTCTCCCATGAAGTTTCAATACCACATATATACTGTATATTTGTTTATGTGCTTTACACACATATCTATGCTTTAGAAAAAAAAATTTCCCTCAAGAATCAATTTTCACCTCCTTGTTGCGATGTTGCCACCCCGTGAATTCATGATATAGGTATTCCATATCCTATTTCATATGTGTACTACTTTTGATATTCCAATACTGCATTATCTATATTTATACATATATTTTGTTTCTGTAGGATATATTTCTAGAATTGAAAGGCTGTGTTGTTATTAATATTTAACATTTAATTGATATTGCTAAAGACTGTGCCAATTATATGCCAATCAATGTATATTGAGAATCTGGCTTCAATTTTTACACTTAAGTCACAAATCCATTTGAAATTTATTCTGGGAATAAGGTAACGATCTAATTATCTTTCTCCTCTAAATCTAGCTCAATGTACTTATATACTTTACTGGATTAATCTTTTCTTGATGTACCACATATTAAATTTGGTAAGTGCTCTTAGATATATTCAGGCTTTGAATTCTGTTCCATGACTGTTTATTTATTCCATTACCACTCTATGTTTATTATTCTTGTTTTATGCTTTGTTATATAATACAATTTCCTTTTATGAATTCTATTTTCTTGTTTTTTTTTTCATGTTTTTTTTTCTCTCAATGAATTTTGGAGTAATTCTGTTTAGTCCCAAACAAGCAAACAACAAAAACAAGCTCTTAAAATACTTTTGGGATTAATATTGGAATTTTACCAAATTTGCAGATTAACTTAGTGAGACTGTAGAATACTTTTAGAGTACCTTATAGAGTTACATTTAAAATAAGACAGAGAAAAAAAGAAATGTTGATTTAATGATGTATACTTCTATATTAGAATATTTTGAGCTGTCAATGACAAAAATCCAGGTAAAACCCAAGGTTAAGTATAAAAGAGAGTTTATTGGCTCATTCAACGGATAAGTCCAGTGGTAAAACTAGTTTTCAGGCATGTCTGGATCTCTGGGTTCAAACAATGTCATCAGGACTTGGTCTCTCTGTCTTCCAGCTTAGCTTCTTTAGCTTCAATATCAGACAAACCTCCATGTGGTTGCAAAGGTGGCCTGTCTGCTCTGTGTCTGTATGTTCTTTAGCACCTGCAATATAACATCAGAGGGAGAGTTTTTTTTTTTTTTTTTTTTTTTTTTTTTTTAATAGTGCCAGCAGGCCAGGTGCGGTGGCTCACGCCTGTAATCCCAGCACTTTGGGAGGCTGAGGTGGGTGGTTCACCTGAGGTTGGGAGTTCGAGACCAGCCTGACCAACATGGATTAACCCTGTCTTTACTAAAAAAAAAAATTAGCTGGATGTGGTGGTGCATGCCTGTAATCTCAGCTACTTGGGAGGCTGAGGCAGGAGAATCATTTGAACCTGGGAGGTGGAGGTTGTGGTGAGCCGAGATTGTGGTGAGCCAAGATTGCGCCATTGCACTCCAGCCTGGGCAACAAGAGCGAAACTCCATCTCAAAAAAAATATATATATATAAATAAATAGTACCAGCAAAAGTACCAATGATGGTTCTCATTGGTCAGGTCTGAATCAAGTGTAGGAATGGGGGCAGTGTGGGCAGTTGGGAATCAGCCTCACTTGAACCAGCTAAGGCTGGTGAGTGGTGGTTTCCTGAAAGGGATGTGGAGCAACCGAAAAATCAGGAATTATACACCATAATACCTATTTATGTATTTATTTATTAGATGGAGTCTCGCTCTGTTGTCCAGGTGGGAGTGCAGAGGTGCGATCTCGGCTCACTGCAACCTCTGCTTCCTGGGTTCAAGTGATTCTCCTGCCTCAGCCTCCTGAGTAGCTGGGATTACAAGCGCCCATCACCACACTCAGCTAATTTTTATATTTTTAGTAGAGACAGGGTTTCACCATGTTGGCTAGGCTGGTCTTGAACTCCTGACCTTAGGTGATCTGGCTGCCTTGGCCTCCCAAAGTGCTGGGATTATAGGTGTGAGCCACCACGCCCTGCTGATAATACCTGTTTATAAAAAGAGGATTTAAAAGCAACATTAGGAAATATTACTAAGTTGAAGTTCTAATACTATTTTTTAGATTATGAAGTTATTTTAGGGCTAAAGGTGAAAAGAAACCAGGCCATTGGGCAAGAAAACATGATGATAGACATTAAAAAGTTACTTGTAATTGAACAATATTTGTTAGAATTATAATGCTTATTCTTGATGTTACTCTTCCTCCATTTCTTGATCTCATCACTGCTTAGATTCTCCAAAATCTTGCTTCATAAATTTGTCCTGTTTTGCAGCTTAATCTTGTCTTTTATTTTTTTCCCCTGCTCCTAAGGAACCCCATTCCCCACCTCCCTAAACAAATCAACAAGCCTTTCAATTCTACTGCTTTTTATACCTCCTCTTCTTATATTCATTGGCCAATTGTTTAAAGTCATCAGTGATTTCCTTAATCATCAAATCCAATGAACTTGGACCCTCCTTGATGGCTTGCTGTCTCTGTAGTATTTGACAATATTGACAGAACTTTCCTTCTTGAAACCCGGAATCTTAGTTCCTATGAAACCCACTCTCCTGATGTTTCTCTTAGCTTTCTGATGACTTTTTCTCTGTTTACTTTGTTGGTTTTTCTTCTTCACCTTCTTTATATGTGGGTGATTCTCAAGGTTCTGGCTTCAAACTGTTTCACTATTCACTCTTTTTTTTTTTTTTTTGGCAGTTTCAAATACTTTCAAAAGAAGGGTATACACTTTTTTTTTTTTTTTTTTTTTTGAGACAAGAGTCTCACTCTGCTGCCCGGGCTGGAGGGCAGTGGCTGCCTCCCCTGCTCAAGTGATTCTCTTGCTTCAGCCTCCCATGTAGCTGGGATTACAGGTGTGCGCCACCACACCCGGCTAATTTTTGTATTTTTGGTAGAGACGGGGTTTTGTCATGTTGGCCAGGCTGGTCTCAAACTCCTGACCTCAAGTGATCCACGTACCTCAGCCTCCCAAAGTGCTGGGATTACAGGTGTGAGCCACCACACCCAGCCTACATCTTCTATTTAACTGCTTCTGATCAGTTCCTCTCCCAACACCTGTGTGATCTAATCCTAACTGTCCACTATCTAGAAAGACAGAGCTTAACTTCTTAACTTCTTCTAAAAAGATCTTTCCCTTCTGAATCCCATGGTACTTTTTTTTTTTTAATGGCACTACTTTAAAACTTGCATTAGCTCCTTATGTGTTAAGACTTGTCTTACTTTCTGGCCTATAAAGTCGCTTTTCCTTTTTCTTTTTTTTTTTTTTTAAGGAGATGGGGCCCCTGCTCTATAAACTTCTTTAAGAAGATTTTCTTCTTTTTAAACTTTTATTTTAGGTTTGGGGGTACACATGAAGGTTTGTTGTAAAGATTATTTCATCACCCACGTATTAAGCCTAGTACCCAATAGTTATTTTTTCTGCTCCTCTGCATGCTCCCACCCTCCACCCTCAAGCAGACCCCAGTGTTTCTTGTTCCCTTAAGATTTTCTAATTCAACTCTGCATCTCCTATACTGTAAAGCACAGTGTTTTGTATTTTTTCATTTGTTTTTTCAACATACATAAGCACTGACTATGTATTGTGCTAGGAGCTGGGTAAGTGGTTAAAAAAAACCCCGTGCTTTCTGCCCTCAGACAGTTTAGAGTCTCGTGAAAATACATATTGTGATATATAATCAATAAAACTTTATTGAAAGAATGAATCTTACATCTTAAACTCCTTTTTCATCTTCTTTCCCCAAACTCCTGACCTACATTCCTGCGCCCTTTCCCCTGATAAATCCCACAGATTTCTCAAATCCAGCAGCTGAATTGGATTCATGTGCTATGGATACACATAAATAAGTTTGCCCCATGTTCAAGAAACTCACAATAAAGCACCTTCTCTCCCCAAACCTTCTGCTGATTTTAGTATCAATGTTACTAACTCCTTCTTATTACCAAGGGGAAATCTTGGTATTCTTTTTGACTTCTTCCTCTTTTTCATATTTAATTCTTTAATTCAAGCAATTATCCCTCTTGTTGAGGTCCTTTCACCTATAGCAGAGGTTGAAAATTAGTGACCCACAAATTGTATCTAGCTAGTAGAGGTGTTTTGTTTTGTATAATATTATCAAAAATATGATTTTCCTGTTTCTCCTGAAAAATCAGGCAACACTGAGTCCTTATTTTTGCAAGAATTGGCTGGAGTTTTAGATGGGACAGCTCAATCAACTCTAACATTCCAATCTCTATCACTCCTTGCTTTTGTCACATTCAGTCCATTTCCTCACTTATGAAACTTTCTTAGTCCCTAATTTAGGCATCTGAGTTTGCCGTCTCTGGCCTATATGATCATAGACTGTCAGTAGTGGAAGAGATATTAAAAGATCAACTCGTCTAACAGTCTCCTGCTTCCTCTCCCCACTCTTTAAGAGACGGAGAAATGAGGTCTAAAGAGCTTACATTACCCAATCAATTTCATACAGCTAATGTGTAACAGGATTCTATAATATGCCATTAGGCCTCCTCCCTCATACGGATCATGTTAAACTTATATTTTCCCTTTGGTTTAATTGCTAGGAACCTCAGAGCCCAATTTGTGGCACCCCTCTAGTAAATACACGGACCTTTTGGTATGAAGTTTTGGGGTATTAATATACCCCTGGCTTTATTTTGTTTTCCAATTACCTTTACCTCAGTTTCTCTTCATCATTTTCTCCTATTATAGTGTGTATTTTTTTTCCCCAAGCATACTCAATCTTTTGTGAAAGAGGTACATCCGTACAGGCGTAAACTGTCGGGCTGTATTGTCTGGCTCCCAATTTCTTTCTTTCACTGTCATTCTGCTTTGGCTACTCACATTCTCTGTTTTCCTTGACAGCCAAACTTCTTGAAAGAATTGTCTTCACATGCTGTGTCCACTTCATCCTGTCTTTTCAATTCACTGTAAACAGATTTAAAGCCTTCAATGCCTTCTTTGTTGCTATGATATTAATACCAAAATTATATTGTATTCATCCATATATGAAGGACACAAAATGGTTTTCCCTAAATTATCTCAACTATGAAAAAATATGCAGAGAAAAAAATTAATAGGTAATGCATGAAAATGTTACTTCTGGGTAGCTGGATGACTGGTGAGATTTATTTTCTTTTAAAAATTTTCCACAGTTTTAAAAACAAGCGCATTAGAACACATCCCGATGTAAATTAGAAATTCTCAACTTACATTTTCTAAAAGGAGGCAGAAAACTAGAGAAGCGACAGTGAGGAGCCACTGGGCCACACTTCATTTCACCTTAAGACTGACTCAGAGAAAAACAAGAGGGTACGACTCAGATCCCCGGGGCCAGCAGCAGGGCCGCGGGGCACGACTGGATAACCGCTTGTGAAGAAAATTTTAAGAGAGCCCTCACGACCCTTTAGCGCATCCTAAAAGACCTCTGAATATCTCTGCCTCTCCCGCTAACGGCTCCAAACCGCAGATAACGGTCAATCGCCTCCGGTTGTCCTGGTAACAGCCAGCAACCACAACCCTGCCTGCGTAACTCCTCCCAGAACACCGTGCGTCTTATCGCTTCACTTCCGGGTTCGGAGGGCCGACTTCTTCCGGAAGTATCTGCCTGCCAGTCACCTGGCGTTTTCTGGCTGTGTGGCTTTACTAGACAGAATGTGGCGTATTGTTGGGCAGGGCCCTGAGGACCCTTTTGTTGTTTCCCCCCCGTTTAACAGGACTGGAAAGCTAAGCAAAGGCTTTACTCTCACGGAATTGGATGAATTGGACGTTAGTTTTTAAAAAGCCGAAGGGTACATGTTAGCTTTATTTAACCATTCCACAATGTATATATATTTCAAAACATGTTTTATACTATAAATATAATTTTTATTTGTCAACTAAAAAACAGCATTAAGTGTTAAAAGCTGTTAAGTCAGAATATAGAGATGAATCTTTGAAATTAGAATGCTTTATTTGGGAAGAAAATAGTAATTTGGGGCATATATGTAGACTGGGGTGGTCTTCGGGATGTCTGAAGAGTGAAGAGGTTAGAGACTTTATAAGAAGGAGAAATGTTACGTATTGGTCTCCAAGAGAGTTTATTGGCACTATTAATGTTTTGGTGGGGTTGGCAAACTGATTGCTGAGTGACGGTGGTGGGTAAAATTAGTCTTAGAATTGTAGCAGACTGTCTTAGTAGCCTTTAGATTAAATTGGTTTTAAGTGTTAGCAGGCAGTTTCAGCAGCCAGGCCTGTAGAGAATTATATTTTTCAAGTGATATTTGTGACCTGAATGTTTTTTCCCTCTGGCCTCTCCACTCTTTAACTGGTATGACAAAAGTGACCCGATTTATATGATCAACTTTCACAGCTGACAGGTGGTAAACTCTTTACAATTATATGTAATTTATTTGTTACTGTGATAGATTTATACAATTTTAAATAATTTAGTTCCCATTAAAAAAGCAATTATTTTTGCTTTAGAAAATGAAGGCCAAAAAAACCCCCAAAACACAAAACCTCCAAATCCTACCCATTTAAGGACAACCAATGTGAATACTTTGTAGGAGTCTTCCAGACCCTTTCTATGAATTATAGTAAGTACAAATTCAAAATGGAATCATACTGTATATGCTAGTTTGGAACTTAAAAAACTTTTTTTTTTTTGAGACAAAGTTACTGTGTTGCCCAGGCTGCAGTGTAGTGGCCCGATCTCGGCTTACTGCAACCTCTCCACCACCTGGGCTCAAGCAATTCTCCTGCCTCAGTCTCCTGAGTAGCTTGGGATTATAGGCGGCGCCACCACACCCAGCTAATTTTTGTATTTTTAGTAGAGATGAGGTTTCACCATGTTGGTCAGGCTGGTCTCGAACTCCTCATCCCAAGTGATCTGCCTTCCTCGGTCTCCCAAAGTGCTGGGATTACAGGCATGAGCCACCCGCGCCCAGCCTGAATTTTTTTTTTTTTTGAGCTGTTGTCTTGCTCTGTCGCCCAGGCTGGAGTGCAGTGGCGCGATCCCAGCTCACTGAGGCAGGAGAATTGCTTGAACCCAGGAGGCAGAGGTTGCAGTGAGCCGGGATGGCGCCACTGCACTCCAGCCTGGGCGACAGAGCAAGACTCTGGCTCAAAAAACAAAAAAACAAAAAAACAAAACAAAACACCCAAAAACTTTTAATGAACATATTTTGTTTAAAAAAGACACTTAACATGGTTGTATATATTCCATTATACCTCTTGTTGGATATTTAAACAATTGATGTCTTCCCCTGCCGCCCCTTTTTTTTGAGGAGGAGGTGTCTTGCTGTATCACACAGGCTGGTCTTGAACTTCTGGGCTCAGGCAGTCCTCCTGCCTTAGCCTCCCAAATAGCTATGATTACATGCCACTGGCCTGGCCATTTTTGCTCTCAATTAGTGCTGCAATGGAGAAATGAAAATCCTTATAGCTAAATCTTTGCCCTTGCTCTAATTTCTTTGTGGTAATTCTTTTTCTTTTTAAAACTCATTTGTATTTGCTGTTCATTATCTCTTCCTTAATGTGTTTTTATTCCATACCTATGTCTTTATACTGTATACAGATGAAGTTACACATGGCATCCAAAGCCCACTTGATTTTTTAAAGTTTATTTTTCTGATTATAAAGGTAATACATGCTTATTGAGGAACATTAGAAAATTTCAGGAGAATGTAACAAAAAAATTCCAATACCTAGACAACCATTGATACTGTGGTATGAATTTTTTTCCATCTGTTTCTTCAACAATGAGTATTGAAACAGTTTTAGCTAATTTAGTAAGGAAATGTTGCAGCTTTTGGTTTGTACGTTTTTACTTATTCCTGTAGCTGAAGGGTATTGCAAATAGTATCCAGAAATAAAGCCACATACCTACAACCAACTGATCTTAGACAATGACAACAAAAACATATAATGGGAAAAGACACTCTATTTAATAAATGGTGCTACACAAAGTGGATAGACATGCAGAGGAATGAAACTGCACCCCTTTCTTTCACCATATACCAAAATTAACTCAAGATGAATTAGAGTTAAATTTAAGACCTGAAACAATAAAAACCCTAGAAGAAAACCTAGGAAAAACTCTTGTGGAGATTGACCTAGGCAAATAATTTATGAGCAAGTCCTCAAAAGCAAATGCAACAAAAACAAAAACAGACAAATGAGTTTCATTAAGCTAAAAAGCTTCTGCATAGTAAGATAAAGAATCAAATAACCTACAGAATGGAAGAACATATTTACAAACTGTGCATCCAACAAAGGACTAATATCCAGAATCTACAAGGAACTCAACCAGAAAAAACTAAATAACCCTATTCAAAAGTGGGCAAAAGACAGGAATAGACATTTCTCAAAAGAAGACATACAAGTGGCTAATAAACATGATAAACTTCTCAACATCACTAATCATCAGAGAAATGCAGATTAAAACCACGGTGAGATACCATCTTGCACCAGTCAGAATGACTATTATTAAAAAGTCAAAAAACAACCCGATATTGATGAGAATTCAGAAAAAAGAGATTGCCTATACACTGTTGGTGGGAATGTAAATTAGTACAACCTCTGTGGAAACTAGTATGGAGATTTCTCAAAGAACTAAAAATAGAACTACCATTTGACCCAGCAATCTCACTACTGGCTACCCAAAGGAAAACAAATTGTGACTGGGTGTGGTGGCTCATGCTTGTAATCCTAGAGCTTTGGGAGGCTGAGGCAGGAGGATCACTTGATGCCAGGAGTTTGAGACCAGCCTGAGCAATATAGCAAAAAACCTCCATCTCTACAAAAAATTAAAAAGTTAACCAGACATGATGGTGCATGCCAGTAGTTCTAGCTACTCGAGAGACTGAGGTGGTAGGATTGCTTAAGCCCAAGAATTCAAGGCTGTGGTGAGCTATGATTACGCCACTGCACTCCAGCCTGGGTGACAGAGCAAGAACCTGTCTCTGAAAAAGAAAAAAAAAAGAAGAAATTGTTATGACAAAAAGACAAAGACATAGAATCAACCATTAACCTAAGTGTCCACCAACAGATGGTTAAAGAAAATGTGGTTATGCATACACCACGGAATACTATGCAGCCATAAAAATAATGAAATCATGTCTTTTGCAGCAACATGGATGGAGCTGGGGGCCATTATCCTAAGTGAAATAACTCAGAAGCAGAAAATCAAACACCCCATGTTCTCACTTATAAGTGGAAGCTAAAGACTGAGTGCACGTGGACATACAGAGGGGAATAATAGACACTGGGGACTCCAAAAGTGGGGAGAGTGGGAGGGGAAGGGTGAGGGTTGAAAAATTAACTATTGGGTACAATGTTCACTGTTTGGGTGATGGGTACACTAGAAGCCCAGACCTCACCACTACACAATATATCTGTATAATAAACCTACACATAAACCACCTGAATCTATGTATTAAAAAAGAAAGCATGAAAAAAATCCAAATAGTATTTCAAATGTATATAGGCTATGGTCCATTTCTAGGCATATCTAGCCTGCCTTCAGTATTCCAAACTAATCACACTGAATTGTAATGGCTTAGTTTTCCATATGTGTGTTTTAGTTCAATAACTGGATTGAAAGCTAGTTGTGTGGTCCTAGATAAATTATTGAATTTTGCTGAGCCCACTTTATCTGCAAATTAGAGATAATACTTACTTTGCAGGGTTGTAGTGAGGATTGGAAATAATGTATCCAAGGTGAATTTAATTAAAAAGTAGTTACTTTTTTTTTGACTTCTGGCTTTAATAGTCTATGTACATAGGAGTTGTTTGTATTTTTATAATATTCCAGATGAATGACTATCCTAGCATCCCACTCAATTTAGATATTGAGCATCTATGACACATAAAGCACTGTTCATAACCCTAAAGGCCTGCTGAGCCTATATTTTTCAGATATGTTTCTTACATAAACCACATGCTGCTCTTCATCTTTAGCAATTTTCTTAGTCATGTGTTTCCTCAGTCTCTTACACCTTGCCTGGCCCATCATAGTAGGTGCTGAATAAATGTGTGAGCTGAGTGGAATAATTTAGTAGGAAAAGAGAAACACACAAATTGGATAAAACCTGGCAGGCTACGATGAAAATGATTAACAGGTACAAAGTGCTTTGTACATTGGGAGATCAGGAGACATTAATTTTGATTAAGGTATCTGGGAATGCCCTGTGGAGTAGGCAGATTTGACCTGGGCCCCAATCATAGGGGCTGAGGCAAGGAGCTTAAAGATGGAAATGACAGTATGAGTTAAGGCTGAGAGGTAGAAGTAAACAGGGTGCGCTTTGTTATCAGGGAGTTATTGGTGGGGGGTGGGGCAGAAGAGTAGGGTAAACGAATGGGTACAGGTGGGAAGAAAAAATGTAGTTGGTTCCTACATTTTGAGGATTTTGATGTGACTAGTCATTCTTTATAGTTTTAAAACGTTTCTGAAAAACACTGCTTTCAATATGGCCAGAGGCATCTTTGGGCAGAGTGGATCTGAGGGATGGCAGGGGTCGGGAAAGTGGCGGGCCAGAAATGACAACTGGCTTGCCCCGGAAGAAGGCAGGGAGTGGGAGGATGGCCGAGACCTTCGGCGGCACAAGAGCAGTTAGTGGCCAATATTCGCCCCGAGGTGAGGAAGGAGTGTCTGCGAGGAGGCGGGACACCCTTAGAGCTCAGCAGGCAGCAGGAAGCTGCAGAACAACGCTTATAAAGACATGTCACCCACACTGGGAGGGCAGCAGCGAAATCCGCGGCAGCCGGGTTGTTACAGCCTTTGAGGGAAGTCGCAAGACCCAGCTCCGCCCAACAGCATCGGGCCCCGCGCCCCGCCCCATGCCCTCGCCCCGCCCCTCATCCCTCGCCCCGCCCCTCGCCTCTCGCCCCGCCCCTCGCCTCTCGCCCCGCCTCCCGCGCTCCCCGTCAGGTTCAAAGCCCCCTCCCGCCTAACGTCTTCAGCCCAGCCAGGCTGCCCTTCTTCCCTGCGGAGGGAGGGCCTGGGCGGTCGCGTTGGCGGGAGGGAGGTTACCTTTCCCAGTCTCGCTCTGGCCGCCTGAGCCAGGAGGAAGCAGCGGCGAGGTCTGCGGGAGGCATGGCGGGAGCTCCGGACGAGCGCCGGCGGGGCCCCGCGGCAGGGGAGCAGCTGCAGCAGCAACACGTCTCTTGCCAGGTCTTCCCCGAGCGTCTGGCCCAGGGGAATCCCCAGCAAGGGTTCTTCTCCAGCTTCTTCACCAGCAACCAGAAGTGCCAGCTTAGGCTCCTGAAGACGCTGGAGACAAGTAGGAGCCATGACCTGGAGGCTGTGGTTCCACAGAATGGGTCTGAGACCGGGTGGGCGAGGAAGGGCCTGGGCAACACCTGGCCAGGGGCTTCAGGTTCAGCACAGAGTCTAGACAGACTGGGCATCATGGGGGCTGGGTTGGGAGCCTGAGGCTCAGTTTCCCCACTAGAGGTGGCGCTGAGACCCTTTTCGTCGCTGTTTTTGGCTTGTGGAATGAATTTGTCTGCCCTTTTTTGTCACTCACTGTTGTGACAGATCCTCCGATTTCTTACATAAGTTATGCAGCCACACTGTGACTTCAGGGTAAGGGTGAGGCCAAGTTTTAAAGTGCCAGCCAGGTTAATTAAGGCACACAAAGGCTGTAAAAATGTAAAAATGTAATTAAGGCATACCAAGGCTGTAAAAATATAAAAGCAGTTTTGCAAACCTACCGTTCCTTGGAAGTGGTTCATGCATGAATGGGCTTCAGAGCGTAGAAATCCCTGAAATGGTCTGTGAAATCGTGTGTATGTGTGTGTGTGTGCCCCTAAGTGCATTTTTTTTTTTTTTTTGAGACGGAGTCTCGCTCTGTCGCCCAGGCTGGGGTGCAGTGGCGCGATCTTTGCTCACTGCAAGCTCCGCCTACTGGGTTCACGCCGTTCTCCTGCCTCAGCCTCCCGAGTAGCTGGGACTACAGGCGCTCGCCACCACACCCTGCTAATTTTTTGTATTTTTAGTAGAGACGGGTTTTCACCGTGTTAGCCAGGATGGTCTTGATCTCCTGACCTCGTGATCTGCCTGCCTCGGCCTCCCAAAGTGCTGGGATTACAGGCGTGAGTCACTGCGCCCGGCCCAAAGTGTATTTTTTTTTGGTCGGGGGAGAGAGTTAATAGCTTCATCATATTCTCAAAGAGGCCAACGACCCCACAAAGGTTAAGAACTGCTGTGGGTTAAACAGGGACACAACTGCCCATTGACAAATTTCTCTCCCGTCCCAGAGACATTGCACTAGAGAAGATTTCTTAATTCCTTTACATTGACATAGACTTCTTAAGTTTACTTTCAGATACATTCAGAAAATTAGTCTTAAACATACTTGTCCCAAAGCAAGGTTACTATTTCATAGCTAGTCAGTCACAGTTCAAAAGTCAACCACCGAAAGATTTTCCAACCTTCTTGGGATTACCTGCTTGTAGAGACTCAGGGAGGTAGGAGGAGGAAGGGGAGTTGAGGGTAAAAGGGGAGAGAATGATGATATTGTATTTACTGTACAAATATGTATTGAGTGCCTCCCAGGTTCTGGTGGGGGAAGTAGAAAGATGAGTTAGCACCCTGCCTTGAAGGTGCTTCAAAGTGGAATAGAGTGGAAAGAGTATGGGTTGCAGAGTTAGATGTGGGTTCAAATGCGGATCCCTTTCCTCAGGTGTGGAAGGTGACTTAACTTCTCTGATCCTCACTATCCTTATTGTAAAAAAAGAGAAGGGGAAAATACCTTTTTTAGGGTTGTTGTGAAGAATAGATTTTATGGGGCTGGGTACGGTGGCTCATGCCTGTAATCTCAGCACTTTGGGGAGCCAAGGCAGGGGGATTGCTTGAGCTCAGATGTTTAAGACCAGCCTGGGTAATATAGGGAGACCCTGTCTCTACAAAAAATAAAAAAAATTAGCTGGATGTGGTGGCTCATGCCTGCAGTCCCAACTATTTAGGAGGCTGAGGCAGGAGATTTGCTTGAACCCAGGAGGCTGAGGCTGCAGTGAGCTGTTATTGCATCACTGCACTCCAGCCTGGGCAACAGAGCGAGACCCTGTCTAAAAAAAAAAAAAGTACTGATTTTATGAATGTAAAGTACCAGCATATCAGGAGCTGAGCTGAATAAATGGTAGCTGTTTTTACAGTGGAAGGGCCACACAGTGGAGGAAGAGTGGAAATAGATAGGATGTGAGGAAGGTGGGGTGCTGAACATGAGCCCCAGTAGGAATCAATGGACCTTGATCTTCCAAGGGCAGGGTGGCTGGGAGGGTCTTTTGGTGGTATTAAAGTGTCAACCTGCAGCTTTAAAATGCTATCCCTGGGTGGGGCGTGGTGGTGGAAACCAGACCTCATGGGAGTCTCTTTTTTTTTTTTTTTTTTCACCAAAGCAATTTTATTCTAAATATTGCTGCAGGTCCTTTTTGAAGTACTAAACCATGGTTTTTTTTTTTTTTAAGTACAAGGACTACAGACTTTTGAAACTGTTTTAATTTTGTAAAATTCTCCTAGTTGCATGAATAATAATGTGCTTAATATGGTGCCTGCTACCTGGTATTCACTCAATAATACGTATTGTTAACAATAATTATTCTACTGTGAACACTCTTGCAAGGGGCAGGTTGGTAAAGCAGTAACCTATACCTGACTTTCTCATCTCACATTTCTTTTTCTCACCTATTTTTGCCTTCAACATTTTTTTTAAACCTTAGTTTCTTTTTCACTTTTTTTGGGTTACATCATATAATTGGCTGTGCATTTATATTCTCAGACAAGATGCCTATGTGAAAAGTTAATATCAGAGGCATTTGGGCTCCTTGTACTTTCCTGTAGTAGTCACGGGCCCATAGAGTCTTAGATGTGGAAGGGCCCTCAGGAATCGTCTAGGCCTCCCCGTCCCCTTACAGGGAAACCTCTGTGCTATTGCTGGCCAGATACTCTACAGACCTCTCCTGGAATACAGTTACCTGTTCCTTGAGGCTCTTTCAATCTACTGTCTATTGTTTCACCAGCTTTAATTGTTGGAGAAAAATCCTTTCTCATACTGAGCTGAAATCTGCCACATGTAACTTCCATACTTTGGTCCTTGTTCTGCCCTTTGAAGAAATATTAACTGAATCTAGTCCCACATGGCACCCCTTCAATACTTGAAAGTAGTGTGGTCCTAGTTAAGTCTTCTGTCTCCTTTCCAACCCCCCAAATCCTTTCTTGCTTCTTACTGGAAATAGTCTGTAGTACCCTAGTCACCATCCCCTGTGGAAGAGCTTCAGTGGCAGGTCCAATTTAGAAGGTGGTAGTACTCAGCATGGGACATGGTATTGCCGGTATGATCTGATCAGGACAGAACAGTGTGGCTACTGGCTTCCTCAAATCTAGGTACTGTGCTGTTGTTCACTTCTAAGAATGTGGCCCTAGATTCCCTCAGTCTTTTGGTATATACCGTAATACAACGTGTTTGATCATTTAACTAAAAATGAACTTTAAAAGCATAGTTGATATTGTCTAAGATGCTTAGTAGTACCATCTTGGTATTTGTATTAGTGTTTTATTTCAGTACAAACTTGCTTTGATGTTGATTTAAGCTTGGCCTCTCATGTCAATTTTTACCAATTTTAAGATAACATTACTTTTTTTTTGAGACAGAGTCACTCTATCGTCCAGGCTGGAGTGCAGTGGTGTGATCTCAGCTCACTGTAATGTCTGTCTCCTGGGTTCAAGTGATTCTCATGCCTCAGCTTCCCAAGTAGCTGGGACTACAGGCGTGTGCCACCATGCCCAGCTAATTTTTGTATTTTTAGTAGAGACGGGGTTTGCCATGTTGGTCAGGCTGGGCTTGAACTCCTGGCCTCAAATGATCCACCCGCCTCAACCTCCTAAAGTGCTGGGATTACAGGCATGAGCCACTGCATCTGGCCTGTGAGTTACTTTTTGATAATATCTTACACTGCTATTTGGGTAGTTTAATTGGTGCTACTTTTCCAATTACTTAATTAAATCAATATCTTTTTTAGATCCATATGTCAAACTTCTGCTTGATGCTATGAAACACTCAGGTTGGTAAGTAACTCTTTTTGAAGTGCTGCTCTGAGGTCTGGCTGCTGAAAACAAAAACCAAGTTCTCTTCTTAAGAGAACTGCTTAAGATTTCTCTGAGGTCACAAAGTCTTTTCCATAGGGTAAATAGAGGTAATTGGCTGCATTGTCTCCGGGCTGGCCTTGTTCTCTTTGGACATTTTCTGCCCTAACTCATGTTTTTTTTTTTTTTTGGGGATAGAGTCTCGCTCTTGTTGTCCAGGTGGGAGTGCGTTGGTGCTGTCTCGGCTCAGTGCAACCTCCGTCTCCCAGGTTCAAGCAATTCTTCTCCCTCAGTCTCCCAAGTAGCTGGGTTTACAGGCGCACGCCACCATGCCCGGCTAATTTTTGTATTTTTAGTAGAAATGGGGTCTTAGCATGTTGACCAGACTGGTCTCGAACTCCTGTCCTCAAGTGATCCACCCACCTCGGCCTCCCAAAGTGCTGGGATTACAGGTGTGAGCCACTGCGCCAGCCCAGCTCATTTTCTAGTTCTTACCATTCACCTTGGGTGATTAATAAAGACAGTACTCAAAATTTTCTTGTAAGTAATTACCAAGCCTGGCCTTTCTGCTACACCAGCCTGAGCACTGTTTTTAATGGAAAAGAAATCTCAGCTTGTTATGTAGGAACCTTGCAGATGTTGTATAACTTTGAGGGGTTTAAAGGAAGTGACTTCTGACATCCACTTCTTAACATTCTGGCCCAAGGGCAGGAACTCCAGCATACTTGCAATATGGCCATAATCAGTTGAACAAATTTTTTTTTTTTTTTTTTTTTTTTGAGACGTAGTTTTGCTCTTTTTTTTTGCCCAGGCTGGAATGCAGTGGCACGATCTCGGCTCACCGCAACCTCCGCCTCCCGGGTTCAAGAGATTCTCCTGCCTCAGCCTCCTGAGTAGCTGGGATTATAGGCGCCCACCACCACCCGGCTAATTTTGTATTTTTAGTAGAGATGGGGGGTTCTCCATGTTGGTCAGGCTGGTCTTGAACTCCCGACCTCAGGTGATCCACCTGCCTCGGCCTCCCAAAGTGCTGGGATTACAGGCGTGAGCCACCGCGCCTGGGGGACAAATGTTTTATGGAATCATATCTATAGAATTTGAACTAGAATGGATTTTGTGTACAACCTCCTTATTTTACAGGTGAGATAACAGTCCTGAAGATGTTGTTTCTTTCCCAAGATTTCCTATGTGTTAGTAGTAGAGGGGATTTACTATATGGTGGAGGGTCTCCTGAGCCCTGGCCCAGGGCTGTTTGCCACATACACACTGTTTCTGGACATTGTCTCCTTTTCTTGCCTTTTAGTGCTGTTAACAAAGATAGACACTTTTCTTGCGAAGACTGTAATGGAAATGTCAGTGGAGGTTTTGATGCTTCAACATCTCAGGTAGGCATTATTGCCAAATTGTTTCCTTCCCTTTAATCCTCTCTCTTTATATTTTTTGAGCATCTTCCACATGCTCGGCATTCTGTTTGGTAGACTTTATGTAGGACTAAAAAAGTGAATTAGTTATCCTTACTCTAAGGAGTTTACTCTTAAAATCTCTTAAGGAGTTTACAGCCTTACAGGAAAGATAAGACATGAACACAGATAATTATAAAATGAGGCAAGCTAAACCATTTTAGGTGGGCTTGGTTACCACAATGGAACAGTGATGTGATCGATTGAAAGATGCCAACAGATTCGACTAGAGGATATAAAGCCTCCTTAGGGGCAGAGCAGGGACAGAGCAGGGGCAGCATGAGCAAAAGTGCATGCTACGAAACTGCATGGCATGTGTAGGGAATGGCATATTGTCTAGTTTATCTGGAGGGCAGGAACATGTGGGGAATGAGGGAAAATAGGATTGGAAGGAAATGTAAGCCCTATGGTGGGAGGTTTTGAATGCTAAATTAAAGGGTTTTTACCTTTACGTGGTGAGAATTGATACTGCCTGTGAAAATTTTTTATTAGGGGAGTTTTCTAATCTGTACAATTTGGGCAACGATTGTATCTATTTTATGGAATGATTATGAGAATTAAATGAGATATCTCTTATAGAGTTGCTTATCTTAGTGCCTGGCCCATAGTAAGCATTCAATAAATTTTATTATTAGTTTTAAGTCATCAGAGAGTTTCGACAGAGTCTTGGAGGTGGTAGATAATGTCATGTGATCAGGGTAAATGATGGTGTTATAAGTAACTGTTTCCCACTTGAATGTATAATTCATACTTAACTACACTTAACTGTTTCCTGCTGGATAATTTTGTATGTATTTAGGTTATTTATAGCATTTTTACAGTAATCATGTGAAGTGGCAATATAGAACAAGGATGAGAAGTCTAGATTTTGGAGTCAGACTTGAGTTCAAATCCTAGTTTCCTTGCTTATTATCTGTGGGGCTTGGGCAAGTTATTTTTCTTCTTCTCAGTTTCCTCATTTGTAAACTGGTAATCACAATACCTATAGCTCTCAAAATGGCTCTGGATAAGTTCACTCCCTTCTCGGTCCCCCCAGGGTTAAACAGAGTGCACATCTTGAACTTTCATCCTAATTCTCAGCAGTGTTGAACACAGTTGGGCACCCTCTCCTTTTATTTTATTATTATTTTTTAAATTATTATTATTTTTGAGACAGAGTCTTACTCTGTCACCCAGGCTGGAATGCAGTGGTGCAATATGGGCTCACTGCAACCTCTGCCTCCTGGGTTCAAGTGATTCTCCTGCCTCAGCCTCCTGAGTAGCTGGGATTGCAGGCATGTGCCACCATGCCCAGCTAATTTTTGTATTTTTAGTAGAGTCAGGGTTTCACCATATTGGCCAGGCTGGTCTTGAACCCCTGACCTCAGGTGATCCACCCATCTTGGCCTCCCAAACTGCTAGGATTACAGGCGTGAGCCACTGTGCCTGGCCTATTTTTTTAAATGAAAATTTTTATTATGAAGTATCTCATTCATACAGAAGAGTAAAACATCTATATGTACACTTTCAGTAATAATAAAGTGCACACCTATGTAACCACCACCCAGACTAGAGAAAAAGAACATTACTAGGACTTCAGAAGCCTTCGTGGTCCTCTTGAATCAGGTCCTTTTCCCTTCCTTATCCTGACTTTTGTGGTAACCATTCCCTGCTTTTCTGAATGGCTTTACCATCTACATATACAATCCAACAGTGTGTTATTTAGTTGCCTGCTTTTGAGCTTTATACATGTTATACTTTGAATTTTATGTAGCATTTTGTAGTATTATGAAATTGTACAGTATATAGTCTCCAATTACTTTCCACCTTCAGCATTTGTGAGATTCTTTCTTGTTGTTGTGTGTACCTCTCTGGTTTATTTCGTTTCCCTGTTATATGGTATTTATTCCGTTGTGTGTTTATACTATAGTTTACTCTAATATTGATTGTTTCCAACTTTGTTATTATGAACAATGCTGCTATGAATATTTTTGACCTTCGCTACTGGTGCACATGTGCAAGAGTTTCTCTAAGGTATATGCTCAAGAGCAGAATTACTGGGTCATATAGTTTGTATACACTTGACTTCAGCTGTTAATGCCAAACACTTTCTTTGGTTTCTAGTATACAGCACTCTTCTGGTTGCTCCTTTGCTAGCTTACCTTCCTCTACTAGCATTTAAATGTCAAAGTCCCTCAATCCTTGGTCATAGAGCCCCTTCTTTTCTTACTCTGCCAAGGAGGTCTCATCAATTTTCTGGGGTCAAAGCTCACTTTTAAGAACTCCACATTCCATATATCCAAGTGCCCATTTAACACCTCTACTTGAGCATCTTTTTATTTATTTATTTATTTTTATTTTTAAGGAAAAAAAGTTTTTTTGGGACAGGGTCTTGCTCTGTCGCCTAGGCTGGAGTGCAGTGGCGCAATCATGGCTCACTACAGCCTTGAACTCCTGGGCTCAAGCAATCCTCCCATCTCAGCCTCCTGAGTAGTTGGGACTACAGGAGTGCATCACTGGACCCAGCTAACTTTTAAAATTTTTTGTAGAGATGAGGTCTCACTATGTTGCCCAGGCTGGTCTTAAACTCCTGGCCTCAAATGATCCTTCCATTTCAGCCTCCCAAAGTGCTGGGATTACAAGTGAGAGCCACTGCTCCCCACCTACTTAAGGGTCTTAAGGACACTTCAGACTTGAAATGTGTAAGTCCAAATTCATGATTTTTACCATCCCCCATCTCCCCACTCAACCCAGTCTTTTAGTTTTGCATATCTCAGTGGATGGTGCTACCATCGACCCTATTAGCCAAGCCAGAAATTTATGGATCATCTTTGATACCCCTGATTCCTTCCCCGTATTCTATCAACATATTTTGTCTAATTTACCTCCTAAATAACTCTTTTGGCTTCCACCACCATTCTAGCTGAAGTGCTGTTCTCTCTTGCCTAGAATATTAGCCTTCAGCTAATTTCTCTGCATCCAGTTTTGGCCATCTCCTGCCTATTCTTCCAACTATAGTTAAAAGGATAAAAGCAAAATAAAACAAAAGCAGTCTTCTGTTTCAACATTCCCTTTATCCTGAGAGCTTCCCATTGCTCTTAGGGTAAAGACAAGGTCTTCAGGGATTTGGCCCCCCGACCTCACCAGCCGTATCTGTTGCCTACCACCCCCACCGCTGTGCTTCAACTCTAGGGCTCTCCTTTTAGCTTCTCAAGCATTTTCTTCCGTCAACCCTCCCTCTACGCTTTGCATAGGTTTTTCTCTCTGCCTAGAATACTCCCTTCCCCTCCACACCTCAAATTTCACTTCTATTCCTCCATTAGATACCAGTTTAACCATTCCTTCCACAGAGAAACCTTCCCCCACCTCCAGAGTAGGTCAGGCATTCTTTCTTTTTCTTTTTTTTTTTTTTGACACAGGGTCTCCCTTTCTTGCCCAGGCTGGAGTTCAGTGGCGTGTTCCTGGCTCACTGCAGCACCAACCTCCTGGGCTCAAGTGATCCTCCTACCTCAGCCTTCCAAGTAGCTGGGACTATAGGCATGTGCCACCATGCCTGGCTAATTTTTATTTTATTTTTTTATAGAGATGGGGTTTTGCTCTGTTGCCCAGGCTGGTCCCGAACTCCTGGGCTCAAGGAATCTGCCTGCCTCAGCCTCTCAAAGTACTGGGATTATAGGCATGAGCCACTGCACCCAACCTCATTGTATATGCTCATGACAACCTGGGTTTTTCTTCATGACAACTGTCATTGCATGTATGTAAACATTTTGGTAAATATTTGGTTAGTTTCTATCTCCATCAGTAGATTATAATCTATTATTAGGTCTCAATAAGTATTAGTTGAATCAATGGATGTTGAATGAATGTATATAAATATCTGGCACATATCCCAGTGTCTGGCAGTAGTACACAATCAATGGCAGCTATTACTATTAGGATCCCTTGTGTCTTTCTTATTCTTATAGGGTCCTGCTCAGTGTGCTGTTGTGTTTTGCACTTCTTTCTGAAGGTCTTTCTGATGAGTTTTCCCTGGCATTTGCCCTCATTCTAGTAAAATGAGGACAGTGGTGGTCATTCCTTTTTCATTCAATGCTCATTCAGAAACTTGATAAGAAGTATTTTACATATATTCTCATTTAATTCTCACAGTTCTATGAGGTAGCTACCCTAATTATCTCCTTTTTATAGTTGAGGAAATTGAGGTACAGAGAGATTAAGAAACTTGCCTAAGGTCACTGAGTTAGTAAGGGGTGGAGCTGGAATTTGAATCTGTGTGCTTCATTCCAAAGCCCACTCTCTTAACCATAATGCTGTGGAGTCCGAGACAGACTAGTACGATCAGCCCAGTAAGGATGGTGTGTGAATACGTGTCCTTAATCTAAGTACTGCTGTAGTCCAGAGAGAGGAGAAGGGAGAAGTTAGTCACTGGGCGAGGCAATTGGAGCATGTACACTTAGGACTAGGACTTGTCCCATGGGTAGATGTGTGGCCAATGAAGAAGAGTGGGTAGAGATATTCCAGGCAGGTGAGCTTGTGGGGGAGAGGTGAGGTCATGTGGGAGAGAAGATCGAGTCTATGGAAGGAGATTTTAGAATCACTGAACTTCTTTTATTTTGGTGTCTCCTAGATAGTTTTGTGCCAGAATAATATCCATAATCAGGCCCATATGAACAGAGTGGTCACACACGAGCTTATTCATGCATTTGATCATTGTCGTGCCCATGTCGACTGGTTCACCAACATCAGACATTTGGCGTGCTCAGAGGTGAGTTTTATTGTATTTTTCTCCAGAATACTCTATGCTTGAATATTTTATTCAAGTGTAATTTATTTAAATGTATTCCTTTTCTTACTGTCATAGTTCTACCTTAGTCTTGAATTTCGGTTTATAACTAACATTGAATACCATTTTTGATATACAGTTAGAGAAATTTAAAGTGTATTTTTAGAATTCTCTTAACTATATCCTGTAAGTCCTAGTAATAGTGATGACTGACTTTAATAAGCTATTAATTTTTTCCTATGGAATATATTTTATAATGTATTCCATAGGAGACATTAATAATAAAAATAAAAATAAAAAAATAATTAAAATTTACTGAGGGCTGTGTTCCAAACACTGTTCTGTTTGCACAGATTCTTATTTAATCTTCACAATAACCTACTGAGATAGATATTATACTATTATTGTCCCTGTTTTACATATGTGGAAAGTGAGACAGTTGTTTAGATTCCAAAGTTAGTAAGTGGTAGAGGCAGGATTACAACTAGTGTTTTTAACTAGCTTGCCCAGCTGCCTTCCATAGAGCTCCTTGCTTGCCCTAGAGTAAAACATGCTCTTTTCAAAAATACAACATAAAAAGATATTTATTACTAAGCACGTTGGATTGCTCTTGGAATATGCTCCTAGAGAGAGCGTATTCTGCATATGCATATACTTGGATGTCATTAATTGAAGAGTTAATTAAAATAATCTAAATCTCAAGCCTATACTATATAACTTCGATTATTTCCCTTTCTCTTGAAATTAATATGTAGCCCCCTGCATCTAATTATAATTCCAATTATTTGGAGAATAGACTGAAACCTGAATTTTTAAATAGGTCTCTTTCTTGGGTACTGTGAGAATTAATGCCTTTTAGCTAGTTAAAGTGTGTTAAGTACTTTGAGCTCCTCAGAGGAATGAGGCCATAATATTGAAGAAGGAACAAGAAGTGGGCCATTCTGTTAGCAATGAATTAGCAAAAATGTGGTCAAGCTGCCTGTAGAATCTATGTGGGTAGTTCTAAGACTTTTTCATTCATTGAAGTATAGTAAATCTGAAAATATGTCCTAATTTCAGGCTGTCATGCTCATAGCGTGACCAGTTTGGAATGTTCTTGATTCTTTGTGTTTTGTATTGCTTCATTTTTCATAGGACAATCAAGTCCCTAGAGGAAGGTCATGAACTTATATAGGTTTGAGGGAAGCTCCAAGGGAGATTCGGGCAAGGGTTGGGAGGGGCATATTCTCAAAGTGTCTCAGATATTAATGCATTCAGTTTTAAGGTCACATTGAAACTCAGTTTATTTCAAGAATGCTTTCTTGAAGTACTTTTGGCAATTTCTACAAGTATTTGTATCTTGTAGAGTGTGTAGTTTAACTCTGAGGTCTAGCTCTCTGACTTTTGGTTCCAAAAGAAATTAGTTCTGTCAGTAAAGCTACGCATAAAGTTTAGAAAATTTCCTTTGGTAGGCGATTGAACTTTTCCCCATCTCTCCAGTGTATTTGGCATTGTCTAGCATAGCTCATAGATATTTGCTCTCGTTGTCAATAGAGTTTAAAAAGTCCTTTAAGAAGAAGTGTCACAAATACTCTTTTCTCAGACAAAGATGCTAATTTTATATTCTTTTCTAATTTTTAAAAATTGGTTGATATCATAAAGATATATAGAGCATGAGCGTTTATTTCTTTTTATTTGTCTTCTGTGTGATAGGTTCGAGCTGCTAACCTTAGTGGAGACTGCTCACTTGTCAATGAAATATTCAGGTTACATTTTGGATTAAAACAACACCACCAGGTAAAAACTAATATGAAATCACTTCCCCTCCAGAGTGTTACGAGTGGAAATAATGAATAAAGAAATGAAAAGTACATTCAGTATTTGAAATTTGAAAGAACTTCGTATGTGAAAAGAATACAAAGTATGTACCATTTAAACAAAGTAGATGGAATTTAGTTCTACTTTGTAATTATGGGCAAGCTATGTGACTCAATGAGTGTGTGAGATAGTCTAATAATGAAAAGAGGCCTGGTGCGGTGGCTTATGCCTCCCAGCAGTTTGGGAGGCCGAGGCGGGCGGATCACGAGGTCAGGAGATCGAGACCAGCGTGGCCAACATGGTGAAACCCCGTGTCTACTAAAAATACAAAAAAATTAGCTGGGCGTAGTGGAGCACACCTGTAGTCCCAACTACTATGGAGGCTGAGGCAGGAGAATCACTTGAATCTGGGAGATGGAGGTTGCAGTGAGCCGAGATCATGCCACTGCACTCCAGTCTGGGCCACAGAGTGAGACTCCATCTCAAAAAAAAAAAAAAAAAAAAAGGAGCTAAGATCTTGCATCTGGGATACTTTTCGATGGGGGTGGATAAGGAATGGAAGTGAAATCACAGCATGTCTTACTGTTATTCTAACAATTCTTGACTTCTATTTTGAATCTACCATAGCATTCTGGAGACAAAAGATGTAATCCCTTTCAGAACAGAGAGTGTGTTGCTGCACAAGTTATGGCTATGTGTCAGTGTACCTGTAAAGGCTATATAATGTGATAGAAAACCTTTGGCTTAGCACAGACTTGAGTATGATGAGCTTAGCTGAGAGGGATTTGTGTGAACAAAACAAAAACAAAAAACAAAAGAGAGCTATAAGGCAAGATTATCCTGGTAGAAAGGCTTTGAGATCTGTATTAGGTGGACGTGGGGAAAGAAAGTATAGGACTCATGGATTGATAATGAATGTGAGCAGTTCTGCCTGGGCCTGTGTCCACATTTAGGAGAAAGGCTGGTCAGTCATTTTCTACAGTAAGAGCCTGCTGAGTCAGTTTGTGAAGTATATGAGCATCACGATATCAGTTCCAACTAGATGAAAAAAGATAGGCTTAGGACAACAGGAAGGCCCTTGGTTTTCTGGAGAAGAGAGTAACTCAACTCTGGAGTGGGGGGTGGAAAGTCACAGTGAGCTACTCAGAAATTGTGAACTTAGTGAATGGGAGGGAGAAGAAAAGCCTTCTGCCTGGAAAGGGTGATTACTCTAGACAGTGAGGTGTTCAGCCTCTGCCAGGTCAGCTTAGTGATATGCCAGTGACTTGTCTTGTGCTGCATGTTTTCTGTGCCCTTGAGTCCCTGCTTCTCTGGTGAATTCTGTGTGTTCTGGCTGTCAGTGGAGAGGGTGGAAGCAGGGTACACATCAGCACGCCCCTAGAGAAGAGAATAATGTGGTTAAAGCATGTGCTGGCATAGCTTATGGATATCTGCTCTTGTCAATAGAGTTTGAAAAATTCCTTAAAAAAAAAAACTATTACATATACTCTGTTTTTAGAAAAATATGCTAATTTTATATTCTTTTCCAATTAAAAAAAAATCAGTTGATATACTAAAGAAATAGAGCATGTTTTTTTTTTTTTTAATTCACCTTCTATCTTTGTGATAGGTTTGTGATGCACACAATCTTTGAAAGAGGAAGTTTTCCTCTTTTTACCATTGGGTAGCAGCAGCAGAAAACAAATAGAAACAGCAATAGGACAGAAAATAAGTGGAGGTAGTAGGAATCTGGCTGAGGGAGAAGAGTCTTAGAGAATGGAGTCCCTGCTTTTGTACAGCATGTACCCAGGAAATAGAAACAGCAAGTACAGTTACTGATTGTAAAATTGCATAGTCATATCTTTATTTTAACAGAAATTTATTATGTCTGAAAAGAAGTAAATCTGTGGTCTACACTTGTGTCTCCCAACCCTGTGGCTTCAGGAGACAAATTTTTGTACCTTTTTTCCCTGGAGGGGAGAAATTTCCTCTCTTTTTAGCAACTGTTGTTTTGGCTTCACATGGTTCTTCCTTTTCTTGTTCCTTTATGCCTGGGGTTTATTTTTTAAAATCAGCGTTTAGTAAAATTCAGGTTGAGAAACACTATATTCCAATGTTAGTGAATATCTCCAGCTTGAGCACACTGACCAGGCCAATGAAAAACTGGGAACATGTGGAGAAAACGGATGGCTGTCAGGATGCACAGCCATCCAAACCAGTGTTTGATTATTTTTAGGAAAAGGTCAAATGCCATTCTTTTGAGTTTTAGATTGGTCCTGGGGAGAAATAAATGGATTAAAAGCTCTCCAAGAATTGGAATGGCAGGGCCTTATATTTCTTAAATATTTAAATTAGAGTATTGAGAAATTCTAGCCTATTACTATGAAATGTTAGGTAAATTATTATCTTAGAACTTTAATATCTGTGTAAAGAACAATCAGGAAAAAAAAGTTGTTTAATTTCCACACCCCCTAAAAAATTAAGGTACATTCCAAGTTCGGGTGGATATGTGTATGGTTTCCTGTTGCCTCCAGAGAGGACTTACCCTTCTCAAAGGAAAAGTTATCTAGCATTGGTCAACTGAAAAGAAAGAGAGGTACAGAAGTGAAGTATATTTTAAATTTAATTAAATTTTATCAAAAAGTCAATCAGGACTTTATAGACTTTTTTTTTTTTTTTGGCGAGTTTGCAAATTGGGAGATATTGTTTGGCAGACACTGCCAAGAATTTCTGAGAATGACATCTGCTTATATCAGTGGGAAAGATGAGAAAATGGAGAAGGTCTTACTTATGCCTAAATAATTTTAGGTTGAGCTAAAAATACTCCTTAAGTGTTATGGATCTTTGTTCATTTTGTTTTCTTCTTTGGAATGACAGAAATTAGTAAAATAATATGAGGAAATTAATTTTAATTAATTCAGACATTAGATAAAATGTATTATTTCGTGATTAAATGTTTATATAAAATTAGAGCCTCATACTTTTCCTTCTTTTTAGACTTGTGTGCGAGACAGAGCCACTCTTTCTATCCTGGCTGTTAGGAATATCAGCAAAGAAGTAGCTAAAAAGGCTGTTGATGAAGTTTTTGAATCTTGTTTCAATGACCATGAACCTTTTGGAAGGATCCCACATAACAAGACTTATGCAAGATATGCTCACAGAGACTTTGAAAACCGTGATCGGTATTATTCAAATATATGAGCACAATGACATTTTTATATTACAGAGCTTCCATCATCATGAAGAAAAAAAAATTTGGTTCTCAAGTGAACAAACATATAAAATGTAAACAATCCCTACAATCCAGATAAAACAGAGAAGACTGTGATTCTAGCATATTATCAGAAAAAGTAACTATGGCAAAAAATGAAACTGCTTTAAACTCCAAGGCAGAAATTGTATCTTTATAGCTAACCATTTAGTAAATAAATACATTACATTTTTGTATTTTAGTCATTTGTTTTTATTACATGTGATTATTTTAAAATTTGATTATGAAACCTGTGAAGTGTGCTCTTCCATGATGTTGATAGGTGACCACTGTTGGTATTTACATTAAATGTAAAGAAATGTGTACTGATCTCATTGTAGGATACTTATTGAGCTGTTGTTATGATGAAAATTGGAAATAATTCATTCAGTGGTCAATGCTATCCTCTCCCTATTCTTCTTTTATCATATATGTGGGACCCATATGGCCTAATTTTCTGGGGACAGTCCTGGTTAGATCTTTTTCTTTTTAATAAAGGCAGTGCTCGAATTTTAGCTCCAGATCGACTGCAAGAACAAACCAGCAATACTGAGAGGACCCACAGACCCTCTGAAGGAAGCGACTGCTCCTACAGTGCCCAGGAGACACCCCAAATACTGTGAGTGCCCAACTGCAGAAGTGGGAAAGGGAGACCCTCCTCTCCCACACACACCCCCCCACTGGAGAAACTGAAGGTCTGTTTGTGGGAGAAGTTTCCGACCTTACCTGGAGCTGAGTTAATTTAGAGAGCCGAGCGAAATACAGGGGTAGAGCAAGCAGCAGGAAGGCCCAGGGAGCTCGCTGGGTCCCCAAGCAGCCCATTCCTGCCTGTCACCACAGAGATCCATTGCAAGGGCAGCCAGAAGAGCAGCGGGTAAAACTCCACAGGGAGAAGGACATCTCTAGCTGAACTTTGTAACTATTTCAATGGGGCAAGAAGCCTCCCGGCCAGAACTTGGGAGAGGGCACAAATCCCATGTGCAGAATCCACAGAGGGGAAGAACCAAGCTCTTTTCTTTCACAGCTGGGAGGTGGGTAGCCTGGGGCAAGTTTTCAAGCCTGTCTCACCCACCACCTGGAAGCAGACTTGGGGCTGTGGTGGGGGGCATGGTGGGAGTGAGACTGGCCCTTCGGCTTGTGTGGGAGCTGGGTGAGGCCTGTGACTGCCGGCTTTCCCCTACTTCCCTGACAACCTGCATGACTCCCCAGAGGCAGTCATAATCCTCCTAGGGACACAACTCCAGTGACCTGGGAATCTCACCCTCATCTCCCACAACAGTCACAGCAAGACCTGCCCAAGGAGAGTCTGAGCTCAGACATGTCTATCCCTGCCCCGACCTGATGTTCCTTCCCTACCCACCCTGGTATCTGAACAAAAAGGGCATACAATCTTGGGAGTTCTAGGGCCCCACTCACCACAAGTTCTTCTCCATACTACCACAACTGATGCTCTCTGGAAAGCGCTACCTCCTGGCAGGAGGCCAGCCAGCACAAAAATAGAGCCTTCAACCACCAAAGCTAAGAACCCTCATGGAGTCCATTGCACCCCCCCTGCCACCTCCACTGGAACAGGTGCTGGTATCCACAGCCGAGAGACCCATAGACGGTTCACATCACAGGATTCTGTGCAGGCAACCCCCAGTACCAGCATGGAGCTGGGTAGACTCACTGGGTGGCTAGACCCAGAAGAGAGACAACAATCACAGCAGTTTGGCTTACAGGAAGCCACATCCATCGGAAAAGGGGGAGGGTATACATCAAGGGAACACCCTGTGGGACAAAGGAACCTGAACAATGGCCTTCAGCCCTAGACCTTCCCTTTGACAGAGACTACCCAAATGAGAAGGAACCAGAAAACTAACCCTGGTAATATGACAAAACAAAAGCTCTTTAACACCCACAAAAAAATCACACTAGTTCACCAGCAATGGATTCAAACCAAGAAGAAATCCCTGATTTACCTGAAAAAGAATTCAGGAGGTTAGTTATTAAGCTAATCAGGGAGGCACCAGAGAAAGGCAAAGCCCAGTGCAAGGAAATCCAAAAAATGATATAAGAAGTGAAGGGAGAAATATTCAAGGAAATGGAGAGCTTAAAGAAAAAAGAATAAAAAATTCAGGAAACTTTGGACACACTTTTAGAAATGCAAAATGCTCTGGAAAATCTCAGCAATAGAATTGAACAAGTAGAAGAAAGAAATTCAGAGCTTGAAGACAAGGTCTTCAAATTAACCCAATCCAAAAAAGACAAAGAAAAAAGAATAAGAAAATATGAACAAAGCTTCCAAGAAGTCTAGGATTATGTTAAGTGACCAAAACTAAGAATAATCAGTGTTCCTGAGGAAGAAGAGAATTCTAAAAGCTTGGAAGACATATATGGGGGAAATAATCAAGGAAAACTTCTCTGGCCTTGCGAGAGACCTAGACATTCAAATACAAGAAGCACAAAGAACACCTGGGAAATTCATCACAAAAAGATCATTGTTTAAGTACATTGTCACTAGGTTATCCAAAGTTAAGATGAAGGAAAGAATCTTAAGAGCTGTGAGACAGAAGCACCAGGTAACCTATAAAGGAAAACCTATCAGATTAACAACAGATTTCTCAGCAGAAACCCTACAAGCCAGAAGGGATTGGGGCCCTATCTTCAGCCTCCTCAAACAAAACAATTATCAGCCAAGGATTTTGTATCCAGTGAAACAAAGCATCATATATGAAGGAAAGATACAGTCTTTTTTCAGACAAATAAGTGCTGGGAGAATTCACCACTACCAAGCCACCACCACAAGAACTGCTTAAAAGGAGCTCTAAATCTTGAAACAAATCCTGGAAATGCAACACATCAAAACAGAACCTCTTTAAAGCATAAATCACACAGGATCTGTAAAACGAAAATACAAATTAAAAAGCAAAAGTAAAAAACCAAAATACAGAGGCAACAAAGAGCATGATGAATGCAATGATACCTCACATTTCAATTATAACATTGAATGTAAATGGCCTAAATGCTCCACCTAAAAGAAATAGAACCACAGAATGGATAAAAACTCACCAACCAACTATCTGCTGCCTTCAGGAGACTCACCTAACACATAAGAACTCACATAAACTTAAACTAAAGGGGTGGAATAAAGCATTTGATGCAAACGGACACCAAAAGTGAGCAGGGGTGGCTATTCTTACATCAGACAAAACAAACTTTAAAACAACAGCAGTTAAAAGAGACAAAGAGGGACATTACATAATGGTAAAAGGCCATGTCCAACAGGAAAATATTACTGTCCTAAACATATATGCATCTAACACTGGAGCTTCCAAATTTATAAAACAATTACTAATAGACCTAAGAAATGAGAGACAGCAACACAACAAGAGTGGGGGACTTCAGTACTCCACTGACAGCATTAGACAGGTCATCAAGACAGAAAGTCAACAAAGAAACAAGGGATTTAAACTATAACTTGGAACAAATGGACTTAACCGATATATACAGAACATTTCATGCAACAACCACAGAATACACGTTCTATTCAACAGTGCATGGAACTTTCTCCAAGGTAGACCTTAGGATAGGCCATAAAATGAGCCTCAATAAATTTAAGAAAATCAAAATTATATCAAGCACTCTCTCTGACCACAGTGGAATAAAACTGGAAATCAACTCCAAAAGGAACCATCAAAACCATGCAAATACATGGAAATTAAATAACTTGCTCCTGAATGAGTATTGGGTCAAGAACGAAATCAAGATGGAAATTAAAAAATTCTTTGAACTGAATGATAATAATGACACAACCTACCAAACCCCTGGGATAAAGCAAAGGTGGTGCTAGGAGGAAGGTTCATAGCCCTAAATGCTGATATCAAAAAGACTAAAAGAGCACAAACTGACATTCTAAGGTCACACCTCAAGGAACTAGAGAAACAAGAACAAACCAAACCCAAACCCAGTAGAAGAAAGAAGTAACCAAGATCAGAGCAGAACTAAAGGAAATTGAAACAGCAATAACAACAACAAAAATACAAAAGATAAATGAAACAAAAAGCTGGTTCTTTGATAAGATAAGTAAAATTGATGGACTATTAGCAAGATTAACTGAGAAAATAAGAAAGAAAATCCAAATAATTTCACTAATAAACAAAACAGGAGATATTACAACTGACACCACTGAAATACAAAGGATCATTCAAAGCTACTGTGAACACCTTTATGCACATAAACTGGAAAACCTAGAAGAGATGGATAAATTCTTGGAAAAACACAATCCTCCTAGCTTAAACCAGGAAGAATTAGATACCCTGAACAGACTAATAACAAGCAGCGAGATTGAAATGGTAATTAAAAAATTACCAACAAAAAAAGTCCCGGACCAGATGGATTCACAGCAGAATTCTACCAGACATTCAAAGAAGAATTGATACCAATCGTTTTGACACTATTCCACAAGATAGAGAAAGAAGAAACCCTTCCTAATTCATTCTATGAAGCCAGCATCACCCTAATACCAAAATCAGGGCAGGACATAACCATAAAAGAAAACTACAGACCAATATCCTTGAAGAACATAGATGCTAAAATCATTAACAAAATACTAGCTAACTGAATTCAACAACATATCAAAAAGATAATCCACCATGATTAAGTGGGCTTCATACCAAGGATGCAGGGATGGTTTAACATACACAGTTCAATAAATGTGATACACCACACAAACAATTAAAAACAAAAATCATGTGATCATCTCAATAGATGCAGAAAAAGCATTCAACAAAATCCAGCATTGCTTTATGATTAAAACTCTCAGCAAAATGGGCAGACAAGGGACAGGTATGTCCCTTGTAATAAAAGCCATCTATGATAGACCCACAGCCAACATAATACTGAGTGGGGAAAAGTTGAAAGCATTCCCTCTGAGAACTGGAACAAGACAAGGATGCCCACTCTCACCACTCCTCTTCAACATAGTACTGGAAGTCCAAGCCAGAGCAATCAGACAAGAGAAAGAAATAAAGGGCATCCAAATTGGTAAAGGGAAAGTCAAACTGTCACTGTTTGCTGGTGATATGATTGTTTACCTTGAAAACTCCAAAGACTCCTCCAGAAAGCTCTTAGAACAGATAAAAGAATTCAGCAAAGTTTCTGGATACAAGATTAATGTACACAAATCAGTAGCTCTTCTATATACCAACAGCAACCAAGCAGAGGATGAAGTAAAGAACTCAGCCCCTTTTACAATAGCTGGGGAAAAAAAAAAAAAAAAAGGAATATATCTAACCAAGGAGTCAAAATAGCTCTACAGGGAAACTACAAAACACTGCTGAAAGAAATCATAGATGATACAAACAAATGGAAACATCCCATGCTCACGAATGGGTAGAATCAATATTGTGAACATGACCGTACTGCCAAAAGCAATCTACAAATTCAATGCAATCCCCATCAAAATACCACCATCATTCTTCACAGAATTAGGAAAAGCAATTCTAAAATTCATATGGAACCAAAAAAGAGCCTGCATAGCCAAAGCAAGACTAAGCAAAAAGAACAAATCTGGAGGCATCACACTACCTGATTTCAAACTATATTATAAGGCCATAGTCACCAAAACAGCATGGTACTGGTACTGGTATAAATAGGCACATAGACCAATAGAATAGAATAGAGAACCTAGAAATAAACCCAAATACTTACAGCCAACTGATCTTTGACAAAGCAAACAACATTAAGTGGGGAAAGGACACCCTTTTCAACAAATGGTGCTGGCAGAATTGGATAGCCACATGTAGGAGAATGAAGCTGGATCCTCATCTCTCACCTTATACCAAAATCAACTCAAGATGGATGAAGGACTTAAACCTAAGACCTGAAACTATTAAAATTCTAGAAGATAACATTGGAAAAATTCTAGACATTGGCTTAGGCAAGGATTTCACGACCAAGAACCCAAAAACAAATACGACAAAAACAAAGATAAATAGCTGGGACCTAATTAAACTAAAGAGCTTTTGCATGGCAAAAGGAACAGTCAGCAGACTAAACACAACCTACAGAGTGGGAGAAAATATTCACAGTCTATACATCTGACAAAGGACTAATATCCAGAATCTACAATGAACACAAACAAATCAGTAAGAAGAAAACAATCCCATCAAAAAGTGGGCTAAGGACATGAATAGAAAATTCTCAAAAGAAGATATACAAATTGCCAACAAACATATGAAAAAACGCTCAACATCATTAATGATCAGGGAAATGCAAATCAAAACCACAATGCAGTACCACCATACTCCTGCAAGAATGGCCATAATAAAAAAGTCAAATAACAGTAGATGTTGGCGTGGATGCGGTGATCAGGGAACACTTCTACACTGCTGGTGGGAATGTAAAGTAAAGTATACAGCCACTATGGAAAACAGTGTGGATATTTCTTAAAGAACTAAAAGTAGAACTTCCATTTGATCCAGCAATCCCACTACTGGGTATCTACCCAGAGGAAAAGAAGTCATTATTCAAAAAAGACACTTGCACACATATGTTTATAGGAGCACAATTCACAATTGCAAAATTGTGGAACCAAGCCAAATGCCCATCAATCAACGAGTGGATAAAGAAACTGTTATATATATATATGATGGAATACTACTCAGCCATAAAAAGGAATGAATTATCAGCATGTGCAGTGACCTGGATGAGACTGGAGACTATTATTCTAAGTGAAGTAACTCAGGAATGGAAACCCAAACATCATATGTTCTCACTGATATGTGGGAGCTAAGCTATGAGGACACAAAGGCATAAGAATAATTCAATGGACTTCGGGGACTTGTGGGGAAGAAGAGGAGGAGGGCCGAGGAATAAAAGACTAAAAATATGGTGCAGTGTATACTGTTCGGGAGATGGGTGTGCCAAAATCTCACAAATCACCACTAAAGAACTTACTCATGTAACCAAATACCACCTGTACCCCAATAATTATGGAAAAAAAAATTAAGCAAACTAAAACCATAACAGAAAAAAGGCAGTGCATTAAATTCATAATACAATCCAATTTAATTTTTATATATTTATAATATTTTTCATATAATCATTCTCAAATCTTTTTTAGGCACCATATCTGAATTTTGGATCCAGAAAGCATGGTCATTGTATCTATACCCCTTAACACAGGCATTACCTGCATCTTCTACCTGCTCTTAGCAGCTGCATCTTTAACCCGCTCCTAGCAAACATCATTTGGCCTATGTCTAGATTGATAGGTGATGATGCCTATGTGTAGATGTGACTGATTAGAGGTTTAAAGACTGAAGCTAGCAGGATTCATTCTCTTGAGTTAAAATTTTATTAAATATAAATTATAAAGTAATACCTGAAGCCTTGTCAAACATTTAAAACAAAATTTGAGGATTCTGGGAAGATAATGGAGAAGGAAGCACCAGAAATCTGTCTTCCCACTTAGGTAAAAATTATAGTAGTAGAACCTCTCTGATGTAACTGTTTTGGAACTCTGGGTCTATTGAAGGCTTGCAACGTCCAGGGAAAAGCTTGGATATTAAATTGTGGTTCATTTTGGTCAATTTTAGTTCTTAGCACAGTAGCAGCTACCCATCCCCCATCCCCTATCCTTGTGGCAGGTGGGTGTGCACATGTTCCTGGAGCAGCTTGCATGCAGGTTGTGGGAGCCAGGGTGGATAAAAAAAGACTCTGTCCTCCAAATAGTGGAGATCTGTGCTTTGATTGCTAATTGCTGCTTCTGATTACAGAGGTTCAGAGGTGGACATTGTGGTTTCACCTCCCTCCATTGTTGCAAGCTCCCCCTACCCTCTGGCTGAAGTGACTTCCTGGTTATTTAAAAGGCTGGTGCCTTTTTGTTTTTCCTGTGCTCTTCATTTTTCTCTTTTCCCCCCTTTGGGAGCCAGACACTGAAGACTATGACATTCAAAAGTAACCTCATATACAAGAGAAATTAGAAAGTTACAGTACATGTGCAGGGGAAGGTGCAAGCTCTGAAAACACCCTAATTTTATACCTCAGACTGATCCTCAGCACAGGGATAGCTTACAAAAAAAATAAAAACACAAAACAGCAAACCCTGGAGAGAGAGTATCTGACTTTTAGACTTACCAGATTATTAGATTAAAATGTACAGTTTTCAACAAAAATCACAAGAGATAGAAACAGGAAATTGTGGCCCATTCTATGGAAAAAAGCAAACAAACAGAAACTGTCCCTGAAAAAGACCTGTTGGCAGATTTACTAGACAAAAACTTTAAAATAATTGTCTTAAAGATGCTCAAAGACCACACGATCCAGCCATCTCACTCTTAAGTATATCCCCAAAAGAAAGGAAATTAGTATATCAAGTGATATCTGTACGCTCACATTTATTGTAGCACTATTCACAATAGCCAAGATTTGGAAGCAACCTACACAATGGAGTACATTCAGCCATATAAAAGAATGAGATCCTGTCATTTGCAGCAACATGGGTGAAACTGGAGGTCATTATGTTAAGTGAAATAAGCCAAACTTTGCATGTTCTCACCCATGGGAGCTAAACATTAAAACAATTGAACTCATGGAGATAGCAGAATGATAGTTACCAGAGGCTAGGAAGGGTAGTGGGGTGGGGGTGGGGGCATGAGGGTAAGGGAGGGGAAATTGGGGATGGCTAATGGGTACAAAAAAATAGAATGAACAAGACAGTATTTGCTAGCACAACAGGGTGACTGTAGTAAAAAGTAATTTAATTGTACATTTAAAAATAACTAAAAGTGTATAATTGGATTGTTCATATCACAAAGTGAGGGACTGAGGGGCTAAATTGTCTGGACTTCCTGGGTCAATAGGGACGTCCCTAAGGGGACTTTCCCCTAAGCCAAAATGAGTCACAGCTGCAAGCTAAGGGATTGAACTTCAACCAGTCACATAGGGAGTTTAAGCTCTAGCTGCAGCCTGATGTTTTTAACCAATCAGGCCTGCCAACCCGCAAGCAGATTGAAAAATAAGCTAATTCTATAGGACAGAAAAAGGAAAAGAGGAGGGGTTATAAGGGGATATAAGCATAAGATACCCAAGCGAAAAACGGCAACTCTTCCGTGTCCCCTTCCACCGTGTGGAAGCTTTACTTTTGCTTTACTTTCACTTTCACTTTAATAAATCTTGCTGCTGCACACTCTTGGGGTCCGTGCGTTTCTCTAATCAAGTTGTAACACTCACTGCTGCAGTCCATGGCTTCATTCCTTGAAGCCCTTGAGACCACGAACCATTCAATCTAGAAAAACCTTAGATTGGAAGAAGACTTCTTGTCTCAAAAGGATAAATGCTTGAGGTGGGGGATACCCTGTTTATCCAGATGTGATTATTATGCATTGCATGCCTGTATCAAAATGTCTCATGTATCCCATAAATACACCTAATGTGTTCCCACAAAAATTAAAAATAAAAATTTAATTAAAAAAGAACTAGCAAAAGATGCTCAAAGAACTAAAGGAAGACATGGAGAAAGTTAAGAAAACTATGTAGAAACAAAATAGGAATATTAAGAGAAAACCTAGAAAGGAAAAAGAAATTCTGAAGCTGAAAAGTTCAATAATTGAAATAAGAAATTTACTAGAGGGATTCAAAGGCAGATTTGAGCAAGCAGAAGAAAATCAGCAAACTCAAAGATAGGACAATGGAAATTAGCAAGTCTGAGGAACAGAAAGGAAAAAGATTGAAGAAAAGTAAGCACAGCCTAGGAGTCCCATGGGACAATATCAAGCAGACCAATATATACATTGTAGGAGTTCCAGCAGAAGAGAGAAAGGGGCAGAGAGAATATTGGAAGAAATAATGGCTGAAAACTTTTCAAGTTTGATAAAAGACATGAATATAAACATCCAAGAAGCTCAACAAACTCCAAGTATGATGAACTCAAAGATAGCCACATTGAGACATATTATAATCAAACTGTCAAAAGACAAACACAGGCCTTTGTCTCTCACTGCAGCCAGAGCTCCCAGTCTTGTGTTTACTTCTCTGTTTCTTCTGCTTCTAGAGGCCCAGCCTCTGTGGCCCTGTGACCTGCAGGTATTGGGAGATCCACTGCTAAGATGCCAGGACCCCCTGGAAGCCTAGAAATGAGATCATTGACATTTAGGGAGGTGGCCATAGAATTATCTCTGGAGGAATGGCAATGCCTGGACACTGCACAGCAGAATTTATATAGGAATGTGATGTTAGGGAACTACAGAAACCTGGTCTTCCTGAGTATATTGCTGTCTCTAAGCCAGACCTGATCACCTGTCTGGAGGAAAAAAAAAAAGAAAAAAAGCCCTGGAATATGAAGAGACATGAAATGGTAGCCAAACCCCCAGTTTTATGTTTTTCTTTTGCCCAAGACCTTTGGCCAGAGTAGGACACGGAAGTTTTTTTTCCAAAAAGTTATACTGAGAAGATATGGAAAATGTGAACATTAGAATTTACAGTTAAGAAAAGTTATAAAAGTGTGGATGAGTGTAAGGTGCACAAAAAAGGTCATAATGGACTTAACCAGTGTTTGACAACTAATGAGAGCAAAATATTTAAATGTGATAAATGTGTGAAAGTTTTTTTATAAATTTTCAAATTCAAATAGACATAAGATAAGACATACTAGAAAGGAATCTTTCAAATGTGTGTCAAACATTTTGCATGCTTTCACACCTAATTCAACATAAAAGAATTTACACTAAAGACAATTCCTACAAATGTAAAGAATGTGGCAAAGCCTTTAACTGGTCCTCAGGCCTTACTAAACATAAGATAATTCATATTGGAGAGAAACCCTACAAATGTGAAGAATGTGGCGAAGTTTTTTAACCAGTCCTCGCACCTTACTATTCATAAGACAATTCATACTGGAAAGAAACCCTACAAATGTGAAGAGTGTGGCCAATTTTTTAACTGGTCCTCACACCTTACTATACATAAGTAATTCATATGGGAGAGAAACCCTACAAACGTGAAGAATGTGGCAAAGGCTGTTAACCAATTCTCAAACCTTACTAAACATAAGAAAATTTATACTAAAGAGAAAACCTCCAAGTGTGAAGAATGTGGCAAATCCTTCAGTGAATCCTCAATTCTTAAGAGACGCAAGATAATTCATACTGGAGAGAAATTCTACAAACCTGAAAGATGTGACAATGCTTTTGGCAACACTTCAAACTTTTCTAAACATAAAATAAATCATACTGATGAGAAATCCTAGAAATGTGAAGAACGTGACAAGCCTTTAAATGGTTGTCACACTTGATTATAGGTCGGATAATTCATAGTGGAGAAAACTCCTACAAATGTGAAAAATGTGGCAAAACTTTTAACCAATCCTCACACCTTATTGCACAGAAAAGCATTTATACTTGAGAAAAAATTAACAAACAAAAAGAATGTAAAAAAGCCATTAATATCTGTTCACATCTTACTATCAGAGAGTTCATACTTAGTGAAAGCATTGTAAGTGCAATTACTGTCAAAAATGTTTTTCAGAAAATATAAGCTTTTAAAGTGAAGAAAACTATGTATTTTGAAGACAACATTATAGATATAAAGAAGGTTGTAGCACCTTTACTTGTATCACAGATCTTATTGTACACATTTTTACTACAAGAAGAGCCTGAAGCAGTTGCTTAAACTTTGTTCAACATCAAAGAATTTATATTGAAGAAAAACCCGGCAAATGTAATAAATTTGGAAAAACATTTTTTTAATAACTACAGCTTAAAAAATACCAGAGAGTTTATACTAAAATATAATTTTGCAGATGCAGTAAACTATGTAAATATCAGAGAATTCAGAGTAGAAATAACTAAGGCACCAACACTTCAGACATTACACTAAATCAGAGTACTGAGTAGAGAAAATAATCCAAAACCAAAGCTGGTAGACAAATTATTTGTATATAATGAAAAAGGAGTAGAAGATTTTTTGAAGAGTTATAATTATGTTTAAAGTATACTTTTTTTGAAAAATCTGCTACTTTAAAAAAAAATTCAATAATGATATAATTCAACTCTAAAATTACTTCATGCTGTTTCTTCATTCCTATTGTGTTTACATGTGAAAGCATGTGATAAATTGTTTCTGCATTAAAGACATGACAGATTCTTTTTTATTAGGTGGACATTATTTATGACCTTTTCTATGGAGGAGTAATGACATTAAAATGTAAAATGCATGATGAATATCTTAAAAAGGCTCTTTGTGGTTATTTTGTGATACATTAGGTAGGTGTTCAGAGTAATATTCTTCTGCATTATCATGAGAGAAAAACATTCTTAATTCTAGTTAAAATTATATTAAAGTTAATTAAATTATTAGTATATTATTTTACTAATTGTACTTTTATGTAATAAAATGCAGTACATACAAAAAGACAAATACAGAGAGAATTCTGAAAGCAGCAAGAGAAAATTGACTTGTTGCATACAAAGGCTGATCTTCAATAAGATTGTTAGCATATTTATCATCAGAAACTTTTAACAGAGCAGAGTAGACTGATATATTTAAAGTGCTAAAAGAATAAAACTGGTAACCAAGAATCCTATATCTGGTAAAACTGCCCTTCAAAAGTGAGTAAGAAATTAAGACACTCCCAGATAAACAAAAGCAGAGGCAGTTCACTACCATTAGATCTGTCCTGCAAGAAATGCTAAAAGAGTCCTGCAGGTTGAAATCATGACTAGATAGTAACATGAAACCGTATGAAGAAATAAAGATTTCAGTTAAGGTAAACACATAGGCAATTATAAAAGCCACTATTATTGTAACGATGTGTAATTTTACCTTTGCTTTCTACGTGATTTGAGACTAATACATTAAAAAAACAATGATTACTCTAAAAGTATTATTGTAATTTGGTTTGTAACTCCATATTTTGTTTCCTACATAATTTAAGAGACTAACACATTAAAAATTTGTATGTTTTTGGACCCACACTATTAAAGATGTAATTTTGCAGCATCAACAATGGAAAGGGATGGGGATAGAGCTGTTAAAGAAGTAGAGTTTCTATATGTTATTAAAGTTAATCTAGTATAAATTCAAATTAGAGTGTTATAACTTTATGATGTTAAATGTTATCTGCATGGTAACCACAGAAAAAATAGCTAAATAATGTACACAAAAGGAAATGAGAAAGGAATTTAAAGATTTCACTACAAAAATGAACTGAACAGAAAAGAAGATAGTAATGCATGAAATGAGGCAACAAAAGCTATAAGGCATATAGAAAGCAAATAGCAAATTGATAGAAATCCCTCCTTATGAGCAATTACTTTAAATGTAAATGAGTTAAACTCTCCAAGCCATAAGGATTTAACTATATGCTGCTTACAAGAGACTCATCTTGGATCCAAAGACACAAAAAGATTGAAAGCAAAAGGATAGAAAAGGTTATTCCGTGCAAATAGTAATTAAAAGAGAGCAGGGGCGACTACACTAATATCAGACAAAAAAAAAATCTTACTCGAGACAAGGACAGTGTATATCAATAAAAAGGTTCAATGCAGCAAGAAGATATAACAATTATAAGCATTTATACAACTAATGACAAAGTATAAGAAGCAAAAATTGACAGACTCAAAGGGAGAAATAGTTCTGCAATAATAGTTGGAAACATCAATATTTCCCCTCTGAATAATGGATAGACCAGCCAGCCAGATGATAAGAGTGATATGTGTATATATGTGTGTATATATATATATATATATATATATGTATATATGTATGTGTATATATATATATCTTATCATCTGGCTGGCTGGTCTATCCATTATATATATACATATATACATATATATGTGTATATATATATGTGTGTGTGTATATATATGTGTGTGTGTGTATATATATGTGTGTGTGTGTATATATATGTGTGTATATATATGTGTGTGTGTATATATATATGTGTAGGTGTGTATATATGTGTGTGTGTGTGTGCCATATATATATATATATATATATATATATATATAAAATCTTTGATCTTTTCAAAGAAACAAATTTTAATTTCATGAAGTATATATATATATGTATATACATCACCATCACTGGCCATCAGAGAAATGCAAATCAAAACCACAATGAGATACCATCTCAAACCAGTTAGAATGGCAATCATTAAAAAGTCAGGAAACAACAGGTGCTGGAGAGGATATGGAGAAATAGGAACACTTTTACACTGTTGGTGGGACTGTAAACTAGTTCAACCCTTGTGGAAGTCAGTGTGGCCATTCCTCAGGGATCTAGAACTAGAAATACCATTTGACCCAGCCATCCCATTACTGGGTATATACCCAAAGGACTATAAATCATGCTGCTATAAAGACACATGCACACGTATGTTTATTGCGGCACTATTCACAATAGCAAAGACTTGGAACCAACCCAAATGTCCAACAATGATAGACTGGATTGAGAAAATGTGGCACATATACACCATGGAATACTATGCAGCCATAAAAAATGATGAGTTCATGTCCTTTGTAGGGACATGGATGAAATTGGAAATCATCATTCTCAGTAAACTATCGCAAGAACAAAAAACCAAACACCGCATATTCTCACTCATAGGTGGGAATTGAACAATGAGAACACATGGACACAGGAAGGGGAACATCACACTCTGGGGACTGTTGTGGGGTGGGGGGAGGGGGGAGGGATAGATTTAGGAGATATACCTAATGCTAAATGACGAGTTAATGGGTGCAGCACACCAGCATGGCACACGTATACATATGTAACTAACCTGCATATTGTGCACATGTACCCTAAAACTTAAAGTATAATAATAATAAAATAAAATAAAAAAAGAAACTGTAGACCAATGTTCCTTATGAACATCGATGCAAAAAACCTCAACAAAATACTAGCAAACTAATCCCAGCAGCATAATAAATGGATTAGAAACATGACCAAGTGGGATGCATTCTTGGAATACAAGAATGCCTTAACATATGAAAATTCACCATTATAATACATAACATTAACAGAATAAAGGAAAAGAAACACATCATCATTTCAATTATTGCAGAAAAGGCATATGACAAAATTCAACACACTTTCATGATAAAAACACTCAACATGCTAGGAATAGAGAGAAACTACTTTAACATAATAGAAGCCTTAATGAAAACTCATACAGAACATCATAATCAATGGTAAAAGACTGAAAGTGTTTCCTCTAAGATCAAAAACAAGGTAAGGATGCCCACTTTTACTACTTCTATTCAATATAGTGCTAGAAGTTTTAGCCAGAGCAATTAGGTAAGACAAAAGCATCTAATGAAAGGCATCCTAATCAGAAAGGAATAATTAAAATTGTTTATGCTCACAAATGATATTTATCTTCTATTGTCTTGTATTTCTGCTCACAGATAATATGAAAACCTTAAAGATTCTACAAAGAAACTATTAGAACAAATAAATAAATTCAGCAAAGTAGTAGGATACAAAGTTAACATACAAAAAGCTGCACTTTTATAAATTAATAATAAACAGTCTGGGCTGGGCACACTGTGGCTCACACCTATAATCCAAGCACTTTGGGAGGCTGAGATGGGTGGATCACTTAATCTCAGGAGTTCAAGACCAGCCTCGGCAACATGGTGAAACCCTGTCTGTACAAAAAATTACTAAAATTAGCAGGGTATGGTGGTGTGTGCCAGTAATCCCAACTACCCGAGAGGATGAGGTGGGAACATTGGTTGGGCTGCAGTAAGCCATGATCACGTCATTGCACTCCAGCCTGGAAAACAGAGTGAGACTCTGTCTCAAAAAACCCCAAAAACCAGTCTGAAAAGGAGATTAAGTAAATAATTCAATTTAAAATAGTATCAACAAGAATAAATTATTTAGGAATTAAACAAGAAGGTAAAAGACTTGTGAAAAAACAATGAAAACTACAAAATATTTCTGAGAGAAATTAGAGAAGATGTAAATAAATGGAAAGACACCATGCTCATGGGTTGGCAAACTTAATAACATTAAGATGTCAATACTGCCCAAAGTGTTGTACGTATTTAATGCAATCCCTTACATAATTCCAATTTTTTTTGCAGAAATAGAAAAACTCATTCTAAAATTAATATGGCATGGTGGCTCATACCTGTAATCTCTACACTTTGGGAGGCTGAGGCAGAAGGATTGCTTCAGCTCTGGAGGTCGAGGCTGCAGTGAGCCAAGATCGCACCATTGCACTCCAGCCTCAGCAACAGAGTGAGAGTTTGTCTCAAAAAAAAAAAATTAAAATAAAATGAACGTGGAATCTCAAGGGACCAAAATAGCCAAAACAACCCTGTAAAAGAACAAAGCTGGAGGACTCCCACTTCCTGATTTCAAAACTTACCACAAAGCTACAGTAATCAAAACAGTGTGGTGGTGGCATAAAGACACATATACAGATCAATGAAACAGACTAGGGAGTTCAGGAATATATCTTCACTTACATGGTCAAATGATTTTCAACAGTGTGCCAAGACTCTTCAATTGAGGAAAAAACAGTCTTTTCAACCAGTGGTATTGGAAATACTGGATGTCCACATCCAAAAGAATAGTGTTGGATCCTTAGCTAACACCATATACAAAATTAACTCCAAATTGATCTGCTACCTAAATACAAGAGCTAAAATTATGAAATTCTTAGAGGAAAACATAGGGGAAGTGCTTCATGAAATTGGATTTGGCAATGATTGCTTGGATATGAAACCAAAAGCATAAGGAAACAAGAGAAAAAACAGGCAAATTGGACTTCATGAAAAAGACAACCCACAGAATGGGAGAAAATATTTGCTAATCATGTATCCAATATGAGATTAATGGCCAGAATATATAGATAACCCTTAAGACTCAAGAAGAAAATGCCAAACAACCTGATTCAAAAATGGGCAAAGGACTTGAATAGACATTTCTCCAAAGAAGATATACAAATGACCAATAAGCACATGAAAAGATGCTCAACATCACTAATCATTAGGGAAATGCAAGCAAATTAAAACTATGAGATACCACCTCATACTTACTAGGATGGCTACTACCAAAATAGTAGTACAAACAGAAAATAAGTGTTGAAAAGGACGTGGAGAAATTGGAGCCCTTGTGGATGGTTGGTGGGAATGTAAAATGATACAACTGCTATAGAAAACAGCATAGTGGTTTCCCAAAGAGTTAAAAATAGTTTTATCTGAAAGTCTTAATAAAGAAAAAAAGAGAAAGAAAAAAGTTAAAAGTAGAATTACCATATGATCCTGAAATTCCACTTCTGGGTGTTACTCACAAGAATTGAAAGTGGGATCTCAAAGACATATTTGTGCACCATGTTCACAGCAGCAGCATTCACAATAGCTAAAACATGGAGGCAACTCAAGTGTCCATTGATGCATGCATGGATAAGCAAAATGTGGTATATCCACACAATGGAATATTATTTATGTATAAAAAGGAAGGAAATTCTGACACATGCTATGACATAGATGAACCTTGAAGTCTTTATACTGAGTAAAATAATCCAGACAAAAAAGGACAAATATTTTATGATTCCATTTATATGAGGTACTTACAGTAGTCAAAATATTAGATACAGAAGGTGGTTCAGAGCTTGGGAGAGAAGAGAATGGGGAGTTATTGTTTAATGGGTATGAGGTTTTAATTTTAAAAGATGAAAAGAGTTCTGGAGATGGAGGGTGCTGGTGGTTACACAAGAGTATGAATGTACTTAATACCACTGAACTGTACACTTAAAAATAGTTAAGATAGTAAGTTGACTTGCTATCTCCTCCTCATACTCCAGGTTTCAGTTTAAATGTTACTTTTTCTGGACATTTTTTCTTGAGCCTCCAACCTGGGTCTCAACACAGGTTATATATCCTCAAATATATGCTGTATTACATACCCCAGATCACCCTGCACTTCCTCCTTGATGAAGCTGTTCCCCATGGTGACAAAGACTCAGCTCATGTTGGTCCTTCCTGTATCCCTGGTGCCTACATCAGCACATAGTAGACAGTGAGTGTTTAATAAATACTTATTGAATGGGTACAATGTCTATTTTTTCTTCAGATTGAGTCCCTTTTCATGCAGTGGTTGGGAGAATGAATGGGAGCTGTAGTTTCCTAGTGAGCCCTGATCTGAGTCCAGCCACCTTGACTCTTCTGAGGCTCCTCAGGGCTTCCTACTAATAGGTGGCCCCATTAGTGGGCTGCCTGGTATGGCTTTGACCCTACAGATCCAGATTTGGAGTGTGCGTGTCACTTTGACCTTTGCTCTGGGACTCTGAAGCATTATGTTAGGAGAGTGTTTTTGGCTCATTGTAATTTCCCCCCCCTCGTATTTGATCACTTTGGTTATGAGGTAGCATGAATGCAGTTAGCACTCAGAGAAGCTGCCACTTGCCACTTAGGGCATCACACAATTTTTGTTTTCCTTCTAACTTAACATCTGTACCTGTTGAATAAACAGTGTTGTTCAATAAAACTGCAGATATTCTACTTGGTAATTTCTATAGAACCAAATTCAGCTCTTGGGGACTGTAACACTCGCATTGCAAAAGTTAGAAGTAGAAATCAGCAGGGAAGAGAAAGAAGAAAGAGAATAATGAAAGAAAAATGCAGGCTTATTAGCAGAATGCTTGGCTCTTGCTTCTCGAATATTTTAAATTCAGAAAAAAGTTAAAAAATTCAAGTGCAATCTTATCATTAATATAAATTAACATTTATTAATTATACACTTAGGGCATTTCTCTGAAGTGAGTTTAATGAACAAATAACTAGGTTTGGTAATATCTTGGCTGAATATCACTATCCTCTTGAGAAGGTGAATAGTTGAAATAGCATGGTCTGATTGCTACAGACTAACATTATTCTGTTTCATTCTCCACTCTGCTCTTCCTTCTCCCAAGGGCACAAATGAACAAAACAATGGTTTCTTAATTGTTTAGCACTCAATTTTCTGCCTAGCAAAAACTGTGCGGTTATGCCAGTTCTCATACAGTTTTAGTTAAAATAGAAGATTATTGCAATTAGAATTCAGTGCATATTAACCTTTAATTCATTTCTACCAGTTTAAACAAACTCTATTGTAGAAAATTTCAAACATTTACGAAGCAAACCAAGAATAATAAATATCCTTGCACCCATGACTCAGGTTTGACAATTATCAACATTCTGCCCTTTTGTTTAATCTATACTTTCAGCCACTATCCACATCACATTCATTTTTTAAAGGTAAATTTCACCTCTAGTGAGATACCCAAATAATAACTATACAATTTGGACAATATGTACATTTGTGTAACCCACATCATAAAATTTAGAACACCCCATCACCCCAGAAAGTTCCTTCCTCTTTTTTCTCAGTTTCCCTCTTTCCCACCATCCAGCTAACCACTCTTCTAAGTTTTTTTCACCATAGATTGGTTTTTCCTGTTCTAGAATTTCATACACATGGAATCATTAAATATATTTTCTTTTGTATCAGGTTTCTTTTGCCCAGCATGTCTGTGAGTTTCATTGCTATTATTGCATTTATTATTAATTCATTCTCTTTTTATTGCTAAGACATGTCCCATGGTATGAATATAAAACAGTTTGCTTATTCATCCTCCTGTTTATATATAATGGGTTGTTTTTAGTTTTAGGTGTTGTAAATAAGGCTGTTAAGAACATTCTTGTACAAGTCTTTTTGTGGATATGTTTTCCTTTCCACAAATAAGTAAAATACCTATGATAGAATAGCAGAGTCAAAAGATATATGTATATTTAACTTTAAATGAAACAGAAACCTTTTCCCAAAGTGGTTGTGTTATTTCAGATTCCTACCAGTAGTGTATGTGAGTTCTATTTTCTCTTATATTCTAACAAATATTGTCAGTTGTCTTTTTAATTTTAGTCATTCTAGTAGGTGTGTAGTGGTTTCTTATTGTAGTTTCAATTTCCACTTCTTTGATAACTAATGATATTAAACAATTTTGTTGTGTTTATCAGACAATTTTAAATTTTAAAATAAATTTCCTTTGTAAAAGTGTCTGTTCAAATATTTTGCCCATTTTTTCTTCGATTGTTTTTCTTTTTACTATTGAGTTATAAAAAGCCTTTGTATTTTCACTTAAAAGTTTTTTTAATCAGATAAATGTTTCATGAATATTTTCTTCCAGTCTGTGGCTTGCCTATTCATGTTCTTAACATTTTCAATGAGCAGAGTTCTTTAATTTTGAAGTTTAATTTACCAATTAAAAACATTTTGTGGTTATTGCTTTCCGTGTCCTAACAAATTTTTGTCTACTCCTAGTTGTGAAAATAGTCTTTTACATTTTATTCTAAGAGCTTTATAGTTTTAGCTTTTATATTTGAGTCTATAATATTTATATGAAATTCATTTTTGTTTATGGTGTGAAGTAAGAGTTCAGGTTTACTCTTTTTCTTATAGCTGTCCAGATGTTCTAGAACCATTTGCTGAAAATACTTTCCTCATTGAATTGCTTTGGTGTCTGTTGCAAATCAATGGACTATGTATGTGTGGGTCTATTTCCAGATTTTATATTTGGTTCTACTGATCTATTTATTTATGTTTAAGCCAGTAATACACTGTCTTGGTTACTTTATAGTAAGTCTTAAGGTCAGAAGTGTAAGTCCTTCAGCTTTGTTTTTCTTTTACAAGGTTGTTTTGACCATTCTAGGTCTTCTGCATTTCTATACACATTTTAGAATCAGCTTGTCAATTTCTATGAAAAAGCCTGCTGAGATTTATGAATGGGATTGCACTGAAGCTATAGATCAATTAGGGGAAAATTCTCAACAGTATCAAGTCTTCCAAATTATGAACACTCAAATTAATGGACATAGAATATGTCTCAATTTATTTAAATCTTCCTTTTTTTTTTTTAGCAATTTTAAATATTTTTCTTTTTTCTTGTTTATTTATTTAAGACGGAGTCTTGCTCTGTTGCCCAGTTTGGAATGTGGCAGTACAATCACAGCTCACTGTAACCATGAACTCTTGGGCTCAAGTGATCCTCTTGCCTCAGCCTCTTGAGTGGGTGGGAGAGAGGTGTATGCCACCACAACTGGCTAATTAAAAATTTTGTTTTGAGAACTTGTTTGGAGGTTCTAGCAAGGGAGTGCAGCTACTCCTATACCCTTGACCAAAGACTGCAGTCCTCCTCTATCAGGGATGGTCATCCTCTTTGACCGAGTGCACAAAGGGCTAATATACATGGAGCAGTGAGGGAGGAAGGGGACACCCGCCTAGCCAGCCAGATCAGCCAAATCAACCCTGGCCATCAATAGGGTGACAGATGTCACAGCCAGATCAAGTCAGCTTCATCCCTTGGATGTAAGCCTGATTCAACATATGCAAATCAATAAATGTAATCCATCACATAAACAGAACCAATGACAAAAACCACATGATTATCTCAATAGATGCAGAAAAGGCCTACCTTTGAAAAAATTCAGCACCCCTTCATGCTAAAAACTCTCAATAAAATAGGTATTGATGGACTGTATCTCAAAATAATAACAGCTATTTATGACAAACCCACAGCCAATATCACATTGAATGGGCAAAAGCTGGAAGCATTCCCTTTGAAAACTGGCACAAGACAAGGATGCTCTCTCTCACCACTCCTATTCAACATAGTATTGGAAGTTCTGGCCAGAACAATCAGGCAAGAGAAAGAAATAAAGAGAAAGAAACTGGGCAACAGAGCAAGACTCTGTCTTAAATAAATAAACAAGAAAAAAGAAAAATATTAAAAATTGCTTACAAAAGGAAGATTTAAATAAATGGAGACATTCAAACAGGAAAAGAGGAAATCAAATTGTCTTTGTTTGCAGATGACATGATTGTATATTTAGAAAACTCCATCATCTCAGCCCCAAATCTCCTTAAGCTGATAAGCAACTTCAGCAAAGTCTTAGGATACAAAATCAATGTGCAAAAATCAGAAGCATTCCTATACACCAGTAATAGACAAACAGAGAGCCAAATCATGAGTGAACTCCCACTCACAATTTCTACAAAGAGAATAAAATACCTTGGAATACAACTTACAAGGGATGTGAAGGACCTTTTCAAAGAGAACTACAAACTGCTTCTCAAGGAAATAAGAGTGGACACAAACAAATGGAAAAACATTCCATGCTCATGGACAGGAAGAATCAACATCATGAAAATGGCCATACTGTCCAAAGTAATTTATAGATTCAATGCCATCTCCATCAAGCTACCATTGACTTTCTTCACAGAATTGGAGAAAACTACTTTAAATTTCCTATGGAATCAAAAAAGGGCCTGTATAGCCAAGACAATCCTAAGCAAAAAGAACAAAGCTGGAGCCATTGTGCTACCTGACTTCAAACTATACTACGAGGCTCCTACAAGGTTACAGTAACCAACACAGCATGGTACTTGTACCAAAACAGATATATAGACCAATGGAACAGAAGAGAGGCCTCAGAAATAACACCACACATCTACAACCATCTGATCTTTGACAAACCTGGCAAAAACAAGCAATGGGGAAAGATTCCCTGTTTAATAAATGGTGTTGGGAAAACTGGCTAGCCATAGGCAGAAAACTTAAACTGGACCCCTTCCTTACACCTTATACAAAAATTAACTCAAGATGGATTAAAGACTTAATTGAAAGACCTAAAACCATAAAAACCCTAGAAGAAAACCTAGGCAATACCATTCAGGACATAGGCATGGGCAAAGACTTCATGACTAAAACACCAAAAGCAATTACAACAAAAGCCAAAATTGACAAATGGGATCTAATTAAACTAAAGAGCTTCTGCACAGCAAAAGAAACTATCATCAGAGTGAACAGGCAACCTACAGAATGGGAGAAAAATTTTTGCAATCTATCCATCTGACAAAGGGCTAATATCCAGAATCTACAAGGAACTTAAACAAATTTACAAGAAAAAATCAACCCCATCAAAAAGTGGGAGAAAGACATGAACAGACACTTCTCAAAAGAAGACATTTATGTGGCCAATAAACATATGAAAAAAAGCTCATCATCCCTGGTCATTAGAGAAATGCAAATCAAAACCACAATCAGATACTATCTCATGCCAGTTAGAATGGTGATCATTAAAAAGTCAGGAAACAACAGATGCTGGAGAGGATGTGGAGAAATAGGAACGTTTTTACGCTGTTGGTTGGAGTGTAAACTAGTTCAACCATTGTCGAAGACAGTGTGGCTATTCCTCAAGGATCTAGAACCAGAAATACCATTTGACCTAGCAATCCCATTACTGGGTATACACCCAATGGATTATAAGTCATTCTACTATAAAGACACATGCACATGTATGTTTATTGCAGTATTATTCAGAATAGCAAAGACTTGGAACCAACCCAAATGCACATCAATGATAGACTAGATAAAGAAAATGTGGCACATATGCACCATGGAATACTATGCATCCATAAAAAAGGATGAATTCATGTCCTTTGCAGGGACGTGGATGAAGCTGGAAACCATCATTCTCAGCAGACTAACACTGGAACAGAAAACCAAACACCAAATGTTCTCACTCATAGGTGGGAGTTGAACAATGAGAACACAACAGGTAGAGGAACATCACACACCAGGGCCTGTTGGGGAGTAGGGGGCTAGGGGAGGGATAGCATTAGGAGAAATACCTAATGTATATGACGGGTTGATGGGTGCAGCAAACCACCATGGCACGTGTATACCTATGTAACAAACCTGCATGTTCTGCACATGTATCTCAGTCCTTAAAGTATTAAAAAAAAAAATCCACAAAAATTAGCTGGGTGTGGTGGCACATGCCTGTAGTCCCAGCTACTCAGGAGGCTGAGGCAGGAGAATCGCTTGAACCCAGGAGATGGAGGTTGCAGTGAGCAGAGATCACATCACTGCACTTCAGACTGGGTGACAAAGTGAGACTGTGTGAAAAAAAAAAAGGCATTGGCTTTGAGGTGAAATATGAATGCTTAAGGCAGAATACCTCAATACCAGTTTATATTATTAATTCTGGAAAGATTTTAAAGACAATGTTATATGCACTGTTTTCTACAACGTGTCCCTATAAACCATTTTTGAGGGCATTGGAAGATTATGGTGGCTGTTTCCATATTAAAATGTTAATGTCTGAGTCAAGTTGGTGGTTTTTGAACCTGAAAGATCAAATAGTTCTATTTAATTGTATTAACCAAATTGATTTTAAACCAGCGGAATTATTTGCAGTGCTTAAAAAGTCATTATTTTCCATTCAAGTGAGATAAATGGGTCACCTTGGGATTTGCAGCTGGAGTTTTCCTTTATGATAATATATTGGGAACCAAGTCATTTGTCCTAATGACACTCTCAGCAAAGGTTCACCAAACCTGTCTTGATTAATTTTTCAAAAGCACTTGAAGAGATTTACCAATTACACTTTCAGGGGTTGATTTGATCAGCTCCACATGGTTGCACAATCTGCATCTTGCTACTTAAACTCCAACAGACCAAAATGGTTAAAAGAGGTCTGATGGAAATAAACTATGAACTCAATTCTAATGTGGTCTAAACTTGTATGCTTTAAATTACTGCATATTTGGGATGCTGCATATAAAATGATCTAATGCAAATTCTCAAATTCTGAAAAAGTAGTGAGGGAGCAAATATTAATTCCATTTTGCCAGTGAGAGATACTGTGACAGAAAACGATAAAGGAACTGAAGATGGCACACTGAACACCACCACAGGACGATTAATCGTTTTCTTTCATCTCCGCTCCCATCCTTCGTTTCTGTGGCAGTTATCATTACATTCTGGCAGTAATGTGGTGGTAAGTAATCTGCATTTTCAATTCTCACAGACATTATACAGTTCCATTTTGAAACAAATTGCTTTTTCTTTTTTGGTCTCTTCTAAAATCTTTCTTCTCAAAGTATGGTCCTTGGCTTAGCAGCAATGGCATCAACTAGTTGCTAATTAGAAATGCCCAGATTCTGCTAGATCAATCTGTTTCATTCATGTGTATATTAAAATCAAGAAGCACTCTCTGGCCAGGCGCAGTAGCTCACACCTGTAATACTAGCGACTCTGGAGCCTGAGGCAGAAGGATCTCTTGAGGCCAGGAGTTTGAGACCAGCCTGGACAACATAGTGAGACCGTGTTTCTAAAATAAATAAATAAATAAATAAATAAATAAAATTAGCCAGGCATGGTGGTGCACCTAGTCCCAACTACTTGGGAAGTTGATGTGGGAGGATCGCTTGAGGCCAAGAGTTCGGGGCTGCAGTGAACTGTGATTGTGCCACTGTACTCCAGCCTGGGTGACAGAGTGAGAATCTGTCTCAAAAACAAACACACAAAATCCCAAAAAACTTCCACAAGTTCAGCTGTGCAAGCTTGAGAATCACTGCTTTAGCATAATGTTGCATCTGGGTGGCCTCACTTTCAAACTTACCATTCGTAAAACGGAATTTTTATATGCTTTTTATATAGTATGTTTGTTGCTCCATAAAGGAAGTTGAGGAATTCAGGATTGTTCTTACTTAATCCATCCATTAATTAAATAACTCTTCTTTTAAGAACAAATGCTTTTAATCTCATGACTAACAAACCTTGTTATGTCAATTTGTGCATTAAGCATTGTTATGTGAAAACCTACTCAGCGTTTCACAAAATGTGAGGAAAGAAATAGAAAATAAAGAAATGTGTTTGGTTTTAGTCATTATTACGGTAGGATAAACTCTGATTATCATAACAGAAAAGAATTTCAATTATGAAATTCAGAGCACACATGAGAATAGATAAGGTCACTAGGTAAGATACAGGAAATCCAGTTAAATTTGAATTTCAGATCAACTGTAAATATTTTTTTTTTACCTAAGAATTTAGCATTTTTTAGTATAAGTATTTAGTAGAAATAGGTTCCATGAAAGTACCTGGGACATAGTTTTATTTGCTAAATCTGGCAACCCTAAGAAATAAGCCAGGCAAAATGAGGGGTAAATTATTATATTTATAATCATTAAAAATTGGAACCTATATGATATGCTATCAGGCCAGCTACATAAGTTACCTTTTATAGAATATTTTACAATTAAGGAGCAATAATGTATGCTGTGTTCCGTGATTGCAGCTCAATATGAAATCTCTAAGTAATTTTGATCAAGAAATTTCTTTGCGTTGATGTCGAAACACAAGCAATAATAATTTAAAATAATCCCATGCATCCTGATTACCATTCTACTAATTTTATTAATTTATGTGTAAAATGTTGAACCAAAACAATACACTGCAATGTTCTTAAAAGAAGAGGAGAGAGAGAGGAAAAAAAAAGGAGAAAAAGAAAAGCCATACCGAAATTCTGAGCTGTTGGAAAACTCAGCCAGCAGCAGAGGGCACTAATGTATCACTGATGAATTGTGCATCACAAGAGGCTTAAACATTTTTTTTTTTTTGCCTCGCACTAATAAACTTTTATTTCACTCAAATTAGAGCAATAATCTTCCATACATAAGTATTTTCCCTGCCCAATAATTCAAATAAAAAAATCCAAAATGATTAATAAAGAAAAATATAAGAATTAACAGACCCTTTAAATTTGTTTTACATATTTTTAAGGTTTAAAAAGGGTTTAAAGTTTGTAATTCCTAGTAGGAAAACATTATCTGAATGAATACTCTAATGGCAAACCACCGTAAAATGCTTCAGCTGCATTCGGGGGAGAGGGGTAGGGATTATCTTCAAAGCACTCCAGCTCTCTTGATGAGAAGGTCAGAGGTACACCGGTTTGTATTACTGCATCATCCATAAGGTGATCTAGGTTGCTTTTCCTTCAGCAATGCCTTTATTTATCGGAAGGGCATTAGGCTTGACCTCCAAATTTGGCTGACAATTTACTGATAAGATTCATAACCTTTGGATTGCTCTGGTATTTTGACATATTTGCTGGGTTCTGAGCCACATCCTGGAAGGCCACCATGACTTCTGGATCCTGCAAGGCTGCAGGAACCTCTGGATCACTAAGAATTTCATTGGGTCCAGGCCTTCTGGCCATCCTAGGTATGCCCCCTCCATTCCAGGTATTCTTCTGGGAAAATTACCAGGCATTTCCCCAGGAAAGCCACCTGGAAAAAAGCCAGACTGAGCTCCTGACTATTGTCTGGCTTCTTCCTCCCTCTGGGCTCTCTCATGCTCTTCCGAGTCTTCTTAACTCTTTCTATTCTTTCTTTGGTCTCTCGCTCTTCACGTTTTCGCTCATACTTTCTCCGATGTTCTGTAATTTCCTGTGTCCTAGGTGGAATCAGGATTTTTTTCAATGACTCTGTCACAGTCTCGGATGGCAGAATTTGGCTTCTGTAATTTGATGAAGACACTGGCCCTCTTGGCATACAAAATAGCCAAGTGAGGATTCAGCTTGATGGAATCTGTGATAAGTCAATGGCTTTCTGCAGTTCACCATCATTTAGGGCTTCAACAGCAGCCACTTTCTTATCATTTGCCTGATCCATCATCTCCTCTGTTATCTCTGCATTTTCATCTCCCATTTCTTGAGGGGCATCAGTGTCTGGTTCAATCACACCTTCATTATTAATTTCTAGATAACTTTCCTTACTGGATGGTTCATCTGCCTTTAAGTCTTCCTCCACATTCTTACTACCAGATTTTTCTTCCTTGGTATTTTCTTCTGATTTAGCTTTCTGACTAGCAGGTGGCACTTTACTCCCCATGCTCTCCACCCACTCCCTCAGGAAGCACATTTCCTTGGTGTGCAGAACGCTGAGATCCTGCTTACACATTTTCACAAAGGCCCGAAGCGTGTTCACTTCGGGAGGCGGTGGGCAAAGCTAAGGGGCTGTGGCTGGTTCCAGGCCCAGGTGCTGGCTTGGCATGACCTCGTAGAAGCAGGCGGCTGCCGGGAGACAGAACACACTAGAACCTTCCTGGCCACTGGCTCCTCTTCACCCAACGGTCTCGTGACCCCAGGTCCTCTGCCTGCTCATTCCTATTCCCTCTGCGCTGCTCCTGCCCTCTCCCTAGAACCTTCTAGAAGCGTGGCTGTTCGTGCTGTTCCCTGCCTTTCTGCGCACACATGCTCATATTCTTAACTAGGGACCAGCTCCCTGGATGGGGCAACCCCTGACATGGGTGCCTTCAAGGAGGCGGGGGATAGCAGCCCTTTCAGGGAGCAATGTCCAAGAGCATATTCTGTGGCTGCGTGCACTTGAGGCTTAAACATTTTTGTAATGCTTTGTTCAACTTAGATTTTATTTAAATATTTATTTTAATCAACTTTGCCATGCAGTGTTGTTAAAAGATTAGAAACTAAAAGCAGTTCTAGTGTACTGTTCAGCACTTGCATGACCCTAAATAACATATATATATATATATATTTGCTTAAGATCCTTCGCTAAAAAAGTACTTAACCATTTTGGCAACTGGATGTACTATGTTTCTGGTTTATGCTTGAATGCCTGGGTCTTTACAAGTGTGTTGACTGTGTGTGAGGGACCATAGGTCTAATTAAGGAAGGCAGTGGTGGATGGAGGCTTGTGAAGTTAAGGAACTAAATCTAGTTGGGTGGGAGATGGCCATGGCTGGACTGACTTAACTCCTGAACCAGACAATGAAGTGTCATATGATACATTTCTGTCCCCAGGCATACAAACCTATACAGAGGTGTGTATAAGTGCAGTAAAATTCAGGACTATTTCATTTTCCCCACAGTAATGCCTTTATGGACAGAGAAGGAGAGTTCATTTTGGCCCTCTTTGTGCTAGCCTTGGCATTGCATATATTTGATTTCATTCCAGTTTCATGACAACCCTGTGAGGTAGGTGTTATTATCATCTGTTTACAGATGAAAAAATCCCCAAGGCTGAAAGAAAGGATATATTTCAATGAACACTATCCTTGTGTATAGTGGGCACTCAACATTCATCTAATGTAGCATTTCTTAAACTTTGGTCTGTAAGACACTGGTACCATTCAAGGTTTCATAAGTTTTCCTTATCAAACAATTATGGGAAATGTTGCAAATTTTAACTGTCTCTTAGAGTTTCACAATGCACAAAAATGTTTTAAAATTTCTTAAGAAATTATGTGGTAATGCAACTTATTTAACTTTATGCTTAGGTTTCTCAATCTTATTTAGCTAAATAATTTTTCTTTTCCTCCCATTTTTAGTAGAACTACCATCCATGTGGCAAGGCATACACCTTTTGTGAAACATGTTTTGAAAAACATGGGTCTAATTATGTATGGAGTATATTTTCTGGTAGGAATTAGAGGAGTTAGTTCATTATTATCATCATTCTTAGAAAATATGTATTTGGGTGGCGATTCCTCAAGGATCTAGAAACAGAAATACCATTTTTCCCAGCAATTCCATTACTGGGTATATACCCAAAGGATTATAAATCATTCTACCATAAAGACACATGCACATGTATGTTTATTGTGGCACTATTCACAATAGCAAAGACTTGGAACCAACCCGAATGCCCATCAATTATAGACTGGATAAAGAAAATGTGGCACATATACATGATGGAATACTATGCAGCCATAAAAAAGAATGAGCCCATGTCCTTTGCAGGGACATGAATGAAACTGGAAACCATCATTCTCAGCAAACTAACACAAGAATGGAAAACTAAACACTGTATGTTCTCACTCATAAGTGTGATTTGAACACTGAGAACACATGGACACAAGTAGGGGAACATCACACACCGGGGCCTGTTTGGGCGTGGGGGCAAGGGGAGGGAGAGCATTAGGACAAATACCTAATGCATGCAGGGCTTAAAACCTAGATGATGGGTTGATGGGTGCAGCAAACCACCATGGCACATGTATACCCATGTAGCAAGCCTGCACAGTCTGCACATATATCCCAGAACTTAAAGTATAATAATAAAAAAAAGAAAATAGGTATTTGGTACCTTCAATTTGTAGGGCATTGGGATAGAATCCAGAGATATGACACAAACCCTGTTAGAGAGAGAGAGGAGTTTACAGTTTATATGAAGAGGCAAAAATGTCTTTGGTTTGAGTGGGAATGTAACTTTAACTCCAGTGCTCTTCTTTCTTTAATTTTTAGCGTAGGATGGTGGTCATGGATAACAGGGTTTCCAATGATTTCTTAATGTGACATTCTGTTTTGTTCCCCTAGTAAACAATTACCACTTTCTTCCATTAATTTAGTATGGCTTAGATATTTGGAAGGATGAAAAACTTAAACATTTGAATACAAGTAAATCCCAGATAGAAGTCATTAAGAATCGTACATCTTTGACACATCCTAGGAAAACAGGTGTCTTCCTTTTCACACACATTCAAATGCACACACACATTCCATTTCATCTCATCAGCACATCACATCTTTATATCATTTGTTAGATAAACAAAAGCAAATGAAGGTTGTGGATATCTATATCAAGGGATTGGTCAAAGGATTTGAAGTTCATAGACTAAAAATTTCAGTTGTTTTTCAGTAATTTTGAAGGCTGGCAAGTTACTACTATGCCAGAGATCTCTAGCCTTTCTTCTTTAGGGATGTGATGATATTTTGCACTGTTCTGGCACCTTTTTCTAATAATCTTTTAAAACCTTATCAAGCAATGTAACATATTACCAACAAGGAAATGAAATTAATTTGTAGTTGTAACATTAACAGGGGAGTTGGAAATGAAATATTCAGCTGTGTTTGGATATGCAAGGGGAAATGTGAAGATGATGAACAATAAACCAATAACACAATCTTGTAATATTTTTTTCTTGAGGTATTCAGATACTTATAACAAAAAAAGATTTTCCTCCCTGTATCACCTTATTTAAGTCAGCCCCAGCACTTCACTGTATGTGTCCCTTCGAAGTAGGGCGTTGCTTAGAAAGGCTCTGGGTGTGCAGCCTTGCTTTTTTGAAAGGATCGTGACTTGCACCTCCATCTCATATTCTTGGGGAGGACAGAGAAGGGGGTTTATCTTTGCTTCTACATATCTTAGCAGCATTCTTATCCTATTAAGCCATAGGCCTTATTTATTCAGGTCACAAATAACTGAGAAGTGTAGAAATGATAGGCTACTGATGGCAAATTGTATTTTTCCATATTATGACTATAAATAAGTTACCTGAGACAATTTTTTAGAAGCCAATTTCACTATAGTGGTTTAAACCAAAACTCAATGAAAGGAAGTCATTTTTTCACACAATGCAGTAGTGATAAAGAATGATTATTTTCTCTTTACATTGATAACACCTAATCTTTAATCCTCCTTATGAGATTTGCTTTAATATCTAAAAATAATGAACATTTCTAAAAAATGTGCCTCCAATGGAACTACAAACTCACTAGAAATTGCAGAGGATGTCCATGTGGAGATGTTTCATATGAAACTGCAAGTGGCTCATGACATTACTTTTGGATAGTTCCCCTGGGGGAACATGACACACATCTGACAATATAAATGAGATAATTCGTATCTTGGCCTAAAGCTTGGTGTCCCTTCATTTCAAATAATAACACTGGGGAGCCTGGAAGAAAGAGGCAGATTCATCATTTAAACTGTGTTTCCTACATTAAGAGATTGGGAATGCAAAACAAAAGAAGTTGAGCCCCAGAGTTACTGGTTGTTATCTCTTTCAGCACTACTAGTAGCAGAGCCATTGTAAACTTGTTGGGGCAACATGGGCAACTGGGGACTCTCTAGTCACTTGTTTATAACAGAAATCAATGCTTTTTAAACATCTTTAACTCCAGTTGTGGCTTAAAGTCATCAGTAGATTCAGTTAAACAAAAACCTTTCTTTAATACTTATATTGAATTTCTTTAAAAAGCATTTATTAAGCACCTATTTTATGCCAGGCACTGTTCTAGGTAGTGGGTCACTGGTGAACATGATGGGTGAAGTCCCAGCTCTCTTAGAGTTTACTTTTCCCTGGGAATAAAGACAATAAACAAGTTAACAAAGAGGCTATAAAAAATAAAATAGATTAATGTAATAGAGAGTGACACGTGTGGGGTGGAAAAGGCATCCCTGAGGGGGTATTATTTAAGAAAATGGAATCAGCTAGAGAAGGGGAAGGAAAAGAGCACCCCAGTCATTGGAAACAAGTGCAAAGGCCGGAGGCAGGAGCAAACTTGGCATACTCAAGGTACTGGAAGGAGCTCTTGTAGCCAGAGCCTGGTGAGCAAAGGAGGGGTAATGGAAGATAAGCAAGGAGAGGCAGGCAGGGATTGGACCATCTGGGATCTTGTAAGATCTCGATGAAGAGTTTAGATTTTATTGTACGTGCAATTCTAGCTGCTGTGAGGAGAATGACTGTGCAGGCAAGAGTGGGTGCAGGAAGAGCACCAGGGCTATTTCAGGTAAGCCAGGTAAGTCCAGGGTCTTGGTCTAAGGTGGAAATAGTAGAAATGGTGACAAGTAGTTGATTCCAAAATATATTTTAGAGAGATAAACCACAGGATATATTGATGGATTAGATGTGGGGATTGAGGGAAAGAGGTCTTTGTCCTGAACAATCTCCTGAGATGGGAAAGAAGAGGTTTAGGGGGTGGAAATTAAGGATTTGATTTGAATGTGCTTAGTTTCAGATGCCTACTGGGCATCAAAACACTGATATCAGATAAGTCAGAGCTGAAGATACACACTTGGGTGTTATTTGTATATAGGTGGCATTGGAAGATCAGGGCCATGACCAGCTGATGTTGGGAGAGAGTATAGATCCAAGAGAAGGTGGTGCAGAACTGCGTCTCCAAGTCACAACATTGTTGAAGTTGGGAAGAGGAAGAGGAGCAGCAAAAAAAAGGAGAAGGACCAGCCAGTGTAACAGGCAGGAAGATGGAGAGGTGTAGCTATGGAAATCGATAGAAAAAGTGTTTTAGGGAGGAAGAGTATAGTGCTGCAGAGAGGTAAAGTAAGATGAGAACAGAGAGATAGCCATCAGGTTTGTCTCTCAATGGTCATGAGTGACCTTGAGAAGAGTGAGGTTAACAAAGAGGATGAAACTCAACCTTTCTCTTCAGAGAACTGACAGTGTAGCCACAGAAACAAAAACCAGTCTAAAGTGGAACTTTATTTTGTGGCTCTACTTAACTTCTCAGGGTAACTGTAACCATAGAAACCCACTGTGATTTAAGAACCCCTAGAGGTTGGATAGTCCAGACTTTCACCTTGGGCCTTCCAGGACAGGCTGACAGATGTTAAAAATTTGCACAAACATTTCCAGGACTGGAAGTTCATCTTATGATAGTTCACTTTGTGGCTGGATAGCTTTGTCTGTTAAAATAAAAGCCTTTGACAACTTAAATTTAGCAGAGTTTATTTGAGCAAAAAATAATTCATGCATTGGCAGTACTTAGAACCAGCAAAAGTTCAGAGAGCTCACTAAGCACAGTTGGAAGTGAGTATGTTTACACAGTAAAGGGAAGTGCAGAAAGAGCTTGACTTGCTACAGCTTGATATTTGCCCTATTTGAACATGATCTGAGCAGGTGGCAGCCTGTGATTGGCTGGAGCTCAGCTGCTATGGTTGGCCAAGACTGACCATTTGTTATATTCCAAAGTTAGATTTTCAGTTGTTTACTCACTAAGTTGCAATTTGTTTGTAGGAACTCAAGGTATGGAGATGGCCTCAGACCAATGGCCTCCTACTTATTTAAGAGATCTCTTTCAGAGCATGGAGATGTCTCATGCCAGGATGCTTATTTGTTATTATTAAATTAATTAATTTTTATTATTACCATTTTGTTATTATTATTTTATTTTATTTAACCAATGGAGACTCACTGTATATTATTTTTAACTTACTATTTTATTATTATTAATTACCATTTTGTTTTTACAGGATTTTTTTTTTTTTTGTTTTTTGAGATGGAGTCTCACTCTGTCGCCCAGACTGGAATGCAGCGGCACGATTTTGGCTCACTGCAAGCTCCGCCTCCCGGGTTCACGCCATTCTCCTGCCTCAGCCTCTCGAGTAGCTAGGACTACAGGTGCCTGCTACCACGCCCGGCTAATTTTTTGTATTTTTAGTAGAGACGGGGGTTTCACTGTGTTAGCCAGGATGGTCTCGATCTCCTGACCTCGTGATCTGCCTGCCTCGGCCTCCCAAAGTGCTGGGATTACAGGCGTGTGCCACTGCGCCCAGCCTTTTACAGGATGTTTTTAATGTCTTTTTGCTATTCCTTCCTCTTCTCCTCCTACTCTGTGTGTGTGTGTGCGCATGTGTGTGTGTGCTTGTGTGTGTGTGTGTGTATAGTGGGGGGAGGTGGGAGAGGAAAGAGCATGGGCTTCTGAGCTAGACAAAAGTTCGTTCTTGGCTCTGGCACTTAATAATTGTTCAGTTTTAGACAAGTTATTTTATTTTTAGGGGATTAGTCTCTTGATCAGTAAAAGAGAGACAACACATAGTTCATAGGGCGTATTATGGGGCTAGAATGAGATGATCTGTGTTAACACTTACTGATATGGTTTGGGTGTGTCCTCTCCCGAATCTCATCTTGAATTGTAACTCTCATAATTACCACATGTTGTGGGAGGGACCCAGTGGGAGGTATTTGAATCGTGGGGGTGGGTCTTTCCTGTGCTATTCTCATGATGGTGAATAAGTCTCACGAGAGCTGATGGTTTTATAAAGGGGATTTCCCTGCACAAACTTTCTTCTCTTGTCTGCCACCATGTGAGATGTGCCTTTCACCTTCTGCCATGATTGTGAGGCCTCCCCAGCCACGTGGACCTATGAATACATTAAACTTCTTTCTTTTGTAGATTGCTGAGTCTTGGGTATGTCTTTATTAGCAGCGTGAAAACAGACTAATACACTCGCCAAGCACCTGGTAAGTGGCAGGTGTGGAGTAGATGTTCATTACCCTCCCCTCCCTCAGCTCTTGTGAGGAGACCAGCTCTTGGCTTTGCTGGGGGCTTCCTCTTGGAAATGTTCCTTGACACTCCTCACCCTTCCCACCCACACTCAATCAAGCTTTCTTCTTTTTTCTTTGTGTGTGCCTTTATCATACCATCTATGATATGTGATTGGTTTCTACATTTCTCTCCAACTAGACTGTAAACCTTCAGAGATTGGGAAGGGTTTTCACCTTCAGGGATGAAAAATAGCATACTGATTAAAGATGCAGCTTGAAGCCAAACAACTTGTTCCATCGGTGTCAGCTGAGGTCTTGAGCAATTTACTTAACTGCTCTGTGCCTCGTTTCCTCATTTGAGGAGTGGGTCTGACATAATTGGGTGAGGATTAAATGAGATAGCTCTGATAAGTTCTTGAGGCAGTGCCTGCCACATAGCACTCCATAAATGTTTGCTATTACAAGGATTGTCTTTGTAGCCTCTGCAGTGCCTGCTCTGGGGACTGGTGCCCCAAAGGAGCTAGTCTGTGGGATGACTGAACAAAGTGACCAAATAGAGAGCATGGATTATTACCTAGATGGGTAAGTATGTTGCAGATAATATTATTATTTTAGATGACTCTTTGAAAAATAAAATTTCAGAAGTTTTACATAAAAACATGCTTATTATAAAAAATTCAACTAATATAGAATTATATCAAGTAGAAAGAAAAACACCTTATTTCATCGCCAGCTTTTCATCTTTTCATGTGTTAAGTTTGGTGTATAACCTTCCAACCTTTATTATTTAACACATTTACTGTTTTCTCTTTGTGGTTCAGGCATTGGCTCTCATGCCCATAGACTGAAAAACAAACTCTACTACCCATTTGCCAAAAATGTCAGAGACTAAGAATTTGAATTAATCAGACATTGATACATTAATTCTAAGTTGTTAGAAACTTATTACTAACAACTTGTTTTTAAAAAATAATTGTTTTATACCTGAATATATCTTTCACTTCCTTCAAGATGATTTGTGTGCAGAGTAGACACTGGCCTTGGAGTGTTTGGGGATAATGGGAAGAGGTGCTTTGTTCAAAAATTCTCTCCCACACTCTGTCACGTGCTTGGTATTTTCTTGTTAGAGCTGCATTTCTTTGAGTTCAGATATTACCAAAAAGCCCCTGCAAATTTGCAGGTGAGCACAGTTTTTAGACAAAGCAGCTTAAGGGAAGGGAAAGCCCTGAGAATGAACTTAGAAGCTTTGTCTCTGTCAGGGTTTGACTTTTAGCTCCTTCTGTTTAAGAATCAGAATCTCAGCCCTGACTCAGGGGCTTTAACTCTTCTGGTTCCTATGCCTTGATTTTGTCATGCTCTGGTTCTTCAGTTAAAGTTCCTCTCTTCAGACTCATTTTATATTTTGGAACAGTAGGAGGAGCTCTTTGGATGAGCTGAGGCTTTAGCCATCCTTTGATAATAAATTTTTATTTCTAAGGCGCTAGGCATAGACCTAGAGGCATTTTACTGTGGTAGGTTTTTATCTCTTTTAAAATAAATAGAAAGGGACATATGAATTTTTATCAAATCATGGATCTAAAAACAAAGCCCATGGTAACAGAATGTTGCTGCATATTTCCTAATAATGCTTTATTACTAACATTTTCTTATTATCCTAAAAACTAGTTACTTCTCTTCCAATTTTATGGTAATATAAAGTTATTGGTTGAAACATTATTATAGCTGTTTTATATTTGAAAATTTATTTTGGGACTGAAGTCATATCTTCAGGGAAAACATGATTGTATATTCATAGATGTTATGATTTCTTAACTGAGTCTTTTAATTTTTATAATATTTTAATACTTTTATTTGTCTAAATGTTCAAATAATCAATATCCCAAGGTTTAACAGTGCTTACAGTGTAATTGCATTTAGGACAATAAATTTTATATTGACAGTTCAGGGATCCCTATTTAGTTGAACATAACGAATTATGAAACCCCATTGGTTGAAATCTGGTTAGATGCTGCTGTTAATGATTTTCTTTTTCCTCTGTTATTAGTATTTTATGTTGTAGTTAGTAGCTTCTAAACTTCACCCCTATGAGCACTCCTATCCTTTCAAATGATTATAAAGTGTTTCCCCATTTGATAAATTGTGGTAAAATACATGAAACAAAAAATTTGTCATCGTGACTATTTTTAAGTACACAGTTCAGTATTTTTAAATGCATTCATAGTGTTGTGCAATCATCACCATCATTCATCTCCATAACATGTTTCATCTTGTAAAATTGAAACTCTGTATCCATTAAACAATAATTCCCCATATTCCCTTTTCCCCAGCTGCTGGCACCCGCTATTCTACTGTCTGACTCTATAATTTTGAACTGCTCTAAATACCTCATATAAGTGGAATCATACAGTACTCGTCTGCTAGAGACTGGCTTATTTCACTTCACATAATGTTCTCAAGATTCATCTATATTGTAGCCGACATCAGAATTTCCTTCCCTTTTAAGGTGAAATATATTTCATTGTACAGATATACCACATTTAGCTTATCCATTCATCCATTGATGGACCATGGGTTGCTTTCATGGTTTAGCTCAAAAATGCTGCTACCAACATGGGTATACAAATATCCTTTGAGGCCCTGCTTTCAGCTTTTTTTGGGTACAGAAATAGAATTCCTGGATCATAAGTTAATCCAATTTTTAAATTTTTGAGGAACTGTCATACTGTTTTTCACAGCGGCTGTAACATTTTACATTTTCACCAACAGTACACAAGGGTCCCAATTTCTCCACACCCTCTCCAACACTTCTGTTCTGTTCTGTTCTTTTGGCAGTAGCCCTCTTAATGGGTGTGAGGTGATATCTCATTGTTTTGATTTGCATTTCCCCAGTGATTAGTAATGTTGAACATCTTTTCATGTGCTTATTGGCTATTTGTGTATTTTCTTTAAAGAAATGTCTGTTCAAATCTTTTGCCCATTAAAACTTTTTTTTTTCAATATGGTGGGCAGTTTAGTATGGCCCAACTCATAGTTGGAGGGAGGCAGGGACAAACCCAGTGTGCTTCTGCCAGCTCTGAGGCCACCACAGGACTCATAGAGAGTAGGCTCATAAATAGACAGGAACCAGAGATCGCACTGGCCTGCCAGCCACTGCTTCCAATTCCTGTTTGTAGAAAAAAAAGACTGCCACCTTTTGGTCCACTGGCTTTTTAAGGCCAATGGGGATGAGCAGATGGCAACTCCCAGGCATCCCGCAAAGAAGGTGAGTCACCTTAAGACTTTTGCCCATTTTGAATCAGGTTGTCTTCTTGTTGTTGAGTTTTAGAAGTTCTCTATGTATGCTGCACATTAATCCCTTATCAGATATGATATTTTCTTTCATTTTGTGGGTTGTGTTTTTACTTTGTTGATAGTATCTTTTGATGTACAAAATGTAAACATTGTTTAGGAAGTACAATTTGTCTATATTTTCTTTTGTTGTCTGTGCCTTTGATGTCAAATCTGAGAAATGACTGTCAAATCCAATGTTGTGAAGCTTTTGCCCTGTGTTTTCTTCTAAGGGTTTTATTGTTTTAAGTCTTATGTTTAGGCTTTTGATCCATTAAAACATTTTAAAAATTGTTTCATTTTTGTTTTTAAACTTATCATAGAGATGAAGGTCTTGCTATATTACCCAGGCTGTTCTCAAATTCTTGGCTTCAAGCGATCCTCTGCCTTGGCCTCCCAAAGTGCTGGGATTACAGGCATGAGCCACTGTGCCTGGCCTCTGATCAATTTTGATTTAATGTTTGAATATGGATTAGATAAGGATCCAGTTTTATTCTTTTGCAAGTGAATATCCCATTTTCCCAGGATTATTTGTTGAAAAGACTGTCTTTTCCCCACTGAATAGTCTTGGCATTCTTGTCAAAAATCATTTGACCATATATATATAGCAGGGTTCATTTCTGGGCTCTTAATTCTATTCCATTGGTATATATGTCTGGCTTTATGCCACTACCACAGTATTTTAATTATTATAGCTTTGTGGTAAGTTTTAAATTCAGGAAATGTGAGTCCTCCAGCTTTGTTCTTTTTTTCAGGTTGTTTTGGCTATTTTGGGTCCTTGAGATTCTATATGAATTTTAGGATGGGTTTTTCTATTTCTGCAAAAAATGCCATTTGGATTTTGGTAGTTTTTGCATTGAATCTGCAGATCACTTTGGGTAGTATTGATGTCTTAGCCATATTGTCTTCCAATCCATGAACATAGGATGCATTTCCATTTGTTTAAGTCTTCTTTAATTTCATCAGTGATTCATAATTTTCATTGTAAAATATTTTACTTCTTTATTTAGGTTAGTTCCTAAGTGTTTTATTCTTTTTAATGCTATTGTAAGTTGAATTTTCATAATTTCCCTTTTAGATTGTTTATTGTTAGTATGTAGAAATGCAGCTGATTTTTATGTGCTAACTTTGTATCCTGCTACTTTGCTGAATTCCATTATTAGTTCTAATAGTTTCTTTTGTTAGAATCCTGAGGGTTTTCTATATATAAAATTATATCATCTGTAAACAGAGATAATTTTACTTCTTCCTTTCCAGTTTAGATGTCTTTTCTTTTTCTTGCCTAATTGTTCTGCGTAGAATGTCCAGTTTTATGTTGAATTCAAGTGGCAAAAGTGGGCATTCTTGCTCTGTTCTTGATATTAGAAGAAAAGCTTTTATTGTTTTACCATTGAATATGATATTTGCTCTGGGTTTTTCATAATGCCTTCTATTATGTTAAGGTGGTTTCCTTCTATTCCCAGTTTGTTGAGTGTTTTCTATCATGAAAGGGTATTGAATTTTGTCATATGCCTTTTCTGCACCAATTGAAAAGATCATGTGGTTCCCTCCCCTTCATTCTGTTAATGTTGTTTATTAGAGTGGTGGATTCTAATACGTTGAACCATCCTTGCATTCCAGGAATAAATCCCACTTGATGATTGTGTAAAATGCTTTTAATGTGCTGCAAGATTTGGTTCGCTAGTATTTTGTTGAAGATTTTTGCATCAATGTTCATAAGAGATGGTGGTCTTTTGTTCTTTTTTCTTTCTCATTTATTTTTATTTAATTAATTGTAAAGATACAGGGTCTCACTCTGTCACCCAGGCTGGAGTGCAGTGGTGTTATCCTAGCTCACTGTAGCCTTGAACTCCTTGGCTCAAGCAATCCTCCCACCTCAGCCTCCTGAGTAGCTGGATCTAAAGGCATGTACCACCATGACTGGCTAATTAAAAAAAAATTTTGTTTTTAGAGACAGGATCTTTGTCCCAAGTGCTCAGATAATATGCAGTTACAGGATCTTCAGGGTGTTGTTTTTCTGGCTAGAAACCTCTGTGGCTAGGCTGTTTCACCAACTCACCTTGGCAGGCTGCACTTGACCTACTGGCCTGGGTCCCATGCCTGCCAAGGGTGAATCAGACATGGAATGGCCAGGGGTGTGTGAGTGAGCATGGGGTCTGGCCACTGCATAGTCAGACATGCTGGTTGCTGCAATGGGGTGGGCAGCTCCAGGTGCTGTCACAGGTGCTGGCCCTCTGCAAGGCTGCAGCTGGACCAGGCACACCACAAGCAGCTTCCAAGGCTGGAATGGGGAAACATGGTGATGCCTGGAGGCTTGGAGATGCCAGGAACTGCAGGTCCCCAAAGAGGGAGTCACAGTCCTGGCTTGGGGAGTTCCCAGGTCTGGGCTAACTGAAGAGCCATAGCTCTTCTTTCCTTCTCTTCTCTCACAATGTCGCAAGCAAGGGGGTATGTCTCAGCCCTGTTTGTGTTACAGCTCTTTTAGCCTTGCCATTTGGACTTGTGCCCAGGAAGAATGAAGTACGCAGACAAGTGGAGGGTGAGCAAGACAAAGAGGAGATTTACTGAGTGATATAACAGATCAGAGGAAATCTTCAGGGGCAGCTCCTTTCCGTAACCAGGGTGCCCTGATGAATGTTCTGCTCCTAGCAGAGAGGAGACCCTGGAGTGGGAAGCTCCTCTCTGCAGGCAGGTCATTCTGATGTCTTCCCAGCTTTCAGCAGAGAGGAGGCCCTGGAGTGGGTAGCACCTCTCTGCAGCTGGTTGTCCCAATGTTTCTGCAGCTGGTTGTCCCAATGTCTCTGCAGCTCTCAGCAGAGAGGAGGCCCTGGAGTGGGTAGCTTCTCTCTGCAGCTGGTGGTCCCAATGTCTCTGCAGCTCTCAGCAGACAGGAGACCCTGGAGTGGGTAGCTCCACTCTGAAGCTGGTCCTCCTGATGTCTGTTCTGGCTGAGCCTGGGGCTTTTATGGGGCTCAGAGGGGAGGAAGTGCTTGCCAACTGGTCCATGGGTGGTCATGGACAGGCCCGGAAAAGGCACCACAAGTTCCATCTCTGGTCCCTGGGACTGGCAGCCCAGCCCCCAGCCTTTAGGTCCTCCTTGGCCTGAAGGTGGGGCTCACTGGGGACCTGTCCCCTTCCACTCAGGAACTTGCCTGCCTCTTGCTGCCATTGATGGCACCCAGGCTGTAGGTGCTAAGGGGTGCCTTCAGACCAGCACTGAGCTGCCTTCAGCCTCCCTTTGGCTTCCCTCCTATGCTTGTTTGGAGGGGGCTGGGATGTCAGGGGGCTGGTGTGTCAGCACTGCCCTGAGTGTGTGCAAACTCAGCTGGGCCATGACAGCATCTGGGCTTGGCCCTGACTTTGCTTTGAGATTGGAGCAGGTGCCAACAGCAGGGGGAAGCCAGGCAGTGGGAGCAGGCACTTCTGAGCCTGTGAGGGCAGGGGGGCCTTCCTGGGCTTCCAAGAGTGCAGGAATGCCTGAATCTGCAGCCACAGTTTGGGCAGCTGCAGCTGTGCCTGGTGTGGGTGTGTGTGCAGAGCTCCTGCCTGCTCCATGGTTTGGGTGGCTGGAGCTGTGGGGTGAGGTGTGGTTCCCACTTGCTCCCAGGCTCTGAGAGCACAGGGATGCCCAGGTATTCAGCTGTGGCTTGGGTGGCTGCAGCAGCACCTGGGGAGCTCCCATCCCAACTCAGAAAAGGTGGGGCTCCTGCTTGTCCTTGGCTCCTGCTGTCTCCATGGAGCATGCAGCCCCAGCTGTACCTCCCCACTGCAGCTGGCATGACGGCAGTGGCTGCTCCAGATGGGCTGCTGCTGCCATCAATATTTTGTATATTATCTATATTTTCAAACACATTGAGACTTAATTTGTGGCCTAACATATGGTCTATCTTGGTGAAAATATTTCATGTACACTGGAGAAGAAAGCATTTGCTGTTATTGTTGGGTATAGTGTTCTGTATATGTCTGTTAAATCTAGTTGATATTTTGTGTTAAGTCCTCTATTTCCTTATTTTCTGTTTGGTTGTTCTGTCCTTTATAGAGAAGAGGCTATTGAAATCACTAACTATTACTGTAGAATTAATTCTCTCTTCAATTCTGTTTTTGCTTCATATATTTTTGATGGTCTGTCATGTTTATAAAAGTGTTATGTCTTCTTACTGTGTTGACTCTTTTATTAATACACAATGTCCTTCTTTGTCTTTTTTAACCTTTTTTTTTTTTTTTTATTTAAAGTCTGTTTTATCTGATATTAGCATAGCCGCCCCTGCTCTCTTTTGGTTATGATTTACGTGGAATATCTTTTTTAACTCTTTCACTTTCAATCTGTGTGTGCCTGTGAGTCTAAATTGAGTCTCTCTTGTAGAGAACATATAGTTAGTTCATGTTTTTAAAATCTTTCTGCCAATCTCTGTCTTTTGATTAGAAAATTTAATCTACTTGCAATTAAAGTAATTACTGATAAGGAGGGACTTCTGTCATATTGCTCTTTGTTTCCTGAATGGTGTATAGCTTTTTTTGTCTTTCAGTTCCTGCACTACTGTCTTAAAATTTTTTTTTTGGTAGTAAAATGTTTAAATTTCTCTCTTATTTCCTTTTGTATGTATTCTGTAGCTATTTTCTTTGTAGTTACCATGGAAATTACATTTAACATGCTAAAGTTATAATAGTCTAGTATGAATTTATACTACATTAATTTAAATAACATAAGTCTGCTCCTTTAACAGCTCTGTCATCATCCCTTTTAGTTGTTGATGTCAAAAAATTATGTTTTATACATTGTACTCCAAAACATGCTATTTTTAAGTTTAATATTAATATTTTATTAATAATTTAATTATTATATTAAATAAATTATCCTTTTATGTAAAAAATAAATTATGGAGTTACACCAAAGTTACAATAATACTAGCTTCGAGACTAATATGTTTTCTTAATATATTAGTCTCTTAAATCAGAAAATAAAAAAATGGAGTTATACCATTACAATAATACTAGCTCTTATAATGCCTATTAAATCTTTATTTATTTAGGTTAGAGATGGGGTTTTGCTCTGTCACCCAGGCTGGAGTGTAGTGGCACAATCACAGCTCACTGCCTCCTCAAACTTCTGGACTCAAGCATTCTTCCTGCCTCAGTCTCTCGAGTAGTGGAACTACGGGTATGCACAACCACACCTTGCTAATTTTTAAACATTTTATTGTGCAGACTGGGTCTTGCTATCTTGCTTAGGATGGTCTTGAACTCCTGAGCTCAAGCAATCCTTCTGCCATGATGTCCCAAAGTGTTGGGATTACAGGTGTGGGCCACCACACTCTGCTAAGATCTTTATTTCTTTGTATTGCTTCAAGTTAATGTCTAGTGTCCTTTCATTTAACTCTGCAGGACTTCCTGAAACATTTATTGCGGGGCAGGTATAGTGGTAAAAACCCCCCTCAGCTTTTGTTTATCTGGGAACGCCTTAATTTCTTCATCACTTTTGAAGGACAGTTTTGGCAGATATAGGATTCTTGGCTGACAGTTTTTTTCTTTTAGCACTTTGAATATATTAAGCCACTCTTCTATTTTCAAAAGTTTCTGATGAGAAATCTTCTGGTAATCTTATTGAGGACCCCTTGTATGTGACAAGTCACTTCTCTTCTGTCTTACTGCTTTCAAAATTCTCTCTTCATCTTTGAATTTTGACACATTGGTTATGTGTCTTGGTGTGGCTGTCTTTGAGTTCATCTTACTTGGAGTTTGCTGAGCTTCTTGGATGTCTATATTTATGTCTTTCATCAAATTTGGGAAGTTTTCAGCCATTATTGAAATATTGTCTCTGTCCTTTTGTTTTCTCTCTCTCTCTCTTCCTTCTGGAATTTTTACAATGCATAGTTTGTTCCACTTGATAGTGTCCCAAGGTCCCCTAGGCTCTCTTTTCACTTTTCTTTAATCTTTTTTCTTTCTCTTTCTCAGACTTGCTAATTTCTATCATCCTATCTTCAAGTTTGCTGGTTCTTTCTGTTGCTTGTTCATATGTGCTTTTGGGGGGAACCCGGGCTAAGATAGCTGTGACTTCATATCTCACTGACACTAGGTTAGTACCCAGTTTTGAATAAATATTTGTTCAAAGATGAATATTGAATGAATGAACATTTTTTCAATCAACTGAATTTTCATTTCAGTTATTATAATTTTCAGCTTCAGAATTTTGTTTCTTTTTGTATCTTCTATCTCTTTATTAATATTCCCATTTTGTTCATATGTAATTTTCTTAACTTTCTCCATGTCCTTATTTAGTTCTTTGAGCATATTTAAGACAGTTGTTTAAAGTTTTTCTCTAGTAGATCTGCCACCAGGTCTTTTTCAGAAATGGTTTCTGTTGATTTGTTATTTTTTTCTTTAAATGAGCCATACTTTTCTGTTTTTTTGTATGCTTTGTGAGTTTTTTGAAATATTTGCATTTCATAATATGGTAACTTTTGAAATTAGATTTTCCCTCTTCCTAGGGTTTGCTGTTTTCTCTGATTCTTTATTATTTTGATTGTTGTGCCAAGGATCAGCCTGAGATGTAAACTTAAGGCCTTTCAGCTCTTTTCTGAGCCTGTGACTTTCCCCGGTTATGTGTGGTTACTTGCCAACTTTTCCCATATGTGCAGTTTTTATTTTTATTTTATTTTTATTATACTTTAAGTTCTGGGATACATGTGCAGAATGTGCAGGTTTGTTACGTAGGTATTCACATGCCATGGTGGTTTGCTGCACCCATCAACCCATCATCTACATTAGATATTTCTTCTAATGGTATCCCTCCTCTAGCCCTGCACCCCCCAGCAGGCCCCAGTGTGTGATGTTCCCCTCCCTGTGTCCATGTGTTCTCATTGTTCAACTCCTATTTATGAGTGAGAACATGTAGTGTTTGGTTTTCTGTTCCTGTGTTAGTTTGCTGAGAATGATGGTTTCCAGCTTCATCCATATCCCTGCAAAGGACCTGAACTCATCCTTTTTTTTATAGCTGCATAGAATTCCATGGTGTATATGTGCCACATTTTCTTTATCCATCCTATCATTGATGGACATTTGGGTTGGTTCCAAGTCTTTTATGCAGTTGTTTTGAATGTCCTAGTTTTCAGTGTCTCACTCCCAAAAAAAAGAACAGGAAGTCACAGGCCTTCAATAGACTCTAGAGTTCTAAATAGTTCCACCAGACAAATTCTACCACTGCAGTGTTGTTCAAATGAAGAGACAGACTCCTGGTGCTTCCTACTTCATCATCTTCCCAGAATCTGCTCAGATTATAAGCGTTAATGAAATAAAAAGCAGTTCTCCCAAAGGGATATAATTGAAGAAGTTTATTCATTCAGTATTTATCATTGGGTACCACCCTAAGTGCTGATGAGATATGAAGTCACAACTGTCGTAGCCAGGGTTCACCCCAAGAGCAGAGCCTGACAAGATCTCACTGGTAGGGAGCTTTGGGAAATAAGCAGGAGTGGGATTTGGAAATAATATAGGAAAGTGTTATGAGCTGGTTTACCACTGTGGGCACCTGGAATTCAATTCCATGGGGCCTCTGAGAAGCTGTGTAGGATGCCCCTCAGAACTGCCCCCTTGAGACATGGAAGTGGCGGTATTCAATCTACTGAATAAGGATTGCCCTTGGGAGTGTTAACTCCCTCAACTTCCAAGTTATGCAAGAAGCAGAATGGCTGAGTGTCTCCAAGCAAAGGCAGATTGCCCATAGTAGAAAGCAAGAGACAGTGGTGCAGCTGAGATAATGTGCTGTCAGTTTTCACCTGGTGCTTGCCTTGGCCAAGGCTGGACTAAAAAGTGAGCTAAGAGGCTGTGAGATGAGGACGAAGTAGAGAGTCATAAAACAGCCCGTGTGGTCATGGACCCTATTTAATGAACTCAGACACTAGGCAATTACAAAGAATATAGTGTGATAAGTGATAAGGAAATAGAGAGAGTTTATCAGTTAGAATTGGGATACATGCAACAGAAACCCTACAGTAGAGGCTTAACCCAGTGGTTTAAAAATAAACCTATTTTTCTCATGTAAAAAGAAGTTCAGAGCGAGGAAGTTTGGCACTCAAGGAAGTCATCCAGTACCAGGCTCCATCCAGCTTCCTGCTCTTCCATCCTTAGTGTCTGGCTTTCATCTTCATAGTTGGTCTGATTGTGTTCTAGGCAGGAAGACAGGGAAGACAGGCAGAGGACATGTGCCAGCTGAGTCTGTTTTTATTAGGAAAAGCATAGCTTTCTTGGAAGCCCATCCAACAGGATTCTGCTTACATATCATTGAGTGTAGTAGCTCACGTGGTCACTCCTGGCTTAAGGGAGTCTGGAAGATGAATTATTTTTATTTTTTGAGACAGTGTCTTGCTCCCTTGCCCAGGCTGGAGTGCAGTGACACTACTCTAGGTTGCTGCAACCTCAAACTCTTGGGCTCAAGTGATCCTCCCACCTCAGCCTCCCAAGTTGGGACTAAAAGTATGCACCATCATGCTCAGATAATTTTTTAATTAATTAATTAATTTTTAGAGACAGAGTCTCTAAATATTTAGGGACAGAGTCTCACTCTGTTACCTAGACTGGAGTGCAGTGGCATGATCATAGCTCACTATAACCTCAAACTCCTGAGCTCAAGCAATCCTCCTGCCTGTCCCTTGAGTAGCTGGGACTACAAGTATGTGCCACCACACCCAGCTAATATTTAGATTTTTAAAAGACTAGGTCTTGCTATGTTGCCCAGGCTGTTCTTGAACTCCTGGCCTCAAGTGATCCCCCTGCTTCACCTTTCCAAAGTTCTGGGATTACAGGAATGAGCCACTGCACCCGGCCAAGAGATGAGTATTTTTAACTGGACACATCAGACACTGAACAGAATTGGAGTACTAATAGTAAGAAAGACAGCAGAAAGGATTTTGAGTAGGCAACTTACAGTATCTGCCTCAGAAGTCTAAGTGGTATGGGAGCATCAAGGAGGGGCCCAACACCTGAACTAGGGATAAGAGAGGGAGGTCAGAGAAGGTCCTTGAAGGTAACCCTTAGGTGGATCTTGAAATATGAGCTGTAACTGGCCAGGTAGATAATATGTAAACTTTTGTTGATGTATGGTGGCAGGAGGCAGGAAAGGGAATGGTTGGAAGAACAATCTAGACATTACGTAGAAGGACATGAAAATATGAAAGATTATAGGACCGAAGAAGAATTTTGGAGAGATACAACAGGCTAGAGAATTGAGCACAAATAGGTAGTGGTAAGGTACTACTCTGACAGGTGTTATGGGACCAGACTAGACCAGAGACGGCCTTGTATACCATCATAAGGAATATAGATTTTATCTGGAAGCCTAATAGGAAGTTTTGAAATATTTTAGGCAGGCAGGTAATGTGATAAGATCTACATTAAAAATCAATCTGAAAAATGTTTGGAGAATGGATTGGAAGATATGATGTGGCAATAATCAAGGATTTGCCATAATCTAAGGAAAAATGATGTAGGATTAAACTAACAAGGATAGAGAGAAGAGGACAGACTTGAGAAAAGTTTTGAAGAGAGGTTCGATAGGGCTTGGTGGATAACTGTGTGATATAATTTCTCTAAACCAACAACACTTGAGGGGGAAAAGTAAATTTCCAAGGTAAGATGATAAATGGACATGCTGAAGTGGAGGCTCCTATGGGTCAGTGAAGCGGTGATATCCAGTAGATAGGGGGAATGCTGGAACTGAAACCTTTGTAAGAGATTGGAGCTGGAATTCTAGATTAGAGGTCATTGGCATATGGTGGCAATTGAAGTCCTTGGTATGGACAGGGTCACACAGATGGAGTGAATATAAGAAAGAGGAGCCTGGAGGGCAGTACTACTGGGCACATTAGCATATGGACATAAGAAGATGAGATTAAAAAAGGGATGGGGAAGGGGAGTGAGAGAGATCCAAATGACTCTAGGAGAGAGTGATGCATGGAAAGCCATGGATGAGAGAGAGAGACTCAACATATGGTGTAGTGGTGAATAGTATGAGCTTCAGAGTCAGACAGACCTCATTTCCAGCCCAGGGTCTACCTAATTGTATGACCTATGACAAATGTCCTTATCCTCTCTATGCCTCAGTCTGTTTCCTCATTTTGAAAATGGGGATCATAACAGTACCTACTTCAGCACTGTTTTGATAATTAAATGAGATAATGTATAAAAAGTGCTCAGCACTCTGCTTGGTACACAGTTCTCAAAGAGTGGTAGCTATCACACTAATATGATGAGTGTCTCTTCAAGAGTGGCAGGAGATTCAGACAGATCAGAAGAAGGATGTTGAAAAAAGGCTGGAAAGAATCCATTGGATTGTGATTCAAGAGGTCAATGGGAATCCTTGATGAGTTTCAATGGCATGGTGGGGACAGAGACAGAATGTGGGTAGGATGGGGGAATTTGAGAGGGGTGACTGGATTGCGAACAGGTGGATGATGATGAGTATGTGGAGTTCATTATTTTATTCTCTCTACTTTTGGGATGTTTGAATATTTTTATAATAAAAATAAAGGGCCTAATAATTGTAAAAAATATATATTTTTTCTCCAAAGTGCTCAACACATAATAGAAATAGCAGAAGGCATTGGTGAGTAGGAGGACTTAAGCTTTGCCTGGTGAAAAGAATTTGGCCACAGCCCACGTAGGATGATTTCCAGACTTATGATGCTGCCAAAAGGAAACTCAATTGTTTGTACGTATCAATCAAACTCAGAGTATTATGTATGTATCAATCCCTACACCTGCATGGGCTTTGAAGTCAGACTGCTACATTTAAATCCTGTCTCGACCATTTGCAAACTATGAGATCTTGGGTAACTAACTTATTTAACCACTCTGTGCCTCATTTTCCTTATTTATAAAATAAGGATAATAGTTCCTGCCTCACATGGTTGTTATCAGGAATACATGAGCTAATACACACAAGGTACTTAGAATGGTGTCTTGGTCTGTTTGGGCTGTTATAACAAAATATCATAGACAAGGTAGCTTATAAACAACAGAATTTTATTTTTCACTGTCCTGGAGGCTGGGAAGTCTAAGATCAAGGTGCTGACAGATTTGGTGTCTGGTGAGGACCTACTTCCTGGTTTATAGAATGGCACATTCTTGCTGTGTCCTCATGTGGTAGAAGGGGCAAAGCATCTCTCTAGAGTCTCTTCTTATAATGGGACCAATCCTATTCATGAGGGCTCTGCCTTCACATCCTAACCACTTTCCAAAGGCCCACCTCCAATTACCATCACATTGGTAATTAGGTTGCAATACAAGAATTTTGCAAGGGTGGCCAGGCACGGTGGCTTACGCCTGTAATCTCAGCATTTTTGGGAGGCCCAGGTGGGCGGATCACCTGAGGGCAGGAGTTTGAGACCAGCCTGGCCAACATGGTGAAACCCTGTCTCTACTAAAAATACAAAACTTAGCCAGGTGTGGTGGCACACGCCTGTAGCCCCAGCTACTTGGGAGGTTGAGGCAGGAGAATCTCTTGAACTCAGGAGGCGGAGGTTGCAGTAATCAGAGATCGCGCCCCTGTACTCCAGCCTGGGTGGCAGAGCAAGACTCTGTCTACACACACACACACACAAAAAAAAAAAAAAAAAAAAGAGAATTTTGCCAGGGGCAGACACAAACATTAGGCCATAGCATACAGTGTTGGGAAGATACTTACTAAGTGCTAAAAAATGTTGTATTTCATTGTACTATAATTTTATTTTTCTATCTAATATATGTTTTTCCACTTAAAACAATATTGTATTGAATAATTTTTTTCCCTAAGGAAATATAGAAATTGTGTTGTTTTTCTTACTATTGCCTTTCTTAGGATAGTGGTAAGTATGACAGTGATGTTTCTCATAACACATACGCTCACACACACTTACTATATAAATACATACTATAAGGTGCACACACACACATCCCCAAAACACATTACCCTTCCACTCCTGGCATACATACATGAACACATAAACAACTACTATTGAAGCTGTGAGCCTTGACATTTTTCTGTTCCACTTTTTTTTTCTTTAAAAGACAGGGTATCACTATGTTGCCCAGGCTGGAGTGCAGTGACTATTTACAGGCACGATCATAGAGCATGACAGCTCCAGATTCCTGAGCTCAAGCGATCCTCCAACCTCAGCTTCCTGAGTAGCTGGGACTATAGACATGGCCACAGTGTCTGGTTCTGTTCCGTTCCAAAACTGTCAGAGATTTTCTGGTGGGGGCATAGGAATACGTCAATTTAAGTAGGAGATGGATCTTTTGGAATAGCCCAAGTCCCTGTCTGGGGACTATGCATTCACACAAATACTGAAGAAGCTGGCTTGATGTAGTTAAGTGTGGAAAGGGAGAAACACTTTCCAATTAGTAAATTCATAGAGAGTCTTGGCCTGGGGTTGTGGTTGTCCACTCCCCTACGTACTAAGGGAGGATGGAGCTGAAATTGAGCATCTTTGGTTTTCATCAACAATTTTTATCAAAGGAATGTGTTTATTAAATCATACAATGTCCTAGAATGGTCACAGTAACAACCTGTTTCTCTGGTGTGTCATGATCTCTCCACTTTCTTCACCTTCCAAATCCTATCTCTCCTTTAAAGTCAAGCTGAAGCCTTGAGTTTGAGGGAATAAGTGAAGGTCGCTTTTCCCATGAGAATCATGAGACACGTTGATGTAGGAGTCAGGCGGAAGTAATTCCTTGGAGATATACATCATGTAATTGTGACAACCAATACATGTTAGGGCTGCAGTAACATATTAGCCTTCACTTCTCAGTGGCCTATCCCGTAAAGCTTTCTTTTTCTGTTCCAGCTGCACATCCAGTGTGAGTGGGCAGATGGCAGGCGGGGAATGTGGGGTAGAGTGGTCGTGATGGAGCTCTGCCCAGTCAGTCACTCAGGGATCAGCCTGACAGCAGCTCCACCATCTTGCTCCATCAGTGCAAAAGAGAAACTGGAGAGAGGCTGAGTAATTGCACAGGAGTTTGTCATTGCCTCAGCCCACAAGTGACACAAGTCATTTCTCTCATTTTATTGGCCAGAACCAGTCAGATGTCCCCTTCTAACTGCAAAAGGGCTGGGAGCTGTAATCTTCTGAATGCCCAGTGAGTGAGAAGATAAATCTGTGTATCGATGAGGATGGGCAATGTCTACCAAAGCACATCAGTATTTAAGCCACCAGGGTAGCTGCTCATAGGTGGAAGGGACAATGTGAGTATCATGGCTTTTATTCTTATAGGAGTCACTGAGACTTCTGGGTAATAGTTAAGTACACTTGGCTGTATCTGGCCTTTGGATAATGAGGTAAACTAGAGTTAAAACCCAATTTCATGTCCTGTAGAAGCCCAAAGCCTCAAGTAGATGACTGAGAATAGACTGTGCATGCCAAAGAGACTTACTAGAGCATGCAGCAAGAGAAAATCAGTATCACCTGATCCCTAATGGCTCACAGGAAGAGTTCTGAGCCTAAAACCCAGGACACTGAGGTATCACTTTTTTGGTTAGTAGCTTGTCTTTTACCTTAACATTTGGCTTTAGTTGGCAGACAATAACTGTGAGCAATAATAAATCAATTAGAGTCAGCTGCCCAGCAGTTTAGGTTATAACATTTAAATGTAGGCAAATGCTAATTTATTCATTTATGCCTGTCTAACCGCTAAAGACATGGAAATATACCCTTTCATGTAAATAGAAAATAGCAACCAAAGTGCCCTTGGCAAAGAAGCAGATCCTGCTCCCGTCTACCCCTCACTGAGATATCTTTAAAATAGAACTTGAATTGGCTTTTAATATTTACATAAAACGTTGAAAACATTATTAAAACTGAGCCAGGGATGAAGGAAGTCTGATCAGGGTAGATTGTGTTAGTAGAAAGCATATGAATAATTTTTTTTATGTGCCATTGTTGGCTTGAATGAATAATTTTTTAACGTAATTGAGCCAAGAATTCTAGTGGCGTGAAATCTTCAGGGGCAGTGTCCCCTCTAAGCAGGATTCTCTGATTCTTCTCCTTTGACACATTTCCTGCCCCCTCCCTACCTCTTCTTTTTTGTTTTTAGAGAATAATGGTGAGTACCTCATGCCCTACCCTGTAGAAAACCCTTTAGTGTGATGGCTTGTGGTTTCCTCCTAGAAGATATTACCTGGCCAAACTCCTCAGTGGGCTAACAGATGATGATAACACAGTCATTCATTTTTTTTCCTTTTAAGTTACCTAGAGTCTGAGAAAGTAGTGTCCTCAAGAGAGGATGTCCACGTGGTCCATACAGCATTTACTGCTGCAATGACTGTAAACTCAATTTTTTTCTTTCTTTACTTTTCAGCATGTGAATTTGGAAGCAATCTATTCTAGCTGAAAATCTGAGAAGTTGATTCCATGCCAAAAATTAGCTGTAACCTCAGTTGACTGCATTTTATGTTTTCACCAGAGTGTTTCCTTTCCATGTGGCTGGCAGAAGGAACAAATTTAACTGAGGCTTTACATTTGTGAATAATCAATTTCAACATTCTTGTAGACCTAAAAATGTAACCTTGACAACTGCTTGGGCAGTAGACATCTGGCTGGCAGGATAGACCATGGGTCTAATCAGGCTGGAAACACTGAATAATCAAGAGAGAAGATTAAGCTTCTGATCTGATGGGCAGGGAATTACTCCAACAGCAAGGGAAGTTTGAAGTGGGGACTAATTTTGTTGGTGGCCAGTTCATTAGGGAATTATTTCTAGTTTGAACAACTTTTTCTTCCTGTGTACTTGGGGTCTAGAATGAATATGCTGAAAACGAGAGTTCTAATAGGTCATGATATGTCTGCTCACATTCCATTCCAAAGCAAGTCATCTGGCCATTTCCAAAGTACATGACACCCAAGGAAGTGGTGGGGGAGGGAGTGATTAATTTTGAGCAGTAATCTAAAATAGCATTGAAGACAGCCATGAGGCATGCAGAAGGTGCCTCTCCATCCTCTCTGCAGAGCAGATGGCAAGTAGAAGCAAGTCCTGCAGCGGGTAGTGGGGGTGCAGAATGATGATGGGGAAAGCCCTGTTAGGGGCCCTGAGTGGCCTGGGTGTTTTATTGAGCTGGGTCTCCATATTACATTTTGGCGTCATTTATAGCACTTGGGAGACCCATCATTTTTAGTTCATTTACTATATATGAATATATTAAGGACATTTAATGTAAATAAATACCATTTATTGAGCCTCTACTGTATGCCAAGCATTATGCTAAGTGGTTTTCATGCTTATCTCAACCTTTTTCTGTTTAGGGCCAGATAGTAAATATTTTAGGTTTTGCGGGCCATAAAGTCTCTATTGCAGCTGCTCACCTCTGCTGTTGTAGTGTGAAAGTGGCCACAGACAATGCAAAAATGAATGACTGTAGCTGGGTTTCAATATCATTTTATTTATGGATTCAGATTTGAATTTGTTATAATTTTTATACATCATGAAATACTGTTTTTCTTCTGATTTTTTCCAACCATTAAAAAATGTAAAAACCATTCTCATCTTGTGGGCTGTATAAAAATGAGTGGTGGGTCACATTTGGCTTGTGGTTCCTGGTTTGCTGACCCCTGCTTTGTCTCATTATATTCGCACAATAAGCTTCATTAGGTAGTTATATTATCACACATTATAGATAAGTATTTCAGAGGTTTAGTATTTCTGCTAATCTCTGGCAATCAGATAGTATCCCACCAAGAAATTAGAGTTTTTTGTTGTGCTTAACTAATTATGTGTTCATAATATGTAACAGAACAATACTTCCCAATGTTTTTTGTGCATTTTAAATGTTACCTATTAATATACCACAGAATATATATATTTCTTATTTTCTGTGATTTTGAAAGTGAATTGTTGATTCTTAAATTATTTGATTATGACATATAATAAATAATTTATTTCAGACTTCACCATAAAATTCTGTTTGGTTTAGGCTAAAGTTAAAATATACTGATTTCTCCTGAATACACTTTAAGGAGAGATGAGGTTGGTTCTGAGAGATGGCAAGAGAAACCAATGTGGGGTGAAACTTTACCACTTTACATGCAATTAATTGAAAGAGGGCTAAATGTAGACAAATATGAATGCATGTATGTGCATGCATGTGCACACACACACACACACACACACACAAAACACATGCTCTCAAGGGAAAGGATTGCCCCTGAACTTGGCAAAGCCTAGAAAAATACAAAGAGAGGTTTCCCTCTTTTGCATACTCAGTGTGGTGCATTATTGATATCTCAGTGAGTTGAAATAAAAGAACTAGACTCATAATAATTAATACATATTTCCAGCATATTAAATTTTACACTATAATAAAATTCTTATATAATATAGATTTTTTTGGTTAAATGGGTTTAGATAGAATATGAGCCAAATAATGTTCCTTGAAACACAGTGTCTGCATACAATAAAGATCTGATCCATCACAGATATTACTTTTAGCTCCCAGTGTTCTCCTATATTTAGAAAATTGAAACTTCTTATTTAAATAATAGGCAATTAAAAATTTCAGAATGTATCAATTTGCATATGACCAAGACATTTAGACCAAAAGGGCTATATACAAGGACTAAATAATCTCATGTGCTAATGAACAATAATATATTCACTGTTTGTACATTAAAAAAATGTAAATTACCCCAAATGGCTGTGTTTAATTGCATATCACTATATCAGTGGGTAATTGTGCTTTCTATGAGAAAAAATTGTTCCAAAGTCAAAATGTCACCTTGCTGTCAAATAATCCCACAGATTACTATAAACAGAGCTAAAGAAATTGTGCTGTGACTGAAAAGGTGTGATGTAAATCCTGCTCATTACCCAAGACATGACTTCCATTGTAATTATCTGTCTATCACAATAGCTTCCTCTGCCATCTCCAGCTTACCTGATGCCATACACACAACTCATTAACATTCGGTCCATACACTACCATTGGTACAGTTAACCTCTGAGCACAGTGGGGTCATTACTTCATTATGATGGATTCTGTAATAACACAACAACTTGCATCAAAGATTAATATTTTTCTTTTCTTCATTTATGGTTAAATTAATAATTAGTCTAACACCTGGATTCCATTATATTCTTGTTTTTGTGATCTTGTCAAGAATTCAGTTGGTTTAGAGGAAACTTCAGAACTCTGTTGCCAAAGAAGAGTTACACTCCTCTCTGGCTGACATCTATTTTTAAAAAGAGAAAAAATATTTGGCAACCTGTGTGGTCTGAATATGAAAGACATTGGTAATGTAAAATGAACTGAAGGAACACACAGGCTAGAAAGTCTATTGTGGTTTTTGGAAATAGAGATTAAACTGGATGAAAGTTCTAACAATTTGTTTATTGTGATGAGAAACTTGAGAGTGAGTTAATTCTGGTGGTTTTTAAAAATTTAATATTTTATGGGCCAGGCGTGGTGGCTCACACCTGTAATCCCAATACTTTGGGAGGCTGAGGCGGGCAGATCACCTGAGGTCAGGAGTTTGAGACCAGCCTGGCCAACATGGTGAAACTCTGTCTCTGCTAAAAATACAAAAATTAGCCAGGCTTGGTGGTGGGTGCCTGTAATCCTAGCTACTTTGGAGGCTGAGGCAGGAGACTCGCTTGAACCCGGGAGGCAGAGGTTGCAGTGAGCCAAGATTGCACCACTGCACTCCAGCCTAGGTGACAGATCAAGATTCTATCTCAAAAAAAAAAAAAAAAGGATGTTGAATGGCGAGAGGGTCTTGCCATGTTGCCCAGGTGGGTCCTGAACTCCTAGGTTTAAGCGATCCTCCTGCCTTGGCCTCCCCAAATATTGGGATTACAGGCATAAGCCACCATGTCTGGCCTCATTCTGGCATTTTTAAGCAAAGTATACAGATCTCAAGTTTGAGTTTTATTTTCACAGTTCTTTAGCACAGCATCCGATTCCATTTGGTAAGCTCTTGTAAACAGCTGCATTTAATGTAAAGAAGTGGTTTATTTTCCCTTAAGTAGTTATTTGAATTTTCTAAGTTGGGAATAGAATTATTATAGCAAGCTACTTTTAAGAGGAAAGGGGATTTCACTTTAAAAGTCATCTCTCATTTATGAAGAACAACAAAAGTCAGGGAGAGGCATCATAGGGAAAGCTAATATTTCCAAGAGTCTCTATTAACCTTTGGTGTTTTTTCCTGTAACTCTGGAATATTGTTTAAAATTTCCATTGTCATTAATGGAACATTTGATGAAGCTTTATTTTATGCTACCATAACTGTCTTTGGAATGAAAGTTTGAATTAACTTAGCATGCTAGCAATGTCCACCATGGGCAGGTGAATAAAACCCCTAATGATATCAAAGCAGTGTAATTCCCAGATCCAGGCCATCTTTTAAAATAGATGCTTTTTCTGGGGCAAGTATTTTACTAGGTGTTCTATACAGTAACTTTAAATCCTGCAAAGTGGGTGTTATTATCCCAAGCAAGAGATGAGGAAATTGAAGCTCACAGAGATACAATGATCTATTTAAGGCCACACACCTGGCAAGTGGTGGAGTCAGAACTTAAAATCAAGTCTGTCTGACATAGAGCCAGTGCTTTTTCCATCATGATGTATCTTATTCTGCCATTCTTCATAATGATCAAGTAAAGGTAGACAACAATTATGTGCTTATCTCAGAAAGAAAAAATACCCAAATATCAAGAGGCAAGAATTTAAAGTGAATACAAATCATTTGAATTCATGATTAGATAGAACACCATGCATCCAAACCTATGCAAAACATTCTTTAACGAGGGAACTCTCCAAGGCCTGAAATAGACATTCATGTATAAGTGTAGAATTTTCAGACCAGATAGATATACTTTTCAGAACCTGGAGCTTCACACTTACGCATGGTTTTGGATTTCTTTGGGTGGGAGAGTACCTTGCAATGGAAAGTAGCAACGTTTACAGAAGTATAATATTGCAGTTAATCAATAGTTAACACTTGAATATTGTATTCAAACAAGAACAGATTGTTTGCCAGTTACTAATTTACTGCTTCTCAGGTTTGAATGTACTATTCACTGCTTGCTCTATGAAAATGGAGATGGGCCCTTGAAATTTTTCTGTTTTGCCAGCTGGCATGATGTTAAGCTTTGTGAATAGAGGGTGCTGGAGGAATATTGGAGAAGAATATGTTTTTCTTCCTGATTCCAGTGCCCTTTATTGACAGGCTCCTGCTCTATGCATGGCTTCTGCCTTGCCATTCTGTCAGTGTAGGGCACAGCTTTCTTCAGTACTCAGTTTCTGCAAAGTATGTCTCCTCCAGCATTGCGCTCCTTTAGTGAATGGCTTCTCCGTGCTCAGCTTCTGCAGTTCATGGCAACCAACAGCATTCCAGCATCCAGCATCATCCCATGGTAGTCCCTTGGCAGTTCTGCAACAAGTTCCAAGGCATGACATCTCCCTGTGTATGGCTTTCTCTGGTGCTCCAGATGGTAGATTTCCAGAAAGTTCCACCAGTATGGCACCTGGGCGACTTCTCTCTATCCAGTGAGCTATGGCAGTGCTCTCTCCAACAAGGTCTGGATCTCAGCCCTAGAAGGAGGGGAGTTCTTTCTTGGATACTCTGTCTCAGCCTAGGGGTGGTATTTGTAATATCTGTATTCTTTAGAATTTTCTTTATGTCTTATTAGCTTGTCCATCAGTACTCTAATCCTCTGTTATACACTTTCCCTGTTAAAATTGTTATGTAGTTTCTGTCTCCTGGTTGGACATTGACTGGTATAGTTGAGTAGGTTACATTATTTCTACTTTTTTTTTTTTTTTGGAGACAGAGTCTCTCTGTCACCCAGGCTGGTGTGCAGTAGTGTGATCCTAGCTTACTGCAGCCTTTGAACTCCTGGGCTCAAACAATCCTCCCACCTCAGCCTCCTAAGTAGCTAGGACTATAGGAATGTGCCACCACACCTTTTTATTTTTGTAGAGCTAGGATCTTGCTATGTTGCCCCAGCTGGTCCCCAATTCCTGGCTTCAAGTGATCATCCTGCCTTGGCCTCCTAAAGCTCTGGGATTACAGGCATGAACTACTGCACCCAGCCCATTGCTACTTCTTCATCTGATTTGCCTAAATGCCTTCAGTCTAACAGGATTAAAATGCACTACTGAAAGTTGGCTTTTTAATGTTAAATATTCAATACCTTACCAAGCATATTTTCTACAAAATAACTTATCCAGGCATATTGCTTTCAATCTATATAATATACAAATTCTCTTCTAATGATAAAGTTAATTATTTAATCAGTTAAGATGATTTGGTTGCAAGAAGTAGAAATGGCCTGGCTAACTTAAGCATAAAAAGGAATGTATGGGAAGAAGACAATGCCTGGCTATTGCAGAAATCTTTGGTCGTCTAGAAAGAGTAGAGATAGGCTTTGAGAGCTAGAGGGAAGAGAATATCTTAGTTTGACAGGTTTTGGAATAGAAAGATGATTCAAGACAAGGATAAATTTTTGGGTGTGACATTAATTCTCTGCAGCATAGGTTTCCCATGTCACTTAGAGAAAAAGCCAAAGGCTTCACAGTGGCCTACAAGGCCTCATGTGACTAGGCTCAATGCCTTGCACTTACTGGAATACCTTCTTCCTGGAATACTTTCCTTCAGATATTTGCCTGACTTACTCCCTCTCTTCCTACAAGTCTTTGCTCCACTGTCATCTCAGTAAGATCTTTCCTGCCACTCTCTTTAGATTCACAGCCCTGACCTGGTACTCCCTATCAGTCTTCCCTTATTTGCTTTTCTCTGTAGCAATTATCACCTTCTAAGATATTACATAACCTACTTATTTTGTCTTTTGTTTGTCTCCCTCTAATTAATATGTAAGTTCCGCAAGGCAGGGCTTTAAAAACATTTTTTTTTCAGTGATGCATCCTTATTATTTAGAACAGTGTCTAAATATTTGTGGATAAATAAATGAATGAACTTCCTGTATTATTAGGCTGAATATGATTCACATGTACATACTTTATAATTTTTACTCATATTTTTTGGGTGTGTATGTATATGTGTCTTCAATTATATAACCAGAACTAAAGAGGTAACAGGCTTTGTGTTATGAACGACTTTCTTGGTGGCCTTATTCAACTTCTTGAATGAGGGATTCCCACAATTGGCTTGCTTTTAAGTGGTATTTTGCCCATATTTTAAAAATTAATTATTGCAGTGAACATTTGCTATTCTTGCCTCCTACCAGCTATCCTTCTTCTTAACAGCACCCTAGTTTTGCTTTGGTGGGGCTATCAATCAGTGATCTGATGACTGGAAGGCATTTACATTCTTGAGAAGAGTGATATAAACACCCAAAATGGCGGGCATTTTCCTTCGTAATCTCTGCAGTACTCCCTGAAGTTACATGCATCAGGTTACCCTTCTGCTTTTGCCTGGGGTTGCCTTAGTTCCTGCCCTTTCTGAGTGTGTTTATTCCCCATTCAATTCCATTTTGTGAGTTATCCCATCTTTCCCCCATACATTTCTTTTTCTGCATAAGTTAGCCAGGCCATTTCTATTTCTTGCAACCAAATTATCTTAACTAATAAAATAATTCACTTTATTATGGGAGGAGAATTTGTATGCTATTATATATAATGAGTACAATATGCCTGGATTAGTTACTTTATAAAAATATGCTTTTTAAAATACTGAATATTTGACATAAAAAAATCCAACTTTCAGTAGTGCATTTACATCCTGATAGACTAAAGGCATTTAGGCAAATCAGATCAAGAAATGCAAATGATGTAACCTCTGCTGATGTTGTATTAGACACAATATATGAAGTTCTGGGTGCCTTCTCTAGATTTATTGTCACCATCAGTAGTTTTAGAATGAATAGTTGATACATTTAGACACAGGTAAAGAAGGGCTCAGTAATACAGAGATGAGGGAATCTGAAGTCAATTTATGTGACAAAAAAGCATGTTACTTACTGTTTTGCTATCCAGAGAGCATCTTCATTCTATGAAGAATAAATTTTACAGATTAATGGAGAAGTGCTCCACAAGCCTCATTTCTTTTTTTTTTTTTTAATTTTACTAGGGTAGTTCTAGGGAACATGTGCACAACATGCAGGTCTATTACATAGGTATACATGTGCCATGCTGGTTTGCTGCACCCATCAACTCATCATTTACATTAGGTATTTCTCCTAACGCTATCCCTCCCCAAGACCCCCACCCCCAATAGGCCCCAGTGTGTGATGTTCCCCTCCCTTTGTCCATGTGTTCTCATTGTTCACCTCCCACTTATGAGTGAGAACATGCAGTGTTTGGTTTTCTGTCCTTGTGATATTTTGCTGAGAATGATGGTTTCCAGCTTCATCCATGTCCCTGTGAAGGACATGAACTCATCCTTTTTTATGACTGCATAGTATTCCATGGTGTTTATGTGCCACATTTTCTTTATCCAGTCTGTTATTGATGGACATTTGGGTTGGTTCCAAGTCTTTGCTATTGCGAATAGTGCCACAACAAACATAGGTGTGCATGTGTCTTTATAGTAGAATGATTTATAATCCTTTGGGTATATACACAGTAATGGGATTGCTGGGTAAAATGGTATTTCTAATACTAGATCCTTGAGGAATCGCCACACTGTCTTCCACAATGGTTGAACTAATTTACACTCCCACCAACAGGTAAGAGTTCCTATTTCTCCACATCCTCTCCAGCATCTGTTTTTTCCTGACTTTTTAATGATCACCATTCTAACTGGCATGAGATGGTATCTCATTGTGGTCTTGATTTTCCTTTCTCTGATGACCATTGATGATGAGCATTTTTTCATATGTCTGCTGGCTGCATAAATGTCTTCTTTTGAGAAGTGTCTGTTCACATCCTTTGCCCACTTTTTGATGGGGTTGTTTGTTTTTTTTCTTGTAAATTTGTTTAAGTTCTTTGTAGATTCTGGATATTAGCCCTTTGTCAGATGGGTAGATTGCAAAAATTTTGTCCCATTCTGTAGGTTGCCTGTTCACTCTGATGATAGTTTCTTTTGCTGTGCAGAAGCTCTTTAGTTTAATTGGATCCCATTTGTCTATTTTGGCTTTTGTTGCCATTGCTTTTGGTGTTTTAGACATGAAGGCTTTGCCCATGCCTATGTCCTGAATGGTATTGCCTAGGTTTTCTTCTAGGGTTTTTATGATTTCAGGTCTTACATTTAAGTCTTTAATCCATCTTGAGTTAATTTTTGTGTAAGGTGTAAGGAAGGGATCGAGTTTCAGCTTTCTACATATGGCTAGACAATTTTCCCAGCACCATTTATTAAATAGGGAATCCTTTCCCCATTTCTTGTTTTTGTCAGGTTTGTCAAAGGTCAGATGGTTGTAGATGTGTAGTGTTATTTCTGAGGCCTCTGTTCTGTTCCATTGCTCTATTTATCTGTTTTGGTACCAGTACCATGCTGTTTTGGTTACTGTAGCCTTGTAATATAGTTTGAAGTCAGGTAGCGTGATGCCTCCAGCTTTGTTCTTTTGGCTTAGGGTTGTCTTGGCAATGTGGGCTCTTTTTTGGTCCCATATGAAATTTAAAGTAGTTTTTTCTAATCGTGTGAAGAAAGTCCATGATAGCTTGATGGGGATAGCATTGAATCTCTAAATTACCATGGACAGTATGGCCATTTTCATGATATTGATTCTTCCTACCCATGAGCAGGGAATGTTCTTCCATTTGTTTGTATCCTCTTTATTTCATTGAGCAGTGGTTTCTAGTTCCCTTGAAGAGGTCCTTCACATCCCTTGTAAGTTAGATTCCTAGGTATTTTATTCTCTTGTAGTAATTGCAAATGGGAGTTCACTCATGATTTGGCTGTTTGTCTATTAATGGTGTATAGGAATGCTTGTGATTTTTGCACATTGACTTTGTATCCTGAGACTTTGCTAAAGTTGCTTATCAGCTTAAGGAGATTTTGGGCTGAGACAATGGGTTTTTCTAAATATAGAATCATGTCATCTGCAGAGACAATTTGACTTCCTCTTTTCCTAATTGAATACACTTTATTTCTTTCTCTTGCCTGATTGCTCTGGCCAGAATTCCAATACTATGTTGAATAGCAGTGGTGAGAGAGGGCGTCCTTGTCTTGTGCCGGTTTTCAAAGGGAATGCTTTCAGTTTTGCCCATTGAGTATGATATTTGATGTGGGTTTGTTGTAAATAGCTATTATTTTGAGATACATTCCATCAATACCTAGTTTATTGAGAGTTTCTAGCATGAAAGGCTGTTGAATTTTGTTGTTGAAGGACTTTTCTGCATCTATTGAGATAATCATGTGGTTTTTGTCATTGGTTCTGTTTATGTGATGGATTATGTTTATTGATTTCCATGTGTTGAACCAGCCTTGCATGCCAGGGATAAGCCAAGTTGATCGTGGTGGATAAGCTTTTTGATGTGCTGCTGGATTTGGTTTGCCAGTATTTTACTGAGGATTTTCACTTTGATGTTCATCAGGAATATTGGCCTAAAATTCTCTTTTTGTTGTGTCTCTGCCAGACTCTGGGATCAGGATGATGCTGGCTTCCTAAAATGAGTTAGGGAGAATTCCCTCTTTTTCTGTTGATTGGAATAGTTTCAGAAGGAGTGGTATCAGCTCCTCATTGTACCTCTGGTAGAATTCGGCTGTGGATCCATCTGGTCCTGGACTTTTTTTGTTGGTAGGCTATTCATTATTGCCTCAATTTCAGAACCTGCTATTGGTCTATTCAGAGATTCAGCTTCTTCCTGGTTTAGTCTTGGGAGGGTGTATGTGTCCAGGAATTTATCCATTTCTTCTAGATTATCTAGTTTGTTTGCATAGAGGTGTTTATAGTATTCTCTGATGGTAGTTTGTATTTCTGTGGGATCAGTGGTGATACCCACTTTATCATTTTTTATTGCATCTATTTGATTCTTATCTCTTTTCTTCTTTATTAGTCTTGCTAGTGGTCTGTCTATGTTGATCTTTTCAAAAAACCAGCTCCTGGATTCATTGATTTTTTGAAGGGTTTTTTGTGTCTCTATCTTCTTCAGTTCTGCTCTGATCTTAGTTATTTCTTGTCTTCTGCTAGCTTTTGAATGTGTTTGCTCTTGCTTCTCTAGTTCTTTTAATTGTGATGTTAGGGTGTTGATTTTAGATCTTTCCTGCTTTCTCTTGTGGGCATTTAGTGCTATAAATTTCCCTCTATGCACTGCTTTAAATGCGTCCCAGAGATTCTGATATGTTGTGTCTTTGTTCTCATTGGTTTCAAAGAACATCTTTATTTCTGCCTTCATTTCATTATTTACCCAGTAGTCATTCAGGAGCAGATTGTTCAGTTTCCATGCAGTTGTGTGGTTTTGAGTGAGTTTCTCAATCCTGAGTTCTAATTTGATTGCACTGAAGTCTGAGAGAGACAGTTTGTTGTGATTTCTGTTCTTTTACATTTGCCGAGGAGTGTTTTACTTCCAATTATGTGGTCAATTTTGTAATAAGTGCAATGTGGTGCTGAGAAGAATCTATATTCTGTTGATTTAGGGTGGAGAGTTCTGTAGATGTCTATTAGGTCCGCTTGGTCCAGAGCTGAGTTCAATTTCCGGATATCCTTGTTAATTTCCTGTCTCACTGATCTGTCTAATGTTGACAGTGGGGTGTTAAAGTCTCCCATTATTATTGTGTGGGAGCCTAAGTCTCTTTGCAGGTCTCTAAGAACTTGCTTTATGAATCTGGGTGCTCCTGTATTGGGTGCATATATGTTTAGGATAGTTAGTTCTTCTTGTTGAATTGATCCCTTTACCATTATGTAATGGCCTTCTTTGTTTCTTTTGATCTTTGCTGGTTTAAAGTCAGTTTTATCAGAGACCAGGATTGCAACCCCTGCTTTTTTGTGTTTTCCATGTGCTTGGTAGATCTTCCTCCATCCCTTCATTTTGAGCCTGTGTGTGTCTTTGCTTGTGAGATGGGTCTCCTGAATACAGCACACGGATTGGTCTTGACTCTATCCAATTTGCCAGTCTGTGTCTTTTAATTAGGGCATTTAACCCATTTTCATTTAAGGTTAATTATTGTTATGTGTGAATTTGATCCTGTCATTATGATGTTAGCTGGTTATTTTGCCCATTAGTTGATGCAGTTTCTTCCTAGCATCGATGGTCTTTACAATTTTATATGTTTTTGCAGTGGCTGGTCCCGGTTGTTCCTTTCCATGTTTGTGCCTCCTTCAGGAGCTCTTGTAAGGCAGGCCTGGTGGTGACAAAATCTCTCAGCATTTGCTTGTCTGTAAAGGATTTTATTTCTCCTTCACTTATGAAGCTTAGTTTGGCTGGATATGAAATTCTGGGTTGAAAATTCTTTCCTTTAAGAATGTTGAATATTGACCCCCTCTCTCTTCTGGCTTATAGGGTTTCTGCCAAGAGATCTGCTGTTAGTCTGATGGGCTTCCCTTTGTGGGTAACCCGACATTTCTCTCTGGCTGCCTTTAACATTTTTTCCTGCATTTCAACCTTGGTGAATCTGACAATTATGTATCTTGGGGTTGCTCTTCTTGAGGAGTATCTTTGTGGTGTTCTCTGTATTTCCTGAATTTGAATGTTGGCCTGCCTTGCTAGGTTGGGGAAGTTCTCTTGGATGATATCCTGAAGAGTGTGTTCTAACTTGGTTCCATTCTCTCTGTCACTTTCAGGTACACCAATCAAAAGTAGATTTGGTCTTTTCACATAGTCCCAAATTTCTTGGAGGCTTTGTTCATTTCTTTTCACTCTTTTTTCTCTAATCTTGTCTTCTTGCTTTATTTCATTAATTTGATCTTCAATCACTGATATCCTTTCTTCCGCTTGATCAAATTGTCATTGAAGCTTGTGTATGCTTCACAAAATTCTTGTACTGTGGTTTTCAGCTCCATCAGGTCATTTAAGCTCTTCTCTACACTGGTTATTCTAGTTAGCCATTCATCTAACATTTTTTCAAGGTTTTTAGCTTCCTTGCAATGGGTTAGAACATGCTCCTTTAGCTCGGAGAAGTTTGTTATTACCGACCTTCTGAAGCCTACTTCTGTCAACTCATCAAACTCATTCTCCATCCAGTTTTGTTTTCTTGCTGGCGAGGAGTTGTGTTCCTTTCGAGGAGAAGAGACGTTCTGGTTTTTGGAATTTTCAGCCTTTCTGCTGTGGTTTCTCCCTATCTTTGTGGTTTTATCTACCTTTGGTCTTTGATGTTGGTGACCTACGGATGGGGTTTTTGTGTGGATGTCCCTTTTGTTGATGTTTATGCTATTTCTGTATTTTAGTTTTTCTTCTAACAGACAAGCCTCTCAGTTGCAGGTCTGTTGGAGTTTGCTGGAGGTCCACTCCAGATCCTGTTTGCCTGGGTATCACCAGCAGAGTCTGCAGGACCGCAAATATTGCTGCCTCATCCTTCCTCTGGAAGCTTCGTCCCAGAGGGGCATCCACGTGTATGAGGTGTCTGTTGGATCCTACTGGGAGGTGTCTCCTGGTCAGGCTACACAGGGGTCAGGGACCCACTTGAGGAGGCAGTCTGTCCATTATCAGAGCTTGAATGCCATGCTGGGAGAACCACTCCTCTCTTCAGAGCTGTGAGGCAGGGACGTTTAAGTTGGAGAAGCTCTCTGCTGTCTTTTGTTCAGATATGCCCTGCCCCCAGAGATGGAATCTAGAGAGGCAGTAGGCCTTGCTGAGCTGCGATGTGCTCTGCCCAGTTCAAGCTTCCTTGCCACTTTGTTTACACTGTGAACATAGAACTGCCTATTCAAGCCTCAGCAATGGTGGACACTCCTCCCCTCACGAAGCTCCAGGGTCCCAGGTTGATCTCAGACTGCTGTGCTAGCAGTGAGCAAGGCTCTGTGGGCATGGGACCCACTGAGTCAGGCACAAGAGGGAATCTCCTGGTCTGCCAGTTGTGAAGACTGTGGGAAAAGTGCAGTATTTGGGCAGAAGTGTACTGTTCCCCCAGTTACAGAAACTCACGGCTTCCCTTGGCTAGGAAAGGGAAATCCCCCAACCCCTTGTGCTTCATGGGTGGGGTGATGCCCCATCCTTCCTTGGCATGCCCTTTGTGGGCTGCACCCCCTGTCCAACCAGTCCCAATGAGATTAACCAGGTACCTCAGTTGGAAATGCAGAAATCACCCATCTTCTGCGTCAATCTCACTGGGAGCTGTAGACTGGAGCTGTTCCTATGTGGCCATCTTGGAAGCCCATAATATCATAATTATAAATGGTGTAAATCATTGTAAAAATGTAATAAAATCTTGAAAAGGATATTTGATACCTATAGAAAATAGGGTATTCCAAAGGATTATGAATCATGCTGCTATAAAGACACATGCATATGTGTGTTTATTGCAGCACTATTCACAATAGCAAAGACTTGGAACCAACCCAAATGTCCATCAATGATAGACTGGATTAAGAAAATGTGGCACATATACACCACGGAATACTATGCAGCCATAAAAAAGGATGAGTTTGTGTCCTTTGTAGGGACATGGATGAAGCTGGAAACCATCATTCTCAGCAAACTGTCGCAAGGACAGAAAACCAAACACTGCATGTTCTCACTTACAGGTGGGAATTGAACAATGATAACACTTGGACACAGGGTGGGGAACATCACACACTGGGGCCTGTCCTGGGGTGGAGGGAGGGGGGAGGGATAGCATTAGGAGATATACCTAATGTAAATGATGAGTTAACTGGTGCAGCACACCAACATGGCACATGTATGCATATGTAACAAACCTGCACATTGTGCACATGTACCCTAGAACCTAAAGTATAAAAAAGAAAAAAGAATCAGAACACACACACACACACACACACACACAAGAAAATCGGGTATTGGGAAAATGTATTCTCAATAATAGCATTGTTTCCAGACCAAATGATTTTTTTTCCTGAAAAATTAATAAAGATGTTCAACCAATGGTACATACAAAATAAACTTTTGGTGGGTAAGCTTCTGTCTTACTACTACTAATAATGATTTTTTGAAAAGCCCAAGACTATACAAAAATGTGTATGCTAGTCATTTGTTTAGAGTTAGGTAATAGACCTAATAAGCATTTCAAAAGAGGTTGTTTTCATTTGCATTTTAAAATGTGTGTGCTATAGGAATGTATCATACTCCAATGAAAACAATTGATATTGCCTGAAAGACACTGCTTATTGGTGTGGCCACTTTGGGAATCAGATTTAAAAAACTCAACTTTTTACTATATAAGAATTTCAAACATATAGGAGAGTATACAGAGAGAGAGAATAATGTTAGTGTCCATTAAAATAACCTGGAAGGCTCATAAAAACAGATTGCTGAGATTTATTCCCAGAGTTTCTGTCAAGAGATATGAAGTGGGGCTTGCAATTTGCATTTATAACAAGTTTCCAGGTGATGCTGATGCTGCTGGTCCAGGAGCCACATTTTGAGAACCACAATTATAATGAATTCCTGTTTCCATCCTCAGCTAATAATCAACACATGACCAACTTGGTTTCATTCATACTCTCCACTCACGTTCCCCTCCTTTCCAATGTAAGGTTTAGGAGCAAATTCCACACATTTTATACTTTCATCTATAGGCTCTTCTGAATGTATCTCTGAAACAGAGATTGGCAGAATTCATGGAATCGCCTGTTTTTGTAAATAATGTTTTATTGGAACACAGCCACACCTATTTGTTTATGTGTTTATGGCTGCTTTCAGGCTATAAAGATATAGTTGAGTAGTTGCAACAGGGACTGTAGACACACTGCCTTTTCATGCTAAAATCCGTTTTCATGCTGCTGATAAAGACATACCTGAGACTGGGCAATCTACAAAAGAAAGAGGTTTATTGAACTTACAGTTCCACATGGCTGGGGAGGCCTCATAATTGTGGTGAAAGGTGAAAGATGAAAGGCACATCTTACATGGTGGCAGACAAGAGAAGAGAGCTTGTGCAGGGAAACTCCTCTTTTTAAAACCATCAGATCTCGTGAAACTTATTCACTATCATGAGAACAGCATGGGGAAGACCTGCCCCCCCATGATTCAATTACCTCCCACTGGGTCCCTCCCACAGCACGTGGAAATTCAAGATGAGATTTGGGTGGGGACACAGCCAAACCATATCAACACAAAGCCTAAAACATTTGCTATCTGGCCTTTTTCAGGTATTTGTCAAGTACCTGCTCTGTGCCAGGCATGTATACATAAGAACAATTCTAGTTCTGCTGCTACTGCTGCCTGCCTTGACAAGGAGCCTCATCATTGTCCTCTGGTTGTTACCCTCCTTCAAAGTGCTAGTTTATGTGCTGAGGCTGCTATCTGTCATTGCTTGCAAACCTAGCAGTCCTGGTTTTGTCAGGTTTTGGACAGCAGTGGGAAGATTTCTCCTATCTTGGTTGCTGTCATTTATCATGTGGGTTCTGGTAGAGTACCATTTGGTAACCTGAGTCTCACTAAGTCTTTCAGGAAAACAAGCTTCTTCACCTTTTGACTTCCTAATTTTTTCTACTGGGGCTTAAAGCACATAATCCATTGTTCTTGTCTCCTCTTTTCTTTCCAAACACCCACACACCAAACCCCTTATTCTTTAGCAAATTAAACCAAATCACAACTGCAAACAAATCAAACAAAGCAACCTTTCCATCCATCCTTATGTCAATTTATAAAAATAAGTTTCTGGAGGGGTCACTAGCTTGTCAATTTCACAGTAAGATCATTGCTTCCCAAACTTTAATGAGCAGATTTACTACCTGAAAGTATCTCGTTAAAATTATCAAAAGACAAAATTACAACTAATTAAGTTTAAAGATCTAATTTGCTTTATTAGCGATTCATGAATCAGGCAGTGTCTCATCTATAAAAATAGATAGGCGCTCCGATGAACTGAGCAGATGAGATTGGCTTTATAGGCAAGAAAATACTGAAGAAAGCAGAAACGGAACAAAAAGCAAATTGGTCATTTAAAAGTTACTTTCCTTATACGGTTAATATAGAGGTTACTTCCTTATCATGCTGGCTTAGGTAACTGGGCCCCTTCTGATTGGTTGCTGTGAATTTCCTGGTTTTGGAAAACTGGTCGGTTTCAAAGTCCAGTTTAATTACATGGCACCTAGCATAAGTGACTCCATTCTGGTTTGGGCTGGTCTATTGGGCCTAGTGCAGGAGCTCAGTCCAAAACAATGGCCTTCCATGAATTTCACTGAATGAAATGCAGATCCTGATTCAGCAGGACTGGGATGGAGCTGATACTCTGCCTTCTTAACAAGCTCCCAGGTTATGCTGCTGTTGCTGGTCTAAGGACTACATCTTGGGAGTAGCGAGGAGCTAGACTTTGCATTCCAGTTGTGGCTCAGCTGAGACACTCTACTAAACAACCAACATACATGGAAATTTATAGCAAATTGTATATTTTGGGTCACATTTGGGTTTTGATACAAAACCCAAATTCCCCAGTAAGAAGCCATCACAAGATGTGACTGTGCTGTCCAGGGGCTGCTGATCTTCATCTGTTGATTTGCTCTGGGAGGTTTCTTTCTGCAAACAAGATCCTAATCTACAGTCTCTGTTTATGAACTTTCTCCATGTTCCCAGTCAGCTGTTCTCAGTCCTGGCTGTGTATCAAAGTCCCTGCTGGAGTTCTTAAAAAAATGCAGCATCTCTAGGGGTGGGATCCAGGCATTTCTATTTCTATTCAGATGATTCTAATGTGCAGCCAGAGTTGAGAATCAATTTTTTTTTGTTGTTGTTGTTTGTTTTTGAGATGGAGTTTTGCTCTTGTTGCCCAGGCTGGGGTACAATGGTGCCATCTCAGCTCACTGCAACCTCTGCCTCCCAGGTTCAAGCAATTCTCCTGCCTCAGCCTCCCGAGTGGCTGGGATTACAGGAGCCCACCACCATGCCCGGCTAATTTTTTGCATTTTTAGTAGAGATGGGGTTTCACCATGTTGGCTGGGCTGGTCTTGAACTCCTGACCTCAGGGGATCCACCCGCCTTGGCCTGCCAAAGTGCTGAGATTACAGGCATGAGTCATAGCACCCGGCCAGAATCAATGTTTTAAATATGAAGTTTTTCGTTTCAGTGTTGCTAAGGTGATTTGCTCCCTCAAAAATGGCCCTACAAAAAGCCCACTGTTAATCCTTGTGAACTTGGGAACCCTACTCCATTTGTGCAGCACCATGGTTCTGCTTTTTTCCGGTGCTGAGCTCATTGAGGACACGGATTCTGCTCTCTTTTTATACCTACTGCTCAAATGGAAAGATGATTTTATTTCACCGTCTTTCACAAGATGAACAACTTCTCTATTGTGGTGCAAGTTGGAAACAGGGTCTTCCCATTAGGCAGAAACATGGAGACCCAGAAATGTCCTGAGCTGTTAAAAGGCTGGTTGGGTATTCTCAAAAGGTTTGTGTTGGGTGTTTTTCCTGATATTAACAGTGGACAGAGTTTTTAGGCCTGTCAAAACAGAGGCAGCAAAGTCTGTTGCAGACTTCAGCCAGGAGGAGGAAAACAGGAATGGAAAGGCCAGTTGCTGTTTAGGATTTAAAAAGCTTTAAAAGTTTGCCAACTGAGAAATGAGTTGTGCTGTTGCCCAATTATCCATCTACCTTCTCTGGTCCACTGGCTCCCTGGTATTTGTGCATTGAGAGAAATAAATGATCCTAGGGCAGAGATTTGAAAACCAACCTTTAGAACTGTTTGCCAGATTCTAACATTAAATAGGCTGAAGTTCAGCCCTTTTCAGTTACTGGAAGCATCCCTTTGTGTACTGAGCACTGGGTTTAAATGCTTTTTTTAAAAAAGTGAAATACGTACATTCCGGCTCTATCCCTTTCTTTCCTACACCAAACAAACCAACAAAATATATGTATATGTGTGTCTCTATATATATTTTTACATATCTATATATACATATACACATATACATATACATATATACATATACATATATACATACATACATATATACATATATACATATATATACACACACATATATATATGTGTATATATATGTTTTTTCCAAACCTTTCCCTCACCAGGAAAAAAAGAAAAACCCTATTAAAAAAAAAAAAGGATAAGAGACTGACTCTGACATCCTGCTTAATTTAAACTGTGCTTGTAAAGGTAGGTCTCTGAAAAGAACAAGTGTTAAAGTCATTTCGGGTTTGAACCATATGATTTGAACCAGTGGTTAATGGCTTCTCCATTCCTGAAGTGGCATTGTGAAGTAAAAGGTGAGGTATAAATCACCGTCAACCTGGACATGCCCATTCACTGAGGGAAAGCATTGCTGTACAGTCAGGGCTGAGAGGAGCAGAGTGTGTGGAAGAGTACAGTTAAGCAGAATTGAAGTGAATCCAATGATTAAACGCTGGAGGCAGGGCTGTTTAGACCTGTGAGAAAACTGCTTCAGAATCAAGAAGAATCTTAGCTTCTATTAAATAAATGGGGCCCAGCCTTGGGAGTTAGGCCATGTTCCAGTCACACCTGACTCAGAGGTTTCATTATCCAGAACGTTACAGTATTTTCCTAGTTTTCTGTGAGAATATACCTGGCCAAACAACTCATATAACAAAATGGGAAGGAGAGTGAGTTCCTTTGTGGGGAAGTGACATGCCCCTTGACATTCTCTCTCCCCACAGAATTTCCTTGTGCAGCTGCCTGCCATTTGCAGTCTTAGAAATGCCAAGTTAAGGGATGTGGGGGTGGGATGGGGGATGGAACATGTAGGAGAAGGCTGGAGGAGATCAAAACTTGCATAAGAAACTGACTTTGCTCTACTAAGGGAAAGAGAAGGGACTGAGCATTTATTGAGCATCTGTTATATTTTTGGTGCTTTATAAGTTATTGTATTAATCCTTATATAACCATCTGAAGTTGATGTTAAGGAACATTAAACAGCAATTTTAATATAAGACTTTTCATATTTTAATATGAAACTTAAATTGAAAGTGAATGTGGCAGATGGGACATTTTGTTTTTTCTCTTTCCCATTTTCACCTAAGGATGTCAAAACAGAATGGCTTTGCATGGCTGCGAATGTCCAAGTATTTGCAGAATGGCTATTCATTTTATCTTCCCAATGCTCCAAGGAATTTTTTTAGCAATTCCTTCTCATTTCCTAACAAACACCTTCTCTTCCCTCTTCCTTCATTTTCCTGATAGGAACCAGCTTCACTAATATGGACAATGAAGGTCTAGTAACTGCTTTCCCCAAAGAACAATGGAAGACCTAAATCAAATTTTAAATCATGGACTATCAAAGGAGATAAAATCTCTGGGCAAGACAGCCCCAGAAACCTTTTCTTCCCATTTGTTATATGGGTTGTTGGACCAGGTATTTTCTCACAGAAGACTAGGAAAATATTGTAACATTCTGGATGACATACTCTCTGAGTCAGGTGTGTCTGGAACATAGCCTGACTCCCAAGGCTGGGCCGCATTCATTTAATAAAATCTAAGATACTTCTTGACCAAACATTTTTGTCTTTTTTAAACCTCCAGACTCTGACAACTAAAAGGAAAGCCTAGACTCCTGGAGCTTTAAATATTATTATTTTACCAATGCAGAATCTGAGGCTCAGGAAGGTTATGTAAAGTGGCCAAGTGAACATCATTGGTGAGAGATGGAGTTGGAGCCGGAGCCCAGACGTGTCTGACTGTAAGGTCTGTGCCCCTTTACATCACACCTCATGTTGTAAGATCATTTTAAGGTGAGGCTACTTGAAGTCGGGGTTTGGGCTAATTTAGGCTTCTAAGTCTTTTTTACTTTATTCTCCAGAAAATATTAAGACCCATCAGGTATTTTAGAGAAAAATCAAGATGTTCTACTTGACATGCTTCTTGTGCTTTGTTATTCTGCTAGTCCGATTCTGTTGAAGAGCGTATCTAAACCTACCCACACCCACAAATAAGCCCCCATACACAAAACCAAACTTACACACAAATATTATATCCACAAACACTATTTGAACTCATTAAGCACAAACCTAATAAAACCCAGGTGACTTCAGGCAACAGCTTTTCCTTAGTAATTACCCTTGTAATTAGTAGTTACACTTGATACCCGATAACATGTGCAATCAAACCTGTATCAGTTATATACTGCTGCCTAACAAATTATCTAAAAAACCTAAAGGTTTAAAACAGGGATCAAAATGTATCCTTTGTAGTTTCTGTTGATCAGGAATTTGAGAGTGCGTGATGGCTTTGGGATGTGTCAACTTGGTGAGGTTGAACAATATTCCTCAGAATTCCCTTTCTAGTGTGTTTCCAGATAGAGTGAGCTGCTAGAGACATTGTCTCTTGAGAGTGGGAGGATAGAAAAGCAGCAGCAGCCGTATTGTAGTGTGCACACACACACACACACACACACACACACACCCCTTCTCCCAGTCATTCAGTCAAACACAAATCTAGGTGCTGCTGTGAAGGGATTTTGCAGATGTAATTGAAGTCCCTAATCAGTTGACTTTAAATTGGGTGGGCCTGACTTAAACAATTGGAAGCGCTTAAAAGAGGGCTTAAGACTTTTCTGAAGCTGGGAGAGAGGGGAGAAAGGGAGAGAGAGGAGATTTCCATTTGTAGATAACAGCTTTGGCCTGTGCCCATGTAGTTCCAGCTTGCTTGTTTGTGATCTTCCCTTGTTGTTGGCCTGTGGACAACAGCTGGGGTTCCAAGCCAGCTTGCTGGTGAGCTTCTCTTTCTGAAGGCCGCTCTATGGACTTCAGACTTGCCAAGCTGGCCCCCACCCACAATTTCACAAGCGAATTTCTTGTAATAAATTCATATATTGCCAACTGGTTCTGCTTCTCTTTCTGAACCAAAATTATAATACAGAGCAGCTTAGCTAGGCTATTATGGTTTGGAGTTTCTCATGAGGGTGTAGTCAAGATGTTGGCCAGTGTTGTAGTCATCAAGGCTTGACTGAGACTGAAAGATCTGTTTCCAAGATGACTCATTCATATAGCTGGCAAGCTGGTGCTAGCTATTTTCAGGAAGCCTTAGTTCCATGCCACTCAAACCTCTCCATAGACCTACTTGAATATTATCATGGCATGGCTGCTGGCTTCCTTTACGGTGAGTAATCCAAGAGAGCAAAAAAGCAGAAGCAGAATTGTCTTTGCTCATCTAGCATTGGCAGTCACACACCATCACTTCCACTGGTTTCTTTTGGTCACCCAGAGCAAGCCTGAAATGATATGGAAGGTGACTATACAAATGCATAAGTACCAGAAGGCAAGGATCAATAGCAGTCATCTTGGAGGCTGGCTACCACAAAACCTTTCTCATTTCAATTCATTATTTTGGTGCCATGTAGACACGGCTATAGTGTAATGGCTAAACATATTTTATGATTAAAAATTTTAAAAATTTAGATAGAATTTAATAAATTTTAAATAATCAATTTTAAAGATCATTTAAATAAAACAAAACATTTATATATAGAAATTTTAAATAAAAAAGTAATGAACCTATCACCGAGATTAATCACATTTAAAGAGTTGGCTAATTTTGTCTTATCTATTACTTTTACTCCACTTTTTTTTTTTTTGCTACAATATTTAAAACAAATTCCTAAAATCAAGGTATTTCACCTGTAAATATTTTCTTTTTTTTCCCTTCCAACTTTAATTTTAGGATTGGGGGTACATATGGAGGTTTGTTACATGTACAAATGTAAATGTAACATTGTAAACATGTATCACTGGGATTTGTTGTATGCGTTATTTCATCACCCAGGTAGTATGCATAGTATCCAATAGGTAGTTTTTCAACCTTCACCCTCCTCCCACCCTCCACTGTCAAGTAGGCCCTGGTGTCTATTATTCCCTTCTTTGTGTTCATGTGTACTCCATATTTAGTTTCCACTTATAAGCGAGAACGTGTGGTATTTGGTTTTCTGTTTATGTGTTATAATAATTTGCTTAGGATAATGGCCTCCAGCTGCATCCATATTACCACAAAGGACATGATTTCATTATTTTTTATGGCTATATATAATAGTATTTCTTGGTGTATATGTACCACTTTTTTTTATTCAATCCACAATTGATGAGCACCTGGGTTGATTCCATGTCTTTGTGACTATTCACTATTGTGAATGGTGCTGTGATGAACATATGCATGTGTATTAGTCCATTTTTACACTGCTATAAAGAACTGCCGGAGACCTGGGTAATTTATAAATAAAAGAGTTCTAATTGACTCACAGTTATGGATGGCTGGGGAGGCCTCAGGAAATCTACAATCATGGCAGAAGGTGAAGGGGAAGCAAGGCACATCTTACATAGCGGCAGGAGAGAGAGAGAGCAAGTGGGGAAGTGCCACAAATTTAAACCATCAGATCTCATGAGAACTCCCTAACATGAGAATAGCATTGGGGAAATCCACTCCCATGATCCAGTCACCTCCCACCAGGCCCCTCCCTGACACGAGAGGATTACAATTCAACATGAGATTTGGGTGGGAACACAGAGCCAAACCATGTCATTCTTCCACTGGAGCCTCCCAAATCTCATGTCCTTCTCATATTTCAAAATACAATTATTCAGTCTCAACAGTCCCCCAGTCTTTTTTTTTTTTTTTTAAATGGAATCACAACTTTAATGAAAACTTGTTTTAAGTAGCTGCCTATTTTGTGCCAGATGTTTTGTCAGGTACTTTGAATGTCTTTTTAAATTTATTATTTTAACAAACCAGTGAAGTGAGTATTCTTCTTCCCATTTTACAGATAAAGACAGTCTCAGAGAAAGTTTGTGGCTTGTCATTTACACACCTAGGAACTGTCAGAATCAATTAGAACCCAGGTCAATTTGAAGGTTCTTTCCACTACATCACCCTGCCTCTCACATTTTAGATACTGAGTAATAAACGTTCAATATTTAAACACAGAAGCATAATACTGCAGACATTAGAGTAAGAAGAGCATTATTTCATATAAATATAACCCTTCTCCTTTAAAGGAACTCCGAAATTATTCTTAGGTTTGGTAATTTAACATAATCCTATTTTTGATTCTTTTTTCTTTGTCTTTGTCAAATTGGGTTAATTCAAAAGCCTTGTTTTCAAGCTCTGAAGTTCTTTATTCTACTTGTTCAATTCTATTGTTGAAACTTTCCAGTGTATTTTGCATTTCTCTGTGTTTTTCATTTCTAGAAGTTGTGATTTTTTAATTTATGATATCTGTTTCTCTGGAGATTTTTTCATTTATATCCTGTATTTTAAAAAATGTCTTTAAGTTGTTTTTCACCTTTCTCTGGTGCCTCCTTGAGTAGCTTCATAATTGACCTTCTGAATTATTTTTCTGGCAATTCAGAGATTTCTTCTTGGTTTGGATCCATTACTGATGAGCTAGTGTGAACTTTTGGGGGTGTTATAGAACTTTGTTTTGTCATATTATGAGAATTGTTTTCTGTTCCTTTTCATTTGGGTAGACTATGTCAGAGGAAAGATCTGGACTCAAGGGTTGCTGTTTAGATTCTTTTGTTCCATGGGGTGATCCCTTGATGTGGTGCCCTCCCCACTTCCCTAGGCTTGGGGCTTCCTAAGAGCTGGGCTAAAGTGATTGTTATTGCTCTTCTGGGTGTAGCTACCCAGCAGAACTACCAGGCTCTAGGCTGGTACTGGGGAGTGTCTGCAAGGATTCCTGTGATGTGATCCATCTTCAGGTCTCTCAGGCATAGATACCAACACCTGCTTTTGTGGAGGTAGCAGGAGAGTGAAGTGGACTCTGTGAGAATCCTTGCTTGTAGTTTTGTTTAGTGCACTGGTTTTCTTAAATGCTGGTTATGCTAGCAGTGAAGTTGTTAAGTGGACAGACTCAAGACCTCTGGTTATCCAGGTGGTTGAATTAGCCATTGTTTTCTCTTTCCTTGGAGTTCAGTTGGTTGGCCTTCTCTTTCCTTGGAGTAGAATTGGTTTCCTAATGACTTGAGTTGGTTGGCTTCCAGCCAGGAGGTGGTGCCTTCAAAAGAGCATGAGCTGTGGTAGTATAGGGGGGATTCAAGCTTGCCCTAAGGTTGCCTGGATAAGTATTTGGGTTTCTCAGGTGATGGGCAGGGTCTTAGAGTTCCCTTCAGTTTATGTCTCTTGTTGTTGTTTTGTTATCAGCTACCAGGGTGGGTAGAGAAAGACCATCAGGTAGGGGCAGGGTTAGGTGGGTCTGAGCTCAGACTGTCCTTGGGTGGGGCTTGCTGTGGCCATTGTTGGGGATGGGGTGGTTCTCATGCCAATGGAGTTATGTTCCAAGGGGGATTATGGCTGCCTCTGCAGCTTCATACAGGTCCCCAGGATGGTTGGAGAAAGCCGGCAGTGACAGGCCTTACCCAGCTCTCATGCAGCCAGCAAAGCTAATCTCACTCCCGCTGTACTCTCCCAACAGCCAACAGAGCTGAATTTATATCCAGGTCACCAGTGTGCGGGGCTGAGATCTTGCCCCAGGCTACAAGCCTCCCTGCTGAGAAAGCAAGCAGGGCTTTCAGTACTTGCTACTCCCTGACTGCCATGGCTTCTGTGCTAATATCTGTACTTCCTGTTTGACCCCTGGCTACTGCCCAGGAAAATTCATGCTTTGTCAAAATTATTACAAAGTTCAGCTTAAAGTCTCCTTTTCCCTGTGGCTTTTCCCCAATTCTACTGGCTGCTGTCCCCAGAACCCCCGTGAGATAAAGTTAGAAATGGCTTCCCTGGAGACCAGGAGTGCCTACATAGCTCTTCCTACTGCTGCTTTTATTTTATATTTTGCTTGGCTCTCTAAATTCATTTCAGCTCTAGTTAAGGTTAGATCCTTCTCCTGTGATCTGGATTTTCAGGTTCCTCAGGATGTGTGTTCAGAGGCAGACTTTCACCCTCTCATGCTTTGGGCACTTGCAGTTTTTTGGCTGTCTCATGGAGTTTGCAGCAGCAAGCTGCTTCTTTGAAAGGGTCTATGAAATTTTTTGTTTTCTTGGTATGTTCCTGCAGTGGTTCTTGCAGCAATATTTTACATTGTGAGTCTCCACATACTGTCTGTCCATTTGAGTGGGAGCTACATCCATTTGAGTGGGAGCTACAAGTTAGTCCTACCTCCTTTCCAGATTTTTTTTCTTCTTTCAGTCTCCCAGTCTTAACTCATTTCAGCATTAACTCAGAAGTCCAAAGTCCAAAGTTTCATCTGAGACAAAGTAAGCCCCTTCTACCTATGAGCCTGTAAAATCAGAAACGAGTTAGTTACTTTCAAGACACAGTGTGGGTACAGGCATTGGGTAAGTGCTCCCATTCTGAATGGGAGAAATTGGCCAAAACAAAGGGGCTACAAGCCTCAATGCAAGTTCATAATTTAGCAGGGCAGTCATTAAATCTTAAAGCTTCAAAATAATCTCCTTTGACTCCACATCCCACATCCAGGGCACACTGATGCAAGGGGTGGGCTCCCAAGGCCTTGGGCAGCTCCTCCCCTGTGGCTCTACAGGGTACAGCCCCTGTAGCTGCTTTCACAGGCTGGTGTTGAGTGCCTGCGTCTTATCTAGGTGCATGGTGCAAGCTGTCAGTGGTTCTACTGTTTTGAGGTCTGAAGGACAGTGACCCTCTTCTCACAGCACCACTAGACAGTGCCCCAGTGGGGTCACTGTGTGGGGGCTCCAACCCCACATTTCTCCTCTGCCCTATGCTGTAGAGGTTCTCCATGAGGGCTCTGCCCCTGCAGCAGACTTCTGCCTGGACATCCATCTATTTCCATACATGCTTTGAAATCTAGGCGGAGGTTCCCAAACTCTTGCCTTCTGCATACCCACAGGCCCAACACCACATGGAAGCTGCCAAGGCTTGGGGCTTGCACCCTATGAAGCAATGGCCTGAGCTGTACCTTGACACCTTTTAGCCATGGCTGGAGCTGGAGCAGCTGGGACACAGGGTACCATGTCTCGAGGCTGCAGAGAGCAGCATGGCTCTGGGTCTGGCCCATGAACCCATTTTTCCCTCCTAGGCCTCCAAGCCTGTGATGGGAGGGGCTGCCACAAAGATCTTAGAAATTCCCTGGAGACATTTTTCTCACTGACTTCACTATTAACAATTGGCTCTTTGTTACATATGCAAATTTATATAGCTGTCTTGAATTTCTCCCCAGAAAATGGGTTTTCTTTTCTGCTACAGGGTCAGGCTACACATTTTCCAAACTTTTGTGTTCTGCTTCCCTCTTAAATATAAGTTCTAATTTCAGACCATCTCTTTCTTCATGTATATGAATGTACACTTTTAGAAACAGCCATATTACATCTTGAGTGCTTTGTTGCTTAGAAATTTATTCTGTCAGATACCTTAAATCATGTCTCAAGTTCAAGTTCCACAAATCTCTAGGGCAAGGGCAAAATGCTGCCAGCCTCTTTGCTAAAGCATAGAAAGAGTGACTTTTACTCCAATTCCCAATAAGTTCCTCATCTCTAGATGAGACCACCTCAGACTGGACTTTATTGTCCATATCACTATGAACATTTTGGTCAAAACCATTCAACAAGTCTCTAGAAGGTTCCAAACTTTCCCACATCTTCCTATCTTCTTCTAAGCCCTCCAAACTGTACAAACCTCTGTCCATTACCCCATTCCAAAGTCATTTCCACTTTTCAGGTGTCTTTATAACAGTGGTTCACTCTGCTGGTACCAATTTTCTATATTAACCAATTTTCACACTGCTATAAAAAGAACTACCTGAAACTAGGTAACTATAAAGAAAAGAGTTCTAACTGACTTACAGTTCCACATAGCTGGGGAGGCCTCAGGAAACTTACAATCATGGCAGAAGGTGAAAGGAAAGCAAGGCACATCTTACATGGTGGCAGGAGAGATAGAGTGAGGGGAGAAGTGCCACACTTTTAAACCATCAGATCTTGTGAGAACTCAGTCAATATCATGAGACCAGCATGGGGGAAATCCACCCCCATGATCTAATCACTCCCATCAAGTCCCTCCCCTGACATGTGAGGGTTAAAATTTGACATGAGATTTGGGTGGGGACACAGAGCCATACCATATCAGCATGTATGTATCATTATGTAGTATGATTTATGTTCCATTGGGCATATACCTAATAATGGGATTGCTAGGTCAAATGGTTATTCTATTTCATTTTTTTATTTTTATTTTTTATTATACTTTGAGTTTTAGGGTACATGTGCACAACGTGCAGGTTTGTTACATATGTATACATGTGCCATGTTGGTGTGCCACACCCATTAACTCATCATTTAACATTAGGTATATCTCCTAATGCTATCCCTCCCCACTTCCCCCACCCCACAACAGGCCCCAGTGTGTGATGTTCCCCTTCCTGTGTCCATGTGTTCTCATTGTTCAATTCCCACCTATGAGTGAGAACATTAAGTTCTTTGAGAAATCTCCAAATTGCTTTCCAGAGTGGTTGAACTAATTTGCATTCCCATCAGCAGTGTATAATTGTTTCCTTTTCCCTGCAACTTTGCCAGCATCTGTTATTTTTTGACTGTTTAATAATTGCAATTTTGACTGGTGTGAGATGGTATCTCATTGTTGTCTTGATTTGCATTTCTCTAATGTTTAGTGATGTGCAACATTTTTCAAAATGTTTGTTGGCTGCCCAAATGTCCATCAGTGATAGACTGGATTAAGAAAATATGGCACATATACACCATGGAATACTATGCAGCTGTAACAAACGATGAGTTCATGTCCTTTTTAGGGACATGGATGAAGCTGGAAACCATCATTCTCAGCAAACTATCGCAAGGACAGAAAACCAAACACCGCATGTTCTCACTCATAGGTGGGAATTGAACAATGAGAACACTTGGACACAGGTTGGGGAACATCACACAACAGGGCCTGTTGTGGGGTAGGGGGAGGGCGGAGAGATAGTATTAGGAGAAATACCTAATGTAAATGATGAGTTAATGCATGCAGCACACCAACATGGCACATGTATACATATGTAACAAACCTGCACATTGTGCATATGTACCCTAGAACTTAAAGTATAATAATAAAAAGAAAATGTTTGTTGGCTGCTTGTATGTCTTCTTTTGAGAAGTTTCTGTTCATGTCCTTTGCCCACTTTTTAATGGGGTTGTTTTTTGTATGTTGAATTGCTCCTTATAGATTCTGGATATTAAAACTTTGTCAGATGCAAACTTTGCAAATATTTTCTTCCATTCTGTAGGTTGTCTGTTTACTCTGTTGATAGTCTATTTTGCTATGCAGAAGGTTTATTAGGACTCACTTGTCAATTTTTGTTTTAGTTGCAATTGCTTTTGGTGTCTTTGTTATGGAACCTTTGCTAGGGCCTATGTCCACAGTGGTATTTCCTAGGATTTCTTCTAGGATTTTTATAACTTTAGACTTTACATTAAAGTCTTTAATCCATCTTGAGTTGATTTTTTTTATACGGTGAAAGGAAGGGATCTAGTTTCAATCTTCTGCATATGGCTGCCAGTTATCTCAGCATCATTTATTGAATAGGGAATCCTTTCCCCATTGCTTGTTGTTGTTGACTTTGTCAATGCTCAGATGGTTGTAGGTGTGTGGATTTATTTCTGGGTTCTCTAACCTGTTCCATTGCTCTATGTGTCTGCTTTTGTACCAATACCATGCTGTTTTGATTACTGTAGCCTTGTAGTATAGTTTGAAGTTGGGTAGTATAATACCTTTGACTTTGTTCTTTTTACTTAAGTTTGCTTTGGCTATTCAGGCTCTTTTTTGTTTCTATATACATTTTAGAATAGTTTTTTTCTGACTCTGTGAAAAGTGTCCATTGGTAGTTTGATAGGAATAGCATTGAATCTGTAAATTGTTTCGAGCAATATGGTCATATATTCTTCCTATACATGAGCATGAAATGTTTTCCCATTTGTTTATGGCATCTCCGATTTCTTTCAGTAGTGTTTTGTAATTCTCATAGTAGAGATCTGTCACTTCCCTCGTTAGCTGTATTCCCAGGTATTTTATTTTATTTTTGTGGCTATTGTGAATTGGATTACATTCTTGATTTGACTCTCAGCTTAAAAATTGTTGGTGTATAGAAATGCTACTGATTTTTTATACATTGATTTTTTGTCATGAAGCTTTGAGGAAGTTGTTTATCAGATTTAGGAGCCTTTGGACAGAGACTATGGAGTTTTCTAGGTATAGATTTGTATCATCTGTGAAGAGAGATAGTTTGACTTCCCGTCTTCCTATTTAGATGCCTTTTATTTCTTTCTCTTGCCTGATTGCTCTGGCTAGGACTTTCAGAACTGTGTTGAATAGGAGTGGTGGGAATGGGCATCCTTATCTGTTCCAGTTCTCAAGGGGAATGCTTCTAGCTTTTGCCTGTTCAGTATGATGTTGGCTGTGGATTTGTCATAGATGGCATTTATTATTTTGAGGTATGTTCCTTCAATGTCTAATTTGTTGACAGTTTTTATCTTGAAGGGATGTTGAATTTTATCGAAGGCCTTTCCTGTGTCTATTGAGATGATCATGTGGTTTTTGTTTTTAGTTCTGTTTAGGTGATGAATCACATTTATTGATTTGCATATGTTGAACCAACCTTGCATCCCAGGGATAAAGCCTACTTGATCATGGTGGATTATCTTTTTAATGAGCTGCTGGATTTGTTTTGGCAGTATTTTTAAAAATTTTTTTATTATACTTTAAGTTCTAGGGTACATGTGCACAATGTGCAGGTTTGTTACATGTGTATACATGTGCCATGTTGGTGTGCTGCACCCATTAACTCGTCATTACATTAGGTATATCCCCTAATGCTATCCCTCCCCCCAACCCCCACCCCATGACAGGCCCCAGTGTGTGATGTTCCCCTTCCTGTGTCCAAGTGTTCTCATTGTTCAATTTCCACATATAAGTGAGAACATGCAGTGTTTGGTTTTTTTGTCCCTGTGATAGTGCGCTAAGAATGATGGTTTCCAGCTTCATACATGTCCCTACAAAGGACATGGACTCATCCTTTTTTATGGGATTTGGCAGTATTTTGTTGAGGATTTTTGCATCTATGTTCATCAGGGGTGTTGGCCTAAAGTTTTAAAAAATTTTTTTGTCTCTGCCAGGTTTTGGTTTCAGAATGATGCTGGCCTCATAGAATGAGTTACGGAGGAGTCCCTTCTCCTGACTTTTTTTTTTTGGAATAGTTTTAGTAGGATTGATACAGTTCTTCTTTATATGCCTGGTAGAGCTTGGCTGTGAGTCTGTCTTTTTCAGGGCTTTTTCTGGTTGGTAGGCTTTTTATTACTGATTCAGTTTTGAAACTCATTATTGGTATGTTCAGGGTATTAATTTATTCCTGGTTCAATCTTGGGAGGTTGTATGTTTCCAGGAATTTATCCACTTCTAGGTTTCCTAGTTTGTGCGCATAGAGGTGTTTGTAATAGTCTCTGAGGGTTTCTTGTATTTCTATGGGGTTGGTAGTAATGTACCCTCTGTCATTTCTGATTCTGTTTATTTGGATATTCCTTTTTTAAATTAGTTTAGCTAGCAGTCTATCTATCTTATTTATTCTTTAGAAGAACCACTTTTGATTTTGTTGATCTTTTGTATGGTTTTTCACATCTCTGTTTTGTTCAGTTCAGGTCTGATTTTGGTTATTTCCTGTCTTCTGCTAGTTTTGGGGTTGGTTTGTCAGTTCCTTATTTTTAAAGTTCCTCTAGGTGTGATGTTAGGTTGTAAATTTGAGATCTTTCTAACTTTTTGATGAGGGCATTTAGCACCACAAACTTTCCTCTTAACACTGCTTTAACTGTTCCAGGGATTCTGGTATGCTGTATCTTTGTTTATATTAATTTCAAAGAATTTCTTGATTTCTGCTTTAATTTCATTCTTTACCCAAAAGTCATTCAGAACCAGATTGTTTAATTTTCATGTAATTGTATGGTTTTGAGAAATCTTCTTGTTATTGATTCTATTTTTATTGTGCTGTGCTCCAAGAGTGTGGTTGGTGTGATTTTGGTTTTCAAAAAGTTGTTGAGAATTGCTTTATGGCTGGGCATGTGGTCAGTTTTAGAATATGTACCACGTTTAGATGAAAAGAATGTATATTCTTTTACTGTTGGCTTGAGTGTTCCATAATCTGTTAGGTCCATTTGGTGAAGTGTCAAGTTTAGGTACCAAATATCTTTGTTAGCTTTCTGCCTTGATGATCCACCTAATACTGCCAGTGGGTTGTTGAAGTCTCCTGCTATTGTTGTGTGGTTATCTAAGTGTCTTCAAATCTTTTCTAAGAACTTGTTTTATGAATTTGGGCGCTCCAGTATTGGCTGCATATATATTTGGGACAGTTCAGTCTTCTTGTTGAATTGAACTCTTTATCATTATGTAATGCCCTTCATTGTTCCTTTTGATTGTCATTAAAATCTGTTTTGTCTGAAATAAGAATAGCAACTCCTATTCTTTTGTGTTTCCATTTGCTTGAGAAATTTTACTCCACCCATTTACTTTGAGCTTATGGGTGTCATTGCATGTGAGATGGGTCTCTTGACGGCATACATTTGGGTCCTGCTTCTTTATCCAGCATATCACTCTGTGCATTTTAAGTGGGGTGTTTAGCCCATTTATGTTCAAGGGTAATATTGATATGTGTGGATTTTATCCTGTCATCATGTTGTTATATACTTAAGTGTATTTTTGTGGTGGCCGGTAATGGTCTTTCCTGTCCATGTTTGACATGACCTTAAGGACCTCTTGTAAGACAAGTTTGGTGGCAATGAATTCTCTTAGCATTTGCTTGTCTGTAAAGGATTTTATTTCTCCTTTGCTTATGATGCTTAGTTTGAGTGGATATAAAATTCTTGGTTGGCATTTTTTTTCTCTTAGGCTGCTGAAAATAGGCCCTCAATCTCTTCTGGTTTGTAGGGTTCTACTAAAAGGTCTATTATTACCCTGATGGAGTTCCCTTTGTAGATGAAAGCCTCTTCCCTCTGGCTAGATTTACTATTTTTTCTTTTGCATTGACCCTGGAGAATCTGATGACTATGTCTCCTGGGGATGGTAATCTTATATAGTATCTCATAGGGGTTTTCTGAATTTCCTGAGTTTGAATGTTGACTTCTGTAGCAAGGCTGGTGACATTTTCATGGGCAGTATTCTCAAATATGTTTTCCAAGTTGCTTGTTCTCTCTTTCTCTCTTTTTGGGATGCCAATGAGTTATAGGTTTTGTCTGTTTATATAATTCCGTATTTCTCAGAAATTTTGTTCATTTTTAAAACTTCTTTGTTTATTATTTTTGTCTGACTGAATTTATTTGAAAAACTGGTCTTTGAGCTCTGAGATTCTTTCCTCAGCTTGGTGTATTCTGCTGTTAATACTTCTGATTATGTTATAAAATTATTGTAATAAGTTTTTCAGCTCTATCAGATCAGTTTGGTTCTTTCTTAAAATGGCTGTTTAATCTTTCAGCTCTTGAATAATTCTACTGGATTCCTTAGATTCCCTGGATTGGGTTTCATCTTTCTCCTGCATCTCAGTGCTCTTAATTGCTATCCAGATTCTGAATTCTATGTCTGTCATTTCAGCCATTTGAGTCTGGTTAAGAACCATTATTGGGGACCTAGTGAAGTCATTTGGAGGTAAGAAGACACTCTAGTTTTCTAGCTTTTAGAGTTTCAGAGTTTTGTGCCTTTAAAAAAATATATATGTTTGGGCTCATGTTTCTTTAATCTTTAAAGTTGCTGTTTTTTTTGGATGGGGCTTTTTGCTTTCATATTCTTTGATGCACTTGAGGGTTTGATGGTAATATAAGTTGGGTTTAGCTGACTGGCTTTGTTTCTGGATGATTTCAGGGGGCCGAGGCTCAGCTCAGCATTCTTGTACTATGTGCTGTGACCCTGGGGGTCTGGGACTAGGTCCATGGCTTTGTTCTCCATCCCCTTGAGGTTAAGCACCTACAGGACTGCAGGGGCTGAGATATTCCTGGTCTTCTGGTAACAACACTCTGACTGCAGAAGGTGCTGGCAAAACTACTTTGTCAGGGCAGTGACTGCAGAGCCTGTGCTTACATACACAAGCCAGCAATAGCAGGGTGGTTGTGTGGTAGGGTCTGCACCCATGCACTAGTGGCAGTGGTATGGTGGGGTCCCCATGTACATGTCAGTAGCAGTAGGATGATGGGGTTTGCGTGTGGACACATGTACCGTCAAAGCAGTGGGGGGAGGCTGAGAGTGAGTGCATGTTGGCAAAGTGGTGGTGGTGGGGGTGGCTGTGGGTATGTGTGTGCTGGTGGGGGCCTATCTGCAGAAGCTTTCTAATGGTTAGACAAGATCTGCCTGCAAAAGAGTTATAGCAGTGACCACTGGGAAGCACTCTGGTTGGGCATCTTGAGGCTGCACTACAAGTGGGTGCAGCCAGGCAGGGCCCCTGGCAGAAGCCAGCAGATAGAAGGGTGCTTAGATCAGACTGGCCCCATCTCATGGGCAAGATAGCTCTGTTCTGTCCAAATCCAACAGTTAAGAAAGGCCAAATCCACGTAGAAGAGCCTGATGAGCCTTGGGGATACATGTCCCTGGCCATGCTCCACTGCAACCATTCCTATGCCAAACTCTCTGGGCTCCATGCAGTCCAATCTGATATATTGTAATACATGTTATATGAATAGGGACCATGGGGTGGAGTTTCTGCAGTGACAGGAGATCTTTAAGATAGGTTACCACTATGTTACATTGTAGACAGAATTCATAGAAGTCAGATTCTAGTCATGGCTAAATCTAGGCAAAATTGAAGTAGACATTATTCTTTTGTCTTTTCCCAGTTTCCTCATCTATGCTTTTCCCCCTTTCCTGAGTCTTCAACTCTGCTTGCTCAGGGTTTGCAGATGCTACTTTATTTCTTCTCACTTAGGAAAAAAGCTCATTCACATTTATGTTGTTACGGATGACCATCCAGGGGAAACAGTATGTTGTAGGGGAAAAGAGCAAGCGTTTTAAGGCAGATGAAACAGGGTTTCAATCCTGTCTCTGCTTGTTGCATTTTATAAAAAGAATGCCTGGAAATGCCTGGATTGAGATTGCTGAACCCCATATAATGTGTCACTAATGGAGAACTTTCAGGCACTGGGAAGGAAGATATTTCTGGGTTGAGGACACTTTTCACATGTCTCTCAAATTCTTCATTTAATCATTTAATTTTACATTTGGCAAGAAAATAAGAACTCTTTACAAAGTTTTCTCACATAAAAGAAAACATATTTGTAGGTGTTGAAAACAAAACAAACCCTTACAAATATCTCCTCATGTTGACAGGCATTACTACGTTTTTGTAGAAAGACTTTCAGAAGATGGAAAACCATACATCCTGTATGTCCAGGGGTTAAAGCAGACAGGACAGACTTTTTTTTTGGCACTGGAGTAAGTATGTCAAGTCTGGCCATATTTGCATATGCTGTATTTTAAAATCATGTTTAAAAATGTCTCATATATTCTGAATCTGGCAAGTGGAAGGCAAGGAGGTCACCTGTACAGCTGGTGCAGGTAATAGAATTCCCATCAGGCACATTTTGAAGCTCCAAAGTAATGTGACAAATGGAACACTCCATCTGTTGGGAGCCCATTGAGATGAGCACCAGCTCCACAGACACTTTAATATGGGTGGAATATTTTGATGGCAACCATTTATATTAAGTATCTTTAATTTCATTTACTTTCTGTGTAATTATTCTAGAAGTAGTCACAAATATGAACTGTACAGAAGCACATATGCTGGCAAGAATTTATAATATTTCTGTCTTAATGATACTACATGAAGAAAAATAATGGAAACATATTTTAACACAAGACACTTTATAAATCATGCATTATTAAAAACTGTTTAATCAAAGCTTGGTGGCAGTTTACTCATAATATTCAAAATGACCATGAACAACTACATGAAGAATATTTAAGATAAGAAAATATAATAAACATTCTCTAAAACATGCTGTCATTTTAAACACCTTGGGTCACTAAAGAAAAAACATAGGTAATTAAAAAGAAAAATCATTTTTAGTGAATTATTAAATGTAATACATAACTGGATCTAGGTTTTCTCAGAAGAAGGGGCAGGCAAAAAAAATTTATCTGAATATAGGTGTTAGGATAGGTGAGATCACTGAAACTTCTACTAATAATTAACACTTAGCTTCAATATTTGTACTGAACTCTGGTAGCCCTCATTTGGGAGCAGCAGTACTCAATCAAGATATGTCCTTTGTGAGGTGTGTCACAAGTAATTTATTATTAATAACAGTTACCCAAGTTTTAAAATGAATTGCTTGTTAGAAATTATAGCAAATTCAAAGTGATCTGCATGATGATGTCATCCAAGGACATGGGTCTCTTTGGCACTTCTGTGAGTCTTCAAAGATGCGAGTGAGTTGGAGAAGGGGAAATTGTACACAACCTGCAGCACATAACATCTGTACCAAAGCCCTTAATCTTGGTGCTACTCATGAATGCCATTCATCACGTATGTTGCAGTGGGTATAATAAGATTGGGAGCTGCCAAATACCTGATATGCAAAGGTTGGTTATGGTGCTAGAGATCCCTCAGGGGCTGGCCTGATAACCCTCCTGCTTCTTGCTTAGCTCTTCATAATCAGGGATGATGCTTAATGTTTCCAGAGGCTAGTGTTTCTGTTACTGTCTTTTAATTAAATGTCCTTCTACAACACTTGCGTGAAGAATGCTCACAAAGGAGAGCTCCTGCTTGGCCAGGAATGTATATTTTCCTGGATTATGGAGTCAGGGTCCAAGAAAAGCAAAATGTAACATCATTAGACGAAAGTAAGAAATAAAGCAGTGAGAAGCAATAATGGGCTCTTTATTGAGCTCTTTTTATGATTGATAATATTATATATTATTAAGTGCTTTAAACATACATTAATTGTTTCAACACTCCTCTGAAATAAGTATTACTATCTCCATTTTACCGATGGGGTAACTGAGCCTCAGGGAGGTTAAAAACCTCACTCAGGATTCCAGCCAGTGAGTGACAGAACCGGGTTGAAACCCATGACTTTGTGACAGTAATGGCCATAGTCATATCTGTTATGATGTATTGTTGCAAAGTAAGAGAAGTTCCCACACTCCATGAGTGTACCAGTTCAAAAGATGTAACAAAAATTGTCATTCTGTAATAACATTGACTTACACTTAAAAAAACTATTATGGATTTCAAAACTTTTCAAAGTTCTGGAAGAAAGACAGTCAGGAACTTTACAAATTATTGGTTTATAGTTCATACATTCAGTCTTCACAAAGTCCTAATTAGGCTTTCAGTATAGGGGACATTTTGAGGAACAAGAGATGAGTCACGAGTTTGACCTCCAAAGATCAAGTTGTGGAGGTATCATGTATGATATATTTATGTGTAGAAATAACTTGAAACATCAAACCACAAGTTGAGCTTTCCTTCTCTTGTGACCATCCACCCATGTATTACCCAAGTCCAGACCCAATGGCAGTTTGCCAAGTGTGAGCCAAAATGAGTGTGGTCCCAGAAGAACTGGTTCATCTTCCTCTGGTCTGGAGGGGAAATACAAAGCCAGCAGAAGAGGCTTCTTTGAGACAGCAGAGTTCATGGAGTGTTACATTAGACACCTGGTCCCTTACCCTTTCTCCTTTCTGCAGGGGGTATGGAGGGTACTCGACCTGTTCTCTCTGCAACCCTCACCAGCCCAAGGGGTCCCAGGAGAGTGTTCCACGGGGTTTAAAGAGTGATTCTAGAACATGGGGCTGCACGTATTTCTTGCCAGGAACTCTCACAAAGACTGGGGGCTGACAGTTTTACAGTACAATAGCTGAGTGGGAAACAACTGTGGAGTGGTGGAGCTGAGAGAGCTGGAGAGAGCGTGTGGCTCCCACCACATGACATGGCAAGGATACCTGAGTTTTCTGCAGGCTCAGAACCACCTTCAGAGTTAGTGGGTCAGTGGCTGGTTTGCAATCCTGCCATTTCCCCCAGGATGTAGAGTCAGCAGGAAGGAAGAGAAAAATGCTGGAAAACAGATTTGGATGACATTGACTGTGATAGTATTTCCTAAATTAGATTAGAAAACACCACTGGAAAGGCTTCAAGATAGCTAACTAGAGGCACCTGCTACTGGCCTACCCCACAAAGAAGAACCAAAATAGTGAGCAGATAATCACACTTCAAATAGATCATCTATGAGAGAATGCTGGAATTCAGCAAAGAAGTGACAGGAAACACCTAAAGCAAGGAAGGAGAGGGAAGTGAGGCAGCCTGCTCAGTTGGGATCAGATGGGAGCCTGGGAGAGGGTTCCCAATGCAGGTAAAGTGAGAGACCCACAGGACTCCACATTCCAACCATGGACTTTCTTTCTTTCTTTTTTTTTTTGAGATGGAATCTCACTCTGTCACCCAGGCTGGAGTGCAGTGGTGTGATCTCAGTTCACTGCAACCTCCACCTCCGAGGTTCAAGTGATTCTTCTGCCTCAGTCTCCCGAGTAGCTGGGACTACAGGTGCACACCACCACTATTTTTTTTTAGTAGAGACGGGGTTTCACCATATTGGTCAGGCTGGTCTTAAACTCCTGACCTCATTATCCACTGGCCTCAGTCTCCCAAAGTACTGGGATTAGAAATGTCAGCCACCGCGCCTGGCCCATGGACTTTCTAATACTAGAAGTCCTACCTAGAGCAATTAAACAAGAGAAATAAATAAAAGGCATCCAAAGTGGAAAGGAATAATAATCCAAATTATCTTTGTTTGCAGATGATATGATTTTAGATATGATCTCAGATATCGTATCATCTGCAAAACTAAAAAAACCTAAAGAAAAAAATCTAGGAAAACCTAAAGACTCTACCAAAAAACTATTAGAACTGATAAACAAATTTAGTACAGTTTCAGGATACAAAATCAACATACAAAAATCAGTAGCATTTCTTTATGTCAACTGCAAGCAGTCTGAAAAAGAAACCAAGAAAATAATCCATTTACAGTAGCTACAAGTAGAACTAAATTCTTAGGAATAAACTTAACGAAAGCAATGAAACATCTCTACAATGAAAACTATGAAACATTGATGAAAGAAATTGAAGAGGGCACAAAAAAATGGAAAGAGATTCCATGTTTGTGAATTGGAAGAATCAGTATTGTCAAAATGTTCATACTAACCAAAGCAATCTACAGATTCAATGAAATGTCTGTCAAAATACCAATGACATTCTTCACAGAAATAGAAAAAAATCCTAAAATCTATATGGAACCACAAAAGACCCAGAATAGCCAAAGCAATCCTGAGCAAAAATAACAAGGCTGGAAGCATCACATTACCTGACTTCAAATTATACTACAAAGCAGTAGTAACCAAAACAGCATCGTGTGGACATAGAAACATAGACCAATGGAACAGAATAGAGAACCTAGAAATAAATTCATACATTTACAGTCAACTCATTTTTGACAAAAGTGCTAAGAACAAACATTGGGAAAAGGACAGTCTTTTCAACAAATGGTGCTGGGAAAACTGGAGGTGCATATGCAGAAGAATGAAACAAGATCCCTGTCTCTTACCATATACAAAAGTCAAATAAAAATGGATTGAAGACTTAAATCTAAGACCTCAAACTATGAAATGTCTAAAAGAAAACATTAGAGAAACACTCCAGGACATTGGTCTGGGTGAAGATTTCTTGAGTAAGACCTCGAAAGCACAGGCAAACAAAACAAAAATGGACAAACAGGTCACATCAAGCTAAAAAGTTTCTGTACAGCAAAGGAATCAACTAACAAAGTGAAAAGCTAATATACAGAATTGGAGAGAATATTTGCAAACCACCTGTCTGACAAAGATTAATAACCAGGATATATAAGGAACTTAAACAACTCAATAGTAAAATTTGAATAGGCATTTCTCAGAAGAAGACATACAAATGGTCAACAGGTGTATGAAAATCTCCACATCACTAATCCTCAGGAAAATGCAAATTAAAACTATAGTGAGATATCATCTCACTGCAATTAAGATGACTTTTATCCAAAAGACAGGCAATAATGAATGCTGGTGAGGATGTGGAGAAGGGGGAATCCTATACTGTTGGAGGGCATGTAAATTAGTACATCCACAATGGAGAAGAGTATGAAGGTTCCTCAAAAAAACCAAAAAGAACTGACACACAATCCAGCAATCCCACTGCTGGGTGTATATCTAAAAGAAAGGAAATCAGTATATTGAAGAGATATCTGCATCTTCATGTTTATTGCAGCACTATTCACAACAGCCAAGATATGGAATCAACTTAAGTATCCATCAACAGATGAATGGATGAAGAAAATGTGGTATATAACACAATGGAATATTATTCAGCCATTAAAAGAATGAAATCCTATCATTTGCAACAATATGGATGGAACTTAAGGACATTATATTAAGCGAAATAATCCAGGCACAGAAAGACAAATACTGCATGTTCTTGCTCATGTGTGAGAGCTCAAAAAGTGGATCTCATCGAGGTAGAGAGTTGATTGATAGTTACTAGAGGCTGGGAAGGGGAGATGAGAAGAGGTTAGTTAATGGGTATAAAAATATGGTTGGATAGGAGGAAAAAGATGTAGTGCTTGGTAGCACAGTAGGGCAACGATAGTTAGTAATAATTTATTGTATATTTCAAAAATAACTTAAAGAGTAGAACTGGAATGTTCCTATCAAAGAAATGATAAATGCTTGTGGCTGGGCATGGTGGCTCATACCTCTAATCCCAGTACTTTGGGAGGCCAAGGTGGGCAGATCATTTGAGGTCAGGAGTTCGAGACCAGCCTGACCAACATGGTGAAACCCTGTCTCTACTAAAAGTACAAAATAATTAACTGGGTGTGGTTGCCCATGCCTGTAGTTCCAGCTACTCAGGAGGCTGAGGCAGGAGAATTGCTTGAACTCGGGAGATGGAAGTTGCAGTGAGCTGAGATTGCACCACTGCACTCCAGCCTGGGTGATAGAATGAAACTCCATCTGAATAAAAAAAAAAAAAAAAGGAATGGTAAATGCTTGAGTTGATGGATACCACAATTACTCTGATTTGACAGTTATACATTGTATGCTTGTATCAAAATATCATGTGTATTCTGTAAATATGTACAACTATTATGTATTCATAATAGTTAAAAATAAAAAATTAAAATCATATTAAGTATCTTAGACCACAGTGGAGTAAAACTAAGAACCAATAATAAGAAGAACTTTGGAAACTGTACAAAATACATGGAAATTAAACAACATGCTCCTGCATGACCACTGGTCAAGGAAGAAATTAAGGAGGAAAGAAAAAATTTATTTAAACATGTGAAAATCAAAATACAACATACCAAGACCTGTGGGATATAGCCAAAGCAGTGCTAAGAGGAAAGTTTATAGCAATAAATGCTTTCATCAGAAAAGTAGAAAGATTTCAAATAGATAATCTAATGCACCTCAAGGAACTAGAAAATCGAGAAGAAACAAAATCCCAATTTAGTAGAAGGAAAGAAATAATAAAGATCAGATAAGAAATAAACAAAACAGAGACTAAAATCAAATAAAAGTCAACAAAATGAAAAATTGTTTGAAAAGATAAACAAAATTGATAAACTGCTAGCTAGACTAACCAAACAAAAAGAGATAAGACCCAAATAAAATCAGAAATGAAAAAGGAGTCATTTCAACTGATACCAAAGAAATATAAATGATCATTAGATAATATTATGAACAACTACACTAACAAACTGGAAAACCAAGAGGAAATTGATAAATTCCTGAACACATATAACCTACCAAGATTAACTGAGGAAGAAATAGAAAATCTGAACAGACCAATAATGTGTAATGGGATTGAATCAGTAATCAAAAGTCTCCCAACAAAGAAAAGTCCTGGACAGGAAGGATTTACTGCTGAATTCTACCAAACTTTCAAAAAAGAACTAACACTAATTTTCCTCAAACTGTTCCAAAAAATTGAAGAGGAGGGAATTCTCCCTAACTCATTCTATGAGGTGAGCATTTACCCTTATACCAAAACCAGACAAAGACTCAACAACAACAACAACAAAAAAAAAAAAAAAAAAAAGGGAAAACTACAGGCCAATATCCCTGATGAACAGAGACCACACAACCCTCAACAGAATACTAACAAATTGAAACCAACAGCACATCAAAAATATAGTATATCATGATCAAGTGGGAGTTATCCTAGAGATGCATGAATGGTTCAATATACAGAAATAAACAAACATGATACATCACATCAACAGATGAAGGACAAAAATCATATGATAATCTCAGTAGATGCAGAAAAAGCATTTGATAAAATTAACCCTTTATGACAAAAATGCTCAACAAACTAGACATACAAGGAACATACCTCAACATACTAAAGGCCATATGTGACAAACCCACAGCTAATATTTTATGGAATGGAGAAAAGCTGATAGCCTTTCCTCTAAGAACAGGAATAACTTTTACCACTCCTATTCAACATAGTCTAGAAGTCCTACCCAGAGCAATCAAGCAAGAGGAAGAAATAACAGGCATCTAAACTGGAAAAGAGGAAGTCAAATTGTCCTTCTTTGCCCTCTTTGCACATGATATGATCTTATATATAGAAAAACCTTAAGACTCTCCCGAAAAACTCTTAGATTCAATACATTTGGTGAAATTGTAGAATACAAAATCAACAAACAAAAATGAGTAGCATTTCTATATACTAATAATGAACTAGCTGAGAAACAAATCAAGAAGGCAATCCCATTTACAATAGCTACAAAAATACATGGAAATGGCGGTTCCAAGATGGCCAAATAGGAAGAGCTCCAGTCTACAGCTCCCAGTGTGAGAGACGCAGAAGACGGGTGATTTCTGCATTTCCAACTGAGGTACCGGGCTTGTCTCACTGGGGCTTGTCAGACAGTGGGTGAAGGACAGTGGGTGCAGCCCACTGAGCATGAGCTGAAGCAGGGCGAGGCATCGCCTCACCCGGGAAGTGCAAGGGGTCAGGGAATTCCCTTTCCTAGCCAAGGGAAGCTGTGACAGACGGCACCTGGAAAATTGGGTCACTCCCACCCTAATACTGTGCTTTTCCAATGGTCTTAGCAAACGGCACACCAGGAGATTATATCCCATGCCTGGCTCGGAAGGTCCCACGCCCACGGAGCCTCACTCATTGCTAGCATAGCTGTCTGAGATAGAACTGCAAGGTGGCAGAGAGGCTGGGGGAGGGGCTCCCGCCATTGCTGAGGCTTGAGTAGGTAAACAAAGCTGCCAGGAACCTCGAACTGGGTTCAGCCCACTGCAGCTCAAGGAGGCCTGCCTGCCTCTGTAGACTCCACCTCTGGGGGCAGAGCATAGCCAAACAAAAGGCAGCAGAAACCTCTGCAGACTTAAACGTCCCTGTCTGACAGCTTTGCAGAGAGTAGTAGTTCTCCCAGCATGGAGTTTGAGATCTGAGAATGGTCAGACTGCCTCCTCAAGTGGGTCCTTGACCCCCAAGTAGCCTAACTGGGAGAAACTCCCCAGTAGGGGCAGACTGACACCTCACATGGCTGGGTACCCCTTTGAGATGAAGCTTCCAGAGGAACGATCAGGCAGCAACATTTGCTGTTCAGCAATATTCACTGTTCTGCAGCCTCCACTGCTGATACCCAGGCAAACAGGGTCTGGAGTAGACCTCCAGCAAACTCCAACAGACCTGCAGCTGAGGGTCCTGACTGTTAGAAGGAAAACTAATAAACAGAAAGGACATCCACATCAAAACCCCATCTGTATGTCATCATCATCAAAGACCAAAGGTAGATAAAACCACAAAGATGGGGAAAAAACAGGGCATAAAAGCTGAAAATTCTACAAATCAGAGTGCCTCTCCCCCTCCAAAGGAATGCAGCTCCTCACCAGCAATGGAACAAAGCTGGACAGAGGATGACTTTGATGAGTTGACAGAAGAAGGCTTCAGACAATCAAACTTCTCTGAGCTAAAGGAGGAGGTTCGAACCCATCACAAAGAAGCTAAAAACCTTGAAAAAAGATTAGATGAATGGCTAATTAGAATAACCAGTGTAGAGAAGTCCTTAAATGACCTGATGGAGCTGAAAACCATGGCAAGAGAACTATGTGATGAATGCACAAGCTTCAGTAGCTGATTCGATCAACCGGAAGAAAGGATATCAGTGATTGAAGATCAAATGAATGAAATGAAGCATGAAGAGAAGTTTAGAGAACAAAGAGTAAAAAGAAATGAACAAAGCCACTAAGAAATATGGGACTATGAGAAAAGACCAAACCTACATCTGACTGGTGTACCTGAAAGTGATGGGGAGAATGGAACCAAGTTGGAAAACACTCTGCAGGATATTATCCAGGAGAACTTCCCCAACCTAGCAAGGCAGGCCAACATTCAGATTCAGGAAATACAGAGAACGCCACAAAGACACTCCTCGAGAAGAGCAAATCCAAGACACATAATTGTCAGATTCACCAAAGTTGAAATGAAGGAAAAGATGTTAAGGGCAGCCAGAGAGAAATGTCGGGTTACCCACAAAGGGAAGCCCATCAGACTAACAGCGGATCTTTCGGCAGAAACTCTACAAGCCAGAAGACAGTGGGGGCCAATATTCAACATTCTTTTATTTATTTATTTATTTATTTATTATTATTATACTTTAAGTTTTAGGGTACATGTGCACAATGTGCAGGTTAGTTACATATGTATACATGTGCCATGCTGGTGTGCTGCACCCACTAACTCGTCATCTAGCATTAGGTATATCTCCCAATGCTATCCCTCCCCCCTCCCCCCACCCAACAACAGTCCCCAGAGTGTGATATTCCCCTTCCTGTGTCCATGTGTTCTCATTGTTCAATTCCCATCTATGAGTGAGAATATGCCGTGTTTGGTTTTTTGTTCTTGTGATAGTTTAGTGAGAATGATGATTTCCAATTTCATCCATGTCCCTACAAAGGACATGAACTCATCATTTTTTATGGCTGCATAGTATTCCATGGTGTATATGTGCCACATTTTCTTAATCCAGTCTATCATTTTTGGACATTTGGGTTGGTTCCAAGTCTTTGCTATTGTGAATAGTGCCGCAATAAACATACGTGTGCATGTGTCTTTAAAGCAGCATGATTTATAGTCCTTTGGGTATATACCCAGTAATGGGATGGCTGGGTCAAATGGTATTTCTAGTTCTAGATCCCTGAGAAATTGCCACACTGACTTCCACAATGGTTGAACTAGTTTACAGTCCCACCAACAGTGTAAAAGTGTTCTTATTTCTCCACATCCTCTCCAGCACCTGTTGTTTCCTGACTTTTTAATGATTGCCATTCTAACTGGTGTGAGATGGTATCTCATTGTGGTTTTGATTTGCATTTCTCTGATGGCCAGTGATGGTGAGCATTTTTTCATGTATTTTTTGGCTGCATAAATGTCTTCTTTTGAGAAGTGTCTGTTCATGTCCTTCACCCACTTTTTGATGGGGTTGTTTGTTTTTTTCTTGTAAATTTGTTGGAGTTCATTGTAGATTCTGGATATTAGCCCTTTGTCAGGTGAGTAGGTTGTGAAAATTTTCTCCCATTCTGTAGGTTGCCTGTTCACTCTGATGGTAGTTTCTTTTGCTGTGCAGAAGCTCTTTAGTTTAATTAGATCCCATTTGTCAATTTTGGCTTTTGTTGCCATTGTTTTTGGTGTTTTAGACATGAAGCCCTTGCCCATGCCTATGTCGTGAATGGTAATGCCTAGGTTTTCTTCTAGGGTTTTTATGGTTTTAGGTCTAACATTTAAGTCTTTAATCCATCTTGAATTGATTTTTGTACAGGGTGTAAGGAAGGGATCCAGTTTCAGCTTTCTACATATGGCTAGCCAGTTTTCCCAGCACCATTTATTAAATAGGGAATCCTTTCCCCATTGCTTGTTTTTCTCAGGTTTGTCAAAGATCAGATAGTTGTAGATATGCGGCGTTATTTCTGAGGGCTCTCTTCTGTTCCATTGATCTATATCTCTGTTTTGGTACCAGTACCATGCTGTTTTGGTTACTGTAGCCTTGTAGCATAGTTTGAAGTCAGGTAGTGTGATGCCTCCGGCTTTGTTCTTTTGGCTTAGGATTGGCTTGGCAATGCGGGCTCTTTTTTGGTTCCATATGAACTTTAAAGTAGTTTTTTCCAATTCTGTGAAGAAAGTCATTGGTAGCTTGATGGGGATGGCATTGAATCTGTAAATTACCTTGGGCAGTATGGCCATTTTCACGATATTGATTCTTCCTATCCATGAGCATGGAATATTCTTCCATTTGTTTGTATCCTCTTTTATTTCATTGAGCAGTGGTTTGTAGTTCTTCTTGAAGAGGTCCTTCACATCCCTTGTAAGTTGGATTCCTAGGTATTTTATTCTCTTTGAAGCAATTGTGAATGGGAGTTCACTCATGATTTGGCTCTCTGTTTATCTGTTATTGGTGTATAAGAATGCTGGTGATTTTTGTACATTGATTTTGTATCCTGAGACTTTGCTGAAGTTGCTTATCAGCTTAAGGAGATTTTGGGCTGAGACAATGGGGTTTTCTAAATATACAATCATGTCGTCTGCAAACAGGGACAATTTGACTTCCTCTTTTCCTAATTGAATACCCTTTATTTCCTTCTCCTGCCTAATTGCCCTGGCCAGAACTTCCAACCCTATGTTGAATAGGAGTGGTGAGAGAGGGCATCCCTGTCTTGTGCCAGTTTTCAAAGGGAATGCTTCCAGTTTTTGCCCATTCAGTATGATATTGGCTGTGGGTTTGTCATAGATAGCTCTTATTATTTTGAGATACGTCCCATCAATACCTAATTTATTGAGAGTTTTTAGCATGAATCGTTGTTGAATTTTGTCAAAGGCCTTTTCTGCATCTATTGAGATAATCATGTGGTTTTTGTCATTGGTTCTGTTTATGCTGGATTACATTTATTGATTTGTGTATAGTGAACCAGCCTTGCATCCCAGGGATGAAGACCACTTGATAATGGTGGATAAGCTTTTTAATGTGCTGCTGGATTCGGTTTGCCAGTATCTTATTGAGGATTTTTGCATCAATGTTCATCAAGGATATTGGTCTAAAATTCTCTTTTTTTATTGTGTCTCTGTCCGGCTTTGGTATCAGCATGATGCTGGCCGCATCAAATGAGTTAGGGAGGATTCCCTCTTTTTCTATTGATTGGAATAGTTTCAGAAGGAATGGTACCAGTTCCTCTTTGTACCTCTTGTAGAATTCAGCTGTGAATCCATCTGGTCCTGGACTCTTTTTGGTTGGTAAGCTATTGATTATTGCCACATTTTCAGATCCTGTTATTGGTCTATTCAGAGACTCAACTTCATCCTGGTTTAGTCTTAGGAGAGTGTATGTGTCGAGGAATTTATCCATTTCTTCTAGATTTTCTAGTTTATTTGAGTAGAGGTGTTTATAGTATTCTCTGATGGTAATTTGTATTTCTGTGGGATTGGTGGTGATATCCCCTTTATCATTTTTTATTGCATCTATTTGATTCTTCTCTTTTTTTCTTTATTAGTCTTGCTAGCAGTCTATCAATTTTGTTGATCCTTTCAAAAAACGAGCTCCTGGATTCATTAATTTTTTGAAGGGCTTTTTGTGTCCCTATTTCCTTCAGTTCTGCTCTGATTTTAGTTATTTCTTGCCTTCTGCTAGCTTTTGAATGTGTTTGCTCTTACTTTTCTAGTTCTTTCAATTGTGATGTTAAGGTGTCAATTTTGGATCTTTCCTGCTTTCTCTTGTGGGCATTTAGTGCTATAAATTTCCCTCTACACACTGCTTTGAATGTGTCCCAGAGATTCTGGTATGTTGTGTCTTTGTTCTCGTTGGTTTCAAAGAAATCTTTATTTCTGCCTTCATTTCTTTATGTACCCAGTAATCATTCAGGAGCAGGTTGTTCAGTTTCCATGTAGTTGAGTGGTTTTGAGTGAGATTCTTAATCTTGAGTTCTAGTTTGATTGCACTGTGGTCTGAGAGATAGTTTGTTATAATTTCTGTTCTTTTACATTTGCTGAGGAGAGCTTTACTTCCCAGTATGTGGTCAATTTTGGAATAGGTGTGGTGTGGTGCTGAAAAAAATGTATATTCTGTTGATTTGGGGTGGAGAGTTCTGTAGATGTCTATTAGGTCCGCTTGGTGCAGAGCTGAGTTCAATTCCTGGGTATCCTTGTTGACTTTCTGACTCGTTGATCTGTCTAATGTTGACAGTGGGGTGTTAAAGTCTCCCATTATTAATGTGTGGGAGTCTAAGTCTCTTTGTATGTCACTCAGGACTTGCTTTATGAATCTGGGTGCTCCTGTATTGGGTGCATATATATTTAGGATCGTTAGCTCTTCTTGTTGAATTGATCCCTTTACCATTATGTAATGGCCTTCTTTGTCTCTTTTGATCTTTGTTGGTTTAAAGTCTGTTTTATCTGAGACTAGGATTGCAACCCCTGCCTTTTTTTGTTTTCCATTGGCTTGGTAGATCTTCCTCCATCCCTTTATTTTGAGCCTATGTGTGTCTCTGCACATGAGATGGGTTTCCTGAATACAGCACACTGATGGGTCTTGACTCTTTATCCAATTTGCCAGTCTGTGTCTTTTAATTGGAGAATTTAGTCCATTTACATTTAAAGTTAATATTGTTATGTGTGAATTTGATCCTGTCATTATGATGTTAGCTGGTTATTTTGCTCGTTAGTTGATGCAGTTTCTTCCTAGTCTCGATGGTCTTTACATTTTGGCATGATTTTGCAGCGGCTGGTACCGGTTGTTCCTTTCCATGTTTAGCGCTTCCTTCAGGAGCTCTTTTAGGGCAGGTCTGGTGGTGATGAAATCTCTCAGCATTTGCTTGTCTGTAAATTATTTTATTCCTCCTTCACTGATGAAGCTTAGTTTGGCTGGATTTGAAATTCTGGGTTGAATATTCTTTTCTTCGAGAATGTTGAATATTGGCCCCCACTCTCTTCTGGCTTGTAGAGTTTCTGCCAAAAGATCCGCTGTTAGTCTGATGGGCTTCCCTTTGAGGGTAACCCGACCTTTCTCTCTGGCTGCCCTTAACATTTTTTCCTTCATTTCAACTTTGGTGAATCTGACAATTATGTGTCTTGGAGTTGCTCTTCTCGAGGAGTATCTTTGTGGCGTTCTCTGTATTTCCTGAATCTGAACGTTGGCCTGCCTTGCTAGATTGGGGAAGTTCTCCTGGATAATATCCTGCAGAGTGTTTTCCAACTTGGTTCCATTCTCCCCGTCACTTTCAGGTACACCAATCAGACGTAGATTTGGTCTTTTCACATAGTCCCATATTTCTTGGAGGCTTTGCTTGTTTCTTTTTATTCTTTTTTCCCTAAACTTCCCTTCTTGCTTCATTTCATTCATTTCATCTTCCATCACTGATACCCTTTCTTCCAGTTGATCACACCAGCTCCTGAGGCTTCTGCATTCTTCATGTAGTTCTTGAGCCTTGGTTTTCAGCTCCCTCAACTCCTTTAAGCACTTCTCTGTATTGGTTATTCTAGTTATACATTTTTCTAAATTTTTTTCAAAGTTTTCAACTTCTTTGCCTTTGGTTTGAATGTCCTCCTGTAGCTCGGAGTAATTTGATCGTCTGAAGCCTTCTTCTCTCAGCTCGTCAAAGTCATTCTCCGTTCAGCTTTGTTCTGTTGCTGGTGAGGAACTGTGTTCCTTTGGAGGAGGAGAGGTGCTCTGCTTTTTAGAGTTTCCAGTTTTTCTGCTCTGTTTTTTCCCTATCTTTGTGGTTTTATCTACTTTTGGTCTTTGATGATGGTGATGTACAGATGGGTTTTTGGTGTGGATGTCCTTTCTGTTTGTTAGTTTTCCTTCTAACAGACAGGACCCTCAGCTGCAGATCTGTTGGAGTACTGGGCCCTGTGAGGTGTCAGTCTGCCCCTGCTGTGGGGTGCCTCCCAGTTAGGCTGCTTGGGGGTCAGGGGTCAGGGACCCACGTGAGGAGGCAGTCTGTCCATTCTGAGATCTCCAGCTGCGTGCTGGGAGAACCACTGCTCTCTTCAAAGCTGTCAGACAGGGACATTTAAGTCTGCAGAGGTTAATGCTGTCTTTTTGTTTGTCTGTGCCCTGCCCCCAGAGGTGGAGCCTACAGAGGCAGGCAGGCCTCCTTGAGCTGTGGTGGGCTCCACCCAGTTCGCGCTTCCAGGCTGCTTTGTTTACCTAAGCAAGCCTGGGCAATGGCGGGCGCCCCTCCGCCAGTCTCGCTGCCGCCTTGCAGTTTGATCTCAGACTGCTGTGCTAGCAATCAGCGAGACTCTGTGGGCGTAGGACCCTGCGAGCCAGGTGCCGGATGTAATCTCGTGGTGTGCCGTTTTTTAAGCCCATCGGAAAAGCACAGTATTTGGGTGGGAGTGACCCGATTTTCCAGGTGCTGCCTGTCACCCCTTTCTTTGACTAGGAAAGGGAACTCCCTGACCCCTTGCACTTCCCGAGTGAGGCAATGCCTTGCCCTGCTTTGGCTCGCGCAAGGTGTGCGCAGCCACTGACCTGCGCCTACTGTCTGGCACTCCCTAGTGAGATGAACCCGGTACCTCAGATGGAAATGCAGAAATCACCCGTCTTCTGCGTCGCTCACGCTGGGAGCTGTAGACCGGAGCTGTTCCTATTCGGCCATCTTGGATCCTCCCCCCTTTAACAGTCTTAAAGAAAAGAATTTTCAATCCAGAATTTCATATCCAGCCAAACTAAGCTTCATAAGTGAAGGAGAAGTAAAATCCTTTACAGACAAGCAAATACTGAGAGATTTTGTCACCACCAGGCCTGACCTACAAGAGCTCCTGAAGGAAGCACTAAACATGGAAAGGAACAACTGGTACCAGCCACTGCAAAAACATGCCAAATTGTAAAGACCATCAATGCTAGGAAGAAACTGCATCAATGAACGAGCAAAGTAACCAGCTAACATCATAATGACAGGATCAAATTCACGCATAACAATATTAACCTTAAATGTAAATGGGCCAAGTGCTCCAATTAAAGGACACAGGCTGCCAAATTGGATAAAGAGTCAAGACCCATCAGTGTGCTCTATTCAGGAGACCCATCTAACGTGCAGAGACACACATAGGCTCAAAATAAAGGGATGGAGGAAGATCTACCAAGCAAATGGTAAATAAAAAAAGGCAGGGGTTGCAATCCTAGTCTCGGATAAAACAGACTTTAAACCAACAAATATCAAAAGAGACAAAGAAGGCCATTACATAATGGTAAAGGGATCAATTCAACAAGAAGAGCTAACTACCCTAAATATATATGCATCTAATACAGGAGCACCCAGATTCATAAAGCAAGTCCTTAGAGACCTACAAAGAGACTTAGACTCCTACATAATAATAATGGGAGACTTTAACACCCCACTGTCAACATTAGACAGATCCACGAGACAGAAAGTTAGCAAGGATATCCAGGAATTGAACTCAGCTCTGCACCAAGCGGACCTAATAGACATCTACTGAACTCTCCACCCTCAATCAATAGAATATATATTCTTCTCCACACCACATCACACTTATTCCAAAAATTGACCACATAGTTGGAAGTAAAGCACTCCTCACCAAATGTAAAAGAACAGAAATTATAACAAACTGTCTCTCAGACCACAGTGCAATCAAACTAGGACTCAGGATTAAGAAACTCACTCAAAACCACTCAACTACATGGAGACTGAACAACCCGCTCCTGAATCACTACTGGGTACATAACGAAATGAAGGCAGAAAGAAAGATTTTCTTTGAAACCAATGAGAACAAAGGCACAACATACCAGCATCTCCGAGATACATTTAAAGCAGTGTATAGAGGGAAATTTATAGCACAAAATTCCCACAAGAGAAAGCAGGAGAGATCTAAAATTGACACCCTGACATCACAATTAAAAGAACTAGAGAAGCAAGAACAAACACATTCAAAAGCTAGCAGAAGGCAAGAAATAACTAAAATCAGAGCAGAACTGAAGGAGATAGAGACACAAAAAACCCTTCAAAAAGTCAATGAATCCAGGAGCTCGTTTTTTGAAAGGATCAACAAAATTGATAGACCGCTAGCAAGACTAATAAAGAAGAAAAGAGAGAAGAATCAAATAGACGCAATAAAAAATGATAAAGGGGATATCACCGCCGATCCCACAGAAATACAAACTACCATCAGAGAATACTATAAACACCTCTACGCAAATAAACTAGAAAATCTAGAAGAAATGGATAAATTCCTGGACACATACACCCTCCCAAGACTAATCCAGGAAGAAGTTGAATCCCTGAATATACCAATAACAGGCTCTGAAATTGAGGCAATAATTAATAGCTTACCAACCAAAAAAAGTCCAGGACCAGATGGATTCACAGCCGAATTCTACCAGAGGTACAAGGAGGAGCTGGTACCATTCCTTCTGAAACTATTCCAATCAATAGAAAAAGAGGGAATCCTCCCTAACTCATTTGATGAGGCCAGCATCATCCTGATACCAAAGCCGGGCAGAGACAAAACAAAAAAAGAGAATTTTAGACCAATATTCCTGATGAACATTGATGCAAATATCCTCAATAACATACTGGCAAACGAAATCCAGCAGCACATCAAAAAGCTTATCCACTATGATCAAGTGGGCTTCATCCCTGGGATGCAAGGCTGGTTCAACATATGCAAATCAATAAACGTAATCCAGCATATAAACAGAACCAATGACAAAAACCATATGATAATCTCAATAGATGCAGAAAAGGCCTTTGACAAAATTCAACAGCCCTTCATGGTAAAAACTCTCAATAAATTGGGTATTGATGGGACGTATCTCAAAATAATAAGAGCTATTTATGACAAACCCACAGCTAATATCATACTGAATGGGCAAAAAGTGGAAGCATTCCATTTGAAAACTGGCAGAAGACAGGGATGCCCTCTCTCACCACTCCTATTCAACATAGTGTTGGAAGTTCTGGTCAGGGCAATCAGGCAGGAGAAAGAAATAAAGGGTATTCAGTTAGGAAATGAGGAAGTCAAATTGTCCCTGTTTGCTGATGACATGATTGTATATTTAGAAAACCCCATCGTCTCAGCCCAAAATCTCCTTGAGCTGATAAGGAACTTGAGCAAAATCTGAGGATACAAAATCAATGTGCAAAAATCACAAGCATTCTTATACACCAATAACAGATAAACAGAGAGCCAAATCATGAGTGAATTCCCATTCACAATTGCTTGAAAGAGAATAAAATACCTAGGAATCCAACTTACAAGGGATGTGAAGGACCTCTTCAAGGAGAACTACAAACCACTGCTCAATGAAATAAAAGAGGACACAAACAAATGGAAGAACATTCCATGCTCATGGATAGGAAGAATCAATATCGTGAAAATGGCCATACTGCCCAAGGTAATTTACAGATTCAATGCCATCCCCATCAAGCTACCAATGACTTTCTTCACAGAATTGGAAAAAACTACTTTAAAGTTCATATGGAACCAAAAAAGTGTCCCCATTGCCAAGTCAATCCTAAGCCGAAAGAACAAAGCTGGAGGCATCACACTACCTGACTTCAAACTATACTACAAGGCTACAGTAACCAAAACAGCATGGTACTGGTACCAAAACAGAGATATAGACTAATGGAACAGAACAGAGCCCTCAGAAATAGTACCACACATCTACAACCAACTGATCTTTGACAAATTTGACAAAAACAAGCAATGGGGAAAGGATTCCCTATTTAATAAATGGTGCTGGGAAAACTGGCTAGCCATATGTAGAAAGCTGAAACTGGATCCCTTCCTTACACCTTATACAAAAATTAATTCAAGATGGATGAAAGACTTAAATGTTAGACCTAAAACCATAAAAACCCTAGAAGAAAACCTAGGCAATACCATTCATGACATAGGCATGGGCAAGGACTTCATGTCTAAAACACCAAAAGCAATGGCAACAAAAGCCATAATTGACAAATGAGATTTAATTAAACTAAAGAGCTTCTGCACAGCAAAAGAAACTACCATCAGAGTGAACAGGCAACCTACAGAATGGGAGAAAATTTTTGCAATCTACTCATCTGACAAAGGGCTAATATCCAGAATCTACAAAGTACTCAAACAAACTTACAAGAAGAAAACAAACAACCCCATCAAAAAGTGGGTGAAGGATATGAACAGACACTTCTCAAAAGAAGACATTTATGCGGCCAACAGACACATGTAAAAATGCTCATCATCACTCGCCATCAGAGAAATGCAAATCAAAACCACAATGAGATACCATCTCACACCAGTTAGAATGGCGATCATTAAAAAATCAGGAAACAACAGGTGCTGGAGAGGATGTGGAGAAATAGGAACACTTTTACACTGTTAGTGGGACTGTAAAGTAGTCCAACCATTGTGGAAGACAGTGTGGTGATTCCTCAAGGATCTAGAACTAGAAATACCATTTGACCCAGCCATCCCATTACTGGGTATGTACCCAAAGGATTATAAATCATGCTGCTATAAGGACACACGCACACGTATGTTCATTGTGGCACTATTCACAATAGTAAAGACTTGGAACCAACCCAAATGTCCATCAATGATAGACTGGATTGAGAAAATGTGGCACATATACACCATGGAATAGTATGCAGCTATAAAACAGGATGAGTTCATGTCCTTTGTAGGGACATGGATGAAGCTGGAAACCTTCATTCTTGGCAAAGTATCGCAAGGACAAAAACCCAAACACGCGTGTTCTCACTCATAGGTGGGAATTGAACAGTGAGAACACTTGGACACAGAAGGGGAACATCACACACCGGGGCCTGTTGTGGGGTGGGGGTGGGGGGAGGGATAGCATTAGGGGATATACCTAATGTAAATGATGAGTTAATGGGTGCAGCACACCAACATGGCACATGTATGCATATGTAACAAACCTGCATGTTGTGCACATGTACCCTAGAGCTTAAAATATAATAAAAAAAAAAGAAGAAGAAGGAAGTCCTGCAAAGGGCCCAAATTTCCCTTCAGAATCTCCACCACGGTACTCATCTATATTTTCAGTCCTTAATTAAATCTGGTTTCTGCTGTGCTTTTCATTCACCATTTAGTAAAAATGAAAACCTTTCTTAATAAATTTCAGAGATGGGAGATTAAATTACTTACATAAATGCTAATATGGCAATGGAATTTTTTACTAAATTTTTTCTTGTAAATACATGATATGGCATCAATATAAATGAGTATGAATGAGTTTATTGGGCTAACCTGGGTACCTATCTGCATTTATAATACCATTTTTATGAGCAAATGCATTGTATCTTCCAGCAAACAGACTTGCAAGCTGATTTCTGGAAATCTAGTTTTCGAAAGTTGAACACTGTGTAATTCAATAAAAATATTCTAATGAGAATAAAAGCTAGACAGAGGCATAATAATGCTTTTCCTAATTTTTCTACCTTTCTTTTAGTTACCTTTTTAGTTACATGAATAGTCTACAGCAAAATAGCTAAGTGAGGTTAAAGTAGAAGTTAGCTGGTCATTCCGGCATAAGTGAAAATGTAGAACTTAGAGTGTACCTTTGCTTAAAGTCAGTTTTCTTTCAGGAATTCATTTTAATATTGTGATAGTAGAGACCATGCGAAAAAATATGAAAAAACTCAAACAAGAAAATAATCTTTAAAGAAAATTTGAGAACCTTCATTTCCAAACTTTTATAAGTAGTTTTTACCAAAGACATGCTCATTAAGCTTTGCCAGGCCACTGTCAGTAGTGGATACATGATTAAATCCACCACATGGCATTTCTTATGCTACATGAGTTATGGGATGCAGAATGACAGAATTTATGCAACCTTATGAAACATGCCAGCACAATGTAGCACTTAAGCTAAGATATTTTAATGACCCAATTTGTTCAGACTGCTTGAGGATAAAAAGTGATTTCACAGGATTTGCTACTATTAATCACAGCAGCTTCTAGTATTTAGTACATAGTGGGCAGGTGTTTTCAGGATTATACTAATAACAAGAAAAATAACAATGTTTTTTAATAGTCAAATTATAATGAGAGACAATTAATGTAACATTTTAAATTAGTATAAAAGGGCAGGGTTAGCATAGTATAAAGTATATAGTTAGTGTATTAAATGCAGATGAAATAATCTTAATTCATTTAGCAATTACTCATTGTGCTTGCAATAAGTAACATATTCAGACGGAACTTAACTGGAAGAAAATAAAAGGCATTGTTGTTTAACTCCTGGTGTCTAGGAAGGAGGGAGAATACACTATATTTTAAGAGACCTCTGAAAAAAGTTCATTTACAAAAATGCCAGGACTCAGGTTTATTATTATTCTCCTGGGGCACACACTTTGAAATGATATTTTCACACAAGGTAGAATCTGAAATTTGAATCCTGTCAGAGCCACAAAATGCGGAAAGTCCAGTTCTCACAGGGAATAACATTTAAATATTAAATGTCTATGTCCAAGGCAGAGATGACAAGAATAAAAATGACTCAATTTCAAGTAAAATCTCTGTCCTCTTTGTTTTTTAAACTGGGTCAAATTGGCATTTTTTGTTCAGTTTGGCCCGAAAGAATACAAAATAAATATGATAAGAGTTTGCAACTGTAATGTTTACATAGTTAAAAAGATTCTCAATTTCACTGAAGGCTCTCCTTTGCATGGAAGCTTAGGATTGTTATTTATAGGCTGTGAAACCAAAATGAATGGTCCATCAAAGTGGAAGCTTAGTGCAGTGGAAAAAACCAAAGATTTGATTGACTGAATTTTTCACTTTGCAACAAATTGTTTTGGTGTCAGAGAGGTCTTATAGTCATTGCTGTTTCGTTCTTCCCTTCATTTTTAGGATTGATGTCTTACACACGTCAGTCACTGGATATCCTGAAGAGCTTCAGCCTTATGGGTCTACTGTTTCCTTAAATATTTAAATAAAAATAGCCAGAGTCCCCACATCCTTTGTGTTAAGAGTATTTGAGGAGCACACAATAAACAGCCTCTTTTTTTTTAACTCAAGTTCTAAATTAGTGGAGAAAAAAATGCAAGTGATTGTATATCAAGTGTACATTCAAATGATTGCTGACAGAGGCCAAAATGTCACCCAGAAAGAGGTCCAGGTTGCTGTGCAAAGTGCTCTGCTATATTACCTAGCCCATCCAATGGTGCTCGAAGTGTCTGAATAGATTGGGATGTGTGTGGAGACTGTGGCAGGCTGCTCCAGGTGAATTACAGTGCCTGTCTTTAGAATTTTGGAGCAAAGCTCTACCATCCTTTTTAGATGGCTATTCTTTGAGAAACTGCTTATGGATTGCTCCTTGGCCTTGGCAGAGACTCAACACTTGGTCATGGGCCACCCAATGAACAGGAGCTGTGGACAATAAACTGGGTGTTTTTGGCCCTCTCAAAAAAATAAAAATGTTGTGTATGCAGTACAGCTTAAGTAGATCCTGAAGGCATGAGTAAGTTGCTTGGCAAGTTGCCCAGATGCCCCTCCTCATGTTATGTTGCCTCCTCTCTCTCAACCCACATAGCCCTCCAAATCTGAGGGTTCTGCATTATAGAGTCAACCAACTGAGGATTAAAAACTATTTTGAAAAAAAAAAGCAATACAATAATAAAAGTCATACTAAGAAAGAAATAACAACTATTTACACAGCATTTACATTGTATTAGTTATAAGTAATCTGGAGATGATTTAAAGTATACAGGAGGATGTGCAAAAGTTGCATGCAAATACTATTCTATTTTATATAAGGGACTACCACATCTGTGGATTTTGGTATTTGAAGGGCTCCTAGAACCAATCCCCCATGGATATCTAAAGACAAATATATATGGCTTTTAGGGGGTTGCCTATGGCAAATATTGACTGAGGAAGAAAACAATTCAGGCCTGGTTTATAGATTGGTATGCTATGCTGGCACATCCTAAAAATGGATAGCTCAGCACTACTGCCCCACTCTGGGGTGGCTTTGAACTATGGTAGTGAAGGGAGCTCCTATTGTTGGACAGTACTTCAAGGAGTACACCTACTTATTAATTTTTCCTGGAAGAGGAGATGGCCCCAGGTACGGCCTTATACTGGCAGGCAGTGGCTAATGGTTTGACTAGATGGTTCATGTTATGGACTGACTGTTTGCATCCCCCCAAGAAAGAACACAACTAGACAATTGGTGACAAGGAGGTGTGTTGATAGATCTTTCTGAATGGGCATAGAGAGTGAAGACCTTTGTTCCATGTGATTGCTCGTCAAAGAGCAACCTCAGTAAAAGAGGATTTTAATAATCAGATGAACAAGATGCGCTGCTCTGTGGACATCAAGCAGGCTTTCTCTGCAGCCATTCCATCCATGCCCAATGGACTCATGAACAAAGTGGCCATGGTAGCAGGGGTAGAAGTTTCATATGGACTCAGCAACATGGACTTCCACTCACTATGGCTGATCTGTCTATAGTCACTGTTGAATGTCCAACCTGCCAACAGCAGAGTACAACTTTGAGCCCCTGACATGGTACCATTCCCCAGCAGGCTGAAATACCTGCTGGTAGGTTGGTTGCAATGGACCACATCCATCTTAGAAGAGGCAGTGCTTTGTTCTCACTGAAAGAGACATTTACTCTAAATATGGATTTGTTTTCCTTGCCCTCAAGGCTTTTGTCAAAATCACCATCTGTGGACTTACATAGTATGATTCACATCAAGGTATTCTTATAACACTGCTTCTGACCAAGGAACTTACTTAACAGCAATTGTGGACTCATGCTGATGGAATCTACTGATATTACCATGTTCCCTGTTACCATGAAGTAGCTGGTCTGATAGAATGCTGAAATAGCCTTTCAAAAATTTAGTTTCCATACCGGCTGGGAAGGAACATCTCACAGGTTTGAGGTAAAGTCTTCAGGATGTGGCAAATACTGTAAATCAGTGACCAATATACAATGCTCTCTTTCACAGAGGTAGGATCCATGGATTCAGCAAAGCTGTGTGAGATGGGAGTTATTCCTTTCACTATTACCCACAGTGAGCCACTATGTGTGGAAGTTCAGTGTGGGGTACTAGGCACTCTTGAAGTTCATGCCTGTTGTCCCTGATCTGTTGCTCATCCTGTTAGCACAAGGCAGCAGCCAAGCCCACAGCTCCCCAGCCCCTGCTGGATCATCTCCTTTAGCTTCTCCAGATCCTAAGCTGGGTGTGTGGATGGCTCTGTGGTGAAGTGTTCCAGCTCCTTCTGTGCCATTGAGGCTGGAGATAGAGAGAGGGAGATGAGGGTTCCAGCTGGTCTTTGTAGGTTCCAGTTTGTCCTTGTCCTGCCTTTTAAATGTCCAGCTGTTCTTACCAACTGCTGGTACTGAGAAACTCTACAGAGCCTGCAGGGCTATAACAGACAAGGACTGACAGCCTCCCATAGGGTTCCTCAACAGCTCCTACAATTACATAAGGTGGAGTTCCTATAGCAAATCCCATATAGTGGCTCTGCTTGTCTGACAAAGCCTAAATGACACAGCATCTGTCCACTAACTCTGAAGATTCTCGGGGAGGACTTCGTCCTCTTCGTCGTTTATTGGCCTAATTTTCTGCTCCTCAGAGTTTTCAAATTTACTGTCACCTTGACTCTTGTGTCTGTTCCCCTTTCTATGCCCCAAGTCAACCAAAATGTGGAACACAATGCCTTTTCCTTAGTTTACCTCAAATACCACTCATAAAAGCAAGGAATTTCACAGAGGTTCTGTGGTAAAAATGGGAGTTGCATTAGAGCAAAATACCTATAGCAGAAGATTACTTAAAATTGAGTATTAGTTGCCCCATTTTGAAAAGTCCAGTTCCTTGGCCTCCTGCCAACTATCAGTTTTCTTTCTCTTCTCTCATCTGTCTCCCTAATCTGTCCTTCTGCATCTTTCTGGCAACTCAAAACTCCTTTCATTAAAAAAAAAAAAAGTAGAATAATTCAGGTCTCTCATTTTCTTCTTCTTGATCATTGATATGGTTTGGCTGTGTTCCCACCAAAATCTCATCTTGAATTCCCACATGTTGTGGGAGGGGCCTAGAGGGAGCTAATTGAATCATAGGGGCAAATCTTTCCCATACTGTTGTCGTGATAGTAAGTCTCACGAGAACTGATGGTTTTAAAAAGAGGAGTTCCTCTGCACAAGCTCTGTCTTTCTTTGCCTGCTGCCATCCATGTAAAAGATGACTTGCTCCTCCTTGCCTTCCACCATGATTGTGAGGCTTCCTCAGCCGCGTGGAACTGTAAATCCAATTAAACCTCTTTCTTTTGTAATTTGCCCAGTGTTGGGTATGTCTTTATCAGCAGTGTGAAAACAGACTAGTACAATCATGTTATTGCATGCTTTCATTTTTATAACCAAAGGCCATCAAAGAAAAGACATCTTTCTCTTGAAGAGGAAGTTTACTGCCAGTTGTAAAACATAGGCCTTTCCCTCCCCTCTGTATCTTGAACTATCTTGCAGTAGATCTCAGTGGAGAGGGATGCCATATTCTATACCATCCTGTCACAGATTTACTCAAAATCAATTTTATAAAACCAAAACCTTAAAAGAAAGATTGGCAAAACAATTGTATTAGGATAAGTAGGTCCTGCTAAGAAACAGCTTTGAGAAAGTTTTGAATTACAGGCAGTTTGTAACAGCTGTGGATTGCAACATTTTCCCTGGTGAGTTGTTTAGAGTGTCATTGTGTATAAATTTCAAGCTATACTTCTAGAAGCTTTCATTTAGAAAGTTGATCTTTTACTTCTTTAAGGGTATAAAAGGAAATTGCAGGGTGTGCCTTGGTATGTGAACTATGGGCAAATTGCAGCATGTCAGTCTCTCCTTTGGAGACATGTATGTTTGCCAGTTTTTAAAATACAATTTAAGGAAGCAACAGAATTGTAGTGAGATGGATATTTAAATTCAGAGATGGGAGAAAATACAGAAGGAAATGGAGGAAGGTAGGAGAGTTATTTTTAAAAAATGTATCAAGACATGAATACAAGCACTTAATCTTAACAAAAGGACTAGTTGTAGCCATGCTGAATTAATCATTCTAATTAGATTTCCAAGATATTTGAAAAACAACTCTCCATATTGAGAGACTGATAGTTTTTCATTGACACTTTGCTATTTTTGTATTACTGGTCCAGAGCCTCATAAGTTTAGAATTTTTAAGTCAATAAATTAGAATAACAAGTGAAAGAGAAAATTACTTCTTTTTGACTAGAGAGATTCTAATCGCAGGTTTTTATGTTCTCAGTGTATGGATGTCTTATCTATCTACTTTTTTTTTTCTTTTCTCTCTCTCTCCCTCTCTCTCTTTTTCTTTTTTTCTATGTGCAAGATAGGAAGAAGTGTTTTGAGGGAGAGCACACTTGTGGGAAATGCCTTCAGCAGCAGCTATGCAAGAGAACAGATGAGAGAAGGTCTTGTAGGTTTGGTATCCACAGTGCTTTTGCCAACCAGTTGACTTGATGTTTCCAGTGATATGGCCAGAGCACCAGGATTCAGGGTATGACCCAACCACTATCAGATTCTACTTCTGGAGTTCATTTCCTTGGACATTGCTCAGGAACAGTAGTTTCTTAACCTTTTTGGTTCATGGAGGTGTATGAGGTCATAGACCCTTTCCAGAGAAAAATGCACATATGTATACAGAAAAATTTGCCAACAATATTAGAAGATTATAGGCCCCATGAAACCTACCCGAGGACTATAGGCTATAACTCCCATTCTAAATCACTGTCTTTTGGAGGATTGTAAAGGCCCTTCTATTCCACATTGAGGTTCCTTTTCAGATCTAAGCCTGAGTGTCACTCAATTCTTCTGTGGCTTAGCAGAGGATGATATAGATTCTTATACCTCACAGTTGTTTAACACAAGGCTAGATAAATTCTAAAGTGAGGACAGCCACAGAGACGCCACATTTGTGTCTTATTTGCTGTTATATTCCAGGAACATAGTGGGTACTCAAGAAGTAATTGTTGAAACTTTTGCCTTAGAGTATAATGTGGTGGTAAAGTGAGGTGAGAAATTAAAGTGGACTTTGTGTACTCTTGGAGCAAGAGGAGTGCTCAAATGATAGGTAGGATGTGCAACTGGATCTCCAATGAACCAATTAACTAAGGACTCCTTGCCTTCCTTTAGTATTGCTGGCCACAAGAGGAAACTTGGGGCTGCATAAAAATTTGAGCTGTGGGTAAGGCTGCTGGAGGACCTGCCTGCCAAAGAGAATTCTGCATTTGTCTTCTTTGTTTCCTCTTGCCTAAGGAAGAAGAATCCTTACCCCCGAGAGGAGAGCAGATTGCTGGAGGTGGAAGAAAGAGAAAAACCACAGGATTAGTGGATTAAGAGAAGTTTTTGGAGAGAGACATTCTGGAGAACACACACTTGCAAATATGCATTTCAGATGATTTCTTCAGGATTGATTTCCCAGGGTGAAATTACCTGGTCAAATGGGGTAGACGTTTTTAAGACTTGATGACAAAGTGCTTTTGAGAGAAGCCAATCATTTAACCCCCTCTATTTTCCATTCCTGAAACATAAGAAGGTGCTCATATGTTGTCAGTATTTTTTACATTTTATAACCGAGGAAACAACATTTTGGAGAATGTAAATACTTGCACAAGCTGGTAAATACTCTATTTGTTCAATTCCAAATGACATGTTTTCCCTTACACAGCACCATGGTTCAGTGTTGAGATCCACAGAAAACGTGACAAGGTTGGCCTTTGACTCAGGCCTAGCAGCCCTGAGAATAGGGATGGGGACTGAGAGAGAGAGACAGCACGAGCTAGAGAGAGCTGTGGATCCAGGCTTCAGGGATGCAATGAAGCCTGCAAACACCTTTCTCTCACAAGGCTCGAGAACATCCAGTCACCTCCCTGACCACACTTCTCAGATCTGCTTTCATCTGACTTTCACGTTCTCAAGGTTAACCTTGTCAGGCTTGATGATCAACAAGGTTGCAATGAGTATTCATAGAAATTGGTACAGAAGTTAATGTCCAGATCCACATGAAACGCAGGCAGAAATGAAGACAGTGACACTTACCAATCTTGACAGAAGGGACAAAAGGTTAAACTCTACAAGGAAACATTTGTAACCCTCATCAGCATGGTGCTGCATATTGTAGACAATACATGCACTTTAAAAACCACAGGATCTAAGCATTATGGAAATGACAATGACAACTTAAGGAGAGCTGTTGTCACTGGGGAAGGATGCTTAGAAATACGCACTGCTTTTCAACATCATTAGGACATCTCAAAGTCCTTGGTTTTAGGTAATTTCTTTTGTAAGTTTATAAGGTATAGCTCTCAAATTGTTTCCAAGTCTTATTAGTTCCCGGATATTTATGACTAATTATTCATTAAGTGGAAAAACGAAAGGAGGGGAGGGAAGAAAAATGAGTTTCCAGTTTTTACAAATATTGTTTCCTTTTTTGTTCTGATTCCTGAAAATAATAATATGGGATACATTCATACAGTCCAGGGGATGATCTCTATTGAAGCCACAGAGAAGAATAGATAAGCACACAGTATACAAAGTGAACAAATTCCCCTTAATGAATATTCAAAGCCTGTCCACCAAAAATTCCCAGTTTTCTGGTTTCAGTAGGTTTTGGAGGTTTGATTTTGTAGGTCAGACCTGGTAGGTAGGGCAGGGACTGAGTTATCTGTGCTTTTGTTTTTCACTAGTGTGGGCCTGCCTTATCAATGCATCCCTAGAGCCAATTAAGGACAAGATGAATTTTTGGGGCCTCTCCAGTCACCTTTCTTAAGCGTCCACAAAAAAGGTAACTTCTAGTGCCTTTACCTGATCTTGCTTGAAAACAGTCAGGAGAATGCTATGGTCTGAATGTATATGTCCACCCAAAATTCATAAGTTGAAAACCTAATCACCAATGTGATGGTATTAGGTGGGGTCTTTGGGAGATGATTTGGTCATGAAGTTGAAGCCCTCATGAATGGCATTAGTGCCTTTATAAAAGAGGCCCCAAATACCTGTCTTGCCCCTTTCTACCATGTCAGTTTACAGCAAGAAGACAGCCCTCACCAGACACTTAATCTGCTAGTGCCTTGATTTTGGACTTCCCAGCCTTCAGAACTATGAGAAGTAAACGTTGTTTATAAGCTATCCAGTCTGTGGTATTTTGTGATAGTAATCTACATGGACTAAGACAGAGGCTGTTACCAAAATTATAGGAAATATATTTAGAAAAGAAATTATTTTAAAATGCCAGATATTTATTCATATGGAGAAAAGACTCTTCTCTTAGAGAAGTATTATGGCCCACAAAAGCTGTACTTATTCATATATACGATTTTTCATTTAATGTTGACAGCAACTCTACGAGATAGACATTATTATTATCTCTGTTTTATGGGTGAGGAAACTGTGGCTTGGAGGGGTTTAGGTGACTTGCTCCTGGCTACACACCTAGTGAGCAATGAAGAGAGGAGGACTCACACATAGATATTCTGAGATGAAATTGTTTGCTCTTTGTGTTACTTCATGTTCCTTTGGTTTAAGCCAGGGTGTATTATTTAAGTAATCATGGTTATACTTATCTTTCATCATTAGTATCCCTCATCATCCGTGAAGTGGCTTTCATCTTGTAGGTCAAATATTGGGAGGTATTTCCAGTTAAAAATTAAAAAGTCAAGAAGTCTAAAAGTACAACTCTGAGCTTTGGCCGTTTGGATGTGAAAACAGCCCAGTCTCATCAAAATTAAATGAGAAAAAAGTGAGCAATGTATCAAGTAGGAATGCATTTGGCTGTAAGTAATAGAAAAATAGAACAATCTGGTCAGAGTAGCTTAACCAAATAAGAATATATTATTTTTTTCATAACAAGAAGTTTAGAGGTGGGCAGTCCATGGTAGGGAATAGCCCCACATGCATCAGAGTCCGTGCTACTCAAATCCTTCCACTCCGCCATCCTTAGCATGGGACTTCTGCCTTCAGGTTTGCTGCCTAATGATTGTAAATTGGGTTTTCCATCTTTAGCTCCATATCCACATTCCATACTGGTAGAATATGGGCCCAATCTGTTTGCCTTTGAGTCTTTCTTCTTGTTTGGAAAGGGATGTTCTCTCTGAAGACTTCCTTGTGTCAATTGGCCAGGGCTGGCTCTCAGGACCACCCTAACTACAAGGGAGTGTAGGAAGGTGAATATTTTCAGCTCGGCCCAATTTCATACTGGAAAAAACATGGATTATGTTAGAAAGAAAAAATAAAAGAATGAATGTAAAGTGAATTTTTTGGAGGGATTGGGAGTGAGAGTTCTGAATGGATAGTAATGATTAAAAATCATTTAAACCAAATGTTCAGTTGAGATAGGCTTCTGAGGAGGAAACTAGAACCTTGTACTTGGGTGTGTTCTAATGAATGAGGAACTAGTTGGGACAGCCTAGGCAGGTAACTGCATTGAAGAGCAGGCAGAGCTAAGTGGCTGAAATGGTGGTGAGAGATAATGACAGTGAGGTGGAGCTCAGTTACAAAATGGCCAGAAAAGATTAGGATAGAGAGAAGATGCCAAAATTTATGGGGTCATACTTTTTAAAAAAATTATACTTTAAGTTCTGGGATACATGTGCAGAACGTGCAGATTTGTTACATAGGTATACACGTGTCATGGTGGTTTGCTGCACCCATCAACCCATCATCTACATTAGGTATTTCTCCTAATGCTATCCCTCCCTTAGCCCCCCACCCCCCAACAGGCCCCGGTGTGTGATGTTTCCCTCCCTGTGTCCATGTATTCTCATTGTTCAACTCCCACTTATGAGTGAGAACATGCAGTGTTTAGTTATCTGTTCTTGTGTTAGTTTGCTGAGAATGATGGTTTTCAGCTTCATCCATGTCCCTGCAAAGGACATGAACTCATCCTTTTTATGGCTGCATAGTATTCCATGGTGTATATGTCTCACCTTGTCTTTTTTTTTTGTTTTGTTTTCTTTATTATTATTATTATTATACTTTAAGTTTTAGGGTACATGTGCACAATGTGCAGGTTATTTACATATGTATACATGTGCCATGCTGGTGCGCTGCACCCACTAACTCATCATCTAGCATTAGCTGTATCTCCCAATGCTATCCCTCCCCCCTCCCCCCAACCCACAACAGTCCCCAGAGTGTGATGTTCCCCTTCCTGTGTCCATGTGTTCTCATTGTTCAATTCCCACCTATGAGTGAGAACATGCGGTGTTTGGTTTTTTGTTCTTGCGATAGTTTACTGAGAATGATGATTTCCAATTTCATCCATGTCCCTACAAAGGACATGAACTCATCATTTTTTATGGCTGCATAGTATTCCATGGTGTATATGTGCCACATTTTCTTAATCCAGTCTATCATTGTTGGACATTTGGGTTGGTTCCAAGTCTTTGTTATTGTGAATAATGCCGCAATAAACATACGTGTGCATGTGTCTTTATAGCAGCATGATTTATAGTCCTTTGGGCATATACCCAGTAATGGGATGGCTGGGTCAAATCCTTTTCTTTATGCAGTCCAGTCTATCATTGATGGGCATTTGGGTTGGTTCCAAGTCTTTGCTATTGTGAACAGTGCTGCTATAAACATATGTGTGCCTGTGTCTTTATAGTAGCATGATTTATAATCCTTTGGGTATATACCCAGTAATGGGATTGCTGGGTCAAAGGGGCTTACGGTATAAAAAGAGGTGTGGAAAATCAGCCCCAGTAGGAACCAATTAATTACTAATCCACAGAGGAAACCATGCTCCACATTTTTTTTTTTTAAATCTGAAGACATGGTAAACTATGGGTAGATTTTTAAAAATTACATATGAACCGATGACTAGATTGTGAAATGTAATAAAGTGCCAGAATACCCAGTTGCTTTGGAACAGAATTCTGTGTGTTGTTTGTAGGTTTTGTCTACCTAACAACACAATTTTGTTTGGGTGAATTTTTGTTTGTACTTGATAAAGGTTTTGGTTGTATTGTCTGGCTCATTTGAGTTGGGCAGCCTGATCTTTTGTTCTGACTTAACCTCCCATGAACACATTTCTAAAAGGATGGTTTTACTATTTATAAATTTGGTGCTGCTCAGAGGTCATTTAGAAATTAATGTAATTAAAAAGGCATAAATAAAACAGGAACCTGTTGACCTGACCTAGATACAATCTTACCAGAAGGCAGGGTTGTTGTGTGGTTTGTTTTTGTTTTTGTGGGGTTTTTTTTTGGTGGGAGGTATTTACTTCATTATAGCCTTAGAAAATTCAGACAGAGATTTGTGAACAGTGTCCTGAAACATTGTTTGTAAGAAAAGTTGGCTTCTATGGTCTCACTCTATTCTAAAATCTTTCATGATAAGCATGTCCTAATAGGTCAAGGTAAAGCTTTGCTGCCCTGGTAGTGGGTGGGAAAGACACAGAGAAAAAGAGTGCATAGATATTCTTCCATTTCCCTCTATGCTTTCTTGCCTTCTGGATTTGGCCTTCTCCTTGATCTCCAACATCTTTGTGTTGAAGGGCCTACAGAGTAAACTGTGGGACTCAATAAACATTCGTTACTTGATTTATTTTAGAGAAAATTTGAATATAGCCTAAATAGACACAAGATTTTGTTTTGTTGGGGCAATATTTACAGCGTGTCCCACATAACGTAAAGAGTAAAATGTATTTTAATGTAGGTTGTCTTTGGTTCATCCTTCTATAAATTAAAACTAGACATTTCTGTTGAGAATCACTTTGTTCCCTCTACTCTTTGTGTGTGACATTCACTTGTGAAATGACAAGACTTTCTAAAATCCTTAGCCAAGTTTAAATCAACTCAGAAAAATCACTTGTTTAATACTGTCTTTTTTTTTTTTTTTTTGCCATCCGCTGTCATTTATTCTGGTTTTATTTTTTCACCCAGAGCAACTCCTTAGAAGAGCGTTACATGGGTAGAAATAATTGTTGGTTGATTGATTATGACTGGAGAGTATGTGTTCTGAAGTTGGAGGTTAAATAAAGCCAACACCACAGGTCTACATAGAATATATGTGTGGTTGATTTGATAGAGAAAAAACCCAATTCACTACAGAGAGGGCCAGGTGAGATGCCTTGAGGGCCTTGGACAACACTTTTGATTTCTAATCTACACAGATTACTTTGGAACTGACTATAAACTAGTTAAATGATTGGCTGGTGACAAAAAAAAAAGATGAAGAAAGTAATGAATGCATACTAAATGGCGCAGAAGATTTAGAGGGATTTGTATTAGCTTTGTAACAAGACTGACATATGGGAAATAAAATTTATTGTTACTAAACATTGAACATTACTCTTGAGCACTAAAATAATGAACACAGTAAAAATAAATAGCATTGAACTAACTAGAGCAGTAAGACTTTCAAAAGAACCCTCCAGAGAGAGGAAGGAAGGGTTTTTCTTTCACATTGTGTAGATAATATAAAGCCACACATCACCTATGCAATAGCATTAGGCTAATTATTCCCAGAGAGCTGGTCAGAGTGTCTAGTTATGCCCAACTGATTGACTCTTTCCTCTTAAATTCCTAAGGAAGCATCAATATTTCTTAAAATATACATGTCAAGATTTCAAATCCCCAAGCTTTTAAAAACATAGCAAAAAATCATAATACAGTTTGGATTAGAAAATGGTTAGAAAGGTTTCAACTTAGCATCTGTGTTGAGTGTTGAATAAACCCATTAGACCTTGAGATATTGCCTTGGAAAACCTAAATGACAACAAAAAGTATTCATTTAGGGAGTAGCCTTCCTGAGAAGAGTTAGAAACTCTTATCACTAGAGACATTCAAAATGGCCATAAAATGTGTCAAGGAAATTATTTTCTCTCTGATGTTATTCTGAGCATGCATAATGAAAAAATTCTTTTTATCAGTGTGTTTTTTACTAGCATACATAATGAAAAAAATTGTTTCATCAGTGTGTTTTTTACTCTCAGTTTACCATTAAGTGCATTACAAATCAGTTTTGAATTTCACAGTAAACACAGTCATGTTTTTCAGGGTCTCCTCAATAGGTCCATATAGTCATAGATTAATTGCTTAGGACAGTATCAGGTTTGTCACTTACCCAGGTACTGAGTTTCAAACTGTACCTCTCTTTAGGAATAAGATTAGTTTTTGTTGTTGTTGTTGTTGTTTTTTCTCTCTACTAACTGCATTTGTCCCTCTTCATCAAAGCACACGCTGAATAGCCATGCTTTTGCATCTTACTGATGCACAGAGGTTGATCAGTTGGATTGAAAGACAGAGCTCGAAAGGTGTTGTAATGCCTTGTTGGCAGCACCAGATCAAGGTGGTATGCTGTGGAGGGGATTCTAGCTTTAGCTCTGCCACTAAAAAGCAGCTGGACTTTAGGTCAGTTGATTGGCATCCATAGATCTTGGTTTCTTCATTTGCAAATGAAAAAAAAAAGTTTTTGCCCCTGTTCCAGGATGCTCTCAAAACTCTTTTTTATCCATCCAACCACCAGGCTTTATTCCATCCAAGGGAGAACAGTATAAACGAACAGAGCTGCTTCTGGAGGTCTCATCTAATGAGGGGCTGAAAAACTCTTAAGGGGCCAGAGAGTAAATATTTCAGATTTTGTGAGGCAAAATTGAGTGAATTATGTAGGTATTTATGTAACATTTAAAAATGTAACCATTAGAAAATGTAAAACCCATTCTTGTGGGTGGTATAAAAACAAGTGGTAGGTTAGATTTGGCCTTGCTGTCGTTGTCCAACCCTGCTCTGGAGGAATAATATAATATACACAGATAATCACACCCCAATGTGCAGGATAGAAGTAAGAGGCAAAAAAATTCATCTGAACGATTTCCTTCCTTGACCAGACACTTTAGTTAAGACAGCCTTTCTTGGTCGTGCAAGAGCCCTTTACTTCACTGGGGGCCATGGAGATCCCTCCTGCCCATTCTTTTCATCTCTCTTCTTATCTTTCTTTCTTTTTGTTTTCTTTGACCTCAAACTACCATTCCCATTTACTTCAAGAGCTTTTTTATTGAGACAAGATGAGGAGGCCTGGGGAAAGGGTGGAAGGGAAGGAGGAGGCCAGCAAGAATTTTAATTTCCCGTGCACCAACATAATTACAGAGCAGATACAATTGCCTCCAAATCTTTTGTGCTGCTTTATATGCATTCATTATTTTCCTCATCTTTTTGTCACCAGTCAGCCATTTAACTAGTTTACAGTCAGTTCCAGGGAAATTTATGTAGACTAGAAATCATCGACCTTAACTGAAGCCCTGAAGACATCTTACGTGTTAGCACATCGATAGATATTGTATTTTAATAAATTCAGTTTCTCTATCAGAAACTTTGTGTCAGCTGCAAGCCTCTCTTATCACAGAGGCATCTGAACTGCCCTAAGTATGAAATATGGACAATCAGAAAGCCTCATCTCAGATTGTTCTGGAGGTTTACTCCAGAGAGAGTCCATCATTTTGGAAATTCATTTAAATAGGTAGAAGGAAAATATCAAGAGCCTAAAAAATGCATGTAATGCCATTGCATTTTCCTTTTCTATGATTAATTTAAGTTCCCCTGGGAAATGTTACCCTTTGAAGTTGTAGATGAATTAGAATTTTTCTCTCAGAATTATTAACACATACCATTTCTGACAAGTAGTGTGTTTCCTTTAACAATCTTTGATTTTTCTCACATTTAAATGCGGTTAATATTGAATAAATGGCCTGTTGTCTTTCTTAGTATTTATTGTTAATGTGACTTGAACACTTGCAGAATTTCCTTTTTGAAATGTTTAAAGATATGTACATGTTCCAAGATAAGATTTTATCTAAAACATTCTGACCAGTATTGAGTATGTATCAAAAATGATGTGCTTCTTAATTTGAAGTCCAGTAAAGACAAAATGAAAAGTGGTGGGATAAGGCTGGTAAATTGCAGCTTAAGCCCAAACAATGACTATTATGGAATATAAACATGTATAAGCTTGTCTGTCAAACTGGTGGAGCACTGCTGCAACGAAGCCTTTTTTGATCACTACAGGTACTGGATGAGCACTCATTCAGAGAGAAGGAGACAGGCTTGAAAAGCTTCATCCATTATCAAAACCATAGTCACAGCCAGTGTATGTGTGGATGACACAGGGGACAGATGCCCACCACTTAGCCTTATACCTGGCCAGTCCCCGATGGACTCAAATCTGGGCTGTAGAAGAGAGAAGACCTTGACTAGATTTTCTGTGTATGGAAGGTGATACGGCGGAATCAGAATCTGTGGCGGACACTGTTAGTTGCCCTCCTAACCCCAATAGCGATTTCCCCTCCTTTTTGTAAACACAATCTTGTTTTCTTTGAGGGGGAGGGGGTAGCCTTATGCCCCACTATGAGGGCTAAAATCATGATTGGTTTAAGTCATTAATGGCAATTTCATTACTTTGACAGTCTCCCTTTCCCAGGGGTCCCAGAGCTATGATGACCATGTGACCTAGTTCTACTCAATGCTGTGCAAGGAGAAGGCTGCAGCTGGGCTTCTGGGAGAAACTCTCTTACCATTTTGCCCACCTGATATTGTGTGAAGATGTGCAGCTTGTATCTGTGGCAGTCATCTTGTGATCAAGAGATGGCATGTCCAAGAATGAAAAGCTCACAGTTGAGAATGGCATGGTTGAGGCAGAAAGAAATTAGATGATGGATGGTGCTGTGGAGCTGCTGCACCAAACTTGGAGCTCCACATCTTCAGAATTCTTATATCACGAGATCAGTAAATGCTTTTATTGCTTAAGCCACTGTGAGCTGGGTTTTCTCTTCTTTCAGCTGCTTGAAATCAAATGAGTGTAACATCAAAATGGATTAATGCATTTGTTTAATTCACCACAAAGCTTGGAGGACTTTCAGTAATTCGAGGGCCTCAGCCGAAGAGGTAGCAGAATTCAGGAAGAGTGAGCGTGTTAAGCCAGAGCATGAGTACCCAAAATAAGCAGTGGAAGTGCCAGTGGAGGCAGTGGTGCCCAGAGGCTATGGCAATAATGTCTGGCAATCCTGGCAGAAGAGGCAGATGTGCCAGACTGAAGTAACGTGAGTGGGGAAGCCCAGCAGATGTAGCGGTCCCTGGTTGACACTGGGGTGCCTCATGTTGCAGAAATAGAAATAAAGAAACTATGGCACAGAGTAGCTTTCTGGATAGCTGATTTTACTTGTTTGTAGGCATATTTGAGGCATCATTTTGTATGTTAAAGAGGATAATCTGCTGCCCAGAATGTTTACAGGCTCAAACACAACAGGAGTTTGTGTTCTGCTCATATAACAGTGTGGTGGCCAGTGGATGGTTTTCTCTCTTTCTGGTGAATCAGGGGCTTTGGAGACTTCCATTTGGAGATTCTGAAGTTCCTTGGCACCTGGTTGTCATGGCATTCAGCTGGTAGAAGAAAAAAGAGCATGGGGGAGATATGCCTGCTTCTTAAAAACCTCAGTCTAGAAGTGGCACAAATTACCCCCCTTCTACTTCACAGTGGAAAGGAGTTATATGTTTCTACCTAACTGCAAATGGAGTGGGCAATGGGTTTCCCTGGCTAGGCAGCTGCTCCAGGTTATATCTTGAAATAGGAGAATGAAATATGATAGGCAATCTCTGCCAGCCAGGTACTCTTGGAAATATGATACTTGTTTTGCGGTGGGATTGGGGTGGGGCAGATACTTTGCAGAATCTTAGGGTTCTGAGCTAGTTGGTGGGGTAAGCTGGTGACACAGAGGTAACAAGGCCAGTGATTTACCCATGGATCTTCTAAGTGTTGCCAATTAGAGTAGTTTAGGCAGTAGGGGGCATTTCCCCCCCATTCCTTGGAATTATTTGCTTGACTATATCAAATTACTGAATAATTGAAAAACCCTCTCTTTTGTCTAACTACAGTCATGTGTTGCTTAACGACAAGGATACATTCTGAGAAAAGTGTTCAATAAGTGATTTTGTAATTGTGTGAACATCAGAGTGTGCTTACAGAAACCTAGATGGTGTAGCCTACTACACGCCTATGCTATAACCTATTGTTCCTAGGTTACAAACCTGTACAGCATATTACTGTACTCAATACTGTAGGCAATTATAACATGATATATTTGCATATCTAAACATATTTAAACATAGAAATGGTACAGTAAAATCATGGTATGATCTTAGGGGACCACAGTCATACGTGCAGTCTATCACTGACCAAAACATTGTTATGCAGGGCACGACTATATTTAGATCTGGTATGGCCATAGTACTGAATTTCATTTATGATTTAACATAAACCAAATACCGACAGTCTAAACTCTAATATATACACCTGCCAGTCCTTTTATTATTGGAAGCAAAGCACTTAAAAGCATGTGCTAGTTTTTTCTTTTTGAAAGTATTTCTGATGACTGCATGGCCTACGACTACTAAGAAATAGAATTTCAAAATGAGCATCAGACTTATTTTTCAAGTGCCTTGTCATAAATGCATTGCTACTCATGTAATAAAGTAATTTTCCCTTGTGAGATAAATATAGCACTAAAGAAGAATGAGCCTTGTCTGATAAAATGGCTTTTATTAATCTTCTAATGTTTTTATTTTGTTCTAGAATTATGATTAGTTTCAAGAGAGTAGCAAACAGGTTATGATCAGAGTTGAGTATTATTGCTATCCAGATATATTTGGTTAATGCCTGCTGTTTATTTCAAAAACAAAATGTTCCATTAAGAAAAATCAATGATAATGGTTAGACTTTATTATCAAGAAATTATACCTGTTATGTAAACCTTGCTAATTATAAGTGCTTGGATTCATTTGGGTGATATAACAGATGAAAAAGGCCATTTATTAGGAGAAGTACTTGGCATTTGTACCAGCATAATAAAACTAAAATAATAAAACACAACCCAAGGAAAGAAAAAAATGTTATTGAGGAATGGAATTTGCCCAGGAATGAATTATACCAGGAGACAGTATGGAGTGTGGGATTAACACTGAGTGCTTCATCCTGGATATCAATTTCCTATGACACCTCAAACAGCCTGTCCTTGTCTTCTCCTCCTTCCACTTTACTTCTTACTTTTTCCGGCTGAGCTCATGCATGTACATGCTTCAGCTTCTATTAATTCCTAAGTATTTGTAACTTCAGTGCTGACCTCTTGCCCATGGTTCAGTCTGCCCTCTGGCCATCTCTGCCTGGATGTCTCCTAGGAACCTGAACTCTACGTGTTCAAATAGAGTTTATCTCTCATGCTCTTCTTGAATATCATAGTGACAGCCCTCACTCCTCCCTCCCTCACACCCATATCCAATCAGCCATACCTTTTTGTTTCCAGCCAGAAATTTCTCTCTCATATCTAGATTCTACATTTGCTCCCACTCCCACCGCCTTAGTCTGGGCCATCATCACCTTTTGTTTTAATGACTATAACCTATACATCTAACCAGCAGGCTCATAAGATGTAGTCACTAAAGCAATTTTATTTTTTGTCTTCTGTAGTCCTTTATTTTAAAATTGTTCTCTCAACTTTTAATTTTCAAATATTTCAAATCGGCAGAAAAGTTGAAATAACAAAACAATAAACACATATATAAATCTCACCTTCTAGATTGATCAGTTGCTAACACTTTGCGAGCTTTCTTTCTCTGTGTGAATCTCTCGCTCTCTCTCCCTGTCCCCACTCCTCTGTCACTCTCTCCTGTAATCCATTTTCCACATCTCTGCACAGAACCCAACCCTGCTTTGGCTCCTTAAAGATGGTGGCTTGGGAATGGTGTGGACACTGGCCTTCCCATATGTTTCTAAAGGTCTAACTCCAATAGTAAAAGGTGTTCCGTTTCAGACAGAAGCAGAGGGAGACAGCAGAAGAAAAGGGTTACTATAATGAGAAATGTAATGAACCTTGGCAAGCCATGTGCTTGTATGTCTGTGTGTCAGCGTTTGCAAGGAGTCCATTTTCTTAGATGCAGGTTGGCCACATGAGGGCTCAGGGTGGGGATAGAATGTTGTGTGAGACTGTGGACCTCAGAGAAATGTCCTCATGGATGATACTGGCAGATATGGCTGGGCCCAGATACCTCCTTGAAGTGGCTGGCTCTTTGTTAGTGGACATTGAAAGCAGAAGGTGTGAACAAACTTGTTTCTGAACTCAACACTTGGAGATTCTCAGAATGGGTAAGACTTTAAGGCTGAGGAGGTGACGGTGGCTACAAAAACCTTATGAATGCAAGTAGAGGACATAAAACAGCAAGATGTGAGCACTGTTGTTATGGTGGCCTCACAGGCTAGTGAAGCCTGAGGACATTTGGATTACATAGGGATAGGAAAAAAAGATATTGAAAGAAATACATATATTTCAATGAGAACACTTCCTTTACCCTATAGTTTTCCATGGCCCTAATTGTGTACAAGTTATTCATCATTCCACCCTTGCATTTTGATGGTATATATGTGATATAAACACATGTGACAATCTGTTTGGCCAGTAGATCTACAAAACCATTGAGGATTATTAGTGCTGATTTTATTTTAATAGAATAAAGTATTTTTTTGTCTGAATTAACTACTCTGCCTTTCAAGTCATTAAAGCAAAACTCAAATCCTTACTGTTTCAAAAATATTGCTAATTGGCTTATTTGTTAAAAAACATCTGTTTTTCATCAGAGGCAACTGAGGCAATATGTTGCAGATTGTATTTTCCAAAGATGATGACAATTGTCTCTCCTACCCCTTGTTCTCTTATAATGTGACTGTGACATTTCACTTATAAAATAGTGGAGCCAGTGTCCCTCCTCTTGAACGTGGGTGGATATTGTGATTGCACTGATCAATAGCGTGTGGTGGAAATGACTCTCTGTGACTTCCAAAGGTAGATCATGAAAATGCCATGCAGCTCTGCTTTGCTCTGTTGGCACATTTGTTCTTGGCATCTAACCACCATGCTATAAGAAAGCCCAGCTAGCTCACATGCAGAGGCCATATGGAAAGGCCATATACAGGTATTTCAGCTAACAGCCTAGCTGAGATCCCAGCTGACCACCAGCATCAACCACCAGACATGTGAGCAGGCCAGATGATTCCACTCCTCGGCTGTTGAGTAACCCTCAGTCTTTGAGTCTTCCTCCTTGAATACACAGCTATCAGAGGTCAAAGACAAGCCCTCCCTCTGTGCTCTGTTCAAATTTTTGACCCACAGAATCTGTGAGCATAATAAAATGGCTGTTCTATACCACTGAGTTTTAGGGTGTTTGCTATGCAGCAGTAGCAACTGGAACAGCATATAACAACTTTTTCTGGTTTGGTAACAACTCAGTGATTTTTGATCATCTAGAAATGTTTTATAAATGAATCTATTTGAAGACATTTTCTTTATCCTATATCATCAAGGTCCTAATTTGAGAAATATCTCTGTGAAGTCTTTTAATTCAAGCATGCCTGGGTAGTCAGAAGAGCCTGCCTGTCAGGTAATTTCTCTAGGAGTCTTTGTATGGAAGACCAACAAACCTTTTGAGAAAGAACTCAACCTGAGTAAAGAGACTCTCTGCTCAAGAAGTTGGTGCCAGGGTAATAGTCTAATGTTCCAGGGCTGGTCAACTTTGAGAATAGTCCAGTACCATCACTTGACTTGCCTTCCAGCCCAGCCACCATAGACCTATCCCTGAATCCCACAGAGAGAGGAATTACAGTGCAAGAAAGAGGAAAAGAAAAGAGTGCTTCAGTTGCTCTTCCTTGGGGCCTTGGGAATATAAGTCAATGGGTTCAGCAGCACTGGTATTGACTGCCTTGGCCACATAAGGACGCATCTGACCTAGGATGTTGGGCATTGGGTGCCCCATTGTTGATTTTGGTGGACTTGGCAGAAAACCAGAGGAGATGGGCAAATGGTGCTTGCTATGTGGAAGCTGGGAGGACCATATTCACCCATTTATTAATTCACTCTGTGGTGGGCAGTCTTCATTGTCCATGACTTATGTTTTTCTTTTCTGTAGTAACAAAATTGTAGTTGGCATGTGGCTGCCAAGATATCCTATGTTTTTAAGCTTCCCTTGTAGTTAGGTGTTGTCATGTGGAATGTGAGAAGTGATTTGTGCTTCTTGCAACGCTGGGACTTTATACACCCGATATGCATCTTCATGCTCTCTTTTTCCTCTCTACTGGCTGGAATTTATCAACTCAACCTTTGGGTCTCTGAATGACTCATATCATGGGTCTCTGAATGACTATGTGGAGCAAAGCCACCCACTGACATGGAATGCTCACCACTAATTTTTAGGTAAATAACAAGCTATCTTTTCTCAATCTTTGAATTATTGTTGAGTTTCTTTGTTTTATCATTTTACCCTTAACCTAAATATGCTTATCTATCCAACAAATATTTACTGAACTATATATCAGGTTCTGTGAAAGATGATGAGGATACAATGGCAAGCTTAAAATTCACCAGGGGAAGCAGACAAAATATAATTACAATTGTGATACATGCTAAATCCTCTAGAGGAGAGGTGCATGGTGAAATGAGTGTATATAGTCAGGAGAATTGATGCAGTCATGGGCATTAACAAAGTCCTCTGTGAAAAAAATAATAATTGATTGAAGTCTTCGGGAAGAGTGAGATTAATTTGTGGGTGGGAGGCAATAAGCAGAGATCCTTCTAGTCAGAAGGGATAGCATATCCAAAGGCCTTGGGGTAGCAGTTTGCATGGTCAGGCTGGTCTTGAACTCCTGATCTCGTGATCCGCCTGCCTTGGCCTCCCAAAGTGCTGGGATTACAGGCGTGAGCCACCACGCCGGGCCAGATCACATAGTCTTTGAGGTCTAGTTCAGTCTGCCGTCCTCTGCATTGGCAAGGGCCTACTGAACGCTTTCCATAGTGAGTGTAGGTCACCCTCTGGCTTGTTCCACACACAGATGTGAGTGTGGAGCGTGCAATCCTTATAATGAGAAGAATCCAGGAATACTATATTCCATTAATAACAAAGATTTGTGTAAAAATGGCAATTTGATCCCGACATAAAATGCTTGCCAGTTGTTTCTATTTCCCCTTTCCTGCCTTTTGTAGCCGTCCAGATCTTCTGACTGCATCATGGTGTGGATCTGTTTACGCTAGCAACTCTCCTGGCTTCTGAGGAGGCATTTCTATTTTAAAAAGAGGGGTTTGCTGAGGGCAGCTATCACAGCAGGAGAGTGACTGGAAATAATTGCTAGCTGTGGCAAGTGAAAGAAACTGAACTAGAGAAAGCGGAAAAGAGGATTTACTGGTTAATGGAACTGGAAGGGAGGGGCGATGTCAACATTAGGGACAACTGGAACCAGGGACTTGAACATTGTGAGGAATTCTCTTCCTGCTTGTCTTGGCTTCTTTGAGCATCAGCTTGTCTGCGCACATTGGCTTCTCATGTGGCTGGAGCCATGGTTGCTACAGCTCTAGCCTCCCACGTTTACAGTTCCAAGACTAGAGAGGAAAGGTACTCTCTCCTAAGCTCAAGTTTGAAAAAAACAGAGGAGAATCCTGATTGGCTGGATTGAGGGGGGGTCACGTGTTTATTCCTGGCCCAATCACAGTGACCAAAGTGTGAGACTTTATGATTGGTCCAACTGGATCAAGTGCCCACCTCTTGGCACATGTTGGAAACGCTCACCAGAACCACCTGGTTTGAAAAGGCATCTACCTAAAGATGCTGTTCTGGGCACTGTTTTAAAACATTTTTTTCCGTGAAGTTTTCCTTCCCTCTATTTCCTTATATTTATGTATTTGTAAAATGACATCAAAGACAGAGCCTTTCTTAGGTCCTAATCTCTCTACCGAGTGGTAGCGTCTGAATAACAAAGGGGAGTGGCCAATGTCTCTTTTAACAAGGAGGATGTGCTTATGGCAGGCGCCCCGGGAGCCCAGGGCAGGGCTCAGGCCGGGTAGCCCTGAGAAGCAGGGCCCATTGAATATGTGTGAAATGCAGAACACTCAGTAAATGGGCTGTAGTGGAAATCCCGCATCTGTGATACCGGAGGGGTTTGTGTATTTCTGGCTGCTGGTAGATAAGAACCAGAAATTTCTGTGTGCTGAAAACTAGAGCACAGAAAGATTGGTGCTTGTTATATGAGGTGAGAGATGGAAAGAGAGAGAAACTGCAAATCTTGTTTCTGAACCTGTGCTCACCACCTTCCTTTCTTTTTTGGCATGTCTCTCAACTCGGAAGTTTGCTTGGGGACTTCCCCAGCCAGTTCTGTGCTCCTCAAGGCGGGAAACCATGCTTGCCAATCTTTTGGACTCATTTTTAATCGGCTTGGAAATTTAATCAGAATAATGCCAGGTACATGCAATTGTAAAAAAAAAAATCTATTAATTAGCTACCCACAGTCTTGCCTTCTCCAGTTAAATTTAAATCCTGAGGAGAAAATGACATACAGCTCTGTTCTATACCTCCAGGTATGGAAACCACCGCCTGGGATTAAAGCATCAGTGAAGATGCTGCTTAGGAGGAATTCAGATTTTAGAGAAGAAAGGAGGTCATGAGAGCTCATTACTGGATCACTGAACTGGTAAGAATTATAAAGAGCTCGCCTTTTTCTTTTCTTGTATATGTGCACTACATTCATTTTTTTGGTGTGACAACAGTGTTTATAAAGGACCAAACATTCACTTTGCTAATGAAAGTTGACATTTCTAGTCATCCAATAAACAAGGATGCTTAATTTCAAGAGATGTGCATCAAGATGGTACCAATGGGTACACAGTGTAGACTCTCTGGGGAACTGAACACTCAGAATGGACACAGGTTTAATTTAGCTCAAAACACACTTAACATATGCAGTAGGACAGTTTGTCTGCAATGCCTAACTATTCTTTATGCCCTATGACTTTGGTTCATTTATCTCCCCAGAATTCGATCAGGAGTAGCCTCTTGCCATAGTGGTGGCAAGTCTGCTGCCAAGCGGCTAGCCTATTACTAGGAACCTTGCTAAAATAAAGATCTTGATTCAATAGTGCAGGGGTGAAATCTGAGACTCCGCATTTCTAACTAGTTTCCAGGTGATGCCAAGGCTGCTGGTCCCAGGGTCACACTTTGAGTAGCAAGGGACCAAGTTACAGAGACAGGGGGATTTAAGAGCCCAGACACCTTAATTGTGTAGCTGATGTGAATATCTGGGAGCTTCTGGTGCAGAGGATCCCAGACAAGCCCTAATTTGTCCTCTGAGTCCTGTTTTTCCCATTTTTATTTTCCCCCTGCACTTCCATGGATTCCACAAGAGATGTGTCCTTTGAACGGAGCCCCTTTTCTGAGCTAATTTGTGGGGATTCTACCCTATTCTTGCAGCCAGATGAGCCCTTGCTAGTTCAAGAAACAGATACATCAGTATTTAGAGGAGTCCACAGGTTAGGCGTGTATGAGGTACAAATAACCAGACTCTGCCTCCCCCTGACTATGGCCTGGCAGCTTTCTCTTTCTTCCTTACCTCTCCATCAGCTGAACACTTCAAGTCTGTGCCTTCAGGGCAAGACCTTCTTTTGACCTTGTTAATTTGCTCATTTCTCTAATCAACTCGTTTAGTTAAGAGATGTGGTTTCAAAATGGAAACACCTCCAATACTGCAAAGTGAAGAAAGCAGAACAGTTAGCTGTTTCATATAAAAACAATCTGAAAATACAGTAAATGAATCCACGGTTAAAATGCTAAACAGTAAATTTATTTGCAAAGTGAATCACACATCAGTTGTGCTTTTACTGTAGCCCAGAATAATTTCTAATTATAGCAACACTAAATAGAAAATAGCTTGTATTCTATTATTTAAAATATTCATGAAGTGGGGAGAGGACTAGAAAGAACTGAATGTATAAATGTGACTTTTGTGGGGCTGTTTTAATGCTTGGCCTTGTATGGCATCCACGCCCAGTTTGGCTCAGGTGACGAAAATGAAATGGACAAATATATTTGGTGACATAAATAACATTAAAGTTAATAGGTTTTACTCAGCACTTGGCATGTGAATGCAAAAGGAACCCAAATCCTCTGGGGTCACTCAAGATATACTGAGCACCCGCTTTTACGCAGGCAACCGTACTAAGTTTGGTGGGAGTTCAAAAGTGAGCAAAATGCTTCTTCTTTCCCTTTGGCTCTTATAGTCTGGGAAAAAATGACAAGCAATGTTTTTTTCTCCTCCCTCCATTTTCTATTAGCTGACAACTACATGGATCCTCTTTTCCTTATCTCTAGTGGTGAAGTTTTAGTGTCAGCATCAGGCCAAGGAGTGAGGCATTTTGAACAGACATTTTCAGTGTTCCTCAGATCCCATGATGCAGATGACAGTCCCCTCTTAAGGCCAGCCCCTTAGGAGTCCATCTTTTCAGTTTACTCCACCTTTCCTAATCAGAGCCATTCTTTGCTCAGATAACCACAGACACTTCTGGAGAAACAGCCCTTTCCCTACTCTTTCAACCCCTACAACCTCCCTGAGAAATTTCTGCCTTGGCCTCTGCAAAGGACCCACCTGACAAAGCGATATGAGGAGGCATATTGCAAAAAGGACACAGCCTGTGAACTGGGGGAGCCCTGCTACTCACCAGCCACTCTCCCAGCACAGCTTCCTCAAAACTTTTTTGTTTGAAAAGATGTTGCGTCATGGTGAATAAGAGCATCAATGTGCCGGGGCCAGGGGTGCCATAAACTAAATGGTGTCCCATCCCTAAATTCATATGTTGGAGCCCTAACCCTTCATGTGGGCTATACTGGAGAGAGGGCCTTGAAGAAAGTAATGAAGGTTAAATGGGGTCATAAGGCTGGAGCCTGACCTGGGAGAACGGGTGCTCTTAGAAGAAAAGGAAGAGATAGCAGAGTTCTCTCTCACCATGCGAGGGCACCGTGGGAAGGCAGACATCTGCAAGCCAGAAACAGAGCCCTCACCAGAACCCAGTCGTGCTGGCTGGCTGATCTTGGACTTTTAGCCTCCAGAACTGTGAGAAAATAAATTTCTGTTGTTTAAGCCAGCAGTCCCCAACTTTTTTGACACCAGGGACCAGTTTTGTGGAAGACAGAGTTTCCATGGACTCGTGGAGGGGGTGAGATGGTTTTGGGATGATTCATGCACATTACATTTACTGTGCACTTTATTTCTATTATTATTACATTGTAATACATAATGAAATAATTATACAGCTCACCATAATGTAGAATCAGTGGGAGCCCTGAGCTTGTTTTCCTGCAACTAGATGGTCCTATCTGGGGATGATGAGAGACAGTGACAGATCATCAGGCATTAGATTCTCATAAGTAATGCACAACCTAGATCCCTTGCATGCACAATTTACCATAGGGTTTGCACTCCTATGAGAATCTAATGCTGCTGCTGATCGGACAGGTGGCAGAGCTCAGCTGGTAATTCATGCAGTGGGGAGTGGCTGCAAATACAGATGAAGCTTAGCGTACTTGCGTGCAGCTCATTGTGTGACTCAGTTCCTAACAGGCCATGCAGGGACTGGTACCGGTTTGTGGCCCTGGGGGTGGGGGGACCCCTGGTTTAAGCCACCAGTCTGTGGTACTTTGTTAGGGCAGCAAGAAATGACTAATTAATACCAGGGAGACTTAGGGATGGGGAGGCAAGCCGAGGTGGGCAGAAGGAGAGAGAGAGGCAGCTGTGCATGCTGCAGGTTGGGAACTGAGATGGCTCCCAGTAGAGGTCAGCTTCAGTCATTTCTTCAAACAGTTTAAAATCCACGTCTGAGAACCGTTTCACTTCTTATGGAGGGGCAGCAAGAAAAGCTGCCTGCAACAAGATTTAATTGTGGGACTTCTGGTAAGACCATTATTTTGTTTTAAACTACAAAGAACATGCAGCTCTTATGATACAGATAGTGAAAGAGTCACATAAAAATAGGCATTTGGCCTCTGAACCACAGTCTTATGGCAGTTTAAGTTTGAATGCTGAAATTAATTTTTGACAGCCCCAATAAACTGCACATTGAGACCACACTTCCCAACGACTGATCTGATCATTAGAGTTTCTATTTCTCAGGAATTATTAGGAGGAAAACCAACTATATCCAAGCTACTGGGAGATGCACAACCACTGATAATTAGAAAGAATAAAATCGATGACTAAATGAATGTGCAGTTTACACACAAATGTAACCTTTTATTCTTTCCAATTAGGCTTTCTCCTGTAGGCTTGGCAGATGAGGCTGTGTTATAAATAGAAGTGGCATTTTGTAGGGTTCTTCAAACTGAAGTGTACATGAGGTCAAATTATAATCAAGGTAATATATATAAGTAATGAGCTGAGTCCACATTCCCAGGCATTTATACATTTAGTGGTAATAAATGAGCAAAGATGAAAAGAGAGCTTCCGGACAAATGCAGCAAAATAGTTACTTGTGTGGTTGGAGCACAGCAACTTATCTCTTTGTAATGAATGCTTGCCAGTGATAATTGACTTCATTTGTTAATTGTATTCATGATATTAATGAGATCATTAGCATAACAGTCACATCCTATTCTCCTGTGGTCAAAGTCTAGGGAATTACAAGTTTTGCACACCTTGTTGCTATACGTATACTTATGCATGCCAGTGATGTACAAATTCAAATGCCATCTGTGCTGACTTTTACAAGGACACCCTGAAATAATTCCTTGCCTGTTTTTAAGGGGGCTTTCTGAGAATTTGGGAGAGATCTTTTGTTCTCAGGATAATGAGTTTCATATTTATGAGAAAGATCCAAATTTAGCTCCTGTCATCTTTTTCTCCCCTGAATTCTACTTATTAGTAAGACTTAGCCATGAGCTAAGAACCTGGGAGGAGGAGGAGAAAGTGGCAACAGCCGAGTCTCAGTAAGAGAGGAAAGGGAAGTGATGGGGCACAGGAACATCAAAATATGGCAGCCTGACATTTGAGAAAACTGCAGAAGTGGAATGTCTCCCTCAACTTACCCTTCCCCCTCTCCCCTGAAGCAGGTCATAAAACCCAGGAAGGGCACTCTCTGACTTTCTTGGATCCTTCTTCTCTAAAGCAGGTCATAACATCCTCATTCAGGAAGTACCCTCCCTATACCCGGAAGAAAGGAACATCCTTATCTCTGAAGACACAGAAGAATCTGAACAAACAAACCTGCCTTACTAAGTTCCTCCAAGTTTATTCCCATTAGGTTATACCTCCTTTGTCCAATCATACTTCCCCATGACTGTCCATTCTTCAACAAAGTCAAGTGTAAAAATATACAGGTTTTCTTGTTTCTCTGGGTCTTCATTTCTGAAGGCTCTCATGTCACATAAAACTTATATTAGATAAACGTGTGCTTTTTCTTTGTTAATCAGCCTTTTCTTATAGGTGCCTCAGCCATGAACCTGGTGAAGAATGAGAAAAGAAATCTTTCTTCCCCTACAGAAGTAAGTGAAAGTTCACTTACTTGGGGAATTGTGGGAAGAAAAAGATAGAGGTTTGGGAGGCAGTGGGGAGATGGGTATGTGGGATAAGACATTCAAGAATGGGGTGGAGGAGATTTGTTTCAGTTTAGGTGTGAGACTCTAGAAGGGAACTGGATTACTCTCTTCTCCCAGACAACTCTTGTACCAATTCATGTGGTGAGGTGTGGAGGAGACCCAGATGTGCCCAGGTACCTCTCCCAGCCCCAGGAGGGGTAGTGAAAGGGACTGGACAAGATCCAAACAAGCCTGCTTTAGAACCCAGCAAGACACGAGGAAGGTGACCTCCAGCAGCTGGTTGAAGGATGTGGCAGAGCTTGAGTGAGTAGCCAGGGAGAATCACCAGGCCATTGTGGAGATGCAAGGGGCCAGTCTGGCCCAGTCCAGCCCAGCCCAGCTTCTGCAGGAGACACTAACACTCCTCCAGATATTGGCTGCTCCATGAGGGTCACTCTCCAGGAGCAGCCCAGTCTAGGCATTTTGCTGCAAGGGATGCCATGTGGAATCAAGGACCTTTCCCTTCCTTGAACATCATCTTGGGGAAGAGAAGGAAGGAAGGAAGGAAGGAAGATCAGGCATCTGAAAGACTGAATGACATTAGGCAAGTCACCTAAATGCACTGCAAGGATAACGCCAGCATATGGGCCCTGCCAGGCAGCTGAGGACATGGAGTGGCTTTTATCCCAAAGACATCACATTACTTAAGGACTCTGTTCAGATTTTGGGATGGCCTGTAATTTTAGAGTTGAACTAAAATCTCTAGTTCCCTCTTTCTGCTTGCAAGGGGAATGGGGAATTTAGAGAGAGTAATTTATAAGAAAATACTGAAACTTCATTTTCTCTGGATTTATGAAGGTAGTGTAAGTGAATTGCAACCCTGCTACATATGAAATTGCTATCAAGAGGCAACTTCTTTTGGTCCTGTTACCTCTCCAGGGCCATTCCAATTATTTATAATAATTGCTCAGTATAATTATGTATGAAAAGGCCAGCAGGTCTGGAAATGGCTCCATGACTGCTCTGTCACCATGAACTAGTTCTCAGGCACCATCTGAAGTTTCTGAGATGAGGCCCTCCCCTGATTATCCCCGTGGTGTCTCCTTACCTGACCCTTTCTTCCTGATTCTGCTTGGTACCTGGGATTCCTCTGCTTTCCCCTATGACCTTGACATATGCCTGGTGGGGAAGCCACGCCATGTCCTCAGCTGCCTGGCAGGGCCCTTATGCTGGCGTTATCCTTGCGGTGCATTTTTCAGATGGGGACAAGGAGGCTAGGTGACTTGCCTAATGTCATACAGTTGGTGGCAAAGCCAAGGTTTGAACTCATGTCAGGTTTCATGGTCTCTGTGTCTAACTCTACCCTCTCCTTTGAATCCTGTACTCTTCCAGATGCAGCTTTTCCTGCACCCATTTGGTTGGAAAGGAAGCTAGTACACTGACAACTTAGCACAATATTTCAACCGACATGGGTACATTTTGCTTTGATGCCAACTTCATTGATATCTAATTTATTCACTGTTAAATTATATTATCCATTTTTTTATGATCAAAGTCTAAAATTCAGGGCAGGACTCTCAGGCAGTGGGTGGAACTTGTTCAGATTGTGGCCACTCCAATGATGGATAAGTCCCTTGTTGTGATCACCAAATCCACGGAGGAAAGGTACAAGAATGAGCTTGTTCTCACAATGCTGAGCAGTTAAAGTAAATAACTCCAAATGAGGTGTTTTCTGTATACCTCTCCTTGCATTCTTGGCTTGACAGTCCCAAATGAGGAAGTGAGAAGGTGTTTTTTTTTTTTTTAGTGTCCAAGAGCACTCCCTCCACAGCTTGATGGAAACCAAGTAGTGCTTTACAGAAGATCTTCAGATCCCCCTAATCCAAGAGTGTCACATCCCAAACTGAAGAGTCCCTGACCAAATGGGCCTTCAGCTCATGGTTGTAAAAGACAATCCAAACTTTGTGAGGTTTCTCATACAGGACCCTGCCAAATCCTTTCACACTATCCCTACAGATAGGAGGTTTAGTAAGAAGGGCCTGAGAGAGTGTGTGGGCCAAATGAGTCTGCTATTCTACCCCCACCCCTATTGTTGTTGCTTTCACTGGGTGTTGGTGTGTTTAGTGGGTCCCTGGCCATCACCATGTAATAGGGGCCTCTCAGGCTGGTCCTGCTGGGCTACTCCATGTCCAAACATTTCCCTGTCTCCCCATTACCACCTTCTCTGAGTCTTTTTACCTATTTTGATGGATGGAAGCTGTGATAGTTAATTTTATGTGCCAACTTCGCTGGGCCACAGTGCCCAGATACCTGGTCAAACATTATTCTGGGTGTTTCTGTGAGGCTGTTTTTGGATAAGATAAACATTTATATATTTATTTATTTTGAGAGACAGAATCTCGCTCTGTCAACCAGGCTAGAGTGCAGTGTCGTGATCTTGGCTCACTGCAACCTCTGCCTCCTGGGTTCAAGTGATTCTCCTGCCTCAGCTTCCCAAGTAGCTGAGACCACAGGTGTGTGCCACCACGCCTAGCTAATTTTTGTATTTTTAGTAGAGACAGGGTTTCACTGTATGTTGGCTTGGCTGGTCTTGAACTCCTGACCTCAGCCTGCCTCAGCCTCCTGAAGTGCTGGGATTACAGGCGTGAGCCACCATGCTAGGCCAATATTAACATTTAAATTGGGGGACTTTGAGTCAAGCAGGTTGCCCTCCCAAATTTCGGTGGGCCTTATCCAATCAGCTGAAGGCCTAAATAGAACAAAAAATTGACCTCCCCCAAGCGAGAGGGAATTCTGCCATGGCCTTTGGACGTGAACTGCAATATCAGCTTTTCCTGGGTCTCCAGCCTGATGGTCCACCTTGCAGATTTCAAACTTGCCAGCTTAATTACACTAGCCAGTTTCTTAACATAAATCTCTTTCTATGTGAATTTGTACCCTATTAGTTTTGTTTCTCTGTAGAACCCTCACTAATAGAGATGTATATAGCTTAAAACAATGGTTGTAAAAGAATTGTACTGGGGCCGGGCGCGGTGGCTCACGCCTGTAATCCCAGCACTTTGGGAGGCCGAGGCGGGCGGATCACGAGGTCAGGAGATCGAGAACATCCTGGCTAACACAGTGAAACCCCATCTCTACTAAAAATACAAAAAATTAGCCGAGTGTTGTGGCAGGAGCCTCTAGTCCTAGCTACCCGGGAGGCTGAGGCGGGAGAATGGCGTGAACCCGGGAGGCGGAGTTTGCAGTGAGCTGAGATCCCGCCACTGCACTCCAGCCTGGGCGACAGAGCGACACTCCGTCTCAAAAAAAAAAAAAAAAAAAAGTACTTCAGTGCAGTGGTTAAGAATGTGGGCTCTGAAATCAGATGCCTGTGTTAAGATCCCTGCTCTTCTGTGAGATCTAGGATAAGATACTCAACCTCTCTGTGTCTCTTTACTCATGAGATAATATTAATACATGCAAGGCACTTAGCACAGTGCCTGGCAGATAATAAGTGCTCAACAAATTACATAACTGGTTAGTGGTGAAGCTGGGATTTGAACTCAGGTAGTCTGCTCCAGATCATGAGCCCTTACCATTATGTGATATGTCCCAAGGAAAAAAAACCAAACTGCTTTTCCTTCTATCATCGTCATTGCAGAATACTTCCCCTCTGGTCACCAAAATATGTAGGGATTTCTCCCCACCAGCCAGAATCAGTTTTCCAGTGGACACCAGCTGGATGTTCTATAATTCAACTCTGACACTGTCTATCCAGAGTTAGCATCAGATCCAACAGCTTAGCCCCACAAGACTGCCCCACACTTCAGATGCCAAGCACAAGTCCCAGGTTGTGACCTGTATTTCTGACCAACTGGCTTTATATAAATTGGGGGTTCTCACTGCCCTTTCCCTGGATTCGATTAGTTAACTAGAGTGACTCACAGAACTCGGGGAAAAACACTTATATTTACTTATTGTCTCAGTCTGTTAGGGCTGCTATAAAAGATACCTTAGATTGGGTAATTTATAAATAATAAACACTTTTTTTTTTACAGTTCTAGAGACTGGGAAGTTCAAGATCAAGGCACCAGCAGATTCAGTGTCTGGTGAGGGCTACTCTCTCCTTCCAACATGGCATTTTCTTGCTGCATCCTCACATGGTAGAAGGGGCTGAAAGGGCTGGGCACTCCCTTCATTTTCTTTTATAAGGGCATTAATCCCATTCATAAGGGTACAACCCTCTTGACTTAATCACTTCACCAAAGATCCCACCTTTTAACACTATTACGTTAGAGTTTAAGTTCCAGCATATGAATTTTGGAGGGACACATACATCCAAACCATAATACCTATTTATTATAAAGGATATTACAAAGGATACAGATGAACAGCCAGATGGAAGGGATGCACAGTGCAAAGTATGTGGGCAGGCATGTGGAGCTTCCATGCCCTCTCCAGGCACCTCCACATGCTCAGCATTCCAGAAGTTCTCCAAATCCCATCCTTTTGAGTTTTTATGGAGGCTTCATTATTTAGGCATGATTGATGACATCATTGGCCATTGGGGATAGACTCAACCTCAGTACCTCTCCCCTTCCAGGAAGTCACGGAGTGAGGCTGAAAGTTCCAACCCTCCAATCACATTGTTGGTTCCCCTAGCGACCAGCCTCCACCAACTGTTACCTCATTAGAACAGAAGATGCTCCTATCGCCCAAGAAATTCCAAGGGATTTTGGACCTCTGTGCCAGAAGCTCCTACCACTCAGGAAATTACAGAGGTCTTAGGAGATCTGTGTCAGGAACTGTGGTAGAGACCAAATATTAGCTCCAGAAATGGGGACAGAGACCAAATATATATTTCTTCTTGTATCACAATATTACACTTCCTCTCTCTTGTTCTGACGCTGTTTTTCTTCTCTTGAGGACCGCTTTGTAACTTGAACTGATTGGGGTCCACTTTCTCCCCACTCCCTTCAATTTCAGTAGATCCACTTTAATCTCTTTGGGGTTTCCTAAAATATTTTATTTATTATTTTTAATAAAAAAATTAAAATTCATATTATATTTAATTGGCCAATCATAACGTATATCAAAGTACTTTATTTAAATAAAGGTTTCTATGGCTAAAATATTTGAAAAATGCTGGCATAACATATTATTTTGCCAGATAACATATTTGAATTAAAAATGTTTATAGTTCTCCAAACCTCAGTGACTTCTAGTACAACCTACAAAACATAACTTAGTGAGAGGTTAAGGCCAGTCTAGGCTGGACCTCCATGGGCTGAACTCTGAGGGCATTGCTAGACAGGCCCTTAGGTTTGCAGACTTGGAGCACCTTTTCCATCCCTACCCCAATCAAACAAATAAAATATATATTATTATGTAAGAATACATGTTTATCTTCAAAACCAGCAGCATAGCATCTTCAAATCTCTCTCTGCTTTTGCTGTCACATCACCTTCTCTCACTTTGACCCTCCTGCTTCCCTTTATAAACACTCCTGTCATGACATTGATCCCACTTGGATAACCAGGACAATCTTTCCATCTCAAGATTCTTAATCACATCTGCAAAGTTTCTTTTGCCATGACAGGTAATATATTAACAGATTCTAATAATTAGGCATGGACATTTTTGGGGACTGTTTTTTTTTTTAGCTATACAGGACTTACGCTAGGGTCTGGATAATAGATGGGAAGAAAGAAAGAAAGATATTGGACATGAAGGGAATGATTAAAGCAAGCTCAGAAAGTCATAAGTTGAAAAATATGAGCATACAGATGAGCTCCACCCGGTTACAATGGGAGGCTTGCTGTCTTCTTCACTTCCTCATCTCTATTCCTAAAACTTTACAATATATGTGGATGTGACTTCTATGTCTGCAAACAATAATTCATATAAAGTTTGAAGCAATGAGTTAATAAATTTGCTCAAAGCCATACAGCTTGTTCATAAGATTATAACACAAAGTTAATGGGGTGCTAAGCTGTTGCTTAGCTCGTAAGTCCCACTAACAATGCTCATACTGCTTGTAGCATTATTTATGTACCTAGAACACAAATAAAAATGTAATTCTGAACAACTAAATACATATAAATACAGCAAGCTCCATGCATCTCTTTTGATATACCTGTATTCCTCTATCATGTATTTGAAAATCTTCTCTATTTTCTTGTTTCTTCCTTTCTTTCTCTTTCCACGGTCCCAGCTTGAGTCCTAGGTTTTCTCCCTCACCCCAGGATTTAAACACGTCTGGGGCACTGCTGAGTCATGGAGCCAGAGCTGTCCGAGTCCATTTTTTTTTAACCACTGTACGTACAGTCAGCATAGTGCCTGCCACCTGATGGGCCCCAATACTTGTTGAACAAATTAGGGAATGATCCTATTTGCAGCAGAAGCTGTGCAGTCCCATGAGAAAGAACTCAACCCAAGGGAACAGGGAGTCAGGCACACAATTTTAGTGCAATATGAAAATTCCAGGCCAGGTGCAGTGGCTCACGGCTGTAATCCCAGCATTTGGGGAAGCTGAGGTGGGAAGATTGCTTGAGCCCAGGAGTTGGAGACCAGCCTGGGCAACATGGTGAAACCTGGTCTCTACAAAAAATAAAAAATTAGCTGGGTGTGGTGGCATGTGTCTGTACTCCCAGGTACTTGGGAGGCTGTGGTGGGAGGATTGCTTGAGCCCAGGAAGTGGAGGCTGCAGTGAGCTCTAGCCTGGGTGACAGAGCAAGACCCTGTCTCAAAAAAAAAAAAAAAATTCCAGGCAAGGAGATCACTTGGAGTCCAGTTTTTGATCTGTCACTCAGTTTGCCCTCTGCCCCACTGTGAACTGTGTCCTTGGAAGGAGAAGCTGAAATTAGAATTCATTAAAGAATTTGGATGACACAGGAGCACCTGGGAACACTGCTTTGGAGACTGTGGTGTTAGACACTCAGCCCAAAGTGGCCACATCTTAATGTGGTAGGGATGCAGGTGGTGCTGCTGTGTTGGGGCACCATTGACCTAGCATCATGCTTTGTAGCTTTGGCCTAGCAGGGTAGCATTAAGGTGCTGTAGTTTTGGCTAAGTGACTCTGAGGAGCACAGTGGGAGCCTGACACCAGCAACAACCATAAGGCTCCTTCTATAAGTCTTGGGAGCCCCAGCTTCAGTTATTACTACATGGCTACTGGGAGGCCTGAGCTCTTGGGCACACACAGGACATCTCCATGGCTCCTGGGAACAGTTGGGAAGACACCAAGGGGAAGTGAAGGGGCCACAATAGTGTGTGAAGGAAAAATCAGAGAAATACTGTTCACTTTAATGCGATCTTCTTTTTACCTTTCAGACCAGGCTTGGGAAAACACAGGCAATGCATAAACAAGATAGGTATTGGATGTGCAAATAATATTTACTCATAATAGCAATATAGGTAGATTAAATTTTATATATTATATATTAACATTAATATACACACATAAGCAGTATTATATATATTATAACCATCAGATATATGCCTGTGTATGTGTGTGTTGTGTGTAAACATTTGCATAAACAGAAATCAATTGGTGATTGGAGTTTTTATTGTCATCGATACTGATCATGTCGGTCACATGCAGAAAAATGTGAAAGCGGTAAAGGTCATTAAAAAGCAACAAATGGCCCAACCTAATTTGAATATGGTCAGGCTAATATCATAAAGCCCATTGCACTTGTGGAGAGCATAAAAAATAGCACCAGAAGATATTGTAAGGCAGTCAGGTGTTTTTTTTTTATTGTTGCTTTTTCTTTCCTTTTTTTTTTTTCAGTAAGAAAGGATAGAAGAAAAATAGTAAAAACTACATTGGGTGCCAGGATTTATTGTGTTTATTCAAAGTAAAGTTAACACTCTTAATGGCTCTAACTGTTTCTCTGAGCCTGAAAAGAAATATATGATAACTTTTCACAGATGAGATGCCCAAAAGTATTATATTGGTTCCTTATTAAGAAGAAGTTAATAGAACCTTTAATATCAAGAATTACAGAATATCATGAATGGTATTTCCATAGTTAATTCAGAAAAATGTGGCCTTTTGTTTTGTTTTGTTTTGTTTTTCTGTTTCTTTCCTAGTTTCCAGGGAAAGAAGTAAGAGTTTTAATTTTGAGGTGTGTTTTGGAGGGAGGATATTTGTCTGGCAGAGGGAAGACAACCCTGTCACTGTGTTTTGAATTTGGGAGGTCAGTGTGTTTATGTGAGTGTGTGGATGTGTGTAACTATTTGTGACTGTAGGGTATTTGGAGATTTTATATCATAAAGGTAGAGGAGGAGAATGGCTTGTGTGTGGTTTGATCCCCAAGAGTGTGAAGAGGAATGGAGGGCTGGAGATTCTGAGGGTGACAGAGACATGAGCCTTCTGGAGCAGGGCACCCAGATGTGGCAGAGCCTCGTGTAGTGTGTTAGTTTTCTATTGCTGCTTAGAATAGATTACCATAAACTTAATGACTTAAAGCAATACAAATTTGTTACCTTACAGTTCTTCTGTGTGCCAGAAGTCTAGCGGGCTCACCTGAGGCTCTCCAGGCTAAAATCAAGGTGTTGGCAGGCCTGCTTTCCTTTCTGGAGGCTCTCAGGGAGAATCTGTTTCCTTGTTCATTCATGTTGTTGGCAGAATTCAGTTCCTTGTGGTTGTAGGACTGAGGTCCCCAATTCCTTGTTGGCTGCCATCTAAAGGCTGTTAGCTTTCAGAGGCTGCCTGCATTCCTTGGCTCCTGGTTCTATGCCTCCATCTTCAAAGCCAGCAATGGCAGGGTGAGTCCCTCTCAGGTTTTGAATCTTTCCTGCCTCTTTTCCCACCTCACCTCTGACAAACTGTTCTGCCTTCGTCTTTCATTTTTAAGGGCTCATGTGAATACATTGGAGCTGCTGGGTAATCCAGGATAATCTCCCTATTTTAAGGTCTGCAACCTTAATTTTATCTGCAAAGACCCTTTTGCCATATAATGTAACATACACAGGAGTAACACCAGGGGGTAAAGATCTTGGGAGTCAAAATTTTGCCTGCCACACATGGGAATTACTATTTGGGTTACTTTTTAGACCGAGGCCTTAAGAACCTCAGTGATCATCCCTTTGGCCAAACTTGGTACAGAGGGTACAAAGTTGTCAGTGGAGCTGGAGACTCTTGAATAAATCTCAAGGGCCTGGGAAGGAGTCACAGCAGTGGTGGCCTCATAAGCCCCAGGATTCTTCTGTGATCCAAAGATAGAGGATTTGGAAAAATGACTGGTATTGGACTTCTGGCCAAACTTGGAGAGCTGGGGTATGTAGCAGTTATGATGCTTTTAGCTACAAATAACAAAAGCTTGGGTTCAGCTGGCTTAATAATAATAACCTCTGTTATTGTAGACAACACAAAGTACAAAGGTCTGGAGGATGAAGAGTTGGTTAACCCTGTGGCTCAAAAATGCCACCAGAGACCTAGATTCTTCTCTCTTTCTTCTCTGCCATCTTCAACTGACTGGTCTTGTCTTCAGGCTATGGTCCCTTGTGGCTTTAAGTTGCTGCCTTGTTTTCACATCTAGAGATGCCTGTATCCAATGGAGAAGAGACCATCTCATTCTGTGTCTCCTTGAAAGACGGAAGGAAATGTTTCCCAGAAGCTTTCTGCTTTCCTGTGTGTCTCAGGCCAGAATTGTACCCCATCCTCCTTCTGACAGGGTGCTCTGTTGGGACTACTCAGGATTCACTCACCTGGGCTAGAGCTGGGGTGGCAAATGATGGACATCTGAACAAAAATCAGGGCTCAGCTAGGGAGAACATTGGAATGGATGTTGTGCAGGCCACCAGTGGTGTCCCTGACAGGGAGAGGGTCAGATATAATTTGATTTGGGAAAATGAAGAAAAATAAATGTGACATTTATTACATTCTGTTTCCACACAGCATCAATGATCACATTAATCTTACTGCCATGAGCAGGGAGACCTGGTCAGAGAGTTTAAGAGACTTGCTCAGAGCTACACAGCAGGTAAATGGAGGGTCATGGCTTGGACCCAGGTTTTCTGACTTTTCCACTACCCTGAAATTGTGTTGTAATAATTGAATAGATCCTTTTTTAATACCAAAATTATACCATATTCTTCAACTATGCATTTTGATTTCTGGCAAAAACATGCCTATTTCTAAACAACCTATTATAGTTTTGCCTAGGTCTTAAACAGATATCAAATTAATACATTGGAAGGAGATAAATTTCTCCCTGCCTCAAACACTGTATATTCACATTAGGAGAGATGACTGCAGGAGAAGAGACAGTCAAGACATTTGTGGATCTTTAGTTTGGCATACAGTGGGACATTGATTTAAACTTCTCATTTTTTTTTCTCAAGAAAAAAAATTTAACAAGAAGAGGCAAAACTACTAAATTTAAAATTGCATTTAAAAATGCCATCCTCAAATAAACAAAAACAAAGCTGTAGGCAAATGGATTTTCTAAACACTTTGCCTCAAATCACATCTAGCTGAGAAGAAAATGGGAGAAGTTTTAGCATAAAATATAATTATTTGGGAGCCAATACGATGCAGAAAACAAAGGTTAAGTAAGAAAGGACATTCTGAGCCAGAATAGTAATAAGTAGAAGTAGCAAGTCAGTGTATTTCAGCAAGAATACATATGATTTTTTTTTAAGGGACAGGCTCTCGCTATGTTGCTGAAGCTGGACTTGAACTCTGGGCTCAAGCGAGCCTCCTGCTTCAACCTCCTGAGTAGCTGGGACTACAGGCATGTGCCACTGCACCCAGCTCTTGTATGGAATTTTTATATGGAATGTGTAATACATAAACTATTCAAATCACTGAATGCTTGTGAGGTATCCATTGCACCTGGAAATTAAACCAGGCTATCTCTTCATATAAAAGTGGAGAAAGCACTAAACAGGCTAAAGAAAATTACCTCTTTACCCTTGCCTCCTGTTTTCTGTTAGTCTTATATGAAGCTTTTAAGGGATAGTCAACTGCACAAAAGCAACATCTGCTTGGCAGATTTCCTTTAGTCCTGGAGCCCACCATTCCGTTCTATCTCACTGAACATGTTTATTGGAAAGTACGAGCAGATTCCAGTGGAAGCACAGATGCATTTATTTAACTCGCTGCTTGTTTCTTTGGAACTGCTCTTTTAAAATGGAGGCAAGAGTTTTGGGGCTGGTTACAATGAGTGGCAATGTCCACTTGTGGGAAATATTGAATGATGGATAATGTAACAGCTGCAATGAGCATTTGGCAGAATGGAAAATGTTCTAGATTTAGCTCCCTTGCATGCATGTCCAGGGAATGATTAGCAGGTTGGCACGATAAGGTCAGTGTCATTTATCAGCCAAAACACTCTCCAAGGTCAGAAAGTTAACTTTTGATTGTCTGTTGTGTTTTTAAAGATCTGCTGGCACAGGTCTTTGGGTTTTCCTTTTGAAGGTCATTTTCTGAATTAATGGGTTTCTAACTGTGTCTATGGCTAGGAAAATGGATTTCAGGGAAAATCAAGAAGATTGTATTTTTTAAAAAGACATTTATTGATTAGGAATATATATAAATTGTTAAGATACCTTTCTTTTCCCATATTGGTAGCAACTATCAGGTTGCACATATATAATTGCCAATAGTTGACAGTTTTTACCTTAAAGAAGGCAATTTTGTATGGTCCAACTGAATATATACTATATTTCAATTCAATCTAATACTTTAACAAATATTAAGTTCCTGCTGAGGTACTATGTTAAGTGTTGAAGCTACAAGGATGAACAAAATAGTCATGGGTCTTGTCTTCACAAAGCTTACAGTCTAGAAGTGGTGGCAGACAAACCACTGCTTTGATAGCGGAAGGACAGTTACTGTGTGAATTCAGAGCGAGGGAAGCTAATCCATTTTAGAGTGGTCAAAAGAATCTTCCCAGAGGAATGAAAGCTAAGCTGAGCTTGAAGGATGAGGAAGAGTTAAATGGAAGAGTAGAACAGGGGCGAAGAGGCTTCTGGCAATAGGAACAGCAGTGTGAAGACAGGGAGGTAAGAGCAATAGAGCAGGGGTGTGTGACATGACGGGAGCTGAGCGACACTCAGAGTGGAGGGAGGCTGTGTAGACAGATGATGCTGGGAGGGAAGAAAGGCCCCATGGTGAAGAGAAGAATCTGGTAATTCTGTAATAAAATACTTACCTCTCTATTCTGAAGGCATCAAGGAACTACTGGACAAGGAGTGACGTGATCGTGACGGTGTTGTATAAAAAGGGCCATGTGGTTGCTGTGTGGAGCATAGGTTGGAATCTGGGAAGTCACCTAGGAGGCTGTTCCTGGAATCCAGGCAATAAAAGATGGTGGCCTGTACTGGGGCAGTGAGCATGGGGATGAAACATGGAAGACTCTGTGAGCTGCTTGGGAGGCAAATTGATGGGTCTTGGTGATTCCACGGTCGGTGGGGAGGGGGCAGGAATGGGTGACAGAGAGATGGGAAGGAAGATTGCTCTCTGAATGTAGAACTGCTTCTGGGTCACTGGAATTTTCAGTGGCCACAGTGGTTTGACTTCTTAAATGACTCAGTGGACTCCAGTATCACAACTTGCCACCAGGTGCTGCTCTCTAACATCTGAATTCTAGCTTTAAAACTCTCTAGGAGGTTTTGGGCTATGTAATAATTATTAGATTTTAGCTTTAACAATTCCAAAATGTGTGCATGGAATTTATTTAACATGGAGGAATACCAGCAGAGTTTTGTTACTTAAAATCTGATGATAAAAGTTTCATTTTATAGTTCAATCCTATGGACATTGTAAGACTTTGGTCTTTAACTCAGTTCCGTGTTCCGCTTAGAGATGGTGTGGATTTGAATCCAGTAAAGCTAGAAAAGGGGTGAAACTGGTTCATTATTAGAAGACTGATTCTTTTTTTTTTTTTGAGTTTTTACACAGCCTCTTTTGTATTCAATGTTGTTTATTGAGGAGTGAATGAGAGACTACTGCCAGACATGCCAATGACACTTCACATTCAAGAGCTGGAAGCTGGAAAGCTTCCCGACTAAGTCACTGTATAAGCCTTCTGGGAAAAAGAACCAAAGTGCCATCAAATATGCCATCTTCATGCTTGTTGTCTGTCATCAGTTTGTTTCAACTTTTGGGTCCACTGGTTTGCTGGGTAGTAGGAGAAGACTGATTCTTCAAAAAAAAAAAGGGCCTGGATTTTCATTTGACAGACATCAGCTCAATTAGATCAGTGCTTTCAAGATGGCTCTTTCCTCTAGACTAGGAGGAAATGTGAAGAGAACACTTATTTATTGAGTACCTATTTTTTTCACATACTTTAAATTTTAATTTAGTCCCCACACCAACCTTTTGAGGTAGATCTTTGTATCTCTATGTTATAGAAGAAGAAATCTAGGGCAAGGCAGATTAATTGACGTGCCCAAGGTTACATAGCTGCCAAATAACACAACTGAGGCTTGATTTTAAAGCATACTTTTGCCTTCCACTTTATGGTGTCATCTCTGTCATGTCTCATACCCACAGTATGCCATCATGCCCATCATGCACAGATGCATGATTAAAATAAAAGCTCTTTGATATCCAACTTCAAGTTCATTTAACTGTCTTCTAACACATTCGTTTAATCAGCTATGGTAGCAATCTTATTTAAGTAAGGTTAGTAGATTCATGTTGATAATGAACTTGATAAATGAGTTGGTAAAAGGATACTGTTGCAACTGAAGACATTTTTGAAGTGGTTATTTGTATGTTTTAATGGATAAAAAGTAATTGTTACTATAGGATCCTTTTTGGGGCCTCAGTGCTCAGGGCAGATGGAATCCTGTCAATCAAACTTTCAGATAATAACAATTTAGCCACCAGAGATAAAGGAGCAATGCCCATATTGATATATAGTAGTTTATAGGGCCACTGAACAGAAGCTATTATGGCTGCTTGTAGGACCACCGAGTGGGAAAGCCTGCCATGTTGCTGTTATGGCAGATATGATTATCTGGAGGCTGTCTGCAAGGAGAATCCACCTGTAAGTAATTCAGAAGCTATCATATTCTATCAAGGAAAAAAAAATGTGGCTGGAGTCATTTGGGCCTCTTGAACAAAGAGGTCAGAACATGGTCACCCATTTTCAATTTCTTAGCATAGACTGTAATAAAGTCCACATGATTAGAAAAAGATGATGTAGCAAAATTAAGTCAGACAGAAGAGGCTTCAAGAAAAAGAGTATTAGAGATGAAGAGGGTTTCTACATAACAATAAAGTTTCGATTCACCAGGGAGATATAAAAACTTAAACTGATATACACTAATATCATTTTAAAATACATAAAACAAAAGTTGACAGAACTGTAAAGAGACAACCATGCCAGACATATCTGGTAGGTGAGTGGGAGATTTTAATCTAGTTTTCTCAGTAATTAATACAGCAGTTAAAAAATCAAAAAGGATATAGAAAATTTTAATAACACTAATTGTGTTATTGGTCCAACAGACATTCACAGATCACTGCACCAGCAGTCTTAGGAAATTTTGGAACATACTTTATGTAATTTATGGATTAAAGCAAAAATTATAGTGAAAAACAAAATATTGAGCAATAATGAATATACAACAAATAATTTATAAGATGCATCAAAACAACGCTTTGAAGAAAATGGACAGCCATGAATGTATATATTAAAAAAAGAAGAAAGGCTAAAAATTAAAGAACTAAGCATGCAACTTAAGACATTAGAAAAATAGTAGCAAAACAAATTTCTTCAACAAGGAGGAAGATTATAATAAAGATAGCATATATTAATGAAAAAGTAAATAAAGATACCACAGAAAGACTCAAGAAAGATAACTGTTGTATTTTTGAAAAGATTAATAAAATTAACAGTCTTCCTCTGGGAAGAACAATCAAAAAAGGAGAGAAGGCACAAATAGAAGTTGCTTGGGTGAACAAAACAGCATAACCATAGGTGATGTGGAAATTAAAAAAGAAAGTTTAAGAACATAATGAACAACATTTTGCCTATAGATTTTTTTTAGCCAAAATGGATCCTTTTTTGTTTGCTTGTTTCTTGTTTTTGTTTTGGAGAAAAATAATTTGTTGACTCATGTAACTGGATGTACAAGAATGGACTTAAGACACAGCTGAATTCAGGGACTTATGTCATTATATCTGCTCCTTTCTCCTTCTCTTGACTCCACTTAAATTTTATTTTTTTTTATTCAGGGAAAATATCCATATGCAATTTGTCATCTTTACCATTTCAAAGTGTACTGTTCAGTGATAGTAAATACATTTATAATCTTTTTTTCCCTTATCATCTTCCCCCTTCCCCTTCCGGGCCTCTAGTAACCACCAATCTCTAATTCCAGGAGATTCACTTTTTTAGCTTGCACGTATGAGTGAGAACATACAATATGTGTTTTTCTGTGCTTGGCTTATTTCATTTAATATGATGACCTCCAGTTCCATCCATGTTGCTGCAAATGACAGAATTTCATTTTTTATGGCTAAATAATATTCCATTGTGTGTGTGCGTGTGTGTAGGTACATATACACACATACATATGTACATATACATACATTTTCTTTATCCATTCATTTATTGATGATCACTTAGGTTGATTCCATATTTTGGCTATTTGTGAATAGTGCTGCAATAAACATGAGAATGAGATATCTCTTTGATATATTTTTCTTTCTTTCTTTCTTTTTTTTTTTTTTTGAGATGGAGTCTTGCTCTGTTGCCCAGGCTGGAGTGCAATGGCGCGGTCTGGGCTCACTGCAACCTCCGCCTCCTGGGTTCAAGTGATTCTCCTGCCTCGGCCTCCTGAGTAGCTGGGATTACAGGTGCCCGCCACCACACCCAGCTAATTTTTGTATTTTCTTTTTTTTTTTTTTTTATACTTTAAGTTTTAGGGTACATGTGCACATTGTGCAGGTTAGTTACATATGTATACATGTACCATGCTGGTGCACTGCACCCACTAACTCATCATCTAGCATTAGGTATATCTCCCAATGCTATCCCTCCCCCCTCCCCCCACCCCACAACAGTCCCCAGAGTGTAATATTCCCCTTCACATGTGTCCATGTGATCTCATTGTTCAATTCCCACCTATGAGTGAGAATATGCCGTGTTTGGTTTTTTGTTCTTGCAATAGTTTACTGAGAATGATGATTTCCAGTTTCATCCATGTCCCTACAAAGGACATGAACTCATCATTTTTTATGGCTGCATAGTATTCCATGGTGTATATGTGCCACATTTTCTTAATCCAGTCTATCATTGTTGGACATTTGGGTTGGTTCCAAGTCTTTACTATTGTGAATAATGCCGCAATAAACATATGTGTGCATGTGTCTTAAACATATGTGTGCATGTGTCTTTATAGCAGCATGATTTATAGTCCTTTGGGTATATACCCAGTAATGGGATGGCTGGGTCAAATGGTATTTCCAGTTCTAGATCCCTGAGGAATCGCCACACTGACTTCCACAATGGTTGAACTAGTTTACAGTCCCACCAACAGTGTAAAAGTGTTCCTATTTCTCCACATCCTCTCCAGCACCTGTTGTTTCCTGACTTTTTAATGATTGCCATTCTAACTGGTGTGAGATGGTATCCCATTGTGGTTTTGATTTGCATTTCTCTGATGGCCAGTGATGATGAGCATTTTTTCATGTGTTTTTTGGCTGCATAAATGTCTTCTTTTGAGAAGTGTCTGTTCATGTCCTTCGCCCACTTTTTGATGGGGTTGTTTGTTTTTTTCTTGTAAATTTGTTTGAGTTCATTGTAGATTCTGGATATTAGCCCTTTGTCAGATGAGTAGGTTGCGAAAATTTTCTCCCATTTTGTAGGTTGCCTGTTCACTCTGATGGTAGTTTCTTTTGCTGTGCAGAAGCTCTTTAGTTTAATTAGATCCCATTTGTCAATTTTGTCTTTTGTTGCCATTGCTTTTGGTGTTTTAGACATGAAGTCCTTGCCCACGCCTATGTCCTGAATGGTAATGCCTAGGTTTTCTTCTAGGGTTTTTATGGTTTTAGGTCTAACGTTTAAGTCTTTAATCCATCTTGAATTGATTTTTGTATAAGGTGTAAGGAAGGGATCCAGTTTCAACTTTCTACATATGGCTAGCCAGTTTTTCCAGCACCATTTATTAAATAGGGAATCCTTTCCCCATTGCTTGTTTTTCTCAGGTTTGTCAAAGATCAGATAGTTGTAGATATGCGGCGTTATTTCTGAGGGCTCTGTTCTGTTCCATTGATCTATATCTCTGTTTTGGTACCAGTACCATTCTGTTTTGGTTACTGTAGCCTTGTAGTATAGTTTGAAGTCAGGTAGTGTGATGCCTCCGGCTTTGTTCTTTTGGCTTAGGATTGACTTGGCGATGCGGGCTCTTTTTTGGTTCCATATGAACTTTAAAGTAGTTTTTTCCAATTCTGTGAAGAAAGTCATTGGTAGCTTGATGGGGATGGCATTGAATCTGTAAATTACCTTGGGCAGTATGGCCATTTTCACAATATTGATTCTTCCTACCCATGAGCATGGAATGTTCTTCCATTTGTTTGTACCCTCTTTTATTTCCTTGAGCAGTGGTTTGTAGTTGTCCTTGAAGAGGTCCTTCACATCCCTTGTAAGTTGGATTCCTAGGTATTTTATTCTCTTTGAAGCAATTGTGAATGGGAGTTCACTCATGATTTGGCTCTCTGTCTGTTGTTGGTGTATAAGAATGCTTGTGATTTTTGTACATTGATTTTGTATCCTGAGACTTTGCTGAAGTTGCTTATCAGCTTAATGAGATTTTGGGCTGAGACAATGGGGTTTTCTAGATATACAATCATGTCATCTGCAAACAGGGACAATTTGACTTCCTTTTTTCCTAATTGAATACCCTTTATTTCCTTCTCCTGCCTAATTGCCCTGGCCAGAACTTCCAACCCTATGTTGAATAGGAGTGGTGAGAGAGGGCATCCCTGTCTTGTGCCAGTTTTCAAAGGGAATGCTTCCAGTTTTTGCCCATTCAGTATGATATTGGCTGTGGGTTTGTCATAGATAGCTCTTATTATTTTGAAATACGTCCCATCAATACCTAATTTATTGAGAGTTTTTAGCATGAAGGGTTGTTGAATTTTGTCAAAGGCTTTTTCTGCATCCATTGAGATAATCATGTGGTTTTTGTCTTTGGCTCTGTTTATAAGCTGGATTACATTTATTGATTTGTGTATATTGAACCAGCCTTGCATCCCAGGGATGAAGCCCACTTGATCATGGTCGATAAGCTTTTTGATGTGCTGCTGGATTCATGTTGCCAGTATTTTATTGAGGATTTTTGCATCAATGTTCATCAAGGATATTGGTCTAAAATTCTCTTTTTTGGTTGTGTCTCTGCCTGGCTTTGGTATCAGAATGATGCTGGCCTCATAAAATGAGTTAGGGAGGATTCCCTCTTTTTCTATTGATTGGAATAGTTTCAGAAGGAATGGTACCAGTTCCTCCTTGTACCTCTGGTAGAATTCGGCTGTGAATCCATCTGGTCCTGTACTCTTTTTGGTTGGTAAGCTATTGATTATTGCCACAACTTCAGCTCCTGTTATTGGTCTATTCAGAGACTCAACTTCATCCTGGTTTAGTTTTGGGAGAGTGTATGTGTCAAGGAATTTATCCATTTCTTCTAGATTTTCTAGTTTATTTGCGTAGAGGTGTTTGTAGTATTCTCTGATGGTAGTTTATATTTCTGTGGGATTGGTGGTGATATCCCCTTTATAATTTTTTATTGCATCTATTTGATTCTTCTCTCTTTTTTTCTTTATTAGTCTTGCTAGCGGTCTATCAATTTTGTTGATCCTTTCAAAAAACGAGCTCCTGGATTCATTAATTTTTGGAAGGGTTTTTTGTGTCTCTATTTCCTTCAGTTCTGCTCTGATTTTAGTTATTTCTTGCCTTCTGCTAGCTGTTGAATGTGTTTGCTCTTGCTTTTCTAGTTCTTTTAATTGTGATGTTAGGGTGTCAATTTTGGATCTTTCCTGATTTCTCTTGTGGGCATTTAGTGCTATAAATTTCCCTCTACACACTGCTTTGAATGTGTCCCAGAGATTCTGGTATGTTGTGTCTTTGTTCTCGTTGGTTTCAAAGAACATCTTTATTTCTGCCTTCATTTTGTTATGTACCCAGTAGTCATTCAGGAGCAGGTTGTTCAGTTTCCATGTAGTTGAGCAGTTTTGAGTGAGATTCTTAATCCTGAGTTCTAGTTTGATTGCACTGTGGTCTGAGAGATAGTTTGTTATAATTTCTGTTCTTTTACATTTGCTGAGGAGAGCTTTACTTCCCAGTATGTGGTCAATTTTGGAATAGGTGTGGTGTGGTGCTGAAAAAAATGTATATTCTGTTGATTTGGGGTGGAGAGTTCTGTAGATGTCTATTAGGTCCGCTTGGTGCAGAGCTGAGTTCAATTCCTGGGTATCCTTGTTGACTTTCTGTCTCGTTGATCTATCTAATGTTGACAGTGGGGTGTTAAAGTCTCCCATTATTAATGTGTGGGAGTCTAAGTCTCTTTGTAGGTCACTGAGGACTTGCTTTATGAATCTGGGTGCTCCTGTATTGGGTGCATATATATTTAGGATAGTTAGCTCTTCTTGTTGAATTGATCCCTTTACCATTATGTAATGGCCTTCTTTGTCTCTTTTGATCTTTGTTGGTTGAAAGTCTGTTTTATCAGAGACTAGGATTGCAACCCCTGCCTTTTTTTGTTTTCCATTGGCTTGGTAGATCTTCCTCCATCCTTTTATTTTGAGCCTATGTGTGTCTCTGCACGTGAGATGGGTTTCCTGAATACAGCACACTGATGGATCTTGACTCTTTATCCAATTTCCCAGTCTGTGTCTTTTAATTGGAGCATTTAGTCCATGTACATTTAAAGTTAATATTGTTATGTGTAAATTTGATCCTGTCATTATGATGTTAGCTGGTTATTTTGCTCGTTAGTTGATGCAGTTTCTTCCTAGTCTCGATGGTCTTTACATTTTGGCATGATTTTGCAGCGGCTGGTACCGGTTGTTCCTTTCCATGTTTAGTGCTTCCTTCAGGAGCTCCTATAAGGCATGCCTGGTGGTGACAAAATCTCTCAGTATTTGCTTGTCTGTAAAGGATTTTATTTCTCCTTTACTTTTGAAGCTTAGTTTGGCTGGATATGAAATTCTGGGTTGAAAATTCTTTTCTTTAAGAATGTTGAATATTGGCCCCCCCTCTCTTCTGGCTTGTAGGGTGTCTGCCGAGAGATCCGCTGTTATTCTGATGGGCTTTCCTTTGAGGGTAACCCGACCTTTCTCTCTGGCTGCCCTTAACATTTTTTCCTTCATTTCACCTTTGGTGAATCTGACAATTATGTGTCTTGGAGTTGCTCTTCTCGAGGAGTATCTTTGTGGCGTTCTCTGTATTTCCTGAATCTGAACGTTGGCCTGCCTTGCTAGATTGGGGAAGTTCTCCTGGATAATATCCTGCAGAGTGTTTTCCAACTTGGTTCCATTCTCTGCATCACTTTCAGGTACACCAATCAGACGTAGATTTGGTCTTTTCACATAGTCCCATATTTCTTGGAGGCTTTGCTCATTTCTTTTTATTCTTTTTTCTCTAAACTTCCCTTCTCGCTTCATTTCATTCATTTCATCTTCCATCACTGATACCCTTTCTTCCAGTTGATCGCATCGGCTCCTGAGGCTTCTGCATTCTTCACGTAATTCTTGAGCCTTGGTTTTCAGCTCCGTCAGCTCCTTTAAGCACTTCTCTGTATTGGTTATTCTAGTTATACATTCTTCTAAATTTTTTTCAATGTTTTCAACTTCTTTGCCTTTGGTTTGAATGTCTTCCCGTAGCTCAGAGTAATTTGATCGTCTGAAGCCTTCTTCTCTCAACTCATCAAAGTCATTCTCCATCCAGGTTTGTTCCATTGCTGGTGAGGAACTGCATTCCTTTGGAGGAGGAGAGGTGCTCTGCTTTTTGGAGTTTCCACTTTTTCTGTTCTGTTTTTTCCCCATCTTTGTGGTTTTATCTACTTTTGTTCTTTGATGATGGTGATGTACAGATGGGTTTTTGGTGTGGATGTCCTTTCTGTTTGTTAGTTTTCCTTCTAACAGAGAGGACCCTCAGCTGCAGGTCTGTTGGAATAACCTGCCGTGTGAGGTGTCAGTGTGCCCCTGCTAGGGGGTGCCTCCCAGTTAGGCTTCCTGGGTGTCAGGGGTCAGGGACCCACTTGAGGAGGCAGTCTGCCCGTTCTCAGATCTCCAGCTGCGTGCTGGGAGAACCACTGCTCTCTTCAAAGCTGTCAGACAGGGACATTTAAGTCTGCAGAGATTACTGCTGTCTTTTTGTTTGTCTGTGCCCTGCCCCCAGAGGTGGAGCCTACAGAGGCAGGCAGGCCTCCTTGAGCTGTGGTGGGCTCCACCCAGTTCGAGCTTCCAGGCTGCTTTGTTTACCTAAGCAAGCCTGGGCAATGGCGGGCACCCCTCCGCCAGCCTCGCTGCTGCCTTGCAGTTTGATCTCAGACTGCTGTGCTAGCAATCAGCGAGACTCCGTGGGCGTAGGACCCTCCGAGCCATGTGCGGGATATAATCTCCTGGTGTGCCGTTTTTTAAGCCCGTCAGAAAAGCGCAGTATTTGGGTGGGAGTGACCCGATTTTCCAGGTGCCGTCTGTCACCCCTTTCTTTGACTCAGAAAGGGAGCTCGCTGACCCCTTGCGCTTCCCAAGTGAGGCAATGCCTCGCCCTGCTTTGGCTCGCACATGGTGCACGCACCCACTGACCTGCACCCACTGTCTGGCACTCCCTAATGAGATGAACCCGGTACCTCAGATGGAAATGCAGAAATCACCCGTCTTCTGCGTCGCTCACGCTGGGAGCTGTAGACCGGAGCTGTTCCTATTCGGCCATCTTGGCTCCTCCCCACTAATTTTTGTATTTTCAGTAGAGATGGGGCTTCACTATGTTGGCCAGGCTGGTCTCAAGTTGCTGACCTCGTGATCTGCCCGCATTGGCCTCCTAAAGTGTTGGGATTACAGGTGTGAGCCACCGTGCCCGGCATTAATTTTCTTTATTTTGAATATATTCCCAGTAGTGAAATTGCTGGATCATCACATGAAAGTTCTACTTTTAGCTTTTTTGAGAAACCTCCATACTGTTCTCCATATTGGTTGCATGAATTTACATTCCCACCAATAGTGTGTGAGGGTTCCTCTTTTTCCACATCCTTACCAGCATCTATTCCCTGTCTTTTTGATACAAGGCATTTTAAGTAGAGTGAGGTGATATCCTGTTATGGTTTTGATTTGAATTTTCGTAACGATTAAAGGTGTTGAGTATTTTTTTCATATACTGTTGGCCATTTGTATGTCTTCTTTTGAGAAATGTTCAGATCTTTTGACCACTTTTTGATTGAATTATTTGTTTTGTTTTGCTTTTTGCTATTGAGACAAAGGTAATTAGCTGGCACAATATGTAAGGATGGATTGTTAAAAAATTCTGTTTAAAAGACAAAAATGTACACTATTACCACTTCTATTCAACTTTATATCTTGTCTAGTCTAGCAGGCCAGAAAAGAGAAATAAAAAGTATAAAAATTTGAGAAGATATAGAAAGATTAGAACTATTTTTAAATGCTATAACTTAACTTCCAAGGGTCTGTAGACAAATTATTAGACTTAATAAGAGTTTTACAAGGTTGCTTGATATGACTATTATACAAAAATCGAATACACTTCCATACATCAACAATGAATAGTTAAAAAACAAAATTTTAACACTTAGCATTTATAATAGTTTAGAAAATAAAAGGTACCTAGGTAAAAATCTCATCAAAGATGTGTGAAATCTTTATAGAAAAAATCATGAAACTTTATTGAAAGACATTTAAAAATGAGCAGCCATATCGTTTTCAAAGACAAGAAGACTCAATATCATTAAGAAGTAATCTATCTCCAAATTAGTCAATAGATTTAATAAAATTTCAGTAAAAAAGGAAAGGTGTTTTTGTGAATCTTGAAAAACTTACTCTAAAATAGAAATTGAGAAGCAAAGAACCAAGAACAGCTAATATATTCCTGAAGAACATGAGGTTGGGGAACTGATTGTACTATAATATTGTAGATGATGTGACATTGGTGCATGGGTAGACAATAGGACAATGCAACAGAATAGAGAGTCCAGAAACAGACACATCTATGTAAGGAGAGATATAATAAAAAATATGTATTTCAGATCAGTGGTGAAAAATGAACCACTCAGTGGGAAATGCTGTCTTTATGGGAAACAGTGCATTACTACTCTTACCATACACAAAATCAGTTAAGGACCTAAATGTTAAAGATGAAAGTTTAAAACTTTTGGAAAAAAATATTGGAGAATATTTTTATTTCCTCAGGGTTGGAAAGGTTTTTAAAAACAAGACACAGAGAGCATGTACATAAAGGAAATGACTGATAAATTAAACTATACATTACAAATAACTTCTGTTCATTAAAAAGCACACAAATAGGATGAAAAGGTAAGACACAACTTAAGAGAAGATAATTTCAACTCTACGTAACTGGGCAAAGGTTTTTTTTGCAGTTCATACAGAGTTCCTAAAATCAATAAGAAAAATATGGCTCAAGTCATTCAATGATTTTTGAAGTGTCCGTGGCAGACCCCTATAGATAAATACTAGTGTAGGCCTTTAGGGTTTTGAAACAAAGCTCTGCCATCCTCTTCCAATAACCAGTCTTCTTTTGAGAAACACCTGGCTTGCTAGTGGGCCTTAGTAGAAATTAAACATTGACCATGGATCACTGAGTTACTATGTGATGTGAAGTACCCACCATGAACACTATGAGGAAGTTGCTGTGATTCTGCTGCTGTTCCCGTTATTTGTTTCCTGGTAAGCATGGTCCTGTGTTTTTTTTTTTTTTTTCTTTCCATCATGGCAGCTTAGTAGAAGCCTCAAAACCTCTTCTCTAACTTTATGAGTGTTGAGAAGCAGGATGTGGTGGCTCAGACAGTATCAGAGGATTCCTTGAAGCCAGCAGTAGAGGTGGTGGCTACCCAGTTTCCCACTTCCTGATCATGCGGATTGTAGCTCCTTTGGTGGATCAGTTTTGTCCCATTGTTCAGGGAGTTGTTCCTGGAAGTTTAGTGTGTCAATTCAGGTCGGCTGAGAAGCAGATGTCAAGATGGAAATTTCTCCCAATAAATGTGAGAGATTTATGGAGGAAAATGCCTGTGAAGAATAAAGCCAGGAGGGAGCAGGAGTGGGCAGGGAGATGAGGCTCTGACATCACCCATAAAATGAGAGGGGAAGGAAGGAGGGTTGAGCAGGAAGAGACCTGGATTGCAGTGCAGCTCTGAGAAAAGTCTCGGCTAGGCTGATGGACAGTACCCAAGCACAGCCTGCTTGTCAGAGGGGTCCTGCACTGGGCAGGAGGAGCCTGGCTCTAGAACTCCCACTGTACTAACTACTCCCTGACTTGGGGTCACCAGTTTGGAGCAGGCTGTGTAAGGCGTGGCCTCGTCTGGATGCTGGGGTAGGTGCTGAAAGTGGCAACTGCCAGCCAACTGATCTCAGGGCAGGTTCTTTCTCGAAGAGAGATCTGAGCAGCACAGTCCCAGGGTTTTCTAACTCAGCCTGGAGCCTTCTTCTTCTGTTTTTCTAATGATTTTTTGTTTTTAGAGCATCGAAATTCTGTTTCAAATCACTCACCTTAAACTAGCTTGTACAGTTTCTGTTACTGGTGGTTGAACCCTGACTACTATAACCCCTAAGCTCAGCAGAGTATCTGATGTATTGTAGAGGATCAATAATATTTCTTTTATTAATTAATTTAAGCAGAATGGCTAAAGGTCTTTTAAGAACAAAATATATATTTTTTATTATACTTTAAGTTCTGGGATACATATGCAGAACGTGCAGGTTTGTTACATAGGTATACACGTGCCATGGTGGTTTGCTGCATCCATCAACCCATCATTTACATTAGGTATTTCTCCTAATGCTATCCCCTCCCCTAGCCCCCCACCCCCCGACAGGCCCTGGTGTGTCATGTTCCCCTCCCTGTGTCCATGTGTTCTCATTGAAGAACAGGATATTTAGCATTTAATTGCTGGTTGTTTGCATTGCTGCAAATAATCCTTTTAGCAAATTCTGATAGACCCATAGAACCATATTTAGGGGTGATGTGGCTGCCACCATTCATCAGTCTGCTGACGCTTATGTTGGGGTAGCAGGAGGGGTTGTGGTCCAGGAGTTCCAGGCTGTGGTTGGTAGTGAATGAATTATTCCTGATGCAGAGAAGCAGCTACAACTTGAATTGCTTGCAGGAGCTGATGAAAGGAAAAATATAGTGCAGGGAGGTCACCTTAGAATGGGTGGGTAGGTGGCAGGTGGAGGCTGGTATATGGGTTTACATGCAAAGCAATGAATTCCATATATATCTTTATAGTTCTTCCTCAGATTTAAACATCAGCCATCAGAGCCACCTCCTTTTCTCTCTCTTGCTGCCATCTCAAGTTCTTTATTAAAGCTAATCATCTCTCTTAAATGGAAGGATTAAGGCAATCACCCTAATTCAGTCTACGCTCAGGAAGGCTCATTGTGTTTATAAAATCTTAGCTGTTTTCTGATAACTATGTTTACCAAACTTTGAACTCTACCACCAAATTCCCCCAAAATATTGAATATAATGAAGAAAAATATTTTTGTAAGAGGTTGATGTCAACAGTTTTGCAGAAAAATTCTTGGGCAAAGGGGAAACACGCAACATATCAAGACTTCTAAAATTAAAATTCGTCAGCACTTCTCTAAAAAAGCTCACCTTTTTGGTGGGAAGAGCTTCAGGGAAACACACTTAACTTACTGAGACTTCTAAAATCAAAATTTAGTCAGCACTTCCCTAAAAACACTCACTTTTTTTTTGCTGAGAAGAACTGCAGGACACTTAGGTGGAGGTGGCAATTTGTCCAGGTAATAAACACGTTAAGAACAAGAGCAGCAATCAAAGTTTTTTCTCAACCATATCTCAGGCTAATGGAGCCGAGTGCTTTCTGGTTGGGCATTTTTCATTCTGCATCTGGAACCACCCAGGCTGATGAAAGAAACTGATCTATAGTAGTATTTAGTTTTGCCAAGCAGTGTTTAATATTCCAAATGAAAAGCTGTGGAATCTCACTTGAAAAGGAGGACAAATTTAAACCAGTGTCTAATTCTCAGCCTTCTTTTTTCATTTCATCATGGTGACCTGGTACTCCCTGCTGTCTAGTGCTTTGGTTCATTATTTTGTCTGTACAGGAACTGCACCTGCCATACAAAAGCACTTAATTTAAGCATTTGGGAAGATGCCATTAATAGACTTAAAGAAAAATGTTATATATATATAATATATGTACGTATATTTAGACCCACTGATAATTTATTTAATATTTTAAAAACATTTATTTAAAAATAACAATTCTTTAATATCATAACACATCTAATAAATTATATATAATAAATTTTAAAATTTATTAGCTATGATATTAACGAATTGATAAAGATATCTAAAAAGGATATCTAATAAATTTTAAAATTTATTTATTAAAGAATTGTTGTCTTACTCTTTGTTTAAATAGTGTTACTCTTTGCTTGAGTCAGGATGTCATTAAGTTTCACACATTGTGATTGATTGATGTGCATTTAAGCCTTTTTTAATCTACAGGCTCTCCCCATTCCTATGCCTCTCTGTCTCAATGTCTCCTCTTGCAGTTTTATTGGTTGAAGAAATGAGGTCATTTGTTCTGCAGAGTTTCTTACAGTCTGGATCTTGCTGACTGCATCTCTGTGATGCCTTTTAGCATGTTCCTCAGTTCTTTGTATTTCTCATGAATTAGTAGTTGGATGCAGGCTTGATCAGATTCATAGTTGCCTTTTGGCAAGACTCCTTCCTAGACAGTGCTCTGTGTTCCCATCAGGAAGTACATGATGTCTAGTTGTCGTGTGTGTGTGTGTGATGGAAGCAACTACAGACTACAGGGGAGATCACTGACTAGACAGATTATTAATTCAAAATAAAAAGCTGCTGACTTTTTATTTTGAAATAAATATAAACTCATAGGAAGTTGGAAAAATAGTATAGAGTCACATGTACCCTTCACCTACCTTCCCTTATCTATGTAAAGAACATGTAACCCTAGTTCAATATCAAAACAGGGAAATTGGCACCAGTAGAATAATCATACACTTTTAAATGTGTTCTGATAAGAACATTTTTCTTTTAAAAGTCCAGTGAGTCATAAAAAACTGTTCATAATTTGGCTAATTACATGTGACTTTCATAAATTTGTTCCACCTCAAAATAAGAATTTTTCTCTGAAAATTAATTTATGAACCTAGGTTAAAATACATCAAAGTAGCTTTATTTTGAGCTGAAGATAGAATTGGCACTGTCTGATCCTGTTCCAGAACACTTATTTGTAATTCAGTGGTTTAAGTGTGGATTCTGGGTGTCCAGAAAAAAATAATGCCAAAGGCCCACTTTTGTTAAATGCAAAAGAAACAACCTCAGAGATGGGGTCACCTTCGTTTCCCTTGGAATGCAGGCAATGCACTTACATAATGAGTCCATGGAAAACTAGCATAGAACAGAGCTAACAGGAATGACAAAAACATTTTTAGTACTTTCTAATTTACAAAGTACTTTAGTTAAATAAAACTACCATGTAATGGGATGTCTGAACCTAAGAATCAGTGGAGGGCATATCTTGCTTAGAATATGAATTCCTTCTTTTGTGATAGCAGAGAAAAACTTAGCAATTTTGACATAGTAACAGTGTTGCTTACAGCAGTTTAAATGTTTGTTGGAATATTTCTGAGGATTCCTTCTTGTCCAGTTTTGAAATTTAAAATTATTATTTAGGTTCATAACTTGTAAAAATTGGGAGAAAATTTTGAAATCAATTGCGGTATCTACTCAAGATACACATGAGGAACTGAGGTCTAGAGAAGTGAAGTACAGTCATCCCTCGGTAAGCTGGCGGGATTGGGTCCAGGACCCCATGGATACCAAAATCCACGGGTGCTCAAGTCCCTGATATAAAATGGTGTTGTATTTGCACATAACCTATGCACACTCTCCCATGTACTTTAAACCTTCTCTAGATTACTTACATTACCTAATACAATGTAAATGCTATATAAATAGTGGTTATACTGTATTATTGAGGGAATAATGACAAGAAAAAATTCAATAATGACAAGAAAAAAGTCTGTACCTGTTCAGTACAGATATAATCTGCCCCCCCACAAAATATTTTCAATTTGCCATTGGTTGACTCCATGGATAGAGAGTACCAGGGATAGCCAGGTATTTCTTCTAAACCCCTACAGTACAGAGGGCTGACTGTAATTTGCTTAAGGTCACCCAGTGAGCCTTTGACTGGGCCAGCAAAGTTATGTCTCTTCACCACTAAGCCAGGATTTGGGGCAGATGAGGAGCATGTGTGAAGGCCCAGAGGCCAAAGGGATCTGTTTCAGCCATGAGCATGGCTGTGGCTTCTTGTTCCCTGTAGTATCCCCAGGTTTTTTGCAGCATCTGACATGGAAAGGAGAGTTTGGCATGTGAGTGTCCAGTGTGGCTCTGGTGCAAGATTAATATGGGGGAGTGACAGGAGATGAGACACTGAAGAGGCTGGCAGGGACAAACCCTCACACACTTTGTACACCGTGTTAAAGGGTTGGAACTTTGCGTTGGTAGATGACAGCCCTGAAGAATTTTAAAATAACATAATCAAATTACCACTTTAGGAAAACCATTTGGCAACAGATGAAAGACGAACAGCTAGAAGCCGATGAGACTGGAGTGGAGACAGCACACAGAGCCCTGGTGGAAAGGAAGGCGCTGATGATAGGGATCCCACTAAGGCAGTGACATGGAGGATGGCGATCACAGAGTTGCATTTGGAAGATGCTCAGGGGTGGACTTAGTTAAACGGTGACAGAGGAGTGAAGGCTGACTCCTGAGTTCCTGCAGTGGGTAAAGTGGTTGATGGTCTTTTGTTTGCTAAGATAAGGAAGGCAAGCTGGCTGGGTGAAAACCAGGAGATTGACTCTTGAGATGATGGATGTGGGTCTGGAGCTCAAGAGAGAAGCGCCAGCCCCTCAGGGAGGAGACAGTGTAGTGGAAGTTCACAAATTTAACATTTTTTTTTCTTTTTTTTTTGAGATGGAGTTTCGCTCTTGTTCCCCGGGCTGGAGTGCAGTGGCGCCATCTCGGCTCACCGCAACATCTGCTTCCTGGGTTCAAGCGATTCTCCTGTCTCAGCCTCCCTAGTAGCTGGGATTACAGGCATGCACCGCCTGGCTAATATTTTTGTATTTTTAGTAGAGACGGGGTTTCTCCAAGTTGGTCAGGCTGGTCTTGAACTCCCGACCTCAGGTGATCCGCCCGCCTCGGCCTCCCAAAGTGTTGGGATTACAGGCATGAACCACCGCGCCCGGCCTAACATCTTTTAAAGAAGCATTTTGGGCTGGGCGTAGTGGCTCAAGCCTCTAATCCCAGCACTTTGGGAGGCCGAGGCGGGCGGATCACGAGCTCAAGAGATCGAGACCATTCTGGCCAACATGGTGAAATCCCGTGACTACTAAAAGTACAAAAATTAGCTGGGCCGTGGCGGTGCTCGCCTGTAGTCCCAGCTACTCGGGAGGCTGAGGCAGGAGAATTGCTTGAACCCGGGAGGCGGAGGTTGCAGTGAGCCGAGCGCGCGCCACTGCACTCCAGCCTGGTGACGGGGTGAAACTCTGTCTCAAAAAAATAAAAAAAAAAAGAAGCATTTTGTTGACACAATACAGACCTCAGTGTGTTTCTGACACTAAGTCACCCAGTCTGTATCTTCACAGCAGTGATGAAAATAAAACCTTAAAACATGACGTTAATCTCTCCTGTTGCTTTTTCCACGCTTGTTTGGAGAAGCCGAGGTTTTCAAAGGTGAGCCAAAATTCGGACCAGCAGCGGGCAGCGCCCCAACTTGCACGCTCCACTCAGCAACCTTGGAGGCATGCACTGAGGTCCAGAGGCGGCTGAACAACCGCCTGGTGCCACTCAAGTTTGCTCCCTGGTTCTCATCGCTCTCCTCACCCCCACTGCTGTCTCCCCACAGCAGCTTAGCCAAGTATTTCTTCTAACCTCTAATATTCTCCCGGAGAGGGGTTCAGGGAAATACAATCGTCTCTGTCTCATTACATTTCCAGGTTTTTAAACTTGGTTATTGATTTTATTACATTCATCTATTTTTACTTCTGTATCTCTTACCAAATTATAAGTTGTTTGAAGGGAGGAAGTGTAACTTATTCCTCTTTTTTGGAACCCAGATCCAAGTTTGGATCTTAGTACAGCTCTTAATAAATGGAGTTGAAATGAAAGTATTTTAGTTTCAGTTTTCTAATTTTTTTTATAAAATTAAGTTTCCATAAGAATTGTTACAAGAACTTTTATAAAAGAAACAAGTGCCCTACTCTTTCTCATTTGGTTCATTCAGAAATCTGTCTTACAGTAAGAAAAGTACTTAGAATATAGAAATATTTTCTATAAAAACTATTTTTTGAACTCCAGAGATAGTCTACTTTAGTTATTTTTGGCACTTGGATTTTTTAATGCCTTTGATTTTATACACATGACTTTAAAAATGGGCAATGGTTGCCTTTTGGGCACATTGAATTTAAGCAAATGTGTTTAGGTCTCTCATGGGTGGTGGCAAAGGTGAGTTTAAGATAATGCATTTTGCAACAAACAATTCAAATGATAAATAAGCTATTCTCTGAATTAGCCACTTAGGAAAGGCTGGGGTGTATGGAAATTAATTCTGTGTAGCTGAGCATTCTTTGTTTTTGTATTAAAAAATGGTTAGTCTTTATTCAAAGCTTATATATGAAGTGTTTTTGTGTGTGTATATATATATATATATATTTTTAAGTTTAAATTCTGGGATACATGTGCTGAATGTGCAGATCTGTTACACAGGTATACATGTGCCATGGTGGTTTGCTGCACCTATCAACCCGTCATCTAGGTTTTAAGCTTGGCATGCATTAGGTATTTGTCCTAATGCTCTCCCTCCTCTTTACCCCAACCCCCTGACAGGCCCCAGTGTGTGATGTTCCCCTCCCTGTGTCCATGTGCCCTCATTGTTCAGCTCCCACTTGTAAGTGAGAACATGTGGTGTTTGGTTTTCTGTTCCTGTGTTAGTTTGCTGAGGGTGATGGTTTCCAACTTCATCCATGTTCCCGCAGAGGACATGAACTCATTCTTTTTTATGGCTACATAGTATTCCATGGTGTATATGTGCCACATTTTCTTTATCCAGTCTATCATTGATGGGCATTTGGGTTGGTTCCAAGTCTTTGCTATTGTAAACAGTGCTGCAGTAAACATACGTGTGCATGTGTCTTTACAGTAGAATGATTTATGATCCTTTGGGTATATACCCAGTAATGGTATGGCTGGGTCAAATGGTATTTCTAGTTCTAGATCCTTGAGGAATCGCCACACTGTCTTCCACAATGGTTGAACTCATTTACACTCTCACCAACAGTGTAAAAGCCTTCCTATTTCTCCACATCCTCTCCAGCATCTGTTGTTTCCTGACTTTTTAGTGATCTCCATTCTAACTGGCATGAGATGGTATCTCATTGTGGTTTTGATTTGCATTTCTCTAATGACCAGTGATGATGAGCTTTTTTTCATATGTTTGTTGGCTGCATAAATGTCTTCTTTTTAGAAGTATCTATTCATATCCTTCAACCACTTTTGATGGGGTCGTTTTTTTCTTGTAAATTTGTTTAAGTTCTTTGTAGATTCTGGACATTAGAGCTTTGTCAGATGGATAGATTGCAAAAATTTTCTCCCATTCTGTAGGTTGCCTGTTCACTCTGATGATAGTTTCTTTTGCTGTGCAGAAGCTCTTTAGTTTAATTAGATCCCATTTGTCAATTTTGGCTTTTGTTGCAATTGCTTTTGGTGTTTTAGTCATAAAGTCTTTGCCTATGCCTATGTTCTGAATGGTATTGCCTAGGTTTTCTTCTAGGGTTTTTATGGTTTTAGGTTTTACATTTAAGTCTTTAATCCATCATGAATTAATTTTTGTATAAGGTATAAGGAAGGGATCCAGTTTCAGTTTTCTGCATATGGCTAGCCAGTTTTCCCAGCACCATATATTAAATAGGGAGTCCTTTCCTCATTGCTTGTTTTTGTCAGGTTTGTTGAAGATCCGATGGTTGTAGATGTGTGGTGTTATTTCTGAGGTCTCTCTCTGTCCTGTTCCATTGGTCTATATGTCTGTTTTGGTACCAGTACCATGCTGTTTTGGTTACTGTAGCTTGTATTGTACTGTATTGCCTCCAGCTTTGTTCTTTTTGCTTAGGATTGTCTTGGCTATGTGGACTTTTTTTGGTTCCATATGACATTTAAAGTAGTTTTTTTTCTAATTCTGTGAAGAAAGTCAGTGGTAGCTTGATGGGAATAGCATTGAATCTATAAATTACTTTTGGCAGTATGGCCATTTCCAGTGAAAGTGTTAGAAGCATGGAAGTTTACAAGACAGACAGGATTTCAAAGGGAATTTCTGTTTTAAAGGCCTGGCAATGGACAAACACAGCCTCATGTCTGAAAAATTCTGTTTTCTTCCTAGGAGCCAGAAATTAATTGGGTTATAGAGAAAACTTTTTTAACCCCTTAATGAAAAAAAAATAGACCTTTTGTATCTCATGTTTGTGTTCAGTTCTTTCAATTACATAGCTTTTAATTTTTTAATGAAAAGTAAATTTTTAAAGAAGCAATCCACAAATTATTCTATGTTCTTAAAAACTCAAATAATACAGAAGTATATAGAGGGAATTAAGTTCTTTTAGCACGTCCTGCTAGTTCACTACCTCGTCCTCAGCAGTGACTACTGTGAGTGATGCAGACTCCTCAGCCCTTGTTCTGTGTATTCACATATATATATATGCACCCATGCAAGCTTGTAGTTTCTATTTTTATAACATAAATCAGAATATTACATATATTGCTTTGTAATTTGCTATTCTTTTCTGAATAATAGCTCTTTGGCATTTCTTTTCATGTTACTACGTATAAATCCACCTTATTCTATTTGACTTTTGCCCAGTGTTATATAACATGTATGGTAGATAGCATAGTTATATATGCTTTTCCAATAATCCCTTGATTTGCCAGGCAGAGGGCAGATATCCCTTGATCTCAGGCAAGGCCTTTTTTCCAACCAGTTGTGGTCCTTTTTGCGGGGTATTTACTTCCAAACCTCCCTAATAGCTACAGTGACCATGTGACACAGTTCTGGTCTATGAAATGTAAGGGAACGCCAGCATACAGGCTTCTGGGAAATTTCAGTGTTCTTTGATGAAAAAGCAAGAGTGTTACAAAAAAAGGGTTTTCTCTGCCCTGGCTGCCCTCCCCACACCCCTAACTTCCTGCCTTTGAATGGAGATGTGATTTCTGGAGTTTGAAACCATCTTGAGACCACAGGCCACAGGCCTAAGGATGGAAAGTCAACACTCAAAATTTGTTAGTTAGCTTTGCTGTCTAACAAACAACCTCAAAATCTCAGTGGCTTACAACAAAAATATTTATTTTATTGCTCACGGGTATTTGAGTTAGCTCTGGCTCTGCTCGGCTTATCCAGGATTGGCTGGGCTTGGCTCTAACCTGTGAGTTTGGTTCAGCTTTGTATTTCTTCATTCCTCTTGGGTCAGAGGTTTCCTAAGAAATAATTCTTATCATGGATCACAGGAGTGCAAGAGAGTTGGTAGAAACATGAGATCCTATTAAGACCTTGTCCTGGAACTGGCACATACGCAATTACTTTTACCCACATTCAGTTGGCCAATGCATGTTGCAAGGCCAACTCCAACATCAGCCCATTCTAGCACACTGCAAGGTTATACTGCAGATAAAAGGGGTAGAGAGCTGAGAACAATAATCAAATTGAGGGCCGGGCGCGGTGGCTCACGCCTGTAATCCCAGCACTTTGGGAGGCCGAGGCGGGCGGATCACGAGGTCAGGAGATCCAGACCATCCTGGCTAACATGGTGAAACCCCGTCTCTACTAAAAATACAAAAAATTAGCCGGGCGAGGTGGCGGGCGCCTGTAGTCCCAGCTACTCGGGAGGCTGAGACAGGAGAATGGCGTGAACCCCAGGGGGCGGAGCCTGCAGTGAGCCGAGATTGCGCCACTGCACTCCAGCCTGGGCGACAGCGAGACTCCGTCTCAAAAAAAAAAAAAAAAAAAAAAATAATAATAATCAAATTGAAATAAAAGGATGGAGGAGCAGAAGGATGAGACCCTGGGTCCTTAATGAGAACATGGAGCAGCTGTGCCAACAATGGCACTAGTTTTTTCTAGGCTTTTGTTATAAGATAACAATGAGCCCTTGTTTATTTAAGGCACAATTTCTACTTGCTGTTGAAAACATTCCAAAACGATAAAATGCAGTTGTATTCTAATTTAACTCTTTCTTTATTGATGGGCATTTAAGTTGTTTCTAATTTTCCAAATAATGCTACAACGAACATCTTATATAAAACTTGACCAACTGTATGTGTGTTCTAATCAGATAGATTCTTAGAAATGAAATTGTTGGGTGGAAGAGTATTTACATTTAAAGTTTTGATAAATAATATCAAATTGCCCTCTACAAGACTTCATCCATTCATTCTTCATATTCTTACAATTCTGATAGTATGTCATTTTAAAAAATGCTTCCAATGTGGTGGGTGAAATATAGTTCTGTTTCATTTGCATTACTATGATTAGTGAAGTTGAATATCTTTTCATATATTCATTGGCCATTTGTATTTCTTATTGTGTAATCACATGTTCGTGTCCTTTGCTTATTTTTCTCTTGTGTTTTCCTTTTTTCTTAGTAGTTGGCAAGGGATCATTTTATTTTATGCTTTTCTTGTCTGTTTTACGCTTGATAAATATGGTCATTTATTTGTCTTTCCTTCTTTTAAAAATAATTTTTATTAGATATTACAGAGATACAAAAGAGTATATATGAAATACGCTCAAACTCTAAAAAATGAGAATACAATAAATTACCGAGAATTCATCATCCAAAGAATTTGTACATTCTCATCACCTTTGAAGTCCACTCATTTCCTTCCACATTAGAGTAAATAAATGAAACCCTGAAATTTGTGTTTATTATTCTCATTTTTCTTTATACTTTTACTACAAACATATGTGTCCAGAAACAGTATTTAGTTCACATGTTTTGACCTTTATATAAATGGAATCATACTATAACTATCCTTTGGTGACTTTTTCCATTCAACATGTTTCTAAGATTCATCCAGTTTGTTGCATGTAGCAGTAATTCACAGTGGCAAAGAATTCTATTATATGAAATAACAAAACGTATTTATCCCCTCTTATTTCTTAAACATAGTAAACATACTTGTCTGTTTGTTCCTATATCTGAAGTACAGAGGTTAGTTTATGTTGTCTATTGCTTCTGCTGGCTCTTAGTCATGATGCCTCATATGTTTCTGTGGTTTGAGATTTGCTATGGCCTGAAAGTGTGTGTGTCCCCTCAAGTTTTGCATGTTGAAAACCTAATTACCAATGTGAAGGTATTAGGTGGAGCCTTTGGGGGGTGATTAGATCAGAGAGTGGGCCCTCATGAATGATATTAGTGCCCTTATGAAAGATACCCCAGAGAGCTGCCGTGCCTCCTTCCCCCATGTGAGGATGCAATGAGAAGGTCCTATCTAAGAGGAATGGGCCTTCACTAGACACTGAACCTGTTGGCACCTTAATCTTGAACTTTACAGTCTCCAGAACTGGAGACTGTCTTGAAAGATAACAATAATAACGTCGCAGGGGAAGATGAGCTCAGCTCTCAGGTCTGGTGATGAGAAATGATGCTGACGTGTGGCTACCCTACATTTGAATTTGGTCAGTGGGAATACAAGAGTTCAAATCCCAGTGGACATTTCAGAAACTTCTTTTCTTTTTTTCAAATGTTAAAGCCCAAACTGCATGAAGGCTTTGGGGAAATTTTCTGCCCCCAGAGCTAATCAAGGACATTCTTTTTTAATGCATATTTTAGGGGCTTATTTTTATTTTTATTTTTTATTATACTTTAAGTTCTTGAGTACATGTGCAGAACATGCAGATTTGTTACATAGGTATACATGTGCCGTGGTGGTTTGCTGCACCCATCAACCCATTATTTACATTACACATTTCTCCTAATGCTATCCCTCTCCTAGTCCCCCACCCACTCACAGGCCCTGGTGTGTAATGTTTCCCTCCCTGTGTCCATGTGTTCTCACTGTTCAATTCCCACTTATGAGTGAGAACATGCAGTGTTTGGTTTTCTGTTCCTGTGTTAGTTTGCTGAGAATGATGGTTTCCAGCTACATCCATGTCCCTGCAAAGGACATGAACTCATTCTTTTTTATGGCTGCATAGTATTCCATGGTGTATATGTGCCACATTTTCTTTATCCACTCTGTCATTGATGGACATTTGGGTTGGTTCCAAGTCTTTGCTATTGTGAACAGTGCCGCAATAAACATATGTGTGCATGAGTCTTTATAGTAGAATGATTTATAATCCTTTGGGTATATACCCAGTAATGGGATTGCTATGTCAAATGGTATTTCTAGTTCTACATCCTCTAATCAAGGACATTCTAAATGGTGGCTTTGATCCAAAAAAAATTTGTTTATTATTGTCATTATCCATATAAATTGCTGATCTTTCATCTATAGTTGAAGTTCCTGCTACTTTTGAATGCTAATAATTGAGATTGCTTCAGGTTATATATGTGAATGCATGTATCAGATATATATCTGTGTATCACTTAGGGGTGGTATCCATTTTGTCCTTTATACTTGTTTCTTTCCTAAACTTGATTACAACCTTGGAGGCAGATCACCTGGAACCAGTTTCCATTACTTTCCTCTGGTTTATTCATTTAAAAATATTTGAGTGTGTCCTGTGAGCCCAGGGCTGTGCTATGTGCTCATTGAAGTTAATGAGCATGTATTGCACACTCTGTGTTTGCTAGATACTACCTGAATGAATAATGTGCATTCTTGTCACAAGAACATCACAGTTTAATTAGAGATAAAATTTTAAATTTTAGGAGAAATTATTTGGCAGTTTTACACTGACACAAAATATTGGATATAGCCACTTTGACTTGCTGCTTGTGAAAACTACACTTTGTATAATTATGTGACTGAGCTGCAACCCCAGTGGTTTTGAGAAACAAGAATCAGCAGAATTTTGCAGCTTTAATAGAATGTACAAGCAACTGAACTATACTTTATGTAATTATTACACTTTGTGTAATCACTTACTCCAATTGAACTAGGAAAATATTGCTTTTTAAAATTCATTCTTCTATTGTACTTCTTTCTGAAACAGAGTAAGGTATAATGTCTCCTTTCCCTTTAGCATTTAACAAATAAGATGTAAATATGATTTCCAATATACAGAAATGACCCATGCCGCAAACAAAGGAACTTTATCTTACATCCCTGCAGTGGGGGTTTTTGCACATGGTGCAATTTTCCAAGATCCGGAAAGGATTTGGCTGAACAAAAAGGAAGAAGGCTCAGGCACTGGTCGAACAGCCTAGGGTTGACTTTAGACACCAGCATAAATAACTGTGGGGAAACTAATCTACGGAGAGAGTTTTGTGTGTGTGTGTTTTTTAAAGGAATGCGGTTTTCTTACTTTCAAAGACACCTAATAATGTAAATGAAGCAACACAATAAGGAATTACTAGAATCTGCTAAAGATTCTAAGGAAATTTGCTGGACTGACTCAGTATGATAGAACTGTAACTAGTTTGTCACTTTGTTAAAATAATGATGCTTTTAGATAATAAGAATAACAACAATAATAGCTGGTACCACTGAGTGTTTATTGTATTCCAGGAACTTTTCTAAGTGCATTGTTAACTATAAATTTTATGACAACCTGCTATGAAGAATACACTATTATATTGCCATTAGTTTTAATGGCAAAAACTTCAATTACTTTTGTACCAACATAGTATCTCCATTTCACAGACAAGAAAACTTAGGCACAGTGCGGCTAACTAATTTGTCTAAGGTCACGATAGTGGTGGGGGCAAGATTCTAATTCAGGTGGACTGGCTCCAGAATCCATGCTTTTAAGCTTTATTGTCTTAAGATTGTCTTTTAATTATAATGGTATGAACATTCAAGCTTTTAATCTTATTTTTCATAACATTTTTACCCCATTAATTCACTCAGCAAATCTTTTCTTCATAAATTGTGAAAGTGCCACCCAAGACACTGTCTAATTTATTAAAAGTTAAGATTAGCAGGGTCCAAATTTACAAATTGCAGGATAGGATTGTTTTTTACTGATGGTGGCTTATATTCTAAAATAGTAGTTATGTGTATTTGTATCTCTAAAAAATATTACTAAAAAAGCATAAAAGAGACAAAAACCTCATGTACACACAAAAGTCCACGGTGGCAGACTGGATAATTCACAATGGTGTATAGTCCTTTTAGATAAGGATTATTTTCTTCTAGTCTTTGAATGTTCACACTTTTATTTAGTGTAGTGTATCCTCATTAACCCCTTCCATTAGATGGTGGTCAACAATTATGCTTCTGCTGTGCTTCTGTTCTCCCTTGGGGAGAGAGAGATGATGGATTCAGCATAAAGCTGGACTTCACTGTATTAGTAAGTAGCCTGACTGCTGTGCACATCAAGATAAGTTTCATGGTACATAGAGGTAACACAATGGAAATCACAGTTTAGAAATCCAATTTATCTTGCTGTGAATAGAATTGCCTTCAATACAGACACCAATTAGTTTTGTTCCATAACACTGTTATAGAAATGTGACATTGAAAAACTACTTGCAAACTACTAAAGCATTCATCTACCATGAGTTCATGTCATGGAGGGAAAAATGTTAATTCTACTTATGTGAGAAAGCATAAAAGGGTTTTTTACAAAGAGCAGCCACAAGGTCAGAATACGACTCTGAGGTAATAAAGTGAAGACTTCTCTGAAACCTTTAGTTGCTTATACATTCTATTAGAACTGCAAAATTCTGCTGATTCTTGTTTCTCAACACCACTGGGATCGCAGCTCGGTCACATTATAGATTAAGTGGAGAGCGATGCCAGCCTTTAATGTTTCTTCTTGAACTGCATCTGGACCTGCTGCTGATGCTCTTGGCTGGCCTCGGTTCTCCTCTTTGGCTCCAGCATCCTCTGACTCTTCCTGTAATCACTGGTCAGTTCACTACTTAGATCATTTATGGCAAAGCCTTGAAATGTACCTTCACATTCATTATAAGAATAAAAAGGCCCAGCTAGAGTACTCTAGAAGTTAAAAAAACTGAAGTGTAGCTAACATTTTCCCATTCATCTGTAGACAAGCACACATCATAAGAACATGTCTATGGTTTAATAAGATTGGACTCAAACATCTTGCAACTCAATTGTACACACACTTATTGATCATACACAAGATAAAAGACATTGTTTAGGAAAGCATGATATGGTGGAAAGAATATAAGAACTGGAGCAGGACAGACTGGGGTGGGAATTCAAGCTCCACCATTTACCAGCTCTCTGGGCCTGAGCCAGTACTTAATATTTCTAAATTTTGGCATACTTTTTTTTGAATGGAGATAATAGCTACCTTGCTTGTATGGTTACTGAGAATTAGACGTTATGTATACAGAGTGCCTGAATATAGTGTGTTGAATGATGACTATTATTACTAAGCTATGTGGGGGTAATTAAGGCGAGACGTGGTTCCCATCTTTAAGGAGCTTGTTCTACAATGGGAGAGAAAACATATGAACAAATATTTGTGCTTCAAGCAGAAAGGATAAAGGCCATAAAGGAGCTTCAAAGTGCCTTGATGAGAGTGCTATGAAGGGAACCTATTGGCTGGGGTATTGCAGCAACCTCCTAATTGGTCTCCCTGACTACCGTCTTGCCCACTCTAGTCTACTCTTCATTAACAGCTAACATAGTCTTTCTTAAACGTGGATCTGATCACATCAATCTCATGGTAAAATACTGCCATGACTTTTCATTCCCTTTGTGACAAAGTGTTTAGTATGTGAACTCCAGCTTAAATTTCCAACTTCATCTCTCTTCTTCCTTCTGCCTTACCCATCCCCAAAAATACAGTTCATGGGCTAGCCTTACTAAACCTTTTTTCAGTTCCAGGTTAGTTAGGGTTCTACACAGAAACAGAACCAATAGGATATATATATATACATATATGTGTGTGTGTGTGTGTGTATACATATACATATATATATATATATATACACATAAAATAAAGAATTGGCTCACACAATTATGGAGTTTGAGAAGTCCCAGGATCTGCAGTTGGCAAGCTGGAGACCTAGGACAGATGGTTGTTAAGTTTCTATCTAAGGGCAGAAGAAGACAATGTTCCAGTTCAAGTAGTCTGGCTGGCAAAATTCCCTCTTGATCAAACTTTTGTTCTATTCAGGTCTTCATTTGATTGAATGAAACCCACTCACATCAGGGAGGGTAATCTGCTTTATTCAGTCCACCAATGCAGATGTTTATTTCATCCAGAAACACCCTCACAGATACACCCATGATAATGTTTGGTTGAATGTCTGGGCATCCTATGGCCCAGTCAAGTTGACACACAAAATTAACCATCACAAATTCCAAGAGCACGACATGTTCTGTTTTACATCTGTCCCTTTGCACATGCAGTTCCCTCTGCCTAGGCTACTCTTGGTCTCCTGACGCCTGGTCCACTTCTACTGGCTGTTCCAGTCTCAGTTCACAAGTCTAACCCTTCCAGACTTGGTCAGATCCCTCTCCTACGGTACCCTTCAGTTCCCCTATTATAGCATGCATCTTTGTACACTGTAATTTCTTATTTACCTGTCTCTGTCATGTAGACTGTCAGCTCACAGAGAGTCAAGAACTTGTCTTTAGTGTGTCCACAATATCTCCTGTGTCTAGGACCAGATTCAGCAGGTTAAATCATCCAATAGCTATTTGTTAAATGAATGAATAAATAGATTTAGTGGAGCAGGTGGCAGCTAATATAGGTCTTAGAGGAGGAAGACTTTGGAAGAAATTTAACACCCAATTTGGGAAAATCAACAATAAATAATACCAAAATATTCATTTTGGGATTAAGCCTTCAAACATTTGTATAGGGAGTCTGAAGACTAACAGTTATTTCACTATACCAAAAATAATTGTAGCTATCATGAGATACTCTCCAGGAGGTAAGGGGCTTTGTTTTTCTCATATTTGAAGAACATTTTTTATCATGGGAAAATAGAAGTTGAAAATAGTATAATGAAGCTCCACACGCTCATCTTAAATACCTATTAACATGTCATCATACTTGTTTTTATTTTTATTTTTTGGTTGAAGAACTTTAAAGCATATCCAGGAAAATCTGATACTTTTTGTGCTTAAATAGTTCAATACATTTACACATCTTTAAAAATAAGGACATTTTCTTCATAATCACTATACTACTGTAGAACCCAACAGTATTAGCAATATTTCTATAATATTATTTAACACCCAGCCCATACTTGGAATTTCTCCAAAGTGTCCTTTTTTTTTTTTTAACAGTTAGTTTGTTTTAATCAGAGTGCAAATAAGGTACACACATTTGATTGCCATGTCTCTTGACTCCTTTTGATTTATAAAGGTACTCTTACAGCCACCACTCCTTTTTAACACATGCCATCAACATGTTGAAGACTGGGTCATTTGTCGTGTAGAATACTTCTCATTTGGGATATGTTTGGTTGCTTCCAAATGATGTCATTTAACCTATCCTTCTTTCCCTTGTATTTCCCATGAATTGGAAGTTAGAGCTAGAGTCTTGATTAAGTTCAGATTCAACATTTTCAACAAGGATACTTCATAGCTAGAGCTGGGTACACCATATTACAACCTATCAGAAGCACATGCTGCTTTCTAGTTTTAGGGATGCTAAGAGTGATCATCTCGTACTTCTGTAATAAAGTTGCAGCCCCCCACCCCACACTGCCACCACTTACTTATGCTTATGTCAAATCAGTGGTTTGTCACTTTGGTACAGTTATTGTTATCCTTTCATCTAATTGTTTTTAGCAACTATTAAAGGTTGCTTAAGCAATTATTTCATTAGGGATTGCAAAACGGTGATTTTTTAATGCAGTAATTCTTGCTACATTTATTAGTTGAAATTCTTCTACAGAGTTTTTTTCTACCTAAACTAGAACTATTTGGTGTTCTGAAATACTTTTTTTTAAATAAGAAAGGCAAGATGAATTCTAAATTCATTCTCTTTAAAGAGATTTTCTTTTGTCTTTTAAAAAAAGATTCATCATGGATTTTTATATAGTCAGTGTATTCCAACCAATCACAATCATTATTCATTTTGATGCTCAAATTGTTCCATCTCTGGCCAGTTGAAGCCCCTTTAAGTTGCTTTCAAACACTTTTGAAGAGTCTCATTAAACTTTGATAGCTTCCTTACTTTCTGGAGCACAAAATGCTCCAAGCTCATCTTGTATGTTTCATGCCCCAGACCTGGAAACAGCTTTTTCTTTTCTTTTTTTTTTTTTCTTTACTTTAAGTTCCGGGATACTCTGCAGAATGTGCAGGTTTGTTACATAGGTATACGTGTGCCATGGTGGTTTGCTGCACCTACTCAACCTGTCACCTAGGTCTTAAGCCCCACATGCATTAGCTATTGTCATGATTCTCTCCCTTCCACTGCCCCCTCAATAGGCCCTGGTGTGTGTTGTTCCCCTCCCTGTGTCCATGTGTTCTCAGTGTTCAACTCCCACTTATGAGTGAGAACAAGTGGTGTTTAGTTTTCTGTTCCTGTGTTAGTTTGCTGAGGATGATGGCTTCCAGCTTCATCCATGTCCCTGCAAAGGACATGATTTCATTTCTTTTTATGGCTACATAGTATTCCATATGTACCACATTTTCTTTATCCAGTCTGTGATTGATGGGCATTTGGGTTGGTTCCATGTCTTTGCTATTGTGAATAGTGCTGCAGTAAACGTATGTGTGCATGTATCTTTATAACTGAATGATTTATATTCCTTTGGGTATACACCCAGTAATGGTATTGCTGGGTCAAATGGTATTTCTGGTTCTAGATCCTTGAGGAATCACCACACTGTCTTCCACAATGGTTGAACTCATTTACATTCCCACCAACAGTGTAAAAGCGTTCCTATTTCTGCACAGCCTCGCCAGCATCTGTTGTTTCTTGACTTTTTAATGATCATAATGATCCTCATTGTGACTGGCATGAGATGGTATCTCATTGTGGTTTTGGTTTTCATTTCTCTAATGATCTGTGATATTGAGCCTTTTCTCAAATGTCTTCTTTTAAGAAGTGTCTGTTCATATCCTTTGGCCACTTTTTGATGGGGTTTTTTTTTCTTGTAAAATTGTTTAAGTTCCTTGTAGATTCTGAGTATTAGCCCTTTGTCAGATGGGTAGATTGCAAAAATTTTCTCCCATTCTGTAGGTTGCCTGTCCACTCTGATGATAGTTTCTTTTGCTGTGGAGAAGCTCTTTAGTTTAATTGGATCCCTTTGGCAATTTTAGCTTTTGTTGTAATTACTTTTGGTGATCTCATCATAAAATCTTTGCCCATGCCTATGTCCTGAATGGTATTACCTAGGTTTTCTTCTAGAGTTTTTATGGTTTTGGGTTTTACATTTAAGTCTTTAATCCATATTGAGTTAATTTTTGTATAAGGTATAAGGAAGGGATCCAGTTTCAGTTTTCTGCATATGGCTAGCCAATTTTCCCAGCATCATTTATTACACAGGCAATCCTTTCCCCATTGCTTGTTTTTGTCAGGTTTGTTGAAGATCAGATGCTTGCAGATGTGTGGTCTTATTTCTGAGGTCTCCATTCTGTTGCATTAGTCTATATGTCTGTTTTGGTACCAGTACCATGCTGTTTTGGTTACTGTAGCCTTGCAGTATAGTTTGAAGTCAGGTAGCATGATGCCTTCAACTTTGTTCTTTTTGCTTAGGATTGTCTTGGCTATGTGGGCTCTTTTTTGATTCTGTATGAATTTTGAAGTAGTTTTTTTCTAATTCTGTGAAGAATGTCAATGGTAGTTTCATGGGAATAGCATTGAATATATAAATTGGCAGTATGACCATTTTCATGATATTGATTCTTCCTATCCATGAGGATGAAATGTTTTTCCATTTATTTGTGTCCTCTCTTACTTCCTTTAGCAGTGGTTTGTAGTTCTCCTTGAAGAGGTCCTTCACTTCCCTTTTTAGCTGGGGAATCAGCTTTTTCTTCAAGGAGTCCTGGTTCCTTTCAGTGGTATATAATATTTGAATCCCAAATCTCGTCAGTGAACATGCTAATTCCTGAGCTGTTATTGCTTTCAAGCCTTTTTAGTAGACAAGAGCTAGGGAATCTGTATTAAAACACCCATAAGTTAATTGTGAAATTTCCAATTCCAATTTAAATTTAATAGGGTTTTTACTTAACTTACGAAATTATACATTTGCTTCTTTCCTTTTCAGTGAAAATCTTAATTCCTAATAACAAGATATTTTTATAGCTTTATCTTCCATATATATAATGTATAAGTATAAATAGTTAAAAATAATAATACCAATACTACTACTAACAGTTAGATTACTAAATTGTTTAAGGTTTTTTTTTTTTTTTTTTTTTGCCCTTAAAAATAACTCATTAAATAAATATGGCCCATATACTGTGTCTTAAAGCCATTTGAGTTATTTCTTTTTTCTGTGTGGTAAATTATCTTTTCTAATGACTTATACAACACAACTAATGAGTCCTCATTATACTTGAAAAAGCAAGGTTTTCATTCTAATAGACCTGGTTCCTCTGGGGGAGAGGTGCTAGAGATTAGAGTTGTGTTCTAAATTAATTAGTTGAAGCAACAAAAACCAGAGGAAAATCTGTTATGTAAATACATGGTCACAATGGACTTTATCTTGAAGAAACTTGTCAGGGAGTGAATAGCAGATGCAGAATTTTTCTGCCAATGTGAGTTATTGAGCTGCCGGCTTCTGTAAATTTTTAAATACGATCCCTCAGCAACCTATGGACAATACCAGATTTCCTATCACCTACTTGATTTTCAGGTCATTTTTGTTATAAGCATATACTCAGTAGAGGGTTAAGAAAGAAGTTGGATTAGAGCCAAAGAAGGCAGTTGCCTTTCACCATTGTTGAAAGTGGGGATGAAGAAATTCTGCTGCTTCAATAGTGTTTCTTTTGAGTACAGTTGGAATAGTAGGAGTGAAAGAAAAGGCAGATTTAGGGAAAGGAGAAGAAAAGATAGGAAGAGGGATAGGAAGATAAAGATTATAATAGCTCTTCTCTCCTATACCAGACACAGTGCAAGGCATTTTAATTAATTTAAACAACTCTCAGAATGCAACTTTCACATGATCTCTGTAGGATGAACTGAAGGCTGTGTGTATAAACACAATTTTAGCAAAAGGTTTTAGCTTCTTCTTAGGTCTGGTATAATGCAGTGATCTGTTGATTAAAACATTTTAATAGACTAAATGTGTACTTTGGTTTGAGGTTGAGACCAAGGTTTTCACTCAGTGTTTTTGTAGAGAAATAATTAGGAACATCAGTATTATCATCACTTTCATTTTATTTTCTCAGGCCTGCTACTTAGGGCCTGGCACATAATAAGTGCTCAATAAATGTTTGTTGAGTGATTAAATCACTCGATTACTTTTCATTCCTTCCAACCCTAGATGGAATGGAGAACTAAAAACATATTATGACATTTTTACAGGCAAACAATTTATATAAGGAAATATAGTGAATGGAAATGCCATAAATGTTGAAATAAGCCTAACCACTCTACTGTAGTTAAAGGAAAAATCAGGAGAACATGTGGATAATATAATAAGGTTTCAGTGCTAAAACGAGCTTTAGAAATCATCTGAATCTTCATTTTGTAGATGAGGACTATGAAGATCTAAAATGGTTGCGACTTGTGCAGAGCCACACTCTTGGTTAGGGGAGTCAGCTGATCCTGGTTTTCTAATTCCTTCCTCCAGGTGTATACCCTACCCTTACATCACACCCAATGTCCAACAAAGACAGAGAGTGGGACTTGACTTCCACGTTCATTGAATCCCAAGCAATTACTTTAAGAACCCTGAAAGAAATCATTTTGGGACATTTACCTGAGATAAGAAGGAAGCCCATAATGCAATTCAGAAAACAAACAAGGGAGCTTAGCGATCACATAAGCCTGTTTACGTTGAGAACCAGATAGAGAATAGTTTCTCAAGAGACTAGATAGAGTCTGCAATATTAGGGACATTTCTGTAGTGATGACATAAAACTATTGGGATATCTGGGGGAGAGTGAGTCTTCCATCCCACCGAGAGGTTGGATAGACTGATTGGTTCTATTTTCAATTCTCCTCATTTTCATTATCTGTGTTTGGGATGGACAATCACAATTGCAATGATTTCTTTTTGGGGTAAGGGTGGAAGGCAAAACTAATGATGTCACCAGAGAAAGCACACAGAGAGTATTTACCATCCTGGAGATCAGTGAACTGAAAATGTTGCTAGCACATCAGTCCTAGGGTGATGAGCTCCGTGGGAGCTCAGAGTAGCAATGAGTTGTGCCAGCTACCCACTGAGGGTGACAGTTTAAAAACAATGGACTGAAAAATGTTGTAAATTTGAAAAACAATGAACTGCCTGGTGTCAGTGTTTAGAGATTGATGGGACTGGTGCCTGGAAAGCCAGATAGGAGTGTAGAAATTCACACCATTTTAACATTCAAAGTGTCCCTTGAAATGATTCATTAAGAGCCATATAGATATAAATGCATATCTATGTATATAGATTTATATGCATTTGTACACATAAACACATGCACATTATTTATATTGTTCTCTCTTTGTGTTTAAAATGCTCAGAAGTTGAAACTTGTTTGGAAATATTCAGTCAAGTGAAATGTTTCCTTTTGCAATATGCAGTTTGTCTTGGTAGCTCATGCTGCCTTTAACTTTCTTTTCCCTTCCTCCCTATATAATTAAAGGTGAAGGGCAAGCAGGAGAGAGAGTTTTTAACTTATGCTGGTGCTCTCCTGAGTGCTGCTGCATGTGGCTATACAGGCTCTGCATTGCACAACATACAGATTATGATGGGGATGGCGCCTTCCAAAGTGGTGTGACAAGGCTGTCAGTCCAGTGCTGTAGCCAGATGGGAATTTGGGGTTTGAAAGTGTGTTAGTTAACTATTGCTACTTGATATCCCAAAACTTTGTGGTTTAAAATAATAGTCCTTTATTATATTTCATGAGTTAAAGGATCACCTGGGAGGTTCTGCTGATGGACTGTGCTCTGCATCTCTGTGGTCAGCTGGTGAATAGGCTGGTGGCGGTAGGTCTAGGATGACCTTGACAGGGACAGTTCATTTGTCCTCCATGTGTTTTTCACATCCTCTAACAGGCTAGCTAAAGCTTATTCTTGTTAGTGATAGTTAATGTGCAAGTGTTTTTTCACTTTTTCATCGATGGGATATGGTTTGGATGTTTGTCCCCTACAAATCTTATGTTGAAATGTAATTCCCAATGTTGGAGGAGAGGTCTGGTGGGAGGTGATTGGATCATGGGGGCAGATCCCTCATGAATGGCTTAGCACCATTTCCGTGGTGATGAGTGAGTTCTTGCTCAGTTCATGTGAGATCTGGTTGTTTAAGAGTGTGTGGCACCTTTGCCCTCTTTCTCTTGCTCCCACTTTTGCCATGTGACATGCTGGCTCCTTGTTGCCTTCCACCATGTTTGTAAGCTTCCTGGGACCTCACTAGAAGCAGATGCTAGCACCATGCTTTCTGTAAAGCCTGTAAAACCATGAGCCAATTAAACCTCTTTTTAAAATAAGTTATCCAACTTCAGGTAGTTCTTTATAGCAATGCAAGGACAATCTAACACAGTCTGCTTTGTCAAGTTTGCTGCTTTTTCATTGGCCAAAGCAAATCACATGGTGAAGTCCAAAGTCATGTGGGAAGGTAGTTTCAAAGGGTGTGGATATAGAGAGATACAAAAAATTCAGACTCTTAATGCAACCAGTCTAACACAGAGAGTGAGTTAGCAAACAAAAGTCTCAAAGAGAGGATCATGAATGTTGCTCTGGTTTGAATGTCCCCTCCAAAACTCAAGTTGAAATTTAATTGCCATTGTGATGGTATCAAGAGGTAGGACCTTAAAGAGGTAATTCGGTTATGAGGGTGGAACTGTTGTCATGAGAATAGGTTAGTATTGCTGCAGTGGGAACCTGATAAAAGGATGAGGTTCGGCTCCCTTTTTCTTTCTGTCTCATGCGCTCTCATCCTTTCTTGCCATGTGATGCCTTCTGCCATGGGATAATAACAAGACCCTCACCAGATGCAGCCCCTTGATCTTGGGCTCCCCAGCCTCCAGAACCATGAGCCAAATAAACTTCTATTGTTTATTAATTATCCAGCCTGTGGTATTCTGTTATAGCAGCAGAAAACAGACTAAGACAAATATCAATAGTCTTTGTTGTTCAAATCAGTACTATTTTTCTTTGAAGTTTGTATTTATTCATTTATTCATCCATCCAGCTTTTATTAGGTCTATTACGTTTAGACACTATTGTAGAGACTAAGACAAACTTTGTGCTTAAAATGGTTACCTGGTGAAACAGGCTTTTCTTTGGGCTCCACATCTTCTATTTCTTCTTCTCTCATCTGAGATATGGAGGGGGTCTTTTTTAAAATGGAATAGCAAAAAACTTGCTCTATGAAGCAGGTCATGTTAACTCAAGAAAGATTGACAAGCCTTGAAGCTTGCTCACCAGAAACATTGCCTCTCCTGCGAGGAGCTGGGACTCAGAAAGAGGGAAAGGAAGTAGAAAGAGGCCAAGGAGATAGGGTAGAGGAGAGAAGGAGGGAAAAGGGAGGAAGTCCAGAGAGAAAGAGAGAGAATTTAGATGCTTATCTCAGGTGAACTGAATGAACTTAGGGGCGACAGTAAAGACATTTTGCATCTTTCTCTGGGTTTTGTGTGTGTACATAACTGGCTAATGCTTTTTTTGTAATGGCCTGTCCTAATGTTGTCTCCCAGATACTGTGGGGGGTAAGTAAAGCATTTCATTTTGTAGAAATATGGAAGATGACTAATCATTTATCCTGCTCTAATCTTGCCTTCAGGACTACCCAATCTTCTCTTTATTCTTGTCATGTGCCAGTCACCATTACCTTCTTTTTGGCTTCAGGAGCCTGCCCACTAACCTGGACTTCAATTATTAATCATTTAAATGTTGCATTTTGTGGAATTCTAGAAGTCTCATCTTTTTTATCATGATTCTTCAACAACATTTCCACATTCTAGCTCCCAGCCTATTACCTTGATTCTAACGTCATCCATTCATGGAACATTTAGAGAGCTCCATTGTTCATCCGTTCATGGAACATTTAGAGAATTCCATTGCTCATGTGTGACAGTGTAGCTACAAACAATACTATGAAGATAATAATTGAATACTTACTATGTGTAAGACCTTATTGTAGCACATTTACTTGTGTAAACTTTATTTCACAACAATACCATCATTATCCTCATTTTACAGATGAGGAAATGGAAGCATAAAGAGATCAAATCACTTACTTGAAATAACAGAACTGGGAGTTGAATCCAAGTGGGTAGGCATAACTACACTCGATAAATAAGGCCCATTTCTGCTCTCAGGGAGTGACGATACCTTTGTTTTCTTCTTTTGTTACTAATCTGTTACTGCTTCAAACATTTTTGGCTTTCATCCATTCTTAAGAAAATTTCCTTGACTTTTCAAAGTCAACTATTTAATATTTCTATGGTATTTTAATTCCTGTTTTTACTGTTTTCCTTCCTCTTGTTCTCACATGCTCTGAGACAATGCCCTTTTCATTACCTTGACTTTTACTTTGATCTTCGTCTTTGCTAGCTCCTTTCCCTCAATAAACAAACAGGCTGAACATTAAAAAAACCCTATTATCCTCTAACTTGTACTTCCTTGAAGCACAAAATTAAAAAAAACATGTGGATCTTTAATAATCCACCTCTTGATGGGCTCTTCTCTCATGGCGTCCCTGAAACTGTGTCTTTCCCGTCATGGCTGTCCTTCACTTCTCTGAATATGCTCCCCTACGTCTCTGAGTGTGCTTTTCTGTCCCCACGACTGAACTTTACTCCTTCTCCTCTTGTTCATACATTGGCATTGCCTGGTGTTCTGTCCTGTAGGCTTGTCTCTAGTCTTTTTACCTTCTTTCTCAGTGATAGGGTGGCCATAGAATTTATTGCCCAAACTGGGACACTATTGTCTGGGACAAATGCCAAACTGGATGTGATGCCAGGGCAACCAGAGTAAACCAGGACTGCGATTTTTCCCAAATCTTCCTCGGTTCCACATTTCCAACCCTTTGCTAGTGGTTTCTACTTGTGTGTTCAGGGCTTTCAGCTTTAGATATCCTAACTCAGACTCTTTTCTTTTTTTCTTTTCTAATCAACAATTCCTGAATTCTCTGCTTCTGAGGGAGCTGCCATCCTGCAATGCCTGAGATGTGACAACCTGGGTCATTTCCGAATGTCTCTCATACACACTGTCCATGGCATCAGTCTTCAGGTCTATTGATTTGGCTTTTATAATGTTTTACTTCATTCCTTCTTTTTGATTTTCAGTGCTGCTATTTAGTTCAGGCCTTTATCACTTCAAGCCAGAATTACTGTGGTAGTCTGATCCCAACCAACTTTTTATCTGTATCTTCTCCTACTTGTTCTAGAACTCTATGCATATCTAATATAGACCCTTTCCTGTCTCCTGTCCTGCATGGATTACTTTGGCTTTTGTTTGAATATGATGTGTCTTTATATGAATGTCTTTGAGTTTGTCCTACTTGAAGTTCATTGAGCTTCTTGAATGTGATTAATGTATTTTTCGTCAAATTGGGAAAGTTTTTGGTCATTAGTTCTTTAAATATTCATTCTTTTTCTTGCATCCTTCTGAGATTCTCATTATGAGTATATGGCTATTTTTGGTGGTATTCTATAGGTCTCTGAAAGTTTTTATATTTATATTATTTTTCATTTCTCTTCCTCAGACTAGAAAATTTCAACTGACCTGTCTTCGGGTTCACAGATTCTTTATTCTGCCGGCTCAAATTTACTATTAAGCCTCTTTAGTGAATTTTTCACTTTAGTTTTTGTACTTTTTTTTTTAAACTTTTCTTTTAGGTTCAGGGGTACATGTGCAGGTTTGCTGTATAGATAAACTCATGTCATGAGTGTTTGTTTTACAGATTAGTTTATAACTCGGGTACTAAGACTGCCATCCAATAGTTGCTTTTTCGGATCCTCTCTCTCCTCCACCCTCAGCCCTCAAGTAGGCCCCAGTGTTCCCTTCTTTGGGCCCATAAATTCTTATCATTTAGCTCTCACTTATAAGTGAGAACATGCAGTATTTGGTTTTCTGCTCCTGTATTAGTTTGCTAAGGATAATAGCCTCCAGTTCCATCCATGTTCCTACAAAAGACACAATCTCTCTCTTTTTTATGGCTGCATAGTATTCCATGGTGTATATGTATCACATTTTCTTTATGCAGTCTGCTATCCCTCAGCATTTAGGTTGATTTCATGTCTTTGCTATTGTAAATAGTGCTGCAGTGAACATTCACTGCATATGCCTTGAAGGTAGAATGATTATACTCCTTTGGGTATATACCCAGTAATGGGATTCCTGGGTCAAATAGTAGATTTGTTTTTAGCTCTTTAAGGAATTTCTACTTTGCTTTCCACAATGGTCAAACTGATTTACACTCCCACCAACAGTGTATAAGTGTTCAATATGGCCATTTTAATGATGTTGATTCTTCTGATCCATGAGCATGAAAAGTTTTTTCTGTTTGTTTGTGTCATCTCTGATTTCTTTGAGTAGTGTCTTGTAGTTCTCATAGTAGAGCTCTTTCACCTCCCTAGTTATCTGCGTTCCTAGGTATTTTATTCTTTTTGTGGCAATTGTGAATGGGATTGCATTCCTGATTGGCTCTTTGCTTACCCATTATTGGTGTATAGGAATGCTAGTGATTTTTGTACATTGATTTCGTATCCTGAAACTTTACTGAAGTTGTTTATCAGCTGAAGGAGCTTTTGAGCTGAGACTATGGGGTTTTTCTAGCTATAGAATCATGTCATCAGCAAACGGGTAGTTTGAGTTCCTCTCTTCCTATTTGGATGCTCTTTATTTCTTTCTCTTGCCTGATTGCTTTGGCCAGGACTTCCAATACTATGTTGAATATTTGTGGTGAGAGAGAGCATCCTTGTCTTGTGCCGGTTTTCAAGAGGAATGCTTGCCGCTTATGCCCATTCAGTATGATGTTGACTGTGGGTTTGTCTTACATGGCTGTTATTATTTTGAGGTATGTTCATTCAATATCTAGTTTATTGAGAGTTTTTAACATGAACGGGTGTTGAATTTTATTGAAAGCCTTTTCTGCATCTATTGAGATAATCATGTGGTTTTTGTCTTTAGTTCTATTTATGTGATGAATCACATTTATTGATTTCTGTATATTGAAACAACCTTGCATCCTGGGGATGAAGTTTACTTGATCATGGTGGATTATCTTTTCGATGTGCTGCTAGATTCAGTTTGGGAGTATTTTGTTGAGGATTTTTGCATTGATGTTAATCAACGATATTGTCCTGAGTGTTTTTCTTTGTGTGTGTGTGTGTGTGTGTGTGTGTGTGTGTGTGTGTGTGTCTGCCAGGTTTTGTCATTTCTGATTGTTTATTTGGATCCTCTCTCTTTTCTTATTAGTCTAACTAGTGACCTATCTATTCCATTATTTTTTGCAAAATACCAACTCCTGGATTTGTTGATCGTTTGAATGTTTTTTCATGTCTTGATCTTCTTCAGTTCAGCTCTGATTTTGGTTATTTCTTGTGTTCTGCTAGATTTGGGGTTGGTTTGCTCTTGCTTCTCTAGTTCTTTTAGTTGTGATGTTAGGTTGTTGTTAATTTGAGATCTTTCTAACTTTTTAATGTGGGCATTTAGTGCTATAAAGTTTCCTCTTAACACTGCCTCAGCTGTGTCCCAGAGATTCTGGTATGTTGTATCTTTGTTCTCATTAGTTTCAAAGAACTTCTTGATTTCTGCCTTAATTTCATAATTTACCCAAAAGTCATTCAGGAGCAGGTTGTTTAATGTCCATGTAATTACATGGTTTTGGTGATTTTTTAAGTCTTGATTTCTATTTTCATTGCACTGTTGGTATGCAATGTGTTTGGTATGATTTCAGTTCTTTTGCATTGGCTTAGGATTATTTTATGTCTGATTGTGTGGTTGATTTTAGAGTGTGTGCCATGTGGTGATGAGAAGAATGTATAGTCTGTTGTTTTTGGATGGAGAGTTCTGTAGAGGTATATCAGATCCATTTAGTCCAATGTTGAGTTCAGGTCCTAAATATCTTAGTTAATTTTCTGCCTCAATGATCTTTCTAATACTGCCACTGGGGCGTTGAAGTCTACCACTTTAAAGGGACATCGGATTTCCTAGATTTTCCTTTTAAGTTTTTTTTCAGCCTTTTATTTGTCTTGTTATTGTCACCTATGGCAGCTATAATGCTAAACAATTGCCACTGATTATTTTTGATTGATGTTGCAAGGGGAAGGGCTATTTTCACTTAATGATCTCTGAGTCAGGTCAAATAAAGATAAGCCTTGGAAGTGGGGGTTTCCAGGGAACTTCTAGACAGGTCAAACAGTGGGATGTGACTTTTGGACAATCCTAAAATATTCTGTTCCTTCCAGTAGGTGCTAGGTGGCTGGTTTTCATCACTATTGTGATTGTGAGGCTGCTGGTTTTCAAGGCTACTGAAGAGCAGGGGTTGGGGGGAATGAGACGTGGGTACATTAAAAAAATGACAAACCTCCTTGTTCTTAATAAGATTCAACCACTTTTCTTGAATAAACACTTTTTGGATTGTTACAAGCCTTTGACTAATTTCTAGAGCTCTTAGAAAGTTGATTTTGATCATTTTTCTAGTATTCTCATTACTTTTATGGGAAGAGCACGTTTTTGGAGGTCCTTATCTCATCATTCTAAAACATAGAATCACTGTATGGAATACTTTGACTTCCAATTTTTACCTAACAAAATCTTATTTGTTAATACTGAATTTCTAAACACTTCTCTCACCGTAACAGCTTAATTCTATGGTACATTGCATATACCACTTACATCATTTTTCTTAGATGTAGGTGCTCATACTAATAACCCCCAGAAATCTGTATTCTGGACATCTATGGGGGGGCCCAAGGATCTGCATTTTAAACAAGTTCTAGGGGATTTGGGGTGTTACTGGCTCATGGACCAAATTTTAAGAAATGTCCATCTAAATGATATTCACAGTACTTACCATATACCAAATTTATATTACCTATGTATCTATAGTTATTATTACTATAATTTTTGCATATCCCTATCTTCCCTACTGGAATAATAACTCTTCATGGACAGAAGCAATTCCTGTACCCTGTGAATCCCCAAGGGCTTCAGTTTTATATAAATATATAAAATATAAATAAATATAGTCATATTTGCTGAATGAGTCAATAAATGAGAGTATTGTTTTCTCTTGCTTCTCTAGCTCTAGAGCATTGGGCAAATACATTCCCAATTACAAACTGCTGATTGACCAAAAAACCTTTTGGAGTTTGAGAACTCATTGGTAAATTGAAAATTGCCAGCAAGAAACTAAGAAAGCACTTAATTTTGTAAATATTTAAACTTAAAAGCATCACCTCAATTGTTTTCACAAAAAGTGCTAAGTAGTCAAACTTCAGGAAAATGTGTAAATGAAAAAACTTTAATCTTGAATGCTTTGAAAGGATAGAAAACATTAAACTGCGTAAACATATATATGTACTGCAAGGTATTCATTTCTTACTCACTGGAAATGATCATTTTAGGTGAGTGAAATGTCAGCAGTTTTGTCATCATTCATCTTTTTAGTCTCAAAGATGGTAATTTACAGACTCTCTCTGCCATATGGCCATCTGCCTCTTGTGTACAAAATAGGTATGGGTTGCCAGGACTGGTGAGTGTGACTCAGACACAGACAGTGATGTTATCTCTGGTCTCAGATGGTCTCTGGTCCTGCTGGAGTGTGGAGTATTTCCTGGTTGGTGAATTAACATTCTCTTGCCTGAGAAGCTGTGAGATTTTAAATAAATCTTCTGGAAGAGAAAGGCATGGTAGGATATTAGGCCACATGGGCACCATTCCAGTTCTCTGCCAGAGAGAAATAGATTGTTAAGCTGTGAGCTCAGCAAGTCTTCAGTAGAATTCAATTAATTGGCTTTCTCAAATGAAAGGAGCTCATTAGAAATTGGTTAGGTGGTCACAGGTTCTCTCTGGATGCATCGTATAAATAGATCTCAGTTTTGGTGTATTTAAGATGATAACAGTAAAAAAAACCACATAACATTTCTTTCTTTCTTTCTCTCTCCTTCCTTCCTTCCTTTTCTTTTCTTTCTCCTTTCTTTCTCCCTCTTTTTCTTCCTCTCTTTCTCTCTCTCTTTCTTTTCTTTTCCTTCCTTCCTTCCATCCTTCCTCTCTCCCTTTCCTTTCTTCCTCCCTCCCTCCCTCCCTCCCTCTCTCTCTTTCTCTCTTTCTTGCTCTTTCTTTTCCTTCCTTCCTTCCTCTCTCCCTCCCTCCCTTCCTTTCCTTTCTTCCTTCCTCCCTCTCTCTTTCTTGCTCTTTCTTTTCCTTCTTTCCTTCCTTCCTTCCTTTCTCTCTCTCTCTCCTTCCTTTCTCTCTCTCTCTCCTTTCTTTCTTTCTTTCTTTCTGTCTCTCTTTTCTTTTCTTTCTTTCTTTCTCTCTCTCTCTCTTCTTTCTTTCTTTCTTTCTTTCTTTCTTTCTTTCTTTCTTTCTTTCTTTCTTTCTTTCTTTTCTTTTCTTTTCTTTTCTTTTCTTTTCTTTCTTTCTTTCTTTCCTCTTGCTCTGCTGCCCAGGGTGGAGTGCAGTGGCACGACCTCGGCTCACTGAAACCTCCACCTCCTGGGTTCAAGCGATTCTCCTGCCTCAGCCTCCGGAGTAGCTGGGATTACAGGGGCCTGCCACCACACCCAGCTAATTTTTGTATTTTTTAAGTAGAGGTGGGGTTTCACCATGTTGGCCAGGCTGGTTTCGAACTCCTGACCTTAGGTGATCTGCCCTCCTCGGCATCCCAAAGTGCTGGGATTACAGGGATGAACCACTGTGCCTGGCCAAAAAACCATAATATTTCTAAGTTGTGTTTATGTTAAACATGTTTATTAGAAATAGGGAGTCTCAATTGTATGATTCAGGAAGCAGAGGGTAACATCATGGGGAGTTTGTTTATTAATTAATTGATAAAAACTATTTAGATATAATTGATATATAATAAACTGCATATAATAAATAAACTGCATATATATAATAAACTGCATTATTTTGAAGTATACGGTTTGGTAAGTCTTGACATATGTATATACCAAGGAATCCATCACTAAAATTAAGATAGTGACCATATTCCTACCCCTAGAAGTGCCCATGCTCTTTGTAATTCTTCCAAACTGTTTCTTTCTTCCCTTCCAGGAAGCTACTGATCTGCATTCTGTCACTATAGATTAGTTTGCATTTTCTAGAATTTTACAGAAATGGAATCATAGAGTGTGTACTCTTTTTTGGGGGGGGGGTCTGGATTTTTTCACTCAGAATAATTATTTTGAGATTCCTTCATGTCATAGAGTTTATCAATAGTTCATTCCTTTTTTTTTCCTTGAGTAGTTGTATTAATCAGGGTTCCCCAGATAACTTGGAGATTTATTATAAGGAATTGGCTCACAAGACTATGGAGGCTGACAAGTTCCAAGATTTGCAATCAGTAAGCTGGAGACCTGGGAGAACTGATGGTATAGTTCCAGTCCAAATGCTGGCAAACTTGAGACCTAACAAGAGCTGATGTTTCTGTTTGTGTCTGAAGGCAGGAAAATACCAAAGTTCCAATTCAGGGCAGCCAGGCAGGAGGAGCTCCCCTTTACTTGAAGGAGGAGAGGATGGTCCCTTTTTTTTTAAGCCAGGCCTTCAACTGATTGAATGAGGCCCATCCAAATTAGGAAGGGAAATTTTCTTTACTTAGTTTACTAATTTGAATGTCAATCTCATCTAAAACACCCTAAAAGACACCCACAAAATTATGTTTAACCAAATATCTGGGCACCTCATGTGTAGTCAAGTTGACACATATAAGCCTACCCATTGTTAACTTGGCACCCATACATACACATTTTTAAAATCATACTTAATCTCCAAATGCATGCAATAACAGACAAGGTCATAGTTACACCAAATATGATACAACTGCCCTGTGTACAACTGAAAATGCCCTAACTCTTTCCCAGAAGAGGAGGTAGTCTTTGAGTGACGGTTACTCTTTCCCTGGTATCTCATAACTTAAATACTGTGATATAAAATTAACTATACTTAAATATTATTCCATATAGTCAATACATCTTATGTTGTTACATGGTAAGGGAATAATGGAATAAAACAAAGGTATTTTATAGTCAATACATCTTATGTTGTTACATGGTAAGGGAATAATGGAATAAAACAAAGGTATTTTATAGTCAATACATCTTATGTTGTTACATGGTAAGGGAATAATGGAATAAAACAAAGGTATTTTATGTACATATACGTATTCATAACAAAATAAGGAGAAAAGACTCATGGCAATTTTAGTCCTCATTTCTATTCTGAAGTCCATTTTGCTATCTCCACACATAACCTCCATCCCTGCCATCATGGCTACTTTGTTTATGAGCTCATTGGGTGAGGACAAGGGTGGATGGGAAAAGAAGCTGATTGCTATCCACAGAATGGGCCATTCTATCCACTTGATTATGAAAATTCTCCTCTGCTGAGGTCACACTTGGGTGAGCATTCACATGGGTCACAGATATCTTTATATTTTTTATGCATTCAGAAAGGTGTATCCACGTACCTCTTCCCTCAAATCTTTGTGACCAGTTTTCCAATCACATTTTTTCTAAGTCTCTGACCATCCAGCCAAATCACTGGCTACAGACCACTAATTGGTATACAATTGCATATTAGTCCATTTATTGTAAGTTCAAGCTTACAGCAATTCACTGTCATTTCAAGCAAAGTGCACAACAAGGTGTACTGCCCAGATTTCTGCCCACTGGGAGGATTTCCCTTCACTACCATTCTTCAGGGGTATCCCAGAAAGTGGCTGTAGTGCTGTGGCTGTCCGCTTTTGAGCGGTGCCTGCATATCGTGCAGAACAATCTGTAAGATAGGACTGTCTTCTCTTTCTCTGTTAACTGATTGTAGGGAACCCCTTATGACGCCATAAGTGCAGGTGGGAGAGAGAGAGACAGGAGTGGGGACCATAAGCATTTAGGCCACTTTTTCATGCAACATTTTTGTGCCATTAAGGCTTGCTTGAGGCTGATCACTTATGTGCCATTTCCATTTGATGACTGAGTGTTCCTATGCATGCCTATTTTTATGGCTTGGTAGGTCAGATAATACTCAATTCATGATGGGCAGCTCAGGTCACATGGTAACTTGATGGCTCATGTCAAGTGTTCAGTCTCTACTCAGGCCCAGTAGCAGACCAAGGGCTGTTCCTTAGAAGGACAGTTGTTATCTATGGATGATGGTAGGGTCTTGCTCTAAAATTCTAAAAGCATGATCTGTGATTCACCTATAGGGCCCTTCCAAAGTCTCAAAATAACATCCCTATCTGCCACTGATTCTGCAAGCACCACTGGATCTGTAGATCATATGGCCTAAGTAGCACAGCAGCCTGCATAGAAGCCTAGACCTATTACAGAGTCTTTTCTTGTTCTGGGCTCTGCTCAAAACTAGCAGTTCTTTGGGTAATTTGGTTAAATGGGCCAGAGTAACACACCCAAGTGAGGGATATGTTGCCTCCAAAATCCAAAGATACCTACTAGGTGTTTTTCCTCTTTCTTGGTTGTAGGAGGGACCACGTGCAACAATTTATCCTTTACCTTAGAAGGGATATCGTGACATGCCTGACACCTCTGGACTCCTATAGAAATGTGACTGAGAGAGAAGGCCCATAAATTTTAGTTGGATTTATTTCCCACCTTATGACACACAAATGTCTTACCAATAAGTCTGGAATATTTGCTACTTATTTCTCACTAGGTCCAATCAGCATCATGTGATCAATGTAATGAACCAGTGTGATATCTTGTGGAAGAGAAAGTGATCAATATCCCTGTGAAGTAAATTATGACATGGGGCTGAAGAACTATATGCCCTTGAGGCAGGACAGTGAAGGTGTATTGCTGGGCTTGTCAGCTGAAAGCAAACTGCTTCCGGTAGGCTTTATGGACAAGAATGGAGAAAGGGCGTTTGCAAGACCAGTAGCTACATATCAGGTACCGGGGGATATGTTAATTTGCTCAAGCAATTAAACATCTGGTACAGCAGCTACAATTAGTGTCACCACCTGGTTAAGCTTACAATAATCCACTGACATTTTCAAGCACCTGTCTTCTCTACAAGTCAAATAGGAAAGTTGAATGGGGATGTGGTGGGAAACAACACCCCTGCAATTTTCAAGTCCTTGTAGTGGCATTAACCTCTGAAATCCCTCTAGGAATGTAGTATAGTATAATTTACTTTCTAGGTAGATGCAGTTCTAATGGCTTCCACTTGGCTTTTCTCATCATAATAGCACTCACTCTACAGGTCAAGAAATCAACGTGGGGATTCTTCCAGTGGCTCTGGCTATTTCAATTATGCATTCTGGAACTGGGGAAATAACCACAGGATGGGTTCAAGGATCCACTGAACCCACTGTGAGATGGACCTGAGCTAGAACTCTATTGACCACCTGACCCTTCACAAGCCTCTACTCTGACTGGTGGGCTTTTGAGTAAAGTTTTGAGTTTCCTGGAATTAGTGTCAGTTCAGAGCCAGTGTCCAGTAGTCCCCAAAAGGTCTGATTATTTCTTTTCCCCAAATGCACAGTCACCCAGGTAAAGGGTCCTATGTTCTTTTGGGAAAGGCTTGGAGAAAGATTAACAGAATAAATTTTTTGTAGTATTCTAAGGTCTTTCTTCAAGGGGCCTGGTGTCCTCTACCTTCAAGAGGTTCTGGGTCTGTAAACTGGCTCAAGTCTGAGAATTGATTGAGGGGCCCTGACACTCAGTTTTTATTATTTGAATTAGACTTCTATTCACTTAGCCTAGAAATTTTCTGCTAATACAGATCAAACGAGAATTTAGTAGAGTTCCTATCTACTTCACTTCTGGGAACACGATGATCAACTAGACAATGTCACATTCTGTGTGAATCAGACTATTCTGATTGCTGCTTCAACTCTGCTGTCCATTATGGTAACAACACTCACCTTGACTTGGTGGTTAAGTCCTGCCACTTAGCTCCGGCCACCCCAGGATATAATTACTGTATGCATTTAGTTTTCCAGATTTAGTGATTCCAGTTCCCACTGTAAGTTCTGTCCTACAGAGAAGAGTAATCACAGAGATCTTCGAAGATGTTGGGCTCCTCTCATAAATTTATTTCTCACAGTAGTGGTGAAAGTCATGTCTTCTGAATCCTCTGAGTATGGCTGAGTATATCTTAAATGATAGTTCTGCTATAACATTCCAGTCTGCCTAAGCTTTGAATCCCTTCCTCTATGTTAAACCAAGGCATGTCCAGCATTTCTAGTTTGCTCACTGTGGGCCATCTTCTGATCCATATTTCAGCCAACCAACCAAAATGTTAGCGCCATTTCTAGCCCTCAGAGGTCCAACATTAAATGTAGACTCTTTGCTTAGTGGGACCATATCAATAACTTTGGCCTGATATAACTTATGAAAGTTGTCATATTCAGAATGGATTCACTTATGTTACAAGACAAAATAAAACAAAACAAAATGAAATAAAAACAACTCTGACAAATAGCATGGAGAAGCCCATGAAGAGAAGGGTTCTCATGTACAAATGCCCAATAGCAAAAACTATCAAAAAGGCTCTGCGAAAAGTGCAACCTTGCACAAAGGCTACCATGACATTACACAAAAAATACTTCTATAAGAACATCTGTCCAGCCACTGCCTGCCCAACCTTGGACTGATGTTACCCCTTGTTATTGATCCTGGTAACCAAGTATAATCATATCAAAACACTTATGTAATCCTTTTCATTTTTCCTTTAAAAACCTTTGTCTTCCTTTACCTCCCTGAACACACACATAGTTTATTATGGCTCATGTATTCACATTGCAATGTTCTATTCCTGAATAAATATCATTTTCTTTTAGAGAGCCTTTCTCTGTTTGTTATTTCAGGTTGACAGTCTATTATGTTACTTTCACCATTATCCTACCCCCCTAATATCCATTCCCACACAAGTTCCCCAGATTTCTGCTCATATGAATTGGAAAACTCAAGTAGTTCTTTTGTAGTGTGGCAAACCTCCTCATGGGTCATACTGGTACCTCACCTTTAGGGACCTGCTTGAGTCTAGTTATAGGTCTAGAAGCAAAGGTGGGGTGGTGGGGGTGGGTCCTGAGGAGAATCAACATTGTCTTGCATTCTTCCATGGCAACTGCCCTGGGGGAAGCCATTACCATTTCCTCAGGCAATGAAGGGTTAATCCCCTCACATTGAGGTGGAAAGACTGATACAGTGGGGGAAGAGAGGCCAATACCACTGGAGTGGAGAGACCCTGCCACTGGGTGGGGGTGTGTGCTGCCACTGAGTTTGAGAAGGCCACTTCTGCTGGGAGTGGTGAGGCCAATTTCACTGGTAAAGACTCATCAGCATTTAGGAGCTCAATGTCTTCAGCTTCATCAGGTTCTTCCCACACATCCCCATCACAACTATAGATCCAGTTCCTTCCAAACCAATGCCCCCACTTTAACAGTAGTCACCCTGCAAGGATAGGAGTTTAACTGGCATTGCAATTCAGCCTATCACAGGATCAGGTTCTGCATTTGATTTTCAGCAATTTCAATCCTGTGTCTATAGGAGATAAGGGACTCCCTCACGGCACATATAGAAGGTCTTAGGTCATTTATACAGAGATCGACCTAGGAATTCAAATCCCTGAGCTCATCCTTTTCACTCACCATTTTGTCCAGCAACATTAGGAGCAATCAACCAACATCACTGTATTCATTAATTTTAAAAAAATGTTTAAAAATATATACAGGGTCACCTAGTTACTTGCTTCTTAAAAGTGGTTGATTAGAGTTTCCAATTGCAGATACTTTGCATGTTTTTATAAGCAGTTCACACTATGGACTATCAGTGCTCTCTTTACTACTGGAAATAGCATCATTAGCATCTTTAAATCTAAGCAGATTAGACAGCCAATTACAGAAATCCTAGAACTAACTTAGAAAACTCATCCTTAAAATTCTGTTTTTCTTGAACTATTCTCAGTACCACACTCTATATTAATCAGGGTTCTCCAGAGAAAAAGAACCAAAGGTTCTATATAGATTTATCGAAAGAGAAGTATTATGAGAGACTGACTCAAGTGATTATCGGGGCTGAGAAGTTCTGCAATTTACCACCTGCAAGCTGGAGGCCTAGGAAAGCCCGTGGTATACTTCCAATTCAAATCCCAAAGCCTGAGAACCCAAGGAGCCAGTGGTGTAAGTCCCAGTCCAAGTCCAAAGGCTCAAGAACTGGGGGAGACAATGGTGTAAGTCCCAGTCTGGGTCTGAAGGCCTGAGAAACAAGAGCACTGCTCTCTGAGGGCAGGAGAAGATGGATGTCCCAGTGAAGGAGATAGCAAATTCATCTTTCTTTGCTTTTTGTTCTATTCAGGTCCTTAACAGATAGGATGATGCCCAGCCTCATTGGTGAGGGTGATCTTTACTTACTCTACTGATTCAAATGTTAACCTCTTTTGGAAACACCCTCACAGATACACCAAGAAATAGTGTTCTACCAGCTGTCTGGACAATCCTTATCCCACTCAATTTGACACCTAAAATTAATCACCGCAGTGGTCTGTAGTTTTTATCAGGTTTGAAAAAATTTTGTCTACTATTTCTTCAAATTTTTTTTCCTCTAGCTTCTCCACTGAGGGATTCCACTTGAAACTTTCCCACAGCTCACTGATGCTGTGTTCATATTTTAAAATTCACTTTTCTCTCTGTGTTTGATTCTGGATAGTTTCTATTTAGTTGTTTTCAAGCTCACTAAACCTTTTCTTCTGTGATGTCTAATTTGCCATTAATTTCATCCAGTGCATTTTTCATCTCAGACATTGCAATACACATCTATAGACATTCAGTTTGAATCTTTTCAGATCTTCACTTCTCTACTTAACGTTTTGAACATATGGAATACAGTTATAATAACTTTTAAATGCCTTGTCAGCTAATTCTAACATATATGTCAATTTTGGCTTGGTTTTGATGGATTGTTCTTTTTCTTCATTTTTGGTTGTATTTTCCTAGTTCTTTTCCTGTCTGGTAATTTTTTTTCACGGGAAAGAAAATATTGTGACTTTTTCCTTGTTGGGTGCTGGATATCTTTTTATTCTTATTAATATTCTTGAGTTTTGTTTATTGGCAAAGTTAAGTTACTTGAAAACATTTGGTATTTTTTGGTCTTGCTTTTAAGGCTTGTTTTCAGGTATGGAGAAGTATTTAGTCTAGGGCTAACTATTCCACACTGTTGATGAAAGTCCCTTCTGTGTTACCCAGTGCCCTGAGAATCATAAGGTTTTTCTGTCTGGCTGGTAAAAATAGGCACCAATCCCACCATGTGTAAGTTCCAGACACAGTTACCTTTAATCCTTTCAGGTGATCTTTCCCTGGCAACCCAGGCAGTTTCTTCACACACATACAATGATCAGTACTCAGCTGAGTACTAGGGGGGGACCAATTGCAGATATCTGGAATTATGTCTCTCTGCATCACTCTCCCTTCCAATGCTCTGTCCCTCAAACTCCAGCTGCCTCAGTCTTCCCACATGTCTAGCTCTGTCTGCTTATTTAAGGGAGTCTGCTAGGCTCTGTTCAGATTCCCCATCCCAGTGCTGGGGCCTGGAAACTCTTTCAGGCAGTGAGTTGGAGCAATCATATGTTTCATCTCAATGTCTTCTTTCAGTGACCAGTGTCCTTTGTTGCCTTATGTCCCATGTCTTAAAAAATTTAATTCCACATTCTTGTCAATTTTTGGAGTTATTTTAAGTGGGAAGGTAAATCTGGTCTCTGCTATCTAATCTTGGCCAGCAGTTGGAGTCTCTGAGGAGTGTTTTAAAACATGGACTTTCTTCATTAGCCTTGTCACCAAACCTGAAGACTAAGTTACATGTAGCTCCTAAGTAGACCTTTTCTTCTCTCAACATAGTAATCCATTAATTTTTTACTTTTATCACTTGACATCTATGATTATTCTGATATTTTCCTGTCTTTATTAAATCAATTTGCTCTTTAGCAGGGGGCCAGTTGAGTGGATTCTACCTTTAATTGAAAAGATATTATTGTGGCCATTTTGAGAAGAAAAAAATTACTCTCTTTTTTGGAAGAACATCAATGTTTCACTTCCATTTAATATGTGGGATTGAAAATCTATTCAGTGTACTGTCCTGAGTTGAAAGAGTTCACCTGTCACTAGAGAGTGGGAAATTATCCACTGGTTTAACTGAGCTCCCAGTTTTTCTCACTTTGTCTTTCTTGAATATTTCCCTCCATTTCTGAGAAGATAAAATATTATTTTATCATACATTTGTTGTGACAGAATGACATAAAAGAAAAAGCATCAGAGTGGGACTCAGGAGAGCTGATTCCTATACCCAGTTTTGCCCATAATTAACCATTTAACCTTGGGCAAGCTAACAAACTTCTCTAAGTCTCACATTCTTAATCTGTAAAATAAGGTTGACCACTAATTTCTAACATTCTAGGACATATCAATGACTTTTGGGACCTATGGTTCAGAGTACAGATTTTTAAGAACACATACAAAAGAATAAGTCTTTTGACACACCATGAAGGTGAACTAATTCCTTGGATGAAGATGAATTAATTCCTTGGACGATGTGAAGATACCCACATGGTCAGCACCCTACTCAAGAGGCAAACAGGAAATTTGCCTCTTTCCAGGCAGTTTTTACTCCATTTCTCTTGAACTTTATACAAATGTAATCATACAGTGCATTTGCTTTTGGGCCTGGCTTTGTTCACTGAATGCAATCCTGCTGTTGTATGTATTAATAGTGCTTTCTTTTAAAAATTGCTGTTAGTGTTCCTTTGTGTGAACATACAATGATCTATTTACCTATTTACCAGTCTATCAGCTTTTGGGTTGTTTCTAGCTTTTGGCTATCATGGTTATGAACATTCTTTTGTGTATCTTTTGGTGGACATATGTACTCATTTCTCTTGGGTAAATACTCAGGGATGCAATTGCCAGGTCATAGGGAAGGTTCACGTTTGGCTTTAGTAAATGCTGGCCTGGGCCTGATTTGAGGTTTTAAGTAGCTTTGGCATTCTCATTTTCCAAGAAAAGAATCACTTTGAAGGAATCACAGAAGCAGAGGGTTAGAAAGTAAGACCTAAAGAAGAGAAGGACAGAGTGATTCTGTTTAGGCTTAATGTATGCTTGCTTGTTAGATGATGACAGGTGAGAGGTCTAGGTCAGATGGGTAGGAGGGATCGAACTTGTGGAAAGCATAGGCTTGGATCCCCAGAGAGAGCCCGGGACATAAGCAGGGGCTGTGGCAGTGCTGAGTGCATCTGAGAAGTCCTTGTATAAGTTGAGGGGTGTGACTGTGCGAGGACAGAGATGTGGGTGGATGCAGGGGATAGCCACACAGGCCCTGTTTAGTCTCCCAGGAGGAGAGTGATATGGTTTGGTTGTGTCCCCACCCAAATCTCATCTTGAATTGTAGCTCCCATAATTCCCACATGTTGTGGGAGGGACCCAGTGGAAGATAATTGAATCATGGGGCAGTTTTCCCCATACTATTCTCATGGTAGTGAATAAGTCTCACAAGATCTGATGGTTTTATAAGGGGTTTCCTCTTTCACTTGGCTCTCATTTTCTCTTGCCTGCCGCCACATAAGATGTGCTTTTGCCTTCTGCCATGATTGTGAGGCCTCCCATGCCATGTGCAATTGGCCACATGCGTCCATTAAACCTCTTTTTCTTTATAAATTACCCAGTCTCAAGTATGTCTTTATAAGCAGTGTGAAAATGGACTAACACAGAAAGATATGGGGAATGGAGTTCAAGTCAGAAACTGGAGCCACATTTCAGGGTCCACAGCCGGGAGGCTGCCTCACACAGAACAGCTGGCTGCTCTGAGTTCTGCCTTGGTTTTCTATGGGGTATAGAAGTTAGGCAGCTTTAATATGCAAAGGTGCAGGGTCTGTCCATCAGTATTTTTTGAAAGCCAAGGATGCTTAAAAGAAGAGGAAGAGAGATCACAGCACTCTCCACTAGCTGAGAACAGTGTGAAGGCAGCCATGTGCAAGCCAGGAAGAGAGCTCTCACCAAAACCTGACCATACTGGCAACCTCATTTCGGACTTGTAGCCTCCAGAGCTGTGAGATAACTTCTGTGGTTTAAGCCACGTAGTCTGTGGTACTTTGTTACAGCACTGCCAATGAACATAGTCAGGGCTGAGAACTGCTGAGATGAGTGTCAGTTGCATACTCTGAGAGACACAGGGTTTGGCATAGAACCTCCAAACTGGTTTGCCAAAGCTCTCCAATTTGTCCCAGGGATTTAAAAATATGCCCTGAGTTGGTTCTAGGTGTGCCAAGGTATTGAGTTTCCTCTTAACCCTGGAGGTGGCTGAATTGCCAGAGTAGTTATTAATAACGTCATAAATAATGTTCTCTGTTTATTTTCAGTGTATCAGACAAATGTTATCATTTTCTTTAGGTCCTATGAAAGTGAAAAAGGGTGGAAGAAGTGAGAGCACTCACCCCTGCTGCTGCTTAATGCGGAGCTTAGCCCTGTCACACAGGATTTCTAGCTGAGCACCAGGCCTGGTTATGTGTGTGTTGGCTGAGGTGGGGGAGTGAAGATCCCATTTCTATAATAAGAAGCCAGAAGAATAATTGTATTTAGACTTTGTACATTGGGTTGCTAAATGATGAGAGATGGGAAGTAGATGAAATTAGAAGTATCAGTCAGCTAAAAATGGTCAGCTTAGGTTAAGAAATGAGTTAGTCTTTCCAAACCATTTCTCCTTGATACTTGTATCAGACAAGTAGGCTTACAGATGATTGTAAATACAATTCATTAAGAAATTAGGTCTACAACTTATTATCTCTAAAAGAGATGCCAAGGAGTAAAATGACTAAAAAAATTGCTTGCATAATTCTCTCTGTTCTATGAATATCATTAAAATGGAGAGGAGGAATTCCCTAGGGAAAAATCCATCAGTTTTCAACCGTTACCAATAATGACAGTGCAGATTTCGTGACCTCTTCCTATCCATTCTCTTCCACCTGCCACTCTCAAAGAGAAAGCTCCAAGCAAGGATGGATTCCTGGGTGGTCTGGAGTTTGCACCTGGTGCGTCCAGGAGGCAGGTTACTCATCATGAAGGGAAGGATAGGAGCTCAGTGTGGAGAGGTTTTACGAAGAGAAAAATACCGTAGGTTCTTTCCCTCTCAGATTCGTGGCACGCAGTGGGAGAAATGCATGGGCAAACATGAGAAATGCATGGGCAAACATGAAAAATTGTTTTGGGAAATATTCTTAGGTAGAATATGCCTGGGACTAGAAAGAATTTTTTCTAAAGTGAGTCCTGAGAAACACTTGTTTCATTCTTCTCAGAATGTTAATAGGTGTTCTATGAAAAATATGTGTTTAAGATGGGTGCACAGTATTAGCCCTTTCCAAACTTGTTTAATACAGAACCATGTTCAGTGCTTCATGGAGTGCATGTTAAGAAACCATGTGTTAGAGACACATGAAAGTGGTGTAGACTTTAGATTGTTTTCTAGAACACTCCACTTAAAGCCTCTCAAACGCTAGCGGTGGAAAAGATCCGAGTTATTCCGAGTTACTCCAAGTTACCAGCCGCGAATTCTTATAGGTCTGCAGCAACTTCAGCTCTTCGCCCCCTCAGAAGAAAGAATTCAACTGAGGGGTATAAGGCAGGAGAGACCGAGGCAGGCTTCAGAGCAGGAGTGAAAGTTTATTGAAAAGCTTTAGAACAGTAACAAAAGGAAGGAAAGAAAAGAAGGAAAGTACAACTTGGAAGAGGGTCAAGCAGACGACTTGAGGAACCAAGTGCACAGTTTGACCTCTTGACTTGGGGTTTTATATATATTGGCATACTTCCGGGATCTTGCCTTACTTCTCACCTACTCCTGAGATCTTATTGGAAAGCTGCTGGTCAGTTTCAGGTGTTTTCTATCTAGTAGGAGCCTGCCTTTCCCTGGTGCCGGCTGTGAGCAATTATTATTTTAGAGAAACAGTTAACCACAGCCTGACCATCACCTGATTGTCATCCAACATTCCTGGCATGTGTGTGTGGGGAGCCCTCTCCTTTTCTGCAGATACCTGACTAGCTACCTACTGTAACAAAATCAGGACACAGGAAACTTCCTTTTCTTCCCAGTTTTCTTTTCTAATTTCTTTCTTCAAGTCCTTACCAAACAGAAGTTCTTTTTTTTTTTTTTTCTTATAGAGAAAAGGTTTTTCTCTGTCACCCAGGCTGGAGTGCAGTGGCAGGATCCTAGCTCAACTGCAATCTAGAACTCTTGGGCTAAAGTGATCCTCCTGCCTTAGCCTTCCAACTCTCTGGGACTATAGGCACATGCCACCATGCCTGGCTAAATTTTATTTTTTTTTCTTTTTGATAGAGACAGGGTCTTGCTCTGTTGCTTAGGCTGGTCTTGAACTCCTGCTTTGAAGCGATCCTCGAGTTTCGGCCTTCCAAAATGCTGGGATTACAGACTGAACCACCACACCTGCCCGTGAACACTTCTGAGCCAAGTCATTGTAATGTACCATGGCACTTAAAGATAAATAAGACAAGTTATTTGTTTGGTCTGGATCTCAGTTTATTCATTTGTGAAACAGGAAGATTGAATTATGATTACTATTGTCTCTCCCACATCTTTAATTCTACGCTTTTTTAATTTAAAAAGCATGATCCCTGATCCCAAGGTGATAACTGCCTTGGGGTACAAGCCTATTGCAAACGACATAACTAGCCAGCAATTGAAATGGCACATATCTGTGTGTCAAATTGTGTGGTGCAGATTAGAGGGGCTATACAAGTGCAGAGAGGGGAAACCAATGAGGCTGGTGCACTTCTAGCTCTCTGTTTTTTCTTGCTACATTAGGCACTCAATAGAGCCCCTAAAATAATGATTTAATGAGAATGCATTTGGCTATAGAGATTTAAAATGCATTTACTACATGGAAGGACTTGTTCTGTCTACTTAAGCTCCCTTAATAACATTGCAGAGGTTAGCTACAACGTGAGATTAATGAAAACATCTCTGTCGATGTAAGCATTTAATACTTATTGAAATAATCATTAGATTACTAATGCCTTTGCAGAACTTGAAGACTTGAACTAAAAAATGTTTCAGGCTGAAGGCACGAATAGGATCCTAGCATGTTAGAGCTAGAAGAGTCCTAAGGGATCATTTAAGTCTAGGGTCAGCAAACTTTTTCTGTAAAGGGCCAGATAGTAAATATTTTAGGCTTTGGGGGCCATTAGATCATGCTGCAACTATTCAACTCTGCTGTTGTAGCACAAAAGCAGCGTAGACAATATGTAAATAACTGGATGCGGCTGTGTTCCAATACAACTTTATGTACAAAAACAGGAGGCAGGCTGGATTTGGCTGGTGGGCTGCAGTTGTTGAACCTCGATGTGAATGCAATCCAGGTTAGTGAAGGGGGTTGATCAAGGTCACACAGAGCTATGGACTGAATTGTGTCTCCCAAAAAACCACGTTGAAGCCCTACCCCACAATGTGGCAGTATTTAGAGATAGGGCCTACCAAGAGGTAATTTAAGTTAAATGAAGGTGTAAGAGCAGAGCCCTGATATGATAGAATTGTGTAGTTAGAAGAAGAGACACCAGAGCACTCTTTGTCTCTTTCTGCCATGTGAGCACACGGTGAGAAGGTGGCCATCAACAATCCAGGAAGAGAGCCCTCCCCAGACTATGCTGGCACGCTGACCTCAGACTTCCAGCCTCCAGTACTGTGAAAAAATAAATTTCCGTTGTTTAAGCCACCCAGTCTATGGCATTTTGTTATGGCCACCTGAGCTAACACCCACAGCAAGTTAGGGGCAAAGTGAGCTCTGGCATCCAGATCTTCTGAAGGCATTTCAAACAGCATTGGGTGGGAAAAGAATGAGAATATTGGCTTACATTTAAAAAGGAAAGCATTTAATTTTTCCCATTTCACTTCTTAATACTTTGGCCCAATATATAGGTTAATAGATAATAGATCAAATAATTAGATCTTCATTTTGGAAAGCTGAAATGTTGAGTTGGATATAAAATAAAACCCTTTAGGAGATTAAGCAAGGGATAGATAAAAGTTGGGGACTTAGACCACATTTCTAACTTTGCCTCCATCTCCTTTGGGGACTTAATCTCTCTTTGGCTACTTCTGTTATCCATGTGCTTCTCATTTCCTGCCCTTTGCTACATGTCCGTCTTCATCTTTAAAGCTTCATGAGAGTAGAGTCACATTTTGTTTACATAAACTACAGTAAATGATATAAAGAAAAGGTACTGATATAATGAAGGTGTAAAATAGGGAAACCAAAGAAGGTTTTCCTAAGCAAGTGATGTTTGTGGCAAGATATATATAAAAAAGTGTTAATCAGGTGAAAGAAAGATGGGGAGTGGAGGGAAGAACATGGCCAGAGTCATGAGATGAAAGAAAGCAGATGCACTTGAGGAATTGGTAGGGGCCAGGAGGGCTGGAACACAGTTACACAAATGAGTCTGGAGAGAATGACAAGGGCCTGGCTACTTGGAACCTTGTAGACCAGATTTGGGGTTGTTCTAAGCATAATGAGAAGCCATTGCAGAGCTTTAAGCATCTTTAATGTAACTCAGGTTGCATGCAACATATTGTGGAGAACAAAAGTGATTGGAAGAAGGCCAGTTCAGAGATTCTTGCTGTATGATGGTGGTTTGAATCAGGGATCTCAGCGTTAGTTGAGATTGAGAGAAGAAAATGGAGTTGAGACACTTTGAGGAGAACTTGGTGAGGATTGGATACAGGGGTGAAAGAGTGCAAGGTGTAGATAATTCCCCAATACTTGGCTTGTGAAACTAGAGATGTAGGGTGTTTTTTCCGCAGGTTGGCAACACTAGAGGAGAACTGGGTTTCAGATAGGAGCAGGTGGGAGTGGGTTGTGGTTGAGTCTGAGGTACCCACAGAGATGCTGAGTAGGTAGTTGGGCAAATGGGCCTTTGTTAGGCTCTCCCTTAACCATAATTAAAATTTGTAGTATCTTCAAAGGGTAAAGAGAAAGCAGAAACATTTTCGGTGAAAAATGAGTACAGAAAAACTAATCCATGTGCCTCTGATTCATGATCCTGGGGAGCTGTGTCTGATAGAAAACCCCAGTGCTGGGGTTGGCTTGAAGTAAAATAATAGAGACCATGACTCTTCAATGCCCTCCTACTGAAGGAGAGATCATCCTTCTAAAATCTTATAAAATCTTATAGATCTAATGGTAGCTTCTTCAGGCTGTAATACTGCATCCTTTAGTATTTTCCTATTCACATTTAAAAGATCCAAACTTCCTTCTCACAAGATCTTGCATGATTTGGCCTCAGCCAACCTCCCTAATGTCATCTGGCACTCTTCTTCCTAGATTCCAGCTAGGCTGGCTTCCTCCTGGTTCCTCTCACAATCCGGACTTGCTTCTGCCTCAGGCCTTTTTAACTTGAAGCCCTCTTCCTGATGTGCTCCTCCCTTGCACTCTTTTTGGCAGCTTTGTGTGAGGTTTGTGCTTAAATCTCACTTCGTCAGTGGGACCTTCCCTGTTCACCCACTTTAAGTATTCAGCCCCATTCCATTCCATTCCATTACTTTCCTTTATTTTTACCAAAGGCCGTGGGAGCCCACCTTTTCCATCAGTGCACCCTGGATGTGAGACATGGAGTCAAAGGAGATTATTTTGGAGCTTTAAGATTTAATGACTGCCCTGTTGGATTTCAGACTTGCATGAGGCCTTTAGCGCCTTTGTTTTGGCCAGTTTCTCCCATGTGGAATGGGAGCATTTATCCAATGCCTGTACCCCCATTTGTATCTTGGAAGTAACTAACTTACTTTTGATTTTACGGGCTTCTAGGTGGAAGGGGCTTGCTCTGTCTCAGATGAGACTTTGGACTTGGACTTTTGGGTTAATGCTGGAAAGAGTTAAGACTTTGGGGGACTGTTGAAAAGGCATGAGATTTGGGAGGGGGCAGGGATGAAATGATATGGTTTGGCTCTGGGTCCCCACCCAAATCTTATCTTAAATTGTAATCCCCACATGTGGAGGGAGGTAGGTAACTGAATCATGGGGGTGGCTTCCCCCATGCTGTTCTCATGATAGTGAGTTCGTTCTCATGAGAGCTGATGGTTTTATAGGCATCTGGCATTTCCCCTGCTTTCAATTCTATCTCCTGCCACCATGTGAAGAAGGTCCTTGCTTCCCTTTCCTCCATGATTGTAAGTTTCCTGAGGCCTCAGCAGCCATGTGGAACTGTGAGTCAATTATACCTCTTTCCTTTATAAATTACCCAGTTTTGGGTATTGCTTTATAGCAGTGTGAGAATGAACTAATACAATTTTTTTATTGATCTTTTACCAGGTGAAATTGAGTTTGTATGTTTATTCATCTATTTCTCCCTATTGAATGAAAGTTTCATGAGAATGGGAACCGAGTCTGTCTTGTTCAGTGCCTTATCACCAGCACCTGTTCCAGTACCTGTTCAGTTGGAGGTGCTCATAAAGCTTTTGTTTAATGAATGAGGTTTCTATTAGGCACTGGGAAAACACAGATAAATATTGAGAGGAATGCTAAGCCTCGCAGGCTGCAAATGTCAGACAATGGGGAAATGTCGGTGCTTTGGAGAGGAGTAGGGTGTCGGGGACAATTTCTGGGCAGAGATGTTACCGGTGGAAGGCATGCTTAGTTATCAGTGGCAAATCCATACGGGTCTATAGCAACCTCAATTCTTGTCTCCTCAGAAGAAAGAATTCAACTGAGGGACATAAAGCAGAAAAAGAGACTGAAGCAAGTTTCAGAGCAGGAGTGAAAGTTTATTTAAAAAGGCCAAGTGGTCACCTTGAATAAAAGCATGATGTTTAACCATGATTCAGCACTTTACAGGCTGGCCTTTTTCCCGTGATTCTTCCCTTAGCATGGGCTGCTTGCATGCACAGTGCCCTCCTTACCCTTGGCAAGTGAACATGTACAATGTGTTTAGGAAGTTGTACACTTGCCCATCTGAGGCGTTCTTCCCTTTTCCGGTGAACTGCCCCTGGAAGGTCTAGTCTGCCATTTTGTCTCTTAATGCACATGCCCAGGAAGTTGCTTCTCACTGGCATCTGCATTCAATTAACATTTTAGTGCAACAGGTGTAGACCATCAGGAAATGGCCTCTTCCTGATGCTGGCTGCCAATTTATCACTTTTAGAGAGGCAATGTGATAATTGCAGAACCATCAGTCATTCCTAGTGGGTGGGAGAGCCCTCCTGCCCCACTTATACCTATCTGTGACAAAGATGCTGAGGACAAATAGTTCAAATAATCCCACGATTCAATACTCAGCATGTCATAGTCCTGGCCACTAGTTGACAAAAGCTTTCAACTCTATTAGGAAGTTTAGAGAAAACTCTCAATTTTATCATGGCATTCAAGAGGAAAATGGGATGGATTTTTTAAATATTTAAAGTAAACTTTGGGGAGAAAACCTGTAAGTGAAGGATTTTGAATTCAAAATGGACAATCTTACAAGGTTTCAGAAGATGACTTCATTTAAATAAGGATTCTGACTACATTACCAGGAGTTTTCTGCCCTTCGAAGAGGTCTGGAAATCTGTGTAAAGAATCCCACTTCCTTGGAAATCAGTGGTTTTACTGTCTGAATGACCACTATGTAGTTCTACGGTCCACATTCAAGCCTCACTCCAGTGAAGCTCACTGTCATGTGTTGTAAAGTGTAACCTGTTGTTCATGAACCCCAAACAATGCAGGGGCTATTTATTAGTGATTTGAAGGAAGTGCATACAGCTCATTCCTCAGTGTGTGAAGCTGCTGCTGTTGCATATTGAAACTTGCTTTTGGGGGCAGGTGGATTTTAAATATGAAAGCTGACCTCTATGCAGGTGGCTAACTGTAGTGAAGCCCTTGCCACACAGCTGTGCTGGAACTGCATTTAAACAAGCCAGACTTAGGGGCCTGAATTACTAATTGCCCCCCACTAATTGTGGCAAAAGAAATGAGGAATTTTGAAGAGCATTACATTCAAAATGGTAGGTAAGAGTTTAGTCCATTTCTGGTTTTCCACCTAAGTAGCCACACAGTGTTGAATGAGATCAAGTCCCTGCCATTATGGAGGAAACATCACCACCACCAACAGTAATTATAACAATAATAAATATTTATTGAAGAATTCCTACACACTAGGAACCCCTCCAACTGATACAAATGAACTATCTCACTTAATTCTCCTAATAACTTCGAGGTAGATTCTGTTATTATGATTATTTTCCAGATGAAGAAACTGAGACACAGAGCTGTTATATAACTTGTCTAAAGTTATGTGACTTGGAAGTAGCAAAGCCAGGTTTTGAACTCAGATGTCAGAGTGCACTCTCTTAGCCACATACCCTAATGGGTAATTACAGTATGTAAGTGCTACAGGATAAGTACAGTGGAAGCATTCTTAAACCTCCCTACCTAATTGACCTACTGCATTAGCCAACACTCTCCTTCCTCGTGTAAAACATACTTAACAGTTGTCTCTAGCACCTTGAAAACTACAACTGGAAGGCTACTGTATAGCACACTTGAACACTGTTATTGCCAACAGGTAAGCTGTTTGTAGAGACAATATAAGCTCCCTCTTGGAGAAATAAAACATACAATTAAAAACATGAATCTCTTCTAAGAAGGACATCATCTTAAATTAAAGGGAAACTAGCAAACCATCTATTGGACCTATATTACTTAGTTTCTGTGTGCTATTAAATTTGATTTGTGACTTGGTAAACCAAAGAGTTTTGGGTAGTGCAATAATTAAGTGAGATGAAGATTTTTGAGGAAGATTGAAATTTGATTATAATTACTGTCCTCTACCATAGGGTCAATTTTCTTCACTGGGTTTTTCTTCCATGTAATATAAAGAGATAAGGACTGTCCTGCTATCAAATTGTCTTGTTACAAGACTAAACTTCTATGCTTGTAAAGCCTATTTTAATCATTGCAGAAATCATAAAACATGGCTGGGGTAGAAGATAATTAATTATAGGTTATAAATTTACCCATTTTAATCAAGTCAGATACAACTGAACCTACAATGAACTTTCTAGCAATGAAGTAAAGAATGAACCAAAAAATGGAGAGTTTGTTATAATCTGAATCCTTAATAACCTCAGGTCGTGATAGTCTGCTGTGGTGTTCCCTAGTACCAGACAGGCAAGCTCTTAAGCTGAGGCCATTTCACCCCAGATGGCACCTGGAAGGTCACTTTCAATGTTTGTCTCTTTGATCTGTTTATATGCTTCAATCCTTGACCAACTCTCTATGATTGTACTCTTTTAAAAATACCATCTTTTGTTTTGAATATAAAAGTTACATGTATGCATTGTAGAAAATACAGACAAATATAAAGATGTTAAACATTTCCGTAACATATGTTCAAGAAAAAAAGTTAACATTGGGGATATTTTAACCCAGGCTAAGTTGTTTTCTTTTTAGAAAATTTGTATTATAATGTTTTTGTTTCACTTAATATATCATGAACATTTCCCCTGACATCTTTGGGGTCTTTCTTGTGAAAATGATTTATAATGGCCCTACAACATTCCATTATTTAGATGACCTAATTCCCCTACTTTTGTGCAAGTGAATTGCTTCCATTCTCTTTCCTTTCCTTCTTTCTTTGAATTTTGTAAACCTCAATTCAGTTATTCCTTATTTTCAAGATGGCAGATTGGGTTACAAATTTAAATTATAACTTGAAAATCTTTAATAACAAGAAATTTAGTTAAAATCAATTTATTCATAAGTAATCATGGAAAAAACAAAAAATATAGAGTGAGGAGGGGTAGGAGAGACACTTGAGTAAGTATTGTCAAGGTCTACATTTTCATTTTTAGGAAAGTTAAAGTTTAGTTTCAGTCCCAACATTATACAACATTATACAGAGAAAGATTTTATTGTCATACAGTCTAGTTTCTAATTAGTCCACAAACTACTTCCTGCTGTCTTGGGTAGGCTGAGATGCATTTACAGAACCTTCTTTGTTTGCAGCTTTAAATCTGAATTGCTCTTGTCATTTGTCTTCTTTCCTGCCAAGCTGAGACAATGCATTTTTGCTCTACCCATTGGCCATGTGATTCTGTTCCTTTTGGTACGTCATATTCTGCACCGAGTTCTGGTAGCTCAGGCAATTCTGTGCTTTCTTGTATTCTTTATTATGCAGCCATTTTTGGCAAGAATCCTTCAAGAACAGGAGAAATATTTTTCTTATGGACATCAAACAGTGAGCATCTGAAGCAAGGCCTGCTGTCTTTTCCAAAATGACTAAATCCTGGATGTGTTTGATTGAAGCTTGTGTCACTCTGCTAGCTAGGTGAATTGTTGCTGACTGATTTTATCAGTGAATTCTAGATAGGATCCCTATTTTTTCAGCTACATCGATGAGCAACAAAATGTTACTGCGGTAGAGAAAGTCATCAAAATAACCACAGAAATTTCTTCGATTAGAAAATACATGATAAACCCAGTACAAAGCACGTAAGGTGCTGGACTTCAGTTTTAGGATGAAGCTGGAAGAAATCCTCAGGGATCTCCTTTCTTGTTATTATTCATCTACTTTTCCTTCATGTTCAGGAAGAGGTGATAACAGGTGAGATATGACAGCCTGGTGTAGCAGAGCCTTAGTCTTTGATATAGTTTGGCTGTATTCCCACCCAAATCTCATCTTGAATTGTAGCTCCCATAATTCCCACATCATGGGAGGGACCTGGTGGGAGGTAATTGAATCATGGGGGCGGGTTTTCCCTGTGCTGTTCTTGTGATAGTGAGATCTGATGGTTTGTAAAGGGGGGTTCCCCTGCAAACGCTCTCTTGCCTGCTGCCATATAAGATATGACATTGCTTCTTATTTGCCTTCCACTATGTTTGTGAGGCCTCCTCAGCCATGTGGAACTGAGAGTCCATTAAACCTCTTTCCTTCAGAAATTACCCAGTCTCTGGTATGTCTTTATTAGCAGTGTGAGAACAGACTAATACAGTCTTCTTTACTCCCCTTTCAGGGAGAGCTGTGCTTTTCAGGGAGGAAGCTGCAATGATGGTAGCAGACATCAGACACGTGGGACAAAGTGTTGAGAGGCCAGGCAGTGGCTGCAGTACCCCTGTGGCCCAGATGGCACAACTAGTCAGCTGTGGTGCTAAGATGGCAGCTTCTCACGTTTTTAATCAATAATTTTTATGAATTTACGTGATAGGTTAGAGTTCTAGAAGTATTTAGCAAGACATAAGTGTTCAATCTATTTTTCATATGAAAACTTAGCTTATTCTGTGTTGGTGGAAGCCCCGTGGTCAGTCCTTGGGAAGAGCCCTGTAGAAGTCAGGTGAGAGGCCTGAGCTCACAGCACCTGTAACCAACGGTGCAATACTAGGCCGAGGGCAGGGCTCTGCCTGTAGCCAAAATTTCCCTGTAGAAAACATTTTTCCTTGCTCAGGCCTCATTTTTTAACATTGCTGCAAGTTCAAGATGCAATCAGGATGGAAACGGGTCCTTTGGGCCTGCATCAGGAGTGAAGAGGAGTGGAGGGTGTGTATGATTACTGGTGGTGGCATCCTCACAGGATTGACTTTGTATATTGATGGAAGTCCTTCCTGACCATGTTATTATTCATTGCAACAATTTTAGTTAGTTAATTATTTATTACATTGTTCCCCCTAGTAGATGTAATGGAACAAGAATCTTTATACAAGGACTATACAAATGCTGTCCTTCTACCTTATATAATGGAAGGCACTTTTGCCAGTTCAAGATAATTGCTATCATTAAATATTGATAGAGCATAGCTGTTTTTTTTTTAAATTTCTAGAAGTAGAAATAGAGGAAAGAACTCTGGGAAATATAATCAATGTGTCCTGGACTTATCATCCAACGGGCACCAGGTCTCAAGGAGGAAGAAAATTATTTGGGAGAAGAATGCTTTTCTTTTTGATTTTTAATAAGAGACCTCCCAGGTGCTGACTATTGTCTGAGCTGTGAGAGAAAGGAGACATTTTACAAGGCAGAAGGGAAGAAAGAACAAGCACTTTTAAAGATCAAGCCAGAGTACAACTGTGTGTGTTCTTTAACCTTGGGCATGCTGCCCAGAAAAGAATGCAGAAGGAAAATATAAGTTGGCTTCTGCAATTGGAGTAAGACTAATTAGAAGAAGGAGGCAGAGGTCTTTGAGATCACTATACGGAATGGAGTCTCAGGCTGAACGATTAAATCTGAAACAACAGCAGGCCTTGGACAGATGAAAGCAAATCAAATTGTGAGTGGGAGTCAACTTTGCCTCAAGCAGGCTAAAGAACAGAGAAGGCAAGTCATAGGGTCCTCTCCAGCAGGGCCCTAGCCCGCCTGGAAAAGGCAGAGTTATGCCCTCTTCCTCCTTTCCCAGAGCAATTGGAGTGGTTTTATTCTCATAAAAATAAAATAAATGTATTCATTCACTTTCTCTTTCCAAAAACGGTTTGAAGAGTTAATAGAACATTAAGGGCAAGCTTAAACGAAGGCAAATAACTCACAAAGGGACAATGTGGGGGTCTCAAGTAGGAGTTTCTGCCCTAGGACCGGTGGAGGGGATGGATTTGCCTCGTTGCTTTGGTGATAGCGTGCGATGGCGGCGGTGGGAACAGGAGCTGTTTAACACGTGATCGCTGTGTGTGTGCGTGTTTGTGTGTAGGAGTGGTTTGCCTTAACCACCTATCACTAGGCTTCACAGATTTGGAAGGGAGTATGTGTTTCACTTAGGACCCAGAGAATGGGGATATATGGGGTACTTCCCTAACATTTAGACGCCCTGCTGTCTCCTAGTCTGGTCATGAATGCTTCTGAGGAGGTCTCAGGACGCTTGACGTCATCAGGTGGAACCGCGCACGCACTTCCTCCCTCTGCCAGTTCTCAAGTCAGCACAGCCCCGGGACCCCACGGTGTGGAAACACCACCCCACTGGTTCTCCTAGGGCAGTGTGGACATTGTTTGGCCATCTTTTTCCAGCTCTCAATTTTTTTTCTCAGGTGCATCTCGATGAGATGAGACCCAGCAAAAGAAAAGAAACCTTAACCTGGGATCGAAAAAAAGCATTTGAAATAAAATCAATCATCTTAGAATCAGGGCGTGGCAAAGGAACACTCAGGACTGTGGGTAGTGGTAGGACACACTCACATGTCTCACACAGATGTGCAAAGGAAATAGAGTTTGTTTCTTAAAACTTACGCGATCTTCCTTACCGACCGCACTCTCCTGGATGGTAGTAGTTAGGGAAAGACGCGGAAACCAACTTTAAACTTGCCAATTAACGCTATTCCAGAACCTTGGGATTTAAATAGTCGCTCTCGGATGACTTAGTTTCTTTTGGGTAAGTGTTTAGTCGTTTATATTTCCACCTCATGCCCCTCCCCCTCTAGGATGGCCCCTGGATAGATCAGGGTGTGGGGCATGTGTGACCTCACGTTAGCAGGGTAGACACGGGAGTTTCCGATGCATGCGGGGCCCTTTGCATCCTCACTGGTCTTTACTGCGTGATAGCTGAACTAGTCTGTTCCCTGAGCTGCTGTTGGAGATGGGCCTATCTGGCTACTTGGAGATCAGGTACCTAGCACCGAGTTCATGCTTTTGCCTCTGGCCATGCAGTTCTTGGATGCTGTAACCGTTTTATCCTGATTGCAATCCTCCACAGGCCCTCCTGTCCTGGAACACCTGATCCAGGGCGGACAGGAGGTCCCAGATCTCTTGTGAACCTTCCTGGGCCTTGGGAAGCCAGGAGCGCTGCCAGGGCCCTTCTGTTTAGCCTCCTCTCTCTACCAGTCTGAACTTTTGTTCCCATGCTATTTGGGATGAGGCCCTGGGTATGTTTACTCTTGTGCCTTGCAGGCTCCCCAAACTATGCCGAGGGGAGCTTGCCAGTACAAATCCCACTAACTCATGTGCTCGCCCATATCTACCTGGATGCTTCTACCGTGTCTTTTCCTCCCAGGGTTTCGCTTCAGAGGCGATAAGTGAAATCATGAGTATTTTATCTGTTATTGCTTCTCTCTCCTCCCCATATTCCACTGGGGTTTGAAACACGAAGGGCTTCCATTTTCTCTTCCTGTCTGGTCGGAACTTTCTTGACCCTATACTCTCCTTCTTCTTGCGGTGGCATGTACTTTCCCTCCCACCACAGCGTAATGATGAAATGACTGCCAGGGAACCCTCACCATACATCAGTAATGGTTTCACAAATATTTTTCCCATTATGTGTATCAGGAGACAGTGGTGAGCCCCTTTGTCCTTACAATTGTTATGGAAGTTTTCTTTTGTAACAGTTGTCCAGAAATGGAATAGGACTGGTGATTGCTCAAATACTATTTATGGTTTACTATTTAAACATTAAAACTATGAATGTGGAAACAGAAACCTTTGCCTCTGTAAATTGAGCATCTGCAATTTTTGTGTTACAAACTACCATTAACCCTCTTTGTTTTCAGAGCTTGGGATGTTGCAAAGGTCCTGAAAAAAATTTTTGCAGTTTGGCTGGAAATGTTCATGCTTGATTTCAACACATTTACAGAGCATTCACAGGAAATAATTGCAAGTTCACACAATATGCTCTGTGGGTGTGATTCGGATCAGCTCTCAAGAGCACGGAATGAAGGCTTTCAGCCATTTAGGCAAAGAAACATTAAAATAATGATAAAAGGATCCCACTGCAATTGAAGGGAGTGAAAAAGAATTAGATAGTAAGGCACACATTTTATCTTCCTTGGGATCAAAAGCTGCTGGGCACACCAGTGGATCTGAATTCTATTATATTGAGAAGTATTCTTAGGGTTTTAAGGATTTGAGCCATGTTAGTTTTGTTTGTTGAATCCTGGTCATAGTAACATTTCACTTCATGGGGGAATAATAGGAGGTAGCAGGGAAGGCTCACAGAATGGAGCTTACTCTTTATGAGAAAAAAATGTGCTAAAGATTTGAGACTTTATTGTTACCAAATGTGGAAGAAAGTATTTTTATGATGCCAGTCTTGTCTCCTGAGACCTCTGAGTTGCTAAACATTGATCTAAACACTGTGAGGGCTGAACAGGAAAATGCGAGATGGGACCCTTACCTTAACATTCATATGAGCTGTTTTGGGGGGTAAAACATGCTTCTGTGGAAGGACTAAATGCAAGTTAACACAAATTAAAGTGTGCCCAGCCTAAGAAACAGAAATCTGAAAACCTGAACACAGAAGACCAAAATCTTAGAGTATATAAAACAGTGATTTGCATAGCCAATGATCAAATATAGGATATACTAAAAATGTAAATATATGCTTCAATTTATTAATAATGATAGCTTGCATCTGTGTTGCCCTTGACTGTTTTCACAGCATTTTCACATACTTATTTTCACACTTCTCACTACTGTTGACCTATTGACCCATTTTTCTGGGACGCAGATATAAGGCAATTGTTAAAGTGTCATACAATTATTATGCCATAGAATCATCACTACTATTTCCTTTTCAGTTGGTTTTTAAAACAATTTTTTCTTTTGGTAGAGACATCTCACTCTGTTACCCTGGCTGGTCTTGAACTCTTGGCCTCAAGCAATCCTTCTGCCTTGGCCTCCCAAAGTGCTGAAATTATAAGCTTGAGCTACCATGTCTGGTCTGATTTAACTTAGTAAGAATATTGCTTTTACCATAGCACTGTACTCCAAAAATCCTATGTCTACTACAAAAGTTTTTAGTTTCACTGTTGAATTTTTTCATGAGATAGACAGAAATACTGGAAATACTGGAGCTATTTTTGGAATTAACTGATATTGTATTTGAAACTTCAGTAATGACAATGACATAAAACTGACAGTTTCAACTTTTGAAGTTTTTTTCTGCTTATGGAGTCACTCCACACAGCTTTCACTTTACCTTTTGTATATGCACAGAAATATTTGGAATAAAAAGTAAGTGAAATTTATTTAGAAGAACAGTCATTTGATATAAATAAAAAGTCATGCCTCACAGAATAATACATAAACACATGTTCTGCAGCTGAAAGTGCTAAATCTTCATCTCTGGGCATAGTCGTCTTAAAATAATTAACTTTTGAAGTAGATGAGGATGCTTCTTAGGTTTGTCTTCAGGTTTTCATGTGGTCAGTGATATCACGATGGCCCTCATGGTGGATGGTAAGTAAGTCTTAACAAATGTTCTTGAGACGTAGAAATTCAATACTTAATTTTTTATTAATAGGCACTTTTAAAAAGATCATTGCAGCTGAAGAGTTTATTACAAAATAAAAAAATTACTGAACACCATATTATAAATGACAAAATCACTTTGGTAAGAGCTTTCAGACTACTTTCTATGATACATTCTATGGTGAAACTGTTCAGACTGTACTCTGATATGTAATGTAATTTCCCACATTTCCCTCTCAATGGTTAGCTGGGAGCCTGGCGTCTCTATGCATTTAGGCATTTCACACAGGCTGGTCCACCTGGCTTATTCATGAAATCGCCAGCAGAGGGAGGAATGATGAGTAGTCTCCTACCACCCGACACTGGAAGTTCGCGAGTGCTTGGATCTGAGTATCTTTTGTCATGTGGGCTTGTATCTGAGTATCTTTTGTCATGTGGGCAAGCATGCACCCTGCATGCTGTTCTTGAAAGTGAGCTATTAATCACGTTGCTCTGAAAAGGGCTGGGAAAAGAGAGATGGATTGTTGATCATCTTTTCGTTTTAAACCATGTGTTAAAGTTAGATCTCTGTTCACTGCCCTGTGTGCCTTACACAAAGCCAAGTAAGAATTATGGCAGAAGCTGGAAGTACAAAGTGGAAGTCTACCAAACCTATCCTGACTTATTTTAATGCAGCTTTAATAAAAATTCCTCAAATGGGACAAATGCTAAACTAGTCCTGGGTCAACAGGCATAAGCCAGTGCTGGCCCAGGGATGAGGAGAATGATATTCACTCTAGTTAAGGACAAGCAACCTCTTTTCTTTACCACATCTTATCCCTTCACATTTGAAACTTTCTTCTCTGCCCCAGATGGATCTCTTCTCTAAGTCAAGCATCCTTATTTCTTTCCTCTGTTCATCATATGAGGTGGATCCCTGCATTGTCCCCTTTTTGGGTGAAGGGTAGGACTACTCAGTGTCCAGACTTTGACTTCATGTTTGATGAACTGTTCAACTAGTTGTTTCTACCTGTGTGGATTAGCTTCTCTGGCTCTGCCCTTTGACATGATGGGCTTAAGAGGGGTTTATAGGAAAAGAAACTGAGGGACCAAATAGGCAACCATTTCGTGTTCCCAGTTCTACCTGAAGAACAAGTGTGATCCCATCCTGTTCATTTTACCTCTGTCCTGTACTGTCTTCTTCATCTGCTTCCTTCATGACATTTCAGAGCTCTCTGTGCATCTGGGTCTGTCTCACGTTATGCAAAAGCAGGTGTAGAGGCCACTGAGTCTGCTTTCTTTATCTAATCACAGTGGTCTAGCTCACCTTCATGCTTCCTTTAACCTGGGGGATAGATATGCTTACCACATCCTGTATTTTTTTTTCCCAAGACTTGACCTCCCAGGCTCAAGTGAGTTTACCGCCTCAGCTTTCCAAGCAGCTGGCACAACAGGTGTGCACCATGATGTCTGGCTAATTTTTTGTATTTTTGTAGAGATAGAGTTTTGCCATGTTGCCCAGGCTGGTCTCAAATGCCTAGGCTCAAGCCATCCATCTGCCTCAGCCTCCCAAAGTGCTGGGACTACAGGCATGAGCCACCATGCCTGACCCTTTGTTGTTCTTATAGAACTCATGTATTACTGTAAATGAGCACCCTTCTAATGATAAAGATATACTTTGTTCTAGAAACAGAATTAAAATAATTTCTTAGATTTCTTCTGTGGCTTATTTCCACAAAATGTGATCCATGCCCTTATGGAACTACTGGTTGCTCTTTAACTTAGATACCTGTTGTGTGAACCATCAGGCATGAGGAACACACTAGTTCTCTAATCTCCTGCTAGAGATGCTTCCCTAGATCTCCTTTCCCTACTTCATCTGTGTTCATTACATTCTCCCCACATTGCTCCAGGCAGAAGGTGAAAACATCGGGGCAGGAGATAGCAAGGAGGTGAGCGCAAGACTGGACAACTTCACAAAGTGATTAGACAGAGCAGAGGACTGTAGAAGGTGGTGAAAGTGATTCCTGTCTCACTCTTCACCCATAAAAATGGTGCAGAACTTAGATTTGTCAGTAGGATCATAGAATGCTGCTATTACTGATCAGAATCTTTGCAATCATATGGTTCCAATCCCTTCATTTCATAAAAGAGAAATAAGAAGTTGAAGGAGGCATCAGTCTGGGAGTAGAATATGGGTCTCTTAATTCTGTTCATCACCATATCTTCTTATTCATGGGTGCCTGGCATAGCAAAAGCTGGGGGGCAGAGGAGAAAAGACTAGGAGTATTGGAAAGAGTATTGTTTTGGGAGTCAGAAAATTTATGTTCTAGTACCAGCTCTGCCATCAAATATCTGTGTAATTTTAGGGAGTCAATTTGCCTTTCTAAACATTAGTGTTCTCATTTATAAATTGATAATATCTAAAGTCTCTTTCATTTCTAAATCTCCACTGAATTGCTGCTTTCCTTCTAGCATTCACTAAGATTTACTTTTAGCTAGATTCTATTCTAAATACATAATCATATTTAACCTTTAAGGAATTCTGAGGTATATTCTGTTATTATTCTATTTTACAGATGAGGAAACTGGAAAGCAGAGAGGTTAAGTAACTTGCTCAAAGTCATGGGACTAATAAATGGAAGATGAAACATGACTCCAAAACCCACTCAGTGGGTGAAAGATAAATGTGTGTGTGTGTGTGTGTGTGTGCGCACGCACAAATGAAGGAGCTTCGGAATCTGCAATATTCACTGAGAGGGGTGTCCAGTAATAAAGAGCTGAGAAACATTGGCTTGAGTCCTACAAGCCTATGTAAGATATATATTTTGAATACATTTATGGACTGCTGTTGCCAGTCGAAGTCTTTTTGCAAATTGTCAAAAATGAAAGCATTTTCTTATTGAGCAACCAGGCACAAGTGGCATAGCTCTTAATTCTTAGATCTCAGAACACTTACCAATCACTCTGGCTTCATAAAATGCCTTTGTTCACCTTGGCTTGCAATCACATTTCCCTGATTCCTTCTTTGAGTTAAAATATTTTTCTCTACTCTTCTGAAACAGAGGCTAAAATTAATAGACAATATTACAACAGGCAATTCGTAATCAGAGAATTGATTTAAGACCTATTATGACAGGTAAGCAAAAGTGAAATTTTAATGAGGGCTTGGAACAACACTTTTTCCTCTTTGATTCCTCAAATGACTGATGGTTTGTCATTTTTAAAAGGGCTTATATTTTGCACTGTCATTATGCTAGGTATAATGCCATATATTCTCTCCTATGAGGTGGTTTCTCAAATAGAACATACCTGAAGTTTTCCATCTCCCAAGGAAAAATGCTCATAGCATTACTTCTTGAAGTGCATAGTTCTTATAAAACAGTAATCTTCAAAATCTTTTGCTTTATTGAGAAATAATTTACATGCACAGACCTTAAGTTCAATGACTTCTGACAAATATATGCACCCATATATCATTATTGAAATTGAGATACAAAACATTTTTATCATCCTCAAAATTTTCTGTGTGGTCTTTTTAGTCAAATTCTCTCACTAAAGACAACCACTATAGATACGGTGTTTTTTTTTTTTTTTTTTTTTTTTTTTTTTGCGTTGTCTTCAACTTCACTTAAATGAAAGAATACAATATTTACTTTTTTACTGACTATTTTTTCCCATTCAACATACTGTTTTGAGCTTCACACAGGTAACACATAAGGTGGTGAGTTATCACAGTCATGGACATGGTGCCAGAGAAGCAGCAGACGGTGCACAAAAAAACCTGTGTGGGTTAGGCAAGGTCTCCTAGAGGAAGTGATGCTGAGTTGATCCCTGAAGACAGGTAGTACTTCAGGAGGTGGGCCTTTGGGAAAAATCCTTTATCTGTCTTCTGACCTACACATATATGTCAGCACTGTGGCCTAGGGCAGAAAAGGTGCCATTAAAGGTGGGTAAAATGGGAGAGAGAGCAGATAGGTTTTCCCATCATACACCTGTGCCTGATATTAGCCCAGGTGAAAACGAAGCAGGCTGTCTGAGGTGGGCAGATAATGGCAGATTGTTTTTGAAAGTAAAGATCACAAAGATGCAGAATCCACAGGGTGCCAACTTCCGGTGAGAGGAATTTCAGGGTCCTTGAGGCCTGGGAGGCCCTGACACCACTGAGTGCCATTGCTCTGCACTAGGGCTGCTCTCTGAATTCAGTGCATCTTTGAACATGGCTGCACAGGATCACTGATTATGCCGTTGAAAGGTGTGTTAAGCAATTTTCTAGTTCTCTAATTTTAGAGCGGAAGAAAACGAGTGACTCGCCCAATGCTACACCATTGAGTGGGGACTGGTGTGCATGCTTTCTTGGCTAGCAGTCTGGACTGAGAGTGACAGTGATAAAGGCAAATGACTAGCCATTTGGTCTGTGGCACTTCTGGAGAATGAAGGAGGGTGGGAAAGGGGCTGGATTTTGTCAATACTTAGGTGTTGAGGAGGGTGAATCTGGCAGGGACCACACATCAGCATCAGCAATACATTGCCATTATCTTTCATTTTCACAATTGTGCTTAGTGTGGGCAGAGATAGATCTTTGGGATCTTGACTACCCTTTTCATCTGGCTTAAAGCCTCTACCTCCAAATGGTAAACACATCTCTGGAGCCCTATATCAGCCTAGTTCCAGGCTGCTGCAGGTTTCTCCTCCTAGGTATTCCAGGGAGCTAATGCTACATTGAGGAGGCAGTGCTTCTGTGAGCCTTACACCTCCCTGGTAAGGTTTATTGTTTAGACTCTTCCTCTGAGCTGACATTCCATGGGAGTAACAACATTGGGAAGATAGAATCCTAGCATTTTAGAGCTGGAATCCAGGCCATGTGAAGGTGATATAAATAAAAAGAGAAGAGGCTATATACATTTACAAACTGGGATACTCAAGGTACATTTGGGAAGGACCTGGTTTGCTTTTTGTTTGTTGGGCTATAAATCCCTCTTCTCCCTCCCTTCATTCTTCACCACCCCAATGAGATATATGCTTGGATGGTATTTTATAAACAACAACAACAAATGACAAGAATAGAGTTGTATAGAAAGCCAAAATATAACAGTAAAGTACAGAAGATATAAGCTTATTTCACTTTCTGATCAAGTCTGGGTAGCTGGTTCAGAGGTATGCCACTCCACGGTGTCAGAGACGAAGGCTTCTGCTGTCTTGTTGTTTGACCATGTGTGACTGCAACCTTGAGATCCAAGATGCCAGGCTTGTATTCTAAGTTGCAGGAGAAAGAGGCAAAGAACAAGCAAAGGGCACCCTCAGACGCTTTCTCTTAAGGATGGTGAATGACAACTACTGCCTGACTGCTATCTGCTTTCCATGGCCATGATAGTCACCGGCCAAGACTCCACTGAAAGGGAGCCTGGGAAATGCAGCATTTATTTCAGGTAGCCCAGTGCCTAGCTAAAAATTGGGAGCCCTTACAGCAATCATCAGCCACATGTACCTGATGTCACATGATCCTCACATTAGCTCAGTCAGATGGACATTGTTGACCCCTTTTGACAAATAAGGAAAGCAAACATCAAGGAGGCCATGCAGGAGGTGCCTGAAGCTGAGCCCAGGTTTTCTGATTGTTAATACTGCATCCATCCCAAATGGGATACATGGCCCCTAATGCTTAGCAGGTGCTTCACACGTAGTAACTATTCAGTAAATGATAGTTACTTTTATTTCTGTAACCATACATGGTATAAAGCAGACCTCTTCTCTTGGTTTGGATTATCTTAGAACTCTTTTTAGTTCCTGGGGTCCCAGTCTTCTGTAGTATGTACCTCTCTCATATCGCAGGGTAATTTCAGCCCTATGACAAGAGCATGTCTCTCCCAGACAGAAGAGTCTACTTAAATATTTGAATTCCTTGGATCTGCATTGCTTTCCAAAGTGAATCAAGCCAATAGTGTATGAAGGGCAACGGATACACCCAAATCTTAATAATTAGATGGGTTTTCTCATTTTGGTCTCGTTAGTCAATTCAGTGCAGTACAATTAAATCAGGAGAGAGGAGACATTCAGGCAAACCGCTTCTCTTCCAGCCTCCAGCCTCTCTCTCCTGCGCTGGAACATTGTGGGATGAGAGATTTTCTTTCTGCCTGAGGTAGCCAATGTGCAGAAGCTTAATAGAGTTGAATGAGTTTTGTTTTCATGGGACCAAAGGTTATGAGATTGTATTAGGAAAAGGATTAATACAGGTGGTGAAATTATTGAACTAATTGACTGATTAAGTCATGTAAATCTGGTCTTAGAGGTGGCTCATAGCAATTGAGTGTTATGTGAACTATACTATCTCTTTATTTTGCTTTTTAAAATAACCTTTTCCTATGCCTGAGAATGGACCATGGACACCAAATTTAATATTAATTCTCTACAATTCAAATGTATTGTCTTCTACTTGTTAATCTTATGGCCACTTAGATATTATCTGACTAAAAGAAAGGTCTTGCAGTTTGTATATATTTAAAAAGCCATTTTATATGGTTATAAGATTTTTCTCATCATAAGATTTTCTTTCCTCTTTATTGCCCCTTTATGGCTTAGCAAAGACAATGCAAGTCTAAGAGTGTTTTGAACAAAAAAGAACATGAGTATATGAATGGAATATCTATTTATTGAATTGAATCATTCACCTCTACCTCCCAAAATACTTTGCCAAGAAGTGTGTTATTCCAAACCTCAGTTAGTAAAGCTACTTCTGAAAGCCTCAGCCATTGCTTTACACAGACAGTGGGAATATGCAGATGAGAGCGCAGTCTCTGTGAGAGCTGGTGTAGAATGGTGGTGAAGACTCTGGCCCTGGCCCCAGCCTGGCTGCATTTGAATCTCAGCTCCTCCATTTGAATCGCAGCTCCTCCACTTGCCAGCCATGTCACCTTTACTTAATTTCCCCATGTCTCAAATTACTATCTGTAAATTAGGGTTGACAATAATAATAGTTAACTTGCAGGGTTTTGAGAATTAAAAATAAACCTGTATTATATTTTACAGTGCCTGACACAAAATAAATGCAAACATCAAGAGCTGGCTATAATTATTTGGCATTCTTCTCTAAGGCATGGTTTTTACGTGATGTGAACATTAGTGAAAGACATACAGCACCCCTAAGATGGCCTGAGAGATATACAGCATCCCGCCAAATGGCCTGAAGTAGTCGCTAGTTGTGCCATTTATCTCTCAGGATGGCTCACGTGAATGGAGACTGGGGTGGTGTTGCCACCGATGAGGGCTTTGGAGTCCAACGGCTCAGGAATTAAATCTCAGCTCTGCCACTTGTAAGCTGCGTGGCCTTGAGCAGATCACTTACCCCTTCTGAGCCATGGAAAGGATCACCTGGGGGATTGAAGAGGGATAGGATAGCACTTTGCACTTTACCTGGTCCATGGTAAGTGCTCAATAAAAGTTAGGTTTTTATTATTGTGGCTAAGTCCTAGAAGGAGACAATCCAAAAGATTTGAGTAAAAATGAGTAAAATATTTTTTCCCTGTTATTTCTGTATTTTCTCTGAGTGTAAGGTTAAAAAATACCCAAACAAATCCTTTGCTGAAATAATGTCTTAAAAAGTTACTAATGTTAATTGCATGTTGGCTAGTTAAATTCAATCATTCAGAGTATGTGGGAAACCTTTTGACAAATTAGACCAAATTACAGCTGAAGTATAAGAACATGAACATTCCAGTTCACAGCATGTGCAAAAATATCATTATAGGGCTGTGTCTATGCACATACGATTAAAAAATCTACATTTTCTTAATCACCAGTTTGATGAAATTATTTTGCTTTTCAAACAGTTGATTTGTTACCATGTTACTCAAACTAAGGTATAAATTAAGCTATATACATATTTAAATACAAAAATCACTATTGTGGATAATTTGTCCACAATTTTGTGTGTCACACTGGTAAACTGTTGTGAGGTGAGAACATAATTACATGTACAGTATTGTATACAGCTGTCTTGTAGCTGTAACAACCACTATATTTTGCATATTGTATTACATTAACAAATACTGATTGCATTTAACATGCAAAGTAGCTTGATAAACTCAGAAGGAAGCTTAAGGCAATTCTCCCAAAACTTGCCTTAAATAAATGGCTTTTTATTTTAACCCAGTTCAAACAATTACTCAATAGTGAAATAAACTCTCTCTGATAGTTTTTCACATGATGTGAAAAGGGATGGAGAAAGCAATTGAGCTCCAACAGCCTGAGAACAAAGCTCTGGCCCTCTCCTCTGCCCTTGGCTCCCCTGGGTACCCACAGGCTCTGGGGCTCCATTATTCCTGCTCCAGAAAGTACATTAGCTTCATGGAGAAACCACTTGGTCCCTCTCAGTGGCTCCCTGTGGGTTGCTGGTCATTTGGGACAGACATTAGTGGCAAGATTTTGCCAGTCCATCTAGGCTGTTCAATGAATGCTAACTATCATCAGAAGACTTTATTAGAGAGTTCCTGGTTTTTGTTTCATTGTAAGTCTTTCTACATGAAAATTATAAAAAGAAAACAGATTTAAGAGATTTACTGTAAAAAAATATTAAAAAATGAATGTAAATAGAACCCACAATCACACCTTTAATTCATAAATACTACATCATAGTATATATCTTATTATGAGGACTTTAAAAAAACATATGGTCTTGGAACTAAGAGAAAACCTGGAATGGTACCATATTGCTTTAAATGAAAAATGCTGGCCAGGCACAGTGGCTCATGATTGTCCTCCCAATAATTTGCAGCAATTTGGGAGGCTGAGGTGGAGGATCTCTTGAACCCAGGAGTTCAAGACAAGCCTAGGCAACATAGTGAGACCCTGTCTCCACAAAAAATAAAAAAATTAGCCAGGCATGGTGGCACACGTGTCTGTGGTCTCAGCTATTCAGGAGGCTGAGGTAGGAGGATGGCTTGAGCCCAGGAAGTCAAGGCTGCAATGAACTGTGATTGCACCACTGCACTCTAGCCTGGACAGCAGAGACAGACCCTATCTCAGTTAAAAAAAAAAAAAGCTGGAATGAGTTCTTAGGATTAACTAGTCTTCAGTTCCAGCCTTTTCTGTCCAGCCAAGTAGTCCCATGCACTACTTGGCACATATTGCATTCCCCACCTCCCTGTTTCCCAGTCAGCATTTTAAGTTTAAATCTAACTTGCTATCATAACACAATAATAGTTACCATTTATTGTTAGCTAACTATATACTAAGCACTACGTTAGGCTTTCTGACATTTCATTCTTACAACTACTCTACAAGGCAGATACCCTCATTTCACAAATTAACAAAAGATGAGGTGTAGTGAAGCGATGAACTTGTCCAAAGTCACATGTTAAGTGGCAGAGTGAGAAAATCAAACTCATGCCTGATATTTAAAGCCTTTTTCCATATGGATCCTGTTAGGAAACTCCTCACTCTGACCCTATAAGTCTATTTACTGTTCTCCAACCTCTCCATCAGGATTTTGTGTATATACTACCACTCTGTAAGATCCAGTTAAGTCCATCTTCACTCATTTACCCATTCATCCATTCATTTAACATTGCTTGCATATTGCAGGCACTGTGCTAGATGCCACTAGGAATCATTTCCCAGTCTATGCTGTTTCCTGATGGCCATATCATCTATTGTATATTTATCTTCCTCTAGATTATAAACCAATTGTTCTGAACCAGTGGTGGTGCTGTCACTTTAGAGAACACTGGAAAATGTATGGCAATCTTTGTCATTATAATGACTGTCATGTATATTATAATGAGGTGCCACTGGCATTTATTATCCAGAGGCCTGGAGTATTAAATATTGCCCAACGTGTGGGATAGGCCTGCACAATGGAAAATTGTTTCACCCAAAATGGTTATAGTACCCTCCTCTAGAAACATGGTTGCAAACAGATCTAGGGCAAAATCTTTTTATAAACTTTCTGTATCTTTATCAAGCCTGGTATCCTGCTTATAGAGAGTGTTGGTTAGCTGAAATGATGACGTTCTTTTCATTAACTAAAAATTTTAAGCAGCATTTTCAGAGAGAGATTCTTTAATTGGAGATGTGGAATGTGATGTGTTTTCTAAGATTTATTTAGATAAAAGAAAATCATGTTTTCTAAAACAAATGGAAACCCCTCTCTGCATATGTGAAATCTTGACATTATAGGAGTACAAAAACTCCTTCCTTGACTCATGAATCATTCCCCCATAATATTCCCATAAATTTCTTAAATAACCTGGTAGAGTTCCCTGCTGTTACTAGAGTTACATCTACTTGTTTTCTAGGCCATGAACCAGAACTACGACCCCTTTAAGATCCATTAACTTTAAGCAGATTAATGAGATGATAAAAGATAGTTAAGAGAAACTATATATTCATCTGTAGTGGACATTTGTTCTTTTTATTTGGTCGTCTAGTATCTAATCTCCTTTCTTATTTTTGGAGAATCCCTCATTAGATGTAGTCTTGGTGGGAGACAGGATCTCCATTACACCATTCTTGGATGCCAGGACATGAGCACATGAATTAGGCATGGGCAATCAGATACTGTGGCCCAGGACTCTGGCTCTCAAGTAAGTGACTAAAAGGATAAATAGATAGCTAGAATTTATTCACGGCAGTAGGAAGCAATGTATTATGTTAATGACGGTAGTGCTCTTAGGTACCCCAGCTGACTGTTCTTCCTTAAAGATATTGTTTCTTCTTCTTTGTCATCCAGAGCTTCCTGGGTTACTGTGGCAGAGACTGCCAATTCTCCCACATCCATTCCCCTTTTTTTCCTTTTTGAAGTAGACTTCGTACACCCCAAATATTAGCTGGGTATTTAGCTACCTAGCTAGTGGCTAGATTTTTCTGGCTCCCTTGCAGCTAGAGGTGACCATGTGACTATTTTTGGCCAGTTGGCTGTAAGTGGAAGTAATGTGAATAACTTTTAGGTCCCATCTTTAAAAGGAAGTGGTTTACTCTTTACTTCCTCTTCTTCTTTCCGTGGGCTGGAGCCTGGATGTGATGCTGGTGACGCAGCCAGGCAAATGAAAACAACATCTTAGACAATGAAAAGACAGGTGGAAGGGACCCAGGGAAGAACAGCCCACACCCCTTGCACCCTTTCTCCTAACATGATCCAGAAGTGAATCTTCTATCTTGTTTAAGTCACTGTTATTTGGCCTCTGCTGAAGAAGCAGAATTCATATCCTAATTAGTACAGTACCTATTTATTTTCTAAGCCTCGTACTCTAACCTCCTTTTGTTCCATGAGCCCTCAATAACTTTCCAACAATTTCCCTTTTTATTTAGGATTGTCAAAAACTACTTTTGTTGTTTGCAACTGTTAATGTATTTGAAGTGAAGACACCTAAAAATGTGGAATTGTCTGAACCCAGGAAGTTGAGTGAACTGCAGGTCTCACTATTCAAGTCTGGAAAATTATCTATTCTTATTTCTAGTAGTAGAATAGCTGATTGGCCTAAGGCTTGCTGTAGTTTGGTGCTTAGATCTTTTGCCTATAAAGGCAGTAGTATGCTTAGCCTGAAATCGAAAAGAAAGGGAAAAAATCCCACAGCTTTGTGAAGAGAGGCCTTTTATGTGGTAGTCTATAATCCAAAGTGGCTTAAGGTCTAGCAGTCTGAAAAGCTTCCTTTCCAAGCTAAAGTTAGTGCAAGCAAAAGCAAAGAAAGTAAAACACTCAGCTGAAGATAAGGTCAGAGCTGAGAGAGGCCTGATTCCTCCAACTCCTCTCAGGAACCTCTGCTGTGTTCTCCCTGCTGAGAGCAGAAACGGTGATTTCTTTCATGAAGCTGCAGTAGGATGCAACCTTCGGGGATGTCTTTTAGTGGTGCCTTCCCTGCACAGTCTATTTGAAATTGGCCCAAGGTAAAGACCATTAAATAAAGGACTATAGAAGATTGTTAGAAGAGAAAAATTCCCAGTCTTAGACTCAAAGTCTATGACTTGACAAGATCTCTGCCTCGGTTACTAGTCACATTGGTTGGTTCTGGGTTAGGCACAGGATTCACACCAACGAGAATTAAAAAAGAAGTTTCTGGAATCTTCTGGAAGGGGAATTTACCTGATGTTCTGTGGGTGGTACCTAGAAAGCTGCTGTTTGTCCCTGGGCTTAACTAAGCTAGCATGTAGCCCTAGAAGCTACCTGTGACAATGAGGGAAGCAGGCTTAGGATAAAGTGGACTCTGTGAGAGACAGAGAAGAGAGATGGCAAGAAATTGGATGTTTCGTGATATAGTTGAGCTGCTATATATCAAGCCCAATCTAAGCCCCTGTTTATCTCTGAACTTTCTAGTTAGGTGAGCTAATAAATCTTTGCTATTTAATCCAGGTCCAATTAAATTTTCTGTTAGTTGCAACATAAAGTATCATAAGTGACATATCTTTTTGTCAATCACCTAATTTAGAAGGTGGGCCTTTTAACATTTGAGATTCTGCAAGGTCTGTACCAATATTACCCAAACTGATTATGACAAGTCTTGTCAATGAGAGATTTTAAGTGCTGAATATCTGACACTAAGTCCAACCTTCTCCCCAAAATTCAATATCCTCTTAGTTAAGATCTGAGTGGTTCTTGTAGATATCTCTAAAACCCCAGGTACCTTCTCTTTCACCTTTATAGTTATCCCAGTCAACCCTGTTACTAACAGTCTAATTTCAGGTGCTTCCTGGGGCAATGTCCTCCCCAAAGGTTTGCCTTCAAACATTCCATCTTCCGTGAGAACTTCTGCTACCACTTGTTCCAGGAGCCCTTAGTGAAGTCACCATAAAAATCACCATATTTAATATTTCCCACCTCTTGGGAAAGATTTGGAGCTAACAAACTGTTGTCATATAAGTATCACCAAAATTGGTTTGTTCCTTTTTCAGGAGATATACGTCATTGCATCAAATGGCATATATAATACTTGCAAAATTACTGTGAAAAATCTTGTTCCAAAAATGGTGCCAGATTTCTCTTTAACATGGTTAGCAAAGATCAGCGAGGAACATGATTCATTCAATAATTCTTGAATGGGGTGACTGAGTTATGAATGGAGTTCATCACAGCCAGTCATTTCTGTCTAAACAGATTACAAGAGGCATTGGATCAATTTCTTTTTCAAGCAGGCACTTGTCTAAGGGCTAAATCTTCTACATCTACTTACCAGGGTGACAGGTTGAAATCTGCTTGTTCATGTGAGATAAAGAATCACCTCACAGAGGGCTTAGACAAGGGTGGTAATACCTGAAAGCTGTGTAAGATTATTTTGAGGAAAGAAGTAAGGATAGAATAACTCTTGACTCACCTCCAGGTCTTTTGGTCAGTCCTGAAATTTCTACCTCATTGCTTATTTATTTATTTATTTTTTGAGACAGAGTCTTGCTCTGTTGCCCAGGCTGGAGTGCAGTGGCACTATCTCGGCTTATTGCAACCTCTGCCTCCCAGTTTCAGGTGATTCTCAGGCTTTAGCCAACCGAGTAGCTGGGATTACAGGTGTGTGCCACTACATCTGGCTAAATTTTTTATTTTTCATAGAGAAGGGGTTTTGGCATGTTGGCCAGGCTGGTCTTGAACTCGTGGCCTCAAGCGATCTGCCTGCCTCGGCCTCCCAAAGTGCTGGGATTACAGGTGTGAACCACCACATCTGACCCTCATTGCTTATTTTTAAAGAACCTAAAATTAGGTCTAACCTTAGAAGAGAATCACCAAGTTGTAGCAGGCATCTATTGCATCAGTGAAAATCCTCTGGCAGTGGAGGTGATGTGCCTTCCTAATCTCTAAGAAATAAAGGATACACCACGGGTGTTGTTTACTCTGTTTCGGATCTCAACAAAGTTAGTATTTATCCAGTGATTTTAAAATGACTTGATGAGAATACACTTTGGAGTAAGTCATCCTGTATGCAGAAAGGAAATGCATTTTGCTTTGACACCTCTTCTTCTGCTCAGAAATTATGATCTGTGCCCTAGGCTATCAGACATCAGTACACAAAATTATTCACAAAGGGTTTATGGTTCAAGTGGTAAATCTAGGCATTTGCAAAATGTTGACCCAAGTAAGTCAGCACAGAAAGCTTGATCTTTCAGTTTGATGAAAATGTAATTTTATGGATGTCAAGTTGAAGTTCAAAAGTGACATATCGTGTCACACAGATAAATAGTTTTGCCAAAAGCAATGCCATAATTCATAAGCTCTTGTCTGGCCAATGGTAACTATCAGGCTGATTAAGCGAAGTGCTTGCTAATAAATGCAGTTTTTATCCTCTATTATACATTAGTCTTTTCTGAATAATAAAGATTGCCCTATTTAAGAACTGAAATTAGTACTGCAAGCCAATATCCCACACAAAAATACTTATATATGTGCTTCTTTTTCCCTCACAAGATTAATTTTAGAACAATGCTAAGTAACAAAATGTAAGTATCTGATATTATTTCCCTCCTTGGCTCCCCACAGACCAACTGGATAATCATGCTGGAGGTAAAAAAAAAAAAAAAAGAGTAAATACAATCATAATAATAAATTATAAAAAATAAAATAGCTGCTGTTCTTGAAATGCTTTTAGTGCTGAGGAGGAAACAGACTTGAAAAATAAATAATTCTTACATTCTGGCCCAGACCAGCTTTCCTGTAGATCTTCTGTTACCACCCCGCCTCCCCGATAGCTCACAGACATTTCTCCCGGCTCTCCGGCCCAGCCAGCCACACAGAGCTCCCTGCTGCACTCTGGATGCCCCACGCTTTGCAAATTTTGATGGTTGTATGCATGGAATGGCCTTTTCTCCCACTCTTCTGGTGGGACTTTTGTTCCTCTCTCAACACTAAACTTAGTTTCTGCCTTTTGAAAACATCTCTAATTTGCAGGGGAGAACCATTTTTCTCTTTTAATTTGATTACACTGTTACCACCATCATCCCTTTGTTTTTGCATTTTTTTAATGAAAAGAAAATTTCTTTAAAAATTTTTATTTTTTAATTGCAAGTTGATAAATTATGGTTGTATATATTTATGGCGCACAAAGTGATGATATGATTCATGAATACAATGTGGAATAATTAAAGTAATTAACATATCCATCACTCCAAATACTTAACATGTTTTGTGATGAGAACATTTGAAATTTATTTTCTTGGGATTTGGAGACATACAATATATTATTATTTGCAATATTCACTACCCTGTGCAATATATCTCAAAATTAAAAAAACCCATACTCCCTCTGGGTAATTGAGGCTTTGGACTATTTGACCACCATCTGCCTCCTCTGCCTCCCATCCCCACCCCACCCAGTCTCTTGTAACCACCATTCTACTCTCTGCTTCTTTGAGTTTGATTGTTTTAGATTCCACATGTAAGTGAGATGTTATAGTATTTGTCCTTCTGTGCCTGGCTTATTTCACTTAACATAATGTTCTCCAATTCCATCCATGTTGTCATAAATGATAACATTTTTTTCTTTTTAAAGGCTGACTAGTATTCCATTGTGTATATATACCACGTTTTCTTTACCCATTCATCAGTTCATGGACACTTAGGTTTATTCCATAACTTGGCTATAGTGAATAGCATTGCAATACATACAGAAGGGCAGATAGCTCTTTGACATACTGATTTCAAACCTTTTGGGTAAATATCCAAAAGCGAGATTGCTGGATCATATGGTAATCCTATTTTTAGGTTTTTGAGGAACCTCCATACCGTTTTTTACAATGGCTATCCTAATTAACATTCCTGCCATCAGTGTATGATGGCTTCCTTTTCTCCACATCCTCGCCAACTTTTGTTACCTTTTGTTTTTTTCGTGATAGCCATTATGACAGATGTGAGGTGATATCTCATCGTGGTTTTAATTTGCATTTCTCTAACTATTAGTGATGTTGAGCATTTTTCATATGTCTGTTGACCTTTTGTATGTATTCTTTTGAGAAATGTAAATATCTAATCAGATCTCTAGCCCATTCCTAAATTAAATTATTTGTTTTCTTTCTATAGAGTTGAGTTCCTACTACTTTTGATATTAACCTCTTATTAGATGTGTGGCTTGCAGATATTTTCTCCCAATCTGTAGGTTGTCTCTTTATCCCATGAATTATTTCCTTTATTGTGCAGAAGCTTTTAATTTTGATTGTCTATTTTTGCTTTTGTTGCCTGTGCTTTTGGGGTTAAATCTAAAATCCAGACCAATGCCATGTAGTTTCCCCCCTTGTTTTCTTCCAGCAGTTTTACAGATTCCAGTCTTGTATTTAAGTTTTTAATCCATTTTGAGTTGTTTTTGTATGTGATGTGAAATGTGTCCAATTTTGTTTTTCTGTATATGAATATCTAGTTTTCCCAACACCATTTATTGAAGAGACTGTCTTTTCCCCAATATGTATACTTGTCACCTCTGTTGAAAATCAAATGACCATACATATGTGGGTTCACTACTGGGCTCTTTATTCTGTTCCATTGGTCGATGAGTCTATTTTTATATTAGTAACATGCTGTTTTAATGATTATCACTTGTGGTATAGTTTGAAATCAGGTAGTGTGGTGCCTGCAGTCTTGTTCTTTTTTGCTCACAATTTCCTTGGCTAGTCAGGTTTTTTTGTGGTTCCATATGAATTTGAGGATTAGTTTTTCTATTTCTATAAAAATGATTTTGGAGTTTTGATAGGGATTGCATTGAATCTGTAGATTGTGTTGGGTAGTATGGAGATGTTAGCAATATTAATTCTTCTGATCCATGAACATGGGATATCTTTTCATTTATTTGTGTTTTCTTCAATTTCTTTCATCATCATTTTATAGTTTTCAGTGTACAAGTCTTTCGTTCTTTGGTTAAATTTATTTCTAAGGTTTTTTTGTAGCTATTATAAATAAGATTGTTCTCTTGGTTTCTTTTTAAGATAGTTCATTTTTAGTGTATAGAAATGTTACTTATTTTGTGTGTTCACTTTGTATCCTGTGACTTAATTTTGTTTATTAGTTCTAATAATGAAATCTCTAGGATTTTCTATATGTGAGGTCATGTCAGCAAACAATAATAATTTCACTTCTTTATTTCTTTTTTTGGATGCCTTTTATTTCCTTCTCTTGCCTGATTGCTCTGGCAAGAACTTCTAGTACTATATTGAATAGAAAAGGTGAGGGTGGGCATTTTTGTCTTGTTCTGGATCTTGGAGGAAAAAGTTTCAAATTTTAACTGTTGAGTATAATGTTAGCTGTGGGCTTCTTATATATAGACTTTATTGTGTTGAGATGCATTCTCTCTGTATCTGATCTATTGAGTGTTTTGTCAAATGCTTTTTTCTGCAGCTGATGAGATGATCATATGGTTTTTGTACTTTATTCTGTTAATGTGATCTATCATGTTTATTGATTTGTGTATGTTGAATCATCCTCATATCCCAGGGATAAACCACATTTGATCATGGTGTATGATCTTTTTAATGTTTTGTAGAATTCAGGTTGCTTGTATTTTGTTGAGGACTTTTTCATCTATATTCATTGTGAATAATGGCCTGTAGTTTTATTTTCTTGTGATGTTCTTGTTTGGCCTTGGTTACAGGGCTTTGTAAAAATAGTTTGAAAGTATTTCCTTCTCTTCAATTTTTTGGAGGAGTTTGTGAAAGATTGATATTTGTTCTTTAAATGTTTGGTAGAATTAAGCTGTAAGACCATTAGGTCCTGGACTTTATGGGAGACTTTTTATTACTGTTTAAATAACCTTACTTGTTATTAGCCTGTTCATATTTTCTGTTTCTTCATCATTCAGTCTTGGTAGGTTATATGTGTCTTATTTATTTATTTCCAGGCTATCCATTTTTTTGGTATATAATTGTCCATAATAGTCTCTTATGACCCTTTGAATTCTGTGGTATCAGTTGTAATATTTCCTTTTTCATTTCTGGTTTTATTTACTTGAGTCTTCTTTTTTTCTTAGTCTAGCTAATTTTTTTCTATTTTGTTTATTTTTTCAAGAAGCTAACTCTTCATTGGCCTTTTCCCCCCCATATGTAATTTTATTTATATAAAATGTCCAGTACAGAGAAATGCAGACAAAGTAGGTTATTTGTTGCTTAGGTCTGGGGGAGTTGATGGGAGGGAATAGAAGTGTGATACTTAAATAATACAGGCTTCTTTTGAGGTAATAAAAATATTCTAAAATTGACTGTGGTGTTACTTGCACATACAAGTGAGTATGTAAAAAACACTGTATTGTATACTTTATTTTTTTAACTTTTATTTTAGGTTCAGGGGTCCATGTAAGGGTTTGTTACATAGGTAAACTCCTGTCATGGGGGTATGTTGTGCAGATTATTTTATCACCCAGGTGTTAAGCCTAGTATCCAACAGTTACCTTTTCTGCTCCTCTCCCTCCTCCCACCCTCCACCCTCAAATAGACCCCAGTGTCTGTTGTTTCCTTCTTTGTGTTCATAAGTTCTCATCATTTAGCTCCCACTTATAAGTGAGAACATGTGGCATTTGATTTTCTGTTCCTATGTTAGTTTGCTAAGGATAATGGCCTCCAGCTCCATCCACGTTTCTGTAAATGACATGATCTCATTTTTATGGCTGCATACTATTCCGTGGTGTAAATGTACCACGTTTTCTTTATCCAATCTGTCATTGGTGGCATTTAGGTTGATTCCATGTCTTTGTTATTGTGAACAGTGCTGCAATGAACATTGGTGTGCATGTGTCTTTATGGTAGAATGATTTCTATTCATCTGGGATGAATGGGATTGTATGGGTCAAATGATAATTCTGCTTTTAGCTCTTTGAGGAATTGCCATATTGCTTTCCTAGGTGGTTGAACTAATTTACACTCTCACCAACAGTATATAAGATTCCCTTTTCTCCACAACCTTGTGATATTGAGCTTTTTTTCACATGCTTATTGGCTGCATGTATATCTTCTTTAGAGAAGTGTCTGTTCATGTCCTTTGCCCACTTTTTAATGGGGTTGTTTGTTTCTTTTCTTGTAAATTTGTTTAAGCTCCTTATACATGCTGGATATTAGACCTTTGTCAGATGCATAGTTTGCAAAAAGTTTCTCCTATTCTGTAGGTTGTTTGTTTACTCTGTTGATAGTTTATTTTGCTGTGCAGAAGCTCTTAAGTTTAATTAGATCCCACTTGTCAATTTTTGTTTTTGTTGCAATTACTTTTGGTGTTTTTGCCGTGAAGGCTTTGTCCATTCCTGCGTCCAGGATAGTATTGCCTGGTTGTCTTTCAAAGTTTTTATACTTTTGGGTTTTACATTCAAATCTTTAAGGTATCTTGAGTTGGTTTTTACATATAGTATAAGAAAGGGGTCCAGCTTCAATCTTCTGCATATGGCTAGCCAGTTATCCCGGCACCATTTATTGAATATAGATTCTTTTCTCTATTGCTTGTTTTTGTCTCCTTTATTGAAGTTCAGGTGGTCATAGATGTGTGGCCTTTTTTTCTGGGCTCTCATTTCTGTTCCATTGGTCTATGTGCCTGTTTTTGTACCAGTACCACGCTGTTTTGGTTATTCTAGTCCTGTAGTATAGTTTGAAGTTGAGTAACATGATTCCTCCAGCTTTGTTCCTTTTGCTTAGGACTGCCATAGCTATTTGGGCTCTTTTTGTTGGTTACGTATAAATTTTAAAATAGGTTTTTCTCATTCTTTGAATAATGTGGTTGGTAGTTTGATAGGAATAGCATTGAATATGTAAATTGTTTTGGGTAGTATGGCCATTTTAATGATATTGATTCTTCCTATTCATGAACATGGGATGTTTTTCCATTTGTTGGTGTCTTTTCTGATTTCTTTGAGCAATGTTTTGTAGTTCTCATTGTAGAGACCTTTCACCTCTGTGGTTAGCTGTATTCCTAGGTATTTTGTTATTTCTGTGGCAATTGTGAAAGGAATTGCCTTTCTGATTTGGTTCTTGGTTTGGCTGTTGTTGGTGCACAGGAGTGCTAGTGGTTTCTATAAATTGATTTTGTACTCTGAAACTTTGTGAAGCTGTTTATCAGCTGGAGGAGCTTTTTGGCCAAGACTATGGAAGGGCCCCAAACTTAGGTGAAGTTACCGATTGGGATGCACAGGACCAGTTGCCTTCTCTGTGGAAATATATTATTGAGGTTTGCCTCCTTGCCTATTTGAAGTCTTAGGGTGGGCTTTGAGGCTAGCTGAAGACTGTTTAAACTCCTGTGTCTGGCAGACCTATCTCTGCCCTTTGCCAAAATTCTCTGTGATAGTTGTCTCCCTCCCTGGGTGGAGTCTGGGGGTGGACTCTGAGGTTGCATGGGGTGCTATGAAACTCCTGAGTATGGCACAACTAGCTCTTGTTCTTTTCTATAATTTGTTGCAGCAGTCATTTTCTTCCCTGGGCAAGATCCTGAGGTAAGATCTAAGGCTGGTCTTGGAGGCTACTTGTCTAGGGATTCAAGCAAGGTAGCACTTCCCTCTGCTTCTGGGAGCAACCAGATCAGCTTTGTGGGTGGGCTGTGTTCTTAGCTAGAACTTCTGATTGGGCAGTGTTGATGTCAGGTACATAGAGCTATCACCAAGATCTGCATGGTACTGTGAGCTCTGCCTCCTTGGTTTGTTTCTACCTGAACCCAGGTGGTCTAGCCATGCTATTTTTTCTTGTGTTTTCTTTGAGGTACAATGGGAGTGGGTTTCCTAGGAAGTATCTTGGAATGCTAGGGAAGCTGGGTGTCCACCTCTGGTTCTCTTTTTTCTTTGTAGAAACCATGGGCCCTAGGGAATTCTTTGTGTGTGTGTGTGTGTGTGTGTGTGTGTGTGTGTGTGGCACTGTGCTGACTTGGGGGTTGAGATGAGAGAGGTGACATAGTCAAAGTGAGACCATTTCTCCTACACTTTCTCTGTAGTTTTTATTCCATTTTGTGGATCATGCAGGTGATTCAGGGTTATTTCTATTTTTTTTTAAATTGTTTTCACCAAGGTGTTCTTGTCTTTGGATAGTTACTAGTTGAACTTTCTTTGGGGGTAGTGAAGCCTGGCACTTCCTATTCAACCATCTTGCAGATGTCACTCCCCCACTATCATTACTTTAAATTTAGGAGATTCACTCCTACTTCCCTCTTTGAGGTTAGGATTCAGGTATTTTACTTTCTGTATTTGTATAACCCAGCACAGTAACTGGCACATATTAAGTAGTGAATGAACAAATGAGAGTTAATTCAAAGAGACAATTTAGAAAGGTGAGCAGAAGGTCATAGAAAAGCAAGATTTTGATGAGCTACTCCCCTCTAGACTCAATTTAAAATCTGACTTGTTCAAAAACCTTTCCCAGAATAACAGCCTGCCTGCTCTCTAATTCTACAGAAATCATTCCGTTATTTGTCATTCTCCCAGCTGTTAGAGACACTCTTTGTATCAAATGGTTTTGCCCTTGTAGATATACTACTTTGCACTTTTAACATCACGTTATTAATAATTTTGCCTTCAGAGGCAAGTTCCTAGTACTTCTTAATAAAAATTGTGCTTCCTCAAAGTGAAGTTTTCATTGTATTTTATTTTTCTTAATTCTCCTCCTTCATGTTATATACAGCACAGTGTGCTGCTTTTAGGAGAAACTGCATACACACTTGTTGAAGAGATGAAATTAAAGAGATAATGAGGTATATTGAAATTTATTTCTTTTGTTCTTCTCTCATAGGATTATTTACAAGAAATCAAAATGGTAGTAGGCACACTTTTAATTTTAAAAAGTTGATTTATATTCAAAAAGTTAGTATGGTTATTATCTTGAATTTATAAGGAAAGGTGCTCTTTGAATTTCTGTGAAAAGTAAAGGTCAAACCATAAATAATTAGGTGTATTAATGCTGGCTATTCCTGTCAGACATGAAACAGAGAGGGAATGTATGTATTTTCTATGAAAGACCTTTTGGTCACAAATCACTCTTTTTAGACATTCTTGACAAATTGATAGCAAGGACTTTTTTTTTAAATAGACTTGCTGAACGTTTTTAAAAAAAGAATTATATTTGTTGCATTTCTTGAAATAATACCGGTGAATTTCTTAATTCCTAATTGATTTGATCTTTGAAGGTGTGAAGTAGCTCGTGAAAAAAGGAGGGAGCCATTGTAATATCACCACAGAGAAATGATTTATTTACTTGAATGTAGGCAATTCAATATTATCATATTTCCTTGGCACACTGAAAATACACATCTTATGCATTAATAGCAGATTTGGTGCAATTCTGAGACTTTCTTACAAATAACAGTAAAGACGCTTCTGAAGTACCAAACTCACATTGTGGGAGAGGCTGCCCATTGACAACACAGACTTTGTACTTGACATTTAGTGTCTGCTAGGTAGGTACTGACAGCAGGAAAGATTTCATCTCATTATCCTAATATATATATGTCTTTTTTTTTTTTTCAGAGACATGATCTCACTGTCAGATAGGCTGGAGTGCAGTGGTATGATCATAGCTCACTGCAGCCTCCAACTCCTGCGCTCAAGCAATCCTCTTGCTTTAGCCTCTTGAGTAGCTAGGATTACAGGTATGAGCACTATGCTTAGCTGTCCTAATATACCTCTTATGTAGTTCTTTTCCTTTGACCTTTTTCAACCTTTGGAAGCTCATAAAAATGCTCTTTTCTTATTGTCCAAATAGATTACACAGAAGCATTCCCACTTTAAGAGAATATTTTCATTATGCTATACTGTCTGTACTAATTAACTCAACAACTTGTGCTACAAATGTTCCACTGGATCAGTAAGCTCCGGGCTTGGTGAGGGCTATGACATGTCTATAACTCTGGAACCAATCTAGCTTCTCACTAGTTTCATTCATCGCTGACAGAAATATTACTTATTATAAATATGGACATGCTTAAGAGGATCCTTTAGTTTCAGGTGTTTTATCTTATTCACAACCTGCTTTTTGCTTTCAGTTAAACACATGTTATTATATATTGGTTGAAGTTCAACATGTTGACCTTGCCTCATTCTTATTTCCAGAAGTATTGTGTGGGAGATTTCATGTTTTTTTCTTTGCAAAATTTTTCTTGAAACAATTTTCTCCTATTTGAAAAGCCTGATGTGTAGATTTTGCCCTACAAAGCACTTAATAATTTAAGGTATATGTAGGTAGTTCAAGAAGTGGAATTGAAATAGCTAGATTTGTGATGTTTTGTTTTGGGGATTTTAAAAAGTGGTTTTAATTCTATCTGTATCCAGAACCATTTTTTCCCTGACATGTCCTTTCCTTTGTGTGTTTTGGTAAGTTATTTCCTACAAAATACAGAACCACTGTGTTTCATTTCAGCATTCTATTTTATATTATTTACCTCATCACAATGATTGGAGCATGACATCAAGGCTCTCTGGGTTGATCCAAGGAGCAAGCCCTTTTGATCAGGTGGGAAACAGTGTGCTGCTGTGAGATAATTGCCTCTCCTCCTATGTAGGTCTCTCCCAGTCTCACCTCTAAATGAAGCTGCCTCATGTCTTCAATGACCTACTGAAGACCCAGTCAGCAATAAAATAGCCAAGAGGCAGATTACACCTAGTTGGGGAATGCAGCGATCTTACAGATCACCAAAATCAGGGGGAAACTATCTTCCCACTATCCCTCCCCATTCAAAAGAGAAGCAAAATAAAGTAAATGCCAAGGAAATGCATAACAGGCCAAAAAAATAGAAAAGCCAAATAAAGCTGACAGAGAAAGAAAAGGTACTTGTTTATTTACCTTAGTCCTCATCATTAAAAGTGTTCACTCGCATTGGGCACCTTAGAGAGTAGGTTCAGAGAGCATGGTTTTTGTCATTTGAGGTTTTAAACATGTAAACAGACAAATAAGAGATTTGCCAACAATTAAACAATAAACATTGAACAAATAAAAGAATAAATATTCATATTTGACGGAATGGTTAACATGCTTATGTAATGTCTCTCATGTGCCTGTCACTATTCTCACCATTATAAATTGTAATTCATTTAATCCTCATAACAACTCTAGAGGTAAGTATAATTATTCTTCTTTCCCTGCATGGGGAAACTGAGACACAAAGCAGTTAAGCAACTTGCTCAGATCACTCACCTTGTAAGGGGCAGAGCCAAGATTGAACCTAGACACTCTGGGACTCAAGAGGCCAACGCTTAATGACTGTGCTGTGCTCCCTCCAGATGTTTCAGAGGCATCGAAATGAGGAGTTCCAAAGCTGATGTGGGCAATGTCTATGACATTGTCTGTGACTTCTTAATGACACCACTCTGATTGTGCTTTATTCCTATCATGGAAAACTTATTTATTCCTATCGGGATATAGCTCATATTGAAATTCGATTTATTATATAAGCTATTTGAGATATTGACAACCTTGCTAAGACAAGAGAGGGGACTGGAGAAGTGAGCAAAACTAGATCATGGTGGACCTTGTGTGCCAAGGCAAGAAATGTTGGCTTTATCCTGAAAATAATCAGAAGTCATTAGAATTCTCTCTCTCTCTCTCTCTCTCTCTCTGTGTGTGTGTGTGTGTGTGTATTTATAAATTATAAATACATGTGGAGAGGGAGTCTAAGTATATATAGCAGCTAAAGACTACGTATTAGGGTTGATAGTAAGAAAAACTAATTTTCAAATAAATATTTGTACATAGAATTATAAATGTATGCCTTACAAACCACTTAATGTTCCACCAAAATGCATGTTTTGACACAGGTCTCTGCCTTTGAACATTACTCTGTCTCCCTGGAAAAATTTTCCTATTTTTTCCCACCCAGTTAACATATCTCTCAAGATTCAGTTGTAATAGTTTCTTTGGGAAGAATTCTTTGACTTTACCCTCCCTCTGCCACCTATAGAATAACTCAGGAGCAGCCCATCCTCTGTGTCCCTACAAGACCCTGTGAAGCCCTTTCATTCTACCTGCCACATTCTTTGGCAATCCCTGGATTTCTTGCTTGCTTTATTCCCCACTGGACTGTGATTGGAAGACAGAGATGGAATATTTTAGCTGTGTTTATCTGGGGGCTCCAAGTGTCTGGCAAAGTGGCAATCCTCAATGCATGTTAGTTGAATAGATGGACAAATGGAATACGGAGCTCCTATTTATTCTACAAATTGTGATTAGATATGGGAATCAATCCTCTTCAGCATTAGTTCAGGAACTATTGAGGAGGAAGAATTTCTAGAATGGAGTCAATGGAGGGGGAGAGAAAGAAAGAGAGGAGAGAGAGGAGTGGAGGTGGCGGGGCTGAGACCTGACCTGTCTTATAGAATGAATATCATGTAAAAGAAAACTGAAGAGTTTGAGGAACAATCAATAACCTCTGTTGACTGAAAATTCTTGTTCAGTTGTTACAGCCCAGGCATTATGGAGGATACCGACTAAAAGGAATAAGTTCCAGTTCTCCAAAGCTCTCAAACGTAAGACAAACAACAATTTTAGGTTGAAGCACCTGAATTTTGGCAGTTTCATTTACTTCAACCTGTTCAAGGCAGGGTAAGAGAGTAAACACAAGAAAGTTTGGGAGTTCAAGGGAGAATGAAATCTTATTCAGGTGGAGAAACCAGAAAGGTCTTCATGGGGTAGACAGCCTTTCAAATGAGGGTGAAAAGAGGGCAGGATATCAGCTGCAGAGACAGCATCAAGAGGGCAGCTTAAGCCAGTTCTGCAGAAGTAAGAACCCCTAGGGCATGTTCTGGAAGAAACAATAAACCATTCTGGCTGGATCTTAGTGGCGACAGGGGTTGCTGATGAGGACTTTGAAAGTGAGGCCAATGGTGGGCAATGTGGAGCCCTTGATAATTTCTGAGCAGAGGAAAGATTTGACTGGAATTTCTTTTGTTTTTCATTTATTAATTTATTTTTTTAAATGGAGATGAAGTCTCACTGTGTTGCCCAGGCTGATCTTGTACTTCTGGGCTCAAGCGATGCTTCTGCCTCAGCCTCCCAAAGTGCTGGGATTACAGGTGCGAGCCACTCTGCCTGGCCTGATTGGAACTTGTTATAGGAAGAATCTGATGTCAGTTTGAGAATGGATCAGTACGCTGTACCTCCCTTTGCCTCTGCTTTTCCCTTTCCTCTCAACTGGGCTCATGAATATGACACATGTTTATTAAGCCTCTGCTGCATGGATGCTGTGCTAGGATGTAGGATATCAGGAAGAGAGACATATAATCCTTGTGTTCAAGGAGCTTATTCTGATGCTCACCAGTCACTTCCCAAATTGGTGCCTTCCTCTGGTTTGCCTTCAATACTGTTAGGCAGTATTTATGTGGCATTCTGTGGAGTATATGTATTGGTATCTTTATGCATCCAGAAAGAGATTTATTATAAGGTATTGGCTCACATGATTATGGAGATTGAGAAGTCCCACAACCTGCTGTCTGCAAGCTGGAGACTCCGGAGAGTGGATGGTATAGTTTGAAGGCCTGAGAGCTAGAGAGTCGATGGTGTGAACTCCAGTCTGGATTTGCAGGCCTGAGAACCAGGCACACTGAGAGCAGGAGAAGATAGATGTCCCAGCTGAAGCAGTCAGGCAGAGAACAAATTCAGCCTTCCTCCATCTTTTTGTTCAATTCAGGCCCTCAATGAATTGGATGATACCCGACCACACTGGAGAGGACCGTCTGCTTTAACTTAGTCTACCAATTCAAATGCTCATCTCTTCCAGAAATACTCAGAGACATGCCCCCAAATAATGTTTAACCAGAGATCTGTGCATCCCATAACCCAGTCAAATTGACATATAAGATTAAACATCGGAGGCAGCTATTGACATGGTGCCCCTCAGTGATGTACAATGCACTGGCAGTGTTCCTAAACCTTGAGAGAGGCAGTTATCTCTGGCTCTGAACCCATTACTGCTGATTTGCTCTTGATGTTGACCTAGAAGTAAATGTGGTATCATCTGAACTAAGAGTTAGATGGTCTGTGTTCTCAGCCTAACTCCACCACTAATTAAAACTCTGACCTCATGTCAATGCCTTAATCTCTCTGAGACTCAGTTTTATCATTCTTAAATGGGCATAATGCCACCAGCTCTGTCTACCTGGCAGAGCTATAGTGAGCTCAAATGAGACGTGTGTTTGTGTTTTGACTGTTAAAAAGTCCTATGTACTTTTATTGTCACTTTTATATTTACCATCAGAGAAGATTGTCCTGGAACTTATCTGCTGTGTTATTGCATAAAGAATATTGCTTAATTTTAAGGCTTAAAAAATATCTAGTAAACCACCCAGGAAATCTTGAATTCACCTCTAGTGTCAGAGATACAGACTCAAAAAAAAAAAAAAATTAAAGATTTAAATCAAAACTAGGCCAAAGCTTAGCCCTGTAACTGGTGATAGAGCTTGCGCGATAAGGCCACTATAGTCAGTTTTCCTGCATTGAATCTGCTGAAAGCAATTTCCTGTTTTTAACCCAAGTAGACAGCCCTGGTCCCCAAGGGGTTCATTAGCTTGGTGTTCCATGGGCAGTCTCTTTCCTGTTATTTGTTAGCAGCATGAAGGCACAATAGCAGATGGGGGAGGTTCAGCCTCACCTTTGTTGTTAATACTTACAATCTTATTAAAGGTTAAAGAAATACATGATCAGCTAACTCCTGGTATTACTAAAACTGATTTACCAGCATCACATCAAATATTTACCTTGCCCTAAGCTACCAGTAATTACAAGCTGATATTGTTCAGGCTCAAACAAACACAGAGTAATGAATTTCTGCTAATTATTAGGCACTGATGAAAAATGTGATTTGTGCACTCCCAGACTTATTCTGGGCATCTCATCTTTCTGCACAAGGGAACATTTCAATTGATATGATATATTCTATGCTGCCGGAAAGCACTTCAGTGGTGTCAACCAGAAGTAATTACCAGTGTATCTGGAAAAGTGATTAAAATGGCTTAAAATTAAGATTTTGGTTTTCCATAGTTATTTCTATGCAAATGTGTCATATTTTTCAACTGACATGGGTGTCTTAATTAAAAACAGGCTAAAGTTTTAAAATAACAAGAGATTTTAAAAATCCACTAAACCTTACACTATAAAAATAATGATTCCAGCCTTAGCTGCAAATGAAAGTAATCTTTCTTCTTGTTGTAGATCTTGCTGGGCTTTTAAAAAAGTTACATTGCACCCTGTTATTGAATCATGCATTTCCTGATGAAGTACTCAAATATTTCAGATGCTTTCCTTCACTTTGCAGGAAGAGGAGTGAGTCTGCTCTCTGTCTGTTCTCTCTGTGAGAGCCACGTGATGGCTTCTTATTTTTCCCTATGGTTGGCACCATCAAGGGGCATGCAGAGATGACTGATTTTTTTCCCCTCCTAACTTGAAGGGAGGGTGAAAAGAGTACAGAAACCTACTGTGGGCCCAGACCCCAAAGCTTGAGGCCTTCCTTCTTTCTTTGCAGTGAATATTTCTTGCTTCTGTTTCCCTTAACTCTTCAAGGTGATCATATATAGAGTGTCCGAAAGATACATCAGGGAGTCTTTAATTCTCTGTAATTCCTTTAGGCCCAACCTAGGGAATTAACTATAAACCAAGGGTTTTTAGGGTGGTCACATACTCAATAGGTAGTACCTGTTACCTCATTCCATTTCCCCTCTGTCCTTTTTGGAAGTTATGTGCTCTAAATCCATTCAGTCAGTGGTTATCCTAGCCATTTTAACATGTATATGCAAAATTTAAAATTACATATGTAACATCTGTATTACTTTAAAAAGCCTTTGGTATCTTAACCCAAGGCAGGAGTAAGGTGAAAATTCTAGGAGTTGTTGCAAGATCAGTAGGGAAGAATTTACACTAGAGAGAACTCCACGTGAAAACAGCTCCATTCTCCGTCTTCTTCTCTCCTCCTTCTGTACCTGCTTCTTGGACAAATGCAGTAATTCCTAGGGCTTCCGTTATCCCATATCTGTGTACCTTTCAAAACCATTTCTCCAGCCCACACCTCTCTTGCAAGGTTCAGATCCTGTTATCTGCTGGATACTGCCACCTCGGTGTCAAAACATGTCCAGAACTGTATCTGTTTCCCACCCTTGCCTTCCTTGGGACAATCATCAAACTGCTCATATTCTTGATCTTGGTTATTGGTACTACCATTCAGCCAGCTGCTAGAGCCAGAAGTCAGAGCACTGTCCCTAACTACCCAACATTTCTCATTCCCAATTTCTCCAAGTTATGCTTCTAACCATAATGTGGTGTCCATCAAATTGTGCCCTCCCACCCCCAGCATCCATTTGCTCTTCTAGTATCAGTAGCACCGTTACTGACTCTCTATGTAAAATTAGAGCCACAGTGAAGCCAGGTGCAAAAGGAGAGATCAGTAAGATGGATCCTGTCTTTATTTAAAATCTTGATATTTTGTTCATCACAGATTTCCTTGCATTAATTTAGATTTAAAAAAATATTGCACTAAAATAATATTTATTTTGATTACAGAGTTTTTGGGTGCCCCTTCAAATTTTGTGTATGATGTGGCCAGTGCCTCACTTGCCTTACCCTAGTCCAGGTCCTGGGTGTGATTCTGGAAATTTCTATGTGGAATCTGAAAATGAAGGCAACCCAGACGAAGACTGGGGAGAACTTAAGCCCTGATGTCATCATTTGAACCGTGACTTGAACTGTGCCTGAAGCCTACACTTGGATCTTTCAGTTTCATAAAATGACGAATATCCTCCTTTTAGTTATTTATTTGTATTTTTTGCTTAAACCAGTCTTTTTTACTCACAGCAGAAAAGTTCTTGAATGATAAATTGGGCATTGAAGGTTCCTTATGACATGGCCATTCCTTGTACTTCTCTGGCCTCATCCCTTACTAGTTCATGGGAGCATCCCATGCCTCTGTCACATTGCAAGTCATGCTGGTCACTGAACACACTGTGCTGTCTTGTGCTATCTTCCTCTGTGCACAGCGTGCCCTCTCCTGTGGACATTCTGGAATGTTCTTCTTCATCTGGTCTATCTGATGAAAACCTACTTATTTTTAAATACACAGTTTAAATGTCACCTCACAAGTGACTGAATTACATCCATGGTTATTTTCTTTTGTTCCAGGGCTTAATTTTTTTTCCCCAAACATATAACAAGTCATCCAGTTGTAACGCTGTTAAATTCCCTACTCAATCTCTTCTCCTTTGCAGAGTTAGACTTTTTCTCCCCAAATGAAATATAATGCAACTCAATTGTGGAAATTAAAAACATGGAGCACTCTGATAAGTAGTGCCAAATTCTAGATGTCTCTTCAGAGAGGCCCTAAGTGCCTTCTCACTCTCTCTTTCTCTTAATACACACTGGCTCAATAATGGAATTTTTCTTCTTATAAAATAAATATGGTATTTAATAACATAAATGGGAAGTGCTGGGTTTTCTATATTTTAGCCCATCCTAAGAGCCTCATTATTAGGAAAAGAAAATGAACAAAAGAAATAGTTTAGTAGACTCCAAACTTCCAAGACTTAAGCACCCTCTTCCATGGTATTTTTTTGTTTAAGAATCACAATTAACACAGGTTGTCTTCTCCTTGGAAAAGCATTTTTTCCCTTCTAGCTTCGATTTTACACTGCATGCTTGACAGCTTCAGAACATATGCTACCTCATCTGCTATACGGGGAAAAGAGTCATCGCTTTACAAGGTTAGAGCCCAAAGTGCCATTCCAGATATAACGAATCCACCTTCTTTCCTACAGTTCTGAATTTTGCACTTGGATTTCCTAAGCTATGGAAGGGTAATGAGAACAAAAAAGACAAAAGCAAGCCTGGCACTTGAAGATCTTTCCAGAGTTCTTAGCGACTGAAGTTTGAGCATCCAAGTTTCTGCTATATGGTGCACGTGCTCAGTCCTTCAAGTCTCCTGTCCCTAGGTGTGAGCCTGTTAGGATCCTGGGCCCCCTTGGGAAAACTTTCCAGGCATGAGTCTCTTTGACCCTTTCCAAGAGCCTCCTGTCATCACAGCTAATGGAATGTGAGGGAAGGCAGGTGATATGGTTTGGCTTTTTGTCCCCACCCGATTCTAATCTTGAATTGTAATCCCCATAATCCCCATGTTTTCAAAGGAGAGACCAGGTGCCAGTAATTGGATCAAGGAGGTGGTTTCCCCCATGCTGTTCTCATAATAGTAAGTGAGTTCTCAGGAGATCTGATGGTTTTATGAGGGGTCTTTCCGCCTTCTCTGGGCAATTCCTCCTGCTGCCTTGTGAAGAAGGTGCCTTTCTTCCCTTTCACCTTCCCCAGGATTGTAAGTTTCCTGAGGCCTCTCTGCTGCACTGAGTCAATTAAACCTCTTTCCTTTATAAATTACCCAGTCTCAGGTATGTCTTTATTAGCAGTGTGAGAACAGACTAATACACGGAGCTGGGGAGAAAGGACAGAACTCACCTTAGGGAATATTTTGAAGAAGGCTCCTTCTCAGATCTGTCTCTGTGCCCCCGTCTCCTTGCCACTTAGAGAGCCCCTTTGCCCCATCCTCTCATGCTGTCTCCTGCATATATAAAGCTCCCAATTCCGAGGCTCCCTCAAATCTGCTTTCCTCAAAGAGGCCCATGCTCCAAAATCACCTCCCCCGCTTTCTGGAGCAGCCTTACATATTAGTGCCAAAGGAGATCTAAGGGATCATGTTGTCGATCCACAAACATTTCCCCATTAAGATAGTATTTGCTGTAGGCTTTTCATCTCTTTATCAGGCCAAGAATGTGGTCTTTGATTACAAATATGTTAGGTGTTTTTTAAAAATCATGGATTGATGTTAAATTTTATCAAATCATTTTCTGCATTTATTAAGAGAGTTATGTGGTATTTCTCCTTTAATGTTGTAAACTCTATGGATTTTCTAAGATGAAAATTGGGAAAACCCTAACTTGATAATGGCATATTGGGGGATATCTTGAAAATATTGCTCTATTGTCTTATATCCAATGTAACTGTTGAAAAATCAGATATCAATCTTTCTTGATCTTTTCTTATACTGGTTGCTCATTCTTTCTGTAAGATTTAGAGTTTTTTTTTTTTTTTGTGTCGACATCCTCAAATTACACGAAAAGAGACTTTTTTTTCTCTCTCTCTCTCCCCATTGACACCCTACCCTATGGCACTTTCAATCTAAGGTCTTTCATTTTTTTTTTTTTAATTTCAGAAAATTTATTTTCATTATTTCTTCAAATACTTCTAATCACCTTTGAAAAACATTTTATCTTTGAAACTTCAAACCCACACAAAAATTGAAATATCTTCTTCATTTTCATGTTTTTCTCTGTCGGAGATTCCTATTATTTGGATATTAGCACTTCTACTTGTACCTTCCATTTTTCTTAGCTCTATTTGCCATTGCTTTGTCTTTTCTTTTTTGCAGGAGGTTGCCACAATCAATTCTTCCAGCTCTCCAATTGGTCCCCTGGCTGTTTCCATCCTGCCACTTATTTTCCTATTGCATTCTTTATTTCACTATTATGTATTTTATATCTCATATTTCTTCTTGGTTTTATGTTTTCCCCTTACCCACAAAACAACTCGCCAGGTCAGAACTTCACCCTTTTCCCCTCCCGGTATAATAAGATACCTTGGGAAGACACTCTCCCTCCAGGGTTATTCATAGCCCTGGGGCTGTGTTGGCAAGGATGGGGAAACAACTGCCAGGAGCAGTCAGTCTTCGCCCATTTTCCTTCGCTCCTCTTGTAAGCCTAGGGGTTCCATTCGGCGTTGATTTTACTCCATTAGACACCTGGGCCAGGTGTGGGGCAGGCACTGCGTCCTAGGGCAGTGGCGAGGAGGGTGTGGGGTAGTCCAGAGCAGGGCTTCTTCCTCTTACCCCAGGGTCTCTCAGGGCTTCTTCCTCTTACCCCAGGGTCTCTCAGGGCTTCTCCATTTTCTCACGGTAGTTGCCGCTCTTCGAGGGCAGGACTAGCAGATGGGCTGGCTCAGCACTTTGGTCCATTAGCTGTTCCTTTGCTCTGCTTCACTGTCTAACTCCAAATGGGCTTGTTCAGAGGTTAAGAAAAGCCCCAGGCCAATTTTTAAAAGATCTTTCTATATGAAGAAGTGAAGAAGTAGCCAAATATGATTAAGAAAATTGGACTAAGAAAACACTTAAAAGTTTTACTTTTAATACATTAACACTTTTCATGTAACAGATACACTGATTATGCTTTAAGCTTAATTTGGAGACTGCATACCAAATTAAATTGGGGCCCTTAGAGATGAAACAGCTCTCTTTTTCTCACCTGTGTTAGCCCTGCCCCTATCTGGCTGGAGTCTGGCATTGGGCCATACAATTAAGTCATTTGGCTCTCCCTTTTTACTGAATCTCAGTTGTTAGCACTTAAAAAAAAATCTGAGCCCCTCCTAATTGATTACAGCCAATTTCTCATTAGGGAGCCTGCAGATTTTCCTTGGGGGTATGAGATGGCTATTTGAAACTGCATGTGCTTTCCTACTGTTACACTTCTTCAGTTGCTGGCAAACAATAGCTACAGACCAAGACTGTTCACTGAACTTTCTCTTCCCTCTGGTTGAGTTCCTTCTGTCCCAGGTACAGCAATCAGGGGACTGCTTCCTGATGGCTTGGGAACCAGAACTTGGGGAATAGCCTTAGTCCAATCTGACTGGTCATTGTCTCTCCCAGGAGGCTAAAGAGGCTGCATGTTAATACCTAACGTGGCCTGACTCAACTTCCCTGGATTTTCAGTGGGTACTGAATCTAGGCTGGGGATCAAACTCAGATGCCCTAAGGTGCAAAGTTTGAGAAAAGTTGGTAGGTGAAAAAATAGCAATTGTGAAGACGAGATTTGCCCATGCACTGTCAATTTATAATTTCTGAATCTTGTGTTCTACATTAATAAAAAAATGAAAGCTCAGAGAGGTTGCAACAGAAGTAGTAAAACTGTGCTAGGTCTTAAAAGCTGTGAATGAGAAGAAATCACTCAAAATAATTATTTCAGAAGGCCCATCTAATTTTCTCAAATAGATGGAAAAAAGTACAAACAACTCTATATTCCTAAAACTGCTGACCACTAAAATTGTGTCTTGTTTATTTGCTGGTAGAAAAACTCAGGGAATCTTCAGGGAGAAAAATATATTCTTCCTTAGCATCTTAACATTTCTAAATATTCAAGCATGAAAATTTAATGAGCAAGAAACTTGTACATAATTTGTTTTTATTTCTGCATTTAAACAGTGATTTTATGACTATCCTGGATATTTATAAGTCTTTATTCACAAATTTCTCTTAAAAACTCTCTCAATTTTCTTAAAAAATTTCTCAACCCACACACCAATGGTTCCAAGACTTGTTCTCCTTTATCAAAACCCCTCTTGAACTGACATTTTTTATATAAGAAAATAATCTGATAAAACAAATGGAAGCTTCCTTTTTGACTATTACACGTGGTGTTTCTGCTTAGCCTAATGAGTCTCTAATGGGTCAAATCTCTATCAAATGGTAAGAGAGGCTGTGTGTGAAAATAGGTAGCCATAGATGCTTGAATTATAGATGGAGGGTTTTAGGACAGGCATTGGAGCAGGATTTCTCAGTCTCGGCACTATTGACATTTTGGGCCAGACCATTCTTTATTGTGGTGGGCTGTCTTGTGCACTGTAGGATGTTTAGCAGCATCTCTGGCCTCTACTCAGTAGGCCAATAGATGCTAGGAGCAGTTTGCCCACGCTTCAGTTGGGACAATAAAAATATAGGCCAAATGTCCTTGCAGGTGTGTGTATATGTATGTGTGTGCAAAATCTCCATTGGTTGAGAATCACTACTGCTATTTGTTATAACAACAAAAGAAAACCACTGGTAGCTGCTTTATGGAATATTTTATTAAATATTTTATTGAATATATTCCATGAGACAGGTGCTATACTAAGAGCTCTCTGTGTGTGTGTGTGTGTGTGTGTGTACATAATCTCTGTGGTTCTCAAAGTGTGGTTCCTAATTTAACAGCATTAGTAAATTCTAGGCCCTACCCGCCAAAGCGGAAGCTGGAGGTTGGCAGGGAGGAGTGGGCCCAGAAATCTTTTTAGCAAGCCTTCCAGGTGATTCTGATGCTTGATTCAGGTTGAGAGTTTCAGAACCTTTGATATATATATATATATATATATGTATATATATATATGAAAATATGGTATATAAAATATATAATGTACAATATATAATATTAGTCTGTTCACACACTGATATAAAGAACTGCCCAAGACTGGGTAATTTATAAAGGAAGGAGGTTTAATTAACTCAGTTTAGTATGGTTGGGGAGGCCTCAGGAAACTTACAATCATGGCGGGAGGTGAAGCAAACACATCCCTCTCATGGCGGCAAGAAGGGGAAGTGCCGAGCAAAATGGGGAAGCCCCTTATAAAACCATTAGATCTCGTGATAACTCGCTCGCTCTCACGAGAACAGCACGAGAACCCCCATGATTAAATTCTCTCCCACCAGGTCCCTCCCATGACACATGGGGATTGTGGGAACTACAATTCGAGGTGAGATTTGGCTGGAGACAGAGCCACACCATAGCAAATATATAAATCTATTTAAAATCTTGTTTCATGCTTAGGCCTAACCTGAGTGATGTTTTGTATTCTTTATAGATGTTGACACTGAGGCCCAGAGAGATTAAGTAATTTGTCCCATGTTACCAGGTGGATAACCAACTTGTCCAAGGTGACGTTGCTAATATCAGAATTTATACTTAGGAGTGTTTAAGTTCAATAAATAATATTCCTTTTTCCTGCCTGAGTTCCAGATAAGACAAAGGAATGACAGGTGGAGGCCAGATGATCACCTTAATTACTAATAAGGGCAAGGTTAGGAAATATGGCTTATTGTGAGAGCCAAAGAGACCTGAAGACTGAATGCACAAATTGGATAGACTAGCCCTTGCAGTCATGGCAGCCATGGGCCTGGAAGACTCAGTGTTTGAGGAAAAGCGGTAGAGAATACTGCATCCTTCAAGCAGCTTGATTCCCATGAGGAAGCAGAGCAGAGCATGCCTTGATTTCCCCCAATTTACCAATCAGATGCATCCCTTCAGCTCTCCAGAGATGAAGTGAATACAGAGGCACAGAGAGTCCAAGAGTTACACCATTCAGCTCTCTTCCCATAGATAGAATAGCCAGAAATAAAGAAGTGTTTCCCCAGCAGCTGCCTTGACCTAACATACGCTCTTAATATTTGTAAGATATCGACTCAGTTTCTGTTTTCTTGCTTTGTTAAGAATCTGCTTCTCTTTCTTTCTTGCCAACTGATCTCTCCTGATAGATGTTTGTTTTGGCAACTTTAGATTCTTACCAGCCAGCTGGGGTGTGTGTGTGTGTGTGTGTGTGCGCGCGCACACACACACACACGTGCAGGTATGCATATTGTGGGTAGTGCTGTGATGTCAAAAGCACATGGGAAGCACCTGAGAACATCTGTTTCGCATCTGACTGATATTTGTAAGCTACTTAGCTTTTATGACTTTTTAAAAAAAAATCTAGAAATAAAGGGTCAATAATAAAGCGACAGCACAAGTTTCTGTGAGAATCAAAATAAGCAAATGCTAATAATATGGCTATCAGTCATTGTGTACATCCTTCCATTTCTAAATAATCACTGTGCTACAGTAACAATTGTTATATTATTAAAATTGTAGAAAAAGCTCTACAGATATGCTGTAGCTTCATTGTGCATGCACTGTAGTTGTTTTCTCAGGATTTAAAACAATTTAGCAGAACTAAGCAAACCTATTGTGAGTGAGACACTGAGGAGAAAAAGATGAATATGAGATCAGAGTCCATCAAAAGAGATACCATGTAAACATAATTCAGTGCATTTTTAGGCATTTGCAGATGACAGGTAAAAGTGAGTGTGTGTTGGGGTCTGGTCATAGGGATGTGTCTCCTGCTCTGAAAGCCCAGAGACTCCCTTAATGATGACAGCACTTCATGAACTTTAGCACTTTTAATCCATTAATCACCCTATATGGAAGAACTAGTGTATATATTTTATCAATGTGTAAAACAAGATGTAGGGAAGTTAAAACTTGCCCAGAATCGTAGGCATAGTGAAAGGCAGAACTGGCATTTGAATCTAGCTCTATATGATTTAAAATCTTGTAGTCTTCAGCACTAGGCTCTACCACCTCTCTCTCTAATCAGTACCGGAAGGTCATCAGGCCCTGAGTGGCTGGCATTTATTAATTAGAATGTACCTGGGGCTGATTGGGGCACCAGAATGTCAATTTACTAATTTACAGTGAGAAGGAGCTTCACAGGAGCCAGAGTGTATGATTAGGTCCATATGAGCAGATCATTCCCCTCCACCCCCCTGCCCCCCCATTTTTGGGTACCAAATCAGTAAGCAGGTCAAAATGAAAGAAATGTAGTTAATCACAGGGTAACATCCCTTAACGATATTGCTCCAGGGCCTCCCCACCTCTAGAGGCAGCTGTGATGTGGGCCAAGTTACTCCAGGTCAGCGTCTGCTCTTTTTTTTTTTTTTTCTATGGGGCAGTTCTGAATGTTTTCTATGGAGTTTTTCTCTATTTCTCTCTCTTTCTGGACTTTAGATATTCCACAGCTTTAACATAATAATAAACTTTTTTGAGTTACCCTCCAATTACTTAATTTGAGGAAGTTCTCCAGCTACTATGACAGATAATTTCTCCCAGCAAAAGTTGATTTCGTAGTTTAACCCTCAGAGGCAGATCTTATTTCTCTTATTTCAAATTCTTGGGAGATAGCTTTCTGCAGTCTTCCAGTATCAATGAGACTAGCAGATAAAATATAAATACATTTAAATATTGTATTACTTTTAATGGCCAAAACTGCAATTACTTTTGCACCAAACTGTAACTCAATTAAAAAGCATATTTATTATTATAATGTCTTATAAATATTAAATTTATTTTGGCAATCTGTGAATAAAGGCACACATAAAAATTCCAAACGTTTATTGAACTTTTATTAACAACAATTTAGGCAGTATGCTGTGGTATAATCCTAAAATTTTATTGCTGGTCTGTGTTCTGATTGGTAGGTGACTATGCCATATTGATGGTAAAATATTTTGAATGTCATCCCTGGCTTCTATCAGGTTCTGGGCACTGTTCTAAGTGCTTTCACAAAAGTTAATCATTTGGGTTTCAGTATTAAATTATATTTTCTCCTACAATCCTGATGGCTATAGCTCTGGCACTTTTGAAAGTTTAGGATCTACTCAAAATCTATAGTAGTGTTTTGTTGTTGTTTCCAACTTTTATTTTGGGTTCAAAGGGTACATGTGCAGGTTTGTTGCATGGGTAAATTGCGTGTTGTAGGGGTTTGAGGTACAGATACTTTTGTCACTCAGGTAATCAGCATAATACCTCATAGGGAGTTATTCAGTCCTCACCCTCCTCCTACCCTCCACCCTCAAATAGGCCCTAGTGTCTGTTGTTCCCTTCTTTGTGTCCATGTGTACTCAATATTTAGCTCCCACTTATAAGTGAAAACATGTGGTGTTTGGTTTTTTGTCCCTGTGTTGGTTTGCTAAGGATTATGGACTGTATCTCCATCCATGTTGCTGCAAAGGTCACGATCTCATTTTTTCTTATAGCTGCATAGTATTCCATATTGTATATGCACTACGTTTTCTTTATCCAGTCCACCATTGATGGCCATCTAGGTTGCCTCCATGTCTTCGCTATTGTGAATAGTGCTATGATGAACATATATGTGCAGGTGTCTTTATGGTAGAGTGATTTGTATTCCTTTGGGTATATCCCCAGTAATGGAATTGCTGGGTGAAATGGTAATTCTATTTTGAGTTCTTTGAGAAATCTCTGGACTGCTTTCCACAGTGGCTGAACTAATTTACATTCCGACCAGCAGTGTATAAGTCTTCCCTTTTCTCTGCAAGGTGGCCAGCGTCTGCAATTTTTTGACTCTTTAATTATAGCCATTCTGACTGGTATGAGATAGTATCTCATTGTGGTTTTGATTGGCATTTTCTTAATGATTAGTGATATTGAGCAGTTTTTCATATGCTTGTTGGTCATGTGTGTGTCTTCTTTTGAGAAGTGTCAGTTCATGTCCTTTGCCCATTTTTTTTTAGTGGGGTTGCTTTTTGCTTGATTTGAGTTTCTTATAGATTCTGGATATCAGACCTTTATCAGATGCATAGTTGGCAAGTATTTTCTCCCATTCTGTAGGTTGTCTGTTTACTATGTCAATAGTTTCTTTTGCTGTACAGAAGCTCTTTATTTTAATTAGGTCCCACCTGTCATTTTTTGTTTTTTGTTGCAGTTGCTTTTGGAGTCTTCATTATAGAATCTTTGCCTGGGCTGGTGACTGGAATGGTATTTCCTAGATTTTCTTCTATGGTCTTCATAGTTTTAGGTTTTAAAGTCTTTAATCCATCTTGACCCGATTTTTGTAAATGGTGAAAGATAGGGGTCCAGTTTTCACCTTCTGAAAGATAGGGATCCAGTTTTGACCAGCTGCATATGGCTAGCTAGTTATTCCAGCACCATTTATTGAATAGAGAATCCTTTCCCTGTTGCTTGTTTGTGTTGGATTTGTCAAAAATCAGATGGTTTTAGGTGTGTGGCTTTATTTCTGGATTCTCTAAAGTGTTCCATTGGTCTATGTGCCTGTTTTTGTATCAGTACCATGCTGTTTTAGTTACTGTAGACTTGTAGTACAGTTTGTATTTTAGTTACTGTTTGTGTTTTAGTTACTGTAGCCTTGTAGCATAGTTTGAAGTTAGGTAGTGTCATGCCTCCAGCTTTGTTCTTTTTCTTAGAATTGCTTTGGCTATTCAGGCTCTTTTTTGGTTCCAAATGAATTTTAGAATAGTTTTTTTCTAATTATGTGAAAAGGGTCATCGGTAGTTCAATAGAAATAGCACTGAATCTGTAAATTGTTTTGGGCAGTATGGCCATTTTAACAATATTGAGTCTTCCTATCCTGAGCATGGAATGATTTTCCATTTATATGTGTTGTCTCTGATTTCTTTCTGCAGTGTTTCCTAATTCTCATTGTAGAAATCTTTCACCTCCCTAGTTAGCCATATTCCTAGGTATTTTATTCTTTCTGTGGCTATTGTGAATGGGATTATATTCTTGATTTGGCTCTCAGCTTGGATGTTGTTGGTGTATAGAAATGTTACTAATTTTTACATTGATTTTGTATCTTGAAACTTTGAAGTTCTTTATTGGATCTAGGAGCCTTTGGGCAGAGACTATGGGGTTTTCTAGGAATAGCATCATATTGTCTATGAAAAGAGATAGTTTGAGTTCCTCTTTTCCTATTTGGATGCCTTTTATTTCTTTCTCTTGATTGATTGCTCTGGCTAGGACTTCTTACAGTAGTTGGAGGTTAAAAGTCAGGAATCGTGATGGTTAATCTTATGTGTCAACTTGATAGGGCTGAGGGATGTCCACATAGCCAATAAAACATTATTTCTGGGTGTATTTGTAAAGGTGTTTCTGGAAGAGATTAGCATTTGAGTTCATGGACTGCGTAACTCAGGCTGCCCTCCCCAATGTGGGTGGGCATCATCCAGTCTCTTTAGGGCCCGCATAGAGCAAAAAGGCAGAAAAAGAGCAACTTCTCACTCTGCTGGAGCTGGGATATCCGTCTTCTCCTGCCCTTGGACAGCAGTGTTCTGGGTTCTTGAGCCTTTGGACTCAGATCAGAACTTGCACATCGTTCCCCCTGATTCTCAGCCTGCAGACATGGGACCAAATTACACCACTGGCTTCATGGTTCTTCAGTTTGCACGTGGCATATCTTGGGACCTCTTGTCCTCCATCATCATGTGAGCCAATTCCTATAATAAATCTTCTCACATATATCTCTATATATGCCACTGGTTCTGTTTCTCTGGAGAACCCTGAGTAAGACAGAGGTAAATATGTGTATGTGTGTAAGTGTGTGTGTGTGTGTGTGTGTGTGTGTATGGGAGTACAAAATACATGATAGATTTAAAGAGAACCTAAAGTTTAAGGGGCCCTCCAGAGAGCATCCATGTCACCTCTCTGACTATAGAAAGGAAAAACTTGACTTACTTTATGTGGTGACCTGCCCTAGGTCAAAACACTTGACGGATTAACATCCCACCTGGAGACACATTAAGAAGCATTTCTTTACATCTGGACCAAATGCTTTTGCTAAACTTTTTTTATTCAAAGGGCATTCAAAATACATAGTGGAATTTACATTTTGGGCTCTAGCTCTGGAAATAAGATTGACATTTGGTTGCACAAGAATTTGTTCCCTCAATTTACAATGCAAAACCTGTCATCTAATTTAAATACAGTATTCAAAACAAGAAATCAGACTTTCAGAGATGGTAGAGATGGGTTGTACCATGTAGTGGAATTGCTTGACAGCCTCTCAATTTTCTCTGGAGACAAAACAGCTCTTCTACCAGCAAGAAAGTTTCAATGGAGATGGTAATATCCATAGCTATATTTCAAATTATGGTTGATAGAGTTATTTTTCTCAAACTGAATTTAAAATCATATATTTGTTGATTTAAATTGTCCTCATTCTCATATTATTTGAATTAAATGATGAGCTTTTCAAAACATGGGAGACAGATAAAGTCTAAGAAACCTTAACAAGAAATCACAATGTGAAGGAAACAATGTCATTTGAACTGATATGTGAGCCAGTCAGTCACAGACAAACACCTCTGCTTCAACACAGCTTACTGAGTTGAAGAGGGGTAGTCAGGGAGAATGAGTCAAGACATTCTTATTGACACTTTTTATTATTTTACAATAATTTATAAAGGTAATATATGAACACTATAGAAAATTAATGCCTTGAAGGGATATATGAAGTAAAATAAAAAGTGATCCCTGCTTCACTTTTATTCTTTCACTCATGAGGGTAAGCATTGTTAGTAATTTGGTATATATCATTTCTGTTTATTTTCAATGCACTTAGAAACATATGTGCACATTTATTAGTATGTATGTATTTATGCATGTATATTGTATATAAAAATGAAATTATACAATATATTTAGCACATTCTCATTTACATTAAGTGTGTTAGAAACATATGTGGGTCAGCTTTCAAGACTGGACATCAGACAGCAAAGTTCAGGGATCCTGGAAAAACAGGGAAAAGATGAAGTAAATTCTGTTTTGGTTTGTTTGTTTGAGGTAGGGTCTCACACTGTTGCCCAGGTTGGAGCACAGTGGTGTGATCATGGCTCATGGAAGCCTCAAACTCCTGAGCTCAAGTGATCTTCCTGCCTCAGCCTCTCGAGTAGCTAGGACTACAGGTGACCACTACCACATTGGATTATTATTATTATTTTTCGTAGAGATGATCTTGCTATGTTGCCCAGGCTAGTTTTGAACTCTTGGTCTCAAGCGATCCTCCTGCCTTGGCCTCCCAGTGTTGGCATTACAGGTCTGAGCCACTGCACCCACCCCAGATGGGGTGAATTCTATAATTGCTCCAACTTTTTGTCTTTGGTGTCTGTTCAGATCTTTGGCTCACTTACTGTGTCACAGATATACATATAAATATGGAAAGATGGGCCGGGCGCGGTGGCTCACGCCTGTAATCCCAGCACTTTGGGAGGCCGAGGCGGGTGGATCATGAGGTCAGGAGATCGAGACCATCCTGGCTAACAAGGTGAAACCCCGTCTCTACTAAAAATACAAAAAATTAGCCGGGCGCGGTGGCGGGCGCCTGTAGTCCCAGCTACTCGGGAGGCTGAGGCAGGAGAATGGCGTGAACCCGGGAAGCGGAGCTTGCAGTGAGCCGAGATTGCGCCACTGCAGTCCGCAGTCCGGCCTGGGCGACAGAGCGAGACTCCGTCTCAAAAAAAAAAAAAAAAAAAAAAAAAATATGGAAAGATGAAAGAGAAATACTTTTCTTATATTGAATGAAGAAGGCTTAGCATGGCATTAAAAGTAGAAGCATGAAAGAATGATTTAAAACTTTTGTAGAATGACATATTTCACCAGCAAAATTAACGTCCAAAAGAAGACTTTAAAACAATATTTGCAAAAGCTATTAGAAATATAAGAAGATTCATATTAGAACACTTTAATACATCTTGTTCAGAAACTAATGGATTAAATAAATTAAAAAGAAGTGGTCTATACATGCCTGGAATGATCGAATAATCAATTTTTATACAATTTATATATTTGTCCAATAAATTAAGAATAAATATTTTCAGATGCCTATGAAGCATTTTGCATTGTCCATGAGAAATGATACTGATGATAATGATTATTGTGATAGGCAATATTTATTGAGTGCTGACTATGGGCCAGCCACTGGGTTAAGCCTGTTACATGTACTTCTATTCCTCATGAACTGAGGTAAATATTGTTATTATTCCCATTTTATAGATGAGGAAATCAAGGATTAAAAAGATTAAATAATTTCCAAAGACAACATGGCATCACAGTTTTCCTTTCTGTATAATAAAATATCGAGTAAAGAATAATGTTCCATTTTCATTCTCTTTCACAGGAATTCTCTGTGAAAATCTAATGTTTAAATTCTCCCACATTCTTAAGCAAATGGCCATTTCGTTGCTGACTACGCCTTTACATCTCATCTCAGGCTCTTCTGTCCTCAAATTCCTTGAGTAGCTTTGAACAGCTATGAATGTATTCTGTTTAAGTGCTGGGTCTAATATGTCTTAGCCAATTCCATTCCATAAATAATTGCTTACTGTGAGCAAGTCTGTTATCCAGTGTCCGGTAAAAGGCCCTTGGTTCACCTCTTAATGCTTCCGGGCTTGGATCTTGGCTCTCTTCTCCTAGTTCCATGGCTTTCAACACCATCTATGTGCTTATGACTCCCAGATCTGTATCTCCATTCCAAACTTATATAAACAATTTTACTTGGTACTCATCTTGGACACTTGGATATCTTACAGGCGTATTGGACTTAACCCATCCAAAATGGAATACTTGATTCCTAATGCCTTACCCCCATCCCTAAAGCTTTCGTCCTCCACCGCACTGCATCTTCATCTGAGTAAATGGTACATCTTCCACTTAAGTGCTCCGCTAAAATATCTAATGGTCATTTTTGATTTGTCTCTCTCCTCATGCCCTACAGTCAATCATTCAGCAAGTCCCATTGGTTCTACTTTCAAGACATATCTCAAATCCAACTCCATTTTTTTGTCTTCACTGTCCAAGTAGCATCTTCACCTATTAGAATTATGGTAATAGCATTGAATTATTCTACCAGCTTCAACTCTCTTGCTCCATTTTCCATTCTCTGCAGAGCAGCCAGAGCAATTGTCTCAATGTTAATTCAATTCACTCCACTTGCTTGAAAACTTTTAGTGACTTCCCATCACATTTTTAATAAAATAGAAACTGCTCTCCTTGGCTACTGAGCTCCTCTATGCTATGGCTTCTGCCTACCTCTTCCTCTTCATTCCTCACCACTTGGCCCTCCTCTCTAAGCTCCAGCTGTGCTGGGCTCCTTTCTGTTCTCAAACACTCTGAGTGCATTCCAGTTTCAGCACCTTAGCACTGGCTATTGCAGCTTCCTGGAACTCTTTCCCCAGGCTTGTGTCATGGTTGAATCCTTTCATCTTTCTTGTCTCAGCTCAAACATTACCCCTTTGAGGGTTCTTCCCTGATCATCCTATTTAACATAGGATTATTCATTCCCACTTACTTACCTTCAAATCATCTTCATTATTTCCTTTTCAACACCCCAATTTGAAACTTTTGTCTTGTTTTTCATTTACTTGATTTTTAAACTTGATTTTTGTTTTTAGTAAATATGCACACATAGTTTAAAAAGCTAAACAGTAATACAAGATCTAGGTCAAAAAATGGTAATCCTCTCATTCTCTCCTCCATTCTTCCTCATGCCTTTTCCTTAGAGGCATATACTTAGATTTCTTGTATTTTCTTTCAAAATTCTAAATAATCTTACCTGATGATTTTGTAAATATTGTTTCATAACTGATCTTCAAAATGTAAAGACCAGATTTCCTTTCTTACAGAAGCATGAGCTTTGCTTTTTTTGTTTCATTTGATTTATCCCCTAATTTAGCCTCTAAATGTCTGGGGGAAAAAACAAAACAAAACAAAACAAAGCAAAACCTACAAATGTCCTCTCAGAATAGGCAAATACATCAGGCACTCTTTTAACTCATTTTTTTTCTCTCCCCAGCTTGGAACTCTCCATGATGGAGTCCTCTCTTTTCCTGCCCAGTCTGTGTTGTTGGTCAGTTGTGGTTCTGGGACTACCTTTCCTATCATTCTGGATATTTCCTTTACTTCTTTCCTAGGTTGGAATTTTTGTTTTCTAAATTCCATTGCCATCTTTATTGTTTATGTCTTCATTTCAGCGAAGTACATCTTTTAATATCTTAAGAACAGTGTATGAAAGGCACTATTATATCTGTGATGTTACATGTCTGTAATCTACCTTCATTCTTGATATTTTAGTTAGTTATAAAATTCTAGATTGGATGTACTGCCCCTCAGAACTCTGAAGTTACTGAGTTCCAGTATGGCTGTTGAAATTCTGTCATCTGGATTCCTGACCTTTTATAAATAACTCCCCTTCTTCCCTTGTGTTCTGAAACTTCATTGGATGTGCCTTAATGGAGGTCTTTTCTACTAATTGCACAACGCATTTGCTGGGCCTTTTCAATCTGGTGATTTATGTTCTTCAGTTCTTAGAATATCTTTTATGTAACTTATTTCTCAAATACTTTCCTTTCTGCCATTTTCTCTGCTTGCTCTGTCTACAACTTCTGTTAGTCCTGGATTGATTCACTAATTTCTTTATCTTTTATCAGCTATTTTCCATCTCTTCAGCTTTTGTTTTTCTTTCAGGGAGAGTTTCCTAATGTTGTCTTCAAATCTTTGATATTTTAACATTTTAGCTTTAATATATGTAATTTCTAAAGAACACTTTCTTATTCCCTGAATGTTTTTCTGTAGTGATTTGTTCTATTAATGGATGTGATATCTTCCCTTATTTCTTTGAAGCTATTCATTATGAATTTTTTTAAAAAGTTTTTTTCTGTCCCCTGAATTGTTTAAACTTCTTCCAGGTTTTCCCTGTTTCGTGTTTGATTTCTGTCTTCTATGATAGACAATTTACTTAAATATCCTATGATCTTTGGCTATCTATTTATGCCTAAGATTTCTGTATCATTACTTTAGGGGTGAGGCACTAAAACTCAAATTGGCAGTTATGCTTGTATGGGCAGAGTTTGCTAACTGATAGATTACCTATGGTTTTATTGGGACACCCACTAATGACAGTATCTGTAGTTCTTTTCTATTGGTGGGCTCATTTTCCCCAGAAAGGAATCATCCAGCCTTTGCCTGGGATGTTTGAGGCCAACTGCCAAGGTTCTGGGGGCTGATCAGGGGAAGGGAACTGGGACCTCGCTGTTCAGTATGCCTACTTTTACTCAACACCCATTTTCGATATAGTGTCTCTGCCCTGCTCCAGATTTTGTCCCTAAGTCCAGACTCTCTCTGCTTCAACCTCTGCAAAGCGTAAACTCCTGTTTCCTGGCCAGAGGAGGAGAAGTGGAAGCCTGGGGAATGAAATCTAGAGATGGCTGTCTCACTGCTCCTTCAACTTTCAACCCAGCTCCTGTTTTCAGTACCCCCCTGAAGCTCAACCTTAAGAGATGCCCTGTGCTTCCATCCCAAGACTTTCTGGGGCTTTGAAACTTGCTTCTTATTACTTTTCACACTGTAAGCAATTGGGTTTCATATTTCTCAGCTCTTCTAAATCAGATACTACTTATCAGTTTTCCGTAGTTAAAATTTTTGTTGTCATGGCTTTTCTGGGGTTATTTTCTGTTTTGTTCTGTTTGTCTCTTCTTTTTAGACCTTTTAAGTCCTTGGCAGTCACTTTACTGGAATTTGGGAGAGGGTGGCATACCAAAGGGCCTGTGTTAAATTCACTGTGTTTATCTAGTTCCTTGAGATTTTACTTATTGTCTGTTCCCCATCTCCTTAAAGTATAAATGCCTTGAGAGCAGGCAGGAATTTTGTTGTGTTTATCATTTTGTACAGGCCTCTAACATACTTGGCACAGAGTAGGGACTTAAAATATTTGTTGAATAAATGGGTAAAGGAATTTCATAGGTATAGTAACTTTGTGACTTTTTTAAAAAGTTCATTAAAATGTAATTTACATACCATATAGTTCACCATTTAAAGTGTAGAGTTGGATGGTTTATAGTATAGTCACAGAGTCATATAACCACCACCATGATTAACTTTAGAACATTTCATTATCCCCCAAAGAAACCCTGTACTCATTAGCAGTCATTTTCCATTTCCCCCAAACCCCCGGCCCTAGGCAAACACTAATCTACTTTCTGTCTCTAAAGATTTTCCTATTCTGGACATTTCATATAAATGAAATCATACCATATGTGATCTGTAACTTGCTTCTCTGACTTAACATTTTCAGGTTCATCTAAGTGGTAGCATGTATCAGTACTTCATTCTTTTTAATGGTCTAATCATATTATGTTGTATAGATAAAGCACATTTCATTTATCCATTCATTAGTTGATGGGCATTTGGTTGTTTCCACTCTTTGGCTATTTTAAATAATGCTACTAAGAGCATTGAGGTACACATTTTTATTTTTATTTCTTTTGGATATATTTATAGGAGTGGAATTGCTGGGTCATTTGGTAACTCTCTGTGTAACATTTTGGGGAAGTGAAAAACTGTTTTCCAAAGAGCCCACACCACTTTACATTCCCACCGGCAGTGTATGACGGTCCCACTTTTTCCATATCCCCTTATACTCACACTTGTTATTATCTGTCTTTTTGATTACAGCCATCCTTGTGGGTGTGGAGTAGTATCTCACTGTGGAATCTTATGACTTTTAACCCAAACAAATAAACATTTGCTGAATACTAATACATGCTGCACACTGTGCTCTGGAAGATTAAACTATAAACGAATGAAGAACCTGGCTTCCTGCAGAGAGGGCAAATGCATGGTATCCGAGCTGGGTGGTCCTGTCTTCTTTTCAGTTCTTCCTCAGTTACCTTTTCTTCTTTTGCTCCTTTTTTGCCCTTTCATTCATAGCTAAGTACAACCTTTGTTATGACTGAGGAGCATCAACAATGCTGGTGAAATATCTGTATGAAGCAAAAAGGGAAGCTCTGCATTCTCAAGTGAAATGAGAAATAATTAGTCCCCGAGAGTACTCCAATTCTCATCAGAATAACTTCAACATGTTTCTATCTCCTGTCTGGGGTGATATTCCTTTCTTCATTTTGTAGAATTAGAAGTCACCTCGACTTCTTTAGTGGTTAGGGCATATCTCTAGGCTTCTCATTCTGTTTTCTTGTCATCCCCCCACCCCTCCAGGCTTCTGTAGCTTCTTGGTGGCAGGCTGTCAATCTGGTGGAAACGAGGATATTCTTGTTAAATGAATACTTATTAAAACTTCTTTTCTTTAACTATCAACATTCAAGATAACGGAAATCTGAAAGTTTACTTTGGAATAGATTGTTTTTCTGTTTTCTCTGAATTGTTAATCATGAGAATTGCAAAAATATTGCTTTTTACTATATTTTCTATAATATAGTAAATTGTATTGCAGTTTTATAGTAATTTAAATATATTTCTATGAGTTGTCTTGGCACCAGCCCTCCACTTCTAACTTGTTTCTATGGGAACAATGACATTCAAATTCTAACCCACTGCTTTGCCAAGACTGTGAGCACAACTTGGTTGTAATGCAGAAGTCCTTAACGGGTAAACCAGGGTATGAGCATAGTAGCTCTTTAGTAGAAAAAGGTGAAGCCAATATGTCAGAGCCTGTGGTCATTTAGTACAACAGTAAAGGGGTGCCCTGGGAATGGCATTTTACTTAGGAAATTTCAATCTGAAGTCCCTGTTGTGTACTGGAAAGAGCGTCTCTAAGGAAAGAAGTGACCTTGGGCAAGTCGTCAATGCTCCTTGGATCCCACCTTCCTCATCTGTAAAATGAAAGAACTGGATGAGATGATTTCAAAGGACTCTTTTAGCTTTAACAGGTTTCAGTATATAAAAGCCAAAATCACTATGTTAAGTTGTGATTTTTCATTCCAAGTTTAAGATCTTTTAATAATTGATTCTTCATTCCTCAAACAGACTCATAAAAACAGCACTGAAGGTAAAATCTGACTCCAGCTGAATTGAGGTCATACCCTACTAGAGTAAGTCAGAGCTGCTGGATATTTTCCACTTATTTGCTATAGATGTCTCTTCCAGCTTTATCCTTGAAGTCATTGGACTGCTGACCAAAGTAATTAAATCCAAGTGTACAATTCACCAAGTCTGCTTTTCCATAATAAAAATATAATAAAAATCAATAGTTTCTTCTCATGGATGGACTACACTGATATATTCACCTTGTCTGGGAAAGGGTATGTTAGGAATGTTAACTAAGTAAATCATGAATTCAAACCACAGACTAAGGTTCAGGAGAAGAGCAAAGTTGCTGTGTATTGAATGGGGATGTGGGCTGTCAGTATTCCTCTGATATGGCAGGTGTTTCCAGGACCTGTCAGAAACTTCCCTTTAATATTGTGACCTCAATATTAGGGACCCTTGGGATGTTTTTGGTTGCATTCTTTTTTTTCCTCTGTTGAAAGCCTAAGGGGATTAGAATTAAGGTACTTTCTGTATTGCAGCTGTGTTTTGTTAAGCTGCTAATTGTGTCCAACTTCTTCCCTGAGGAAGTTCTTGGACTTTGGCTTGGCAGATGACAGTTAATTTGTCAAAATGTTTGAATGCTTTATGTAAACAAGACCAAAGCTCTGTCTACACACAGATAAAATTTCTTGAAAAATATAGCATTCAGTCAAACACTAGGCTCTTTGGAGAAATACTTGTTAGTGACCATTTGCATTTTAGTTCTTTGAATACAACTATTTCTGAAGAGTAGGCTGAAGTAGCGTTTTTGAATTTTCATGGGTAGTCATTCTTGGGTTATTTAAATTTTCTAAAGTGCTTTAGCCGTGGGTACTTTAAAAAGAAAAAAAGCCAAGACACAGTGAGATTCAAACTCTAGGTACTGAGCTCCTCAAGTCATGGCCAGAGGTGTTTGTGAAGGAACCTATGAGTTAAATGGGGCCTTATACAAAGCCCCTTAGGCCTCCATCTATAGGAATGGGTTCTAGACCCATAGTCCTAGTTTGCTCTAAACAGAGTTGTTGCCCCCACTTCCCAAGGTGAATTGCCCAGCCCTGATCCTCCTATGCAGCCTTGATACCATCATACCGCCGCTCCTGTGACTGCTGGTCTCTCTGTACTCCTCCTGCACATTTGGTCTTCTTAGTGCTCTCTGGCCTCACTTGGTGCGTTCTGGAGACCCATGACATCTGGTATTCCAAATAATATTAGGTTGGTGAAAAAGTAATTGCAGTTTTTGTCATTGAAAGTAATGGCAAAAGTGATACATTGAACTACAAAGTGTTACAATGAAATACAAAGTAATACATTGAAACACAAAGTAATACAGTGAAAGTAATACAGTGAACAGGTGTGAGCTGGATATGGGCCTCTGTGTGTGTGTGTGTGTGTGAGAGAGAGACTGTATGTGGTGAAAGCACATATTGGTTGTAAACATAGAGGTCCTTAAGAGTTAAACCAGGGTACTAAGCATAGTGCCTCTTTAGCAGAAAAGAGTGCATATCCACTTTTCACATCCTGAGAATTCTACTTCTGTCAACTTAGCTTTTACTATTCCTGTGCTTTGGATGCCAAATTTCCACAAGAATAAATTCTTAATTTTTTTCTATCTCCTTTTTTTTTTTTTTTAAACTAAGTGGTGGTTTTATTTTGAACTCTTCTCCAGAATGACATTAAGGTGCTTGTGGCTCTGGGGAGTGTTTTCTCTTTTTCTTTTTCTTTCTTTCTTTCTTTCTTATTATACTTTAAGTTTTAGGGTACACGTGCACAATGTGCAGGTTTGTTACATATGTATACATGTGCCATGTTGGTGTGCTGCACCCATTAACTCATCATCTAACGTTAGATATATCTCCTAATGCTATCCCTCCCCCCTCCCCCCACCCCAGGACAGGCCCTGGTGTGTGATGTTCCCCTTCCTGTGTCCATGTGTTCTCATTGTTCAATTCCCACCTATGGGTGAGAACATGTGGTGTTTGGTTTTTTGTCCTTGCGATAGTTTGCTGAGAATGATGGTTTCCAGCTTCATCCATGTCCCTACAAAGGACATGAACTCATCCTTTTTCATGGCTGCATAGTATTCCATGGTGTATATGTGCCACATTTTCTTAATCCGGTCTATCATTGTTGGACATTTGGATGGTTCCAAGTCTTTGCTATTGTGAATAGTGCTGCAATAAACATATGTGTGCATGTGTCTTTATAGCAGCATGATTTATAATCCTTTGGGTATATACCCAGTAATAGGATGGCTGGATCAAATGGTATCTCTAGTTCTAGATCCCTGAGGAATCGCCACACCGACTTCCACAATGGTTGAACTAGTTTACAGTCCCACCAACAGTGTAAAAGTGTTCCTATTTCTCCACATCCTCTCCAGCACCTGTTGTTTCCTGACTTTTTAATGATTGCCATTCTAACTGGTGTGAGATGGTATCTCATTGTGGTTTTGATTTGCATTTCTCTGATGGCCAGTGATGATGAGCATTTTTTCATGTGTCTTTTGGCTGCATAAATGTCTTCTTTTGAGAAGTGTATGTTCATATCCTTTGCCCACTTGTTGATGGGGTTGTTTGTTTTTTTCTTGTAAATTTGTTTGAGTTCATTGTAGATTCTGGATGTTAGCCCTGTGTCAGATGAGTAGATTGCAAAAATTTTCTCCCATTTTTTAGGTTGCCTGTTCACTCTGATGGTAGTTTCTTTTGCTGTGCAGAAGCTCTTTAGTTTAATTAGCTCCCATTTGTCAATTTTGGCTTTTGCTGCCATTGCTTTTGGTGCTTTAGACATGAAGTCCTTGCTCATGCTTATGTCCTGAGTGGTATTGCCTAGGTCTTCTTCTAGGGTTTTTATGGTTTTAGGTCTAACATGTAAGTCTTTAATCCATCTTGAATTAATTTTTGTATAAGGTGTAAGGAAGGGATCCAGTTTCAGCTTTCTACATACAGCTAGCCAGTTTTCCCAGCACCATTTATTAAATAGGGAATCCTTTCCCCATTTCTTGATTTTGTCAGTTTTGTCAAAGATCAGATAGTTGTAGATATGTGGCATTATTTCTGAGGGCTCTGTTCTGTTCTGTTGGTTTATATCTCTGTTTTGGTACCAGTATCATGCTGTTTTGGTTACTGTAGCCTTGTAGTATAGTTTGAAGTCAGGTAGCATGATGCCTCCAGCTTTGTTCTTTTGACTTAAGATTGACTTGGCGATGCGGGCTCTTTTTTGGTTCCATATGAACTTTAAAGTAGTTTTTTCCAATTCTGTGAAGAAAGTCATTGGTAGCTTGATGGGGATGGCATTGAATCTATAAATTACCTTGGGCAGTATGGCCATTTTCACGATATTGATTCTTCCTACCCATGAGCATGGAATGTTCTTCCATTTGTTTGTGTCCTCTTTTATTTCCTTGAGCAGTGGTTTGTAGTTCTCCTTGAAGAGGTCCTTCACATCCCTTGTAAGTTGGATTCCTAGGTATTTTATTCTCTTTGAAGCAATTGTGAATGGGAGTTCACTCATGATTTGGCTCTCTGTTTGTCTGTTATTGGTGTATAAGAATGCTTGTGATTTTTGCACATTGATTTTATATCCTGAGACTTTGCTGAAGTTGCCTATCAGCTTAAGGAGATTTTGGGCTGAGACGATGGGGTTTTCTAGATATACAATCATGTCATCTGCAAACAGGGACAATTTGACTTCATCTTTTCCTGATTGAATACCCTTTATTTCCTTCTCCTGCCTGATTGCCCTGGCCAGAACTTCCAGCACTATGTTGAATAGGAGCGGTGAGAGAGGGCATCCCTGTCTTGTGCCAGTTTTCAAAGGGAATGCTTCCAGTTTTTGCCCATTCAGTATGATATTGGCTGTGGGTTTGTCATAGATAGCTCTTATTGTTTTGAGATACGTCCCATCAATACCTAATTTATTGAGAGTTTTTAGCATGAAGCATTGTTGAATTTTGTCAAGGGCCTTTTCTGCATCTATTGAGATAATCATGTAGTTATTGTCATTGGTTCTGTTTATATGCTGGATTACGTTTATTGATTTGTGTATGTTGAACCAGCCTTGCATCCCAGGGAGGAAGCCCACTTGATCATGGTGGATAAACTTTTTGATATGCTGCTGGATTCAGTTGCCAGTATTTTATTGAGGGTTTTTGCATCGATGTTCATCAGGGATATTGGTCTAAAATTCTCTTTTTTTATTGTGTCTCTGCCAGGCTTTGGTATCAGGATGACGCTGGCCTCATAAAATGAGTTAGGGAGGATTCCCTCTTTTTCTATTGATTGGAATAGTTTCAGAAGGAATGGTACCAGCTCCTCCTTGTACCTCTGGTAGAATTTGGCTGTGAATCCATCTGGTCCTGGATTTTTTTTTTTGGTTGGTAAGCTATTAATTATTGCCTCAATTTCAGAGCCTGTTATTGTTCTATTCAGAGATTCAACTTCTTCCTGGTTTAGTCTTGGGAGGATGTATATGTCGAGGAATTTATCCATTTCTTCTAGATTTTCTAGTTTCTTTGCGTAGAGGTGTTTATAGTATTCTCTGATGGTAGTTTGTATTTCTGTGGGATAGGTGGTGATATCCCCTTTATCATTTTTCATTGTGTCCTTTTGATTCTTCTCTCTTTTCTTCTTTATTATTTGCTAGAAGTCTATCAATTTTGTTGATGTTTTCAAAAAACCAGCTCCTGGATTCATTGATTTTTTGAAGGTTTTTTTGTGTCTCTATTTCCTTTGGTTATGCTCTGATCTTAGTTATTTATTGCCTTCTGCCAGCTTTTGAATGTGTTTGCGCTTGCTTCTCTAGTTCTTTTAATTGTGATGTTAGGGTGTCAATTTTGGATCTTTCCTGCTTTCTTTTGTGGGCATTTAGTGCTATAAATTTGCCTCTACACACTGCTTTGAATGTGTCCCAGAGATTCTGGTATGTTGTGTCTTTGTTCTTGTTGGTTTCAAAGAACATCTTTCTTTCTGCCTTCATTTCGTTATGTACCCAGTAGTCATTCAGGAGCAGGTTGTTCAGTTTCCACGTAGTTGAGCGCTTTTGAGTGAGTTTCTTAATACTGAGTTCTAGTTTGATTGCACTGTGGTCTGAGAGACAGTTTGTTATAATTTCTGTTCTTTTACATTTGCTGAGGACTGCTTTACTTCCAACTATATGGTCAGTTTTGGAATAGGTGTGGTGTGGTGCTGAAAAGAATGTATATTCTGTTGATTTGGGGTGGAGAGTTCTGTAGATGTTTATTAGGTCCTCTTGGTGCAGAGCTGAGTTCAATTCCTGGGTATCCTTGTTGACTTTCTGTCTCATTGATCTGTCTAATGTTGACAGTGGGGTGTTAAAGTCTCCCATTATTATTCTGTGGGAGTCTAAGTCTCTTTGTAGGTCTCTAAGAACTTGCTTTGTGAATCTGGGTGGTCCTGTATTAGGTGCATATATATTTAGGATAGGTAGCTCTTCTTGTTGAATTGATCCCTTTACCATTATATAGTGGCCTTCTTTGTCTCTTTTGATCTTTGATTTAAAGTCTGTTTTATCAGAGACTGGGATTGCAACCCCTGCCTTTTTTTGTTTTCCACTTGCTTGGTAGATCTTCCTCCATCCCTTTATTTTGAGCCTATGTGTGTCTCTGCAGGTGAGATGGGTTTCCTGAATACAGCGCACTGATGGGTCTTGACACTTTATCCAATTTGCCAGTCTGTGTCTTTTAATTGGAGCATTTAGCCCATTTACATTTAAGGTTAATATTGTTATGTGTGAATTTGATCCTGTCATTATGATGCTAGCTGGTTATTTTGCTCGTTAGTTGATGCAGTTTCTTCCTAGCCTTGATGGTCTTTACAATTTGGCATGTTTTTGCAGTGGCTGGTACCAGTTGTTCCTTTCCATGTTTAGAGCTTCCTTTAGGAGCTCTTTTAGGGCAGGCCTGGTGGTGACAAAATCTCTCAGCATTTGCTTGTCTGTAAATTATTTTATTCCTCCTTCACTTATGAAGCTTAGTTTGGCTGGATATGAAATTCTGGGTTGAAAATTCTTTTCTTTAAGAATGTTGAATATTGGCCCCCACTCTCTTCTGGTTTGTAGAGTTTCTGCCGAGAGATCAGCTGTTAGTCTGATGGGCTTCCCTTTGTGGGTAACCGGACCTTTCTCTCTGCCTGCCCTTAACATTTTTTCCTTCATTTCAACTTTGGTGAATCTGACAATTATGTGTCTTGGAGTTGCTCTTCTCGAGGAGTATCTTTGTGGCATTCTCTGCATTTCCTGAATTTGAATGTTGGCCTGCCTTGCTAGATTGGGGAAGTTCTCCTGGATAATATCCTGCAGAATGTTTTCCAACTTGGTTCCATTCTCCCCGTCACTTTCAGGTACACCAATCAGAAGTAGATTTGGTCTTTTCACATAGTCCCATATTTCTTGGAGGCTTCGTTCGTTTCTTTTTATTCTTTTTTCTCTAAACTTCTCTTCTCACTTCATTTCATTCACTTGATCTTCCATCACTGATACCCTTTCTTCCAGTTGATTGAATCGGCTACTGAGTCTTGTGCATTCATCACGTAGTTCTCGTGCCATGGTTTTCAGCTCCATCAGGTCCTTTAAGGACTTCTCTGCATTGGTTATTCTAGTTAGCCATTCATCTAATCTTTTTTCAAGTTTTTTAAGTTCTTTGCCATGGGTTTGAACTTCCTCCCTTAGCTCGGAGTAGTTTGATCGTCTGAAGCCCTCTTCTCTCAACTCGTCAAAGTCATTCTGCATCCAGCTTTGTTCCATTGCTGGTGAGGAGCTGTGTTCCTTTGGAGGAGGAGAGGTGCTCTGGTTTTTAGAATTTTCAGTTTTTCTGCTCTGTTTTTTCCCCATCTTTGTGGTTTTATCTACCTTTGGTCTTTGATGATGGTGACGTACAGATGTGTTTTTGGTGTGGATGTCCTTTCTGTTTGTTAGTTTTCCTTCTAACAGTCAGGACCCTCTGCTGCAGGTCTGTTGGAGTTTGCTGGAGGTCCACTCCAGACCCTGTTTGTCTGGGTATCAGCAGTGGAGGCTACAGAACAGTGGCTATTGGTGAACAGCAAATGTTGCTGCCTGATCTTACCTCTGGAAGTTTTGTCTCAGAGGAGTACCCAGCCGTGTGAGGTGTCAGTCTGCCCCTACTGGGGGGTTTCTCCCAGTTAGGCTACTTGGGGGTCGGGGACCCACTTGAGGAGGCAGTCTGCCCGTTCTCAGATCTCAAGCTGCATGCTGGGAGAACCACTACTCTATTCAAAGCTGTCAGACAGGGACATTTAAGTCTGCAGAGGTTTCTGCTGCCTTTTCTTTGGCTATGCCCTGCCCCCAGAGGTGGAGCCTGCAGAGGCAGGCAGGCCTCCTTGAGCTGCAGTGGGCTCCACCCAGTTTGAGCTTCCTGGCCACTTTGTTTACCTACTCAAGCCTTGGCAATGGTGGGCGCCCCTCCCCCAGCCCCTCTGCCGCCTTGCAGTTTGATCTCAGACTGCTATGCTATCAATGAGCAAGGCTCTGTGGGCGTAGGACCCTCTGAGCCAGGCGTGGGATACAATCTCCTGGTGTGCCGTTTGCTAAGACCACTGGAAAAGCGCAGTATTAGGGTGGGAGTGACCCAATTTTCCAGGTGCCATCTGTCACCCCTTTTCTTGGCTAGGAAAGGGAATTCCCTGACCCCTTGCACTTCCCATGTGAGGCAAGCCTCGCCCTGCTTCGGCTCATGCTCGGTGCACTGCACCCACTATCCTGCACTCACTGTCCGGCAATCCCCAGTGAGATGAACCCGGTACCTTGGTTGGAAATGCAGAAATCATTCGTCTTTTGCATTGCTCACGCTGGGAGCTGTAGACTGGAGCTGTTCCTATTCGGCCATCTTGGCTCCACCTCCGCGTTTTGTCTTATAAGAAAACAATAATCAGTTTGAGAATGGAATTTTTCTACTTATACACACACAGGCATGCATGCACACACTGGGGTTGGGAGGGTTTGTGTCTTCCATTATCTGAATGCAGTAGAGGATTGGGTAGCTGACCTCTGTTTTCATCTAGAGTTCCAGCTAATAATAGAAGTCCACCACAGGGCTCACTGGGCCAGGCTCTTTTTCTTTCATCATCTCTTTTCTTCTTTCCAACAACCCTGTAAGGGTGGTACTGGTAGTCTTTCTATTTTATAGGCAAAATGCAAGGATCAGAGAAGTTGTGACTTGCTGAGGTTCACACAGCCAGTAAGTGGATATCCATCTGTCTGACTTCAAATTGAGGCTTTAAACTATTGTGCTCACTGCCTGTGACTTCCTAAGAAGCCTGGAACCTCCCTTTTTTTTTCACTGGTTGATTCTCACTTTCTGCAGGGAAGTATGAAGGGTGGGGGTGGGCAGGAATGGCTGGGTGTACAGACTTTTCCTTCTCATCCTGAAGATCCATTGATTTCTTCCCTTGGCCAATCTTCTGCTACTGACACTTCCTGACACTACTTTAATTTCTCTCTTTATTGCTCTGTTTATTCTACTTTGAATGTATCTCTAATTAAATCTTCCAAGGGGCATGAGGAGTAAGGAAATGACTTTCAAGGTGTTGAATGAAACTTCAGATATTGGCAGCAGCTGACAAGAGAAAAGGAGAGAGTGGGAGTCTTGGTCATTGGATTCATAAAAGCAAATCACACTTTGTAGTTTAATTTTAGACCTTTCCTTTCTATAGAAACAGCTCTTTCAAAGGTCATCAGTTTGATGAAGAATCCTTACTGCCATGTGCTAGGCCCTGCCCAGTGTGGAACTAATTAACTGCATTGCAGATCTATTGCAGCTTGCGGCCCAGGAAGCCAAATGCCAGATCTGGAAGACAGCAGCCCTTTTCTTCCTTTGCTGGGGCCCCACCTCCACCTGTTGATATACTCACCACCTGTTGATATACTCACCATGGGGTCATCGTTACCTTTGAACACTTATATATCTTTATGACATGTATGTTGCTTTATCTACAACTGCAGTGGTTAGTGTAATTGATCTATCTCTCTTATTGGACTGTGGGATCTTGGAAGGCCAGGACTGTCTGAGTCCACTCCAGATCTCCAGTGTGTTATATAGGGCCTAGTTCTTGGCAACTACTCCGGAGACTGGAGACAGACATTGAATTGGGAAAAGCCACATTGTAACAGGTGTCTAATTGTGCTGATGAATGTGTTGTTTATTCTAGGATCACGACCCTTCATTCTCTATATCTTTCCTTTCTACTGGTTTTAGGTAAAAGAACAGGCATGCACAGTAAAGGAATATTGCCTCTAAACTTTAATGTTTGGTTTACCTTCACAAGGAAGATAGCCCTACATCACCATCAACAGAGACTTATTTTATTTTTAGATGGTTTTAATAGTAGTTGCTTTGAGTGGGGTCTTGTTCTGGAAAATACTCTAGAGTTCATCATGTAATATATGGTTAGATGAAGAAGTATTATAAATCATTTTGTGATTCTGTAATTCCATGGTAAACTAGATAATTTGCAAGTTTTAATTTATGGCCTCATAATTGGGTTGAAATCTCCCAGGGTTTTTGTGGACTAAATATTTGGGAAAAACATTGATTATCTCCTCTTAGGTTCTCCTTGTCTCCTCCTAGGTATCACATTATATCTGTCCTCACAGGCTTATGACAAGAAAGGCTCAATTGAAGCAGGCCACATGGTGTAGTGAAAAGATCATCACCTTTGGGGTCAGACTAAATGCAAACTTTAGTTCAACCACTTAGGGATGTCACTCTGATCCTCAATTTTTAAACCTGTAAAATGTAGAGTGAAATATTCATTGCAGATGGTTTTGCAATGAGATAATATGTTAAAAGTGACTGACAAGCTCCAGTCAGTGCCCAATTAATGTAAATCCTCTTCCTCCTCATTAGAACTAATATTATTTGGTATCTAAAATGTAAGAAATTCATCTGCTGTATTTAAATGGCAACATTTACACGATCCATCATAATGATGAGAAGGATTTATATGAGTATAACAAAAGCTCTTTTTAAAATCTGGGTTTATTTTATGAAGATAGTGTTTAAACCTTTTATAAACTTTACTATGGATGTATATAAATTCGTGAATATGCTGTTCTTTCCTTTACAAAAGGTTGAGTATCATGAGTTCCTTATTCTTAATGTAGTTTATGTTTTTATATTGTCATTTTTATCTTTAAAGCTTTAGCATTTTTTATTTCTTTTTCAGATTAATATTGTCAATGAAAACACGTAACCATTAAGAAGCGTAGTAGTAGGAATCGAAGACTTGAAAAAACTGTGAAAAGCAAAAAGCCAATTTAATTGCCTGGCTAGTGGGAATATAAATAATGAGCTAACATACTGAATTCCTCATTTTGGATGCTTTTGAAGGTGAACACTGTACACATTAGTCATATAATAGATTATAGATAGGAAACACCTAATTCCTTAGAGCTGAACCAAATCAGAAACATTTAAAAAGTGATTATCTTGCTACCCAAAAAATACTGTATTGTGGAAATAGTATTTAATTATTTTCATTTAATAACTACATATAAATCTGAAGTGAATTTTTAAGGAAAAATATAGAAAATTATCTACCTTATCTCTTTCATTTGAAAGATCTGGTAGTAGGCTAATGAAAGAGAAAATAGCGGAACTGGCATATAAAATGAAGTGAAAGCAATATAACCACAGAGAAGAGCAACCATAGAGAAGATATATATTCCCAATTATAAGGAAGCAGTCTCATTTTAATTTTGGCAAAAGTTATTTGCTATGATTAGCTCAAGGCTAAAGTAACTTTGTTTAGAACTGTATGATATCAGGATTCTAGAAAGCCATTCCTTGCAGAATTGGTCAGAGCTAGCTGTCTGTACTAGCATGTATTGAATGTCCTGCTGTGGGTTATTGTTGGAACTGAGATGGGGCATATTCAATGTTCTGCTGGTCCAGCCAGTCTGCATCCAGAATTTAGATGACAGGAGAATTCTGTGCAGGTTTGATGATGATCCTTCCCCTTTACACTTTGGGTCTTACATGATGGGCACTATTTAGCGAAGCTATTATGGTTGGAGGGGCCTTTATTGCAGAATGAACACAATCAGCAGAGGTAGAAAGATGAGAAAACACGTGGCTATTTGGGAAAAAATATATTTAGAAGTGAAAAAGCTATGTTATAAACTAAGAAGATTACCTGTTTGAATTTGGGAGTTGAGTACTAAAAGGGGTGTAGTGACACAACTCAAAATTGTTTTGGAGTGATGGTTGGAAAAGCCCTGAAGCAGGCACGTAGAAGGCAGCAGTTTCCATGTTTACCACGTGCATATCCAAAGATTCCTGGTGCTATTCTCATCACCCTTCCAGATCTCAGAGCTGCAGGTTCAGGGAGAAGTTATAGAGTAGGATAAGTTTATCTTTAGTCAACGCCGTGTCCTTCCTTTTTGCTTCCTCCCTCAGCAGACACCCATTGTTCTGTGCTGGCCGTCCAGACCCTTTCACTGGCATGTCCACCTAACTTTGTCCTTACTAGCAGTGCGATGTCTTGAATGTTTGGTTATGGGAAAAGCTGTCTCAAAGAGTGTCTCATGTGTGGCAGGCCATCAGGGGAGGCAGCTTTGGCTGAGGGGGAGGAAGAACGTGGGCTCCTCCTCTTAGAGCCAGCTATGCATTCAGGGGAGTGTTGGGCATCTCCCCAGGAGGAGTCATGGTCACAGTGGGTGGTACATTTGTCTCCGTATCACAGGAAAGAGGCTGTAGGGTGAAGTTCATCACTTGCATGAGCATGGCTATTTTTTTGTCTGTGATGTACCGTCCTCTGAGCCTTATGGTGGGAGGGTGAAGCTAAGAGCCTGGAATAGAACTTGTCACCTTGAATACCCAATAGTAATTGGTAGCCAGAGTGTATTTTGTGTTTGAGACCTATTTGATATTTGAGAGATTTTGGAATATAAGTGTTTTTTAGCTCTTTGTCTTGACAGACTGAGATGATTAATGATATGTGATGTTTAAGGAGATAAAATGAACAAGGCTAGAATGTGTGTAGTTTTCCTGACAGGGGACTTTTAGAAGGCATTGGAGAAGCATGAATATGTTTTTCTAAGTGACACCTTGGTGATTTGTCTTTCATCCTGACTGACAAATAAGAGACCTCCCAATCTCCTCACGAGGGCATTCTCTGGAGAATAAACCGATTGCACGTTGCAATAGGCATGGCTCAGATTTAGGATTCTACTTACTTTTAAATCAAGTGGAGCTTTAGTTTCAGTTATTTCACTGTGAAAACCGAAAAACTGTGTTTGGAAAAGATTTCCTCCCTTCTATTTAAATGTCCTTTTTTCCTTGAAAGTTAAGCTTATTTTGAAAGAAAAAAGTGTTTAAGCCTCATGATAAAGAAATTTTTCTGTAATTCTATGACTACTTTGCTGGAGATTAAAACCTCTTATTTGCAAGGAAACTTCATTAACCAAGGTAACAATCTTGGTGGAAAGCTTTTGAGGCACCCATAGAGTTAATAATTATTAGCATGCAAGTTCCTTTTGGGTGATCATCAGTCATTTTGGGTGTAGCTGGGAAGATGAGCAACATCATCTGCTAACTGGGAGTTTCTCCCAGTTACAAACTGTGCCATTATTCTTAAGTTAGGAAGAATACTAAAATATCCTATTTTAATTTGTTGCCTCTGAGTGGAATAAATGAGATTCTTGAGGGGTCCCTGTTCATCATGTTTCTTGGTTATACTAGTTATTCCACTCTCACCCCTTGGAAAAAGAATGTTTCTGTGATAGTATCCTGGGGAAAGGATAACGCTCTTATGGGAAATTTCACATAATCATCTATTCACACACACACGAATTATCAGGTGCTTCTACTTTGCAGGGCACCATGTTAAGTGTTGGGGGGAATAAAGAGGAAGGAATTAAGTTAGAAGCTGGGGGCTCTGGGTCAAGTTTATACAAAGAGATCACACTTAGCTTTTGTTACTTTACAAAGTCTCATTTCAAATATGTAATCCTTTCCTCTTTCCATATGTATATATATTTTACATCCTACATTTTTGTCCTTAGAGATTGAATTGGTAAGAAGATTGGAGATGTCAGTTTCAGGGCCTGCCAGCCTTGCCACTAAAGCTAATTATTTTACAGTGTGCAAATAATATGATTGGGGCGGGGGAGTGAAGAGAGAAAATGGAAAAGCATCTCAAGATGTGTAAGTATTCTTGGTCATCTCCATGTATCTTTTGCCTTTAATTAAAAATCAGGTTAACTTTATTTCTGGTATAAAATCAATCTTTTTTATTGGGCAGTTATTGCTGAATTCTCCAATTTCAACTTATTCTTTTTACAGGCATCACAGTTAGACTGATGCTAGACTAACGTGTGTGAAATAGATTTCTGGCAACTGAAATACCTAGGCCCATTTGGGAGAATATATTTTCAGTATATGTATGTTTCCCCAAATGTAACGCAGACTTCCATATTTAGAATACATAAAAGGCAGTTCCAAAAGCACGTTGCAAAAGTGGAAAGGGGGAAAAAGCCAACACTCTATTTGTTAGCTATAACATTGCACAGAATTTCTATTCATAGATAAGAAAAAAAATTCCTGCCTTTGGCCCAAAAAAATTAAGAAGAACAATAACAAAATTAAAAAAAAGAAAAAATCCCTCTTTGATTTTTTATCTTTTGTCAAAATAAATAACTAGCTTTGCTTTAAAATAATTTCCCTTCTTCCACATGTAAGTTGTTAAGTCTTTAAAAATGCACACAAAATGATAAAATTTTGTAAAGAAATAATTAACACCATCAATAAATTGCAATTATTGTGTGCTACAGTTTTTTAAATTAATTATCTAATACTGTCTGTGGAATAAAAAGCAGATCTTAAGTGAACACATTAAATTCAACACAACTTTGCTATTCAAGAAATTAATATTATAAGGGGTACATTTCTTTCATTGTCAAAAGAAAGTGGCTATTCAAATTTGAGGAAAAGGGTGTCCAGAGAATATTGTCAAATTATTGGCTAAATAGGCTTTTGCTTCTTTCTGTCTTAATTCAAGTTGCCTCCATAAAGAAGGATGTAGATTTGGACATGTGCTGTGTAGGGAAGGGCTCCTTCTCATGCAGCATTAAATCCGCTTCCATTTATCCCATGCCTTTTCTTTCCTTCTGCTCTCTTTTTTTCCAGGTGTTACTTAGATTAGCAGAGTGGTTGCACTGGGTGAAGAAGGAGAAACAGAGGGAACAACTGATGGTTCTTCTTGCCTTTGGCTTTTTAGCCGGGAGAAACTAGCGAAGGAGATCTTCTGAAATTCATTATAAACTTCGAGAAACTTAGTAGTTTGCTGTCAAGGCAAATAACTAAGGCATATTTATATATTTTATGTTTCATATTTGACAATTTGGTGAAATAAGTATTTTAAATAGTCACATTTTGCTTTTGGTAATGTCTTTCCTGTTAATACATTCCAAAATGTATAGAAATTGGAGCAAAGTCCATGGATGACTAAGATCTATCTTAGGTCTTGGTTGGACCATCTGGATGGCCCTAATGAGCTTTCTGAAAGTCTTATAAGAGGACACAGGTGCATAAGACTGGCCAGGGGTACCCTTATTTCAGACCATGCCTGAGTACGTAGTAAACCCCATGGCAGGAAAAGAGGTGACACCCTCACTGCCAGGACAAGCTAGCTAATCGGTAATTCCCAAACATCTTGGTTCCGTTCTAACTATTGCAGGAGGAAAAAAGAACACATGATAAGAAATATTTAAAATGATATAAATGCTTTATATTGTGAGGGGGAAAAACCAGCAAAAATATTCTTAAAGCACTAATGTCTTATTTTTTTCTTTGAGTGGAGATTTATTATTGGGACTATTTTATTCATTGGCAATGACAGAAAAAGTACTTAATGAACAAGTACTTTTCAAGGGTCTAAAGCTTAAATAAGCTTTTCAAGAGCCTAGAAAAAAACGTTTAAAAATTTAAATTCCTTTGTTGGCTCCAAAATTAAAACAACAATATCCTGAAAAATTGAGATTAATTGATATTTAATTTAAATATCTTTAAAATATAAAATTATATCAGTCTACTGCAATTCAACTTGTAAAATTATAAATAATTTCATAAATTATTTTAATACATTTGATATATTATGGGGGTGGTACTTCCAAAGTAAGAAGCACTAGATCTTTCAAATATCTTAAAATTTGGTGTGTGTGTGTGGGGATAGGGGTTGGGGGTGGCATAGGGTGCAGGGAGGAGAGGAAAAAGTTCTTAAAAGCTTTTGGCCAAAATTAAAAGTGGTATTGTTCAATATGATAATTTTCAAGAAACTCATATGCAATTTCCAAAAGTGCTGCTAAAGACCAAATTGTTTCTTTTTGAACAAAGACCACAACTTAACTTTGAAATGATACATGGGATTAAATAGAAGTCGTGATGTACAACTCAAATAAGTTTCAGAGTTGGTAGTCATCATTCCCCAAGCAATGAGTTAGAAAATCTATTCTAATAATCATCATGAACATATGTGCAGATGTGCTTTCCTTGAAAATCAGATACATTGAAATTGGAATTCACAAAATAGCTATGTTAAAGAGTTGCTTTATCAAACAATTCTTTGCTTTATAAAAGGGGTTTCTTGAAAATTAAGTCATTTTAAAGGAGCACACATGCTTGAAGCATTTGTTTAGAAGCCACTGTCTAATTGGAGGGGGAAGAGATGGGGAGATGATTAGAGAATCACAAAGTCCAGGCTGGGGGTGGTGTGGCTCACCCCTGTAATCCCAGAACTTTGGGAGGCTGAGGTGAGCAGATCGCTTGAGCCCAGTGGTTTGAGACCAGCCTGGGCAACATGGCGAAACCCTGTCTGTACAACAAACACAAAAATTAGCCAAGCCTGTTGATGCACACCTGTACTGCCGGCTACTCTAGAAGCTGAGGTGGGAAGATCAGCTGAGCTCAGGGAGGTTGAGGCTGCAGTGAGTCATGATCACGCCACTGCACTCCAGCCTGGCCGACAGAGTAAGACCCTGTCTCAAAATGAAAACAAAACCACCACCAAAATGAAGAGAATCACAAAGTCCAAACCCAACGTGTCTAAAATTCAACCTGTTACCATCCAAAGCTGAACCTGTTGCCATCCTTCCTTACATCCTCTACTCATCCTATCCTCTTCCTTGCTTACCTCAGTGCAAGACACTTTTGTTCACTCAGAGCCTAAGTCGCAAGACCCTCCCCCATCTCCCAGAAGTTCTCTTTGCTACTTCTTGCACAGTTACCAATGAATTCTATTACCTGTGCCTCTCCCACTTGTCTTAAGTCTTGGAAGGAGATCTTTTTGCTATGTAGTTTTATTTCAGCAATCCTTTTTCCTATGGAAGGATTTTTGCAATGAATCAGATGCTCCCAATATTTTCTTGCATTATCCTATAATTAATTCTTCCAGTTTTCTTGTAATGCAGATTATTCAGATTAGGAGCCAAGGCAGAGAGATTAGGGGCAGTGAAGGTTGGGATGTGTGAAGAGGTAATACACTAACATTTACTGAGTACCAGTTATGGTTGTGGCACTCTACTTGGTGCTTCGTATATTTTATCTGGTTTAATTCTTACAACCACTCTTGAGATAGAAATTATATCCCCTTTTACCAATGAGGAGGAAACTGAGCTTTAGGGGTTAAGACATGGGCTCAAAGTTGTATAAGCAGTAGGTGGTGAGGTTGGACTTGGGAGCCTTCCTTCACTCTATTCCCTGTCAAGGAAACCAATGCTTAACATTAAAGTCTTTTGATTTCAATTCTAGTTTCCAAATGCCTTTATACAAGTATATACTTTTAATGAGTTAATATGTCTGGCAACAATTAGTAGAACGCATGTTTATAACTAGTAATTGTTCTATTGATAGAGAACTCTATTTCAACATAAGGAATTTTGAAATGACTGTTTGCTTTAATTTGTTAAAATATTTCCTATTTCTTTGTTAAGGAGTATTGCTTCTCCAAAAAGGGCTCTAACAACCTCAGAGATTGCAATTCCTTACATGCAATGGAATGCCAATGGATTTTCAGTGGAACTTTTAAACACAGGCATTAAATACATGAGGACACAGCCAATGGTGAGTAGCCTGGAAGCTTTCATTGTAAGGTCATAACACTAAACACCTACATAGAAATGCTCAGATTTATAACTATAGACAATGTTAACAGAGCCAAGAACTTATTAATAGTGGAATTCACATAGTATGCATATAAACAAAAAGTAGATAAATACCAAGAAATGGATTAGGCCATAATAAGTGCTCAAAAATTGATTAACTGGATATTTATACGTCGTTTAGGAGCTCTTGTTAAGTGCATTTAAAAAAACAATCAGATAAAAGAAAGACTCTTGAATGTTTAAAAAAATTGGAATTAGGGGAAAATTTGCCCCTTTTGTGGGTAAGTGAAAAGGTCCTAATTTTGGGAGCCTGGAGGTCTGTACCATCTTTGCCATTAACTCACCACATAAAGGGGAATGAGTCCCTTGAAAATGTTGATTCTCAATTGCCTTTTGGTAATTAGAAGGGGTTAGACTAATTCTCTGAGGCTCTTCCAGCTCTCACATTCCAATATACACCAAGATTCAAATTTATTGTGACAGTTCTCTTCACCTCATAAAGAAAAAGATAATAATTCACTTCTTTCCATATTCATGAAGATTAATGTCGTAACAGTACTCAGTCTTCACGTTCATTGTCTTTATGAATTGCAACCCCAGAACTTGTGCTATGCTGTATTCATGGAAAAACAAATGACTTCATGCATAATGAGGCTCATATCTTGCTAATCTGTCTTGTATAAACTAAGTCCCTAAGGTATAACAATCATTTTTAACTACACATTTGTTTAGATTTTCTGACATGCAACTGTAGTCATTTAAAAAGAGCTTATGCTTTTATAATACTGAAATAAGACATTGATTTGTTATTATTACTTTTCCGGAAATGATTCCATCTATTTGCAAAACCGCAATTGAACTGAATCACCTTAAATAATGTAAATAGGTATCATGAATAAGGTAAAAATTCAGCTGCCCCTTAAAACATGCCTTATTTTCTAGTAAATTTATGTTTATATGCCAATTAAGATGTGAGGTCAAAATTTATTTCATAACCCCAGAAAAGAGCTGAGGAATTGTAGCTAGGAGTGCAAACTGCCAAACATAAGCTCTGACAGCTAAATGTAACCTCCTTCCCCTCCCTCCCATCCTCCCCATTCTGTTCTCTGTGCATGATCATGCAGAGCTCCATGGGGGAGGAAATGAAAGCTCTCAAGTCCCAGGCAGCCCCATTGAGACTGCTTCACAGGACATTTCTGAGGAGATTTTGTTTGTGAGCCACAGAATTGGATTCATAACAAGATCCATAAGCAGGTCACTGAGGGGGAAACAGAAGCCAGGGACTTGTAGGACAGACTAAAGTGCTCGAAAATTCTTTATGGAGGAAAGACTTCATGGAGTTGAATGAAGCAAGAAATAGGAGAGTGGACCAAGCAAAAAGATTGAGGTACAACTTGGCCTTATTTGATTTTTAAAATAGATCAATCCCCGTAAGTGTTGGGCAACTAAAAATAAAAGTTCTCTTCAGAAAGATCAGCCATTAGCAATTCCATTCCAGTAGGGCTAAAGCTGGGTCTCTCAGGTGAGATTTCAGTTGGGCTTCCCATTATGGGCTCCTCTGTTTTGCTCCCTTAGGGCTACTTCTCATCGTAAACCTTTCACATTGTCCCTAACTTCCCTATTTTTCAATATTCTCTTCCGTGTTGTCCACTGTGGAGGCCAAAGCAACTCCATCTTGGAAGCTAATCTGTCCACCATGTTGGCTTCTGACTAATTCTTGTTCCGGGAAGGCCTTTAAAGCTTCCAGTTTGTCTACTGTTCCTTGTGTAAGAGCAGGTACTGTAAATCCTTCCCTTAGGTAAAATAATCTTGACGTTATCATTATCATACTTCAATTGCCCTATAAATCCCTTCTGGGTCATTCTTTTCCCTGTGGTCTATAATCCCTGGGTCTAGGGGGTAGTTGGGGGGATCCATCATCTTGTCTTGTAGCTGCCTGAGACCAGACATGGCCTCTGTTCATAAATCCCTATTAAATGTTTCTTCCTAAGAAACTGGAGGCCGGAATGGTCATCTTCCAGTAATTCACCAAAATGACGAACACAAAGGAAAAGAGAAAAGGCATCTGTATATGTTCTGTATAACATGGAGTTGTTTAGAAACGTGGAGTTGTTTGTTTGGCCACGTATATGTGAATTTCTAAGAAAGACGATATTGTAGACATAAGGGAATGGGTACTGTTCAAAAAGGAATGCCCCACTAATGCTGCCATGGCAAAACCGGAACACTCTATAGTGCTACCCAGCATGCTGTTGGCATTGTTGTATAAAAAACAAGTAAGGGCAAGATTCTTGTGAAGAGAATTAATGTGCATATTAAGCACATTAAGCACTCTAAGAAATGAGATACCTTCCTGAAATGCATGAAGGAAAATGATCAGAAAAAGAAGGAAGCCAAAGAGAAAGGTACCTGGGTTCAACCAAAGCACCAGCGTGTTCTACCTAGAGAAATGCATTCTGAAAGAACCAGTGGGAAGGAGCCTGAGCTGCTGGAACCTATTCCTTATGAATTCATGACATAGTAGGTGTAAAAAATAATAATAATAGAAGACCTCTGGACTGCAAAAACGTTTCTCTTCATTAAGTAGAAGTGTGGTGTTCCATCCCCCAAATAAATATTTAAAGCAAATTTTAATTGTGTTCTAATTCATTAATGTCTTTACCATTCAAATTTAATGTTTTTCTCACTGAAAGATGTGAGGTGGCTTATTGTGCAACAAATTACTCAATTGGTTAGAAAATGGCCAGATATTATTTATGAAATATTTATACTGGTTTGAAGATAGTCCCTCTTGGGACTAAATCATCATGGAAGAAATAAAATAATTACAGAAAAACCCCTAAAAAACAAAAAAACTGAATTTGTCAGCCTCTTTCTTTGGCCCCTCAGCTTCCTCAGACTTTTGGGGGTAGGTTTGCATAGACCTCCCCACTGCAGAACACCCTCTATGAACATTAGTAATATTTCACATTTTATCAAAGACCTCTTTATCATTTTGCCTGAAGATTCCGACTACCCATCAGCCATGTCACTTAACAAGAGAACCTATTATACCCTAATTGTTTCCCCATGAATATGAATGCAGTATGCAGTTTGTGGAACAGAAGATAAATGTCCCTCAAAACTGAGCTCAAGAAGCCTTCTTAGAAAGTTTTTCTGACCAGTGTGGCTGCGGGCTCGAGGCCATGTCGGCTCCACCTGCCCAGAACCCATCTGCCACCAGTGCCGGCTTGGAAGACAGGCTTGCTGTCTTCTCTGGGTCTTGGGAAACCTGTACGTCTTAGGACTCGTTCAGGATGAGCATGTTCTGCCCAAGGACTTCTTCAGGAAAGGCACTCCCTCCCAACTAAAGGAACGTTCCTCAAAGCAATCTGAGAAGCGCATCCCATCCGTTTCCAGCTGGGTGGCCGCAGACACCTCAGGCTCCCGCCTCCCTGCATTTTCATGCCCCACAGCAAAAAACATGGGGGGTATTTCTTTCCAGTTATGCCCTGAGCCAAATGTTGAGCTTTTCTGCCCAAGAAGGGCAAAATTCTAGCACCAGCAGGGGTGCAACCCAAGGGGTGGCTAGGGTTCTCACTGCCCTTGGCCATGGGGCAGGCTGGCCTAGACAGAAGGAGGATGTTTTCAGGGTGGAAGTTTCCCCCCACCTAGTCCTGAAGACATAAGGTGCTGTAGCACCTGTGTTCCCATGAGGCCACCGTGGGCCACTCATGACTTCAAAAGGCCCTCGAGGCTCAACTAAGTGTGCTGGTTTCATTCTGAACATGCTGCTCTAAAACACATCCCTGCTGAGCCACAGGAGGATCAGATACTGTGAGCTTCTGGTCAGTTGATGTTCAAGAGCCAGGGCATGTAGGGAAGACTCCAGAACTCCTAACTCTTGCTAACCTTACATCTGGGATTCTTACGCCCTCAGCTGAAGAACTCGATGAATTTCAACTTCGAAGAGGTTCTTCTAACAACTTGGCCATTTCAACCAGGCTTTGCTAAAGTCCTCTGAAATTGGGGGACTGAAAGCCAATTACTTGGATCACAAGTTGCCTGTGAAATCTGCAAGGACCTGCTGTCAGGGCTCATTAAACCCCAAAGTATGGCATCTTGGCATGCAGACTACTCTGACCCAGAGGAGACTGGAAGGCCTTAGTAGCCAGGTTTTGTCCTTCCCTCCTGGTTCCTGCCCCTTTTACTCCCCCAGAGTGAGTCACAGAAACCAGAATTATTTTTCCCCAAGGCAGGTCATAGAAACTAGAACTCCTCTCTCCCAAAGCCAGCCATAAAACATAGCAAGGTCACTCTCTCCCTTCTCCCTGGAAGACCTTCATTCCCGAGGGGTCCTGCCCCATACCCAGGGGAAGGGGAATTGTACAGAACAGCCTTGCTGGGATTCCTCACTCCGTCTGTCACTGTTAGGCCAGATCCTTTGTGTCCAATCACATTTCTGCATGGCTATTCATTCATCAAACCTAAACATAAAAATAAAGGTTTTCCTTTTGGGGGAGGGGGTGGTGGTGGGGGGTGGGAGGGGGTGGGGAAGTTTCTCTGACCTCTTCAGGGAGCGTAATTGTAAGAGCTACATTTATTAAGGTACTTACAGTGTTCTAGTCACCAAAATTTTGATGCATTAAGTCACTGAAAACTTAGAATGGCCTCATGAGAGTAGTACTATTATTGTTTCCATTTTATAGATGGGGAGGCTGAGGTACAGGGAGGTTAAGAAATGTGATCAAACTCACATAGCTGGTAGGGGTAGGGCCTGGCTTTCCAACTACACTGGTTTAGAGCCCTTTCTTCTCCTCTGCCACTTGGATGCTAGACTTAACTCTTGATTTTGGCCTGGTGTCACCTGACTTGTCATTGGAAACTCTTCTCAGTTTTGGTGACCTAGCTTTTGCGTGAACCACTTGGCTCATGGATTCCATGTACATTTGGATTTGTTTTCAGATTATTTTCTTGGCTTGGTGATATAGCATTGCCCATGGCTAAAATTAAACATGACCCCTTTTTTTCTCTTTCCTCCCTTAGCTTTATATTATTGCCTGGCCCAACTGTATAAGGGAGCAAGTTTGGATAGGATCCATTCATTCCCACTTTCTAGGGCAGAATGCTGGCAAGAACATGATCAGAGTTGGGTCAGATGATTTGATTTCAGTGTTGAGCCAAATGACTTAGGATTGAGGATGGAGTTCTAGAACCTGTCCGCCTAACTGAAGGCACCATGAGGACATGTACTGTCTCAGCTTTGTTTACCTTTATATCCCCAGCACTGGCATGGTACTTGGCACATACTGAGTGCTCAATAAATGTTTATTGAATGAAGACATGAATTAATGACTGAAGAGGAGGAGGCAATGGTATTGGGCGGACTATGGGGTGAGGTGTCAAAATAAGGCCACTTAGATGCTTAGGCTCAGTGCCTTATCAACCAGGTGCCAGGTCTGTTGGATAAATCTGGCAGATTATCCAGCACTGTGCAGTGAAAAGCACCACCAGATGGCGGAAGACCCTGGATATACTTCCTGCTCCTGGTGTAGTCTAGTGTAACCGAGAGCAAACGGGTTTGTGGGTAGACTTTGTAGAAAAGACAAAGTTAGGAGAACTGGTCAAAATTCCCTAGTCTGCCATTCTTAGAAGCAGAAGTCTGAGGCAGGTCTCTTGCAGCTGTTTTATAGTCTCCCTTTAGCTTCTTTACAGGCAAGGCTAATCATTTGCTTCAGCCTTGCATGGAAGCCTAGACTCTACACACATGCAGGGCATTAGCTGTGGACACATTTGCCCTATTTCCTTTTTTTTTTTTTGAGACAGAGTCTCGCTCTGTCGCCCAGGCTGGAGTGGAGTGCAGTGGCATGATCTCAGCTCACTGCAAGCTCTGCCTCCTGGGTTCACACCATTCTCCTGCCTCAGACTCCCGAGTAGCTGGGACTACAGGTGCTCGCCACCACGCCCGGCTAATTTTTTGTATTTTTAGTAGAGATGGGGTTTCACCGTGTTAGCTAGAGTGGTCTTGCTCTCCTGACCTCGTGATCCGCCCACCTCGGCCTCCCAAAGTGCTGGGATTACAGGCATGAGCCACCATGCCTGGTGGCCCCATTTCTTTAACTCAACAAGGCACTGTGTACTGAGGTAGCTGGGAATCTTCCTTAATCAGCTTCTATCATCATGCTACTGAAAACCATCACTGCTATCACTTATTGCCTTCTGTGGCCTCTCACACTCTCACTAGAGATCATGTCTGTATTAGTCTGTTCTCACACTGCTATGAAGACACACCTGAGACTGGGTAATTTGTGAAGAAAAGAGGCTTAATTGACTCACAGTTCCACAGGCTGTATAGGAAGCATGTTTGGGGATGCTTCAGGAAACTTACAATCATGGCAGAAGAAGGGGAAGCCAGCACGCTGTCTTACATAACAGGAGCAGGAGGAAGAGACTGAAGGGGGAAGTGCTGCACACTTTTAAACAACATCTCGTGAGAACTCACTATCACAAGAATAGCAAGGGGGAAATCCACTCCCATGATCCAATCACTTCCCACCAGGTCCCTCCCCCAACATTGGGAATTACACTTCAACATGAGATTTGGGTGAGGATGCAAATCCAAACCATATCAATGTCTTATTTCATATCTGTATCCTCAGTGCCTAGCGAAGTGCCCGGCTTTGGATAGAGTTGATGTTCAAGAAATGCTTATTTCTTGAATAAATGAATGCATGGGAGACATACGACGTGGGCACATACTGATAGGGTCAATAGGGAAAGTGCTAAGCATTGTGTGTCTCTGACACCAACTTTTTTTTTTTTTGCATGCAAACATATCACCATTTCTATTTTTATTCTCCATTTTATGTTTTGTAAATTGAGTTCTCAGGACTTTTTATTTCATTCTTGTATTTTATTACTATGGATATATTTTGTGCTTGAATAAAGGCAGGCATTAAAGATATTGAGAATTTTAACTACAAATTTTTTAATAAACAGGGAAATTTTGCATTTCACCCTTAGAAATACAAATCTCGAGAGAAAACCTGGGGTGAATAAGTAGAATGGATCATCTTGATCCTTCCAAAAATAAAAAATTAAAAAAACTTTTAAGCCTTATTCGTTTGACTTATGATGTTGAAATTATGACCCAAAATATTAACTTGTGTTATTACCATATATATTTTTTCAGTTAATTCAGCCTGAACAATGAATTTGGATGATTAAATTTGCATGCCTGAATATGAGGCCCACTCTTGAATATGAAAAATACCGAGGGACAGGAATAGCAGAGGTAATTAAAATGATCCCCAGACCTATACCTCTAATTTCAATAATTTATCTCAGTATCTCACACTAAGATTTTTAGTAACAGGTAAGCAGTCAACTGACTTGAGTGCCGTCTTCCCTAGTCCCCGTTCACCCTCCCACAGAGGTCCTGACCTGCAGTGCAGTGGTCACAGCTTGGCAGTGGGAGCTACAACAGGAAACAGATTCCAGTTAGTTCACACATTTCCCAGTCAGCTCCTGGAATAACTGAGAGTCAGCTGTAACAAATCTGGCTTTTATCTCAGAGGCAAATAATGCCAGGCATCAACTCTGTATTTATTTTCTCTCTCAAGACCATCCCCCACTATAATATTTCATTTCTATTACTTTAAAAATAATCAAATAAAAATAAACCTTTATTTTTTCTGGCCCCAAATACCTTGCCTTTTATCCAGAGAAATAAAAATCTTAAGAGCAGTTTGGCAATAGAGCATATTTTTTGGATTTAAGTGTGACACCTGGGATGAGTATATTTATCTTTTTTTCTGACTTGTTTTGCATTTAAGAAATGAAAGAACTGGTTCTGATTCATTACTTGCAAATACACTGGAGATTTACTGCTCTGTCAGGATAAATTATTTTACGTAATGAGTATTTGCAATTGTGCCTTCCCCTTGCCATCCATGGAGGAGGGACTTTTTTGTTCTCTTGGCCTGGAAACTGGGCCTCGGTTGTGCCGAATGAGGGGCGGGGAGGCGAATGGTAGCAGCCAAGTTGCAAACAGGGCAGATTACTCTAAGTTAGAAAAGATGAGGGAGGAGAAGAGTGGACAAGGAGATTCAAGGGCAGAGATGCAGGAAGGGAGGAGAAATATGGGGAGGGGAAGAGGATGATGAAGAGTTGCTGATAGTGAGACTTTGGATGCATTATGTGCTGAGTCTGGATTCCAGGAAGTCCAGCTTTATGCAGGTTATGCTACTAAACATAGAGGGTTCAGCATTTATAAGAGTATGACCATTCTCACTATAAATATATACAAAATCTTCATGACTTTTTTACTCATGTCTTTTCTGTAGTGTATTTTTGCATTTTTTAAATTCTGTTGAGCAACTCAAGCAACTTAAACAACAATGATAGATATATTGCCTTTATAACATACAATTCTATTGAGGGTGAAATTTAATTTTTATAGTCTGGCATTAGAGTGGCTTCTTTCAGGAACTAAGTATACTTTCTCCTTTAACATATTTATATATTTATAAATTTTTATAAGTCGAGAAATCTTCGTTAAAAAAATCAGCTAAGTCCCAGTCTGTACTCTGAAGGTACTATTACACAACAACATTAACATAATTTTGATACTATTCTAATGTGAATATCTTTTCCTTTTCCTTTTTTTAATTAAAAAAACAGATTCCAGGGTTTTTTTTTTTGCACTGGTTTCTAACATAATTTTAAAAGTCTGTTTTTATCGTAGTTTTAAATTCGTCCCTCCTTGTCATTAATTTGTTTGTTTCAGGGAGGGTATTTTTGCTCTTGCTACTGCTTGTTATTACATTCTGTAGGTTTCTATGCAATAAGTTAGCTTTTGTCTAGTGCGCAGCATAGGGCTTTGTTTACAGCAGAATAAATGTTAGTGTACTAACAGCGTTCCCTAACTACTTCTAGGGGACAATGGGTATGATGGCTTTTTCATATGTCAACTTGGTGAGGCTGAATTATAGTCCCTAGTTATTCAATCAAACACTAATTTAGGTGCCACCATGAAGGGATTTTGCACATTAAAGCCTCTAATCAGTTGACTTTAAATTAATCAAGAGATTATCCTGGGTGACCTAATTAGGTGAGCCCTGTCAAAGAAGCCATCCCTTGTGCTTAGAGACTGCAAATGGCTGCTGGGTCCACAATTCATCTCCCCCTACTCTGAATCATGGGGTTCTAGTCTGCTTATTACTTTCCCTACCTGATGGCCAATAAGCCTCAGCCGTGCCTGTGGAGTTCCAACCTACTTATGATCTTTCCTTCCCAACTGCCTGTGGAAGGAGCTTTAGCCTGTGCCCATGGGTAACTGCTTTCTCATTTCTTCTCTAAATGTCTAGCCTATGAACTTTTATAAACTTTAGACTTGTTTAACCACCCTCATGATGGGGTAAACCAATTCCTTGTAACAAATACATATACATGCACACACACACACACACACACACACACACACACACACACACACACACACACACACACCCCTACTGGTTCTGCTTGCTTGGTTGAACCCTGACTCAGAGAGTGGGTATCTGATTCCTTCTCTTTTCTCCCCAGTGACTCTCATTAAGTTTAGTTCTCAGTAAACTTAACTGAGAGTGAATGATTTCTGGAATCTTCTAGGTCTGAAATGCAGTCTGCCTACCTGAAGTATAATTTTAATAAACTTATAGGCTTTGGCCAAACTAGCATACCTTGAGTTCAGTGTTTCCCTTTTCATTTCAAATGTTTTCCTTTTTAATTTTTTTGTTTCCCCCCTTCTTTTGATAAAAGGAAAACAGCTAAAGATTTTGAACATATTTGTCCTAGTTTCCCTCTCATGTGAGCAAGGAGACTGTGGACCTAGAAGGGACTGCTCCTGTTGGAGCTCCAAACAGCTCCATCTCAGCCAGTGAAAGATGCTTGGGGGTTGAGGGCTGATCTTATCCGAGGGTGCTGGGACAGGAGGGTCTGTGTCATGTACTCCCATCTTTAGTGGGAGGTCAACATTCTCTCCAGCCCCCTCACTTGTCCTGTTGAGGAGATAAGGATAAAGGGCAAATAATAAAGTCACTAAATGGGTGGTATGGAAAGTAAGAAATATAGCTTTTAATTGGAGGAATGGAGAAATTGGAAATAGTAACAATATCTTTCTGCCTGTCTGCTTTCTTTCCTTCCCTCCTCCTTCCCTCCCTGCCTATTTTTCCTTCCTTCCTTCCTTCCATCCTTCCTTCCTTCCTTCCTTCCTTTCTTTTTCTCCCTCTCATATTTTTCCCTCCATGCAGCAGTTATGGTGAGGTAAGTTGTGATAAGATGGGTTGGAAAATACTTCTCAATGTCAGGTTATCAGAAACTTGGAGGGCCAAGCAATATGTGGTCAGGATGAAGGTTGGTTTGGGGATTGACTGACATGTGAGGAAAAGAAGCAGGAAGTGGACAGTTTGATCCTACTTTGATCAGTGAGTTGGCTAAAGACATTTGCTTATGTTTATTTCTGCTTGTTTCTATCTTGGGAGGCTGATGCTGGGAATACCCCCTACCTAGAGGCACCCTTGGGAAGAAGTAAGACCACAGTGGGACCCAGATGGGAAGGGACAAAAGCTGGCCATCATCCAGACCAGTGTCAAAAGGCAAGAGAGATCCTGAGCCTCATAGCTAGCTCCCACTCACTTCACTGGGGTGGGATGCAAGCAGACTCAGGCACCAGGACCCAGAGCACATTTTCCTGGAGTGTCTTCTTACATGGATCTCTGGGAGAACACGGGGTGGGTGAACTGCCATGGTGCTGGAGGAAGTGGCTGGCCATGGTCATGACAGACAGATGGTCTTGGATTTAGAGACTCAGGATCCTGTCTGTCTCTTGGTTGCATGACTAATGGGAAGGTGTTCTACTTCTGGCAGATTGGCTGGGACAACAGGAAAGTCACTCCAAAGATGTCTTGTTTTACTTAGCGCTAATCCTACTGCATTTACTTTATAGGAGCAAAGTAAATAGAGAAATAAGAGGTATAGAAGATTACCTAGACTCCTTTTGGGGGGGCCTATTTAGTTTGGCTTGTGGTGAAGAATAATTCTGAGGAACAATCTGCTAGAGAGATTTCAGAGAGATTAAGGGGATTATTAAAATGTTCTTCCTTGGTTATAGCAGAGGTTTGTAACACTTTTAAATCACTGTCAAGAAAACAAAGGGATGTGTTACTGGGTAATGTTGTATGGAATACATAGAGCAGGACATTTTAATATTAAGCTCTGTTTTACCTCCAGGAACACCAAATGATGGAGCAATTGTATTATGCACCCAAAAATTATAGTTTATCATAAAAGGGTCACATGCTCCATTGCCTTACAAGAGAAATTGTATTTGAATTATAAGGCATTTCTAAACCTTGTGAATGATTGGTAGGAGGTGTAGTCTTTTGTAACACAAAAAGCTGCTGACTAGAATTACAGTTCCCATTAACAGGAATGTAAGTGAAATAATTTTGTTTCAACAGTCATATCCTCAGGGCGAATGGGTCATAGGAAGTGATTAAACTGAAAACATGAACCCAGTAATAATCACTATATATGTATCCCCTGTGGATGACCTCCCTTTTTTTTCCCTCAGAACTTTAGCATTCTCTGACATTTACCATTGTATAAAGATATACTGATAACAATAATAAGGTGATTGAATATGCCATTAGATTTTTTCACTATAAAAGTATTCTCAGCACAGGAAACTGCATATTGATATTCTTTTCTAAATTGAAATATTATACACAGGGCAAAAGGATTAGATAGATGTAGCAAATAATTTGATGGCAAGAAAAATACCATACATCAGCAACAATGAACTTTTGTAGTAAAAATACAAGTATGGTAATAATAAAAACAATGCTTTGCAAAGATATAGGGCATATATTTGAATCAGAACAGCTCTTCAAACACAAAATAATGGAAATGTTATGAATGTTTACTTAAACTAGTTATTCTGACCTGATAATCCTGAACAATTGGCAAAAATTGGAATTTATGCTTTAGCTCATAAAAAGGAGGTTCTACTTCAGAAAATTATATATGTCTTCAGAGCAATATGACTCTCCAAAGCTGCTTATTTCTAGTGTATTTTCGGAGTTGCTTTAGCTTGGGCTACAATGCCACTCTGGATTTTTAATGCTAGGATTAATCCCAACATTATCTGCTCTCTATTGTACCCTCCTTGCAGCTGGGTGCGGAGGAACACCTCCTCTGACAGATGTAACTAGCTGATTTGTATACATTACACATGTGCTAACAGTTGCCTACAGCCTTGTGTACATTTCAGGGTCAACACAGGTGTTGAGTGAGGAACAAGAGCAGGGAGCTAGGCATGGATGGAGATACAGAGATGCAGAGGCAAGCACAGCAGGCAGCTAATCTGGAAATGGCCATTCAGATGCATGGAGAAACCAAAGGCATGAGATATATCAGAATCAAGCCCCAGTGATGGAATAGAGAGGAGAGCTGTGCTAGGGGGAGAGGGTGGTGAAAGCCAGTCAGGAAACTTCCACTAGGAATCCCTTCTCCTCCACCAAACAAATTCTTGCATAATGTAGAAGGGAGAGGTTGCTTAATTGAAGATGTTTGTTGAATAAATGAATGAGTGAATGACTTGTCCTCTCCTCCTGCTCATTCCATTTAGGCATTTCCAAACTTCTGTTCTAAGCTGTCATCCTTTATCTTTCCCTCAGGTGATCACCTCTTCTTCCTGGGTTGAACTTTATGATACCATGTGTATAGCTTCCAGAACTTGTTCTTCAGAACTTATTTCTCTCTGTTGAACTTCAGATCTGAATTTCCATTTGTTTGTTGTATGTCCTAAAAGGCCTTCCAATTCATCATGCCCAAGAGGGAATTAATTTCCTTCCTCAAGTCTGATCTTCCTTTTCCTTTGTTCTGTATCTTAAATTTCATGGTCCTGCCTTTCCTTGATTAACTCAACCTTGAAATGTTGTTGTTATCTCCCTTACTTCTTGCATCCAGTTAGTAAGAAACCATGTTCATTTTCCCTCTTCAAGATTTCTTGACTCATTCCCTCTGTGCCATTCCCATGGATAATGCCCTAGTTCAGAACTTTATTATCTCTACATTGTTATTTGAATTATCTCCTGAAACACCCATGGCCATGTCATTCCCCATACGAAGTGCTCAGCAGAGCTACATGAGGATGCTGGCTTACCAATTCTCTGCAAAGTCCAAAAGAACCCAGTCTCTCAGGGTGAGACAGGACTCACATTTGAGGATGTTTTACAAAACTTACTACTGCAAAATCCTTTTAAAAGTTCAATATATTCTAGAGATGGAGATGCTTCTGACTTGATTTAGCCATGACCTAATTGTCTTGGTGAAAGCTATTAATATGCTGGAAGGAATTCCTTCAGGTCCCTTCCTTCCCATAATGAATTTTTTAAGGGCAACATTCAAAATCAAGGTCAGCACACAAAGGCATCAGTTGCCTTATGGTACTAGTTAGAGGTTTTAAGCCAATTTGACTCTGGGTTAATTTTTTTTTCATGTAAAAACTAGCTGTAGCTAATTTCATTTAAAAAATCACAGTACGCATAATACAGGAGACCTAATGACATTTCCCCCCTCAAAGCAGTACCCAATAGATGGCCATAAATGTCTGAAGTGGTGGTCCTAAGGCACTGGGCACTGGGCACAGAAGGGGTTTCTGGACCATGAACGAGCTGTCTTCTGCCTTTATAATATGTAACACTTTGTCTACTTTTCTCCATTACTGCCTTGGTTTCTTTTTCTTTATCTTTTATTTTTTTGAGATGGAGTCTCGCTGTGTCACCCAGGCTGGAGTGCATTCGTGCGATCTCAGCTCACTGCAACCTCTACCTCCCAAGTCCAAGCAATTCTCGTGCCTCAGCCTCCCGAGTAGCTGGGATTACAGGTGTGCACCACCACATCTGGCTATTTTTTTTTCCTATTTTTACTAGAGGCAAGGTTTCACCATTTTGGCCAGGCTGGTTTTGAACTCCTGACCTCAAGTGATCCACCCGCCTTGGCCTCCCAAAGTGCTGGGATTACAGGTGTGAGCCACTGCACTCAGCCAGTTTCTTTTTCTTTAGTGACATTTTCTCCCTTTTGGACTATCTAGCTTAGGTTAGCTTTTAAAATGTGTTTGTCTCAGTAAATTAAAACATTGAATTATATTGACTAGGGCTCTTGAGTTAAGTGAGTATTATTGTATTCTAATTTTAAGAATACTGTATACATATACACAATATATTCTGGCAATTCAGCCAGGTACCTAATTCTCAAACCAACAAGCATTACAAAATGTGTGCTTTGTTCCTAGTGAAGAGTAGGCATAAGTTTTTTTTTTTTTAATGAAAGGATATTTGGGTTTGGTAAGGTGCTTGTTTTCTTTAATAATTGGAAATAGAAACTTAAGAGTAGTAAAGAAACTGATTTAAAACAAGAAAGGAGGTGGAAGGGTCCCAGTGGAGTGAGGTTAATTCCCTGTTGTCGAATTTGGGTTTCAGGTGCCTAAGGCACAGGGAAGCAGGAATGTTTGTGTAGTTTTCTACAAGTACTTGACAGTCCCTAGGCAAAGTGGGATTGAAGGAGGGAAACAGCAGGCCACCATCTCTCTGCCCTTAGACATGTAAAAATGCACCTGCTTAATTCAAGGCATGAGGATGCATATCTCATGGAGTCATGAGTATTAACACTTGCAGTCTCAGAACTTTTCTAGGAAACACACTTTATGAAGCAGAACTGTAGATTTATCCCACTTTAAACATGTCACATATCAAAATCCGATTTTTACAAAACAAATTAAGCATTAATAACTTGCTTTATAAAAAGATTCACCATATGATTATTTAAAATGCAAACTCTCCTAGCATATTTCATATGTGCTAGCTTTTTAATTTTATTTTATTTTACTTTATTTAAGTTCTGGGATACATGTGCTGAATGTGCAGGTTTGTTACACAGGTATACATGTGCCATGGTGGTTTGCTGCACCTATCAGCCCGTCATCTAGGTTTTAAGCCCCACATGCATTAGGTATTTGTCCCAGTGCTCTCCCTCCGCTTGCTCTCCACCCCACGACAGGACCCAGTGTGTGATGTTCCCCTCCCTGTGTCCATGTGTTCTCATTGTTCAACTCCCACTTATGAGTGAGAACATATGGTGTTTGGTTTTCTGTTCCTGTGTGTGTTTGTGAGGATGATCAGCTTCATCCATGTCCCTGCAAAGGACATGAACTCATTCTTTTTTATGGCTGCATAGTATTCCCATCAAGCTACCGCTGACTTTCTTCACAGAACTAGAAGAAACTACTTTAAATTTCATATGCAACCAAAAAAGAGCCTGTATAGCCAAGACAATCCTAAGCAAAAGAACAAAGCTGGAGGCATTACGCTACCTGACTTCAAACTATACTGCAAGGCTACAGTAACCAAAACAGCATGGTACTGGTATCAAAACAGATATATAGACCAATGGAACAGAACAGAGGCCTCAGAAATAACACCACACATCTACAACCATCTGATCTTTGACAAACCTGACAAAAACAAGCAATGGGGAAAGGATTCTCTATTTAATAAATGATACTGGGAAAACTGGCTAGCCGTATGCAGAAAACAGAAACTGGAGTCCTTCCTTACACCTTATACAAAAATTAAGATGGATTAAAGACTTAAATGTAAAACCTAAAACCATAAAAACCCTAGAAGAAAACTTAGGCAATACCATTGAGGATGTAGGCATGGTCAAAGACTTCATGACTAAAACACCAAAAGCAATGGCAATATGTGCTAGCTTTAAACAATGGTAACTACCCAGAACTTTCAGGAGCACCTTGCAGAGAGTGAGGAGGAGCTCTAGTTGCACATATGAACTTGGTACAAACTTGCTTCTATGTGATAATGATCTGGATAAAGGGCATCCTCAGATGATCCTGCAATCCCTGCTGGGCCAAGAGTTTAAGCAAAGTTTTAGAACCTGCAGTTTCTGTAGAGGTGTGATTTCTGCTGTTGCGACAGAACCAAAAACGAGGAGTCAGGCTCTGTCAGCTAGCTTCCTTTCTCTCTCTTTCTCTCTGACACTCTGGAAGGAAATACTATTTTCTCCTGATTTGAACTTTTCTCTAAATCTATTAGTAAAAAAGGGTAAAACAAACGATGTCTTTCCTTTGTCCCCTCTCTAGTAAAGATGGCCTGAAAGAAGATAAAGTGTAAGAAAATAAGGAAATCAAGGGTATATAATGACTGTATAAATTAATCTGAGAACTTATTTTTTAAGAATCTTAATGGTTTTATCTATGATGCACTTAAAAACTCAGATTTTTTAACTATGTTTTTATTTCTCTTCCTCCTTACATTTTTAGCTCCCCAAACACTTGACCTTTTTATATTTTACTTTTGAAATAACATTTCCTTATAATTTTAATTATAAAATACTTGGGAAACATAAACCCAAAAAGCAAAGGAAAAAACTGTAATCCTGCCATTTAAAGGTAAGCATTTTAGTATACACACTTACAATCTTTTTTTTTTTTTGAGACAATCTCACTCTGTTGCCCAGGCTGGAGTGCAGTGGCATGATCTCAGCTTACGGAAACCTTTGCCTCCCAGTTTCAAGTGATTCTCCTGCCTCAACCTCCTGAGCAGCTGGAACTACAGGCACATGCCATTACATTCGGCTTATTTTTGTATTTTTAGTAGAAATGGGGTTTCGCCATGTTGGCCAGGCCGGTCTTGAACTCCTGACCTCAGGTCATCCGCCTGCCTTGGCCTCCCAAAGTGCTGGGATTACAGGCATGAGCCACTGCCCCTGGCCTACAATCTTTTATTTTTAAAATCACAGAAAAATATATCAGTTAGCTATAATTTAAAAATACTACATAACAAACTACCCTCAAACATAGTGAGATACAATAATACCCATTTTATTCTCGTGTTCTTGGAAGAGTTCAGGTTAACTGCATATTGGTCAGTTTGGACTTGGCTTGGCTGAAGCTCTGCTTCATACTGCAGGTCCAATTACACCTTGGTCCTCACCGAGACTGAGCTCAGGTATGCTCCATGTGTATTCACTTTTGAGTCTAGGCTTAAAGAGCAGTGTATTAGCTCAGGCTGCCATAACAAAATACCATAGACTGGGTGACTTAAATAATAGAATTTATTTTCTCACCATTCTGGAGGCTGGATGTCCAAGATCAGGCTGCCAGCATGGTCAGGTTTTGGTGAAGGCTGTCTTCCTGTCTTGCAGATGGCCACCATCTTGCTGTGTGCTCACATAGGGCCTTTCCTCAGTGTGTGCACTCAGGGAGAGAGAGAGCAAACTCACTGGTGTTTCTTCTTATAAGGGCACTAATCTTACCATACCAGGGCCCTACCCTCATGATCTTATCTAACCTTAATTACCCCTAGAGGTCCCATCTCCACCCCCAACACATTGAAGGGTAGGAATTCAATATGTGAATTTGGGGAGCACATAAACAGTCCATAAGAGGCAGCTCATCTAATGGCTATGGCGGAAGCATGCAAGCAATAACTCGAGCATGTTTCAAGTCTTCTTGCATCACATCTGTTAAGATTCCATTGGCCAAAGCAAATCACAGAGGAGCCAAGAGTCAAGGGGTGGGGAATAGCAAAAGTGGGAGGAGCAGCCTAGTTGCATGGCAAAAGGAGTAGAATAAGGAGGCGTGAAGAACTGGGGCCAATAATTCTATCTACTGTGTATATGTATACATTTTCATTAAAACAATGATAGCAATATTGAGAATTATGGCTAACATTTATATACTAAGCTCTGTTGAGTGCTTTAAATGAACTCATTTAAACTTCAACCTCAGTCCTATAAACTAGGTAGTATGAATAGTCTCATGTTTATGGATAAGGAAATAGAAGCATAGAGAAATTAAGTAACTTGCTGCAAGTTCAGGGATGTGGACAATGACAGGTTTGCTGTAGACCCTGTGTTCTTAAGTACTACATTAAGTAGTAAAATCTCCCCTTTGCCCTCTTCTCACACCACTAATCCTATTCCACTTCTCACAGGTAACTTTCTGTCAATAGTTTGGGTTATAAACTTTAGATCTGTCCATGTGCAAACTATATGTACATATATGTATATTTGCACATATATGTGCATATATATACAACTAATATAACAGTTGTGTGTGTATATATATATACACGCAACTAGTTATGCACAACTAGTTAGTTGCTGTGTGTATATATATACAACTAACATATATACATACATATATATACAACTAACATGTTGTATCTTGTATATATGTATGTTTATACAACTAACATATATACATATACTATATATACAACTAACATGTTAGTTGTATATATAGTATATGTATACATACATCTACTATGTGTGTATATACTATATGTATACATACATCTACTATGTGCGTATATACTATATGTATACATACATCTACTATGTGCGTATATACTATATGTATACATACATCTACTATGTGCGTATATACTATATGTATACATACATCTACTATGTGTGTATATACTATATGTATACATACATCTACTATGTGTGTATATACATACACACAACTATATACATATATACACACAACTAACATATACACATATATGTTGTGTGTATGTATATTTACATATTATAGATACATATGTACACACATACAAGTAACAAAATCAGACCATGCTATACATATTAAATATTTTTATTTTGGCAACCTTGTTTTTCATCTCCAAAAACTCTTTCTTGCTCCTTTTTCTTGATAATCTGTTGGGAATACTAATCTTACTTTTCTCGAGTTTTTGTTCTTTTATTCTAGCTTTGGAGTTTACTGCTTATTCTGGCACCCAGGGAAAGCACAGGCAAAGTTATTATTTCTTCTTCTTGGTGATTCTGTTTTTCTCAAAGATTGGAAAGAAATTTATATTATTAAAACAACCAGCTCTACAAAGTGAAATTCAGAATTTACAAGTATGTTATAAAAGAGGCCTTAAAGAGGTTTAGAAGAGGGGTTGAGTGAGAAGGGAGGGTGGCCTTTGGTGTGTCCCGTCTTCGGAAGCGCTGGGTCCTTCTCTTCATCCTTGCCTCTATGGGCTATTGTAGTCCATGGATCTAAGCATTTGCAGCCAAAACATTTCACTCCCAGGGTGGAAGGACCTGGCCAGCCAAGGAATAGCAGGAGTGTTGTGTGTGTGGGTGGGATGGGTAGAGATGGTCTTCTCCAGCTTCTTGGGGGGCTTTGGAAGCTCCCACAGCAGCACCCAGGACTAGTGAGTCTACAGTCTTTTCTTTGGTGAGCTTGCTCCCACCTTCTGAGACAAAAAGCATGCTCCACTCTCCTCTGAATAAGCCCTTTCCAGAATCCTACAACCATTTAGCCAAACTTCATTTGTTTCCAAGAAAAATATAGGTGTGCTTTTCCCTCTGTCAATATTTGACTTTGTTTTAGAGCCGATTTTACTAGTTTAAGCTTTGGGATTTGGGGGAAATGTTTAAGAAGCAGCGTATATAAAGAATATCTGCCTCTACAGAACAGGCTTAACTTAGAGGTTCAGCTCTCAAGCTTGTCAAACTTTTCTTCAGTGGATTCCAAAGTAGACAATGCAATATCAACATGTAGTTCAGTGTAAAAATTGTATCTCATTTCCCCAGTCTTTTCATGAAATGTTTAATGATGGAGCATCACATGATTTGTCTCCCTGAGAGTGAATACCCTGGAAAGGAGAGAAAACTATAAGTCCTTCATATTACTTTTGTTTTCATTTGGCCTTTTGAACAGACAAATTAAAATCTTAGGGGATTAATTGAGGTGGGGCTTAAGGAGACGGGTACATGTGGGAGGGAAGGAAATTAACACTCAGTACCTACTGGGTGCGAGGTGTTAAATCAGTGGCTTCATAAGTGTTCACAAGATATCTCAGTCTTTACAAGAGGCAACAAGCATGCAGGTTGCTGGTGTTAATGGCAGGATTCTTAACTCTTTGTCATGTAACTGTGTAGCACCCTTCCACTTGACTATATATGGGCTCTGTGACTTGCTTTGACCAAGTGAATGCAAGCAAACGTGATGCAAGCAAGGGATGAAAAAATATTGTGTGATTGGTGTGGAAGTTAATCAGACAAATTGGGTCATTCTTGTCATACCCAATTAAAATAGGGGCAAGAGACCAGGGAGAGAAAGCACTCAGGGCATGTAGCATTGATCCAAGAATGTAATTTTCTGCAAGCCTGGCTGCTGAAACTGCCTATTATAATCTGAAACTGGTTTTATCTAATGTTACTGAAACAACCTGCTGCTGCTCTAAGACTAGTTCTATCTATGGCTGTCACTCACCAATCAGAGCTTGCCTGCTCCCTAAAACTTTACTAATGCCAATGAACTTTCTTTCAAAACAATTCATATTTCTCCTTTTTATAAAACCTCCAACTGCCTCTTTGTTCTTTGGACATATGGAAGACTACCAAGTCTGTGTGTATGCCCCAGATTATAATTTTCTTGCTTTCCAGATAAACTGTTTTAAATTTAGAGATTTGTCTCTATATTTTGACTTTGACACTGGGCTTGTTCTCTTTCAGCATCTTTGCCATGTCATTAGAACAAGCCCAGGCTAGCCAGCTGGAGGTTGGGAGACATACGAAGCAGGACAAAATGGCCCCAATTGTGCAAGCTGAGGCCATCTTAGATCAACTAGCAGGTAGTCTAGCCCTGGCAGAGCCAACCACAGACTCATGAGCAGGCCAGCCACATTGCAGGCACATAGATGTGTACAACTAAGCCTGATTGAGCTCAGCTCAATCACCTGAACCCCACAAACTCATGAGCTAAATAAATGTGAATTGCTGTCTGCCACTGAGGTTTGGTGGTTATTTGTTATGCAGCATTATTGGGGCAATAAATAACCAGTGCTGCAAGGTTTGTGTTATTAATTGTTTTTTTAATAGCTGAAGACAATGAGGCTCAGAAAGGTTAATTAATATACCTAAGGTCACATAAGAAAGTGGCTGGGTCAGAGTGTGATCCAAGGTCTTCTGATGACCCCAAATTACATTCAAGGGATTAGAGCCAGGAAAGATGATATGATAAATTCATAATTTCTAAAACAATAAGCTTATGCTCCTCCTGGTCCCAATGCTGATCCTTTAAAACATAGTCAAATATGAATACAACCTAAAAGTAGATTAGCTTTGAGGGATGTAAAGCTATTAAAAAATGTAGTGTATTTCTTACATTTACTAAATTTGTTTTTCCTTTTACATACTTTAAGTTGAAATTGCTCCTCACTCAAGTCCTCACCCCTTTCTATTTATGTGATATATGCCATGAAGACTATGTAAAAACATAAAAGGAACTCTTACTTTTCTTAGGTGAAGAAAATAAGAGTGTTATGTAGTTTTCTCTGTTGGCATAAATGAGCAGATTAAGCATAAGTAGGAGATTCAGCATATCTCTATTTCCCTGACACAGAAATAGTGTGTTTGACCACTTTTTTGTGTGTTTTAGTATATTTTTGTCAACAGTCTTTTATTATATATATAAAAAAACCCATCTCTATTCCTTATAGAAGTTTTAAAATCATTTCACAGCTGAGTGGAACCCTAAACAGAGCTATCTTAGTGTAATGAAGCAGAAAACGATTGCTTCTTAACAAGACTGGTATATGGTGACAAACAACTCATAAAAATCCCATCTGCCACAAAATGCCTCTATTTTAGTTGCCTCAGAATCTAAATAGTATATTTCCCATTTCTTTTCAGAAACAACAGAGGAAATATAAAGCCTTCACCACCATCAAATTGTCCTGTGACAAGAAAAGCACTTAGCTCTTAATGTACTGATGTGGCTCATTCATAGGACCACACATGTCTGGTGATGCCCTTTAAAACTGTGCTGGGATTTTCTCCTTCCAGCTCTTCCATACTTGCCCCCACGCCTCCACCCCCCGACCCCCACCCCTGTCGCCATTGCAGGCTCCAAAAGAGTCATACAATAATACAATGCCATTTTTTGATGTTTTAACATCAAAGAATGCTCTGTATATCAGTCAGCTTTAGATTTTGTTTAGTAAAAACAAAAGACAACTCCAGAGTTTGCAGAGATGAAGAAATGGGACCATTTGCAGAATCAAATGATTTTATGAAAAACCATTTGTATTTTGCGGGGAAGGTGTTGTTGATTTCTACTTACGGCTTTAGATGACAACTATGTGTATGTGTATATGTATATCTGTTTTCCTTGGGTGGCTTTTTCAAAGTGTTTTCCCATCCCCTACTAATTCCACATACTTATCTCAACCAAACAGCTTTGTTTTTGAAACACTGAAGCTCAACTTGATAAAAATATAAAATAAAAATTCCAATGGTTTTGTTGAAAACCAGACCATTCACCTTTGTACAGAAAATAAATGTACTAGAGATTTTAACAGCTTTTCAAAATGCCATGTATCTATAGGTAATCTAGTACGACTTTTAAAATGTGAATATATTACTTTGTGAAAGATTTGTAAACCAACTTCTTTAGTTAGAACATAAAATACAATATGTAGTGGCTTATTTAAATACTTATTTACTTTTAAAAGAAGCTGGGAAGTTTTCTTTGAAAGGACCAATGCAAACTGATATTTAAATACATTTAACTTTCAAGTAGAACGGTGTGAAATTTTCTGGTCTTCTGAAGATATTACTGGCTTTCATGAAGTGGCAGTGGCTCAGTTCCCATCTTACTTCACACCAGGTGGAGCTTTTTCCCAAAGGATATAGCACACTTGGTTTCCATCATGATTGTAATATTCACTGAGTGACTACTATGCCACTGACTCGCAGTATCTCACTTAACCTCACAGGAAATTTCTGAGGTTGGTACTATTACACTCCATGACACAGAGGGAGATATGCAGGTTAAGAGAGGGTGAGGTCACACGGAGGCCACACCGCTGGTCAGTGGCGGAACCAAGGTTTGATTCCCAGTCTCTTTCCATTAAGTTGCATTGCCTCATGGAATAGGCAGAGGGATGAATGCAGCAGAAAGAGCACTGAATTGTGAGTCAGGAAGCCTGGGCTTTTACCTTTTTTTCAGCCAATAGCTGTATAACTCTAGGAATGGAATGTCGTTGTCATTTCACATTGATGAGAGGGCTGGACCAAATGCTGCCAAGGCTCCATAAAACTCATAGGTCTATGATTTAAATGGACATTGCTATATGAAAGCATGCATACTGAAGTCCAGGAGCTCAGTAATTATCTCCTATGTATATCAGCCAAATAAAATGCTCCAGTTCTTTGCCTACTTAAAAAAGACATTAAATATTACTGAAAATCCAAATAGTTTGCTTATTCATTCTCCTGTTGATAGACATTTTGGTCATTTCCAGTTTGGGGCTATTCTGAATAAGGGTGCTAAGAACATTCTCGTGGAAATATTTTGTGAATATGTACACTCATTTCTCTTGGATTTACAACTGGGCGTGATACCTACTCATTCAATACATATTTACTGAGCAACTGCTATGTGCCAGGGACTGCTGTTAGCATTAGCAATAAGATGGCGATTAAGCTGAAAAGATATCTGCGCTCATGAGGCTAACAATCTAATGGGAGCAGGTGATAAACATTATGAAGAAAATGGGGGCGATGTGAGGAAGAGTGAGTAGGTGATGGTGAGGAGGTAGGGAAGAGGGAGCAGAAGATTGTTATTTCACACAGAGTGGTCAAGGAAGCCCTCTCTGAGATGACATTTGTATTAGTTCGTTTTCACACTTCTGATAAAGACATACCCAAGACTAGGTAAATTATAAAGAAAAAGAGACTTAATGGACTCACAGTTCCACATGGCTGAAGAGGCTTCACAATCATGGTGGAAGGCGAAAGGCATGTCTTACATGGCAGCAAGCAAGAGAGAGAGAGAATGAGAGCCAAGCAAAAGGGATTTCCCCTTATAAAACCATCATATCTTGTGAGACTTATTTGCTCCCATGAAAACAGTATGGGGGAAACTGCCCCTATGATTCAATTATCTCCCACTGAGTTCCTCCCACAACATGTGGGAATTATGGGAGCTACAATTCAAGATGAGATTTGGGTGGGGACACAGCCAAATCATATCAACATTGAACTGAGACCCCAAATACTGGAGGAGCTGGCCTTGTGAAGAGCCCATGGAAGAGCTCTCAGGTGGAGGAAAAAGCATGGTACAATATGGTAGAGTATAATCGGTATTTAGCAAAGATCCATAGAATTTCAGTCCCAACAGGGTCCTTAGACACCACCTAGCCTATGCCTTTTCACTCTGCACATGAGAAAACTTAGGCTGCATTCTCAGTTAATGGTGGGGTCAGGAATAGAACCACGTTTTCTGGGTCCAACTCCCAGCTCTTCTTGTTAGCCTGTACCAGCCACCTCTACTGCCTTTCTTGATTGCTTACTCTGTGCCAGACACTGTATTGAGCCTGTTACTCCATTTTCTCACATAAGCTTTACGATACCTTGTGGTATAAGCATCATCCCAACCATTCTGATTACAAAACAAAGGCTCGGAGAAAGTTTAGTAACTTGTCACGTAAGTTACCAAAGAAAAGTTACTTGGAGAAAATAAAGGTTTGGGGAAGTTTAGTAATTTGTCACATAATTTTAATAAATGGTAGAGCTTAAATTTGATCTCAGATCAGTTCACCCCAAAGTCTGGACCTTTAGCTGCTGGGCCACACAGTCCTGTTAGTGTGTTACAATGCAGGAGTCCGCAACCCTCCAGCCACATGGCTGGCGGTGATCAGTGGCCAAGTAGCCAAGCAAGCGTTACAGCCTGAGCTCTGCCTCCTGTCAGATCAGTGGTGGTGTCAGAGTCTCATAGGACCATGAACCCTATTGTGAACTGTGCATGTGAGGATCTAGGTTATGTGCTCCTTAACTAATGCTAATGTCTGGTGATCTGAGGTGGAACAGTTGCATCACAAAACCACTACCACCGCCACCCTGCCCTGTGCCAGAAAGGTTGGGGACCACTGTTTTAATGTATTTCTAAACTTGGAAAGTTAGTTGTTTTACACATTTTGTATCTTATTAAGTGAAAAAATACATCCAGAAATACCTTTACATCTAGAAATTATTTAAAAATTATTTTTAAAAATTGAATGCTCAGACTGTTGAGTAAAATGACAGCTATTGAAGAAGAGAATAGAAAGTGCAAAGGATTATCAAAATTAACTTTCAACAATAGGTTTAGGTACTAAATAGTTGAAAGAAGCCAAGCTGTAAAATATGAACGTATTGATTCTGTTTAGTGTAGTACACATTATTGACACAGAATATTGTATTAGCCTTGCCACAGTAATTAGGCTATAACTTCTAAAATAAATATTATGCATACTGGACAAGAGAAAGAAAAGAAAGTTGTCAAATTACTATAGTCTGAAAATAGAGTGGGGGTGGGGTAGTGATGCTTATTTGAAAGAAATGAGCAGGGGCAAGGTGCTTAGTTTTCTAAGAGCCACCACGTGTTTACCAAGCGGTACCCAGCTATATTCCACATGGGATTGTTTCTTATTTTCTTAAAAAAAAAATAAAGGAAGGGCTCTTGGTCCACAGGGCTCAAATTCTTATTAAACATTATTTTCTCTTTTGCTATAAGAATCAAACTTTTGTGGGTTTTTTTGCAGATGTAACTATATTAGTTGCTGTTTTTGATAAAAGAGTGGGCAGCTGCTAGCCTCTGTAATTTTAAATGATATGATGGTAAAGGATGCACAATGTGCTGTGTGTCTTAATGTGTTCCAAAGTCAGACTTTATTCCAGTTCTCTAAAATGGAAGGTATCATAGGACAAGACTATCAAAAAATGAGGCATAAGTAAATATCTGCACCAATCATGACAGTTTATGCAGCAACAGCACAGGCTACATCAGGGCTTGGAAGGCAGTGATCTCATTCTTTCAGGAAATGTCTGTGATAGATCTTCCCAGATTTCCTTGCCAGTTTTTCCACCCCCACAACTTCCCCTTTCCCTCTTTCTTCCTTTTTGGTGTGTGAAGGCATATTGTTCTAATTTCCTTTGTAATGAATGTAAGACTATATGATATTAAAACCATTCTTTTTAAGAAATGAGAGAAATCAGATTTTCTCCCAATTCTATTCTTCTGTCTGCTGGCTTTCATTTGAGGTTGATTGCGTGTTTCATCTGCCATTGAAATGACAGGTATGTTTGGAAATGCTAACTCTTTTGCAGATGCTGTCATTCTTTATCTTTATGGGTTTCTTCGGTGGCATAAAGATAAAGACAACCATAGTTCATATTCTACAGCTTAAACCTAATGTGTTACATTAGGTGAAGGAAGCATAACATCACATTACATCTCTTGTTGGACCCTAGTATTATTAATTGCCTTACTACACTGCAATACTCTTAGGCTATATTTCTCTCAAAGTTACACAAGTAAAGCAGAAAAATATTCAACTGGGTAAAAATAAGACTTCTTTTATAAGACCATGGACACAGTTTTCTTGCATTCTATAAATGGCCAAGGTTTCCCATATGTGGCAGTAGAGATATAAGCTGACAGCAGGTGTTTCAGGTGTGAGGAAGAAGATGAAAAACAGATCACACTGAATTAATAAAATGAGTTCTTGGCTTTGAAACTTCTCTGACGGGGAGGAAATAGTATGGAATAAATATAAACATTCTGACACACACAAATAAGATGTACAAATGCTGGCTAAACTCTCACTTCCACCAGTCCCGGGGACTTCCTGGCCTCTGGCTATGACATTGGACACTAATTCGTGTTTCACTTAGGAACAACTTAGGGTGAAATAGCTACAAACTCAGAGGTAGATGATGGTAAGGAGATCACTAGCAGGCTGTTTGTACAGGCTTGTTTTGGACTTTAAAATTGGGAAAAGGTTATCTTGATAGAAACAGAAATTCAACGTATCTGGAGATGTTTAATAGCATTAGACTTTTTGAAGCGAGTTAAACAAATAAGAGGTAATAAGATCTTCCCATTCTCCACTCCTAATCTCCACTTTACTCTTACAAATAAAGATTTTTTTTTTTAACATTGCCTGTTACTTACAATGGAATAGGCCATAAGTGTTTCTTTCTTTTCCTCATGCTACCACTTTTGTTTCCAGAATGAGGGACAAATAAACAGCAAGCTCAGAATTCAAATATGGGTGACTCTTATGAGAATGTAAATTAGGATGGGAGATGCCCCTTCCCAAGAGGATCTTTAAGTAGTGGGTACAGTGCATAAATAAACTAAAACACAAAATAATGTTCTTCTTAAGAAAAGCCCTATAGGAGCAGCTGGTAAATTTCACATGACATTTAGCTTAAATTGCGCAAAATGCTAAGGCTGATGGAAATAGTTAGCTTAGTTTTTATTTTCTTTCCACAAATGCTGCAAATCATGCATGAGTGAAGACGTGATATAGTATGCATGATGCTATTTAAAATGTAAACAATGTCCACAAGAGGTAGCACTATGGAGATGTGCAACAGCCAAGGTTATTTAGATGCAGACAACAGAAACTGACTCTGGGTCAAAAGAAAATTTGTTGGAAGGCTATGAAGCAACAGGAATACTGGAAAATGGGGTTCAGAGCAGGAAAAGAACTGAGTGAACTCCAGGAATCCATGGGGCAGGAACTCCTCTTTGAGCTCATCAGAGTGCTCCCACTAGAATGAATGGAGGCTCAGGGGTCAAGTTCCAGGAAGAGACATCTGAATGGACCACTATGGTCATACCTTCCCTCCACCTCATGGCTCACATGGTTTCTTAATTAATGATCTTACCACATTTTGCCTAGTGGAGGAGAGATGATTTCCTAGTGTAAGACCAGAGTGCAGTAACCAAAAGTGGGGGGACGCATGCTCATCAGCCCAAAGAAATAATTGTCCACTGCACAGTGTAATGTATTATTGATTTTATATTTTTTATAGCTTTATATTAGTCTGTTCTCACACAGCTAATAAAGACATACCCAAAATGGGTTAATTTATAAAGGAAAGAGGTTTAATGTACTCATAATTCCATATGGCTGGGGATGCCTCACAATCATGGCAGAAGGCAAAGGAGAAGCAAAGTCATGTCTTACATAGCAACAGGCAAGAGACCTTGTGCAGGAGAACTCCCATTTATAAAACCATCAGATCTCATGACTTATTCATTACCATGACAACAGTTGTGGGGAAACTGCCCCCATCATTCAATTATCTCCACTGGCCCCACCCTTGACATGTGGGGATTATTACAATTAAAGGTGAGATTTGGGTGGGGACATGGCCAAACCATATCAAGCTGTTAGTTCACAGTCTATGTAATTTGTCAGAAGATGGGCAGGGCACAGGGAGAGAATGAGAAAATACTTTTATCATTGCATATTAGACAACTCAATGTTGCATAAGTAACCCACATAAGCACTGGGCATAAAATGGTTAAACTATCAAAACTTTGGACTGCTGTGGTCAGCAAGATGTTGAATTTTAATACAGAGGAAGTAAGATTTCATTGAATTTTTGCCCAATGGGGAATCTGTCTTAGCTGGCATCCAATTTTTAAGATTTCTCTCTCTTCCACATGGAGGAGTTAACATAATCTCTCTCCTTGTCAAGGAGTGGGACAAAACACAGAAGTAATTGAACCAGAGAACCCTAGACAGCAGAGCCACAGCCCCACAAACTGAAGAGATACAAAATTAGTGCTATGTCTGTCTTGCAAAGCATGCGGTAGGGAAGGAAAGCCTTCTTAGTAATATTGTTGGCAAATATCATGTACTTACAAACGCAGATGTAGAGAATGCCAACTTTGGACAAAAGTACCAAGTCCCAGATACTTGGCTGTGAATGTCCCAGAGCAGGCTGTCAAATGACAAGAGCAGATGAGGCTCAGGAAAACCTGAGCAAAACAAGCAAACAAAAAATCCAGAATATTTCATCATGGAGACAATTTGGCTTAGGCTGCTGGACAAGAGTTTTCGTGGACTAAGAAATAGGCATTAATTATACTAGTACACTCTATATACTGTTGATAATTTATTGTACTTAATATTGTTTGGGCTAAAAGTATAGTAAACAGCTTGAGGTATTCATTCTATAGTGGTGGTTCAGTCTGTCCCACGTTAGTTTCCTGCTATTTTCAGACAATTCCTGGAGGATCAGAGAAGAGCTGGGCAGATCTCCAAATGGATCCAGAGGGCTCTACATTGTAACTTAAGGGGGAAGGAGAATATAAGCAGCTGTAACTGCAAAACAGAACATGTTGGAGGATGGCACTCACGTGACACAGAAAGAACAAGATTGGTGGAGCCTCTGGCGCTTTGATGCAACTGGCCTTAAATCCAGATTTGCCATTTACCAGCTTTGTGACCTTGGGCAAGTCACTTAATCTCTTTAAGCCTTACTTTCCTCATCTAAAAAATGGATATGATGAGATAGTCCCTATTCTGTGGGGCTATGGGGAGATGAGGCATATCACTGGTTGGCACAACACATAGTAAGAGTTCAATATATCTGAGCTTTTAGTTTTATACCAAGGGAAGATCCTAGTAATTTATAGGTTAAAATAATGGGAAAGTAAATTTTGGGTAAAAGCTTTGGCTGTAGAGCTGGAGGCTGCTTAGATCATTGATAATTCATACCACATACATAATAATAAAACAGCTGTAAATGCCTTAACATGGATTCATGGTAAGCACTTTGTGAGCTCTATGCCTGACCTGTGTAATTTGTCTACCTGAGACTCCAATACAATCTTAGGTTGCATCCCCGAAAGCACTATGTCCAGCTTATAAGGTAGTACCTCTATTGTACTTGACTCTCATTATATGATGTCTCAGTTCTGCATTCTGAACAGTTGTGGGGGTAGAACACATTTTAAGAAGATAATTGACCATCTTGGTCAATTTCATGCTGCTATAACAAAATATCTGAGACTGGATAATTTGTAAACAACAGAAATTTATTTTTTTAACGTCTGGAGGCTGCGAAGTCCAAGATCAAGGTACCAGCCAGTTCAGTTGTCTGAAGAGGGCTGCTCTCCACTTCCAAGATGGCACCTTGACATGGCATCATCCAGTGGGGAGGAAGACTGTGTCCTCACATGGCAGTAGGTGGAAGGGGAAAAGGGATGAACCCCCTCTGTCAAGTCTTTTTTATAAGGGTACCTAATCCCATTCATGAGGGGAGTAGCTCTCATGGCCTAATTATCTCTTAAAGGCCCCACCTCTTAATACTATCACATTGAAACGCCTGAATTTGAGAGGAGGCACATTCAAACCATAGCACCGACATATTATAATAGGTTGACAGAATTGGCAGAAGGTCTTGCTATTCATGCCAAATGAGAAATGTTTGAAGGAACTGGGGATTAGTTGGAACATTTGAGACTAAAAGGAGATTTGATTGCTGTCTTCAAAAGTTGAAGGGTTGATAGTGAATGAGAAATGTGCCTGGATGCAATTGTTGAAAATGACAAGGAAGCATATTATGGCTCAGAACGAGGATGCTAATAATTAGAGCTGCTATAAGTTCAGATGGCTTTCTCTATAAGCTAGTTGGACTCCTGTTCCTGGAATATTCACAGGTAAGTTGTAACACAGTAATAACAGATGCTGAGGGCATTTTTTCCTGGAGTTAGAATTGTTAAGCAGATAACCTTAGTAGGTTATTCCAGCTTTTTAAATCTAAAATTTAATAAACATTCTACAAGGACAGAAATAAAATATGAGCAGTCTTGAAGCAAGTGGAATCCCTAGTGCTTCCAAAAATGAATGAAAAATTTCTGCAAAAGTGTGTCTGCTTCCACTGGATCTCAGGAATAGGTGTCCTTTGACCAAGGAGGCTGTGAAAGGTGTGGCCAGACAGAGGCTCTAAGGATTGGGCGCTCAAAGTAGAAAAAAGGCTGTAAAAAAAGTGGCTGCAGTTTTCTCATTGCATCCTGTTGATTGTGAATCATCCTTTGCTACTATTGACTTCTGAAGTCAAGAACATTCATGATGCTAGGATCAAGTTTCTTGATGATTGGATCAGACTTGGAAAGGACCCTATGCAGTCATTTAGCCTATTCCCTAGTTTTTTATTTTATTTTTTATTTTTTTAAACAACCATGGGCATATCTTGTCTTTAAAAATGACTACAGAAGAATTGGGGAGAGCATCCTGTCTGTGTTCTTAACCACCATTCTATCCTGCCTGGGGAGAAGAAAAACGAGGGATTAAAGAGCAATGGCCTTCTGGAGACCAGCTCTGGAGACCCTGGCAAACTCCTCCTGTACAAGGCTCAGTTTCTTCATCTCTCAAATGGGTGCAATAATAATATCCACTTGATAGGTTAATTATAAGGACTGATTAAGATAATATATAACAAAGTGCTTAGCATAATGTCCAGCACATCGTCAGCCCCCAGTGAATGCTACTTATAATGAGCTTTATATCCATGTTTTCTGCTCTGTCATGGTAGGAGCAACCCAAATGATCAAAAACTTTAATACAATTTCAAATATTTATTATTTTTACTAAGCATAGTTTAATTACTTGGGGGAAAATTAATTCAGCATCTGGAAATCTTTATTGAAAATATTTACTAAATTTTAGTTCATTTCTAGCCCTCTCAGAGCTCTTTAAGTTGTTAACATCCGTATTAAATTGTAGCACTCTAAGTAGTAAAATGATGAGTAAGGTTTACTAGCAGACTTTCCTAGAGTGTACTGCCATGTTTAGACTTGAGCTGCATATGATAATAATTGAGAAACAGTTATAAATTATTGAAACTAGATTAGTTATAAATAGCTACCCTGATAATTAGTCATGGAAGCCTGAAAGTAAAGTGCTTTAAGAAGTTTGCATATCCTTAAACACTTGCCCTGTAAGTGGGGAAGGAAAGCACAATAGATTTCTGTAATAATTATTGGAAAGTTTGTGTCAGATAGACCTGTCTTTACAAGACTAATGGAAAAGAGATCCAGCAGATCCGAGTTACATTTATGTTAAAAATTTCTTACTTCCTCTCGATAATATAAATTACTTCTTGTAAATGTGATCAAGCAACTGTTCTCTAGCCCTTAAGTCATTATGTACTTATTTATTACAAAAAGCCATATTTTACAACCAAATGGAAATTTCAAGAATTGCCATGGATTATGTTGTATTTTTAAAAATTTGGTTATTCTAATACTGTAATTTCTAATCTGCCACCAAAAAAGAATAAAATAATACTCATGCCTAATTGAAACTCATCTATAATCAAGCAATATGAGGAATTAAATACAAAAAATGGCAGTGTTATAAAATTTCGTGCCCAAAATTACTTTTTGCAGGTCATTAATATTTATAACTAAACTGTCCTTTGATGTGCATTAATAATGTACCTTGGGATTACACAAAGAATAATTCACACATATTCTGGAAATGGGGAAGAAGCTATAATTAAATCACAGTAATTAACATGGATATTGGGTTATGATTTGAATGAATCACAAATTCTTACTATGTAGGTTGATAGGTTGATTGTTACATGAGATTCAGAAGGTTAAGATTCAGCAAATAGAAAGTAGAGATGTATGAAAGTAACTTTCTGGAAAAAGAGCTTTTCCTAAAACCTGTGCTCACAGTTCATATGAACTTGTAAACAAGAACTTGTCACTGAGAAAGTATAGTAGGCAACAAAATTATATTCATTTATTAAATATTTTTAATATTCAGGTTGTCTGTTGCAGAGCACAATGTTAATTTCTTTATTAATTCAACCAAGTTTCACTGATGTTATGCTTTTTAACTGATTTTTTAAATGTAAATTTAAAAACCAGATATTGCCTTGTCTATTAAGAAATTGAAATAGCTTACTTTAATATTTAATTTTGATGATGTTTGGGACTCCTTTAATCTTCAGGCAGAGCAGTTTTGTCAAGATCAACTTTATTAATAATTTAGTTTTTCTTCTAGACTTGAAAGCCTTCATTGTGTGATGCTGCTATAGAAACTGTATCAAACCACTGGGCTCCCATGAAAGTATATTATCAACATTCAAACTGTAAATGTGAGCTGGAATTTTAATATAGAGATGTTAATTGTTATCTTTTCTGTGACATATTTATACCTATATGAATTAGGTGATTTATCACTAGTGGTTTAGGTGGTCCCCAGATCAGCTTTTTCTTCTCTTTTTCCTGTTTCAGAGAATGGCAATAGCATCTGCCCATCACATGATCCTGATGCCTTGACTCCTTCCTTACTCCCAGTCACACACCTAGTCCTTCTATGACCTCAGTTTTCTTGAAAACATCAATTTCTTTCCATCTTTCCTACCACTGCCTTAGTCTGAATCACCATAATCTCAGGATTTCAGCAATGGTCTCTCTTTCTCTAGTGCCGATATCTTCCAACCCATTCTCCTCATGGTAGCTAAAGGAATCTTGCTGAAATACAAAGCTGACCACAGTGTTCCATCTACTCCTTTTCAATTTTGAGTATCTTCAACATCCTGTAGATGGTTTAATGAATATTCTGGTCTTGTAGTACCTTAGCCATTTCATCTGCAATGAATATTTCCTTCACTCCAATTCAGCATTCTCTCCACTGCTCCAAGTTCAAAATCATACGTTCATACATTTCATTCCCTGAACACGATGTCCTATATTTTTAGTTTATTTCCTCAATTATCTATGAAAACAATTCTTTAAAGACACTGAATGCTTTAATCAATTTTCTTCCTAATCTTCAGCCCTCTCGTCTTCACTTTTCTTCCTTATACACTTTGAATCCACCATAATAACTATACAATTTTTATGCAAATGAGTAATTATAATTGTACTCTGGGAAATCTACACCCCTGTAAGGTCTAGCCTTCCATCTTCTCCAAGCATATGCCCACATATCCAAGTGTTGGACAGAGAAGCCATATGGCAGGCAGGTTGGAGTAAACATAAATTTGTGATCACCACCTACCTGAATGTTTGTCTTCCTCCAAAACTCATGTTGAAAAAATCCCCATCCAATGTAGTAGTATTAAGAAGTGGGGACTTTGGGAGGTGATTACATCATGAGGGCAGAGCCTTCATGAAAGAGATTAGTGCTTGATATGGTTTGGCCCTATGTTCCCACCCAAGTCTCACCTTGAATGGTAATAATCTCCATGTGTCCTGGGAGGGACCTGGGGGGAGGTCAGTGACTCATTGGAGTGGGTTTTCCGTGTTCTGTTCTTGTGATAGTGAATAAGTCTCATGAGGTCTGATGGTTTTATAAAGGGCAGGTCTCCTGCCCATGCTCTCTATCTTGCCTGCCACCATGTAAGATGTGCCTTTGCTTCTCCTTTGCCTTCCTTCATGATTGTGAGGCCTCCCCAGCCATGCTGAACTTTGAGTCAATTAAACCTCTTTTTTTTATAGATTACTCAGTCTGTGGTAGTATCTTTGCAGCAACGTGAGAACTGACTAATACAATAAATTGGTACCAGTAGAGTGGGATGCTGCTGTAAAGATACCCAAAAACGTGGAAGCAACTTTGGAACTGGGTAACAGGCAGAGGTTGGAACAGTTTGGAGAGCTCCGAAGAAGACAGGAAGATGTGGAAAAGTTTGGAACTTCCTAGAGACTTGTTGAATGGCTTTGACCAAAATGCTGATAGTGATAGGGACAATAAAGTCCAGAACTTGTTGGGAACTAGAGCAAAGGTGACTGTTGCTATGTTTTAGCAAAGAGACTGGAGGCATTTTGCCCCTGCCCTAGAAATCTGTGGAACTTTGAACTTGAGAGAGATGATTTAGGGCATCTGGCAGAAGAAATCTCTAAGCAGCAAAGTGTTCAAGAGGTGACTTGGGAACTGTTAAAAGCATTCAGTTTTATGTATTCACAAAGATATGGTTTGGAATTGGAACTTATGTTTAAAAGGGAAGCAGAAGATAAGAGTTCAGAAAATTTGCAGCCTGATGATGTGATAGAAAAGAAAACCCACTTTCTGAGGAGAAATTCAAGCTGGCTGCAGAAATTTGTATAAGTAACAAGGAGCCAAATGTTAATCACTAAGACTATGGGGAAAATGTTCCCATGGATTGTCGGAGGTCTTCTCAGCAGCCCCTCCCATCACAGGCCCAGAGGCCTAGGAGGATAAAATGGTTTCCTGAGCTGGCCCAGGGCTTTGCTTCTTTGTGCAGTCTTGGGAATTGGTGCCCTCTGTCCCAGCCATGGCCAAAAGGGGCCAATATAGAGCTATGGCCATGACTTTAGAGGGTGCAAGCCCCAAGCTTGTCAGCTTCCATGTGGTGTTGAGCTTCCACAAGCTACACAGAAGTCAAGAATTAGGGTTTGGGAACCTCTGCCTAGATTTCAGAGGATGTATGGAAGCACCTGGGTGTCTCCGCAGAAGTTTGTTGCAGGGGTAGGGCCCTCATGGAGTGCCTCTGCTAGGGCAGTACAGAAGGAAAATGTGGGGTCGGAGCCCCCAAACAGAGTCCCAACTGGGGCACTGCCTAGTGGAGCTGTGAGAAGAGGGCCACTGTCTTCCAGATCCACTGACAGCTTGCACCATGCACCTAGAAAAGCCATAGAAACTCAATACCAGCTGTTGAAAGCATCTGGGAGGGGGGCTGTACCCTTCAAACTGCCTGAGGCCATGGGAGCCCACCTCTTGTACTGTGACCTGGATGTGAGACATGGAGTCAAAGGAGATCATTTTGAAGCTTTAAGATTTGACTGCCCCACTGGATTTCAGAATTGCATGGGGCCTGTAGCCCCTTTGCTTTGGCCTATTTCTCCCATTTGGAGTGGGTATATTTACCCAACGTCTGTACCCCTGTTGTATCTAGGAAGTAACTAACTTGGCTTTGGTTTTACAGGCTCATAGGCAGAAGGGACTTGCATTGTCTCAGATGAGATTTTGGAATCTTTCAGAACTGTGAGTGATGTATTTCTGTACTTTATAAATTACCAAATCTAAGGTATTTTGTGATAGTAGCCCAAACAGACTAAGACAACACCCTCAGTGTAAAATCAGCACTGGCATGCCATTCTGTTGTTTTTTTCTAGTAAGCTCATGCTTCTATTCATCACATGGACTCTCACATCTTTTCATTTCTCAAACTCCCACTGAAGAACTTGCCTCAGATTCACTGAGAAAACATAAATCAACAATGGGGAAATTCATCAGCCTTTCCTCGCAAACTTCCATATCTATTTTCTCTTTTCCAGAAACAATGAAAGTTTGTTTCTCCTCCACTCAAAGATTTATTTTTCCATGTGTGCCATAGCCCTTTTCTTTTATCCTCATCAAAGACTCTGTCCTTTTGCCATTTCCTCTGTTTCTTGCATTTTTCCCCTTCTCATTTGGTTCATTTTCATTAGTTTATAAACATACTTGACTATCTCCCATTTTAAATAAACTCTCCCTGGACCCCACATATTGCATTAGCTGTAAACCATTTTCCTTTACTTTTCATAGCCAAATTTTTCCAAAGAGTTGTCTATAATGCTTTCTCCAATTTCTCATCTTTTATTTATTACCTTTAGAAATTATCAACTAAGAAATAAAAGCTAACATTTATTTATTGAGTGGCTACAGTGTGCCAGGCACTGTTTTACATGTATTTGTTTGTTTAATTCACAAACAGCACCACTGGGTAGGAAATATTAACTAAATTTTACAGATGAGGAAATTGAGAAGCAGAGAGTAGCAAGATCAAGATTTGAACCCAGGCAGTCCAGCCCCAGAGACTGTGCTCTTAATAGTGAAACTACTGCCTCTTGAGAACAGAACATTATATGTAAAACTTCTCCACAGCTCCAAACATCTTCCTCCATTTTCAAAGCCACTGTTACCATTATTTTAGCACATGTCCTTCCCATAATGTTTTGACATTTTATGGCATATATATTCCACCACAAAAAATAAAGTTTTTTTATGTGTTTTCATATTAACATAAATATCCATAGATTTACCATATTTATCATTCAGCCTCATCCACTTAACATTATATTTTGGAGATCTATTTATGTTGACATATAGTTCTAATTAATTTATTTTAGCTTTTCTGTGGTATTCAATTATACTTATATATCATAATTGATTTATTCTACCATTTTTGGACTTTTAAGTTGCTTGCAGTTTTTTATGGCATCACAAAGAACAGTAAACATTTTTAAAACTATTTATTTCTACTTTAATAACATGGTATCAGGGAATTTTTTCATTCTAAAGAATGAATTCTTTAGAATTTGTTAAAACTTTTTTTTTTTTTTTTTGAGATGGAGTCTTGCTCTGTTGCCCAGGCTTCAGTGCAGTGGCATGATCTCGGCTCACTGCAAGCTCCATCTCCCAGGTTCACGCTATTTTCCTGCCTCAGCCTCCCGAGTAGCTGGGACTACAGGCACCCGCCACCACACCCAGCTAATTTTTTGTATTTTTAGTAGAGATGGGGTTTCACTGTGTTAGCCAGGATGGTCTTGATCTCCTGACCTTGTGATTTGCCTGCCTCAGTCTTCCAAAGTGCTGGGATTACAGGCATGAGCCACCGTGCCCTGCAAAACTTCTTTTGATTTTTATTACTTGGTCAATTTGTGAACACATCATGTATACCTGAAAAGAATATGTATTTAATAGCCATGGATAAAGAATTCTTTGTTTTCTCCTTTGCTGTTTTGAAAGTTAAATATTCTATTTTTATTTTTATACATGTTTTCCTTATAATGTATATTTACTCTTAAATTTACAATATTTAAAATTAATCAGCATCTCTGTTTTCTTTTGGAATGACTTAAGGGAGTCTTAGAAAGTTTTAAGCTTTATTCTTCAGCCTCCAGACTAATATTTCATGTGATTTTTGTCTGTTATGTTCAGTTTTGTTTTTTATACCCTTCTCAAAATAGCCAATTATTATAATAAGTAATTTAATGTTTATTTACATTTACCCACATGCTTATAAATGTTTTGGTCACTATTGCTTCTTATTCTCTTATCCTTCTTTCTGTTTTCAATTTTATTTTTGCTGAAGTGTATCCTTTAGTATTTCTTTCAGGGAGGGTCTGTGAGTGTAAATGCTCTTAGTCTCTGGTATTTTGAAAATGCTTTTATTTCACATGAATTCCTTTGCCCTAATTTAGAGAAAAATAAAATTCAAGGTTGATTTATTTCTCATGAGTACTTTATACATATGTTTTTAAAATTGACAAAAGTTTTATATATTATATACAACATGTTTTGAACTATGTACACATTGTAGAATAGCTAAATTGAGCTAATTAACCTATGCATTACTTCACATACTTATTGTTTGTGGTGAGAACACTTAAAATTTACTCTCAGAAACTTTCAAGAATACAATGCATTGCTATTAACTATAGTTACCATGTTGTACAATAGATCTATTGAAATTATTCCTCCTGTGTAAATGGAATTTTGTATCCTTTGACTAATATCTTCTCAACTGACTACTCTCAGCCCCTTGTAATCACCATTCTACTCTCTATTTCTGTGAGTTCAATGATAGATTCTTTATATAAGTGAGGTCATGCAGTATTTGTCTTGCTGTGCCTGGCTTATTTTACTTCACATAATGTTCTCCAGGTTCATTCATGTTGCCACAGATAACAGAATTTCCTTGTTTTTTTTTAAGGCTGAATAATATTCGATTGTGTTTATATACCACATTTTCTTTATCCATTCATCTTTTGATGAACACACATGTTGATTTTATATCTTGGCTATTGTGAATAGTGCTGCAATGAACATGGCAGTGCAGATATCTCTTTGACATAGTGATTTCATTTCCTTTGGATATTTCTTTGGATATATACCCAATTGTGAGATGGTTGGCTCACATCTATTTATGATTTTTTGAAGAATCACCATAGTGTTTTCCATAATGCTTATATCAATTTACATTCTTACCAACAGTGTATAAGAGTTCCCTTTTCCCCACATTCTTGCCAACACTTATTATCTTCTGTCTTTTTGCTAATAGCTATTCTAACAGATGTGAAGGGATATCTCATTGTGGTTTTAATTCGCATTTCTCTGATAATTAGTGTGTTCATTTTCACACTGCTATAAATACCTGAGACTGGGTAATTTATGAAAAAAAGAGGTTTAATTGACTCACAGTTTCCTGGACTTAACAGGAATCATGATGGGAGGCCTTAGGAAACTTACAATCATGGCAGAAGGCAAAGGGGAAGCAAGGACTTTCTTCACATGGTGGCAGGAGAGAGTGAGCAAAGGGAAGTGCTACACACTCTCAAAACCATCGGTTTTTGTGAAAACTCACTCACTATGACCAGAACAGCGTGGGGGAAACCTGCCCCTATGATCCAATCACCTCCCACCAGGCACCTCCTCCAACATGTCGGGATTACAATTTGAGATGAGATGTGGTTGGAGACACAGAGCCAAACCGTATCAAATAGTGATGTTGAACATTTTTTTCATATGCCTGTTGGCTCCCATGAGTACTTTTAAGCTATTATTTTATTGTTTTCTGGTTTTTATTATTGCAGATCTTGAATCTAATTATCATTTCATGATAAGTAATGCTTTTTCTCTCTTTTTTAAAAAATTTATTTATTATACTTTAAGTTCTAGGGTACATGTGCACAACGTGCAGGTTTGTTACATATGTATACATGTGCCATGTTGGTGTGCTGCACCCATTAACTCGTCATTTACATTAGGTATGTCTCCTAATGCTATCCTTCCCCCCTCCCCCTACCCCAGGACAGGCCCTGGTGTGTGATGTTCCCCTTCCTGTGTCCAGGTGTTCTCATTGTTCAATTCCCACCTATGAGTGAGAACATGCGGTGTTTGGTTTTTTGTCCTTGCGATAGTTTGCTGAGAATGATGGTTTCCAGCTTCATCCATGTCTCTGCAAAGGACATGAACTCATCCTTTTTTATGGCTGCATAGTATTCCATGGTGTATATGTGCCACACTTTCTTAATCCAGTCTATCATTGTTGGACATTTGGGTTGGTTCCAAGTCTTTGCTATTGTGAATAGTGCCACAATAAACATATGTGTGCATGTGTCTTTATAGCAGCATGATTTATAATCCTTTGGGTATATACCAAGTAATGGGATGGCTGGGTCAAATGGTATTTCTAGTTCTAGATCCTTGAGGAATTGCCACACTGTCTTCCACAATGGTTGAACTAGTTTATAGTCCCGCCAACAGTGTAAAAGTGTTCCTATTTCTCCACATCCTTTCCAGCACCTGTTGTTTCCTGACTTTTTAATGATTGCCATTCTAACTGGTGTGAGATGGTATCTCATTGTGGTTTTGATTTGCATTTCTCTGATGGCCAGTGATAATGAACATTTTTTCATGTGTCTGTTGGCCGCATAAATTTCTTCTTTTGAGAAGTGTCTGTTCATATCCTTCGCCCACTTTGTGATGGGTTGTTTGTTTTTTTCTTGTAAATTTGTTTGAGTTCTTTGTAGATTCTGGATATTAGCCCTTTGTCAGATGAGTAGATTGCAAAAATTTTCTCCCATTCTGTAGGTTGCCTGCTTTTTCTCTAGAATACTTTTAAGGTCTCTTTATGTCAACTACTGCAGTGCCAGAAGGAAAATTTTAATCTGGATTTGTTTTTCTATTTATCCTATTCAGAACTCATTATCTTCTTTCAGTTCCTTTGAATACTGTATTTTCTCCATATCCTGTACTATCATTTTTGGAATTCTGATTAGATGTATGTTGGACCTACTCATTCTGGGTTTCCTCTCAAATTTTCTCTCATACTTTCCATCTCTTTTGCTTCATTCGGAGTTATTTAATCAGGTTTATTTCAACTGATTATTCTTTCCATAGTTATACCAATCCATTTAGCTCTTTACATGTTTGTCCCATCCCCTGAGGTCTTAATTTAGTGGCTGTATTTTTCAATTCTAAAATGGCAGTACATCATGCCTGTGCCCAGAATCCTGTTGCCTTCTCTGTTTGCATACTCTCTCTCTAGATGATCTTGTTTATTTCCAGTGGTTGATGACTTAGTTTTATATCTTTGGCCTAGACCTTTCTCTTAAGTTTCTGACTTATACAGATACCCAATTCCTTTGTGACTTATATGTTAAATAGACATCTCAGACTTAAAATGTCCAAAATGAAACTCTGTATTTCTCTTGGAAGACTTTCCCCCTGACTCCTCCTCATCTCAGTAAGTGACGCTACTATTCCTCTGGAGATCAAGCCAGAGTCTGAGACTTCATCCTGAATTCCTTTTACTCCCTTTCTGCCTACAACTACCTCTTTTGCCAGCTTTAATGCTTTTAGCTTCTACTTTCTCTCTCTGCTCCCACAAAACCATTTTCATCTCTTACCTGGAAGACTGCAGTTGGCTCATAACCAGCCTCCCTGTGTCCACTCTTGCCTCTTATAATCAACATGGCCAATGGAACAATCGTCTAAAAATAGAAATTAAATCATATCACTAACATGCTTAAAATTCTTCAATGGCTTGTACTTGAACTGCACTTGGCATACAATTCTCCTCCTTCAGAATTCTTTGGTCTTCAAGGTCCTGTGTGGTCTGTCTCTTGCCCACTTCTTTTCAGCTCTCTTCCCCTTGATCATATGTTCCTGCCCTATTTTAGCCATTTCCCACATTCCCCCTGTGTTACCATGTCACTTGATGCCCTCCTTACCTGAAATACTTCTCCCAAATCTTTACATAGTGGCTGTTTCTCAGCTTTCTTTTCTTTTTTCTCTTTTTGTTTTTTTTTGAGACGGAGTCTCGCTCTGTCGCCCAGGCTGGAGTACAGTGGCACGATCCGGCTCGCTGCAAGCTCTGCCTCCCGGGTTCACGCCATTCTCCTGCCTCAGCCTCCTGAGTAGCTGGGACTACAGGCGCCCACCACCACGCCCGGCTAACTTTTTGTATTATTATTAGAGACAGGGTTTCACCATGTTAGCCAGGATGGTCTCGATCTCCTGACCTCGTGATCTGCCTGCCTCGGCCTCCCGAAGTGCTGGGATTACAGGCTTGAGTCACCACGCCCGGCCCTCTCAGCTTTCAAATCTCACTTTAAATGCTATGCCACAGTGATGCCTTCCTTAACCATGGAATTATAATAGGACCCCTCCCAGATCTCCTCTACATCATGTTTTTCTGTGTCAGCAGACTACTTGTTTTCTTCACAGAACCAAGTAACATTTGGTAGTTACTTATTTACTTGCTAGTATCTTTCACCATAGGTTTTAAGTCCTACAAGGGCAAAGCCATTATGTAATTTTTCTCACCACTACACATCCTGTATCTGGCATTGTGTCTGATAGTTTGAGATTCATTCATTTTTCTTTCATTCATACAAGTATTTATTTAGTGCCTATAGCCAGACTCTGCTAGATGTTAGAAATATAACTATGAGCCAAGACAGACATGGTTGCTGCCCTTGCAGAGCCTGTAGTCTTAAGAGTAATACAAGTGATTACAAAGTAGTACAAGTGCTTTAACTGAGGAAGTATGGGGTGGGAGGGAACACATAGATGGAAACTTAAACCAGTCTTGATATTGCAGGGTGGGGGGGTGCATCAGAGAGGGCTTCCTGGAGGAAGTGACATTGCATCTGAGACCTGATGAATCAATAAAAGTTTACCAGATAAAGTTAATAATAAAATCAATAGAAGTTTACCAGATAAAGTAAATTAACAATATACACAAAGATTTGGACGTGGAGGAAACTGTGGTGTAGCTGAGGAACATAAATTCAGTGTGGCTGGAGCATAAAGGTGAGGAATACTGAGAGGTAAGTTTGTAGGGTTGTCAGTCATGCACTACATTAATACTATGTTAAGAAATTGAAAGTTTTTCTAAGAACAATAAGAAGCATTAAAGGGTTTTTCAGGAGGTGATGGATACGATTATATTTGCATTAAAAATTTCTGAGGCTAAGTTGATTGGGGAGAGATGAGTTTTCTGCTGAGCAATAGGCAAGGTATCATGGGATGAACAATTGGGTAAACATTGTTCTCAGATGAATAGCAAATTTTTAAAAATGCTTATTTCATAATGTAGTTATTCACTGGTATTGTAATACAAGTAATAGATTCACTAAAATAAATTAAATTGTATAATTATGTACTCTTTTACTGGGAATAAGAATGGAGGAAGGGGGAAAGAATTATAATAGGGGAATAAAGAGAAAGACATTTATAATTTATCAAAATAAAAATTCTGGCTTGTGGCTGTTGATTTCTCAGATTTCAAGTCTCAGTTTAATGTTATCACTTCAGCACAATAGCTTTAAAGTTCAAGAAATGTAGACAACCAGCATTTAATTGTAATAATAAAGGTTAGTCTCTATTAACTGATATACCAAGGCAAGGCACCTACGACTAGGAGCTTTCCTGCTACCCATATGCACTCTGGTCCTCTTCTCTGTGTCTAAGCCAGCCTGGCTGTCTTTCGGTGTGGCATGTAGAGACATCTGTGGCGGGGGAAGGGCTGTACCACCCATAGTGAGGGATCTGGCTACAGGAGGGAGGGGTGGGAATGTTGATGGCCACAGCGACGTAGTAGAAAATTCCCAAGGAGTGATAGGTTTGAAAGGATGTTCTTGAGGAGCTGAAGTAGGCATGAAAATTCCATTATAACTTTGGAGTAGCTGAAGTAGGCATGAAAATTCCATTATAACTTTGGAGTTACACCGTGCTTTATGGTTTGAAAGTCCTTTTTTATTCACTATTTATTTGAATGTCACAGTTTCACTTTGATGAATAGGATTATTCCCATTTCTCTGGCAAGAAAAACAAGAGTCTCATTATGTAAACAACTTGCCCCAATCACACAGTTGTGAATGGAGTAAACCAATGTAAATCATACCTTACCAGTTTCATTTTTTTTTTTTTTGCAGAAGTTCATCTCTATCTTTTATTTAGTTAGTGCTAGTAGTCTGTACTCAAATTAACCATAGGTTATAAAATGATCTTGAAAAGAAAAACAGAAAATCACCTTACAAAGCATCATTGTGGGGAAACGACACATTCTCTCAAGCTAATCGTCCAAATAAAGGTATTAAAACATTTCATTTTTAATGGAAAATTTCCAAACATGGACTTTATCATTTTCTTTTATCAGTGGTAACACAGTGCCCATTTTCTTTTATCATTTTCTTTTATCTGTGGTTAATTTATTCTTTTATCTGTGGTAACACAATGCCCAGTAGACAGAAGGTAGCCAGTATGTATTGAATTATCATAATAAACAACTGCTATTGTACATGAAATCCTCCTTAATACTTGCAAGCCTCTTTGCCTCTTTCCTCAATGACTCCAAGCCACTGCACATTTACTGGCTTAGTTATTTCTGTTTTTGCCCTTGTTGGGCTGTCACCCTGTTACATCTTTGCATTTATAACAATGTCCTTCTCTCCCCTGCTAACTTGCTATTTGTGATCTTCTGTGGTCTAGGAAACCAAATATTCAAGTGACTTATTTTATTTCTTCTATTTTCACTGTGATTGCTTTTCTAACGCTTAAAGGGAGAGTTTAAATTGTTTGCATGAGTGTTAGGATAAGGTGATCCTGCAACAGACTTACTCAAATTGGATCTTGGTATACAGACTCCCTGATGGATGCTTAATATGCTGGGTCTTGTTTCTCCTCAGGGGCTAAAGTTATGGGACCAGAACATGAGATAAACTTAACCCTAAATTATATGCTGTCTATATATTTTAATCAGAAGCTTAAAATCCCTGCAGAATTTGCTTCTGCAAGTCACCGATTTTGAACTCTGTTGCTGTGTCTGATTGCTCATGTAATATTAAACCCTAGTTGAGCCTTAATTTCAAGAAATATGAACCAAACTCTGTAAACGCGGATTTCAAGAACTGCTGAACTATGGGAAGTAGTTTTTTTTTTTTTTTACAGTTACTGAAAAATGCAAATAATGAACAGTTTCTGAGAGATGTTTCTGAATTCAGCTGTCATTTTTTAAATGGACAGGAATTATTAATGGTTGGCATACTATACCACACATTCCATTTAATTTAATGATATCTCCATTTGAATGTCTGATAGACATTTCAAACAACGCCAAAACAGACTCTTAATTTTACCCTCCCTCACCCTGACCTATTTTCCCCAAACTTTATATCTCAGTGGAATCATCACCAGCCACCAGTTACTCATGCCCAAAACTTAGAAGTCCTTTTAAATTTCTTCCTTTCCCTAGCCTCCTGTAAGCAACCCATCAGCAAATCTTACTGTTTCAATCTCAAAAAAAAAAAAAAAAAATTCGGAGTCTTTCTTTTTCTTTCCAGGTCTTCTGCCACAGCCTTGGAGGAAGTCATCTCCCTGGCCACAGTAGCCCTCTCTTGAATTATTCTCCCCGCCCTAGAGTATATGCTTCTAACAGCTGCAGGAGGTGATATGTTAAAATTTTCTGAGGATATGTTGGTTGGGGAGAGATTGATGAGTTTTTTCTGTTGAGCGCTTGAGTAAGATATCATGGGATGAACAATTGGGTAAACGTTGTTCTGGCCTCTCTCTGCTTCTCACTGCACTTAGAATAAAATAAACACTCCTTACCATCACCATTGGCCTTGGCAACATGGAGCTCATTAGAAGCTCCTATGAGACATTTTAGTGGAGTTGTGCGAGTGGGCAGCAGCATGCTGAGGGTAGAGGAGCTAATAGCAGTTATAAGTTGTGGCTAACAAGTCATTACTTCAGAAAGCCGGATATGAAAAGGAGGAGAGAGATAGGAGGCAACAAGAGAGGTTGTAGGGGTTAAGGCAGTGGGTTTTTTTGAAAAGACCTAAAGACGTAAGCAAACTTAAGTAGAGAAGGAGAAAGAATAGGAAAACTTCACACATGAGGACAAGGAGATGATTGAGTAATGTCACTGAGGGGGCAAGAAGTGGTGAGTGATTTAGTCTTAGGCTCTGCAATAGCTATCTCTTGTTATGTAACAAATTACCTGAAAATTAAGCAGTTTAAAACAATATTATCTCACACAATTTCTGGAGATCAGGAATCTGGGAGGTGCTTAGTTGGGCTGTTGTGGCTCAGGAGCTCTTGGGAGGTTGCAGTCAGGCTGTTGGCTGAGTTACGGTCTCTGAAAACTGGGCTGGAGCCAGAGCATCTGCTTGCAAGCTGTTGGCAAGAAGCTTCCTCACCCCACGGGCAGAGCTCCCCATAAGGGCTGCTTATGAGAAGGTTTAACCTAGAGCACGTGACTCAAGAGACAGTGAGAGAGCCATTTTTTTTTTTTTTTTTAAGATGGAGTCTAGCTCTGTGGCCCGGGCTAGAGTGCAGTGGCGCAATCTCGACTCACTGCAAGCTCCGCCTCCCGGGTTCACGCCATTCTCCTGCCTCAGCCTCCCGAGTAGCTGGGATTACAGGCACCCGCCACCACGCCCGGCTAATTGTTTTGTATTTTTTTCAGTAGAGACAGGGTTTCACCGTGTTAGCCAGGATGGTCTCATCTATTGACCTCGTGATCCGCCCGCCTTGGCCTCCCAAAGTGCTGAGATTACAGGCATGAGCCACCGCGCCCGGCCTGTAGTGGCGTCTTTTATAACCCAGTCATGGAGTAACCGCCATCAGTTCTGTCATGTTCTGTTGTTCACTCAGATCCACTTTGCTACAATGTGAGAAGTGACTATAGAATATGAATCCCAGGAGACAGGGATCACTGGGGTTCATCTCAGAGACTGCCTACCCCAGAACTCAAAAAGAATATCTTTGCTTTGTATGAAAGGAGTGTGAAAGGGGAGAAAGCTGAGAGAGACGCTGGCCAGTGGCCCCAGTTTTCTCAGTGAAGTGGAAAGTAAAGTGATGCCCTGAAAGTGAGAAGGCGGGAGAGGCAGACTGGGGAGGGAGAGTGAGGTTTGGAGTCACCATTCAGGAGCATGGGAAAGGTGGCCCTTTTATGTGTAGAATGGTCAGGTAGAATGGAGAGCTCAGCTGAGGTGGGAAATCAAAAATGTGCAGAAGCACCAGTGTGCCTCGTTGTGTGATTTTTCTCTCTCAGGTGTAATGAAGCAGAAATGAGGACACTGGATGATTGGTGTGATCCAGGATAGGGCTTTTGTTAAAAGGATGTGGACCAGGCAGAAACAGCCAGGATAGTCCTAAAAAATATTGGGGAAATGATTGAGGTAATGTATCGTGGAGCTGGAAGGAAGGACTTGAAATCCAAAGAAGCTGAAAGATGGTGAGAAAATGGACAGCTGGAGGAACTGAAGGTTTTGATATGGTTGAAGTGAAGGTGAAATTAGAGGAGAGAAGAAGGGCTGGGAGGCAGTAGGTGGTGATTTTGGAGTCAAAACATTCCATATAATGGGTGCAGGAAAATGTTTCAGGAAAACGTGTTTAAAGTAAACTAGGTTTATAAAAACCAAAATCTGTATCTTCCATACAAAATGGAATTACGCAATTTTTATGTGTCCATAAATGTGTTCCATGGGTGATAAAATCAATAAAAGTACACTTTCTTCCACTGAGGACTCTACAATGATTTTTTGATTTACTAAAAGATTTTTCACTTTTCACACAAATCCATCATACATTTTATAAAATAATAAACAATTTCTAATATGGGCATATGATGATGACATTTGACACATACAAATGGGTCCTGTACACCAATTTTACAAAGGTATTAAATGTGGATTTTTTCTCAGCGTTCCCAGTTTAGAAAATATTTCAGGAAATTACGTTCTTATAATAAATTTTTAGCAACTGTACAGAACAGTGGTTCTCAAAGTGCGTCCCCTGACGAGCAGTATAGGCACCTCCTGGGAACTTGTTAGAAACGCAAACCGAGGGTCCCACCCAGCTCCACTGTGTCAGAAACACTGGGGGTGACGCCAATCAAGCAATGTGCTCTAACGACCCTTCAGGTGATTCTGATGCCCCCTGAAGTTTGAAAACTAGCGTAAAAGATAATAAAACAACCAAACCAAACCAAACCAAAACTCAGTAGGCCTCTTCCCCCTTCCAGGTTTTAGCGTTTACTTCAGAATTACTGACAAAAGCCATTTTTAACTTTGCAGTAGATAGCTCAGTGTTTTAATGCTACCATTAATTACTGGTATATTTAAAAATCTTTATAGTCAGCTTCTTATAACTTTCTTCCAGACACGTTTTACTAAAATTTCATGGTGTAAAGTTCACCAAAGTAAACACCTTATGCTGCAAGAAACAATTTCTCTTTATAAGACATATTTGTAATAGTTGAAATTAAGATTCAGGGCCCTTCTAGATAGTGGGTTTGGTCATTCTATTGTCCATAGCAATTTACTTACCAAAGCTTAGACCGTAAAACACAGTTCAAAGAAGATATAGTTCAAACACACAATTATTAACCATGCACTGTATTGATAATAGTAACTATTTGAGTGTACTGCCCTAGATATAATTGCTGGATAAACTATTTTTCCTAAAACCTTGTGTAAATAACAAGTGTCAAATTTCAGTTTCCTGAAGTAGAGAAATTATTTATTCAGCAATGTTGAGGAAGGGTCTTCCATACAAATGAATTTTCTAGGAACCTAGCCTATATTTGTGTATTTTTGGCTATTTCTTTTTACATTTTTATCAATAAAATCAGAAGATAATTTGCTTAGGTTACCAGAGTTTGATTTTTCTCGATTGCAGCTCTGTTTTGAATACATTTTATAGTCTTCTTTTACTGTAATTAAATACATGTTTGTTGAGCACCTACTATTTTCATGAATAGTACTGAGTGGTAAGATGAATAAAAAGATGAATGAGCTATGGTCCCTGCCCTCAAAGAGTTTATAATCTAATGGAAGAGTTGGCTGTGAAAACAACTATCTATAATGCAAGTCCCTAGATTTAAACCCATATTCTTAAGGATTATTGGCAATCCTAGCTTCATTTTTATTCCTGTTAACATATTTCATACTATGTTAGTTGGAATTCAATTGATTGTATGTGACAGGAAGCCAAAACCTACTGGCTTAAGCAAAAAGAGGATTTGTCACTAACATGAAAGAAGGTTCAGAGACAGGGCTGACTTCAAACATGTCCGAGTTCAGAGATCAAAGGATATTTATGAGAAGGTGATTTCCCTTCATCTCTCAGCTCTGCCTTCTGTTGTGCTAGCTTCATACAGCTGCAACCATGTGCAATGAATCCAAACCTACCATCCTTTCAGGTTCAGGCCTAGAGGGAAAAAATGAAGATCCCAAAATCCCAGGGAAAAAAATTCTGTTTGTATTATTGGCTTTGGCTGGGTAAAACATGCTGATTGGTATAGGCCTGGGTAATCAGCTCCACTCCTGCAGAAACCACTTGGACTGAGGTGAGCAAAAGGAGTGATTCTTAAGTAGGAAACAAAAGCACCATTTCCAGAGGAAGATTGAATAGGTGCTGAGAGCAAAAACAAGGGCATGCACCCGACATTCTAACCAAGATGTGACAGTTTCCAAGTATATGTTCTTGTAACTTGTCAGCCTCTACATGACCAAAACACTTTTTTCCCATTTATTCCCTATAGTTTTTAGTGCTTTAACATTTTAAGTCTTCTTGTCTCAGGCCATTTCTATAAAGTATTGGAACCCTGAATAAAACAATTTAAAAATGTATTGTTATTTTGGAATTTCTAAATGACTATATATTTGATGATATAGAGATGAATTTTTACTAAGTCAAATTTTTAAAAAATCTCAATAAATTACATAGCCATAGTTTTATCTACTGACTATTGTTACAGCTTCTACCTATAGTACTTTGACCTCTTTACCATTTACTTTACATGTAAATATTCTCAGCTGGGAGGACCTATCCCTAACATTTTTTCCTCAAGTGCATTACTTTGCAATGCTCCCTCTCTATCATTCTAATATAAAGTACATAATGACACCTACATAACAGTTGCACTGGGTTTGTATTTGCTGAATAGCAATTGTTCACAATACTGAATTTGAAATTTTATATTTGGGTCTTTACAGATGACATTCATTTGTAAGCCGCATTCTACATAAATGACTGTAAAAGACCCTATCCCTATTTATCTGCTTAGCTTCAATGCTCCCTTCATTAATATTAGCTCGAGATAACCTAATTTTCTTGAACTTACCCCAAACAATTTGCAGAGCTTTTTATTTTTTGCAAATTTGCATGATTAGTAGGACTTGCTAGACCTCAAATGGAAATGGCAAATGCTGTGCTCCAGGGAAGCTGGGAAAAGCCAAATTTCAATCCCTTTATCACCAAAGAAAATGAACCTTATTCCAGGGAAGGGCTGAGCTGATATTGTCAGTGGTGAGGTGAGAGAGAAATGAACTATGGAATTAGAATTTAAAATTCACAACATGAATCCAAATATTAGAGAATAACTTATACGTCGACCCTTCTGATGTTTAACAGAGAGAAGCATTCAATTTGCATTTCATTAAATATTAGAAATCAGATGGGATACTAGTGTTTTTCTTATTAAAAAACTTATGAAATTACCTTTCAATCATCTATTTAAGAAATTCCAGTACATTCTCCAAATTTATAAAATTATATATAATATTTCTTATTTACAAGGGCTATAGGAATTGATTATAAAGGATCAGTGAATCTTAAAACTAGTTTAGTGGTAAAGTTATTCAGCTTTCATCAATGGTAACAGAAATATTATACCTTATCTTTAGCTCATGAACATGGAAGACTCATGAGACACAGTTCTAATTTATATGTACACATTTTTAAAAAGTCATGTTGCTTATGATGTGCAAGTAGAATATTAACTAATATAATTTATTTGTGCTTTTCTTATGTTTTTTTTTCTTTTCTGTTACCCATAGCTATTTTTTAAAAATAAAATATGATTTAGGGGTCACAGGAGTTGTTCTAAATAATTGAGTGATAAAACACTACTTGTAACTTCAATTTTTGTTTCTGTGTTTACAACTTGGTACCATTAATGAGCTGACACACTGATAAATATTATAATTTTATATTTAATTGACTATCAGAATCTAGTTAAATTTGGGAAATTTAATAATAGTATTTTACTTTTATTATATTTATACTATATACTTACTGTATTTGGTAATTTCTTTCATTGAAACTTACTTTTTTGGTATACCTTAGCATACCTTCTTTGTCAATTGAAGGTAATACAATATAATAAACAAATTCAGTTCATATTACCTCATTAAAGGCCTGGAGTTGCTTACTCATTCATCTCACATAGCATATGGACACTTTAATACTATCCTTTAAGAAAAAATGACCTAGTTTTGTTGCACAATCCAAAGGATGTCTACAGTAGGATTTTAAAGACTAGTAGAAATGTGGGCTCATAACATTGCTGATTGATATGGGACATGTGTTTGTGCAGGGGTTTTGAAATACCTATAAGATTACATTATAATAAAGACCTGAGAATTATACCAGTTCTTAGGAGAATATTTGATAAATTCTTAGAAGTTATATAATTCAATGCCCTTGCTTTATAAATAAGAAAACAGATATGCAGGGAGGTTAAAATGCTCATAAGTACAGAGCTGAATCAGCAAAAATCCTGAGTTTTTAATTTTCCTTTTTGATAGGGTTATTAAATCTATGGATTGATATCTTTATCTGTTTGGAAATTTTTTTGCCATTAAATCTTAAATATTGCTTCTGTCCTATTCACTCTTTTCTTTCTGAGATTACAACTAAGTGTATGTTAGACGTATGTATCCTCTATGTCTTTTACTCTCTCGTCTGTATTTTTCATTCTTTTGTCTCTCTGTGCTTTATTCTGGTTAGTTTCTTCTGACTTACAGTATAGTTCACTAATTTTTGTTTGCTGATATTTAATAGGCTATTAATTACCATTTTGCTAACTGCATGATATACTCATTGGATATACTTCAGTTCATGTAACAATTGTCTTATATTTTTTCATCTAGATTGCATTCAATTTTTCACTATTATAAACACAATGCTAGTAACACATATTTGTGCTCAAATTATTTCATTTGAAAATCAGGATTATTAATTTAGTATGCATTCTTAGAAGCTAAATTGCTGGGTGAAGGACATGAATATTTTTAAGTCTCCTGAAACATATTGCTAAATTACCTTTCCTAAGACAAGTTAGATGTTTTAATTCCATATTCAAAATTCTCCCCACTTCTTTGCCATCTTGTTTCCTGGCCAAAATGTTTGTGTCAAGGTAAATATTGCCTTTGGAATAGTCTAATATAGTTAAGAATGACAGTGAAAGACGAATTTTTAACCGTACTGTGAGTGTGACTATAATTGAATAGTTTTTCTTAGGACGGAAGAAATAATTAGGTCTTATAACGTCTTGCAATGACATTTGCAAGATGTAAATGTCATTGCAAGATGTTATAGGACCTAATTATGTCTTGAATTTACTGATGATCCTCTTGATAGCATTTTATAGAATGTGTTTTATTCACATCAGAATTCCCAGGGATTTGTTTTTTTTTAGAAATAATTATTGTTTTTGTATTTTTATATTTTTGGCTATTTTGACTGACTAAATTGAGGAGGGGACTTAAATGATTAAAAGAGCTTTGGAGTAGGAAGTAGGGGATCTGCTAAGCCTTTCTTAGCCATGTAACTGTATTATAGAAAGGTCATTTCTTCTCTTCAATCCTCAATTTCCTCCTTTGTGAAATAGAGACAAACTGTTTTTCTGTGCTTACAGTTGTCTGACATTGTTTAGCCATGGACAAACTTCTGTTCATGTTTGAAGGGGGGAAAAACTAAAATAAAACAGCAAGAATAGCAAAAATACCCTAGTCTTTTCTTTACAGTAATATGGGGAAACTAAAGTATCTTAAAGTCGTGAAAGTACTTTAAATTCCTAGGATGAGAGGAAGCATTTAATAAAAAATAAAGATAGGCGAAACTATTTTTAAAGTGCATAATTGCAGTAAATGCAGATTCAGACATACTAATTATCAAAGTCAAGAATATTAAGTTATTGAGTGGAATTTAATGGCACTATTTGAAAGTCACGACATATTGTTTGATGTGCTGGGCCTAATTTATATGTAAATATAGGCTCTGTAGTATTGCCTAGACATTTAAGTACTGTCTTAATGGTTTATTCTGGGAAACTGATGTAGATCTCTGCTTGAACATTGTACTTAAACTCTGTAAAACTATTTTAGCATGTATATGAAAAATAAAAAGAAGATGCACACTGGTTTTGGAAATGCTCTGGTTGAAATAGGTTCTAAAAATGCTGAGGTATGTAATTATAATTACTTTTCAGTAAAGTTACTTTTGCACCAACTCTGGAGTTTTGTAAGAGAATTGGCAGCTGAAATGAGCACACGAGAGAGTTTTATGGTGACCTGCAGTAGTTAAGATTCCCCTGGCCAATGACAGAGTACAGAAAATGCAACCCCAAAGTGTGGGCTTCTTGACATATTGAGTATGTTAAGCTGAAGGGTATTTAGAAAATCTCAGAGTAGAAAAGTCTCTCTGAACTTCTCTCTTATAGACCCTTATGTGACAGGGTCCCGCCCTGTCCACAGAGGGAAGGAGTGTTACACAGAGAGGCCAAGAAGAATCTGAACAAACAGGCCTTGCTAAGCTCCCTTCAGTTGATCATCAGTAGGTCATACACTCTTTTTGTCTAGTCATACTTCTACATGACTTTCCATTCTTCATCAAACCCAAACATTAAAATACATCAATACACATTGAAAGAGGCCACATATAAATATGAAATTGAGTTGTCTGTTTTCACTGGCTCTTTGGGTCTTCAACTGTGAAGGCTCCCGTGTCATGGGAAAAATTGTTCAGATAAATTTGTTATGCTTTTCTCTTATTAATCTGTGTTTGTTACAGGGGTATCAGCCATGACCCTTGTGATGAGTGAGGAGAAGAAATTACTTTTTCTCCTCTCTACCTACATGGGGGTACGTAATTCTATACCCTAACTCCAAAACCTCTTGGGGGTATACTTGACATTCAACTGAATTCTGACCAATTTATAATAGAAAAAATAGAAAAATAGAGTGATAGAATTTATCATCTGTGATTACTTGATCAGACCCTTGTATTTCCCCAAATATAAAGATTCAGATCCATAGACATAGAATGGCATTTGCTTAGTTTAATGTTTCTGAACCATCTTTGTTGTGTAATAAGCCTGTGCTCTTGCTGGTGTTCTAATGATTTCATTACTCATCACAGCTAGTTATCAATTCACCCCCCATTGCCAAAAGCATCTGCTTTTTGCAGTAGTAAAAAGCAAGATTACAAGAGGGGCATTTGGGGTAACTGACATTTGTCATTCAGCTGAGGGTGGTTCTTCAAGGGCTTTGAAAGTGCCCAGGACAAGAAAACCTTTGTTTGGGATACACATACCTGCAATTGTAATTCCCAGAAATGTAACTCTATGCTGATGGACCATTGACTTTTGTATTTTTAATAAATGGAGCATAATATTAACCACAAATCTTTGTTCCAGTAACCATGTCATGAACAAACGCATCAATACACAGTGAAAGAGGTCACATATAAAGTTGAAATTAAAGTTGTCTTTGTATAGTCAAAAAATCTAAACCTGGGGATAAAAATGACACCTGTGCCCTACATATCACTCAAAAGAAAGAAGTAAGTTTCAGAAGTTAGGGGGATAAAGACGGGTATTTCAAAAATAAAGTTTGGCTGAAAACATAAAAAGCCACAGGGACATCACGACCTGGGATGGCTGTAATTAACATGTAAAGCCTTCCACAGTGACTTCTGAGGGCCGTTCTTTTATCTGCAGTCTGCAGGCTGAAGGCAGACAGTTTTGGAATGCAGATCTAATCACACAGGTCTGTAATTTTGGGGATGATTGAGGTGTTAATTGCTCTAGGATTTTGATTGCCAAATGTGGTTTAACCAGGATTGTTAACTATGCTTTCATAAGACACTCTTCTCTTTTTAGTAGAGTTGAAATTTCCTTGGGAAACTCGAAGTCAGAAATTGCTAATGAAATTCCAGTCTCTGATAAATGTCCACACAGGGGTGTAGCAACTTTAAAAATTCCAAATGGAACAAGCAGATAACTGAGGGCTGATTATTATTAAAGGATTATTTAGTTTTATGAAAGTTTTACTATGGAGCTTCTTGGATCCTCTAACAATTATCAGATACTAGGGGAGGTAGGGTAAAGACAGAGAAACTTAACCTAAAGTGTTAGAAATTATTCACATCGGGTGATCTATTGCAGATGAAAACAAAATATGCCTGAAATTAAGTGGAAGAATCAGGTTTGACATGTGCTCAATTTCCAGTAGCTAATTTATGATGTTGAGCGCTTCCTGTAGGACAGGCAATGTGTAACTGACCACATGATGGCACCTCTTGGTACCTTCTTTGGCCAATGTAGGTGATTTGTGTGTGTTACATGATTGTGATTACCTGATTGTAATTGTTACATGATTGTGATTGGCCAGGGCGATTGTGATCGCTACATGAAGACTACTGTTTGGATTCAGATTTTGATTTTGGCCTGAGTTACTTTGGGGTAATAATTAATTATTTTAAACTGCTTTTATGTGAATCAGTGGTAGACTTGGCTTTGTTGGTTTGGTTGCCCACCACAACCTTTGGTTGGAAAAATCTAACAAATCATACGTAATTTCTTTTGAAAGACCCAAATTGGTGAAGACAAATTTTTGGTAAAATCTAACAGGAGTTAAATTCATAAATTTTTCAACCTAAGAAGTACTTGCTTTTTCCGGAGGACTTCCATATCTCTCTCATTTGAGGGCAAATAATAATCAATACTGTTTGTGTGGGGAAGAGGAATGGCTGGTGGAAAATTCTTTGGCTTTGATTTTGTTCAAGATAAGCAAAAGTCAGAAAAATTTTAAATTAATACCGTGTTCACTTCATGCAAACAAACAAACAAAACATCCTTAAGCAAATATAAAGAAAAATCCCCATGCATTTCTGTTTCCCTCACAAATATTGAAACTACAAAAAAAGTTTGAATTTTTTAATTTGACCACATTCTCTTCACTACTCCTAAGAATATGTCATCTTTCCATTCCTTCTTTTATCTTTTCATCTATGAATAGTAAAATAAGCTTCACATACTTGGTTCTGAGAAAGGTCCGTGCTTACAGGAAGCAGTATAGAAAAGTTAATATACAGGTTCAATTCTTTGAAGGATGCTATAGGTTAGAAAAGACAAAAACTTGTTCATTATTCAACATAGACCTCCTTCATTTTAAACAAAATTTCTTGGTTATATATCAGTTTTACTAATGTTTATTTTTTGTAGTTCAGAGTATTACCCATAACACAATATACCCATTTTAATCAGACCAATTAATTCCTCTATGTCTTGTCCATTGAAAACAGAATCACTGTCTTGGATGTTACAGAACAAAGTTGTGCCCCAATAGCCAGCAAGTCCTAGGGTGATGGGAGTAAGTATTGTTTAGAGTTTCACAGTGCTGTTTTCGAAGTTGTATTTTGAGGCTCTTAAACTTGGGTACTCTGTCTTACTGTTTCCAAAGATGGACCTGGTGTGCATGTTCATAATGTTAAATAGCACAGTGGTGTTAAACATCAATGCACAGTGTTGCCGGATGCCAGGGCAGGACCGCCTGCTAAATATCGCTTTAGGAAAAATGTATTTACACCCATGCTGACAGTTCATTTCCAGGTGGGAGCCTCATGTCTGCCCCATACACTGCAACTTCAATCTTCCCACTGTGAAATTTTAGACAGCTTGTCTGCAGAGGCTCTGCCAGACCTATTAATATTTATACATTCCATTCACACTCCAGTCAGAGCGTATAAGTTGCAGATCTTTCTGATTTGGAAGCTATTAAGATTCATGACCCCTTTAGTTATTTACTTCTCACGGTCTAGGAGCCTTTGCAATCAGCTTACATTTAAGAAGAAAGCACAAATCATTACTGTTCAAATATTGTCCTGTATTGTGACCATTTGCAGTCCATCAAAAGAGTGTTAAGAACTTTAATGCATTCATTTATCTCAAGACACTGGTTATTAGATGAGGCATTCTTCTCCCGGAAAGGGATAGAATAGCAGTGTTTCTTACACCAGAAATTGCTTTTTTAATTCCAAATTAGGGACTCTCACTGAAGCTTCATATGTTATTAAGAAGCAATAGCTAATCAATTTTTTCTTCTTGAGAGCAGACATTGATTGAACAAATGATACAGATGATGTACCAGATAGAACAGAACAAAAGACAATCAAATTTTTAGGTGCACATTAGGCCTGTCTCTGGAGAAGTTCTATTTTCTTAACATAGTAAGTCTTATGTGTCTCTGGTTTACAACATGTTGTGAAATTTGAGATAGGTCTTATATTTAAATAACTTGTGGGATTATGTGGTATGTTTTATTAGTAGCTATAAGTCATTTAATCCTATTCTATAAAAATAGTCTTATTCTATTGGAAGAAAAGACTGAGAACATTAGAAGAAAATGTGTGGAGAGGAAAAAGAGGAAATTAATATTTGTTCAGTGTTTACTGTGGATTAAGCATTTTACATTTATTAATTATTTTGAACCTTACAACAGCCCATGAGGTGGGTATTATGATCCCATTTGCTGACCAGAAATGGAATCTTAAAAAAGTCAAGAGGCTTACCCAAAATCACACATTTAGTAGGATTTGTTGGGGGCTGCAGCTCCACAGTGGCTGAGCTGGTTTTTCTTTCGGAAGAACTGGAGAAAAACAATTTTCCCACAATAGGCACAAGGCCTTAGCACCGACCTTCTCAACTATCTCAACTAAAATAGGACACTATGGTGATTCATGTTTAAATTTATTCAGTGTTTAGTAAATTTTGTAACACATTGAAATGGGTGAGATAAACTTGAGGGAAAAAGGCTCAACAAAACAATTCCTTTTATATTAAAAATAAACAAATCAAGAACCACAAAAGAAAGCACGAAAATAATTATGTATCAAAGTCAGAGGAGGCTTTGAAATGCTGTTTATTTGGGCACGTGACAAGTTTTTAATTTTTTGTTGCTTTTCAAGATTACCATCTTCTTGTCCATCTGGTTTTCTGAAGAGTGGGCAGAGGATGAAGAACTGACAAGATTAAATACAAGTTTACAGCCTCGATTTTACTTTCTATTGTGTTTTTTCTCTGGCATCACCTGGCTTAATGAGAAGTAGCCATTTGATGAGGACAGGCTTTATTCTTGAGAAGCACTCTCTTTCCTTCCAAGGTTAAGTTTAAAGACAAAATCCTTCCGTTTCATTCAAGTTCTGGCATTCACAGCCTGTGAGGTCACTTTAAGACATCTCAGATTTTGTTGTGACAAAGAAAAATAACCCAGGTTTTGTGCACCCACGTACAAACCTAATTTGGTGATTCCTAAAATTTTCTGTCAGCTTTCTGTAGGCAGGAGGTTAAAAAAGGTAGCTGTTTAATCTCTGTTTAATCCTCAAAGTATGTGCCAAAAAAGGATTTTTCATATGATAGTGAAAATAGCTCTTTCATGCATATTTTCACCAGCAAAAGGTTTAAGTAGGATTTTGAAATATCTTCAGTCACCCCTTTACCTATCTGAGTTATTCTTATTTCAGTGATGCCATTGGCACCTTGTCAGAGATGTTCGGGGACAGAGGCATTCTAGTAGGAAATTTAAAACTAAAAGAGAGATGAGACAACTTTGTTACCCAGCTGAATCATAATTGTGTTTTAAGAAGCTGATGGTACTTCAGGAACACTAAAATACAGATAGCATATTATTATTATTAGGATTATTAACCATTATAATATTGTTAATTGCTGTCACCGAGCTACTGTACAACAAAGCCTTAAACCCAACTCCCGTCTTTCTGAGCCCAGAGCCCAAGCTTTCCTAACCACCGTATTATATTGTTTCTTTGACCCTCCTTCTCCACCCACCCAGCACTCACTCCAGGCCAGCTAATTGCCGCTTCTTGCAGAATTTCCTCATCATGACACATCTGTTCCGATTTGTAGCTCTCTGTATATGTGATGGTCCCACCTGCTGGGCTGTCATGTCTTTGAAAATATGGTCAATGCCTTATATATTACTGTATTTTAAGCCATGAATGTAACAGAAATGCAGATTCAGTCACTTGTTACTTGCACAGTCCGATTAACAGCAAGGTCTGACATAAAGAAAGTGACTTTTGGCCAGTGCGGTGCCTCATGCCTGTAATTTGAGCATTTTAGGAGGCCAGGATGGGCAGACTGCTTGAGGCTAGAAATTCAAGAGCAACCTGGGCAACATGGTGAAACCTCATCTCTACCCAAAATAAATAAATAAATAAATAAATAAATAAATAAATAAGCCAGGTGTGATGGTGTGCACCTGTAGTCCCAGATACTCAGAAGGATCATGTGAACCCGGGAGATGGATCGAGGCTGCAGTGAGCCATGATCATGCTACTGCACTCCAGTCTGAGTCTGGGCAACAGAGTGTGACCCTATCTCAAAAAACAAAACAAAACAAAAAAACAAGAACAAAATTAAAAACAAAGCAATTATTTATTCCAAAGCTAGCTTAGGGGAAGAAGTACAGGCTACCTGCCTTAAAGGTATTGCTTCTCTTCTGGGGCAGAAAGCAAGGGCTTTTAAAGGGGAACTTGGCATGAACGGCACACAGGGAGGGATGCAACAGGTGGGGATCTATGTGACTTCGTGCCTTATCCACCGAGTGGTCAGCCTGGCGTCATTGAGGGCAGAACTAGATTGTAAAGTGGCCATTGTTTCAAGATGCTCTACCAGTGGGAAAGAGTTTCATAGCAGGCTTACTTTAAGTGTAAATTGCTCAAGGCAATCTCCTGGTGGGAGAGGTCTCAGCTCTGAAGCTTCTAAGCACACAGTTAGATGAACTTGCCTTGTAGGGAGTGTCTGGTGAAGGGAAGGTAGAAGGTTATAATTACATTTCTAAAGAGCCAAGTAGGAAGTGGGGAACAGGGGAAGAGGAGGAAAGAGGAAGAAAAAAAATTAAAAAATAACTCATTCTTTTTTTCCTAGAAAAATGGGGGGTCCTTGATTACGTTAGTGGGTAGTTTCCATTTTCTTGGCACAGAATTGTCTCTTCATAAACGTTTGTTTAGTGAATGATTACTCTCCTGAATAGTTACTATTTTATAACTTTATTCTTTAATGCACATTTTTGGAGTACAAAACTTCAGAAATAGAATCAACATTTTTAATAATTGTCAGGCTTCACACAGAAAGAGGAGACTAGTTAAATAAACTCATCTTTGAAAAGGTCTTTTAAGACTCTCCCCCAACCATCACAAAACACAGGAAGAGGAAGCAGTAAAGCAAACCTGTGGCTTTGGGAGACACCTACTGCCAGAAAGGATTGCAGTTTGGGGTGGAAATATTTCTGATACCCAGGTTGGTGTTGTGCCAATTGTGACAGTTGGCAAATACAACAGTTTTTATTGTATTTGCTTTTAAGAAAATATTCACATCCCTTTGAGTACAGGTTCCCTGTAGTATCTAAATCAATAGTGCCTTTAGACTCCATGTGACATTAATCCAACAAGAAAATCAGGTTCTCGTGCACCCAGATTTCCACTTGTACCTGTCACAATCAATTAAATTGATAGTGATTACAGAGAGATTACTTGGCTTGCTGAAGACCACATGGCCAGGAAGAAGGTTCAAGGCCAGAGCCCAGGCCTTTTGCTCCAGTGTACTTTACATTTACCAGCTGCCTCTGGGCTAGAAAAACTGCAGTTGTGTTTTCTGCTCTTACTTCAAGAGGTTGTTATATATCATGAGGTTAAGTACCTGATAGTTGTAGGCAGACTGTAATATATACAAATGAAGAGTACTAATATTAAATCTAGCAGATTAACCACAAGCTTTCCTCTCTGTAGACTCAACCAGGCAAATCTGGCCTCTTAAAGTTTGCTGAACTGTCTAATTCCAGGAAAAATCTGCCTTAAAAAATCTCAAGCACCCAAACTGTGAAAATAAAAATTAAAAGAACTTATGTCCCGTTGATGTTTAAGAATAAACAGACTTTTAGAAAACTCAGTGTTACGGCAAAAAAGAGACTGAAGAAAGATATCTGTGAAGTTCAAAATTTTGGGAGTAGTTTTTTCTTTTACCTTTTCATTTTATCGGCCTGCCTGTATCCACAATGGTAATTCTTTATTTTTTTCCCCTAGGTTTGACTTTTTTTCTCCCAACTCAAGAAAGTCCTACTGAGAGAAAATGCTTTGCAGAATTGTTTAATTATCACTAGATTTCTCAAAAAAAATTGTGACAGGGACTAATAATTCAGATTCAATGTTCAGTCTCTTTTTTCTACCACAATAGAACCACTGGTTTTTAGCTGTGCACCTGGCTTCTAGAACAAAAACTCTTATTTACAAACCTACCTTTTAGCCAGGTGTGACCATGTGACTAATCACTGGCCAATGAGATATGAGGAGCAGAGACGTGTTGGACTTCTGAAACTCTTACCTCCTGAAAGCGGGTGGGAATAATGTTCCCCCTTTTCCCACCCTCTTTCTTTATCCTGCTGCTCAAAATGTGGATTAAGATGAGCTACTTTGCACCAGGTAGATGAGAACAGAAACCTGAGGCTGTTGGAACCTGGGTCTTTTTTTGCATGTGACGGGGTTTTGCTCTGTTGCCCAGGCTGGAGTACAGTGGCATGATCATAGCTCACTGCAGCCCTGAACTCCTGGTCTCAAGTTTTCCATCCTGCCTCAGTTTTCCAAAGTGTGAGGACTACAGGTGTGAGACACTACATCCAGATGAGCCTAGATCTTTTAATGCATTTGCAAAACAGGGCTGTCCTACCAGCTTTCATGACTAGAAAGAAATGAACTTCTGTCTTAAGACACTGCTATTTTGGGCCTATTAAACATATAGCCAAATTTATATATACCCAATATAAATGCAGAGAAGGTGGCAGATTATTTTCAGATCAGAAATGAGTTTGAGGGCTGGGCACGGTGGCTCATGCCTGTAATCACAGCACTTTGGGAGGCCGAGGCAGGTGGATCACGAGGTCAGGAGATTGAGACCATCCTGGCTAACACGGTGAAACCCCATCTCTACTAAAAATACAAAGTATTAGCCGGGCGTGGTGGCCTGTCCCTGTAGTTCCAGTTATTCAGGAGGCTGAGGCAGGAGAATCACTTGAACCAGGGAGGCAGAGGTTGTGGTGAGCCAAGACTGTGCCACTGCACTCCACCCTGGGTGACAGAGTGAGACTCCGTCTCAAAAAAAAAAAAAAAAAAAAAAAAAAAAAGTAAAGAAATGAGTTTGAAATAAAATAATGATAAAATAGAATAAGAAAATTATCTTGTCCATATACTGACTATTCTATGGTGGCTAAACTTACAATAATGACTTGAATATCTGTTGGTGGACAAAAGCAAAGAGAGAATTCAAAACTCTGTGAATCAAGATTTATTTTATTACATATTAGCACCAAAAAACTAGGTATTCAAGTCTTCCATAATAATTTCATTCAGGTCAGGTCTATATTTCAAGCAATGGGCATTACTGATGAACTGTTTCATCGGACAACAACAATCAACTATCTAATTTATCTCGTGTTTGAGAGAAGAATGCTTGCTGTTAATGAGGAATTCTATCTTCTCAAGATGAGGGCTTTAGAAGGAATATCTGACCTGTTAATAGTTTGAAAAGACTTTAAGCCAATCTCAAGTCGCAGTAAATCTCAAACTTTGTAATTAAAATTAAGCAAATGTTCATGCATCGTTTTTAATTTGTGTTGTATTGAAAAGCTTAGGAAAAGAAAACTATGTGAGGAGATTAGGAGCCAGGGTGGGCAAGCCTGAATCTCACAGCGAGGAAGGAGGAACCAAAGTGTGATGAATCTTACAGAGTGTGATGATAAAGTTATGAGATAGACACCCATGAGAATAAATGAACTTGCCTTACAGACTAGATGGTTGCAACTTCATAGCTTCCTAGGGAATTTTACTATGTTTACTATCTTACTTACATAGTTTGTTTTTAGCCTATGTCAACCATATAGGCTATCAAACATGTGGCAAAGCTAGACGTTTTAATTTCCTGCCTTTCCCAAAGTAACAAGTTAGTTCTTTTCCAGTCTGTATGATGGTTTGGAAAATACAATAAACTAAACATACTCTTGCAGACACATGTGTGTGTACACACACACACACCTGCTCATCTATAGTAAATGTCTCTTGATTTTGATGAAGCACTGGATGCCGTGCTTGTATATTTCCTTACACATTCACTAATGTGGTCCCCACCACTATCTGTGAGGTGGGTATTTTATTATCCCCAACTTATAGATGAAGAAACAGCGACCATTTTTTGAGTGCTCTCTATGTATAGAGTGCTTCAAATACATCATTCCATTATTTAAGTATGTATTTTGATGTATTTAGTTTTTAATCTTTAAAGCCAGGTACACTGAGTGCTTTTTTTTTGAGACAGAGTCTCGCTGTGTGGCCTGGGCTGGAGTGCAGTGGTGCGATCTTGGCTCACTGCAACATCTGCCTCCTGGGTTCAAGTGATTCTCCTGCCTCAGCCTCCTGAGTAGCTGGGATTACAGGCCCGCATCACCATGCCCAGCTAATTTTTGTATTTTTAGTAGAGATGGGGTTTTACCATGTTGGCTAGGCTGGTCTTGAACTCCTGACCTTGGGTGATCTGCCCGCCTCGGCCTCCCATAGTGCTGGAATTACAGGCAGGAGCCACTGCACTCGGACAATTTTTGGTTTTTATGAAGGTGATTTTTGGGTGTAGATAGTTGTTAAATTGGTGTCCTTGTTGGGGAATGATTGGTAGAGACTTCTATTCCTCTATCTTGCCAAAAATCTCCTAATTTTTAAATTGTATATGTTTAAGGCATACAACATGATGTTTTGACATAGTGAAATAATTACTACAGTCGAGCCAATTACTATATCCATTGTCTCACATAATTACCTTTTTTAATGTCGTAAGAGCACCTAAAATCTACTCTCTTAGGAAATTTGCAGTATACAGCACAATATGATTAACCATAGTCTTCATGCTGGACAGGTATATCTTGTTTTATTGCACTTCACAGATATTATGTTTTTTACCAATTAAAGGTTTGTGTGGCAACCCTGCTTCAAGCAAGTCAATGGGCACCATTTTTCCAACAGCATGTGCTGACTTCATGTCTCTGTTTCACATTTTGGTAATTCTGGCAATATTTTAAACTTTTTCACTATTATATCTGTTATGGTGATCTGTGATTAGTCATCTTTGATGTTACTATGGTAATTGTTTTGAGGCTGCATGAACTATGCCCATTTAAGATGACAAACTTACTCAGTAAATATGTGTGTTTTGACTGCTCCATCAGCTTGTGCCCCCATCTCTCTCCCTCTCCTTGGGTCTCCCTATTCCCTGAGACACAGCAATATTGAAATTAAGCCAGTTAATAACCCTACAATATCCTCTAAGTGTTGAAGTGAAAGAAAGAGCTGTATGTCTTTAAATGAAAAGCTAGAAATTATTAAGCTTAGCTTGGAAGACATGTTGAAAGCTGAGATAGGCTGAAAGCTAGACGTCTGTGCCAAGCAGTTAGCCAAGTTGTGAATGTAAAGGGAAAGTTCTTGGAGGAAACTAAAAATTCTATTCCAGGAAACACACAAGAAAGCAAAACAGCCTTATTGCCTATATGGAGAAAAGTTTGAGTGGTCTGAATAGGAGATCCACCCAGCTACAACATTTTCTTAATACAAAGCCTAACTCAGAGAAAGGCTTTAACTCTCTCCAATTCTGTGAAGGCTGAGTGAGGTGAGGAAGCTGCAGAAGAAAAGTTTGAAGCTAGTAGCAGTTGTTTCGTGAAGTTTAAGGAAAGAAGCCATCTCTATAACATAAAAGTGCAAGGTGAAGCACCAAATGCTGATGTAGAAGCTGCAGCAAGCTCTCTAGAAGATCTAGCTAGGATCATTGATGAAAGTGGCTACATTAGACAGCAGATTTTCGATGAAGATGAAACACCCTTTTATTGAAAGAAGATGCCATCTAGGACTTTCATCACTAGAGAGGAGAAGGCAATGCCTGACTTCAAAGTGACAAAGGACAGGCTGACTCTCTTGTTAGGGACTAATGCAGCTGGTGACTTTAAGTTGAAGCCTATGTTCATTTATCATTCTGAAAATTCTAGGGCTCTTAGGAAGTATATCAAATATACTCTCCCTGAGCTTTCTGAATGGAACAACAAAGCCTGAATGATAGCCCATCTCTTGACAGCATGGTTTAATGAACATTTTAGGCCCATTGTTGAGACCTACTGTTCAGAAAAAAGATTCCTTTCAAAATGTTACTGCTCATTGACAATGCACCTAAGTTGCCCAACAGCTCTGATTGAGATATACAAGGAAATTAATGTTTTCATGCCTGCTAACACAACATCCATTCTGTAGCTCATGAACTAAGAAGTAATTCTGACTTTCAAGTCTTATTATTTAAGGGATACATTTTATAAGACTATAGCTGCCATAAACAGTGATTCCTCTAATAAATCTGGGTGGAGTAATTAAAAATCTTCTGGAAAGGATTCAGCATTTTAAATGTCAGTAAGAACATACTTCGTGATTCACGAGAGGAGGTCCAAATATCAACTTTAACAGGAGTTTGGAAGAAGCTGATTTTTAACTCTCATGGATTAATTTGATGGGTTCAGGACTACAGTGGAGGAAGTACTGCAGATGCGGAAATACAGAGCTAGAATTAAACAGAGCCCAAGCATATGACTGAATTGCTGCAATCTCATGATAAAACGAACAATTGAGGAGTCACTTCTTATGGATGAACAAAGATTTCTTGAGGTGCAATCTGCTTCTGGTGAAGATGCTGTGAACATTGTTCAAATGACCATAAAGGATTTAGAGTATTACATAAAGTTAGTTGATAAAGCAGTGGTTTGAAAGGGTTGACTCTAATTCTGAAAGAAGTTCTACTGTGGGTAAAATGCTATCAAATAGCATTGAATGCTACAGAGAAAACTTTCATGACAGGGAGAGTCAATCCATTTGGCAAACTTCATTGTCTTGTTTTAAAAAATTGCCCCAGCCACCTGAACCTTCAGCAATCCCCACCCTCATTGGTCAGCAGCCATTAACACTGAGGCAAAACTCTCCATCAGCAAAAAGATTACAACTTGCTGAAAGACTCAGATGATCATTAGCATTTTTTAGCAATACAGTATTTTAAAATTAAGGTGTGGACATTGGTTTGTGTAGACATAATGCCATTGCACACTTAATAGGCTAAAGTATAGTGTAAATGATTTTATATGCACTAGGAAACCAAAAAATTCATGTGACTTGCTTTATTGCCACATTTGCTTTATTGCAATGATCTGAAATCAAACCTGCAGTGTCTTCAAGGTATGCCTGTAGTTTAGAGCCCTAGATTTATTCATTCTACATAACTACAACTTTGTAATCTTTCACCCACCTTTTCCTATCTGTTCTTTTCTTCCCTGCCACCTCTAGTAAGCACTGTTCTACTCCATTTTTGTGTATTTGACTTAAAAAAAAATCCACATATAAAAGAGATCGTGCAGTATTTTTCTTTCTGTGTCTGGCTTATTTTTATTAACTTAACCTGTCCTCCAATTTCATCTATGTTATTACAAATAGCAGGATCTCCTTTTTAAAACCTGAATAATATTCGTTTTAAATATTTATTTATTTTTTAATTTCAATAGCTTTTGGGGTATAAGTGGATTTTGGTTACATGGATGAATTGTATAGTGGTGAATTCTGAGATTTTAGTGCACCCATCACCCGAGTAGTGTACATTGTACCTAAAGTGTATTTTTTTTAATCCTTGGAAAGCTGAATAGTATTTTAATATATACATGTATACACACCACAGTTTCTTTATCTAGTTATCCATTGGTGGGCATTTAAGTTGTTCACATATCTTGGCCTACATAAGACCTGGACTGTAGAACTCCTAGAAGAAAACACAGGAAAAAGTTCTGTGATATTAGTTTTGGCAATGATTTTTAAAATATAATACCAGAAGCACAGGCAACAAATGCAAAAATAAACAAATGGGACTACATCAAACTAAAAAGCTTCTGTCCAGCAAAAGCAACAATCAATAATATGAAAAGGCACCCTATGGACAGGGAGAAAATATTTGTGAACCATATATCTGATAAGTGGTTAATACCAAAATATACAAGTAACTCACACAGCTCAGTAACATAAAGACAATCCAATTAAAAATTAAGCAAAGGACCTGAATAGGCATTTCTTTAGAGAAGACATACAAATGGCCAAAAGGTATATGAAAAGATGACCAACATCCTTAATCATCTGGGAGATGCAAACTGGATATCACCTCACACATGTTAGGATGACTGTTACCAAATGACACGAGATAACAAGTGTTAGCAAAGGCATGGAGAAAAGGGAACCCTAGTACACTGTTGATGGAATGTAAATTGGTATGGCCATTATGGAGCACACTATGGAGGCATTAAAAAGTAAACATAGAATTACTATATGATCCAGCAATTCTACTTCTGGGTATATACCCAAAGGAAGTGAAATCAGTACCTTGTAAAGATATTTGCACTTCTGGGGCAGCATTGTTCACAACAGCCAAGACATGGATACTTTATCCCGTTTAGTATTTACCTCTGCAGTAGCATTTACACCCTTTTTACAGATGAAAGAACACTGAGTCCAAGAGAGGGGAAGTAATGTGCCCAAGGGTGCACAATGGGATTCATCTCTGTCATCACCCAGTCTGATGCCTCTTCACAAGCCTGCTCCTGCCTCTCCGTCATGCCTCACTACCTCACCACCCCACACAAACAGCCTCAAGAGGTTAAGGAACCAACCCGTCTCAGAATTATCTGACAGTTGAATGAAGAATTCTGACTTTGGCCTCTATCTACTTTTAAAGACTGTGTTGGTTATTATGTGCTAACTGAAAGCAATATTCGACTATTATTTTTAATGGTAGATTAAAATAGAGGATGGAAATAAATAAGAAGTAAACACTTTGGTAAATTTTGCTTGCCAACATTTATTCTGAGCTGAGAATTTCACGCGCAATTGATGTCTAATAATATACACATTCAAAAGAAATAAATGAAATAAGGAATAAATGAAAAGAGCAAAATGCGCATTTAACCCTGCCCAGCCATTCTTTTGGACACCGGTGGTGCGGATGCAAATATGGATCTACATGTTTCAGTGGAGTTACATTTAGGGTTCACTTATTATTTAATTTAGTATATATTAGAATTGAGCACATATTTCATAAATCACATTACATAAACATGTGAGGCTAGGACCCCTGTATGACTCATCATTGTAGTTACTAGAATGCCCAGCAGAGAACCTTGCAGGCTTGTATAATAATGAGTGAAGAAGAATGCATCTTCAACTTTCTAAATCCTGGCTCAGTTTTTTTGTTACATTTAGTTATACATGCGGTGTAAAGGAGACATTTGAGATAATTATCAAAAAATAAATAATAATTGTTTCTACTCCCAATTTTTTGTAACATCTACATTATTAAAGCAAAAAATTATTTCAGGTTTTTAGTTTTTAATAGAAGAAAATGTTCTTAGGGTTCTGCTTTGGTTTTATTTAGTCATTGTGAAAATTGCCTCATGTTTACTTTGTGTAGATGTCCCAGATAATTGTGAATATTTCTTTAACCAGGTCATCTGGCCAGTGGTAATGTTGAGTCATAAGGAGAGGTCATGAAAGTTAAAGAATGCTGAGTCATTGTCTTTTTTGCAATCCAGTGAATATGTTCTTAAGGATTATTATTATTTTTTGAACCTATGTTGAAAGCAGTAATATAAGACCTCTAGCTATTTCTTGCTCTGAATCATGTTTGGCAAAGCCAGACATTGTGAGGATAAACACTATGCTCTATTTGTGGCTTTCAGTTCTCATCTGAAAAATTATTGAGGATTCCAGTCACGGCACATCCCAGAGCAGAAATTGTCAGACACACTGTTGTCAATGTGCCAAATATTCCTAGGAAGTCTGCAAGTTTTTTATGCCGGAAAATTACATTGTGAAGAACAAATTCATCTTTTTTTTTCCTACGGTGGACAATAGTTGAATTGAACCAAGAGAATCTTGTCAGGGATTTCTTGATAAAGGGCTGCACTGCTTCCACATCTAGGCTTAACCCCTTGGAGAACATCCTTGATAGATTTATGCAGAAAATGCAGGCATGCTAATGAGGTGAAACTGCAAGACACACTCAATAGAAACACAATGAATTCTTGAGCTAATTGCTACCAGTCTGACTTAAGTAAGTTAAGTGAGAAGCATGGTAGGTGCTCTTCTACCCTGAAAATCCTGTTTGCTCTTCCGAAAAATGCCAAAGTCACGAGATTACAATTTTTTTAAAGCCCCAGCAGTGTGTCTCAAAACAGGAGGGAGAGTTCTAATTGGAATAATTTTTTCTTTTAAAATAATTTTATTTCAGGTGCCATGTTAATGACTTTCCAGTAGTAAAATCCCAAAACAATGAATAAAATTTCAGTAAGATTATTCTAACTCTATCCCCTTTTGCATGAAAAAGTGGAAAACATTCTATGGAAGAAAGTAATAGTTAAGCACAGTAATTTGTTATGCAGCAAGAAAAAAACCAATGCAACCTACTGTAGACCAAATTTTTTTTCTTGCTAAAGAAAAAATTATTTGATGATACTTATTAAAGCATGGGTAAGGCAGACTTTAATCAGGACCATCATGATTGGTATAGGGACCATAGCAATGGGATTTTACAGACAGGGAGAGAGACTGGGCTTAACTCTGAATACAGGATGGGCAAGTGGGAATTTATAGCCAAGAAGCAGAGTGGGGAGTTGTTGGATGGTAAATTTCTTTCTTTCTTTCTTTTTTTTTTTTTTTTTGAGATGGAGTCTCACTCTGTCACCTAGGCTGGAATACAGTGGTGGGATCTCAGCTCACTGCAGCGTCTGCCTCCTGGGTTCAAGCAATTCTCCTGCCTCAGCCTCCCAAGTAGCTGAGACTACAGGTGTGCGCCACCATGCCCAGCTAATTTTTGTATTTTTAGTAGAGACGGGGTTTCACCATGTTGGTCAGGATGGTCTTGATCTCCTGACCTCGTGATCCACCTGCCTCGGCCTCCCAAAATGCTGGGATTACAGGCATGAGCCACTGTGCCCGGCCAGTTGGATGGTAAATTTCTAAGAGGTAACACCAGGAGTAGGGGAGATTCTGGCTAACCTCACCTAATAGGATTTTGGCTAAAGACAGGCCAGGTTGACCAGAAACCACCTGGGGGATAGTGGAGGATAAGGAACCTTGATCAGACATGGAGGGTGTCAGATACTGAGGGTGAGGAGTTCTTGCTAAAACTGGATTTTATGAGGAAGTTCATAGATGGGCCTACGAGAAGATTGAGAAACCCAACTAAGGTTTGGTGAAGCAAAAAAATCCTACTCAATCTACAGCATATTAATTCTCTGCCCTTAGTAACAAGTATAATAAATTTGTTACTTGTCTTGGGAGGATTAAGTGTCAAAGGGGCTGACTGAATTTTTAAATTTTCAATAAATATTTTGCATTTATGTAGTCATAGTTTAAGGCTACTCATTTGAATGCCGAATAGATATTTCAGAGTCATTCAAATAACTGATGGCCATTGTGAACCCCAAATATCTAAAACAGGTATCAGTCAATTTAGAAAGTTTATTTTGCCACGGTTAGGGGCACACCAATGACACAGCCTCAGGACGTCCTGTTGATATGTGCCCAAGGAGGTTGGGGTACAGCTTGCTTTTATACATTTTAAAGAGACATAATACATCAATCATTATGTGTATGATTTACACTGGTTTGATTTGGAAGAGTGGGACAACTCAAAGAGTAGGGGCAGGGCATCCGGGTCACAGGTAGATTTAAACATACTCTGCTTTCAATTTCAATTTCAATTGGTTAAAAGAGTTATTATCAGTTGAAAGGAATGTCTGGGTTTTATCATGTGGATGAAGCCTCTAAGTAGAGAGAAGACTGTAAATATTTCTTATCAGACTTAAGATTTGTGTTGATGTTAGTGGTGGAGGGGTATGATAACGCATGTCCAACTCCTACATCCTGACATGGCCTGACCAGTCTTTTGGATTAAATTTTATGGTACCATGACTGAGGAGGGAGTCCATTCAGACGGTTGTGGAGGGCCTTTGAATTTTATTTTTGGTTTACACCATCAATGCATTTGTGACATTCATAGGAGGCATGGAATCTGTAAGGGACAAAGTTTGGGTAGGCCAGCATTTTGTTGAGGAAGGAAAGTTTTTAAGTGATGCGTAGCAGTTGTAATGGGAATCCAGAAACAACCACACAGGAAAGGACATTTAAATACCATCACTTGGCCTGAAAACAATTCTTTTCTCCACTTAACATTCACCATCCTAGAAGGCATTCTTGGAGTGTTCTGAGTCACAGGGAGCCTCTTGGACAATTAGGTCATGTTTCCCTAATGTAAGAATATGTTTAAGAACATACAGGAACAGAAATAATAAGAGTATTAGATTTAGAATTACTGAATGCTTTATATAAGAAAGAGGAGAATTTGAACTAAAACAGCACAGTCATTAAGATCAGTGATTTTTGGAGAGCTAAGATTGAACCATGAGAGAAGTTTTTTTAATGTACATTATAACATCATTTTAAGACAGTTAAAATATCAGCTAAAACATTTTAAGTCTTTGGAAAGGATTCATACTAATATAATTTATAACACTAATGGGAGTTTTATTATCCATTATGAAATTATTTGACACCGTTACCAATCTAAAGGCAGGAAAAGGTTACTTCTGAAATATAATTAACCTGTTTTCACTTGGGAAGAATAGGAAGTTAAAAATAGAGTTATGATCTTCATCTGTATCTTTGGGCAGATTCCCCTCATGAATGAATGGAAATTTCATAGAACAATGGAGGCTGCCACATTACTAATTTTCTAGTAGAGCTGTTCAAATATAGATGGTCTGAAGTTCTCTTTTAATAGAGCATACATAATAGAATCTAGAGTCCATGTCTAATTTGAAAGTTATTCTTTTGACTCAACTTCATTAAGGGTATTCAGGGTATTGGCTTAAAGAGAGGGCATAGAGCAAATACTTGACAAACACTTCCTGGGTACAATGACAACAGACAGTGAGGAGAAAGTGGATAGGGTGGCTGCTTCCAATTCATCTCCACAGATCTTGAAATTGGGAGTTTCCTGACACTCTTCAATTTCTACCCTAAGGCCACAGAGATCTTTTAAAAATCCCAATTATTAAATGGAAGCTCAGACTTTTTTGTTAAAGTTCACATCAAGTGCGCATGTCTGGCCTGTCAACATCTGTCCCCTGTTGGGCCCTCTGGCCTCAGCTCCCCCTGCAGCTGCACTCAGTCTTTGGTCATCCCTCTGGCCATTTCCAGACGTCTGCCTCCAGGCCTTCTCAGTGTTGTTGCCTCTGGCTCCAGCGAACCACATTTTTCGTCAGAGCGTGGTTGGTTCAGTTGACCCTATAGGATTGACTCCTGTAGGAAGCCTACCCAGAGTGTCAGTCTAATTGAAACATCTTGTTCTGTCTGTGCTACCCTTTCCAGCGGTACTTAGGCTGTGAGTAATTGACTCATGAACTGCTTTCCTTATTAGATAGTGATTTCCCTGAGAGCAGGATTACTCACTCAACTTTGTGTCCCTGAGACTAGTGTGCCTGATGCTATCCTAAAAGACTTATATTAATTTCATAATTCTTAAAATACCCTAGTGAGGCAGGTATTTAATCTCCATTATATCAGTGAGGAAACTGAGGCTCAGAGAGGTTAAGCAACTTACTCAAGGCCACAGAGCCAGTAACAGGTAGAGCTAAGATATGAACACCCAGGCAGCCTGGCTTCAGAGCCTGTTCCCTAATCTTATGCTCTACTGCCTTACTAGTGCTTGGCATAGTGAGTCCTCAGTGCATTATGGTTGGGTGAATGACTGGATGATAGAGGAGGGTAACACTGAGGCAGAGAGGCCCCCCTGATTGTGGGCCGGTGTATAGGCTCAGAGAGCAATTACACAAGTTTCCATTAGAATAGAGATGGTTGGAATGAAGAGGAGATTTTCTGGGGAAGCTATTTTACTATCTCTACCAAATTCATGATTTTAGTTTCCTGTAGTTCATCCTGGACTGTCCTTGAGGTCAGGAGATCCTCTGATATGTGTAAGGACATGAATTAAACAGTTTGAAGAAAAAAACATGCCAAGTCAAAAAAATCACTAGTTTTTCAGGTGCAGAATGTTTTTACTAATATACACACTTGGAAGCATGTAGTCGAGTAAAAAGAAAATATTAACACCTTCTTTGCACCCATTGCTCTTCCACGTCCTGTGGAAGATGCACAAAACAGCAGAGGCAGTGCCTGAGTTTGACTGCAATGTGTTCCAGTGCATAAAACAAATCATTTTCACATAGAAAAAAACCATGCTGTAATTGGATATGTGCTTCATATTCAGCTCTGAGTACCATAGCATTATAAACATTATTAACAATATGATAAAGCTACAGCTACCATAAATACTTATAATCATTTCAAATAATAAAATTATAATCCAAAATGCTGTAAAAATGAGCATAAAGGTACCATATACTGTGATGGTAGTTGAGGCTCTAATATAGTATCAAGTATATACATAACACTTAAAAATATAATTCTCTTCTATCATAAATTTGACTGAAAACTAATATGACAGCTTTGATTAACATTAAATATTTAATTAGCAATAATTTTCTATGCCTTCTAGGAGTGTAGAAGGGCTCTGCTGGAATAATTGGGATGACCCATGTTCTTAAAAGCCCTGTCCAAGGAAGTTCTTCTAATGCCATCTTTTTTCCTTCCTGAATTTTGGTGTAGCAAGCAGAGACATTGGAAATAATTCTACTCCCTTATATTGGCCTCAAAGTACTGCAGTAGTTACTGAAATGTTGTTGAAGATTTTAAGGTAATAAGGCTGCAGTTTGTCCCACTGCAAAGCATTTAAGAAATAGTTACAATTAACCCTCACATTCTCCGCTTCCCCGCTTTCACTGCTTCTACCTTTTCAAAGTAATAAGTGTATTTGCTTTGATTCAGACCCACTTAAAGCAACAGTGAGAGCTTAGTCTCTTCGCGGTGTCCTGATGCTAGTGAATGAATAACATCAGGTGATAAGAGTGGGTTGGAGTGAGGTGAAAGGTAGAGAATTCTTATAAAATCATGGCTTCTGCTCCCAAAGTGCTTAGGGAGATTCAACATATTCCTGGTTAACAGTCATGAACTCTGTGGTATGGAATTCAATGCAATAGGTATTGAGAAAAGGCAGGGAGGCATGTTGTTGCTGGAGTAGTCTGAAAAGGTTTTGGGAAGAAATTGAACACTGACCTGGACCATGAAAGATGAATAAAGTCTGCACATTGACACAGGTAGAAGAAAGGCAGATAGAATTTCCAGAGCAGGACATGGCCTAAGCAGAGAAAGAGCTGCCTCAAATTTTCACTACGTGAGCTGACATGCACAGATAATAGCGGGATCCCATTAGAATGAACCACATCTCAGGGTCTAGCTGCAACACCAGAGAGATTTTATTTCTTGTCTGCCTTTGACTATGACCAGTTTTGTCTATAATTATTGCAAATGGTTACAATCTGTTTTTATGGAAACCAATTTAAGTATTAGATATTTGTTAATCTCTATTTAATTTTCTAGAATATGTTACTAATTACCATGATGTTTAGAATATTACAGCAACAAATATCTATTATCTCACGTCATTTATAAGGGTCAGGAATCCAGGAGCAGTGTGGCTGGCTGGTTCTGGCTCTGGGTCCCTGATGAGGTCACAGTGAAGCTGTTGACCAGGCTGTAGTCTTCTGATGGCATGAAGGATCCACTTTCAAGCTCATTCATATAGATGTTGGCAGGAGGCTTCAGTTCCTCACCATGTGGGCCCCTTCATAGGGAAGGTCATGACTTGGCAGTTGAACATGCTGAGCATGTGATCCGAGAGAGTGAAAGCAAGACAGAGCAACCAAGATGGAAACTGTAGTGTCTTTTATAATTTAATTTCAGAAGTCACATAACCTCACCTATGCTTTATTTTGTTGGTCACACAGACCAACCCTGGTACAACGTGATAAGAAACTATACTGGGGGTGGGGTTTATCAGAGACCATATTGGAGACTGGCTACCACAGTCTGTATAACTTCCATATAAATTAGCATTGATACATATGTAGTGTTTCAGTAGGAAAGAGTTAGGATAGCTCATCCAACAACTGCAGACTCATAGAGAGTCTTTGAAACTGTGTTCTAGTCTTGTGATTCTAATGTTCTAGGAATTTTAGGATTATAACAGAAAGCACTCATGGGTTATATTAGTCCCTTTTCATGCTGCTGGGAAGAAAAAGAGGTTTAATGGACTTACACATGGCTGGGGAGGCCTCACAATCATGGTGAAAGGCAAGGAGGAGCAAGTCACATCTTACATGGATGGTGGTGGGCAAAGAGAGCTTGTGCAGGAGAACTCCCATTTTCAAAACCATCAGATCTCGTGAGACTTATTCACTATCATGAGAACAACACAGGAAAGACTCATCACCATGATTCAATTACCTCCTACCAAGTTCCTCCCACAACATGTGGGAATTGTGGAAGTTACAATTCAAGATGAGATTTGGGGGGAGGCACAGCCAAATTATATCATTCTGCCCCTGGCCCCTCCCAAATCTCATGTCCTCACATTTCAAAGCCAATCATGCCCTCTCAACTGTCCCCCAAAGTCTCAACTCATTTCAGCACTAACTCAAAAGTCCACAGTCTAAAGTCTCATCCGAGAAAAGCCAAGTCCCTTCAGCTTATGAGCCTATAAAATCAAAAGCAAGTTAGTTATTCCCTAGATAAAATGGGGGTACAGGCATTGGGTAAATACAGCCATTCCAAATGGGAGACATTGGTCAAAACAAAGGGGCTACAGGCCCCAGGCAAGTCCAAAATCCAGCAGGGCAGTCAAATCTTAAAGCTTCAAAATGATCTCCTTTGACTCCATGTCTCACATCCAGGTCATGCTGATGCAAGAGCTGGGTTCCCATGGTCTTGGGGAGCTCTGCCTCTGTGGCTTTGCAGGGTACAGCCTCCCTCCCAGCTGCCTTCACGGGCTGGCATTGAGTGTCTGCAGCTTTTCCAGGTGCACAGTGTAAGCTGTTGGTGCGTCTACCATTCTGGGGTCTGGATGATGGTGGCCCTCTTCTCACAGCTCCACTAGGTGGTGCCCCAGTAGGGACTCTGTGTGGGGGCTCCAACCACACATTTCCCTTCTGCACTGCCCTAGCAGAGGTTCTCCATGAGGGTTCCACCCCTGCAGCAAACTTCTGCCTGGGCATCCAGGTGTTTCCATACATCTTTTGAAATTTAGGTGGAACTTCCCAAACCCTAATTCTTGACTTCTGTGCACTCACAGGGTCAACATCACATGGAAGCTGCTAAGGCTTGGGGGCTGCACCCTCTGAAGACACGGCCCGAGCTCTATGTTGGCCCCTTTCAGCCTTGGCTGGAGCCAAGGATGCAGGGCACCAAGTCCCTAGGCAGCACACTGCACGGGGACCCTAAGCCCAGCCCAAGAAACCACTTTTTCCTCCTAGGCGTCCAGGCCTGTGATGGGAGGGGCTGCTGTGAAGACCTCTGATATGCCCTGGAACATTTTCCCCATTGTCTTGGGGATTAACATTCGGCTCCTTGTTACTTATGCGAATTTCTGCAGCTCACTTGAATTTCTTCTCAGAAAATGGGATTTTCTTTTCTATTGCATTGCCAGGCTGCAAATCTTCTGAACCTTTATGCTCTGTCTCCTTTTAAAACTGAATGCCTTTAACAGCACCCAAGTCACCTCTTGAATGCTTTGCTGCTTAAAAATTTCTTCTGCCAGATACCCTAAATCATCTCTCTCGAGTTCGAAGTTCCACAACTGTCTAGGGCAGGGTAAAATGCCTCCAGGTCTCTTTGCTAAAACATAGCAAGAGTCCCCTTTACTCCAGTTCCCAAAAAGTTCCTCATCTCTCTCTGAGACCACCTCAGCCTGGATTTCATTGTCAATATTGCTATCAGCATTTTGGGCAAAGCCATTCAACAAGTCTCTAGGAAGTTCCAAACTTTCCCACATTTTCCTGTCTTCTGAGCCCTCCAAATTGTTCCATCCCCTGCCTGTTACTCAGTCCCAAAGTTGTTTCCACATTTTCAGGTATCTTTTCAGCAGTGCCCCACTCTACTGGTACCAATTTACTGTATTAGTCTGTTTTCATGCTGCTGATAAAGACATATCTGAGAGAAGGAAGAAAAAGAGGTTAAATGGCCTTACAGTTCCACATGGCTGGAGAGGTCTCACGAACATGGCGGAAGGCAAGGAGGAGCAAGTCACATCTCACATGGATGACAGCAGGCAAAGAGAGCTTGTGCAGGAAAACTCCCATTTTCAAAACCATCAGATTTCATGAGACTTATTCACTATCACAAGAACAGCACAGGAAAGACCTTTCCCCTATGATTCAATTGCCTCCCACCAGGATCCTCCCACGATATGTGGGAACTGTGGGAGTTACAATTCAAGATGAGATTTGAGTGGGGACACAGCCAAACCATATCACTGCTATTTCAAGTCCTTACCAATGGGTTACTGAAATGTGAATATATGTTTTATAATCTCTAAATATTATTTCTGACATCTCTACTTACAAGCTAATAATATTTTGTAATTGAACAAAAGGGGAAATTGTAACCTGTAGGTAAATTCCCAAAGCTTGGAGATCTGTTTTAACTGTAGCAATAATCTTTTGTTGTTCTGGCAGATGATATCATAAACACATATTTTCTTTGAATGAGCCTTCTTGTTTGGTACAAGGCATTATTTGGGAATATATATATGTGTGTGTATATATACACATATACATATATACATATATACACACAAGGCGTTATTTGGGAATATATATGTGTGTATATATACACATATACATATATACATATACACACACATATATATACACATATACACACATGTATGTATATATACATATACACATGTATGTATATGTATATATGTATGTATATACATATGTATATATGTGTATATGTATATACATATGTATATATGTGTATATGTATATACATATGTATATGTATATATATACATACATATATATATATTCCCAAATAATGCCTTGTACCAAGGCAAATATATATATGTGTATATATATATTTCCTAATCCATTGTACACTGTTTGGTAGAACTGTTATATTTATTATACATGATTATACTGATGTTCCTTATTTAAGAATCCCACTTCTGAAATTTTAATTTATCCAGGATTTATAAAGTAAGGAATGAATTCAGTGTTTGTTCTCTGAAGACTTAGAGTTTTGTATGTGCAGAAGAATAAGGCCTGAGCATTAGAGCAGGGCCAACAAACTATAGTCTGTGGGCCAAATCCAGCCTGTCACCTCTTTTTGTAAATAATGTTTTATTAAAACACAGCTGGCTCATGCCTGTAATCTCAGGACTTTGGGAGACCAAGGTGGGCGGATCACCTGAGGTTGGGAGTTCAAGACCAGCCTGGCCAACATGACAAAACCCCATGTTTACTAAAAAAATACAAAAATTAGCCGGGCATGGTGGCAGGTGCCTGTAGTCCCAGCTACTTGGGAGGCTGAGGCAGGGAGAATCGCTTGAACCCGGGAGGCAGAGGTTGCAGTGAGCCAAGATCGTGCCACCGTACTCCAGCCTGGGTGACAGAGCGAGGCTCTGTCTCAAAAAAACAAACAAACCAACGAAAAACAGCGGTGTCTATTTATTTTTGTATTTTCTATAGCTACTTTTCAGGTACAATGGCAGAGTTGGGTAGTTATGACAGAAACCTTATGGCTCATAAAGCCTAAAATATTTACTACCTAGCCCTTTATATTGCTAATATCTGCTCTAGAGGTCATTTTGAAGTCCTAAATTTAAAAATCAGGGTAAGTTAGAAAACTACATTTTACCTATATGTAGTGGTATTTTTTGGGTGAGTATGATAAGAAAGAGATCTTATTGAATGTATATATTTATGTTTTTAGGTTGGCGCTAAAGTATTTGTGATTTTTACCATTGAAAGTAATGGCAAAAACTGCAATTACTTTTGCACCAACCTCATAATTGACTAGGAATGGGAATATAGAAGAAAGCTCAGTATGTTTATTTGGCAGATGGGGAGTGGGTGGGAAAAAATTAATTCCTTTGGTTTTAGGAATTTGGAAGTTTCACAACTTCTTTATTAGGTGGGTAGAATTCATTTTTACTTATTTAGAATTGAGGAACTGAGAGGTGTGGTGACTTGCAACTGTCATCATCACAAACCAAGCACGAGACATCATTATGCCCAGAACAGGCATCTTCTGACTCCAAGTCTAGGCAAAGGCTCTTGCGTTTGTGCAACATGGCCATTCCCTGAGCTGTGTGGTGTGCTCAATATAAGACATACACAACCTAAGATTTTACAAAATTAGTAGAAAACGGTTAGTAGTTCTACTACTGGTTTATTGCTTTCTTAAGAATATCTTAGTCTGGTATGGAGAGATTCTCCTCCTTACAATGTAGCCACAGACAGATTTAAGGAGATTTCTGAAACAGAGTTTAAAGATAGAGACTGAACAATTTCTGGATTATCAAATTCCTAAAGGGAGGCATAAATGTGGCCAGGGTTACCAGGGAAAGCCTTATTAGATCTTAAAATGCCAGTGTAGAAATAATGCATCCTTAAGTTTTAGAAACTAGTCAAAAGAAATGTAAGCTCTTATATGGAGGAAACTGAGTCTATAGGCAAGTTGTAATAACAATGCAGACAAAATGACAATGTTTTCAATTCCATAGCAATGAAATGTTGAGAATATCTCACCAAACTACTATGAAGACAGTCACAAATTAAAATCTATAATAATTCCACAAGAGGGTTCCTTACTTTATTTTCTTCTTAAAGAGTCTTTTTCAAGGTTCTTCAGTGATTAATAGAGAAAAACTTAAAAGTTCTCCTTCTAGAATTATTAGAACAATAATAAAAACTTTCTTTTCAAGTTACTCATTTGAGCCCTGAAATGAAGACATTTCTGCAGGAGGACAAACATTGAATGATTAAATTCCATAGGAGTAGGGCCCCCTTAAGTCAAAGGCATCAAAGAACAATCTAGTTCTGGGCATGAAGAGATACCATGGAAAGTGGACCAGCAAGTAGAAAAGCTTAATAGTAAAGACTGACATTTATATCTCTAGCCTGAATCTCTTCCCCCAGTTCTAGACCTGCATATCTAGGTCCTTTTACCCAGCAGCATCATTTGGATTAAAGAAGCAACTCAGATTTAACATGTCCCAAATGGAACTTCTGGTCATCGATTCCAAGCTTGCTTCTCTTTTAGTCTTCAGTTCATCTTTCCAGCTATTCAGGTTCAAAACCTTGAAGACTGAGGCTCCTTTCTTTTATACCCTACATCTAATGTAGCTGCCAATCTTATTGTTTCTATCCGCAAATATATCCACAACTCCACATTCTCACAATTGCTACTGCTACTTTCCTGGCCTGGGTCACCATCATCTGTAATAGTTTCCTAACTGATCTTCCTGCTTTTATCTCCACCTACCCACCATACCCCACTGTGGCCTCTCCATTCAGTCTATTCTCAATACAGCAGCCAGAATAATCCTTTTACAATGTAAGTCAGAGTATGCCACTTCTCTGGTCAAGACTCTGTAATGGCTCCCCTAATTCACTCTAAATAAAAACCCTTACTATGATTTTCAAGGCCCTGCATGTCCTCTGTGTCCTTGCTATTCTCTCCTCGTTCTCTCTGTTCCAGCCACACTGGCCTGCTTGCATTTCCTCCAACATGCCAGGTATGCTCCTGCCTAGTGCCTTTGAACTTGTTCTTACTTCAGCTGTTGTTCCAGATAGTTGTCTGGTTTACTCCCTCATCTCCTACAGGCCTTTCCTCAAATGTCACCTTTTTAGAAAGCTTTCCTTGGATACCTTAATGAAAATTCAACCTGTTCTAACTTTCCAACTCTCCGTCTCTCTCCCTTGCTTTATTCTACATTTCTCCATAGTATTTATAACCCCTTTAATATACTCTACCTTTTCTTCACTTTCCTGGCCTGTTCGTTCACTGTTGTATCCTCAGCACCCAGAACAGTGCCTGGTTCAGAGTAGACAATAAATATTTGCTGAACAAATGAATAAATGACCATTATTGTTACTTTATGTGGTTGGAAATTCCTGAGGTTGGGCTTTGTCATCCTTCTTCCCCCGAGCCCCCTGATTCAGAGAGTTCATTTTAATTCCAGGTGCTCCATTTCTGACATTGTGAAGGTCCTTGTCCTCATTTTCTAAAGAGTTTAGGAGACATACCCTGTTGCTCTGAGAAAAGCAAGTCTTTGTTTGGAAAGTGTTGGCCAAGTACCCAAGTGAGGAAAACAACCCACAGGGAACTGTTTCTTCTTTCTGCCCCTGCCTCATGGTAGGACTTCCCCTGATTTGAGTGGACTCTGCTGAGGGTATCGTTGGGATGAGACAGCCCTGAGAAGCTTGTTTTATAGCTGGAATGGGAGACACATGCCTCTGGAATGAAGATACCATGACCCAGAAAGTAGGCATTTTATGCGAAGGGAATGGATACACGTGTGTATCCTGAGATTCATGAGTTTCCATCTCTCTTAATCAGCATATATCCACTAATACTAGAAATCAGACATTGATAGTTTCATTATCTTATAGATGTTCCTGTGAATTAGGAGGCTGACCCCATCATTTTATCTGTACCTACCCTCCGTAGAATTGGCAATATTTTGAAAATCCTAAGTTATTTTGGGGGGGACTATTTTATAGTTTGACTTTAGATTTACAGCAACTTCTCTTATTCTGAATATAAAAGATCCCACACAGCTTGCTAGAAATTTTGGCATATGCTATTCCTTACTAGGTGACACAAAAGAGGCAACAGATGATATGAAGGCCAATAACAAATAGACTGTGTAAAAGAGAACTAAATGTAGCCTGAGAAGGATTCTGTACTTCTATATTTGAGGCCTTGAGGACGAACTGCAACCTAACTTAATAGGTAGACAAGATTGAAAACCTAACTTAGGAGTTTGCGCCTGTAACAATACCTGAGTCTTGGCCAATCACATCAGCCATACTTCAACCAGTCATATATACTGCTGAGTGTTCAAACTGTTCAAATAAGGCAAATGCTGACCTGTAACCAATCCAGCCATTCCTGTACCTCACTTCCGATTCCTGTACATCACTTTACTTTTTTCTGTCTATAACTTTGTTCTGACCGTGAGGTGCCCCTAGAGTCTCTTTGAATCTGCTGTGATTCTGGGGGCTGCCTGATTCATGAATCGTTCATTGCTCAATTAAACACCTTTAAATTTAATTAGGCTGAAGTTTTTCTTTTAACAACTGTCACTAAATGGACTGTCCACAATTATTATATTGGTACCCTACCAAAGGAGTATCATTTAGGAAACCAGTATGGTGTTTGGAAACAGAAAAGCCAAATTGGGCATGCTGTAGAATTCTGATGGAATAAAATGAACGTTTTGACAATTGAGGGTTTTGGGTATCTGATTAAGTGCAGTTGATGTTATCTGTATTGCTGTTATTATAGCAAAACGCCATGGGATAAATATTCTAATAGCATCCCTCTTCCAAATTGATTCCCACATCTCCCCTGGCTTTGGCTTTGGAGAACCTGGGTCTCGTCATGACTGGCCTTTCTTGGTAGCTGGCTTTAGTCCTGGACACCTTCAGTCATCTTGGATAAGACTAAGAGATCTCACAGGTGTGGTTTGGTGGAGAGTGAGATCCAATGGTCTGAGACTGTCACGTAAGTGAACTTCCTGGGGGCTGTAGTTCCTTATACTTTATAGGGTTCTGCCTCTAGCTCAGTCTCTAACTAGTTGTGGTATCCTGGACAAACCACTTCCCCTGATTAGCCCTCATTTTTTCCATTTTTCAAATGATTGGGCTGGATTGATTTTCTCTATTGTCCTCTGCAGTTGTAAAGTGCCAGGCAATCAGTAACCTGCCTAACAATAATGACCACTCACCTTTCTAATTTATCATAATAATATTAATACAATAGCCTTGATCTGTATAATGCTTTATTCGTTTTTAACATCCACAGAAACTGTGCAGATAGCTTGAGCTAGGAATCATTCAGCACCTCTACAAATAAATCTCCCTTTTCAGGGAGTGGTGTTTAGGAAAGCTTTACAAATGAAATCATCCCAGAGCAAGTGTTTGTAAGACATTTATAAAGAGAAAGAAAGAAAGAAAGAAAGGCAAGGGGAAAAGGCAAACTGTTTTTCTTCAACAAATAATGAGAATCAGTTTGTTTACATGCTTCTTTACATCCCTAACGCTTTAAGAAAGCTTTGTTGCTTAAACTGTAATTTCACAGTCAATTAATCTACCACATATTGTATGCTGGTATCTGTAGGTTGCTGTTCTAGGCACCCAAATCTCACAAACTGCAAATTTTTTCTTCCTTTTTAGGTTAATTTAAATGTGACTGCTGATTTGCACTGGATTTGTGGGGGAAAACACTTTAAAAACTGAATAAAAAACCAGAAGAGCCTTTTGTCAGATACAGCTCCATGTTAGATATGGCTCATGTTTGGCTCTGGTGTATCAGAATATGAGATTTGGACCTTAGAAAGCAGTTCCTGCTCTCCTTTGCAGATGTGTTTTTTTGTCAAAGTGCAGCATTATGCCAAACAAAGTGTTCAGAGGAAACAGCATGAAAGAGTCACATGATTCCCTTCATGATTTTCATGAAAATCCACTGGGAAATAAACAAATGGAACATCTATGAGTTGACTGGCTTCTGAAGGAGACAAGAGGGAAGAGTACTAGACTGTGTTAGGGTTCTCATGTTCGAGTCCCAGCTCTGCTACTTGTTGGAGTGACCTTGGGTGAATCACTGCACCTTGCTGGCTATCAGCTCCTTCTGAAAATTGATTGAGTTGATTGACTGCTATGCCCTCCATGCTTTTAATGTGCATGACTGTATGATTTGAGTCTTTCCAAGAATCTTAATTGTTATTAGAGACTTATTAGAGAGAAGCCATAGAAATAAACACATTTTCATTTCCAAGTATTTTGGAATAAACGTGCAACACATGAACAAAAATTGGTAAGTAACTGTGGTCACTGACAAAATTTTCTGTTGGGGCTGAGGACAGGGTTGTGTTGGCGGTGCTTGTGGCTTCTCCAATCACTTTGGTTGGAAAGAACATTTTAGGGGTCATCATCCAGTGTTTTAGTTTATGTCTGAATGAGACTGTAAACTTCACAGTACAGGAATTCTGTCTTTTGTGCTTTATGTTCCATAAAGTACCATATAGATTTACACAGCTCTATAAATTATAAGAATAAAAATAAGTGCTGATGCAACACATTCATCCATTTAATATTTAGCAGATTTTAGTGATGCCTTCAATATTTTATCCCCAGATAGTTTATGGTGTTTGGAGTTTTTATGACGGTCTCTCAGAGACAGACTTTAAGTTTAAATTTTGCCTTTTGGAGAGGCATCAATTCTGAATGCTCCTTCTGGGGCCCATTCTTTAGCCATCGAAAGACTCATGGCTGACTTACCTCGGGAGCCTCTTTAAGGCTATCTGCTGTTGCATCAGTGGTTCCCTTTGGGTGACATACAGCACTTTTCATTGCTATGTATACTTTTCCAATTTTACACAATTTATGGACAGCTCTTTTTAGATGAATCTTTCTAAAACATTGACTTCATCATACCATTTTCTTGTTAAAAACTCACAATGTTTCTAAACTTAAGTTTTAACCTCCCGGCTTGAAATTCAAGGTTCTCTATCAGCAGAGAAACATATTCTAGTATCTTTCACTTGCCAAGCATGCAAGCAAGCAAGCAAGCAAGCAAGCAAGCAAGCAAGCAAGAAAGCAAGCAGACTAATTACCAGAAACTTCTCTTGAAGTCACCTATCCTCTATCACTGCTTTATCTGTTTTCTTTATAGCAAGGTTTATTGGAAAGGTTTTCTATACTCAGTCTCCACTTTGTTACCTTCTAGTCACTTTTCAGCCCACTCCAGTCTGACCCCTGTCACTCTAGTAAAACTACCTTTTTCATGGTTACCAATGTAGGGGTGGGTTGCCCCTACACACCTGTGGGTGTTTCTCGTAAGGTGGGACGAGAGATTTGGAAAAGAAAAAGACACAGAGACAAAGTATAGAGAAAGAAATAAGGGGACCCGGGGAACCAGCGTTCAGCATATGGAGGATCCCGCCAGCCTCTGAGTTCCCTTAGTATTTATTGATCATCTGTGGGTGTTTCTCGAAGAGGGGGATGTGTCAGGGTCACAAGACAATTGTGGGGAGAGGGTCAGCAGACAAACATGTGAACAAAGGTCTTTGCATCATAGACAATGTAAAGGATTAAGTGCTGTGCTTTTAGATATGCATACACATAAACATCTCAATGCTTTACAAAGCAGTATTGCTGCCCGCAGGTCCCACCTCCAGCCCTAAGGCGGTTTTTCCCTATCTCAGTAGATGGAGCATACAATCGGGTTTTATACCGAGACATTCCATTGCCCAGGGACAGGCAGGAGACAGATGCCTTCCTCTTGTCTCAACTGCAAGAGGCATTCCTTCCTCTTTTACTAATCCTCCTCAGCACAGACCCTTTACGGGTGTCGGGCTGGGGGACGGTCAGGTCTTTCCCTTCCCACGAGGCCATATTTCAGACTATCACATGGGGAGAAACCTTGGACAATACCTGGCTTTCCTAGGCAGAGGTCCCTGCGGCCTTCCGCAGTTTTTGTGTCCCTGGGTACTTGAGATTAGGGAGTGGTGATGACTCTTAAGGAGCATGCTGCCTTCAAGCATCTGTTTAACAAAGCACATCTTGCACCGCCCTTAATCCATTTAACTCTGAGTTGACACAGCACATGTTTCAGAGAGCACGGGGTTGGGGGTAAGGTTATAGATTAACAGAATCTCAAGGCAGAAGAATTTTTCTTAGTACATAACAAAATGGAGTCTCCTATGTCTACTTCTTTCTACACAGACACAGTAACAATCTGATCTCTCTTGCTTTTCCCCACATTTCCCCCTTTTCTTTTCGACAAAACCACCATCGTCATCATGGCCCGTTCTCGATGGTCGCTGTCTCTTCGGAGCTGTTGGGTACACCTGCAGACTAACAACAGACAAAACAGGCACACAAGGATTAATATGAGATTTATAATCGTAGTACTTCCAATGGTCTTAACCCAAGTGACAGGGTTAAGATTTGCGAGGCCATCAGCAACTCCTGCAATTGCCTCAGTTCCTGGCACCAAATTTAAATGGGCTTTTGATGCTTCGAAAATTTGTTCTTTTAATTTGGAAATGTCTAAAGTGAGATTATCTTCTCTTCCCTGTAGATGGCGTCTAACCATGTCCCAGTGATGCTCAGACTCATTATAAATTTGGGGTGTAATACAAAAATCTGACGTATTCCAGTCACACTGTAACTGGAAACGATGTTCTAAGCTCATGAGCCTGTCTCCCATCCAAATGACAGTTTGTCTAAGATCATTAATTTGATTTGCCAATTTTTGATCAATACTAGATTGTGAATTCCACAATCTTGTAGAATTTTTTTGCCAATCATTAACAAAGTTTACTGACTGAACAAAAGAGTGCAATGCAACTCCTGCTACAGCAGCCATAGCTGTGACTGCAATTAATCCCATAATCACTGCAATTAAAGTAAAAATGAATCTTTTGGATCTATTTAAAACACCTTTTAATACTTCAGTCAAAATATGGATGGATGGCGAGGCCTCCCACGGTCGGTCCATGGACACAGGGATCCACACGCCCTCTCTTGCTCTCACCAGCAGAATACGGTGTTGCCAATTAAAAGTTGAATCAATGCAAGTAAGCAATCTACAATTTTCACAGGTTATAGTTTGAGAGTCTGGTTTAATAACTATATTTCCTACAACTAGCATATAAGGGGGCTTTACGCAACTTTGTAAAGGAACTGTTAGACTGGAATTTAGGTCAACAGTATAAAATGGCTTACGATCTCTTGTTTCTAAAGTTTGATTTCCAGACCAAATTCTAATGTGGTGTGAGGCCACAGTAAGCCTCCATAATTCTGGATGTTCAGGACCAGAAACAGGACTTATTATTTTTGGTCTTGGGGTAGAGATTCCTTTTTCTCCCCATTCCCAAGGGTAGAAAGACTGCAATTTTTTATGCTTATGTTTGTCTAAACTTTCTGTTAAGTCACTATCAACAGCTGGACTCACTTGTGCACTTGGACACGACTGAGTTTGTCCTGAGCAATTGTGGTAGAATTGACCTCGAGGTGCCCAATCTATAATAGTTCCAAATTCATTGTTTTGTAATATCACCACACTATTGGCCACACATTCTTCCCAAACTAAAACTTCTGTATTTTTTGATTCTTTGGGAATTTCCTTGGGGCAAGGTTTCCCTTTAGGTCTAAATTTTAATGATCTTTGATAAGAAAAGTCTTGTAAATAATTTACCCGTGGCCTGAGTGACATCCCGCTTACCATGTTATAAGTGAATCTACTGATGGGACTGACAGTAGGTACTTCTACCAACCAATTTTGGACTGCAGGCATTAAACATCCTGGTGCTCTCCCTAGGCAAATAGGAGGATAATGATACCCAATGGAGATATTTATCATCATCCCTTCTTCCTCAGGTTTGGCAGGGCAGCGATCATCTATGGGGCCATGTACCCATACACTATCATTAACATATACTTCTATAGGATTATCCATCCATGTGACTGCCCGAATTAAGGGCGGGAAAGGCACATAGGCCCAGTTGGTATAGTTAGCTGCAGCTGCTCCTGCAGGCATAGGGAGACTTACCACCATTGATACAATCATCAAGGCTGCAAGCAGCATACTCTCTGGGGTTTGTGTCACCTTTGTGTTCTCTAGATATTTTGTAGCTAACTGCGTCAGCTTCTTTAGTTGTGCCCAAGTCGGCGGCTCTGCCTTCTTGGTGGATGGCAACTTCATCTGTTCTGATGTCACCATTTTGTTCATCTTGTGAGTCAACGGTGCTCGATTGCGGTGTCTCCGTCTCCGCGGAGGTGCTTTTCTTTGCATCTCCGATGGGTGCATTGTAGAACTTCAAATGTCTAGTGGGTATCCAAACAGGAAGCTGATTTTCTCCTGGTGAAACACAAGCAAAACCTCTCCCCCACGTTATCACCTTCCCTATTTCCCATGTCTTATTTTTATTATCTTTCCACCAAATTAGTTTTCCTTCATGTGGGCTGTTCTTTTTACCAGTAAGATGTTGTTCTGCAGAAGTAGTAGTCTGATTTCCATAAATGTTTAAAAAATTTAAAGTATAGAGTGCTAGATTAAGTTGCATCTGAGGAGTGGTACACTCCTTACTGTCTCCCCCTTCTTTTTGTTTAACTAATTGGGTTTTGAGTGTTCTATTAGTTCTTTCAACTATGGCCTGTCCTTGGGAATTATAAGGAATTCCTGTTGTATGTGAAATTTTCCACTGACTTAAGAATTTTTGGAAAGCTTTACTACAATATCCTGGTCCATTGTCAGTTTTGATTTTTTCTGGAACTCCCATTACAGCAAAACAAGACAATAAATGTTTTTTAACATGGGAAGTACTTTCTCCTGTTTGGCAAGTTGCCCATATGAAATGTAAATAAGTATCAACTGTTACGTGAACATATGATAATCTTCCAAATGAAGGTACATGCGTGACATCCATTTGCCATAACGCATTAGGACACAGACCTCTGGGATTAACTCCTGCCTCTTGAGTGGGCAGGTGTAAGACTTGACACTGGGTGCAATGTTGTACAATATCTTTTGCCTGTTTCCATGTGACATCAAATTTGTTTTTTAATCCTGCTGCATTTACATGAGTCAAAGCATGAAGTTCTTGTGCTTTTATGAGTGCAGATGATGCCAGTAAGTCAACTTGTTCATTTGCTTTAGTCAAAGGCCCTGGTAAATTAGTGTGTGCTCGAATATGAGTAATATAAAATGGGAAATTTCTTTTTCTTACAGTTTGTTGTAATAAATTGAATAGCTGGTTTAACTGATCATCCATGCTATATTTAATTAGAGCTGTCTCAACATCCCTTGTAGCTTGTACTACATATGCAGAATCTGATATAATACTGATAGGTTGGTCAAAATCTTGTAACACTGTAATGACTGCAACCAACTCTGCTCTTTGAGCCGATTGATATGGAGTTTTGATTACTCGTTCTTTCGGCCCTGTGTAAGCTGCTTTTCCATTGCTGGAACCATCAGTAAATACTGTTAGAGCATTTTCTAAAGGTTCACGTCTGGTAATTTTAGGTAGAATCCAAGTAGTCAATTTTAAGAACTGGAAGATCTTTGTTTTTGGGTAATGATTATCAATAATTCCCACAAAATTAGCAAGACCAATCTGCCATGCACCAGAATTGATAAAGGCTTGTCTAACTTGTTCCTTGGTTAAAGGGACAACTATTTTGTCTGGGTCATTTCCACATAATTTTATTATTCGTAATCTTGTCTGACCAATTAATGTAGCTATTTGATCCAAGTACAATGTAAAAGTCTTAACTGTACTGTGAGGAAGGAATGACCACTCCACAAGATCAGTATTTTGAATAATGATGCCTGTTGGAGAATGTGCAGTGGCAAAAATCAAAAGTTGGATGGGGCTAAGGGATCTATTCTATTTATTTGCGCTGACTGAATTTTTTCTTCCACTAATTTAATTTCTTTTGTTGCCTCTGGGGTTAACTATTTAAGTCTGAGTCTCCTCTTAAGATAGAGAACAAATTTGACATGGCATAAGTAGGAATGCCTAGAGTTGGCCGAATCCAATTAATATCTCCTAGTAATTTTTGAAAATCATTTAGTGTTTTTAATGTGTCTTTTCTTATTTCTATTTTTTGTGGCTAATTTTTCTATTTTCTATCTGTATCCCTAAATAATGAAAAGGAGTAGAGGTTTGGATCTTATCAGATGCTATTGCCAGTCCTGCATTGGCAACCTCTGCTTGCAGAAATGTATAACAGTCAATTAATTTATCTTTCGTTTCTGCAGCACATAAAATATCATCAATATAATGAATAATATAACAGTCTGAAAACTTTTCTCTAACTGGTTGAAGAGCTCGACCTACAAAAGTCTGACAAATAGTTGGACTATTAAGCATTCCCTGAGGTAACACTTTCCACTGAAACCTGGTGGCTGGTTCTTTATTATTTATGGCTGGTATAGTAAAGGCAAATTTTTCACAATCCTGCTCTGCCAGAGGGATGGTAAAAAAGCAATCCTTTAGATCAATTATAATTAAAGGCCAATCTTTTGGGATCATGGCCGGAGAGGGCAACCCAGGTTGGAGAGGCCCCATGGGTTGAATTATGGCGTTTACAGCCCTTAAGTCAGTTAACATACGCCATTTGCCTGATTTCTTCTGAATTACAAACACAGGAAAATTCCAAGGTGAGAACGAAGGCTCAATATGACCCTTTTCTAACTGTTCATTTGCTAATAAATGTAAAGCCTCCAGTTTTTGTTTTGGTAGCGGCCACTGATTTACCCACACCAGTTTTTCTGTTTTCCAAGTTAATGGTATGGGTTTAGGAGGCTCTAGAGTGGCCGCCCCTAAAAAGGATACCCTATTCCTTCTCTTTTTTGATTTATTTTAGCCTCAACTGGAACTTTAATGCCATCTTCATTTTTCCCTAGTCCCTTTCCTGGTATATATCCCATCTTGGTCATGATTTTTTGACTCGTGGGGCTATATAATGGAGTGGGCATGGTGATTTCCGCACCCCATTGTTGTAATAAATCTCGACCCCACAGATTAAGAGGAATTGAAGTAATCATTGGCTGAACAGTACTTTCTTGATTATCTGGCCCTAAGCAATGTAAAATCTCAGTACTTTGATACACTTCTGAGGCTGTGCCTATGCCGACAAGTCCTGTAACAGCCTTTTGTTTAGGCCAATTTTTTGGCCACTGATTTAAAGCAATGATAGAGACATCTGCTCCAGTGTCTACCAACCCTTCAAACTGTTTTCCTTGAATAATGGCCTTACACACAGGTCTGTTCTCTGAGACCTGACTTGCCCAATATGCAGCCTTTCCTGTTGGATCAGTGCTTCCAAGCCCTCCTATTATTTTTATTTCACTATTTCCACCCTTAATATATGGCAGGAGTAATAATTGAGCAATCCTGTCTCCTGGACTGGCACTCCAAGGAATTGAAGAGCTAATAACCAATTGAATTTCGCCTTTATAGTCTGAATCAACCACACTAGTATGAATTTGAACTCCTTTTAGATTTAGACTTGATCTTCCCAAGATTAGTCCTACAGTCCCCTCAGGCAGGGGGCCATATACCCCTGTGGGGATTTTTTGTGGGGGCTCCCCTGGAAGCAGAGAGACTGCTTGTATAGTACATAAATCTACTGCTGCACTGCCGCTTGTGGTGGGGGACAATTGTTGTATTGTGGTAACTGGCTTATTCCCTGAAACACTTGGGACAGTGGGGGTTGTTGTCCCTGAAAACCCTGAGGAACAAATGGCTGAATTGGGAATGCCCCAGTTTGTTGTGGGGCCTGAGGCTGGCCCCTTTGCTCGTTTCCCGACAATGGTTGCCCATTTTTATCAAATTTAGAACGACATTGACTAGCCCAATGTTTTCCTTTTTTACATCTTGGACATAAGTCAGGTGGCTCTCTACCTGTTGTAGTTGCTTGAATAGTTATATTCTGTTTGTTTAAGACTGGGCAATTCTTTTTTAAGTGACCAATTTGACCACAATTGTAACATTTTCCTCCAAATGTTCTAACTTGTCCTCCTAAAACAACTCCTGTTATTGCTTGAGCCATAAGCATAGCTTTATGCATAGCTCCTCCGATTCCATCACAGGCTTTTACATATTCTGAGATTACATCTGATCCTGCAGGAACCTTTCCTTTTAATGGCTTAATGGCTGATTGACACTCAGGATTGGCGTTTTCATATGCCATCAACTCCACTATGACCTTACGGGCTTTTTCATCGGCAATTGACTTTTGAGCAACATCTTGGAGCCTTGCCACAAAATCAGGATAGGGCTCTTTTGAACTTTGTCTTACTGTATTAAATGAGGGGCAGGTACTTCCTGGGTCTTGGATTTTTTCCCAGGCTCTAAGGCAGATAGCTCTAACTTGCTCAATGGCCTCATTTTGCATTAATGCTTGTTGACTAATAGTACTCCAATTTTGACCTATTCCTAATAGTTGATCTGCATCTATGTTAACTGGAGGATTGGCAGCCCTATTTCTTTGGACCTGTTCTTGTACCCCATCAATCCACCAAGTCTTAAATTGTAAAAATTGAGAGGGTAAGAGAGACGATTTTGCCAGAATCTCCCAATCATAAGGAATGAGTCTATGTCCATGAGCAATGGAATCTAATAATGTCCTCATATAAGGGGAGTTGGGTCCATACTGTTTTACTCCTTCTTTCATATCTTTTAGCATTTTTATTGAAAAAGACTTGTATCTGGCCTCAACTGTGGGAGGCTCTCCCTCTTGGGCTCCTTCTCCAGGTGGCATCGGTTCTAACATTACTGGGAATTGCCATGCCTCAGTATCTCCTTCCTTTCTTGATTTATCAATAATTTCATGTAATTCACTACCCTGTCTACTAGGTGGTGCCGTAGGATTAAGTCTCCTAGTGGGCGGCTGAGGGTATGGCGCCCTGCCCTGTGGTGCTGGGGGCATTCCTGGATATCCATACTGACTTTCTGGGGGTGGCCGATACTGAAGTTCAGCCGGCGGCCAGTATTGATAAGCTACTGGTGGTTGGGTCTTATTTTCTTTAACCTGCGTTTGAGGTTGTAATGTTACGGGCACCTGACCTGCTGGAAGAGGACTTGTGCCTCGTGGTTTAGACTCTGATGGCCCCACTAATTCTGGACCTTTTCCTTCTAATTTTAACGTTTCAGGATATATCACCTCCTGTAATTGATTATAGTCAACATTTTGCGTTGACTGAGCCATTACCGGCTCTGCTGCATATTCGCAATGTAAACCTTCCGTTTCTTTCTGGGATTTTTTCCTTGTGTTTTCATTACAATCTATTATACAGCTTCCAGGGGCATCAGAAACTGAAATGCTATCTTCTTCTGTTTGAAATGGTTCTAAAGCTGCTTTAATAATGGCCCAATCATTCCATACTGTAAGTGGAATGATATTACCCTTCCTACCTGCTTGTTTTAGTTCCTTACCAATTCTTTTCCAATCTTTTAGATCTAAAGTTCCTTGTTCTGGAAACCATGGGCAAAATTGTTCTATTATTTGAAATAGCTTGATTAGATTTTTTGTAGATACTTTAACTCCCCCTCTTTTTAAAAGAATTTTAATAAAGCTGAGATAAGAGGCATATTTACTTTTAATTTTACTTTTAGTTTGCCCCATTATCACCCTAGCTTCTTCCGAGAGCACAAGCTTACCGTAAGGCTGACTGTAGACGTCCTCGGGATCTCTCGTCGACTTGTCCTCAATGACCACGCTCGAGCGTACCTTCACCCTAGAGAAAAGCCTCCACGTTGGGCACCAGATGTAGGGGTGGGTTGCCCCTACACACCTGTGGGTGTTTCTCGTAAGGTGGGACGAGAGATTTGGAAAAGAAAAAGACACAGAGACAAAGTATAGAGAAAGAAATAAGGGGACCCGGGGAACCAGCATTCAGCATATGGAGGATCCCGCCAGCCTCTGAGTTCCCTTAGTATTTATTGATCATCTGTGGGTGTTTCTCGAAGAGGGGGATGTGTCAGGGTCACAAGACAATTGTGGGGAGAGGGTCAGCAGACAAACATGTGAACAAAGGTCTTTGCATCATAGACAATGTAAAGGATTAAGTGCTGTGCTTTTAGATATGCATACACATAAACATCTCAATGCTTTACAAAGCAGTATTGCTGCCCGCAGGTCCCACCTCCAGCCCTAAGGCGGTTTTTCCCTATCTCAGTAGATGGAGCATACAGTCAGGTTTTATACCGAGACATTCCATTGCCCAGGGACAGGCAGGAGACAGATGCCTTCCTCTTGTCTCAACTGCAAGAGGCATTCCTTCCTCTTTTACTAATCCTCCTCAGCACAGACCCTTTACGGGTGTCGGGCTGGGGGACGGTCAGGTCTTTCCCTTCCCACGAGGCCATATTTCAGACTATCACATGGGGAGAAACCTTGGACAATACCTGGCTTTCCTAGGCAGAGGTCCCTGTGGCCTTCCGCAGTTTTTGTGTCCCTGGGTACTTGAGATTAGGGAGTGGTGATGACTCTTAAGGAGCATGCTGCCTTCAAGCATCTGTTTAACAAAGCACATCTTGCACCGCCCTTAATCCATTTAACTCTGAGTTGACACAGCACATGTTTCAGAGAGCACGGGGTTGGGGGTAAGGTTATAGATTAACAGAATCTCAAGGCAGAAGAATTTTTCTTAGTACATAACAAAATGGAGTCTCCTATGTCTACTTCTTTCTACACAGACACAGTAACAATCTGATCTCTCTTGCTTTTCCCCACATACCAACAATCTCCATGTTGCCAAAACCAGTGGCCACTTCCTTGTCCTCCCTACCTTGACCTCTCACCAGTGGTCAGCACGTTCCTTTGGTTTTCCTTTTTCCTCTCTTACTGCTCCTTTCAGCTTTTTTTTTTTTTTTTGCTACCTCTTCTACTAGACTTTGGAATGTTGGAAGGTTTCCAAGCTCAGTCCAGAGACTTCTTCTCTTTCGTCACTTTTTATCTGACTAACTGTACTCAGTCCCATGACTTTAAATATCCTTTACAGGCTGATGAGTATTTTTTAAATATCTTTAATGACTCCCCTGGACTCCAGACTTCTGTAGCCAACAGTGTACTTTCAATCTCTACTTGGATATTATAGCTAAACACAGTCAGCTCTCTTCTCAGTATCCACTTTTCCGTACTAGAACCATGAGATTGTTTGGGATAGCAATAGGCATAGCTAAGAACAATATTTTCTAGACTCTCTTCCAGCTATGGGTAGCCATGGGAGATGCCAACCAAAATCTTCTGGAGCTTTCTGGAAATTGTTTAACCTTGATAAAGACACACATCATTACTGATATGGTTTGGCTGTGTCCCCACCGAAATCTCATCTTGAACTATAGCTCCCATAATCCCCACCTATTATGGAAGGGACCTGGTGGGAGGTAATTGAATCATGTGGGTGGGTTTTTCCCATGCTGTCCTCATGATAGTGAATAAGTCTCATGAGATCTGACGGTTTTGCAAGGGACTTTCCCCACTGTTGCTCTGCGCTTCTTGTTGATGCCATGTGAAGAAGGATGTGTTTGCTTCCTCTTCCGCCATGATTGTAAGTTTCCTGAGGCCTCCCCAGCCATGCTGAACTATGAGTCAATTAAACCTTTTTCCTTTATAAATTGCCCAATCTTTGGCATGTCTTTATTAGCAGCATGAGAACAGACTAATACACTTCCTCATTTTGCTTCTTTCTTATTCCTGCCTGAAACTTGGACCAGAAGTTGGAGATAGAACACATATTGTAATCATGGGGCAGCTGTAGAATGAAAGCCATTATTTTTTTGGTGCTTGAGCAGGAAGAAAAAGGGATCCTTGAGTAGCTCTATCAACCATGATGTGGTTACATCTTCCTGTTTTTTTTTTTGTTTTTTGTTTTTGCCATATGAGAAAAATAAATGCCTTACTGATTAGGCCCTTGCTACCAAGTTTCTGCAGGTAGTTCCTATCCATGAGAGATATAGGTATAAAACAGGCATAAAAAATAATATGTCTAATAAGGAACTCTCTTGATTTTCCCCTGTCCACTGACCAAATTCTTTTTCAGGTCATCCCCATTTCAGTAAGAGGTTTCACCATCTTCCAGACTGCTCAAGTCAAAAGCCTAGATGTCAACCTTGGTTCTTCTCTTTCCCTTCTTCCCTCTTCTATCAAAATCACCAGCATGTCCTGCATGTTCTGCTTCCAAAATACACCTCTAGACTGTTCACTTCTCTCACTCTTGGGGCCACCCCCAAAAGTCCAGCCTATGTCTTTGCTACAGGCTTCTCCTGATCATCTCCCTGCTTCTTTCCTTACCCCTCCCTCCAGTATCCATTCTTCTCATAGCTACCAGTGAGCTTTAAAAAATATAAATTACATCACTTAACTTGCTTACCAGAACTATTTGCCCAAACCTAAAATAATTTAGTGAGTTTCTGTTGCAATTAAAATAAAGGGTAGAAAAGGGCTGACAGTCTGTCCCTGCCTGCTCTACTGAGGTGGCCCACCACTCTCCCTCTCTCTTTCCCTGTGTGCCTGCCATGTCAGCCTTCTTTCTGTCTTTGAATGTGCGTGTGAATGATTTTTCTCCTCAGGACAAATGCTCTTGCTGTTCCCTCTGCCTGATACCTCCAGGTTGACCCATCCTCATAATTTAAGTCTCAGCTCAAACGTTACCGGAAAGAGGTCCCAATTCAGACTCCAGAGAGGGTTCTTGGATCTCATGCAAAAAAGAATTTGAGGTGAGCCCATAGAGTAAATTGAAAGCAAGTTTATTAAGAAAGTAAAGGAATACAAGAATAGCCATTCCATAGGCAGAGCAGCTCAGAGGGCTGCTGGTTGCCTATTTTTATGGTTATTTCTTGATTATATGCTAAATTAGGGGTGGATTATTCATGCCTCCTCTTTTTAGAACGGATAGGGTAACTTCCCGATGTTGCCATGGCATTTGTAAACTGTCATGGCACTGGTGGGAGTGTAGCAGTAAGAACGACCAGAGGTCACTCTCATTGCCATCTTGGTTTTGGCCGGTTTCTTTACTGCAAACTGTTTTATCAGCAAGGTCTTTATGACCTGTATTTTGTACCGCTCTTCTAGTTCATCCTGTGACTTAGAATGCCTAACCATCCTGGAAGGCAGCCCGGTAGGTGTCAGCCTTATTTTACCCAGCCCCTACTCAAGATGGAGTCGCTCTGGTTCAAATGCCTCTGGCACAAACACCGTCTCCTGAGAGCGGCCTTCCCTCAGCACCCTGATGGAAGCAAGCAGTCTCCTCTGACCTGGAATGCCTATTCTTTTATTTACCTCCAAATCAAATCAAATCTACCTGAAGGCTTATTATCTCTGAAGAGACTTTCCTGGATTACTCTGCTCCACAAAGACTTTTTTTGTTTCCTGATCTCCATAAGACTTACCTGTGCCAACTTTTCCAGAATATGAGTATACTAGACCCAGTCTTGTGCTGCTGTCAAGTTGTTTGGTATGCATGCCTCGTTTTCCTACATAGAGAGTAAGCTTTTTTTTTTTTTTGACAGGGTCTCTGGTTGCCAAGGCTGGAGTGCAGCGGCACAATCTCAGCTCCCTACAGCCTCGACTTCTTGGGCTCAGGTAATTCTTCCACCTCAGCTTCCTGAGTAGCTGGGATTATGGGCATGTGCCACCATGCTGGCTAATTTTTTGTGTCTATAGTAGAGACGGGGTTTGGCTACGTAGGCCAGGCTGGTCTCGAACTCCTGGACTCAAGAAGTTTGCCCTCTTCAGCCTCCCAAAGTGCTGGGTTTACAGGCTTGAGCCACTCACTGTGCGCAGCCTAGTGTGAACTTTTTGAAAATGGCAGGTGTATTAGTCCATTCTCCCATTGCTGTAAAGAACTACCTGAGACTAGGTCAATTGTAAACAAAAGAGGTTTAATTGGCTCATGGTTCCGCAGGCTGTACAGGAAGCATGGTTGGGGAAACCTCAGGAAATTTACAATTATGGCAGAATGCTAAGGGGAAGCCAGCATGTCCTACATGGCTGGAGCAGGAGGAAGACAGAGAGTGAAGGGGAAAGTGCCACACACTTTTAAACAACCAGATCTCATGAGAACTGTAGCAGGAGATAGCACTAGGGGCATGGTGCTAACCCATTAGAAACCACCCTATCATCCAATAACCTCCCACCAAGCTCCACCTCCAACACTGGGGATTACAATTCAAAATGAGATTCGGGTGGAGGCACAGATCCAACCCATATCAGCAGGTTTTGAATTTTCTTTCATAACTTGAGTGCTTGGCTCATGGTGGGGGCTTAAAAATATATATTAATTTAGTGATGTTCATATTTTCCATAAATGGTGCTTTTATAGAAATCATCTGCTTTTGTCTTTACCCTGGAGGGCTTTTGAGGTAAATAGTTCCCTGCTGGATTATAAAAAGAATCTACTAACGCTTTAATTTTTCATTTTGTCTCTGTGGCTAAAATCAAGCTAGGCTCCCAGTATATTAGAAAATAAAGTATGTTTTGCAACACTTTTCTTCCAGTTGGATTCAGAACTGAAAGTGAAGGTAGTCATGGTATTGATTGACATTTCTTTTTTCCACGAATATGCATACATGTTGGTGGGAAAGGCAGAGCCCAAAATGTGATGGTGAACTTTAGCTTTTTGAAGTTTTGTTCCAATGTAGAGAAAGTTGCATTTGTCTCTTCTATTCAAAATGATGCTATGGATCATTTTCAGTAGGGCTGGAGTTCTGGTTGATTTTTCCAGAAGTGATTAGCAATTATGGATTTGTGCAGATTTGCCCATTCTTCTTTCCTGGTATCCATGGCAACCAAAATGGTACATCTTTGAGAAGCTTAATGGGGACAATCAAGGGAGGTTTTCTTGGTGAAAAGCAAGCTGGTCAGTTTGAGCTTCCAATCCCCACGTCAGGTATCATTAGCACCCAGTCATCATCAAGCCGAATGAACCAGCCCAGGAAATAAACAATTACTCTGTAAGGGTATCTTATTCTCACTTTTTTTTTTTTTGAGATTTGCAATAACTGAAATTTAGTCAAAATTCAATAAAGCTAGAACTAGCCATCTCTGCAAAATTTGTTCATTTCTTGTGGCAGTGAGGCTGGCAATCCTGCAAATGAACCCTGCTCAATCCTGTCCAGATCTAGCTTTGCTTTGCATTCAGAAAGGTTCAGCTGAAGTTTAAATCCAATCTATAATAAAAGAAATGAATCTTTAATAATATGAAAGATCAAAACCCAGAGAAATTTCAGTTGGGTTTATCACAGAACACTCTTTCTCTGATATAGTTACCATATTTTAAGGGGACTGTAAAATTCTCCATATGTTTACAAGCAGGATCTAAGGAGCAATGATCTCAAAACAGGCACTCAGGAAACATTAAGTAAATTTAATACCACTCCTTCTAGTAAAAGTAAAGAAAAGCTTCAAAGTAACAATTTGAAAAGTATGAAGCAAATATGTCCACACTAAATATTGTACATCAATAGGAATTGCTCTAAATGGCACCTTGGCTATAGTTCTTAGAGAAAAGATGTCTTTTTCTTTTTACATCCCAGGGCTACATTTTTACCTTTTTGTTTTAATCGAGGTTGTATGAGGAAAATAGTTTTCTCTTTGAAATGTATCCATTGACTTGGCACCTAACTAATCCAGTTTATTCTGTGTGTCTAGGCAATATTCTGTGCATCTCAGTGAAAAGGTTATCTGCACTAATAGATCTTTGGCAAACTTCTGCTGGTGTTCACTGCTTAGGTAGTGGAAGACTAGAGGACAATGTGTATGCATGTTTTGGTGCTGAGAGTTTTCCATGAACAGATGGCAAAGCGATAAACTAAAAACATATGCACTGCATTGTAAACATTTCCTCCTGAGTGATTTGGCAGACTGACAATTATCAGACAAGAAAAGTGAGGTTGTTCAGAGCCATAGGAAAAATTTAATCCTTGAAAACAAGGAACTAGGCAGGAAGTTATTTGCATATTTAACTCTCAAAACGAAGAAGTGAGTTCCTCCAACTAAGATGTTATTTTTTAACTCAACTGTGGGAGACCGATGATTTGTATCAGTTTGGGGTTTGATATCTTCCTTTAATTACTCCAGAGTCTTCTGCACAGGTTTCTTTAAGAAGTTTGTTAAATAATTTATTTTTAAGTTTTATCTCGTCTCAGAAAATACAGAGTGCTTTAATAGGGGCTGCTTTGGGGGACTCCCAAAGTAGGCCTTTCCTGAAAGAACTTTCTGAAGTAGACTCAGGAAGATCTGAAGAAAGAGACTTAGACGCTGAGTTTCGGTTTTCTAAGGAAAGCTTCACAAAAGATCAAAGGAAGGGACAGGTTCCAAGAAGGATTTCTCTGAACAACCAGTCAGAGCAGCGAGGTCATTTTCCCTGTGGGCTACCCTTGCCCCTGGTCCTCTTTAGATCTGGCACCTGAGGCTCACATCAGTTCGGAGCTCCTTTTGGCATCCCTCTGGGAAGGTACTGAGCGTTCTGTCTCCTCCATGTCACCACTACTTTCCCATGGAGCAATGTCTACCTCCCAGTGAGCTGTTTCTCCGTGGTGAAGCCCACTTGGTGATGGGTGCACCATCTTGTTCTGGGCGTCTTCTAAGGCCATGTGGCATCACACAAACCACAGTGTGATGGTGACATGGGCTTAAGAAGAAGCCCATGTGGAACAAGATGAAAATTAACCTCCAGTAAACAAAATAATGGCAAAGAGGAGAGACAGTGTGTCAAAGAGCATGTGGGCAGATTCTCATGAGAACTGCAATGAGGAGGATGACACATCTCTGCCAGTCCTCTGGCACCCACAACAGCTGGCTCTAGTGACCACTTCTAAGTGGAGAGGAAAAGAACTTTTTAAAACATTTATAGACTTTGTAGAGCGATTATAGGTTTACAGAAAAAAGATAGAAAGAACAGGGAGTTCCTACATACTGTGTCCCCTCCCTGCAATTTCCCTCTTGTTAACGTATTGCATTGGTGTGCTACATTTGCTACAATTGATGAGCCAATATTGATAGATTATTATTAAACTAAAATCCATAGTTTACATTAGAGTTCACTGTTTATGTTACAAAATTCTATGGCTTTTGCCAGATGCCTAATGATATGTTTTTACCACTTTAGTATCACATAGAATAGTTTAATTGTCCTAAAAATCCTTTGTACTCTCTCTATACAATTTGTTCTTCCACCCCTCACCTACCAACCCCTGGCAACCGCGAATCACTGATTCTTTTACTACCTCTATAGCTTTGCTTGTTCCAGAATGCCAGATAGCTGGAATCATACAGTTTCAGACTGGTTTCTTTTACTTAGCAATATGAATTTGGGTTTCATCTGTGTCTTTTTGTGGCTTGATAACTCCTTTCTTTTTATGACTGAATAATATTCAGTTTTATGAATGTACCACATTTTGTTTATCCATTTACCTACTGAAGGTCAACTTGTTTGCTTCTGATTTTGGCAATTATGAATAAACTGCTATTGAGATCGGTATGCAGTTTTTTGTGGATGCAAATTTTCAGCTTATTTGGGTAAGTACCAAGAAATACAATGCTGGATAGTATGTTAAGAATATATTTAGTTTTGTACAAAACTGACAAATTGTCTCCCAAAGTAGCTGTACCATTTTGCATTCTCACTGGCAATGGATGAAGGTTCCCAGTGCTCCACTTCCTCACATCCTCACCAGCATTTGGTGTTGTCGATGTTTTGGGTCTTAGTCATTCCTATAGGTATGTAGTGGTATCTCATTGTTGTTTTAATTCACATTTCCCTGATGTGAAATGTGCTTATTTGCCATCCATATATCTTCTTTTGTGAGACGTCTGTTCAGATCCTGCCCACTCTTTAATGGGGTTGTTTGTCTTCTTATTGTTGAATTTTAAAGAGTTATCTGTATATTTTAAATACAAGCCCTTTATTAGATTTGTGTTTTGCAAATATATCTCCCAGCAGGCATGTTTCTCCTAGCCTATTGCTTGTATTTTTGTTTTCTTAACAGTATCTTTTAGAGCAGGAGTTTTTAATTTGGAAGTTTTTGGGGGGGGACGTGTTGAAATAGTAGAGGTGCCAAAGTAGTTGTGGTTGGTGAGGGAAGAAGAGGAGAGATGAAGAAGGAATTTTAAAAGAGTATTGCTGTGACCTACATACTTCCTTCAGAATATTTGAGAAATGCAAGTAAAGAACTTGAGTGAGTCTGAACCCACGTTGTGGTTGTTGGACTGTACTTGAATATGAGGACTCGGCACCTGAACTGCGTGGGCACAGCTTTCCTGTGCTCTGTGACTCTGGGTGGCTGGATATGAGCATCACATAAACATATGCGAAGGGCATAAGGCAATTTGTAGGGGTGCTGTAAATGTGAGTGTGCTCTGTATAGGAACACTGTGGGCACATGGGACTGCCTGAGAGCAGTCCGGACAAAACCAAGGCCACTCCAAGGGGCCTCGTTGCTGCTCTTGTTCTGACTCCACCTCTTTCATTCCTCTGCATTGAAAGGGAAAGAGAGGAGTCAACCTCACTGCAATTTTATTTTATTTCATTTTTTATACTTTCAACTTGTATTTCAGATTCAGGGGGTGCAGGTGCAGATTTGTTACATGGCGTATTGCATGATGCTGAGGTTTGGGGTGTGATTGATCCCATCACCCAGGCTCACTGCAATTTTATCAAGGCTAGTTCAGAAGCTTTATTCTTGGTATCATAGTTTCCAGCTACATGAGTTTCACATACATGAGGAAATTGTGGGTTGAGGAGTCTGAAAGAATTTAAAGCCATTAATTGCGATTGTAATTAATTCAGAGGCCAATATCCTATATTTGTGATCGTTAAGACAGAGTCTTGATTGAAGTGCAGTATCGCACTCTCTTTAATAAAAGGGTTTTCTTTTTCTAAGTAAGGGAATAGATTAAACATGATGGTAAGGGATAAGATTTTCTCACTTAAGAAAATGCAGTCCACGCAGGACAACTGATCAGGTTCAAATCTTGTCTTTTCCACTTACTGGCCAATATTTACCTCCTTTGAGCCTCTCAGGTTTCTCATCTTAAAATGGCATCAGTGACATTACTGCAATTGCAAGGCTGGGCTGAGTAACTGAAACAAAGCACATGAACCTCCTGGCACCATGACTGGGAGGGGGATGATGCTCTGCACCTGTTCTTTTCACCCCCTTCGTGTTACAAGAAGTGTGCTCTCCCAAGTCCTCTGCTGGAACAATCTACTCTCCATCCTTTAGAGAAAACCCTGTGAATTCCTGCTTCTGTAATTTTGCTTATTATTCCTTCTATCTTGTATATATCTTCCTTCTCCTCTTCAACTCTCCAATCCTTTGACGGCTTCACTAGTTGCTTTTCTGGAGGGCTGGGATGCTTTCCCCTTTCTCATCTCCTTAGTCAGTCATGGCATTTGGTACCCATTGCAGTGCACTGCCTCGTGTTGTTCATATGCATGTGCCTTTCAATCATCTCGATCATATCCCTCCAGCATCACTTCTTTTGTCAGCATCACCTTTTTTGTTGGGTCCTTCATGGTGTCCTTTTAATATCAGCAAATCGAATGTAGTAGATGCTCATTTAATAATCGATATTTGGATTACAAATCATCTCAATGAGTTTAGTAAGTTGCCCTAGAACCTTCCTTACTATGCAATGCTTTGTTAATTCTATTTGGATTCCTTTGCAAAATGTTTGTTTCTTTTAAAGTTTTTTTTAGAAAAAAGAAAGATTAAGTAAACTGTGGCTCATCAAAAAAGGTGCTTGGGAAGATTTTTTTTTAATACCATAGGGTAATACTTGTGTTGTCATGTTAAAATTAAATTGGAGCATGTAAAAGTATGCATATAGCATGATTACAACCACATATTCTATAGTTTAAAACAACTCTGAAACTGCTAGCAACTAAAAAATCAGGTCCAAGCATAAATATGAATTCTTTTTTGGGGCTAGAATAACTATTATTTTCTTTCCATTTTATTTGTAGAAAGAATGTTTTTATGGGCAAAATCATTCTCTGCATGGTTAACTACTTGCTGTGAATGAAGACCTATTCTGCTTCTTTCCACTAGAGGTCACTGTGGTTCTTTAGTTATTTTTTTCCGTTTGGCATCCCTGTTAGCAGGGCTAAAAGGATTCTGTCACGGTTATTATTTTTAGCAAAGTTAAGAGAAATGTTAAAATGATAGTCTCCTTTTTTAAATACAAAGAAACATTTTCCGGAGCAATTGTACTTCTTTTCAGATTTCGTTTTCCAGGCCATAACTATCAGAAACATTTCTATTTTACATTGGCGACCCCAATTTAATTTATTAGCGTGAAACATTATCACTATACCATTTATTCTGCTATTAAAACAGAATTGCACCCATGCTTTCTATGTGTGAAAAAATAGAAGACTAACCCTTTCTATTTCTGGTTCAGCTTTATTTTTTCGAAGATTGTTTCCCAGCAGTACAGAAACATGGTTTCTAGAAGAACTTGTTAGTCATGGAGTATTAAAATCGATTAATGACACATGAGATGTGCACATATAAGCACCATTTTGAAGGTGAATGCAGGATATCCAACAAATTCTACCAATAAACTACTGTGTCTTTAAAAGAATTTCTCCCTGGTAAATTCAGTAGGAATACAGGCTATGTTTTTCTGTTTGAAAAATGATTAAATATTAAGAATTAGAAAAAGGAAATATAGCTCCAAATATTAGTAGGATGCATGCTGAGTGTAACATCATCCAAAATGTCTAAGCAACATGATAACCAAGGTCCTTGGTTTTCCTACCGGAGTCAAGTCCATTTCACTATAAACCAAGAAGCTCTACATTTTATAATGTTTGGAAAACCCTTATTTTTCCTTCTCATTCTCTTTTTGCTATTTGCAGCCTTGAAAAATGGGGTCCCAATCACCTCACAAGACCATATTTATTTTTCATAGTCTGGGCTATTTGGTTCCTGTTGTGTTCTTATTCCTAGGGCATTCTTGCTAAATTCACAGTAATTTCCCCCAATTCAAATTGTGTCTCAATAAATTTCAAAGTTGATTATCCATTATTTATTATGGACCCTAAATTTAGCAGTACTAGAGAGATTTGGATATGAGTGGCATTTTGGAAACCCACCGACCACTCCAGCAATCTACAATATGCTTTGAAAAATCTGCACAACTTTTGCTCCCGTCTTCTGACTAGAATGCACAGCTCCAGTTCCCTAAGTTTGCTGAACATGCTGAGGCCCAGGCTGTAAGCAGCAGATGAGGCTGACTGCAATGGGGCATCCTGCTGCAGTTTGAAGCCTTTCTTTTTCATTTCCTGCAAACCCAATCTCTGTTCTTGCTTTTGGAGGCAACTTTTACAACTGGGTATCTCTAAAGTGGAATAATTAATAATTGTCTTGATACAATTAACAAAAGATAACTGGCTGGCTATGACTTTTTTTTTGAAAAGCACTTTCTTTTTTTCCTTCAAAGGGTGTTTTCACCTTTCTGTCTTTAATCCAGAGTCCTCCAAGGCTATTTAGAAATATTATTTCCTTGGGGCTCTCTGCCGTTGTGGTTTCTATTACCTAGTCCAGTATTTCTCAAACTTGTAAATAATATACTTGGAAATGCATATTTTTGGCAGGGAAGGAAGTATGTCAGGGTGGTTTTGGAGTCAGAAAAACCTGCTTTTGAGCCTTACTTCTACAACTTACTAGCCATATGACTTTCAAGCTTTATAACCTCATTAAATTAATTTTGGGATCTTTTTTATTAAAATGAAGATACAAACAATGGTAAATAGGATAATGTGTATAAAATGAATAGTACCGTGTCTGACACATGATAAATACTCAACATGTGGTAGGGATTAATAGTAGTTCAGTTGAACCTTGAACAAAAGGGATTTGAACTGTCTTGAGTCCATTTATACATGGATATTTTTCAATAAATATATTGGAAAGTTTTTGGAGATTTGCAATGATTTGAAAAACCTTGCAGATGAGCTGTATAGCCTAGAAATATTGAAAAAAAATTAAGAAAAACTTAAGTATGTGATGAATGCATAGAATATATGTGGATACGAGAATATTTTATCATTTGCTACCATAAAGTACATACAATTTAGTCTATTATAAAAAGTTGAAATTTATCAAAACTTATGCATACAAACTTACAGACTGTACAAGGCACCATTCCAAGTCCAGAGAAATGTAAACAAACGTAAAGATGCAGCATTAAATCACAACTGCATAAAATTAACCATAGTACATACTTCAGAACTGTAATAATTTCGTAGCTCCCTCCTGTTGCTATTGCAGTGGGCTCAAGTGTTGCAAGTATCTGCTTAAAATACTGTGTGGCTAATCATCTCCAGTAAGTTGCATATCACAGTAAAGTGTGACCTGTTACAGTTCTTGTGTATTTTTCATCATGTTTAGTGCAACCTTGTAAACCTTAAGTCACATCGTGGGACCCACACAAAGTGCCACTAATGATGCTGGAGGTGCTCACAAGAAGCAGATAAAAGTTATGACGTTACAAGAAAAAGCTGGATTTCTTGATATGTACCACAGATTGAGGGCTGCAGCTGCAGTTGATGCTATTTCAAGATAAATGAATCTAGCATAACAATTATTGCAAAAAGTCAAAAAGAAAATTCCTGAAGCCATTACTGTGGCTATGCCAGCAGACACAAAAACCTTGTACATTTTTTGAAATACCTTATAATCTCCTATTAAAAATGGAGCTTTTATGTGGGTGTTAAGATTGCTATAAGAAAGACATACCTATAGAATCTAATGTGATTCGAGAAAAAGCAAAGTTATGTGACAAAGTAAAGGAAGGTGAAAGATCTAAAGATAGAGAATTTAATGCCAGCAAAGGATGGTTTGATAATTTTAGAAAGAGGCATGGCTTTAAAAATGTCAAGATAACAGGAGAAGCAGCTTCTGCCGACCAAGAGGCAACAGACAAGAGTTCCCAGACACGATTGAGAAAATCATTAAGGATAAAGGATAGCTGCCTGAACAGGCTTCTAATGCAGACAAAAGTGCCCTATTCTGGGGGGAAAAATGCCACAAAGAACACTTATTAGTAAGGAAGGGAAGTGAGTACCAAGGTTTAAGGCAGGAAGGAATAGGTTAACTTTATTGTTTGTGCAGATGCAGTTGGGTTTATGATAAGGACTACACTTATCTATAAAGCTGTTAACGTTTGAGCCTTGAAGGGAAAAATAAACACCAGCTGCTGGTCTTTTGGTTGCACAGCAAGAAGGCCTGGACAATGAGAAACCTTTTTCTGAATCGATTGCATCAATGCTTTGTCCCTGAAGTCAGGAAGTACCTTGCCAGTAAGGGCTGCCTTTTAAAGTTCTTTTGATATTGGATAATGCTCTTGGCCTCCCCAAATCCCATGAGTTCATCCCCAAAGGAGTCAAAGTGGTCTGATTGCCCCCAAACATAACGTCCTAATTCAGCCTCTAGATCAGGGGTCATAAGGACCTTTATGGCTCATTATATGGTACTCTATGGAAAGGAGTGTCAATGCAAGGAAGAGAACCCTGACAGAGAGAACATCATGCAAGTCTAGAAGGATTGTACATCATTGAAGATGCCATTGTCTTATAGAGAAAGCTGTGAAAATGATCAAGCCCCAAACAATAAATTCCTGCCAGAGAAAATTGTGTCCAGATGTTGTGCATGACTTCACAGGATTTGTGACAGAGGCAATCGAGGAACTAATGAACCAGATTGTGGGTATGGCAAAAAAAAGTAGTGGGTGGAAGCTTTCAAAATACGGATCTTGGAGAAATTCAAGAGCTAATAGACACCACACCAGAAGAGTGAACAGAAGATGACTTGATGAATATGAATGCTTCCAAATCAGCACCAAGAATATGCCTTTTATTTCCTTAAAAATTATTTTTCTTTGTTTTTTAATGGACACATAGGAATTGTACATATTCATGGGTTACAGTATGATATTTCAATACCTGTATACCTGTATACTGTGTGTAATAACCAAATCAGGGTAATTAGCATATCTATCACCTCAAACAATTATCTTTTCTTTCTGTTGAAAACTCTCAAAAATTCTCTTTGCCAGGTGCAGTGGGACACGCCTATAATCCCAGCTCTGTGGAAGACTGAGATGGGAGGATTGCTTGAGCTCAGGAGTTTGAGATCAGCCTGGGCAACATAGCAAGACCCTGTCTCAAAAAAATCCTCTCTTCTAGTCATTTGAAAATACAAATTAAATTGTTGTGAACTATAGTTACCCTACAGCGGTATCTAACACTATCTATCTAGCTGTAATTTTGTATCCATTAACCAATTTCTCTCTGTCCCCTACCTGCCACCCACTCCCCTTCTCAGCCTTTAGTTACCACTACTTTTCTCTCCACTTCTATGAAATCCACTTGTTTAGCTTCATGAGTGAGTTCATTGCAATATTTGTCTTTCTGTGCCTGGCTTATTTCACTTAATATGATGACTTCCAGGTTCACCTATATCATTGCAAATGACAGAATTTCATTATTTTTTATGGCCAAATAGAATTTCATTGTGCATATATACCACATTTTCTGTTTTCATTCATCTACTGACAGATACTTAGGTTGATTCCATATCCTGGCTATTGGGAATAGTATTGTAATAAACATGGGACTGCAGGTAGCTCTTCGACATACTGATTTCCTTTCCATTGGGAAAGGAATACTCAGTAGTGGGATAGTTCTATTTTTGGTTTTGTGAGACAACCCAACACTGTTTTCTAGTAGGTTGGTGCAAAAGTAATCGCAGTTTTTGCCATTACTTTAATGGCTGTATTACATACCCCCACCCCCTACTTTTTGTTTTTTAACCAGGATAAACTATATTCACATAAGAAGTAAAGAAACATATAATAAATGTCAGATGAGTATTATCAACAAAGGGAAGCAAGCACTTCTCACTGGGATGGTCAGTGGAGGTGGTTTCACAAAGGGGTGAAAGCAGAGGTGATTCTTGGAAAAAAGTTCCCTGGCCAGCCTGGGCTTAGAATGCAACAGAAGGAGTGAGCACAGGATTTTCATTATAGTGACTGGGGTGAGATTCCAGCTCTGTTATTTAGTAGTCTGATCTCAGTAATTTATTAATCAGGAGATTATCAGGGGGATTAAAGAAAATAGCATATGCAACTTAGTTAATATTAGCTAAAGTTGATTGCAGATTATGATGAGCTCACCTAATCCTCATAATGGCTCAGTGAGATAAGCATCCTCCTTAGCATCAGTGTGGTGGAGAGGAGAGGAGAGGATGGGTACGTGGCCTTTGGCATTGCGCCTCTCCTGTGAGAAGTGGTCAGCAAACGACGGCAATTATTTTCTTGCCAATATTTACTAAAAGTCAACCAGACATTAACATGCAAATGGTGTCTCAAGAAACTGACCAGCATTTTCCCTCCAGTGGTGCAGTGAAACTACAGCATAAATGTGAAATATCAACTTGTATGTGTGTAGGTAGGAATCAGTGGTGCAGGGGTTAAGTTTGAACTTCTGTTCCCTTAAATGTTTTGGTCACAGAATGCACAAGGAAATCCACCAAATCCACCTTTTCTGTGTTAGCCAATCTCATTTTTTTGACAACACAAAGAGTACATGATTGCAAAAGCTGATATTTATTACTTTTGTGTTATCAAGAAACTATTGGCTATTGGAAAATGGGTTACATCAAAATGAAGTGGATGTTCTGTTTTGGGAGAACATATAATAATTTTATTAGTCCCAAGGGCTAGTACACTGTTTTCAGACCTTAGACTCTACATTGGCCTTTGCAAACCCCACAGTTAGTCTTTGAAAAATGAGTTTTGTCACCTTATGAACAGGTGTTTGTTTAACTTCTAATTAATCAAAATAAAATAAAATAAAATAAAAACCTACTGGCTCCACGGGTCATAATTGCACTGGATCGAATATTCTGTTTATGCCTGGAGCAAAACAAAAATGGAGACGACCTATTTTGTTCTAGATGTAAATAATTTGACATATTAAACTTCCTTAAAAAGATGAAAATTGACCCAGTGATATTATAGACTAGAAAGTAGCATTCACATATTTAAGATTGAAAAATAAAACAAAACCTTAAATTAAACTTTGGATTTACCTCATTCCCTTTTAGGCTGTTCTCCTAGGATGTTAAGGGTTGGGTTTGATCTTTTCTTTCCTCTTAAGTGAACCATTTTAGAAATGACAGCTTTAGGTGTTAAGACATTATTGACCACTAACATCTGAACTTGTATATCAGCTTATCAGTTTTACAGTACAGAGAGCAGGAATAGAGGCACAGAACTAATGGGTTTGGATGGAGGAAACGTGGGAGCTGGTCAATGCTGAGAAGAGAGGGCCTTCCATGGAGATCTCTCAGCTGCTGGAGGCCAAGGACCAATTGCAGGTATTGAAGAAAGGGGCATGAACAAGGAGATAGCGAGTACTCAAGGCTTACCTTGCAGTTTGGCCACGTACTCATCATATCATCTTTTGCTCAGGGCAGGCCCCCCTCCATAACTGCAGAGTGAATGGGCTCATTTTCATCTCCCTCTGAGTTTTCTTTCCCCGTCCCCTCATGGTGCCCCCTTCCCACCATCATGATCTCATGAAGCTTGTTGCTCCATGATCAGGCACTCAATCTAGGTTCATGGCTTCAAAGATTCTTATGGGTTCTTACAAGCCACCTGGTCCAACCTCCTTATTTTCAGCATGTGATCAAAATAAGGCATCAGGGCCAGCGTCATGGGTGTGTGACCTGTGCAGAAGCACAGGGTCCTACATTTAGAAGTCCCCCACATTTGGTGTTGATGCTCTACTGTTGCTGTCTTTTAACAAAACCTTCACCAAAGTGGAAGAAGAGTAGGCATGGCAAAAAAAAAAAAAAAAAAAGTCTTTAGTTTTTGAACAATGGACTCCACATTTTCATTTTATACTGTACCCTACAAATTATGTTTCTGGTCCTATCTAAGTCATACTGATATGTTTGTGACTTAATGAACCACGTGAATATTTGATTTTAGAAAAATGTCTTCAGGACTGTTTTTCAGGAATATGGAAGTGATAATGGTAGAGGAGATTGAGGGCTGGCTAAAGGCAACAAGGGAATTTGGGGGAGGAGAGCAGGAGATTTCCAGGGACTCCAGGAAAACAGATGTACCATGAATTTGTCTCACTTGCAGTTATAGCAGCCCTGTCTTTAGGTAGTAATTTATTCCTTATCGCTGTTCTGAATTTCCACATTCCCTCTTAAAACTGATTCCCTTTTGTTCTTTTCTTCCTGCAGTTGCCGACAACTAGCCATTATCTCCTAGGTACTTAAAGACCATTATAGTTACCCCTCAACATTTTCCCAGGCTAAGAGATCCTAATTCTTTTATCCATCAGCTTGAATGCTTTTTTCTTTTAATTGATGCTTCCTCAAAGAAGAACAGCTAGCTAGTTCAGGTAGCATTGTTAAAATCAGGGCACAATTAATTTCACATCTAGCTACAATATTGCCAAGGAAAGAAACAGACAAAGACAGAGATGGCACCAATGAAAATCGCTTTTTGGAATTAAGCTAAAATTAGCTAAACATTTTGTAATTACAAAGTAATTTGAAAATCAAGCAGTTAGACTAAAACATTGATCAGGAAAAAGACGATGAGAAAGGAAAGGATGGAAAAATTCATTGAAAACAGCCTCCCCTGCAGACCAGAGGGAGTTTTTGAGAAAAAGTAGATTACTGCCTAGAGAAATACCGAAGCCCATTACTTTGGGCAAAGGTTTTGAGAACAGAAAATGTGTCCTTGCAAAGGTGAGAGGACTGAGTTCTACCCAGTAAAGGCTACGTCTCTGCCTGTGTGTGAACAATTTCCATACACATATCCACAAGGAGATGTAAAGAGACCTATTATAGTTTATGTTCCAATTATAGTGTTCAAATATTGAAACAAACAGGCAACATGATTGGATAAACAAAAGGTGTAAGAAAAAGAAAGCAGTCACAAAAGGAATGGGAGCTTGATTTTGTGTAATATCATGTATTCTTCCTGTAATTCACTTCAGAGAGGCAGTGACTTAATTTCCACAAAACAGCGGCCTGAATAGATTCAAGGCAGATGCTTCAGAAAGCTTTTATTTAGTGTTTTCTAAAAAAAAAGTTACATTTTTCTATGTCTCTGAGGTTGACAGTCCAGGGGGTGATTGAGCAGACTGAAGGTGCCTCACTTGAGGTGGACAGTGGGCCCCTGCCAGAGAGGCCAGGTGGGACACTTGTGTCAGTGGCGAGAGGGACTGTGACTGTGGTTTGGCTGAGCTGAGAGGTAGGAGGCCAAATCTTCATTGTCCACTCTTGGGCAGGTCATCTAACTTTTCTGTTTCTCAATTTTCTTGTGTACAAAAAGCACTAAAAACACTAACCTACCTGAATATTGTTATGAAAATAAAATGGAATAACAGATGGGAAAGTGCCTTGAAAAATTATAACAGATTGTTTTTATACATTGAAAATGGTCCGTTAATGTGAAAAGTTTTAAATATCAGCCACTTTATTGGGAGGATGGGCCTTCGCTGTGGCCGTGTGCACTCCTCTGTGGGAGATACAAACGTTTCCTCAGCACTGGCATTTGCCCCCAGAAAGCTTGCAGACTAGTTGAGGGAAACAAGTGCCTATATTTGCATAGCATTTTATATACCTGAAAATTGAACTGACAATACATATTCAAGGAGAGCATATCACAAGCTCTGAAGTTAGATGGCCTTGTTTGAATCCTAGTTTACAGATGAGAAAATTGAGGCTTATGGGTTGTTAAATAGTTCACTTCATGATAACGGTTAGGCTTTGTGTCCCCACCTAAACCTCATCTTGAATTATAATCCCCACGTGTCAAGGGAGAGACCAGGTGGAGGTAATTGGATCATGGGTGTGGTTTCCCCATGCTGTTCTCGTGATAGTGAGTGACTTCTCACGAAATCTGTTGGTTTTATAACTGTTTGGTAATTCCTCCTGCGTTCATTCTCCTTCCTGCAGCCTAGTGAAGAAGGTGCCTTGCTTCCCCTTTGCCTTCCACCGTGACTGTAAGTTTCCTGAGGCCTCCCTAGCCATGCGGAACTGTGAGTCAATTAAACCTCTTTCCTTTATAAATTACCTAGTCTTGGGTAGTTCTTTTAAGCAGTATGAAAACAGACTAGTCCACCTCAGTTTACTGTCTGTAGACTAGGATATGAAGAGTACCACAGGGGGTTGTTGTACAGATTAACTGGAACATCATACACAAAACTAGTGGTTGACCCATACCCTCAATGTGGTAACTATTATCGCTATATGTATGGATGCATATCTCCTAAATTTATTTGACCCCAGAAGATTTTTTGTTCTTTTTGTTTGTTTGTTTTGGTGAGGGGAAATCATAGAAGATGATTTTTCCCTGAAGCAGCCTTTGGGAATGAGTATATGGCTATAGGCAAGAGGTTCACTAGAAGATGGAGTTGGCACTTGGGACTGGGGTTATTAGGAATGTCTTCATAGGGGTGAGGGGTAAGGGGACTTGAACAGGTACCTAGCAAAGTGCAGGATTTGGCCAGACACTGTAATGGCAGAAGCCAGGGTCGGGGATATGAGGAGGAGAACATGCCAATGTGGGAAATAAAGCTGGAAAGACAGGATCTGATTTCCTCGACAGGGCACTTGAATTTTATTTTTTATTTAGTTTTTTTTTTTGAGACAGGGTCCCACACTGTGGCCCAGGCTGGAGTTCAGTGGTGCAGGCTGGAGTTCAGTGGCGCAATCCCAGGCTCAAGCAATCCTCCCACCTCAGCCTCTTGAGTAGCCAGGACTACCGGCACACATGGCTATGCCTGGCTAGTTTTTTAAATTTTTCACAGAAATGCTTTGTTGCCCAGGCTGGTCTTGAGCTCCTGGCCTCAAGCAGTCCTCCTCTCTCAGCCTCCCAAAGTGTTGGGATTATAGGCATGAGCCACCATGCCTGGCCTGGCACTTGGATTCTATCTCATGTGTAGAGGGAAGCCATTAGTGGAATTTTTCGAAAGAATACTCTGGTATTTTTATCCATAGTGAATTGACATTAAAATATGCTAAAAGTGTGTAGAGGGTGGAACACTGGCTGGGAATTTATCAAATGTGATTCAAGGCTCAGGGTGGATTGATGAGATGGTGATATAAACCAGGAGAGAGAAAGGGACAGGGGAGGAAGAAGCAAAATGAATTGGTGGCTGAATACGGGATTTGAGGGGAGGGGCAACGACTCAGGTTTTGCATTGTGGTGACTTGAGGATCACGTCCCTTAACATTGCTTTATTCTTTCAGTGATTTATTTACAAAATACTTTGAGTGCTTACAAGGGCAGGGCACTGTATAGGTGCTGAGATTGCTAAAAACAAAAATGCTGTTAAACTAGACTCATAAATTAAAGTAACAATGAGGAAAACTTTGAGTTAATGTAGAGTTAGAGTGTAGACAATGAATGCCCTAATGTAGACATGAAAAAAATGAATGAGGCTGGGCTGGGAAGGCCTGTTGGAGGAGGTAGCATTTGAGCAGCGTCTTGCCTATGGTTAGGGATTCCACAGGGAATGAGAAAGTGTCACTTTAGAAAGAAAGAAGGCAAGAAATTAAGTTGGTGGAGGTTGAGGAGGACATGAATTCTATTTTAGATGGACTAAGTACAAAGTGAGAATGGCACACCATGGTGGAAATGTCCAGCACATGGCTGGAAGATGGAACTGGGATTTTGCAGGACAGTCAGTGCTGGAGGTCAAGATTTGAGAATCATCGGCTTTGGGGAGAATTTCTGAACCTGGAAGAGCAGATGCGACTTTGAAGGGAGATGACTGAGTCACGTGGTCTTAAAGTTGGAAGGAACCCTCGAGGACCTCTGGTCTAACCTTCTCTCGTGAAAATCTTATTTACAACAGATCTTCCTGACCACTTCCTCTGCCAGAGCTCTCCTTACCTCACAACATATATAGTTCACTGTGTTGACAAACAGTTCCAATGTTCAAGTTTGAACCTTGTCCTTTAGTTGTTTGCAAGTTACTGGAAGTGTTCAAACAAGGGATAACTTGATTAAAAAGCTATTGATTAAAGAATTATTCTGTGACTCCTGTGCAGAATGATTCTGAGAAGAGAGAGCTGGCAGCTGGGAGGTCAGTACTAACAGTTTAATATTTTTTCTAATTCTACATTGACTCAAAGTTTTCCTCACTGTTACTTTTATTTATGAGTCTAGTCTAACCTAATGGGAGTAACACAGAGTATGTCTACTCTCTTTTCCATATGACAAGTTATACATTCTTTCCAGGTCTTTCCTTTTTAAAGAGAACCTTGCCCTGGTTCTTTATATGCACCAAGTGACACCATTCACAGACTTTTGTCATCCTGATCCATTCATTCAGGTATTATGTTTTGCATGCCTGGCTCTCCAGAAAGAAAAGCCAGAGCCAAAGCTTATGTATATGTTTTCTTTTTTATTGGAGAATATGATCTATGGAGCAGGAGTGAGGGATGTGGGGGCCAAGTGGAGAAAGAGGGAGAGGCAATAAAAGATGCATTTTCAGGTTGGCCACTGCTCAGGATGACAGAGTCCATTCATTGAATAGCAGGGCCAGAGGAGCTGTATGAAATGTATCTCAGAGCTGTCTTTCCAAGGGAAGAATTTATCCATTGGCTCCCATTTCCCATTGGTGAGAAGGTTGCATAGTGGGGTTGCACGTGCGTGAGCAGAAGAGTCCCCCACAACTTTACCACTTTCTCAGTGGAGAAGCCCTGGGGAGGAAGCAACAGGCAGAAGGCTGGGAGCTAAGAGAGGTGCTGACAGGTGTACCTGTAGGGAGCTGATCTGGTCCTATGGTAGTGGCTGAGATAAGAGACAGGTAGTCCTAAGAGAATCGGAAATGGGCACAGGAATTATCTGCGGCATCTGCTGTCCACAAGGCTCCCTGCTGGTCTCTGGATGTGTTGCGGTCTCTCCACATCCCTTTCAAGAGCTGGTACTCATAATTAAATAAGCTCTCCAAATAGCTTCTGTCCAGAGAAGATTTTAGGGCAGACAGGAAGGAAAGAGTGATGGCTGTGTTAAACAGATTTAAGATCAACCTATCACAAATATTGGCACATATGCTCTCCTGCATTCTTCAAACACACATTGCTACTAGTGAGGTTCAGCAGCAAGCACCCAGGATTTGGCAGATCCTGTGCTAGGTGCTGGAGGGCGGGGAGCATCCTGATGAATATGGGATAATCTTGACGTTAATGAGGGCTTAGTCTAGTTGGAGAGACTGAAAAAGTAGCCAAATAATTATAATAAAATGGTATGGGCTACAATAGAGATGGCTGGAGGATGAAGAAATGGTCCAGAGACGAATGTCAGGTGGAGAGGTCAGAGAAACCTTCAGAGAGGATGTGAAACTTACAGAGGATTCTGAGGTACCCTGACTCCTCCATATGTGTGCCTAGATGGAGAGGCAGAGCATATGAGGGATCCACTGTGCCCAGACTGAGGCACAACCTGAATTACCAGCAACATTTAACAGCCTGAGGATTCCTGACAAGTCAGCTATGAAACCACTAGATGCTCCTTATGTTGGAGGCTGCATTCAATGTGTTTTAGTTTAAACAAATATTCCTAGCTTAGAAATTGCAACCTTTTACATACATGTGTATTTGAGCAATTTAAGCCATTGTCACATCTCTTAGGAATCATATCTTTCCCATATGAATGACTGTTTTATATTTTACTCACATACTAAAAGATACCTTGATTGCAAAAGGTTAAATTGAAGATGAAGTATGGTATTTTATTCCTCTTCTTCCCTTGGCAAGAACACCGCAGAGCCTTTGTAAACAAAAGCCAGAATGCAGACAGTCTAGGAGAGGTTTCAGCTGAAAAAAGTATACTTTTTTTTTTTTTTTAACATGGTGAATTGAGGAATAGTTCAGGAAAATAAGGAGCAGGTAGCTGCCGCAGCCTGCAGGGCAGAAAGCCTGGTATAAAGGCAAAGAGTGCCTCCTAATCAGGCGCTCTCGGGCCGTCACGTGGTCCCGCCTATCACTTTAGCCCTTGGACAGGGGGAAGCTCTGAGCCTCTGTGTCCTCTGCACCCCCAGGCCTGGGCCTCCCGGACTAACATATGGGAAGAATTTAGAGACAAGGGAAAAGCCCAGAAATCAAATGTTGAGAGAAATTATGTGGCTAACAGCTGGAATTCATTAAGTTTTATATTAAGCGAAGAATTGATAACAAGAAATCCAAAACACCCTTTCCCAAAAGAAAGAAAAATTAATAGCTTGAGGACAAAAAAGGCTTCCCAAGCTTCTTGGCTTCTCTTTAAATATAACTGTAGTACTTATGTTTGTTTTTATAAGGGATAGCTATGGTTATATTTGTTATGAATCTGGAATTGTTGAATTTAAGGATGAATATATTGAGATGCCCTAAATGCCAAAAAATGAATCTAAAATTGGACTGCATGTCCATTTTAATTTCAAGTCATTATTGAGGTATGTTAATGCTACATAAAAATAATTTATGAAGATTTTTCACCTAAGTTCTCTGATTTCATCCTTTCCCTACACACTAATAAATAAGTATTTTATAACCTTCCTCTGCCTAGGAGAAAGTGGTTGCTCAAAGAGATTAATTTGCCCAAGATCACACTGTGGCAGATGAGAATTTAAACCCAAGTCTTCTGCTCCCAGCACCCATGGGCATATTCACTGCACTGGGGTTTGTAACCTGGATGAGCTTCCAAATTAGCCCTGGAGCTTTTAAATTGACCAATTCTTGGAGTGGGCTTTAGAATCTACATAATTAAGGAATATCTGAAGTGATTATGATGATCAACCTGGTTTAGGACCCACTGTGTTAAGGTAAACAGAATATCATTCTCTCACCAATCAGTACAAATTCTTCTTTACCCTGGGGATATAGGCAAGTGGGTATTTTGAAGGCCAGCAGAGCCACACCTGGGAAGCGTTAGAATCCACCTAACCACGCAGCCTGCCACAATGTGGGATTAGCTGGTTTGGCTTGATTACTAACTACTGTCTGGAACCGTGTTATGAGAAAAAGCTAGACCATAACAGCACAAAGCAAAGTTTCCCAACCTTTTCCTAGGCAATGATATACCTGTAAAAGTGTTGGGGCACATCAGGGGGCTGCCAGTGTCAAAGATGTAGAGGCACAGGTTAGGAGTCCCTGAACATACTTCCACCAGCAAATGGATCCAAACAAAATTGGAGGAACCAGGGAGACTACCACCAAAATATAATATGCTTCATCTTTCAGTTTCTGCATGGGTTGAGTGGTGTAGTAAAGAAGAAAAACAGCCACGTTCCTAACAGAGACCAGGTTAATTCTTCTTCGATATTTGTGAACACAGAAAGGTGATTTACATTCTTTGATATTTGATGGGCCTAATTTTGAATCCTGGCTGTATCACTTCGTGATCTTGGGTAAATCACTTACCTTCTTTGAGCATCAGTTTCCCTGTACCTGTGTGAAGGGTAGTGCTACTTTCATCATAGAGTATTAAAAGGCTTAAAATAAATAATATGTATAAAGTGGTTACTCCAGTGCCTGTAAATAGCAAGCACCATGTAAATTGCAGTGTTATTTCTGTCTCTTACATCCAAGTAATCTTGAAATTTAATCAGTAAAGGATATAAGAGCTTTAATGATATCTTAAACCAGATTTCAAATGCAGGAAAATTTATTTTAATAAAAAGCAAGGAAATTAGAGAATATATAAGATCCTGTTTTAATCGAGTCCTGCTCCAGCTTTTAGAAACTTGTGGGACAAGAAGCAGCTTGGGGCAGGGCAAGCATTTGAACATCAGAAACTGTTATCTCCACAGTGGGGTGAGAGGACAGCGAAGCCATGAATTTGAAAACAGGGAGAATAAAAGTTCCCTCTGCGCCTAGCAGGCTAGGACAAAGACATGAAAGTCACTTTTGAGAATAACTTTAAATGGAATCAGCAAAACTGGACTGTAACTTGATTAACTATATTAACATATCTAAAAGAAGAACTGATCGTTCAAAACTGCAGTTGGCCAGCAGTGGAAGAACAGAAAATGGAAAGTCAGAGGCAGATGTTGGCAAGTGTCCTCCTAGGACTATCCAGGGAGAAGGAGCCTTAGCTCAAGGACTTGGAATTTTCCTTACCCATTGGCAAGACCATCCATCGCTGTGAAATGTCTCTCTCAGGCCCTCTCAGCCCAATGTAATTATACATTCAAAGCTATAACAAATTCATTTTGTATGGATTCTATACATTTCATGAAATATTGTGATCATAATTTAGTTCCCCATATAATTTGCTTATAGAGAAAAAATATATACATCAGACTGAGAATCTTATATTAGATTCTCATCTTCCCTATCCCCTTAGAATTCTTAGGGGTTCCTTGAAGTCCCCTTAGAAGCCACTGGGGGAGTAGAGAAGGAGAAGAGGTAGGTATGAGGGGCTTAGCTCTCCTCCCTGAACTAACTCAACTGCTCCATTTTTACTCTGTGAGTAGAAGATTTTATCTAACTCAGTGATTCACATTGATTTGTATTTATATTAGAATATATTTGACCATAATTCTTCATAATTGGAATTTAGATTAATCTATTCTGAAGTTCAATAAAGAATTATCCATAGCCAATTATGAAAGCAGATGTGTACATGATCCCTGAAATATGTAATCCTAAAATAACAGGCATCTCACTGAATCCTTTTACATGCATATACACACACACACAGAGACATACACACACGCACAATTGACATGGGACAGAGAGGTGGATAAGGTTTTGCTCCATGTACATAAATTTAAGGTTGGGGTAAAAAAGCAACTTTCAGAGCCATTTCTTTAACAAAGAATTCATGGGCTGAAAAATGATTGAAAATATTCAGTCTAGATGATTTGTAAACCTCCTGGTTGGCTATAAAAGCTTATTTCTGGGATTCTACTTTTGAACCATTATTGAGCATCTTTTGAATATATGGAGACACAAACACATATTGGGTTACATCCATCCTTTGCTCTTTACCACAGTTGCCAGTTACCACTACGTTCATTCTTCACCCCAGTGATTCTTTTTTATTTATTTTTTGCTTTTATTTGAGATGGAGTCTTGCTCTGTGGCCAGGCTGAGTGTAGTAGTGCTATCTTGGCTCACTGCAACCTCTGTCTCCCGGGTTCAAGAGATTCTCCTCCCTCAGCCTCCTGAGTGGCTGGGACTACAGGTGTGCACTACCATGCCCAGCTAATTTTTGCATTTTTAGTAGAGACAGGGTTTCACCATGTTGGCCAGGATGATCTTAATCTCTTGACCTTGTGATCCACCTGCCTCGGCCTCCCAAAGTGCTGGGATTACAGGTGTGAGCCACTGTGCTTGGCTACCCCAGTGATTCTTAACCATTGGTGTGTCCTACAGTTATCTGTAGAGCTTATTGAAAACTCATAGGGTTGTCTATACCCCCGACCTCCTATCAGAGTCTTTGGAATTGGGACCCAGGCATGAGTATTTTGACAAAGTTCTACAGTTGATTTTGATGTTTACCAGCAGCTGAGAACCATAGTTCTATTCTTTTCTTTGCTTGTTAAGAATTGGAAAAAGGAAGAAAAGTATTCCTAATACTAAGAAAGTCTTGTGGACACACTGATTGAGCAGCAGTGCCCTAGACCCCACACAACAGGAGACAACAACAAAATGCTATTAGGTTACAGGTGAACACATTATACATTGTGCAATGGACTTTAGCTATGCTGACAGCTACAAGGAACAATTTGATAAACAGTAGACTTGTGTATTTGTGTTGCATGTCTAAGGTGTCATTATAATAAGGTGTCATTATCCTTAGGAATGAGAAAACCAAGATAATTCAAGCAAGTTCTCTACAGTCAAACAACTGGAAAATGGCAGAGGGAGAATTTGAATGCAGGACTGTCCGATACTAAAGCTCATGTCCTTTTCATATGGCATACGATGGGCCAAGATCAGGTAGATAAATGGCCTTTTAGTAGAGCACAAGCCCACAGACTAGTTATCCTAATCTTGTGGTAGTGTAATTGAGAAGCTGTGACTCCTAATTGGTATTTTATAACCTAGGGCGAGTGCAGTAATAAGACGCTGTGTGTTAGAGCAAGAAAGGTTACCTGGATCTCAGGTGTAGGTTGGGGAGATGTGGCTGGTGAGAAAGCAGTTTTGGTAGGCATATAAGGAGTTTCAAGGAGCAGCTGCAGGCATGGGCTTCCCAGGACATGTCAGGAGCTCCGTCACAAATAGGCTGACCAGTGCTGCAGTGTGGGGGAACTGCAAGAGACATGAGAAGCTGCCCACGGAGACTCCCTAACTGATGACCTTCTTGACATAGCTTTTCCAAAAATCATCTCAAACATGTGTCATTTCTTTGTGTTGGGAACATTCGACATCCTCCTTCTAGCTATTATTGTTAACTGTAGTCATCCTACAGTGATATAGAACATTATAGTCAAAGAAATTTACTTTCATTTAAAAAACAGTGTCATAAATACTTTGAGATTAACTTTTTGTTTAAGATTAATGATTTGACTATGTGTTGGTTTGGTACAAAGAGCATTAACCTGAAAATCAGGAGACCTGAATTCTAACCCTGATTCAATTACCAAGTGGCTGCATGAACTTGTGGAAAATACTTTACTTCCATGAATTGCTTTTGCTTCACTTGTAAAACAAGAGGGTAGAATTGCTGCTTAGAGAATCCCTAAATTTTCTTTTGGAGTCACAATTTTTAAATTCTTTTATCTGTTTTGTTTACTGCTATACCTCCAGCATCTAGAACCATGCCTGGAACCCTGGAACAGAGCAGGTGCATAATATATACTTGTAGAATGAAGGAATTAAAGCATATCTGAGACAGAATTGGAGTTGGAATCCAAGCCTCTCTGATTTCAAAATCCATGCTCTTTGCATGATTATCCTACTGGTTGTTTAATTAACTAAAGACATTTGGATCAGAATTCCCAAGACTCTGGAAACCACAATTCTGGCCAGTTAATCTAAAGTCATTATGCCTTTTCTAAACTTCATATGGCTTGCCCAATTCAATCCCTGACAAAGTGTGTTTGTCAGCCTTAAGTAATAATGAATCTCTGTTAATAGCATATGAAGAGGAACTGGGTAGTGGGCAGGAGGTTAGTACCACCTGGTAAACCACTAATACAAATGGATATGTGTAAAAAAGGAAATACTTGTAGGATGGAGAAGTGGTACAGAGAGGAGTATAATTTACTTTATGGCAAGTGGAAGGGTCAGACAAGCCTTCAGAGGTGTGGTAAGGCCTGGAAAGGATCCTGAGATGGTACACATTCCTCCCCATGTGTCTAAAATGGGGAGACAGAACACACAAGGGATCCACCTAGACTAAGTTAGAACCTGCATTTCAGGCAGAATTAGGCAGAGCTAAAATTCCTAGTTCCTAGTCACCCATGAAACCACTAGATATTCCCTTATGTTAGGAGCTTTATTTCAATGCATTCATTAAAAATACTTTAAGCTTAATTATTGCAGCCTTTTACTTATGTGTAAGTAAAGTATTATGTGTATTTGGGTATTAAAAGTCACTGTTCTCTTTCTTGGGAATTATATGTTTTCATAAATCATTTTTTGGTGTTGTCCTCCTAGTATGCTAAAGGAGACCTTGATTGTAAAAGGTTAAATTGAAGATGAAGTAGAATAAACCATCTAGGGTTTCTGCTGTGTAAACTTGGTGTAAGTGTTGAGTCAGCTGCCTTTACTGTTGAGTGGAATCTGCAGAGCCTGTTGCTCTGTAGCCTGAATTTGTTCCCAGTGTCTCTGGTTCCCTATTGGTTTATGGCCAATGACTAATGCTTTACCCACGAGTCATTAAACCCATTCTGCACTTTTCTGGTTCCCTAATCTTCTTGGAATTCATCCTTGTGTCCAGTGGTCCAATGCTCTAACTTGGTATTTGGATGACTGAGTGAACAGAAATGGCAATAAAAATGTATATGTGATATAACAGTTCAAAATGCAATTCCCTTTAGAGAAGTCTTATGAGCAAATAAAATTCCTCCCAAATCATTTCAAATCATTGGAAGTATTTGAAGCTTTTCAGTTTCCTTTGCACCTTCATGAGAGGTCAACACATACAGCAAGGGTATCTGCTAGCTCTGCACACACTTACTTTGCCAAAAAATTCAGACTTCCCGGGGCAACTCTACTTTTTAAGGCTCCTGATTAACTGCACTGATGTAAGAAGGCAGAAGCGTGGATAATCTAATATAGATAGCAGCTGATGAATATGCATGTATTTGATGTTCTAGAAAACTACTTTAAAAGAACAATGAAATACCACTGATGGCTAAACTTAGGATGAGACGAAAAGATGTCCACCTCCTGGACTACTACTCAATTCTCTGAAATCCATGTCACTCTAAGAGCTGCTATTTTCACAGAAAAGAGCTAGGAATGGTCCAGTAACTATGCCAGCAATGTGGCAGACTAAGTGGGAGAGAAATGGCGTAGAGTGGGGAAGAAAGTGGGTATAAATAAGGCATGGGAATGTTCAGCTCACAGGGGTGGGTGAGGAGTTGGGGAAGGGGGTATAGATTTAGCTGCTTGTGTTGACTGACATTTAGCTTTACCCATCCCAACACAAGATCCAAAGGCTAAAGCCTGGCAGGAAGGCCACCTCAAACTCAAGTAACTGATAAGTATCCCACAGGGAGGTGGAGCACAGAGAAGGAGGACCTGTCAGATGTGGTGTTTGGGAGTTGAGGCAGGCAATGTCCAATCATTCTCTTGTAGATGGACGATGTAGACAGGGGGCTAATCTGTATGGCTAGGGCTGACAATGACTAGGGTAGAGCGAGACAGTAGTAAGTCAGATAAGAGAGTCCAAATTGTCTACAAGTAAAAGTGCTTGATGCCGATATTGGGAACCTGAATGTGAAACCAGAGGAATCATAGCACCAAATATATGGAAGCAAGAAACCATGGGTCCAGACAGGAGGCTGACCCTGGTGTGTCCCTGAGACACAGAGTATGTGACCCAGCTGGATTCTTTGTTTTTTTTTTGTTTGTTTGTTTTTGTTTTGTTTTTTTTGAAATGGAGTCTTGCTCTGTTGCCAGGCTGGAGTGCAGTGGTATGATCTTGGCTCACGACAACCTCCGACTCCATGATTCAAGCGATTTTCCTGCCTCAGCCTCCCGAGTAGCTAGGATTACAGGCATGCACTACCATGCTCACCCAGCTGGATTTTATGTGCTCTCTTTGGAGTGACATCTGGGGTTTTCAGCCACACTTAAAGGGCAGGGGATATGGACAGGCAAGTGATTAATTGTCTCCAGCAAAATCTGTTTTCAGGTTCCAGGGCACTATCTAGAGCATCCAAATGCTGCTGCCTAAACTGAAGTCCCAGGTGCCCAGAAGGTACGTTCTCTGGGTGGATTTTTTCTGGTTGGCCTGGAGAGGTCATGGACTACTTCCTAAAATGGGCCACTAAAGAATTTAGCCTTCGTGAACCCGGGAGGCGGAGGTTGCAGTGAGCCGAGATAGTGCCACTGCACTCCGGCCTGGGCGAAAGAGCAAGACTCTGTCTCAAAAAAAAAAAAAAAAAAAAAAAAAAAAAGTAGCCTTCAATAGTTTTTGACACTTGAAACAATAATTACTGCATTTCTTGTATGGAATTTTATACCACCTTTATGTTTACTAAATGAAGCTCAGTCCTGAAATATTTTCTGCCCACTTTCTGAGGAGAAAATAATAGAGTTGTATCCTTTATAAGTCTATTTCAAAAAGGAGGCTGCAAGTTGCTCCTGGGGAGGCATGGCAAAGACAGGTTCTGTACCTTTGTGGCCACAGGGCCTAAATATTAGTGAGATCCATTTCCAGAGAATGCCAACATTAATACAAAAGAGTTTAAACACCATTTACTGATATCCACCATTGGGAGAAATTAGCCTCAGGGCTTAAATACAAAATGTGCTAGTGATGAAGGGGCACATAAACAAACAGAGTATATCTTTTGAGATTGGACTTGTCTGGATGACTGTAGTCCTGAGAATTTGAGGGTATGCTTAAGATCTTATGAGTTCAGGGGTGATGTGTTTCTTGCAGGACTTCAAAAAGTCAGGTCACTTCTGTTGAGTCGTGCTCAGTCATTTTGAGCTTCTACAACTAAATTGCAAAGGGAGCAGTGTTCACACATGGTGAAACCATCGATTCACTCTTTATCCAAAGTTCTCTTTATTTGTGATTTCTCACCAGCACGCTGATGGTCACTAATCTCCTGCTGTCAAGATCTAGTTTCACAAGTTCCCCAAGCGAATCAATTTCAGGTATTGATCATTTGGCAACTGCTAATTGCTGTAGCTAAGAATTTAATTCAATGGCGAAAAAAAGGTCTATTTGTTCTATCCTTGCTATATATATGTTTTTGTAAGAAGATGCTTGTTTTTGCTTTATTAGCTATCCATTCTTTAATGTAAAATCAGTAGGCAAAACCTTGTAAAAATGGTATGATTTGTTGGCATTAAAGCTGAGATTGCCTTCAGGCTGCATTAATTTATGTATCTTTAAACATAAGCAAACTTTTACTTAATTCTTCTGTTTCATTTTAATTTATCAGCTGTCTCTATATAAGACAGGAGGCCTATTCTTCAAATAAGATTACTTTCTTTGATATTAGGCAACCCATCTTATTCTCTCGAGCACATTTTCATAGAAATAGGAGGATATATTTTTCTTAAAAATCATCAGCTGTGTCTCCAATTTCATGATTACTAAGGAAGTATGCAAAGGTAAAGGACAGGAAACTGATTCGTTGATTCAAATTTTGATGAAAAAAAAATCCTTCCCTTGTTGGCTAATCTCTTACTAGCAGAAATCTGAAAATGTTTTCTTGGGTAGAAAAGAGTAATTTTTCTTGGAAACTTATGAGATCAGGCTTTGTTTGATGCCCAGTGAGACAAGGGACAACAGTTCAGTTCACTGGTTTGCTCCTGGGAGCAGAGGCAAATTTGTCATCAATTATTCACATGAACCCAGAGCTGTGGTAGGGAAGAGGGAGGTTTGCTCAGGAGAAGCCAATCTTGAATGTGTAAGAGCTGTGGATTTTAAAATACAGCTTTGTGGCCAGGTTTTTGACATCCTGAAATACAAGTTTTTTTTCTTTTTTTTTTTGGGCCTTAAGATGAAACCTACAATATGAGGGTAAACAGTGGCTATAGATTAAGACATCATCTCCTTTGCGAGATGAAATCATCCACAGTTTGGCTAAGTAGTAATGTCTTTAGAGTTCAAAGTTTATAACTCCTACAGCCATTAGGAAATATTTTCTTGTATACATACATATATGACATCTGGGTTTCACACTCTACTCAGCTTCTAAGGTATTGTTGAAGACTATGTTGTCCAGCGTCATGACCATTAGATACATGTGGCTACTGAGCACTTAAACTCTCTCTGGGCTAAATTCAGATATGCTGTAAGTATAAAATACACACTGTATTTCAAATGGAAATGAAATTTCAAAATGGAAATATATTAATATTTTTATAAAATGGAAATATATTAATATTTTAAACATTGAGTACATATTAAAATAGTGATATTTTTGCTGGCCAGGTGCAGTGGCTTACGCCTGTAATCCAGCACTTTGGGAGGCTGAGATGGGTGGATTACATGAGGTCAGGAGTTCGAGACCAGCCTGGTAAACATGGTGAAACCCTGTCTCACTAAAATACAAAAATTAGCCAGGCATGGTGGTGGGCACCTGTAATCCTAGCTACTTGGGAGGCTGAGGCAGGAGAATCTCTTGAACCCAGGAGGTGGAGGTTGCAGTGAGCCAAGATTGTGCCATTGCACTCTAGCTTGGGCAACAGAGTGAGACTCTGTCTTCAAATATATATATATATATATATATATATATATATATATATATATATATGTAGGATATATCAGGTTAAAGTTAATTTCATCTTTTTTTTTACTTATTTGATGTCTCTAGAAAATATATATGTATATATGTACATATTACACATATTTCTATTGGACAATGCTGGTTTAAGAATATTCATTGTGACAAATGATCCTTTGATATTCCATGGTGAGCTGTGAAAAGTTATTGGAACCCCAGTCACCAGGTCCTGACATTCAGGGATCCTATCCCAAGTGTCTCCTCTGAGCCATAACTCCTGGCAGTATCCACTCTCCTGTCTTTGCTCCATATTTGCTGTGCCCCTCTTAGCTATAGCTGCTGTTCCTGTCATTGCCTTGAGACAGGGCTTACTTTTGCTCCACTCCTATCGCTGGTAAATGGGAGAGGAAACAGGGTCCCTATCTGTTACAAGTGCCTTTATGTATTTATTTCTTTAAGGAACCAAATAATTTGACTCTGTTTGTTATAGTTTGCCTGATGCTAGACGTTGTTCATTAACCTTCCTCTTTAAGTTTGTTATTTTGATTAATTCTTGGGATAAATTCGCTTGGGGCAGGGTTGGAAAACAATACAAACATCCTCACACAGTGGACCATGCTTAGAGAGCTTCCTCTTTGCTTTGACTTGATTCACTGTTTGTGAATTTCTTACTCTACCACACGTTGCCAAGAAGATGAGACCCAACCACTGGGCTCCAAGGTTTAGTCATATCCTCTTCTCTAGGAGGGGACATGTCCTGACTTTCTGGAATATGCAGATGATATCCAGCTTGGGTTCTTATTTTGGGACTATTATTGCCTGTGATGTTTAAATAATTGATAATGGGTACCAGTTGTCAAATAGGGATTCAAGTACACTATCAGTTTTATACAAGGAAAGCTGACTTAGAGAATGGTGGCCTGGCCTCTTATATCCCAGCTGAAACTTGCCTGTAAGTCCTCAGCAGAGAAGCTAGAGAATGTTGGGTCTCCTGGTGGAGGCCCAGCTGTTTGCGGCAGGAGGCAGAGGTGGAGAGAGCACCCAGCATAAGAACAAATGAGTCAAGAGAGCAAGGAGCTTGGCTGTGTAAACTTTGATGTTGTGACCTTACTCTTGGTAAAGAAGGTCCCATGGATTTCAGGAGCTCCTTGCCTCACCCATTGGATAAGTTACTCCTTCTTCCCCTGGGAGGAGTGAGTAAGGGGATGGAGACAGGGAACCCAAATATTTGTTCCTGTACTCCCCTTCCTTGGAAGTAGAGAAGTTTCTTATGTTTCTGGAATGTGAGGGAGCAGAAGTAAGCAATCCTTATATCACACACTGTAGAAGTTAAATCATAGTATTATAGATGATCAGAGCTGGCAGGGACATGAAATGCTGTCTGGTCCAACACCATCATTATATATAAGAAAACAGCCCCACAAAAGTGCATTAACAGAGTCTGGGGGGAGCTCCCCTGTAAAGTCTGCTGCATATTAACACCTCTGAAAAAAAAACAGGAAGAAAAACAGGCTGCCAGTTTGATATAGCTTATGCCTCAGTAGAAAGTCTGTATGCATGTTTTTGTCTTTAAATATCTGCAAAATTTTTAAATACAATGAATAAGATTGCAAATCTGGCATATGAAAGAATTTACATTTTGGTTTGGCACGTTTGGTGTGGATTTACATGCAACAGCGGAACTAATCCAATTGAAATTAATATTTTCATTTCACTGCCATAAATTCACACAGACCTTGAGGAACAGATCCCCAAAAGTAGTGGTGTCTGGGACTCAGATTGTGCTGTTCATGGACAGAGAGAATTGGGTTTACAGAATATTTTCACCAAACTCTGTGTGTTGAGTAAGTGACCTGCTGTGAAAAATGTAAAAAGCACTAATACATAGGCCAGGTCTTGTTAGTGAAAAGTCTGACTTAAAGAATTAATAATAAATAAGTCTCTAAACATGAGTATTTCAACTTTAAAGATGGTATACACAGTGACTAGCAAGTAGAATGGTTAGAGGCATGCACCTCTGGACTTCTGCTTCCATTTATTTGTCTACTGTAACAGTTACCACACTGCATTGTAATTATTTGTTTACATGCTCTTCTACTCACTAAACACACATCAATCATCTGCCAGATGTCAGGCACCATGTTGGGCACTGGAGAAAATTAATGATCTGCATTTTGTCTATTGGCCTATATAAAGGATTTTAGTCAAGCTGATTGAAATATTTGCATCTTCTGCTTTGTCATCTGTAAAATACTGAGTGGGGATTAACATCCCATCAAGTCCTAAGATATGTATGAAATAGAGGTTTTTGAGGTTTTGAAGGATGCTTGAAAAGTTTATCCTGTCGTACAATCTGAGTCCTCCCTTTGCTTAAGACACTGTCCCAAATTGCAGTCAATGTATTTCTCTCCCATGCAAAGGAAGTGGGGAGGTAAGGAGATGAGGCTTAATGGCAGTTCCACAAGGTTATCAGGGTCCCTGGCTTGGTCATGCCCCCTCCCTAGCCATTTCTAACACAGAGCTGCTGCAGCAGAAATGCCCACCCCAAGGTGCAGGGAAGGCTGGAGCACCTAGTCTTTTAGCTGGGAGTATGGCTGCCCTCAGTAAAATTGGATTCTGAGAGTAAGAAAGAAGGAAATGATGAACAATGGGATAGCCAACTATTGTCTGTAAAAGAAAAATTGCACCAGGCCAGTTAAACAGACAAGGAAGACTTTATTCAAGACTACTGCAATAGGGGAGAAACTTGAGCTTATCTCTGCTATAAGAAAATGAGGGAAGATTCTTAAATGTAGCAGTGAGCTGGTGGAAAAGTACTGGAGGATGTTAGTGGGGATGTTGGTCAATGTGATTAAACCATCTGTGTTAGGCTCCTACTCTCCCACAGGTACTGGGATACAGAGGCTCCATCTTTCTTGGTGATTTCATTTCAGAAGGATGGCTCCCAGGTCTTTGAGAAAGATGTTCCATTCCTGGGTTACAGAATGCTTATATCTCAAGGGTAAGAGAAAGAATTTACAACTGCAAGTTTTCTAAAGTAAATGCTGTAAGAAAAGGGAGGTCAAGGTCTTATAGTCAGAAAGAAGCCTGTCTAAACTTTAGTCAACCTGGGGAGAATGCTAAGGCTTGGTTATGTCTCTGCCATGGAATTTGTTTATTTTTGCTGCAATTTTGTTTACAACACTAATATCTTATAAATCTTTTTTTCCCCATAGGTAAGATAAGCTTCAGCCCAAATTACTTTCTGAAGTGTCCAGAATTCTTTGCTCATGGAATCTGGGTAGAGGAAATTGTACACCATGTTGGATAGGGGAGGGTCAGGAATATAGCTCTTTGTAGGTTAACGACCACACGCTGCAATGTTATGAACAGTCTGTGGGACTTTATGACTGTCTAGAGTCAGGTGACAGAAAGTTTCAGGTTCTCAGAGCAATTATGCCACTCACATTATGCATGAAAAACCCCATCACTCTCCGAGCCTAAGAATAGGCTGCCAAGGGCTCCTCTTTCTGGTTATTCTCAATTGAAGATAAAGCAGTTCAGGTTGCTGCATGATTTGAGTCTGTTTTCTTCCCCCTAAAGGTGACAAGCTCTAATTTTATTTTATTCTTTGTAAACTTGAAAATGAAAGGTCCTGTGCGAGCTGTGTGGGAGATGCAGTGTGTGCCTTTGCATTCAAGGTGAGCAGCACATAAATGTTTTCTTAATGTGCTTCAGACACGTTCGGAGACATAAAGAAGGGAATAGACCTAGCAGGTTATTGAGTCTATGTCCCTTCTTTTGCATTGATTGAAACTGCCTCATTCGAGCATGCCTTTTGGAATTTTGAGCAAACTAATTTTCTATGTCCCCAGGAGCTGATACTTGTCACAATTCCATTTCAGAAAAATTTTTCTAACATGGGAGACCTCATTGTCGAGATATTTCTTTGCATCAGTTCTATCTTATATTTTCTTGGCTAGCAAGGCCAATCCATGAAGTCAGACCCCATCGTAGAGCTGAGGTAGGAGAAGAAAACCCAGAGGATAACTGGGTTACCTTAGGATTTTACTCTATCAAGTTATATTTCAAGAGATGTGATTTAACAGTTAATATGTCTCCAAATCCATGTAATAAGAAATTATATTTTTGACTGCATTTGCTACTAATATTTTTAATGTTTCATGTCTAGTATTTCCCCAATAGAATATCTTAAATATTTTGATTACTTTCTATTACACACTCTATTATTTGCTGCATTAAAAACCCAAACAATGTTAAGTCATTTCAATGTAATTTAATTAATATATATACATATATAAAGATACTTAGGTACCATGAGAATTCCTGCTTTCAAAGATTCAAAGAGTTGAGGATGGTAGAATATTCTAAGTTAACTTAATACAGCACAAAACAGGCAGAATAGATTACAGGATAAATTTTTACCAAAAGTTGAAAACACTCAAATGTCAGTACTGAAATTGTTATACAGTCAAACTTCTAGGAGGCTAAGTCATGGGGAGGGAATATTTTATGTGCTGTGGAAGAAATGATATGGTGGGTATATTTTCATCCAATAGGGGAATCTGTTTTCTGCTTAGAAAATTGATTTTCTGTCCAAAACACCTAAATATAAAACCCCATCTTTCTGCTATGCCATGGTACTGCACCATCATGAGAGAACGAGAAAGGAGTGAGGACAATACTATGACCATAGGCAGAGAAAAAAGCCATTCTCAGGGAAATAAAGAAAGGACATAGTTGCCATTTTCAATATTAATAGAATAATCTCTTTTTACAAGTGCCATCGACAAAGACTGCATTTATCGTACACATTGAGCAAGTGTGTAAGGAGGAACTGACATTTTTCTGTTATTGGTAACGTAGGCTCTGAAATACTATTTAATAAGAAGCAAGTATTTCTGACCAGAACAATGTGGGACATATTGAAAAGCGTCAGCAGAAACTGAGGAGAGAGAATAACTAAAAGGAAAACTGTATTTGCAGCGTCTTTGTTAGAAGACGCTACATATATAATATAAAAACTTATATTTTCCACCATTTCCATTGTAGGGTGCTAGAAATTAATTTAACACTACAGTAAACTATCCATTGTGTTCGGTTATAATTGTTTAACTGGAAGGTAAACTGTTTCTAAAGTTTTCATTGCGTGTTAATAAGTCATTCCCTTATTCACTTATTTCTTATTTTTATTGCTCATTCCTTCACTTGTTCATCCATCCATTCATTCATTTAATAGGTAAAAATTATAGTGTGCATCTAGTCATTATTTATTATTTCACTGTTTTCATAGAAACACAAGTATTTTTCTTTTTCTTATTTATCCATACTTGGCAGACCTTTCCTGATTGTTCTAGCAAAGACTCTGATTGTCAAAAGTTAGAAAACATGGAAGGCAACACCCCTTACAGAATTCTGGGTTAACAAATGGGTACTACAGGGGACACTGGCAAGGCTGCAAGTAAACGAACACTTCAAGTACTTTTATTTATTCATTTCCAATGATCATATCTACTGCTAATCAGAAACATGACAATAATGGCTGGATCTGAAAAGGAGTAAACAGACACTATAATTTTTAAAACTATCAGCCACCATAAACATAAGGCAAAGAAAGCTTGTGTTGTAAGGAATTAAATTCAATGTGCTATTATTTCTTCAATTCAAACAAGATAACGAGAAATTTACAACAGGCATAGGCCTGAAAAGTGTTTGCCTGAATGTAATAACAGTGTCACTCTTATCTATGGAGAGAGGATGCTCTCATTCACTCAGACAGATGTGAACACACTAGTCAACTTGGTAATTGTTTCAGTCACTCTATTTAAACAATTTTAACACAAAGTTCCTTAGTGAACCTTATTAGGCAGAACTCTAATAAATTAAGTAACCGTTCAATATGGAGTGAAAATCACATCCTCAGAATGTGCTAAAAATGAATCGACTCAGTCAATTCAGTAAATTACTTTTTATTTGATGTGGAGCAGATTATTTGATTAATAGAATCTTTCACTTTTCCACCATATTGTCATTTGGCGTTTTTGGCTGCTGGAGCAGAGATTGGCTAATGTTGCCTCTGGAAAAAGGAGAATTTGTTTTAAAGATACCTAAGGAGCTGTCAGCTGAGTAGCTCTGGCTGTCACTGCTGACTGACTTCTTCTCATCCTTCCCTTCCCACATATTCTAGAGAGGAAATCAAATTGCTCCAGCTCGTTTTTTCCCAGCAGACCATAAGCAAACCCATGGATCTGTTGACTTTGAGTATCCTGTCCAATCAACTCTGCCCGGGTGCTTGAGAGGGAGGGAAGACAGGACCACATTATGGGCAGAGCACTGGTTCTTTAGTAGAGATTGTAGATGGGCAGCTGGCCTTATAAGGGGCTTCTGATGTTTGTTCAGTGTAGCACCCAGCAGCATCTAGCTGACAGGGCAAGAATAGGCAAACTTACCATGTTTGTGTGTGTCAAAACAGTCCCCATTATCTAGTTAGTTTTTTTCTATATTTTATAACAATATTATTTTTATCATTATAAAATTGAAGTATCTTTATTGAAATACATTTGGAAACTAAAGAAAAGCACAAATAATAAACTCTTATTGGATTTTAAAATCACATCTTAAAGAAGTTTAATCCATTCATATTTATTGTCACAAATGATAGGCTTGTATCACTCTAATTTTATTTTACACTTTTTACATTTTATGCTTACTTTACATTTCTTTTTGCCATATGGAATATTTTTCTTTGCTCCCCTCAGTAATTTAAAAACTTTTAACCCTATTTTTATTCAGTATAGTTACTGCATATGTAGCCCAGTGTCTCTGGGTTTTGGGGTACGCACTGTGAAGAAGTACCCACCTGTAACTGTTGCTCCTTGAGTTCTCGTTTCAAAAAGTTCCAGGAAGGGTCTAGCGATGCCTGAGTTGGGGATGAACTTTGGCAAACTCTCTTCATTACCACACTAAAATCTCCATACAGAAGACTTTTTATAAATATATTCATCATTTTCTATACATGTGATGTATGTAGAAGCATAATCAATGCCTTCACTGCCTTTATGCCACCCCTACATACAACAACTCGGCTAATCAGCCCATTAAAAGGCCTGTTTCCACCTTTGTTCGAGGAGACACTGCTTTGAGAACCATTCCCATGTCCTCCTTACTTATTGCAAGAAATAAAATCCCTTTGTTAAATCCTCCTTGGTTGTGGGCATCAGACTGTCACCCAACAAGTGATGAAATCCATCCTCGTGTCTATAACATAGATGCCATTAATTATAATATATTGAAATCAGTTTTTCTCTCATTTAGTATTCTTTCATTTCCGTCTTCTTTCTACCATTATTTTCTAGGTTTTCTTGATATAATATGGTATATTAGATGCAGATTTTTATTTTACACTTTTATTTTGACATCATGGCTCTTTCATTTAAAGAAATATTTTTGAAAAATGTATTACATTTTATGATACTGTTATCTATTGTTATTTAGGTATAACTATATTAAATGGCCTGATTCAATTATATTTTTTTAAAATACCACAACACATCAATTTTTGAGATTTTTTTTTTTTCTTTGAGATGGAGCCTTGCTCTTGTCACCCAGGTTGGAGTGCAGTGGGACGACCTGAGCTCACTGCAACCTCTGCCTCCTGAGTTCAAGCGATTCTCCTGCCTCAGCCTCCTGAGTAGCTGGGATTATGGGCTCCCACCACCATGCCCAGCTAATTTTTGTATTTTTAATAGCGATGGGGTTTCACCATCTTGACCAGGCTGGTCTTGAACTCATGACCTCACCATCCACCCACCTCTGCCTCCCAAAGTGCTGGGATTACAGGCGTGAGCCACCATGCCTGGCACTTTTTGAGATTTTTCTTTTTCTTTTTGAAGCAATTATTTTTGGAAAGAGTACATGGATGTTATATAGTCTATGCTTTTTATTCTTATATTAATCAACTATTTGCATGTCTGCTGTCTATCACTCGATTGTAAGTTCCTTGGAGGGCGGGACTGTGTATTAGTCACTACTGTATCATTCCACTAGTGTTTAGCACAGTACTTTGCTAAATCTGAGTATTTAAATATTTGCCCAATAAATTAAAATAACTTGTTATATTGTTCCTGTTCTATTTTGCTTTCTTCTGTGTGTAGTGGACCTTTGCTTTTCCTCTTCTTGCCAGTACCCCTTTTTTATTTGGGTATCCACTTGGTATGGTTTGGATTTGTGTCCTCATGCAAATCTCATATCCGAACTGTAATCCTCAGTGTTGGAGGAGGGGCCTGGTGGGAGGTGATTGGATCATGGGGGCAGACTTTCCCCTTGCTGTTCTCATGATAGTGAGTGAATTCTCATGAGATCTGGTTGTTTAAAAGTGTGTAGCACCTCCCACTTTGCTCTCTTTTTCCTGCTCCTGCCATGTAAGACATGCCTGCTTCCCCTTCACCTTCTGCCATGGCTGTAAATTTCCTGAGGCCTCCCCAGCCATGTTTCCTGTACAGCCTGCTGAACTGTGAGTCAATTAAGCCTCTTTTCTTTGTAAATTAACCAAGTACTTCTTTATAGCAATACGAGAGCAAACTAACACACCAGCCTTCTGCTGGTGGCCTGCATGCATCTGGAGAAGGTGATCCTATCCTTGCTTCTGGATTAGGCCCTCACTGTTTTAGGCTAAGCATCACACTGTATAACCTGGCTACAATGTTTGGTTAAGGAACGAACAGGAGACCTAGCCTGGACCAACTGCAGTGAATCTCAGGATTATTCTTTGGAAATCTGAGACAGAGATGCCCTTTCTTTCAGGTAGGATATGGGCAACATGTGGAATTTGTTGGCAGTGATATTGCGACCACTGGGGGAGTAGCTTTCATCAGGGGGCAGATAGTCTGCACTTAGAAACATACCCTCTACATATTACAGAACAACCTAACAATTAATGTTGGTAATGATGACCCTAGATCAAGAATAAAATATTACACTATAACTTAATATTAACTGTGATTTCATATATTAATAAAATATTAAAACTGTGACTATGAGCATGAGGTAGACATTGCGAAAGGCAGCACAGAGACAGAGTTTGAATTTCCTCATGGACATTTTTGTGCTGCTGGCTCAAACCAAACCTCAAATCCGCTTTACCCTTAGATTATCCAGGGATGGGAACCAATACATTCCTTTATTGTTTTAGCTTGTTTGTGTTGGATTTCTTTCAACTGCACCCAAAATCCTTATAACTGATGCACTATATTTTCAGCCTATTTAATCATATAAGCATTTTGGCAGTCTGCTTCATTAATTTTTCTCCTTGCCTAATTCTTTACCCTGTTTCAGTTTAAATTGTTTCTTGGCTGGGTGTGGTGGCTCACGCCTGTAATCCCAGCACTTTGTGAGGCAGAGGTGGGTGGATCACGAGGTCAGGAGTTTGAGACCAGCCTGGCCAACACGGCAAAACCCTGTCTCTACTAAAAATACAAAAAAAAAAAAAATTAGCCTGGCATAATGGCAGGTGCCTGTAATCCCAGCTACTTGGGAGGCTGAGGCAGAAGAATTGCTTGAACCCAGGAGACGGACGTTGCAGTGAGGAGAGATTGTGCCATTGCACTCCAGCCTGGGTGACAAGAGCATGACTCCATCTCAAAAAAATTTTTTTTTCTCTTCAGCTTTCTAGTTTATATTTCAGCTTTCTAGTTTATATTTATATTATATTTATATTTATATTAGTGCTGATCAATTGTTTATAACTGCATAGGATCACGAAATGACCAGAGATCAGTTATTCCTGCTCCCTTATTTTTAGATAATAAAGGTAAACATAATGAGGCTAGATGATACAAGCTAGATTATGTAGTCATAGTTTTAATATTTTATTCATGACTTTGGGTCATCATTATCAACATTAAGTATTAGATTGTCCTGTAATGTGTATGGTAGATTATTAAATGCAGACTATTTGCCCCCACTAATGGAAGTGTTTTTCTAAATAGCTTTCCATCTGTCTTTTCCAGTTAGTTGTTGCTTTTTGCTGCTGCTTTTGGGAGTTCTTTGATCATTCTTGTTGCCTCTAATCTTCTGTCTACTGTATGATAGGAAAGGAATGAGAGTCACTAAGGTTAATCATGCTTTATAAGCTGATAACCTCAACTTTACACACAATACTAAATCCATTCACTAAGGGGTGAATTAATAGCTATAATGTGACATAGATGACCACTGAAGTTGTTTTCACCAATATTCTTTAGTCTTTTTTAATTTTCACTTGCCTCTGGTTTTTGGTCATATGGGTGTCTGCAGTTGTTGACGGTATAGAAAAGAGTAAGTTTTTTTAAAAAAAGAGAGGAAAGAGAAAGATTAGGAGTGTTAGTACTCTTATAATTTTTGAAGGGTAGTTGTATGTTAAATGTTACCAAACCTCATAAATAAAACAGGTAAACCTGAGTTAAATGATACATTTAGTACATTGTGGTTCTGGTTAATTGAATTTTACAGCTTACTGAAGTGGTATTCTGAAAATCCTTCATCTTCTTAAGATCTTTCCTTACTATAGCATCTGTTTAACTTTCATAATAGATATCACATATGAAAGAAAATATTTTTCCTCATAAATTTGCATCTTTCAAGGTCTTCTTCTGCATGGCACTAAGTGAAAACCTGGAGGGTGAGGGTTTTGAACTGTTTTGTAGTTTTGACACTGCTAGTTGGCACGTGTCAGACACTATTCCTGCCCACTGCTGTCTTATTCTACTCTCCTTTGGGGCACATAGAAAGATTCTACTTTCTGCCACCTTAAGATTAGGCATGGCTATGTGCAGTCTCTGAGGAAATAGAAACAGAAGTGATGTATGTTGCTCTAGATCAAAGCCTTTAATTGTCAGGCTTGAGTATTCCTTCTGTGGTAATCATAGAAGCATGTGTCAAGATGGAGACTCTGCAGCATGGGTGGATAAGGCATACACTTTTATTAAGCCACTGAGATTTTGAGATTTTTGATACCACAACATATCCCAGTCTTGGGAAGGCCCTGGGAGATCCATAGGGCAGAAGTGGCAGAGCTCTGGAATTAACTCCTTTCCCCTACCCTTCCCCTTAACTGGAATAGCTCCTCTTTGTTTTTTTTGTTTTTGTTTTTGTTTTTTTAATTTTATTTGACAAAACCCTTTTTATTGCTTAAAAAAAGATTAAAAACCACCCATGTAGGAGTTTGGCCTGAATGTTCTTTGGACCCTAGGATTTAATGGATTTTAAAACATTTGCTCCTTAAGTTTTCTTGTGATTGGCTTCTCTCATAAAAGTAGATTACAGCTGAAATTTAATTAATTGAGGGTTTCAATATATTGTGCTTTTCCCTAATGGTATACCCAAGCTGTGCTTATCAATTGACATGTCTGATGATTGTATGTGGTTTATGAAATGAGGTTCACTGGTTGATAATATATGTTATAAAGCACAGCAGTGAGACATATAAAATATATAATAGACAGTGGGAGTATTTTGTTAACAGTAGCTTATAATTTCATATTATTTTGTCATTTAAGACCTCAATCACTGTTCATACCGCCTTTCATTTAAGCCAAGCATTTAGTATACTTGTAGAATTTGGACTGAACAATATTATTAGAATTCATTATTGAAAAATACTTTTTGTGAGTCTTTTCTCTGTAGGACTTGAGCATAAAATTCCTGAAAATAGAACCCATTCATACGTTAATGTATATTTAAAAACACATAAGCTCATTGTCAGATGCAGACAATTTTGACTACTCAAATGAAGGGTAAAAGACACATGGATTATACCAAAAAATGGATAATTCTCAAATCATTTATAAAGTAACACAGTGATCGATAAGAAAGGAAAGTACTCTTGGTTAATTAAAATTTTTGCTTGACAAGAGGTTTAAAGAAACAGGTGTTTTTATTTTGAAAGTTTCAAAAATGCTTCTTGATTTAACAAGTAGAGTTTCATGACCAATATTGAATCTTTGAAGATTGAAAATCTTGCATCACTTTGGGTGTCATTAGTCTGTAGAGACAGGATCTTGCTATGTTGCCCAGGCTGGTCTTGAACTTCTGTACACAGGCAATCCTCCTACCTTGGCCTCTTAAAGAGCTGGGATTACAGGTGTGAGCCACCATGGCTGGCCTGGGTGTCAGTAATCTGAACATGAATAGTCAATGTAAAAACAGAGAATGTGGAGGAAATTGGGTTGACGTTACACAGTTTGAGAATGTACTCTCTAATGTATTATTTTAAAAAACTAAATTTCTCCTGTGAGTGTACTTACTGCTTTTGTGCTTAAAGCAATTGCTGGGGTAGACTGTGGGACTGGTAAGTGAAGGATCATCCAGTTGGGTTTTAGTTAAATGAAATTTTATATCATCTGCCTGTTATACAGATGCAAACATCCCTCCTTAGCTTTCCTCACTCCTAATCCTGAGCAGTGGTCAAGTTGCCCCTTATGTTGAGAGTTCGAGCTAGGCAGTGGTGGGGAGAGAAGTTAAGGGAGCAATTACTTGGAAATAAGCAATTTATGTTTTTAAATACACATGGTCTGCTTCCTAGTTGCAGCCCTCACAGGGTTAGGCAGTCTGACTGAGCTCCTCTAGCTGCAGCATAAGTGGTGATTTGGGAATCTTATTGGGAAGAGACTGCTTGTCTAGTGAATTTTCAGAGTAAGCATGTTGCCAGATCTCACGTTCCAGCTTCCCCAAGAGAAACTCGAAAGAAATGATGTAGCGAAGGATTCTAAAATAAACATTCAAATTAATGCTCATAGACTTGAGTTGTAATTCAGACTCGCTTCCATCATTATTATGTCTCCCAAGCATTTGGTTTTGAAGAACACCTGGCAAAGAGTTATCCTGAAGTCGTGTTGCCTTATTGAACCCAGCGTAGACTGAATCTGTACCCTTTCTGTCTGCTGGTTCTGTATCATCGTGACTATTGTCCAGCTTCTTGATCTTGTGTATTACTTGCACGTTTCTTTAGTGAATTCATTGGTTCTGACAGGATCCATATTTTTGATCTCTACATGTCCACATGGCATTAAATCTAACTGTGGGAAATGTTATCATCACACTACAGTTATTATATTGACAAGCACATTTCCCTGAGTAGTCAGTCATGGAAATGGAGAGATTACTCATTTTCTGAAATACATGATGGTTATGAAGAGGGCAGTATAGGCTAATGGAAAGAGCTCTAGATGGATGAACATGATTCTTTTTATGACAGAAAACCATTAATTAAATGCCTTTTTCCATGTATTACTGTGCTAATCTCCACACAGAGGGTCGTACTCAGAATTTATTTTTTCCTTTGTAAATTTGCAAACTACCATATAGTAATACAACACAAATATTTATAGATATCAAGAAAAATGTCATTACATTAACACATCGTACAAAAATATAATTGCATAAAGCTGAGGATTTATTTTGGGACTGGTGAGAAATGATGGGGTAGGAGTTGGGGGAGACAAGGTTGGAAAACATTTCAGAAGAGAACCCAGAAAAGTAGCCATCAGGACTCTGTCCCTACTAGGCTGGGGAAGCAGCCAGGCCTTTTCTGGAGAATGCAGAAGGCTTAGCTTTTTGAAATGAATGAAAATGGAGTAAGGGGTGTGTACAGAAACATGTACTTAGTACCTGTTTTATGACTTCGCTTTTGTTCTGTGTGCATTAGGTATTTATGTTGCTCTTCACTAGAAGACCCGATCTAAATTTATTGGAACAAATGAGGAAATGTATTCCAGTGATTCAGTGATTCAGGTCTTCATAGGTTGATGGGAGGTGAAGGGACCTGGAGTTAGAAGGAGGAACTCAAGCTCCCATTGAGAAGAGGTTGCTGTCTTTGGTTTGGAGCAGGCAGAAGGAGCAGAAGAGGAGAAAATGTGTTTTAAAATCGTCAATCAGCAAAGTGTCAATGCAGGAAGGGGTACCCTTCTAAGCAATGGCCAGCCACTTATTGTTAGATAATTAATGGAAGGTCTCCCCCTCCCCCACATGGCCTATGAGAAGGCATGGAGGAAGTCTGCATAGTTTTTCAGGAATAACCTCAGTGAACACAGAAGTGCCCCTACATTGAAGGGAGTCTGGAACCCGAGGACTTTGTTCTTCAGAAAAGAGAGAACCAAGATTGGATTAAGTTCCACAGTCATTAAAATCAATTTATATTTATATGCTAAGCATATGAGCTATACCTTTGTTATTTTGTTTCTTTAAACTTTAAGTGTTATGCTCTCATAATTGTACATAATTAGTTTTCTATCAATATAGATTTATCATTAGATAATGAATTATACCTAAATTAGTAATTACAGAAATGTCTTCTAGCTGATCCTGGTGCTCTGCAAATAGCTGTTTGGTCCTAGTTCTTACTAGTGGGGATGCAAGCTGGAGACTTGACCCAGGGTTTCCTAGAGGCACATGTCCCAGAGGGGAGAAGAGGAGAAGGAGACCTTCAGGCAGACAGTGCTGCTTGAGGCTCTTCTTTCTTAGAATGGTTGGAGAGAATGGAATGGTGGATACAGAGCCTCTTAGCTCAAATAAGAGAGTTAGACATAAATTTTGACACCTACCAGGGAAGGGGAAAAGCATTTCCTCCTTAGCTTTTAAAAAGTCTAGAATTTTTTTTTTAAAGTTCTTGTTTCCTGATCACCTTTCAAGCAAGTGTCATATGACGTTACGTCTGAAAAAATAGTTGTGTCCCTAGGAAAATGGAGTTTAAAAATATTGAAGAAAGATGACTCTTTTGGCCCATCTTTCTCAGGCATAGGAGACTTAAGATATGTCTCTGAATGAAATCTCATGCCATCTTTATGGCCATCCTGTCCTTTCCTATCCTTTGTGGCTGTCTTCACCATCCTCTGGGTCGTAGATGTCAGGGGTTTAATCTTACAGTCACTGCAAAGAAGAAATGTAGTTGGAAATCCTGCCAGGGTAGAATCTGCACAAGGCCAGTGCCTATTAGATGAATAAGGAGCTGAGGCTGCCACTGCCCACTTCCCATCTCCCCTGTGCCAGCCACACCCCCAGAGAGTCATTGGCCATTATTTCCCCAGACTAAATTCACAGTAAACTCTGGTGGGGGTTTGAGAAGGTTTCAAGTGTGTATTCCAGAGCAATATAGTGCCAGAAATTTGGGAATTGTTTTTCTTTAGCCAACATATTTCTTTGTCCAAGGAACAGGACAGAAACTCACATCTCCCTTGTGCCCTGGCTTTAGCAATTTTCTCCGTAATTGGTCCCATGTTTCCCAGCAAGCTTATCTTTCAGCCCACCCTTTCTTGGTATCTTTGTGCACCCTCCACTCCCACCCTATAAAATGCTTCCTTTCTCCAAATGATAACTGTCCTGCCCTTAGTTCCTTTTTCTGTCTTGTAAACTCTGTCTCCTTAGGCTTTGACTGAGTATAAATGGATTCATTTGATTATGCTTTTATTTTTGTTATAATTTTTGGGTTTTCTTGTTCCACAGAGGGACAGGGAGAAACTCTGGGCTTGTAGTTGAGCTGAATAAGAAGTAGTGCCTTAAGTCCAGTTAACTCCTTACCAGTGATATGGCAGGTCTTCATTCATCTACAGTTAAATACGTGATATGGTGAGAATTTATCTTCTTATGGACATTGCATAGTCTGGTCTATATAAGGGATGCATAGTTCCCCTGTGACTTTGAGCCTTCTCTCTAAATAATAAATCTGACTTTATTAAATTAAAGCACATTTTCACCTCCTGACCTGGCTTTCATTAGAAAGGCTTCCCATAGGTTTTACAGAAAATGTCCCAGCTAGAGCCATTTAGACAATAGTGCCCCATACTCCAGTGGTTTTTCTCTTACACCTTAGCTTCTCCTCTATTATCAGGGATGGGGATTTTTATTCCATCTCTCTATAAAGAAAAAGTCTGCAAGCCCTCAGTCTTGGGAGTGATCAGATCTTTCTGGCATACTGATATGTATCCCGATTGAGTGTTTAGGGTACATTTTTAGAACAGTTCTTCTTTTGTTGACAAAGAGAAATTGAGACTGAAGCAATGACATAAACTATCAGGACCAAAGGAGGAACATTGTATGAATTTTTTTGACTTGTCATTTCTTTGTGGCTGGATATATTTGATCTGGGAGGAAATATGCATGGTTGGATACTATATTAGGGTTATAAATTATGTAATTAATTTTACAGAGTGAGATTGATACTATGAATGTACATTCATCCAAAATATTAGGAAGTAAAAGACTAAAAAAAATGTGAACGTATTTTTAACTAGATCTTTAAACTAAAGGCCAGCTTTACAGCTTCCTTCCAGCTCTGTATCTCTCTCATGCATGTTTCTTTTCAAAGCTGGCATCTTGTTCAGATCAGCTCCACAGGATACAAGGAGCAAGAGCATGTACATGTGCAGGCGCACACACACACACACACACACACACACACACACACCCCACCATCACTGTAAAATAGTATAATAGTGAAATGTTTTTCTCTGTATCTGAACTGCTTTCTTCTCCTTGAATTTTTATTTTACACATTTCATCTTGCTTATATAATCCAAAGGGAAATAGTCTATAGCTTATTTCCTATGAACAAATGCTGAAATGATTAAAATCTGACTGACTTCACTAACATATGCAAAGTTATTTCTGATGACAACTGCAATAGAGGCCCTATTGATGGGACTAAATTGACTTTAATTTTTATGTGATGAATGAATACTATACTGGGCTATGTAGTCGATTTGGTTAAATTTTATTGCTTTAGTTAAATTTTCAAAAAGGAAAACTTAAGCATGCAGGTCAGTCAAGAGGCTTTGAATTGGTGTATACATTAGAGGGTAGGAATTTACTTCCCCCTGCTTCTATAAGGGGAAAGATAATCAATTACTCCTTGTGTATATTTATGAAATCAGAATGCTGGTTACCAGCCAAGGTTTTTCTTTTTCAAAAACTGCAGAGAAGGTTTGCGATGAAAGCCAAAACCTTTTGAAAAGAGGCATTGCATATGTCTCCTTCTATGAATAAGAATAAAAGAAGATTTCCCCCTAAGCCTGCATGACTAAAGATAACATATCTCATTCCAATAATAGTCTCTCCCTTTTTTTGGTACTATAAAAACAACAACAACAAATAATTTGGAGGAGCTTAACTTCAAATACAATTAACACCTTGAGCAAGTTGATTTTGGGAACAATGCTGAGCTCAAGGGTGGCTTCCTAGAGGAAATCTTGACCAGTTTCAGACCTGAGTGGTGAATGGGAGTCAACTAGTCCAAGGCAGGTGAAGCACAGTGCCTGGAGAGAAGCCAGTCAAGGCAGAAGGTAAGGGCTTAGCAGTGAGTACAGCTCCTCTTGCACAATGTCTTCCACGTATTAAGAATTCAGTAGACATTGAAATGACTGGGTCCTTTCAAAAAGTAAAACCAAGGCTGGTAGCTGTTGGGGATGGCGTTTGTTTCTTTGATATAAAGAGGTGATTGCTGAAAGGATGAAAGGAGGGTAGACAGGGAATAAAAGAAACTTACGATTTACTTCACTTACTTCACAGAATCTGGCAGAAACATAACCGAAGCTAATTCATAGCTTTGCATAAAGCTTACTCTAGAAGGAGTGATGAATAAGTGAATACGGTATTCATTTTTAAACATTATTTTGTGGCCCATTATCCACTAAACATAATTCCTATAAAAAAAGAGAGTAAAATTTATCTTTGGGATCTAGATTTGGATATACTAGGGCTATCTTTATGAAACTGTTGCCAAAAAGGAAGACAGGGAAGAAGATAGAAAATGCTAAAGCTAGAAGAGGAAAGAGTATAAGATATTTTAGGAAAGTAAAAAATGAGAAAGAAAAAAATTTAATGCCATACTGACAAACACAAACACCATACAAAAATTCTGCTTATTTAAAGAGTATATACTCTCAGAAGTGAAGAAGCACTAACTCTCAGATGACAAAGCTGTCTTGAATACACAATGCTAGCTATTTGGTATAATTGTTTTTAGTTAGCAGTTAAATGAATATTATAAAATGGATATTTAAAAAAATAATGCTATCTATTTTCTGAAGTTTCTGTATCTAAAAAAAGAAAAATATAGAAATAATGGATTTGGGAATACCTGTAAGGGAAGAGCAATTAAGAGAGTTTTTGTTACTACAGGACAAGGACAGTAACAAAGAACAGTCTCACACATTTGATGAAATATCTAGCCATGTGTTCCGCACTCAGGAACCATAAGCCATTAAACAATTCTATTATGCTCCCAAGAGCCACTTGCATTCTAGCCAATAAAATACCTTAAGCCAAAGCAAATTAGAACATCAAAGTAGCTTTTCTCACCAAATGACACAAAGACATTACTGTTTCTGAAATGAGAACAGAAAGGCTATGACATGACTTCTACTGAGTCACAAGGAAGAATTCTTGGAATCCCCACTTCCTTTGCCTTCTTTCCGCCAGGCATAGCAGGAATGACTGAATAATTGTTTGTAAGACTTAAAAATACAGTTGTATTTTTCTTACCTACTTAGGGAAGAAATCACCTTTATATGCATTATCCACCAGTGAGATAATTTTCACTTAAATTTGCATCCAGTACTTCACCAGCCACCTTTTCAATATTCTTCACAAAATGCACACACATATTGGTTATTTTTAATAATGAAAATATTTCTATACTCGTGAATTTTCAGTATCACCAATTTGCACAGTTGAATCATTTTTTCAATGAGTACAGCGTAAGAATGGAGAAGGAAATTTGTTGGATTTATTCCAGTTTGGGAATTTGGTAGATATTTGCTTTAGAACAGGTTGTTGGGGATATTGGCAAGAAAGTGGATGAGTGGGAGACCATGGAGTCTAAGTTGAATATGGAAGGTTGTACACACATTTATTACCTTACAATTTCTGTGGATCAGGAGTTGGACATGGCTTAGCTAAGCCTACTCCTTAGTGTCTCACGAAGTTGTAACAAATGTGTCAGTTGGACTGCCTTTTCATCTGGAGGCATAACTGGGGAAGTGATCACTTCCAAACTCACTCAGATTGTTGGCAGAATTCATTTCCTTGCAGTTTTAGGACTGAGGGCCCCAGCTTCTTGAAGGATGTCAGCTGGAGTCCATCTTTACTTCCTAAAGTTGGTGTATAGTTCCTAGAGGCTACTTATAGTTCCTAGAAGCTACCCGTCATCCCTAGTGGCAACTCATGGTTCCTGGATATCTTTCCCACCATGGGCTTTCCCAACGTGGTGAATTAGTTCATCAAGCCAGCAAGGAGTTTCTAGAGTGTGAGTCTGCTGGCAAGATGGAGTCTTATATAACTTAAAGTAACTAAGGAAGTAGCATCTCATAATCTTTACCATCTGTTGTTGGTTAGTAGAAAGGCACATAGTTCCTGCCCACACTCAAGGGGAGGTGACTACACAGAGGTATGAATACCAGGAGGTAGGGATCTTGGGTGGCCTTCTTAGAGACTGTTTGCCACAGTATGTAAATGCTAACGGATCAACTGATTTTTTTTTTTTGCCCTTGTTCAGAGGCAAAAACAATTGATCCTATGGGCTGGAGTATTGTGTTGATTGTTAATACATGGGGATTGGTAAGATTTGATATAGGAGGAGAATAGGGAGCTCTGGAGAGGAAGTGGGGACAGGAATGCTAGTGTTTTAGAAATCTGTTAGACATTGATGCTGCTGGAGTGGAGTTATTCTAACTAATTTCCTTTAAAAAAGAAGCATAAATTCATAAGTCCTTGACCCTATCTCTGACTTGCTATTTTAGCCAGGCTCCATTGTAAAACAAACAAAACCAGTGTGTGTGTGTCTGTGTGCACGCATGGGTGTGTGTGCAGTTTTCTCCTCTTTTACTGAGAGGATTAGTTAGAAAATTTGATGTGAAATAGAACATAAAATGTTTATTTTTATAATCTTGATTTTAACTGCATAATAAAATACATGAATAGTAATACGGCAGGCTTTTAGAATCTAACTCTATAAACTGTGAATTTTATGGTGGAAAAGAGTAATGCATATATGAAAAAACACAGAAGAAAGTTTCAAATGCAGGTCCTCTGTTCATCACATTCTTTTGTCCCTAAGGACTGACATACTCTCAGATCTATTTACAAGCTATAATATTTGCCCAAAACAGTGGTTGTCTCTAAGAAAAGTAGGCCACTTAGGCCGGGCACGGTGCCTCACGCCTGTAATCCCAGCACTTTGGGAGGCGGAGGTGGGTGGATCACGAGGTCAGGAGATCAAGACCATCCTGGCTAACACGGCGAAACCCCATCTCTACTAAAAATACAAAAAATTAGCCGGGCGTGGTGGTGGACGCCTGTAGTCCCAGCTACTCAGGAGGCTGAGGCAGTAAAATGGTGTGAACCCAGGAGGCGGAGCTTGCCGTGAGCCGAGATCGCACCACTGCACTCCAGCCTGGGCAACAGAGTGAGACTCTGTCTCAAAAAAAAAAAAAGAAAAGTAGGCCACTTAATTGTTAGCCGTCCCTTCTTTTTCATACTGTATTAACTCTCAACCTGGCATGGGTCTGCATGGCAGAATCTGAAAAACTGCTTTAATTCATATTAATATTTTTATTTAATATTTAAGGGAATTTGGTAATATTTCTCAAATTTAATTCCTCTGCTGGTTCCCTCTCTATTTCCAGAACATGATTTCCCCCACCTTGGGTGTAATTCTTGCTCCTTCTGGAATGAAAGAAGACACTGAATTATGGTTACAAGTGATGACTCTGGTCAGATCTACTGACTGGATGACTGACTCATGGGTTTGAGTCTTGACATCACTTACTATTAGCTAGATGACACTGAGCAAGCTACTTAGACTCTCTGGGTCTCAGGTTCCTCACCTGTAAAAAAGGTTGTTGTGAATATACAATGTGATTTAAACATTGATAAATTTGGGTATATAATAAATGTTCAATGATAGCTATTATAATCCTATCTTTGGGGTTAATTATTTTCTACCCTTTACTTGCCATCAGCTAATTTTCTGATCTTTCCCCTATATGAAGTAAAAACATTGGCACTTGGCTTATGTCTCTTGTTCATGTCTTGGAAGTATCTTTTATTATTTGTGTCCTATTTATAGCCAATTTAGTGGCATAGTCTCAGAAATTTTTACCCTTTCCAACTCTAGCAACCTCAAACATCGCCAAAGTTCAGGCACTGACACTGCGGCCATCTAGTAAACCTTGTTGGCACAAGAAATTTCTATCCTTCTAAAGTTCTTAAGTGTCAATATTCCATTTGCAGATTACAACCTCAACTTCTTCCAGCTTTCTTATATCCTCACTCCTAGTAAAACCACGATTTGACCTTAATCTTTGAATTCTTCTTTATCTTCACTTATTGATTTTTTTTCCAGTACTTAATCTGGATTCCATGCATCAGCCCAATAACTCTGTTACTAACATTCATCCTGTTACCTGCATTTTGAGTGTGGGGATTTGAGCTCAATGCCACAATTTACCTTCTCTGCTCCTTTAGCAGTGCTGCTCCATGCTGCTGAAGAAAATCTTACTGCCATGTGAACAGATATCTGGACACACACTTGTCTCCAGCCTCAGTAGGACCTTCATGCTTCATCATTTCCCTCTTCCATGTTTCTCCTCAGGCAATACAAATCATTTCTAAATGTTTCAAGTCATATATCTGCCCATATCTCCTAATTCTCTGCGGAGTATGCCTTTTGCTACTTTCACAAGAAAAGCAAGGTAATTAGTTGTGAAATAACTTGAACTCTCCACTCACCACTTACAGAATTACCCCATTTGTATCTATTTTTTCTTCTTTCTTTCAGTGTCATAGAGGATAGATGATGTGAGCCTCTCTCCATGTGTAGTCAGTACTCCCATCCCCTCCCACCCCAAGTGTAAGCTTGTGCATGCAGTGAGCCCCTGCATGCATGCACCGACTTGCTTTTAATTCTATCCCTTCCTTCTCCCCCAGAATGTTGCTGTATTATTTCCCTATTTCAAACTCTATATTTCTACTTTTTCCCATCTCATAATCCATCCCAAAAAATAGAATCTTCTAGGCATTTAAAAGCAGTGCAATGTAGTTAGAGTGACAGGCTGCATTGGAAGGCAAAAGGTCCAAGTCGGAAAAGCAATGCGAAGCTCAAGGGCAGAGGGTGAGGTGAATGGAATATAGGAGAACATGAGTTCTGAGGACAAAAGCCTGCAAGATAGGACAGATATGGGCCATAGCTGGGCTGACAGACCACCTCAAAAACTCATGCATGTGCAGACCATAAGAAGCTTATAGTTGCTATTGGCAACATGAAAAGTCACATCTTTCCTCCATCAGTGTTACAAGAATAGTGAAAAAAGCCACGGTATAACCAGGCTTTAGAGCTGTTTCTCCTGAGCACCCTTTGGCTCACGTAAGCCCAACCTCTAAGTTCAACCACGTGAGGGAAAACTGCTCAAATAGGTTTTATGCACAAAGTCATCCAAAGAATGATATCTAGGTGGCAATTAGTTGCAGAATATAAAATCTTAGCTCAACATTAGATAGCTACATAAGCTCTGTATTCTATATAGACACATGTAATAGTACAGTAGTGTATGGAGTCTAAATTGTGAACGGAGTGGGGGAGGCAAAATTATGGAGCGACTTGCTTATACACTTCAATATTCTGAACCTAATAATTTAACAAGTGTTTTCAAGAGCTTCAGGAATCATTTGTTATTTTCATACAAGCTTTCTTTAATCCCTAAGATCCTTATCCCCATGATAATTTGAAAGTGGAGTGCAAAGGAATAACAAGTAGATTGAGATTAAAGCTGTAAAAATGCCAGCTTATAAGAGGCCCTTTTTCTGTGATTGTAGGTGTGCTGTGAAGTGAAGCAGTGGTTCCTTAAGTGTGGTCCCTGGATGAGAAGTATCAGCATCACCTGGGAAAATTTTGGAACTGCAATTTGTTGTGTCTGACACCAGACCTATCAAATCAGGTTCTCTGGGAGTGCAGCCCTGCAAATCTGTATTTCAGCAAGTCCTCCAGGAGACTGATGCATCTCAAGTTTGAGAACCACTGGCTTTAGAAGATTGGAGCAGCACTGTACATGGATAAATTTGCAGCTACTTAAATGATTTATCAAAGGAATGCTAGAAAACGGTATTTGGTTTTATGAATAGGTACTTGGAAGAGAAATTTATCTAATCCTGATAAAATTTATAATATATTAATGGGGCTGAAATATATTCCAAATGATAGAATTGTGATATCTTAAAAGAAAATGGATCTTTATAGCCTGAAATTATAGATTAAATTTAACAAGCTGAGATTTGTTAAGGAATAGAGGCAAATTCCCATATTTAGCTACAAACCCCCAAATGAATATGTATCAGATGGGAGAAAAATGTCCTGAAACCTTTAGTTGACTACACATTCAATATGAATCAATGATATGATGTGGCTACAACAAATTATCATAGTATATTGTTCACTCATTTATTTGTTCATTTATTCATTAATTATTTATTGAGTGCCTACCATAAACCAGGTGCTGTACTGGTCACTAAGAACGCAAGGATGAGTAAAGCAGGCATGGTCTTCTCATTTAAAGGAACTTACATTCCCATGATTAGTAAAATAAAAACCAGCAAACAAATCTATAAAATACTTTTTAGTTACTCTTAAGTGTTAATAAGAACAGCAAGAGTGATGAAGACCATACTGTTCTTTGTTGTATCTATCACCCAACCCCATGCCTATAGAATTGTGCTCAGCTGAGGTGAGTCACACTTCTGGAGAATTAGACAGATGAGAGAAAGTTTAGCGCAATGGGTTTCAAACTTGAGCATGCATGAGGAACACCTGGAGGGCTTTTTAAAAGCCGGATTGCTGAATCCTAAGCCCCAGAGTTTCTCATTCAATTGGTTTGACTTGGGACCCCAAAACTTACATTTCTAACAAGTTCCCAAGGGTAATGTTGCTGTTGCTGGTTTGGGAGCCACTGGTTTAGACCAGGATAAGGCTAGGGAGGACCAGGACCTGGGCATGCTTTTCTCATAGAAGAGGAAACTTCAATAAGACATGATAGTTGTTTTGAAGTATTTGTAGGAATGATATGTATAAAAATAGATTAAGTTTATTCTATGTAGTCTGAGAAGTAGGATGTAGGTTATTTGGAAGAAGCAGGGAGACACAGTGTAGAAACATAAATAACTTTTCATCTTAGAGCCGATTTAAAATGAGATAGATACCTCAGAAGGGATGAATTCTACCAGAGGCAATGAAGTGTAGCACTGATGATGACTCACTGGGGATGCTATGTGAACAGAAGAGGCGGAGAAAGCCCATCTACAGAGTCTAGGGCAGTAGAGGGGAGTGGAGGCAGAGAGGAAAACCTGCCCAAATTGCCAGTAACTTTTCGCTTTTTGGTTCTAGCCTTTCTTGAAGCTCAGGCATTTTTGCCTTTGAGTCCTGTGGGGTCATTTCTATAATCCTAAAAAAAATTCTTTATTTCTGTTTAAGCTAATTTCTTGCTCTCATTTTCTAACAAGGAATCTAGTAATGAGAATATCTGTTGGAATTGGAAACATGGAGTTCCTTGGTCACATTTGCCAGTGTAATTTCAGGGCTGCTTTTGGAGTAGACATTAAATTACACTGAAGAGTGAATGAGAGGCGAAGAAGTAGAGGAATCAAGAGTGGTCTGGAAAGTGTGGCTCAAAGCAAGAGGGAATTTTGGAGTCCAAACACTTTTTGTTTTTTGTTTTTTTTTTGCAAAGATAGGAATGACTAGAGCAACTGTATACATTGAGGTAAAACAGACAATTGAATGGGAGAGAGAGAGCAGGTAATAATCGGAGTAAGTTGAGGTAGAAATAAAACAGAATGAGATTATAACCCAAAGAAAGAAGTTAGTTTTGAACTAGAGGAGGAACATCTCATCTTCTGAGGAGACAAAGCAAGAAAGGAAGCTTGGCCTTAAAGGGAGGTAGTGGTGAGACAGGGGGCAAGAAGTTGAAATTCACATGAAGTGTGAAGTGAGATAATTTCCTGAGGGAGGGCTGGGATTGCGGAGGGTAGAGTAGGAAGCCTAAGGAGACAATGAAGTTTGAAGCATCACTTCAGGAAGTGGAAAAGGGATTTGACCAAAGACAGAAGAAGGGGTTGTGGAGCAGGAAGGGGAGCCCAGATAAGACCCTTGATTTAGAGTGATAGCAATTGGAAAATTGTGTGATATTTGCCAATGTGATCAGAAGCTCAGGGAAAGTCTAGATGTGGAGACACATTCCAGGGAGTGTGAAGGGAAGATAGTGATGCAAGGAAGTTGAGAGAACTGTTTTTTTAAAAAGTTATTTGATGGAGGCCAGTCATGGTGGCCCATGCCTGTAATCCCAACACTTTGGGAGGCTGAGGTGGGTGGATCACTTGAGGCCAGGAGTTCGAGACCAGCCTGGCCAACATGGCAAAACCCCCATCTCTACTAAAAATATATACATTAGCCAGGCGTCATGGTGCTCATCTGTAGTACCAGCTACTTGGGAGGCTGAGGGTCCATGGGGATTATCTTTTACCAACTTCTTTAAGGTCGTTTTTGGCAAAAAAGAAACGCTTGTCCTCATGGTGGGCCTAGATGCTGCAGGCAAGATGATGATTCTGTATAAGCTGAAGCTGGTTGAGATTGTGACCACTGTTCCCATCACAGGCTTCAATGCAGATACATGGAGTCTAGGAACGTCAGCTTCACTGTGTGGGACATGGCAGGCCAGCACAAGATCTGGCCTCTGTGGTGCCACTACTTCCAGAACACATAAGGCCTGATCTTTATGGAGGACAGTAGTGACAGAGAGCACATGAACAAGGCCCATGAGGAGCTCATGAGGATGTTGGCTGAGGATGAGCTCTGGAATGCGGTCCCCCTGGTGTTCCCAACAAGTAGGCCCTTCTCAACACCATGAACACCACTGAGATCACAGACAAGCTGGGGCTGCATTCCCTGCTCCACAGGAACTGATACATTCAGGCCACCTGTGGCACCTGTGGTGACCAGCTCCATGAAGGACTGGACTGGCTGTCCAGTCAGCTCCAGAACTGGAAGTGAATGTGACACCCTTCTCCATCTCCCTCGTCCTCTTAAAACCTCTTCTTTACTCCCATGTGGCAAAAAGCTCTGTACTGTGAATGCCAGAAACTGCCTTTGTGGTTTGGCTTATTGTGTGCGTTGCACTGTGCTGTAAATGTGGCAGAAGCAGCCTGTGGCCAGGCTTTTCATTAAATGTAAATAGGTTTTGTTTCCAACAAGACAGTTTCTGGTAGTCACATGCAATATTACTCAGCTTTTTTTTTTAATTGTAAAAAATAAAATCAACTCACTGGTCAGTGCTGAGAGGGATTGTAGGCCCGTGGGCACCTGGCCTCTGGGATTGATCACTGTTTTGGGATTACTGGATGCACCCCTGGCTTTAGAGCTATGTTGAAATCCATTCTTGTGGTTGGTTTTAAGCCTGAACTCAGCCATTTTTAAAATGGTTAAAAATCCAAGTTGAGAACACTTGAACACACAGAAGGGAGACCCTGCCTAGTGTGGATTTGCAGTTATGGCCTGGATGCTAGTCATCAGCTTGGCTGTTCCCCTCAGGAATGTGAGGTGGTGGCCTGTCAGACCACATCAATTCTGCATGATTGCAATAGAGATCCCTGTGACTCACCTGTTCTTGGGTCACTTTGCATCCTATAGCCTTATGCTTGTCCCTGTGCTTCCATGGTTCCTAAGGGCTGGGCTAGGAACCCATTGCCAGCCCACTCTCCCCTAGGCTGGTCAGCTGCCCATCCACCTGCCCACAGCCAGCTCAGGGGACACAGGCCCCACCTGTCCCTTGGTAAGCATATGGCCAGAGTGGGCTCATTGCCTCCAGAACTGACACTCTCTCAGACATATTGGTGGGATGTCTTTGGCATCACCAGCAGGAGTGTGTGTGAGCCAGGCAGGCCATGCTTCTAAACCTACAGACCCTTGGAAGCACCCTATCTCCATGTATGACATAGCTTTCTCTCCCTTAGCTTGCAAGAGTCCAATTTGCTATCAAAAAAGATGACCTCTACTTTTTCTTTTGTATTTTGATGAATACTGCAGAAGCTGGAGCTGTTAAATTATCTTGGGTAAAACCTCAGAACCGGTCTGTTTGATGTCAGGGAATCTTACTTGTTTCAATACACAATTAATAAAAGAAAATGAAAATAATTGCTCTTCAAAATAGATTTCTCCTCTGTCATAGCAGATACACTGAAGCTGCAATTATGACACAGTTACCCTTTGCAAAATTGCGCATAAACTTACTTTCTCCTCATTGAAATATGGGAGTCTTCCTGGCTGACTATGCTGTCAGTGTAGTTTCTGAACAGCTGCTAGAAGCGGACTGGACATCTTGGACCCACTCAGGGCACCAGATGCCCTGCATTAGGGGACTGCTTAGGACTGTTTAAAGCATGGAATTGAGAGGAATTTTTAACTCAACAGCAGAGGAAGTTTTAGTGTGGGCAAAGAGGCCACTAAAAATACTTTGTAAGTACTAGTTTCCTGTGGCTTCTGTGACAAATTACTACAAGTGCAGGAGCTTAAAACAACACAGGATTTATTCTCTTAAAGTTTGGGAGGCCAGAAGTCGAAAACCAAGGTATTTTCAGGACGATGCTCCTTCTGCAGGCTTCAGGGCAGAATCTGTTTCCTTCCCTATTTCAGCTTCTAGAGGTCACCTGCATTGTTTGAGGATGGCCCCTTCCTTTCCTATTCCTTACCTCCAATCTTTCGCTTCTGTCCTCATATCTCCTTCTACTGAGTCTGATCTTTCTGCCTAGCTCTAATAAGGACCTTGTGATTCCATTAGTGATAACTGGATAATCTAGGATCATCTGTTTTCTTTCTTTTTTTTTTAATTTTAGGTCTAGGGGTACATGTGCAGGTTTGTTATATAGGTAAACTTGTGTCACAGGAGTTTGTTCTGTAAATGATTTCATCACCCAGGTACTATACCTAGTGCCCAACAGTTATTTTTTTCTGTTTCTCTCCCTTCTCCCAAACTCTACCCTCCAGTAGGCCCCTATGTTTGTTGTTCTCTTCTTCTCTTGGTGTCCATTTGATCTCATTATTTAGCTCCCACTTATAAGTCACAACATGTGGCATTTGGTTTTCTGTTTCTGCATTAGTTTGCTAAGGATTATGGCTTCCAGCTCTATCCATGTTCCTGCAAAGGACATGATCTTGATCTTTTTATGGCTGCATAGTATTCCATGGTATATATGTACCACATTTTCTTTAATATGTCATTAATGGGCATTTAGATTGATTCTATGTGTTTACTATTGTGAATAGTGCTGCAGTGAACATATGTGTGCATGTGTCTTTATGGTAGAACAATTTATACTCCTTTGGGTATACACCCAGTAATGGGATTGCTGGGCTGAATGGTAGTTCTGTTTTTAGCTCTTTGAGGAATCACCACACTGCTTTCCACAATGGCTGAACTAATTTACACTCTCACCAACAGTATATAAGTGTTCCCTTTTCTTCACAACCTCGCCAGCATCTGTTATGTTTTGACTTTTTAATAGTAGCCATTCTGACTGGTGTGAGATGGTATCTCATTGTGGTTTTGCTTTGCCTTTCTCTGATTATGAGCGATACTGAGCTTTTTTCCCCCCCATGTTTGTTGACTCTATTTATGTCTTCTTTTAAAAACTGTCTGTTCATGTCCTTTGCTCACTTTTTAATGGGGTTGTTGTTTTCTTGTAAATTTATTTAAATCCCTTATAGATGCTGGATATTAGATTTTTGCCAGATGCATAATTTGCAGATACTTTCTCCCAATCTGTAAGTTGTCTGTTTACTCTGTTAATAGTTTCTTTTGCTATGCAGAAGCTCTTAAATTTAATTAGATCCCATTTGTCAATTTTTGCTTTTGTTGCAATTGGTTTTGGGATCTTCCTCATGAAATCCTTGCCAGTTCCTATGGTATTGCCTAGGTTGTCTTCCAGGGTTTTTATAGTTTTGGGTTTTACATTTAAATCTTTAATCCATCTTGAGCTGATTTTTGTATATGGTGTAAGGAAGGGGTCCAGTTTCATCTTCTGAATATGGCTAGTCAATTATCCCAGCAACATTTATTGACTAGGCAGTCCTTTTCCCATTGGTTGTTTTTGTCAGCTTTGTCGAAGATTGGATGGTTGTAGGTGTGCAGCCTTATTTCTGGGCTCTCTATTCTGTTCCATTGGTCTATGTGTCTATTTTTGTACTAGTATTGTGCTGTTTGGATTACTGTAGCCCTGTAGTATGGAAATCAGGTAACATGATATCTCCAGCTCTGTTCTTTTGGCTTAGGATTGCCTTGGCTATTCAAGCTTTTTCTTTGGTTCCATATGAATTTTAAAATAGTTTTTTTCTAGTTTTGTGAAGAATGTCATTGGTAATTTGATTAGGAATAGGATCAAATCTGTAAACTGCTTTGGGTAGTACGGCTATTTTAACAATATCGATTATTTCCATCCATGAGCATGGAATGTTTTTCCATTTGTTTGTGTCATCTCTGATTTATTTGAGCAGCATTTTGTAATTCGCATTGTAGGGATCTTTCATCTCCCTGGTTAGCTGTATTCCTGGGTATTTTATTCTTTTTGTGGCAATTGTGAATGGGTTTGCATTCCTGATTTGGCTCTTGGTTTGGCTGTTGTTGGTGTATAGGAATGCTAGTGATTTTTGTACATGGGTTTTGTATCCTGAAACTTTACTGAGGTTGTTTAACAGTTGAAGGAGATTTTGGGCTATGACTCTGGGGTTTTCTAGATATAGACTCATGTTGTCCGCAAACAGGTATAGTTTGACTTCCTCTTTTCCTGTTTGGATGCCCTTTATTTCTTTCTCTTGCCTGATTTCTCTGGTCAGAACTTCCAATACTATGTTGAATGGAAGTGGTGAGAGAGGGCATCTTTGTTTTGTGCTGGTTTTCAAGGGGAATGCTTCTAGCTTTTGCTCATTCAGTGTTATGTTGGCGGTGGGTTTGTTATGGATGGCTCTTATTATTTTGGGGTATGTTCCTTCAATACCTAGTTTATTGAGAGTTTTTACATGAAGGGATGTGAATTTTATCAAAGGCCTTTTCTGCATCTATTGAGATCATGTGATTTTTCTCTTTCATTCTGTTTATATGATGAATCACATTCATTGATTTGCATATGTTGAACCAGCCTTGCATCCGAGGCATAAAGCCTACTTGACTGTGATGGATTAGTTTTTTGATGTGCTGCTGGATTTAGTTTGCAAGTATTTTGTTGAGGATCTTTATATCAATCTTTATCAAGGATATTGGCCTGAAGTTTTCATTTATTTTTGTGTCTCTGCCAGGTTTTGGTATCAGGGTGATGCTGGCCTCAAAGAATGAGTTGGGAAGGAGTCCTTCCTCTTCAATGTTTTGGAATAGTTTCAGTAGGAATGGTACCAGCTCTTCTTTTTACCTTTAGTAGAATTAAGCAATCCTAAGCAAAAAGAGCAAAGTTGGAGGCATCACATTACCTGATTTCAAATTTTACTACAAGGCTATTGTAATCCAAACAGCATAGTACTAGTGTAAAAATAGACACATAGATCAACAGAACAGAATAGAGAATAGAAATAAAGCCACATAGCTATAACCACCCGATCTTTGGCAAGTTGACAGAGATATACAATGGGGAAAGGACACCCTATTCAAAAAATGGTGCTGGGAAAATTGGATAGCTATATGCAGAAGAATAAAATTGGATTCCTATCTCTCAACATATATAAAAACTAACTCAAGATTGATTAAATACTTAAATATAAAACCTGAAACTATAAAAATTCTAGAAGAAAACTTAAGGAAACCTCTTCAGGACATTGGCCTATGCACAGAATAATTGACTAAGACCTTAAAAGCAAATGTGACAAACCCAAAAATAGACAAATGGGATTTAATTAAACTAAAAAGCTTCTGCACAGCAAAAGAAATGATCAATAAACATCCAACTTACACAATGGGAGAAAAAATTTGGAAACTGTGTTTCTGACAAAGGACTAAATATTCAGAATCTGCAACAAACTCAAACAACTCAACAAGAAAAAAAGAAATAACCTCATTAAAAAGTGGGCAAAGGACATGAACAGAAAATTCTCAACAGATAACAAACATGAAAAAATACTGAACATCATTTATTATCAGAGAAATGCAAACTAAAACCACAATAAGAGACCATCTCACACCAGTCACAATGGCTATTACTAAAAACTAAAGAAAAAAAACCCCAACAGATATTGAAAAGGATGCAGAGAAAAGAGAATGCTTATACACTGTTGATGGGAATGTAAATTAGCACAATCACCATGGAAAGCAGTATGGAAATTTCTCAAAGAACAAAAATAAAACTACCTTCTTATTCAGCAATCCCACTACAGGGCATCTATGAAAAGGGAAAGAAATTATTATATCAAAAAGATATTGGCACTTGTATGTTTATTGCAGCACAATTCACAATAGTAAAGATATGGAATCAACCTAAGTGTCCATCAATGGAGGACTGGATAAAGAAAATGTGGTATCTATATACCCTGGAATACTACTCAGCCATAAAAAAGAATAAAATCTTGTCTTTTCAGCAACATGGGTGGAGCTGGAGACTATTATCCTAAGTAAAATAACTCAGAAACAGAAAATCAAATACCACTTATAAGTGGGAACTAAACAATGGGTACACCTGGACATGGACATATAGATGGAAATAATAAATACTGGAGGCTCCAAAAAGGATGAGGGTCAGAAGAGGGTGAGAGTTGAAAAATTACATGTTGGATACAATGTTCTTTATTCATGTGATGAGTACACTAGAATCCCAAATTCCACCATACACAATATAACAATGTTCATTATTCATGTGATGAGTACATTAGAAGCCCAAACTCTGCCATACACAATATATCCATGTAACAAACCTGCACACATGTACCTTCTGAATCTATAAATTTTTAAAAATAAAACAATTTGCATAATTTCAGAGTATTCTGTTGTATGAATATGCATACTTTTATTTTATATTAATATTTTATTGAGTGATTGCTTGCTGGAGACAGGATCTCACTATTTTCACCAAGCTGGTCTCAAACTCCTGGCCTCAAGCAATGCTCCTGCCTCTGCCTATGAAAGTGCTGGGATTACCAGCATGAACCACCATGACCAACCCTAAAATTTTATCTATTAAAAAATATTCGTGGGCATCTTCAATACTGTTAAATGACTTTAAAAACTGGACAAAAATGTTTTAAAAAGGAGTGAATATTTTAAAGCACATATTAATAGTGTAAATAGTCATCTGGAAGCATTGAATGTGTTCATGCTTCTTCCATGGTTTATGAGAATGCCTGATTCCATATGTTCTCATGAGTATTGAATAATGTCATGCTTTTAAAAATCTTTTCCAATTAGATATTTAAAAATTGTCTTCTCGATGAAGCATATTTTGTCCCTGTTTTTTAGCCATCTGTATTTCTTCTCTGTTGCATTGTCTGCTTGGAGTGGCAAAACATTTGAAGTTTTGCTATATTAAAAGTATGCCCTTATGGTTTCTGTTTTTATCACTGCTTAAAAAAATGTATCCTAATATCAAATAAATCCTGATCTAGTTAATTCATGATTTTACTTTTTAAATTCAACTTATTTATTTATTTCAAGTTTATGTTTCTCTAATGTCCAAGGTGGGATCTAATTTCATTTTTCGTTTCTGAAAGGTAAACTAATTGTTCTAGAAAGAACTACTGACTTATCTATCTGTATCAGTTAGGAATTTCTTTAAATAGGATAATGAAGCTGACAATGATGAAGCTTTTCAGTTAAATGATAATCTCTAGCTTTTAATCAGAGTGGTGGACCATTTATATTTAATGTAATTATTAATATGGTTGAGTTTAAATCAACTTTCTCATATTTGTTTTCTATTTGTTACACTATTTATATTCCTCCTTAAAATCCTTGTTTTATATTAAGTAATTTTAAGTATTTTATTTCAACTATTGATTTATTTGCTATTCTTTTTGCTATTTTTCTTAGTGGTTGCTCTAGAGTTTAGAATACACATTTTAAAACTTATCAGAGCCTACTATGAAATACTATTACACTACTTCACATGAAATGCAGACTCTTACAGCAGCAAAATTTTAGTATCCCCTCCCTATTCTTTGGGCTTTCACTGTCATATATTTTATTTCTGCATATGTTCTAAACTTCACAATACATTATTGTTATTTTGCTTTAAGCATAAAACAAATGAACAAATGAGAAAAAATATTTTTATTTACTTACATATTTACCACCTCCAGCACACATTATTCCTTTCTGTAAATCTGAATTTTAATGTTATCATTTTCCTTCTACTTGTAGAACTTTCTTAACATTTATTGTAGTGCAAGTGTGGACTATATTTTATGAAATAAATACTGATTTAAATCAATCAATCAAATCAGTCAATATCTTCTATTTACAAAAGTCAATCATTTTAAGAGTCTACTCTTCTTTGTAGTCTTTAGAATATTTTTAATTTTTATTTCTCTGAAATTTCTTTCTATAGTTCCAAGTGTGAATTTTTCCTCTTTGTTTATTGTCAAAGTGAGATTTATTTAGTCTTGAGCTTCTCAAACGTACAGCGGCTGGATGTGGGTGGAAAGGCATAGTCTTTAATTGACCATTAACTTGGTAATATTCAAATCCCTTCATATCCATTTCCAAGTTCTTTCATGCGCACAGTTCCCATTTCAATTCTCATTATCCAGAAGGTATTCTTCTAGTAAAACTCTATTATACCAAGGAAGAAAAGAAATCTTTCTTATTTCCTAATATTCTTGTTACCTAATATTTTTAACTCCTTGATTTATGTAACACATGAAACATCACAATTCCCAATGTACACAGTCACCAAGGCTCCTCTCTGTTGGCTTCCACACACAAATCTTTACATGTGGAGGGTCTATACTTCCCAGAAACCATGTCTTATTGTAGGTTGTTTCTCTTACCTCTCAGCTACTTTTACAGGAATTATTGTCTCCAACTAAATGTTGGAAATTAGTTTTGGCTGAGAGTGAGGCAGTGATGTGTCTAACTCAATTGGACTGATGTAATGCTTCTGTAAGAAAAATGGGTACATTTTTATTAATATTGATGATTTGAAAACTATATTTCTAGATTTTACATATTCCCTCCTTGAAATGGGATACCATCATCCAAAACTAATCAATTGTTGGGGGGGGGGGTGGTCTTTAAATTGCTCTGTACTTCCATCCTGCTTATTATCTTGACTTCTATTTGTTTGAGAAATAAGCTCGAAATGTAATTATCTCAAATAAGGAGACTTCAAGTCTGGAATATAATGCTTAGAAAAGTAATTGGCTTTTAATGCTCTTACTCATGATCCCTAAGGCTCTATTTGGATGAAAATACCAGAGACACTTGGAAAACTGTCTCTAAAAAACTTTAATGATGATTGACTTGATTCAGAAAAATTATTCACTAACCCCCACCTCATTCTCTATGTTAAATATTGAAATATAAAGTTATTGACTCTTAGTCAAATAACGAACTTGGCCACGTATGCCTGTTTCAGCTGTGGTAGCTTACTTCTGCAGGGTCAAGTAGTTCCAAATGAAATTGAATAAACATGGGGGTATTCAGACACCATGGATTATATTTAAATCCTAGACATTAAAATTTACGTGGATTTGAGACAGCATTTGTTGAAAATAACATAGTAGGAAGGCTTTCTTCTTCAATATCCTCAAAGTTAATATTTTTGAATCTCATGATACAGGGCTGACTAGTTTCTGAAAAAAAAGAAAGAATAAACCTGTAGTAGTAATTTATCATTCTTGACATTTTTCTTTCAGTTTAATTACCGCTGAGCAGCAGAACTGACACTTAATAAAAGTAAGAAGCATTTAAAAATCCTCATAGAAAATCTCCACATTACAGGAGAATTGAAAAGCTATAAGATACACCTGACCACACCCATCATCTTATTTTATCGTTGAATTTCAAAGTACTCCATGTTAAAGCTTTAAAGACAATGGGACCCCAAAAGAGTAATGTGCTGATAGCCAGTAGGGCACCTGCTTCTGAGAGTCCATAATGTCTTTAATTTTTAAAGATTTTTAAAAAATCTTGCTCTCTTTTCTCCTCATTACAGTGGTATGGAACCCTGTGGCCAAAATTCAGAGGGAAGTTGCACTGTTTCCCAAGTGACTCATTTACTATCAAATATCCTGAAAAACCAATCTTTTTGTTCTCTTTTTGCTTGACTGTAAGAATGAGCCCAGAGGACAGGCCCTTAGATAAGGGCAGAAAGCATAGCCCAATACAATGTAGTTTGATGGGCCAGGAGGTACCTCTGGCCTCTGAATTCTCCCCTCTCACCTCTCCTGATGCCCAACATTCATATCTTTTGAACATTAATTTTTTTTCAGACTTTCAGAGTCTCCCATTAAAAGGACCCTATTAAAGTAGCATTAAGTAGTCTGACAATAAGACCTTTAGGATATAAAATAGAAATAGGAAGAAAGGAGCTACTTTAGGAAGATGATAAGAGAAGATAAACTCTTATTTAACCCCCTATTATGCAGTGGACATCTGTGACTTAGGTACAGATATGGAAACTAAAGCTCAGAGATATCCAGTGATTTGCCTAAGGTCACATGGCTAGTTAATAGCACGTAAGAGTTTTCAAAGACAAGCATAAGCAAGGTATCTTCCTTCCCACAGTGTAGTACTAAGGTCAGTTTTACATAGTGAATAGTTCCTAAATCATTGCAATAAATGGCAATGGCAACAATCACCTTTAGAGATCTGGAGCATTTAAATATTTGTTGAATGAGACAGTAATGATCTGACTTAGTTTTCTGCTGAAAAAAAAAACCGTGAAAATCCCATTGAAATGAACTGAGATATTATAGATTAATTACTCCTGGAAAGATAGCAAAGCAATATTCTTCAGGTATAAGAAATATAAGCATCATTTACAAACTTAACACCAGAAATGACTACATAACAAACCTATAAGCTTAGTAACATAGGATGTGGGTTAGATGTGGCAAGAAAATTACACTTAGAAGAAATAAATCAATTTCCATTAGCCAAATTTCATGGATTAAAAGAATAAGCACACTAGATAAAAGGTAAAAGTTAATGGGATTTTGAAGCAATTTCATAACTATTTAAAAATACTCAAGCTACACAGTGTCAAAACAGTCATAAGATATGGGGGGGAAATAATCAAAAGCATAATTACTAGAATTGAATGCTGTTGTTTTCATGGAATTAAACATCATTTAAAAAGTCAAAAATATTTAGTGAGCCCCAATTAAATGTTTAAAATTCCAATTCTCTTTGACATTCCCACCTCCAAAGAAGTATCAGGAGACCTACGCATACCATGTGCTGAATGGCTGGGTGTTATGTAGGACTCAAAGGTGGAAGGAAGTGGTCTCTCTTCCCCTCTAGGAGTTCACAACTGGTTGAAGCGACAGATACATATACTTATTATGTCTTCAAAGCCAAGTGGTGTGGTAACTGTTTTAAGAGAGTTTTAGATCTAGTGCTATGGAAGGCTTGTGAGTGCGACATTAACATTCACGGGTGCTGTTAGTGGTGTTATTTGAAGGAGAGAGAAAGATGTCCCCAAGTTACCTACAGCCTGATTCGGATAAGAAAACTAATACCCTGGAACATAGATTTTGATTCAGCCAGACTTGTTCTGCCTGTGGGGAGACAGCCTTGAATCGGAAGCAAAACAACTCATTTTATGCTTTTTCCCCATTCTTTTCTCCCGCTGGCTTGTTGAGATTCTCCCAACGTGATAGTATGTACTTCTATTTTAATGACAAAAGGCTGTCGTGATTTCTCTTGGACCACAGTGATTTTGGTATGCTTATCCGTTTTTAAAGTCATGTTGGTGGTTGAATTTATACAAAATGTTTAAAATTTCCTGGAACAAAACCAGCTGTAACTTATCAGAGGAAGAAAATAATACAGAAATACTTGCAAACAAAAGAAAAGACAAACAACCCTTCCCTCAAATCTACAAAGAAACTCACACAGACACATCAATTGCCAGCGTACAATATGATGCTTCTGACCTTTCACCTGTTGAGCTGTTAATGAGTTGTTTCCCTGGTTGTGGCGCTATACCATGAATTATCCACATTTTATTCCCTTCATTTGCATGTTCTTAGTATCAGGGTGAATCCAGGTATGTGACTGGGAGAAAATTCTGGCCAGCCAGCTCTGAGAGAGAACATGAGGCCACCTGTCTGTACCTGCACCTGCTTTTAGATACCCATTGATTCAGTAAACTTCTAATGAGTGCCTACTATGTAGCAGGCACAGTCACAGACATGGGGGATGCACCTGTGGACAAGGCTGACGCAGCTGCCGCCATCTTGGAATTTACTGTGGGGTCGAGAGGAAGGATGTTACCAACAGGCAAGTGTGAGTTGTATTATAGCTGTACATATGGCAAGTGCTTGCTAAGGGAAATGGCGGAAGCATAGAGGTGAGATCTTTAACCTGGAAGTGATGTCCACGTTGTGTCCTAAGGAACACATAGGAGTTAGCCAAGCGGAGGGCAGGAATGAGGTGGGGGAGTGTTCCAGGCAGGGGAGCAGCATGCATAAAAGCAGAGGCTAGAGGGAGCACGCTTGATGTGCACGCTGAATGCAGAGAAGGAGGAGGGGAGTTCAGGAGGGGAGGCCAGAGAGGTAAGTGGAACCAGGTCCCAAAAGGTCTGATTTTCTTCACTGAACTCATCTACTCTTCTTCTAGAACTCAGCCTGGTGAGATGGGCATTCAATGTTTGTTTTTCTGGTCTGTGATATTTTTCTCATTACCCCACTCCCCAACCTTCCCTTCCAGGGACACAGCTGGGAACAAGGCTCAAGGCCTCTAGGCTGTATTCACATTAGTATGTATAAAGTCACCATCTCCACTGCTCTTAAGAATCAGCTTGAGTTTTAGAAGGAGGGAGTGTGTGAACTGAGAGTGTGGTTTTGTGCCTGGTTCAATATATGAAAGGAGTAATTGTGCTTTTGGAGAGTAAAGGGCTCATAGGCTATGGGTTTGGAAATTTTCATTGAGTGTCTTCAGTGGAATTTCATTTAGTGGACTCATCGCCTAACTTTCCAGGAAGCTGAGATGCTTAGTGGGAGTTATATTTTGGTTTCCCACTGCAAGAGATGTATTGAGGCCTATGTTTTGGCTGTTTTGTTCTTGTGAGATTAGAGAGGCTGCTCTAGATACATTTCCAAACTCACCTGGGGATATTGGTGCTCTGTGAGCATTTAAATAATATATATAATTTAAATATATGTATATAATATATAATTTATATAACATGTATGTAATATATATTATATATAATTTAAATAGTTATATATATATATATAAGTTTAAGTTCAGGAGTACATGTGCAGGTTTGTTACATAAGTAAACGTGTGTCACGGCGATTTGTTGTACAGATTATTTCATCGCCCAGGTATTAAGCCTAGTACTTCTTAGTTATTTTTCCTGGTCCTCTCCCTCCTCCCACCCTCCACCCTGCTAAAGGCCCCAGTGTCTGTTGTTCCCCCTCTATGTGTAGGAGAATCTTTAACTGACTGGAAAGCAACGAGGATGTAGCGAAGCTTCCTTATACAGATTCCACTGTGCAGAAGGGCAAAGCTCTTTTGCCTTCTTGATATGTAAGGCAATGAAAAATATATTGATCCAGTTTATTCTATTGATTTGGAGATGCCTTTTTATGAGGGGAGAGAAGCAGCTTTTCTTGACCGGAGATGAGACTGACCCTACTGTTATATTAAAAGCATCTTTCTCCAAGGTGAATACCTGTCACTGACCTGGCAGCAGGGATAGCTCTCTAACTCAAGAGGATGACGGACAATTGAGCTTTAGGCAGTCATTGAAAGACTTGATATTTTTCAAATAGCTTGGTAGAGGGAGTAATTAAGAATGAAGATGTCCGTAAGAAACCCTGGCTGTCATTCATTCCAGTCTCAGGACATGTACAGTGCTAGGTCAGAGCGTGCTGTTTGATTACCCTGTATCCATTGCCCATCCTGCTTTACTCATTAATTTTTTTTAGGGCATCAATATGCCTAGCTGAAAACAACAACAACCTACATTCCCAAATCTCTCTTGACCTAGAGGAGGTCATGTGATAAAATTTTGGCCAATAATGCATAAACTACAGTGTTTGGTTTCTGAAAACAGTTGTTTTTCTGCTACAGATGCTGTGCTTTTTTGGCTTTTCCATTCTCTCCTTCATGCCTACAATGTGGACATGATATTTGGATGCTAGGGATAATGAGTAAAAGGCCACACAGAGACAGTGTCCCTGAAATCTTTGAGCTGCTGTGCTAGTGACAGCAGCTGCTATCCTCAGACTTTGTAATTTATAATAAACTTACATGTCTAAACCATGGAAAACAGATCTCTCTTACTTGCAGACAAACCCAATTCTTAACTGCCACAAATGCCTTCAGGGACGAAAGAGAAATCTGGCAGAAGATCCATCTTGGGCATGGGAGTCCCAGAGCATTCCTCCAGGACATGACTGTGCAGAGGTTTGTCTGCTGACCTTGGAAGCCTTTGCTCAGGAAGTACAGGAACAGTGAGAGTGCATTATGCAGGCCAACTGGCACAGTCTGTCCATGTGTTCACAATATGCCTTGAACATTGTCCCTTTCTCTATTTAAACCTAATTGTATGTCCCCCTGAGAACTAGTTTTGTTTAAATTATAGCTGACTGTTCTAGATCTATTAAATAGTGATATTATGTCTAATGGACCTTGACTTTACTCTTTTTCTTATTATATGCGAACAGGTGGGAGAGAAGGGATACTGAATACAATTATGCATTTCATTACTGTTTAATTGATTCATTCATCAAATAATTATTTAGTGCCCACTCTATACCAGGCACTGTGTTAAGTTTTGGGGATACAGTGATGAACATGATAGATGGTGTCTCTGTTGTATGGTCTAGACTTGGGATAATATTTTACCTTATTAATTGCTTGCTATGAGCTGGGTATTGTATTGGGTACGTTGTACACATTATCTGATACAATCTTCATGCCAAACCTATGAGATTAGTTATCATAGTCTTTTGAAGATTTAAAAATAAAAATGAATATCAGACTAATTTTATGAATATGTTACTATGGCTAGAAGGTGGGGGTGTTGGGATTCTACCCGACTTCAAGGTTATAATCTTAACTAATTTGGAAATCCCCAATGACTCTGTTTCTGTTAGGGAATATATGAACCCCACATGCCCTAACACTGGCTTAATGAGTGGTAGGAATAGAGGTGGAGATGGGCACTAAGGGGGAAGTGGGTGGAAAGAGGCTTCCTTTATAGAGAAGACATCATGAAGGAAGATATCAGGATATTCGAGTGGATGCTGTGTTCAAGTCATGGCAAAGTGAGAGACATGTTGTGAGCAATGTGATGTTTGCGTCTCTCTCTCTGTTGCCCAGGGCATAGCTTGGGTGTCTTTCTGCTATCCTGTTGGGTCAGTTGGAGCAAAGGGCCATTTTGTTCCTGTGATTTCTGCACATTTCTGCTGGAGATGTGAACCAACAGGCTACGGTTGATGGGGCACATGGTATCCTGGAGCCTAAGAGATAGGCGAAGATTGGGACAAAGTGTTGGGTAGTGCCAAAGCAAGAACAGGTCAGGAGGGCTAGTCATACGATGGATTGAGGCATTAGATACCAAGAAAAGATGTGTGTTCCAGACCAGCTCTGGCTTGGTAATCAGACAGAGGTCAGAAAAAGTCAGATGGCGGAATCTGGGTTAGTGTCCCATAGGGGCATAGAGCAGATTCTTACTGTCTTATATGGGACAGCACGAGTCATTCCCAGCCAGCCCCACTTCTGAGACATCTATTCTAGGCATTAAAGAATTAGACCTTTTAAGGCCTTGCTGCTCTTCTAGAATGGACCTTGCATTCTCTGTATTTTCTCAGAGACTCTCATTTTTCATTTCCTACAGCATATTTAAATCTTAGGGCAAATTGGAACTCAGCCATCTGGGTTGTCCTCTAGGCTGGGTAGAAACTCATTCACTGGAGTCCATGGATACATTTTTAAAAGAAATTTAGATATTCTCTCTCCCACCCTCAAGAATTGGGGATCTTGACCCAGATTCTGTAACCAATGACATTAATTTGTGAGCTGGATGACCACCACAGAGCAACCTCCTGTGGCTATAGCACAGTTTTTCTCTGAGCACAGCTCACTTCTCTGAATAGAGATGACACCTGTGGCTCTGATCCCAGGGGATACTACATTAATTGAGCTGATCTATTTAGCATGGGCACAACAGCTGAATCAAAGGTAAGGGTTAAAGAATGCTGCCAGCCATCTGGGCACAAATAGACTCTTTACCATCTTTATGATTGGCTCATCAGAGAGTGTTGATGTTTTTCCTTGACTTTTCTAGGAAAGAGCTCATCCACCATGATGTTTTGATGATTTGGGCCATCTGTAAGAAAAGCAGCTGTTTTACTCCAAAAAGGGTATTTGAAAGAGTGATTATATGTTCCCCGTGATCCTTTGAAAATGAGGAAGGGCATATTTTTTAATAGAGCTAAACTTTTAAAAACTCAAATTTGAAAAATCAACTGTAATATCTTTTCTCCCACAGAGAACATTCTCTTAGGAAATAGCCTGTTATGTCGTTATCAGTTTGTCATCTACCTTTTATTTTACAGATAATCTCTGTAGGTGACTGTGAAAAACCTCCCAGATTTTTCCTTTTATGTAGACTATCATTGAGATAATATTTCTTCTAGATTTTCATCCTATTTGGAAATGATTATCATTCATCTCCAGATGTTTTGAGATAATGTCTTCCCTTTTTCCATTTTCTATTATTTCAAGTATTTCCCCTTATTCTTGTATAATTTAACAAATTAAATCACATCTTTCCTATACTTCCTTTTTCTAGTTTAAGTCTTTGTTATCTCTTTTCAGAATCTCTTTTCAATGCTTTCTTAATGATATTGAAATTTTAGAGGTAATTCACAATTATGTTCTCTTACCACATTAAAGCATATGCATATATTTCAAGGACACAGGAAGTTCCTGTAGGCTATTTTTAAATATGCTTTAATTTTCCTGATTTCTATTAAAAACCTTTAAAATATAATCTTTCATTTCTCTAAAGTCTTAGAAAATATTGATTCAAAACGACTTAAATGTTTACTTTTCTTAGGAGTGAAACACTGAGTAATTTTTTTGAATTTTAAGGTATTGATCCACTCCTTATATTTTCAACCCAAATCTATTTGGTTGCTTATTGAAAAAAAAAGATTGCATTTCTAATCTGTGAATATAGTTTTTTCTGCAAGATGATAATAGTTTGGGTGGAAAATTTCTGAAGAAAGTCTTCTCAGGGAAAGTGTTATTAAATTCACCAAACATTTACTAAGCACGGACTGCTCTATGTTCCTAGCTTTTGGTAAGACAATCAAGATGAATAAGACTGTATTTTTTTCCTCAAGCTGCTTATAAGAGATACGTAAGCAGAGTCAGATACAAGCTATGGGAGAATATGGGATGAAGGTTAATTTTAACTGAAGAAATCACAGAAGGTGGCATTTGAAAGGCTGAGAGAACTACGATGGATAAGGAAGGAGAGAAAGGACATTCAGGCAGAGAGAGTAAGAGCATAAGGTGAGGGAATTATGCAAAAGACCAGGGAGTAAAACAGCCATATGTGCAGTAATGCTGGAGTGCAGGGCATGTTGGGAGATAAGTTCGGGAGAGCAGGTGGGCCAGATTCTGGGAGACCTTGAATCTCATGTTAAAGAGATTGCATTTCTTAAAATTAAACAAATTTAAAAATTTGTTTTAGAATAGAGATGGGGTCTTGCTGTGTTGCCTAGGCTGGTCTCAAACTCCTAGGTTCAAGCAATCCTCCCACCTCAGCCTCCCACAGTGCTGGGATTACAGGTGTGAGCTACCACACCCAGCCAAGAGACTGCATTTTAATCTGTATTCAGTAAGGAACTGCAGAAGGATTTGAGCAGAAAAATGATTTGGTCATTCTGATGTATTGTAGAAAATGGGTTAAATCATGCTGAGGTCAAAACCTGAGACATCAGATTTAAAAATGATTGCAAAGAGAAAGATGTAGAGAAGTAGCATTTATGACAGTCTCTACTGTGTTTCTAAAATGACAGTGAGTATGCCATAGTCTTCATTACAGGAGGGTACATACAAGGAGATAGTTTTTTTTTCCTCCATAAAGTGAAAGCAAGATTATTAAGAGAGTAAAGGAATAAAAGAATGGCTACTTCATAGCCAGAGCAGCAGCATGGGCTGCTTGACTAAGGATACTTTTTGTCACTTCTTGATTATATGCCAAACAAGGGGTGGATTTTTCATGAGTTTTCCAGGAAAGGGATGGGCAATTCCCCGAACTGAAGGTTTTCCTCCCTTTTTGACAGTATAGGGTAACTTCCTGATATTGCCATGGCATCTGTAAACTGTCACAGCACTGGTGGGAGTGTCTTTTAGCATGCTAATGCATTATAATTATTGCACAATGTGGAGTGAGGACAACCAGAGGTCACTCTGGTTTTGGTGGGTGTTGGCTGGCTTTTTTATTGCAACCTGTTTTTATCAGCAAGGTCTTTAAGACCTTTATCTTGTGCTGACCTCCTATCTCATCCTGTGACTTAGAGTATGTAAACTACTGGGAATGCAGCCCAGCAGGTCTCAGCCTTGTTTTACCCAGTCCCTATTCAAGATGGAGCTGCTCTGGTTCAAACACCTCTGACATATTCCCTCGCCTCCCTTTTATAAGAGAACCCTTAATCCTAAGGGTTGTAGGAGGATGAAGACCCACCTTCTATAAATTCTTCAGGCTGAATAGGAGTGATGATATTCCTGCCTAACTATTAGTGTCCTTTGTATTAAGGAGAGAGACAAGCTTAGTCAGAAAGCATCAGCATGGTAAGGACCATTCATAACTCTGACAAAAGGTAATATCTGGAGGATTAATAAGTGTTCAATTTAAGAAAACATTCAGTAAACTTATCCTGTATTCCTACACAAAGAGTACAACAGCAAATGTATTTCATAACAGTAAAGCAAAATAAGCAAAATTACCCCAAATAAACCAAATTAGAAGGCTTTCCATGAAGTGGGCAACTGTTGGAACCAAGCTGATATGGGGTTGCTAGCTGATTCCAATATGTGCCCAGAATTAGAATATTGATCCAGATTTTTTTACATTACCCATCCCTCTTGTTTCTTTTGAGCTATAGCCAGAGATCACTGGTTGGTTTACAGGAATAAGCAGGGTTAGTCTAAATTGCAGGAAACAAGCTTTAAAAAGCTTAAAAATGAGACTAGAATCTAACAATGAATGTACCATAGTTCTTGAAACATATTTTTTTTTTCTCCGTGCAGTTTCCCATTTTTACTAAAGACAAATCACGGTAAGATCAATTTGCTTTATTATACTTGGCCTGATTATTTGTATAAAGTGCAGCAAGAATAATAATTTTTTTACATAGGCTTTTAAAATTGGTTTTGATGGAACTTTGTTCCATAAGGAATCTCAGATAAGACTTTTTTTAAAGCCAAGCTCAGCCATGGGTTTGTACCCTTAAATACCTATGAACTGGGTAAATTCCTTTTCTCTTGAGGTCCCAAGGTTATGTGGGGCTCCTGGGACTGTAAGAAAGTGACATTCTGTACTTATCACAGGTCAGGAACCCTGTACAGGGACTGCGTAGGCAAAGTATGAAGCTAGTTTTCCCAAGGGGCTTTTATTGGCCCTATAAGTCAAGTTTGACTCCTTAAAGGAAAGCATGCCATTCCAGTCAAATCCTTGGTCAGATAAGCAGTTTCTAAGGGAGGTTGTTTGAACACAAACTTAGTCATGCTAAATGTGGCAGATATTACTAATGTTTACTAATTTCCTTTTCTTTCTGTGTTCAAAGAGCACTGGGCTTCCCAGGTCCTTGAAGTTAGGCATGGCTGTCATTTCCAGGTGGAAGCACATAAGAACTGGTGTATGTTTAACTGTTTTCTTCCCTGCCACTGCACTCATGGAAATATATGTGGATATAGAAGTGCCACAAAAACCAAATGGCCTATAATTCTGAGCTAGCACATGGAAGGTAGTACCTTAGAGTCATCCTGACCTGAAGTAAACTTTGGGTACACAGAAATAAACTTTTGCTGCATTAAACCTCTGAGATTTTGGTGGTGATTGTTCCTGAAGCAAAACTTAGTAGACCAGGCCTATCTAATAGAACTTTCTATAATGATTGGAGTGTTCTGTATCTGCACTGTCTGGTATGGTAGCCACTAGCCACATACAGCTATTGAGCACTTTAGGTGTGGCTGGTGTGACTCAGGAAAAGAATGTTTAATTTTATTTAGTCTCAATTCATTTAAATAAGCATTGTAAACCAAAAAGTGACTGAGTCAGGTCTCAATTGATTAGAGGTTTACTTAGCCAAAGTTGAGGACTCACCAGGGAAAAAACATGAATCACAGGAGCATCTGTCATCTATGCTTTTTCCAAAGGGGATTTTGTGAACTTTGGTATTTAAAGAAAAAAGAGCATGTAGAGTGGGTGGGGAGTGGGTGGGGGGGTGGGGAGGGAAGGAGGGTAGGCAGTGAGGCACGTGGTTACATTCTTGTGAGACTCTGATTAGCCTCAGTAAACCTACATTTTACATGTGAAAGTAGGGAGTAGGGGAAGCGAGGCTATGACATGGGTTGTGAAATTACAGCAATCTGGAAATAAAAGGAAAACAGTATGGGTGACAGTTTCCAAGCTTAACTTTCCTTTTGGCATACTGAGTTTGGGGTCCTGAGATTCTATTTATCTTTCACAGTATCCTGGCTGATACTTTAAAGGATTTCTTTAACACCTAGAGAAAATATTCCAAAACCCCTTGCAACTGAACAGAAAATACAGGAGATGAGGAAACCTTGAACCAAAGTGAACTAGTAGAAGGGAACTTTTAGTTATGAAGACGGTATGTCTTTCATCTAAATTCAGGATAATACTTCACTGAAAAAGCAATTGTGCAGTTTCAGAATCTGGTAGGTAAAAATGATACTAAAGAAAAAAATCTACTTAAAGAAAACTTGTATTGTGTTCCTACTATATAAAAGGCATAATGTTAGCTGCTTAAGTTTTATTGACTTATGTATTTGTTCACCAAATTTTTAATGAGTGCCTACTGTATACCAGGCATATGATAGAGTCCCCAGGCTCTGGCAGATACACTAGTGAACAAAACAGACAAAAATATCTGCCATTATGGAGCTTACTTTCTAAGCAGGTTGAAAGACTATAAGCAAACGTATTAAAATAATGCCAGAGTGTGATAAATGTCATGAATAACGACAGCTAGCACTTATTGATCACTTCCATATGCCAGGAACTAGTCTATTTTGCATATATTTATCCATTTAATCCTTCTAATAACCCTATGGGACAGGAATTATCATCATCACTATTTTTTGATAAGGAAACTGAGACCCAGGGAGATTAAGAACTATACAAAATGTTTGTCCCTTGGGAATTCCTATGTGAGGAGATAAACAATGATGCCATTCAGTTGGTAAATACTGTAGGCAAAATGTCCCAGATATGCTGGGGGACAAAATAAAGCAGGGTCAGCTCTGCTTGGGGGAAGTTGTAAAGAGGAGGTGGATGCAGCTAAACCCTAGAGGAAGAGTGGGTATTGTCAGGGAGACAAAGGAGGGGTGAGAGTAAGTGTTCCAATTAGAGGGCATGCCTGTGCAAACTGTGCTAAGACACAGTTCCATGTGGGAAGATGCTAGAGACCCAGGAAGCAGCCAGACTGTGGAGTGTGCTGTGCCTAAGACATCTGACTGTCAGGAAAACTCAGACTGTACAAAAGTGAGGAGAGACAGATCCAACCATTTTCCTACCAGATTAGTAGAGAGTTCTAACTGAAAGGTAGTCATTTCCTTCTAAGAAACAGCTTTTTCAAGTAAGGCTTCTGAAAATGAACTCTCTAACAAGGCTAGGAGAGATAGAAGGCAGACCCAGTGGGTTACTTGGGTCAGAAGACTCAGCAGGGTCAGATAGGCAGAAGCTGAGGTTGTCGGGGTAGAATTGCTACCTCTGAGGACATCAGATGCTGTCAGTGGGGAAACTGCTTGTTAGGTGAAGACTCAGCATGCATAAATATTTTGAATGTTACATCAGATGGTTATATTTTAAAAGTCTTTAAATGAATGTGGCTTACAAAGTTTTAACAGAAGGGGGCACTTTGGACATGGGAAAGATGCCCAGAAAGGAATCAAAGGCTGATGGTTCTGGGAGTCCCAGGGAAAAAGTCTGCCTAACCCGACTTGCTCACAGAGCAACTCTGCAGCTTTGGACAGGACCTCTCTGTGGTTTAAGACATAGATAAATCAGGCACTGTGGCTTATGACTGTGATCCCAGTAACTCCAGAGGATGAGGAGGGAGGATAGCTTGAGAGCAGGAGTTTGAAATCAGCCTGGGCAACATAGCAAGATCCTGTATCTACAACAAATTAAAAAACAATTAGTTGGGTGTGGTGGCATGCGTCTGTAATTCTAGCTACTTGGGAGGCTGAGGCAGGAGGATCACTTGAGCCCAGGAGTTCAAGGCTGCAGTAAGCTATGATCATGCCGAGGCAACAGAGCAACACCCTGTCTCTAAAAAAATATTAAACAACAAAAAAACATAGATAATAACAATACTGAACTCACTGAGCTGTCCTGATGGTTAAATATAAAAGCACTTTGTAAACTATTCAGAACCTTATTACATCATCCCATCTAGGGACAAAAGTAACTGACAGAACTAGTGAAGGCTGCTACATTAAATTTACCATGGTAGGCTAAATAATGGTTCCCAAAGATATCCATGTCCTAAACCCCAGAACTTAGGAATAATGGCAACAGGGTGAATATTACCTTACACGGCAAAATATGTGATTACATTAAGGATTTTGGAAGAGGGAAACTATCCTGGATTATCCATGTGGGCCCTAAAGTAATCACATGTCCTTTTAAGAGGGAGGCAGAGCTGGGTGTGGTGATGCACACCTGTAATCCCAGCACTTTGGGAGGCTGAGGTGGGTGGATCACCTGAGGTCAGAAGTTGGAGGTGAGCCTGGCTAACATGGTGAAACCCCATCTCTACTAAAAATACAAAAATTAGCTGGGTGTAGTGGTGTGTGCCTGTAATCCCAGCTACCCAGGAGGCTGAGGCAGGAGAATCTCTGGAACCCGGGAAGTGGAGGTTGCAGTGGGCCAGGATTACACCACTGCACTCCAGCCTGGGTGACAGAGCAATACTCTATTTCAAAAAAAAAATGGTAGGGAGGCAGTGGGAGATTTGAGGGAGATTTGATATGAAGGAGAAGGTGATGAGACAGGTGCAGAAAGCATTCTGAAGATGTTACTTGTTGATGGTGAAGTTGGAAGGAGTGGCCATGAGCTAAGGAATGCAACTCTAGACATTGAAAAAGGCAAGGAAATAGATTTTTCTCATAGAGTCTCCAGTGAGAGTGCAATCCTGTCAACACCTTGATTTTAGCTTAGTGAAAGTGATTTCAGACTTCTGGCCTCCTGAACTATAAGAGAATAAATTTGTGTTGTTTTAAGCTCTGAGTTTGTGGTATTATTATTATTATTATTTTTTGTTACAGCATCCCCAGGAAACTAATACACTCACTAAATACTTATTGAAGACCTACAGTGTTCAAGGGATTGTGTTGGTATGGCTGGGCCTATAATGATAAGTAAAAATGATTAGTATTTTCCTCTTTATTTATCCTTATATAGGAGGACATTAAAGCAAGAAATATCAATAAAGGCAAAATGTTAAAGCTGTAAGAGAAACAAGTATACATTATGCTTATTCAGTGGAAGGGGAGATTCTTGAGCTAGTTGGTAGTTGGTAGGATCAAGAGAGCCAAAGTGGAAGGAGGGACAATTAAAACAGAACTAAAAGGAAGTGAAAATAATGGAAGGTAGAAGTGGGACAGAAGAGGTTGTACCAGGTAGAAAAAAGTGAACAAAGATGAGAGAATGAAATGTATGTTTGAAGAATAAGGAATAGTCCATTTTTGCTGTAACGTAGGTACTTGGATTTGGTTAGAAGGGAGCATCAGGGCCCTACGGTGCGAAGTTGTAGCTGCCAGCCTAAAGGATTTATATTTTTCACTAAACAATGAAGCATCGTTAAAGGTATTTGCATTAAGGCATCTTTATTTTATATTTAAAATATCTGGTTAGTTAAAACGTTCTGGGGGAGATTGTAAATGTTGCATATTAAAACAATTGTGGCAACTAAAAGAATTTGTGGTCAATTTTTCTGCAGTGCAAAACTTGCTTATGCATTATGATGACTTTACTATATTTGACATTTTTAAAACATACTTCTGCAATAAGAAAACAAGACTGAAAACTAAATGAAGACAGCTTTTTATTGAATTAAAAAATGTTACTGTACTTCAAAGAGAGAGTCTGATGGAAAAGATGATGAGTGATAAACAACGTACTAGCTCATGGATTTGGTAGCTATTCTCAATATAAAAAATATAAAAAATATAAAAATTTCTAACGCCATAAAGATGTTAAAACTGATATAATAGAAGAAGGAGGAGACTAATAGATGTATAGATAAAATAGAAGGACTGATAGTGATAGAGGCAGGAGGCAGAGAAACTCTAGGCAGACAGGGGTGGGTCCCTGGCAAAACCCCACCTTCAAGCCAAAAAGCCTTAAACCCGCAGCTCAACGTGAGAACTTCCATCCCAGTGTGCTCGCTCTTTCCTGATTGGATCTTTCTGAATAGGGCCTTTTTACCAATCGAATGTTGCCTTTTGCAAAAGTGCCTATGGCCCACCTGCCAACCATCCTGTGCCTAAAAGACCCCAGACTCAGCCAGTAGAGAGGAGAAGCGGCTGGACGTTGGGAAGAGGCAACTTGACTTCAGGGGAAAGCGAACTGCCCTTCCTGTCCCCTTCCAGCTCCCCTCTCTGCTGAGAAATGCATTTACCACCCTTCAGTTCATCCACACGACCTCATTCTCGTTGAGCTCCAGGCAAGAATTCGGGATCTACCAAGTGCAGGTACCCAAAAAGGCTGTCACACTGGCCCTTTGCCCTCACTGGCAGAGGGCAGCCGCCCCATGTGACAATGGAAAGGGCCCACTGAGCTGATAACACACTGCTGTCCGTGGACGGTAGAGATAAGACAGCATTGTAACACACCCTCTGGGGCCTTGGGGTCGCAGGCACCCCGGTCTGTATGCTGCTATGGGGCCTGCATGAAGTTTGCTCCTGCTGGCACTAAAGCAGCCAACTGGTTCCTGCACTCACTTGCCTATGTGCTCCCTCCTGCAAGGGGTGGAGTGGGGCGCACCCAAGTGAATGGAGTTTTCTCCTGCCGGTGCCAAAGCAGCCGGCTGGTTCCTGCACTTGTTTACTCTCGCACACTCTCATGCGAGGGGTTGAGTGGGGTAGGCTGAGTAAATGGGGCACCCCTGTTGCAAATCCCATGAAGGAGTCAAGAAAATATCCTGCATCAATAGGAGGAAATAGAAGTAATTAAAGTGAAGAATGGGGAAGACTTTGCATAAATGATAGGATATTGAAGTATACTACTTAAGAAGATTTTACTTGTGTCTTCTTTAAGAAAATAAAAACCTCCACCATTTTTCTCATGTAATTTGTTGGCAATCAGCAACATTTAGCAAATATTTTAACATTTACCCAGTGTCAGGCACTAGACTATGTACAAGTGACTCCATAGTAAAGAGACATTCTTATACCTGGTGGAGGATGATCCTTTAAGCAGAAAAGGTGCTTTTATATGGCAACATTCTAGGTTATCTAAGTAATCTGGATATTTTTAAGGAAGCATTTCATTTACTGGCTCACTGAGTAAATGCTGGAGTTTCCCTAGTGAATCTTGCCAGCACATGTGGGGAAGAGCAGCTGAGATGTGCTGATCTATAGAGCATTAGACCAGGAGTGGACCTTTCCAACACTCAGTATTTTATTTCTCACATTATATAAAACAGGGCGTTTTGTAAGTTTGATTGTATAAAGAAGTAGGTTAAAATGGAAAAACACAAACAATCCACAATAAAATATGTTTGCTAGGCAAATAAGAGGATATTGTTCTGTAGATAGCTCTAATGGAAAATAGAAGAGGTGTTTTAAAAACATTCATTACAAAAATATGTATTGCCTTGGAAACCACATAAAAGAAATTAGTGACAAAAACCAAACTCAAATGTGGTAAAAAGAAGAAAATCATACAGTAAATCAAAATTTGAAAGATTCACCTTTAAGGCTGGAGTACAAGATAAAAGTAGAAGAAAAAAGCAGGTGAAAGAAAGAGCGATTAGTCCTTTTGCCCAGGGTAACCTCACATGTGAACATTTATCCAAAACAAACACTGAACATTCATTTGTGCTACTAAATGATTTTTAGAAAGAAAATCTTCCAGCAGGAGCCAAGTTCCTCCAACCTAGATTCATATCTGCCACGTATCATTCCCCGGGGCAGAATGTGGTCTAGTTCTCCCCTTTACTGTGGAAAACACCCTGTTGCTGATCCGTGCAACAGCTCTCAAAGATACTTTAATCATTTCCATCAAGGGCCAATGGTCCAGTTAAAAATTGGCTCAATATGTGCACAGTTGTAGCTGTCTTTTAACTGAGAGTTTCAGTTAGTATTCATAAATTTATGCATATACACATTAAAAATTCTTGGTTTCTGATTATCCAGTTATTCCCTTTCCTCTTCCCTAGGATGTTATTCAGAATGAGTTGTTACAGATACCGTTAGCCCAGGGAAGGACTGCAATTCTTTCAATGTCTAAATCCCCAAATCTAAGATTCATTTATGTATTATGAGCTTGCGGTTTAGCTTCATCTCTGCTGTAGGTGTACAGTACCTTCATTAACATAAATATTATAGCAGCATAAGCTCTATTGCCTTATTTAGTAGATGTTTTGTACGTTGTGTGTGCAGAATTGACATCATCCCAAATGCTATCAATGTCAAAATGACAGAAAAGGATGTAGAGCGTCCTAAAAATGGACACAATGAGTACCATTCGCTGTGTATTAGTTAGGTGTTGGTTGTAACAGAGACAAGATAGCAGTGGCTTAAATAAGACAGATATTTCTGTCCCATATAATCTTGGGGACAGGCTGGAGGCCGGGACTGACAGGTAGGACAATTAGCAGTCATTGCCACCATCTAAAATGGTCATTTATATTCCACTTAAAGGAGATGTTCATTCATTGTGCTGAATCAACACGAGTTAGTGTACAATGTATGGCCAGGTTTCCTGGTTCATGGTGGTGCAAGCTAAAATCACATAAAAAAATGAAAGCAAACAACAAATAAAACAACATATACCGGCATTAATAAGTTTGTTTGCTGCTGCTTATCTGTTTTCCTACCACACTAAATAAATTGTGAACTTATAAAATGCATGGTGATGAGTTAATTAATAAAGCTCAATAACACACAGGGCCAAATTAGCACTCTTAGGCTAAATGGGGCTCAAAGCAGTAATTACTAGAAATTTTTGAGTTGTGATAAAACCACTGACATATATAAACCTTTGAATTGTGTTATTAATCATATCATATGATAATTTTTAAAACCTACACATTCTATCATAAGTAGAATAAAACCTGTGAAAAGTTTTCAAGTGCAAAATTTAAATTTTGTTAATGATTTATTTAAAAAATACAAAATGTACATTTTAGGATTATTCTAGATGTAATTAAGGGTATAAACAGAATCTAAATATTTAAGATCAAATCTGTATAACAAATTAAACTAAGATTTTAAATCCCATCTATGACCAATGATTAGCAATGATCAGAATGATAGAGAATTTTAAAAAAGTGATTCACGGGCTCTACCCTTGGAGATTCTGATTTTGTGGATCTGGTGTAAGGCTTAGGAATGTAACTGCCCAGTGGGTTCACCTTGCCCGCTGCCCAGGCAGAGCCAATTTACCAAGACAGGGGAATTGCAATGGAGAAAGAGTAATTCATGCAAAGCCAGCTGTGTATGGGAGATCAGAGTTTTATCATTACTGCAGTCAGTCTCCCCAAGCATTGAGGATCAGAGTTTTTAAGGATAATTTGGCAGGTAGGGGCTCCGGAAGTGGGGAGTGCTGATTGGTTAGGTGGCAAATGGAATTATAGTGGGGTTGAAGTGAGTTTTTCTTGCTGTCTTCTGTTCCTGGGTGGGATCACAGAATTGGTTGAGCCAGATTATCAGTTTGGGTGGTGTCAGCTGATCCACTGAGCACAGGGTCTGCAAAATATCTCAAGCACTGATCTTAGGTTTTACAATAGTGATGTTATCCCCAGGAGCAATCTGGGGAGGTTCAGACCCTTGCTGCCTGGCCCCTAAACCGTAGTTTCCAATCTTGTAGCTAATTTGTTAGTCTTACAAAGGCAGACTGGTCCGCAGGCAAAACGGGGGTCTTTTTGGAAAAGGACTATTAACACTTTTGTTTCAGAGTCAAACTATAAACTAACTTCCTTCCCAAGGTTAATTTGGTGGACACCCAGGAATGAACAAGGACAGCTTAAAGCAAGATGGAGTTGGTTAGGTCTGACTTCTTTCACTGTCATAATATCCTCAGTTATAATTTTTGCAAAGTCAGTTTCAGGAGCTTGCATTTTTAAAAAGCTTTCCACATGATAGAAATCTCTGGTATAGGTAATTTATTCAGGAGCACAAATTTACATCAGAATAATGTCTGAGATATTTGAAATATTAGATGTTCTAGAAAGTGTTTTTAGATTCTTTCCATTAAAAAAACTCTGATATTGTTAGTATTTTGGCAAATAAAGTTCTTCTTGCTATTTAATGGCATTTATGAACCTGTGGCTAAAACAGATCACTTACAGATAGTAGATTCTTGTGTGGCTACTCCCACTATTTTTATTACATGGCTACAGAGCTATCTCATTATTCAATGCAATCAAACCTTATGTCAGTAAATGGAAATATGTGGATTTTAAAATAGAGGATTTTACTCCCCACACTCAGTCTAATGAAGCTAGCAGTTTAAAAATCCAAAAATTATAAAGTGAAATGCTCCTTCCTCTTCGGATGATATTCCTGAACTCCAATAGACAGTGTTGGGCCCAAGGTCGTTGTCCACCCAGTGGTTTGATGAAAAAATCACTGACATAAGGCAGATTGATTAGTTGGAGAAAAGACACACAAATTTATTTAATGTGTATGCATGGGAGCCTTCAGAATGAAGACCCAACCTCGCAATGAGGTACAGAAACTTGCAGAAAGAATGGGGGGTTGGATGGACAGAACAGGTTACAGGAAAGGGAGAAGAGGAATTCTACTAACCAGCAATAAATGATTACTAGGGAGAAGGACTGGATCCAGGGAAACAGAAATTAACTTGCAAATATTTCTGTTTGAAATTTAAATGATCCTTGGAGACAGTCATTATCTTATTGAAAAAAGGGGTTTGTTCAGGTGTAGTTTCATTCTTGGTCATCTTTTCTGTAATGGCCACAGAGGGGAACAAGAAAAATTGTTCTCCTTGGAGGTCTGGATCTTAGGCAGATAAAGGAACTTCAATGTCTAGGAGAGGTCATAGAGACCTTGAAGGTTTCTTCAGTGCAGCATGTCAAAAATGCCATATTTGGGGGTATTGTTTCTGAGCCCCAACAATAGCCTTTGTAGGAGAACAGAATATGCCACCCTAAAATATGCCTTTTTGGCATAAGGGTTATTTTGAACTAATTATTTTGAGAAATGGCAGACACATGAGAAACTCTGAAAACAGAGTTAAAGCTACCCTTTTTGCGAGGGAAATTAACATCTATACAAAAAATCTCAATTTGTAAAGCTATCTCTCTGTCTGTCTGTCTCTCTCTCTCTCTCTCTCTCTCTCTCCCTGCCCCCCAACCCCTAGCCAAGAAGAGATGTATGATTATAAATCATTTAAGACTCTTATCAATGGAGAAGGCACCCACTTAAATCTGCATAACAAACTTTTCTCTTATTTACTATGCTTTTCCCATACCATTCTTTCTTTCTTTCAGTGGTAGATTGTCTGTAAACCCAAGTCTAAACCATCTCTTTGAGATTTAGTGATTTCTCTAGATAGCTCCCATGTATACATGAGGTTACATGTTAATAAAATTGTGTGTTCTTTTCTTATCAATCTGTCTTTTGTTATAAGGGCCCATTCAACTAAAAACTATGAAAGTAAAGAGAAAATCCTTTTTCCTGTCCTACACCTTAAATAGGGAACATATGACTAAAAATATTCAGTCAAAAAGAATTTTTCTGAATTGATGCTGAGTTTCTGTCAAGAAAATTTGTGGATACCATACAAGGGAAAAAATGGGAACATAAAATTCTCACTTTCTGGTGCATAAAGCAGTGGGTTCATTTGTTAATATGGCTTTTAGTTTCATTATCAAAATTTGAACTTTTATGGTACATTAGCTGAGCTATTTCTAACATTCTTCTGAAAATGAGAAGATTCATGTCAAAAATTGGCTGTGACATATTTCTAATAAACAAATGGATAAGTGACTATCAGCTGCCTCTGCAATTCCTACTGACTTGAAAACTGCTTACTTTGAACCATTCAGGATAATTCTAGAAAGTTATAATGATTTTCTGGGAACATGCAAATAATGAAAGTCTGAGAAGTGATTACATTACCATAGTTTTACTCTGGAACTTGGCATAATGAAACTGAAACTTTTGTCAACAGTTAAAAATATTTGAGATTCGCTGAAGCAATCTAGTGCTAATGTCTGGAGTTGACTTTATAATTGAGACAATATGAGCCCTACTGAATGCAGTTATTGTGATAGAAAGCTAATCTAAAGAAAGTAGGAACACAATAGACTGCACACATTCTCAACCAGTTTCAATTTGGTATTTCAGTTTTAACAGTAAAGGTATCAGACTGCTGAATATTTTATTGTTGTGTAACCACCAAGGATACTGTGTAGACAGGTAAGATATTTTAATTTTCCCTCCTCTGGTGAATACAAGACCCATCAATGTCAGGAGTGGCACAGTGCAGCTATAAAGTAATATTTTCTTTTGCATTCCAACAGCAGAAAACATCTCTGGCTGCCAACAGTATCTGTATTTAAATTCTTCAGAATCACAGTTTCTTGTTCTTGCAAAGGACACACATTAGGGCCTGAATGGCCTTTGAAACTCATCTTATTTGTATTTGAGTGAGGGCTAAATTATATATCTTTTCCACACTAGGAAGAAAGAAAGTGGATTAAAGAAGAAAGATAGCTGTTTGAAATGCACAATGCCTTTACTAGGAACTAAAGGAATTGCATTCAATGGAAGCTGAATTTCAGACTAGTAAATGTGTTGGTAATCCTCTCTTTGTTTACTGAAAATGAATCACTTCTCAGTTTCTGAAAGGAAACAAAGAAATGTGCCCTGTGTTTGCAAAGGCTATAAATCCTCTAGTTGAGGCCATTTCAAGCTCACTGAGACTGCTGGTAAGGTTGAGTCATGCTTTCAAGAATGCATGGTGCAGTTTCAAAAAGAAAAAACAAAATGTGTTCCGAGTCAGCAGCGTTGCTGAGCAAACTGATGGTGAGTTTTCTGGAGAATCAGCCTTCAGCTCTGTGCCCACAGTCAGGTCACCCATTTATTCCTCAGAGTCAAATGGCAAATGTGTTCGTGCTGGTAAAGGTCAGTCAACACATTCAACTCTTACCCTTGGAGAGAAAGCTGGAAACCATCTTGGACACTTCTCATTGGCTTAGGAATGTCAGCTGAACTTGGAAACCTGCCCAGACTGTATTTTGCCATGACTGGCAGAGATAGGGTCTCCCACCAACTTCTCAGAACCACACTTGCAAAGATTAACTCTTTTGCACAGGAAACACCAACTTTCTATCTGGCCACATTGCTGCCTGAGACATGGCTTCTATTCTGAAGAGCTGCCAAGAGGGAGACTCTGTATGGCTGAATAGGAACAGCTCTGGTCTGCAGTTCCCAGTGAAATCAACACAGAAGGCCTGTGATTTCTGCATTTCCAACTGAGTGTAAACAAAGCTGCCAGGAAGTTCGAACTGGGCGGAGCCCACCGCAGCTCCACAAAGCCTCTGTAGCCACACTGCCTCTCTAGATTCCTCCTCTCTGGGCAGGGCATCTCTGAAAGAAAGGCAGCAGCCCCAGTCAGGGGCTTATAGATAAAACTCCCATCTCCCTGGGACAGAACACCTGGGGAAAGGGGCGGCTGTGGGCACAGCTTCAGCAGACTTAAACATTCCTGCCCATTGGCTCTAAAGAAAGCAGAGGATCTCTCAGCACAGCCCTTGAGCTCTGCTAAGGGACAGACTGCCTCCTCAAGTGGGTCCCTGACCCCCATGCCTCCTGACTGGGAGACATCTCCCAGCAGGGGTCGACAGACATCTCATACAGGAGAGCTCCAGCTGGCATCTTGTGGGTGCCCCTCTGGGGGACGAAGCTTCCAGAGGAAGGAACAGGCAGCAATCTTTGCTGTTTGGCAGCCTCTGCTAGTGATACCCAGGCAAACAGGGTCTGGAGTGGACCTCCAGCAAACTCCAGCAGACCTGTATCAGAGGGGCCTGTTAGAAGGAAAATTAACAAATAGAAAGGAATAGCATAAACATAAAGAAAAAGGACGTCCACACGGAAACCCCATCTGAAGGTCACTAACATGAAAAACCAAAGGTAGATAAAACCACGAAGATGAGGAAAAACCAGCACAAAAAGGGTGAAAATTCCAAAAAGCAGAACGCCTCTTCTCCTCCAAAGGATCACAACTCCTCACCAGCAAGGGGACAAAACTGGATGGAGAATGAGTCTGATGAATTGACAGAAGTAGGCTTCAGAAGGTGGGTAATAACAAATTCCTCCGAGCTAAAGGAGCATGTTCTAACCCAATGCAAAGAAGCTAAGAACCTTGAAAAAAGGTTAGAGGAATTGCTAACTAGAATAACCAGTTTAGAGAAAACATAAATGACCTGAAGGAGCTGAAAAACACAGCACAAGAACTTCGTGAAGCATACAAAGTATCAATAGCTGAATCAGTGAAGTGGGTGAAAGGATATCAGAGATTGAAGTTCAACTTAATGAAATAAAGTGTGAAGACAAGAATAGAGAAAAAAGAATAAAAAGGAATGAAGAAAGCCTCCAAGAAATATGGGACTTTGTGAAAAGACCAAACCTATGTTTGATTGGTGTACCTGAAAGTGACAAGGAGAATGGAACCAAGTTGGAAAGCACTCTTCAGGATATTATCCAGGAGAACTTCCCCAACCTAGGAAGACAGGCCAACATCCAAATTCAGGAAATACAGAGAACACCACAAGGATATTCCTTGAGAAGGGCAACCCAAAGACACATAATAGTCAGATTTGCCAAGTTTGAAATGAAGGAAAAAATATTAAGGGCAGCCAGAGAAAGGTCGGGTTACCACAAAAGGAAGCTCATCAGACTAACAGTGGATCTCTCTGCAGAAACCTAACAAGCTAGAAGAGAGTGGGGGCCAATATTCAACATTCTTATATAAAAGAATTTTTCAAGCCAGAATTTCATATCCAGCCAAACTAAGCTTCATAAGTGAAGGAGAAATGAAATCCTTTACAGACAGGCAAATGCTGAAAGATGTTGTCACCATCAGGCCTGCCTTACAAGAGCTCCTCTTGAAGGAAGCACTAAATATGCAAAGGAAAAACCCATACCAGCCACTGCAAAAACATACCAAATTGTAAAGATCATCAACACTATGAAGAAACTGCATCAACTAATGGGCAAAATAACCAGGTAGCATCATAATGACAGGATCAAATTCACACATAACAATATTACCCTTAAATGTGAATGGGCTAAATGCCCCAATTAAAAGACACAGACTGGCAAATTGGATAAAGAGTCAAGACCCATTGGTGTGCTGTATTCAGGAGACCCATCTCAAGTGCAAAGACACACATAGGATCAAAATAAAGGGATGGAGAAATATTTACCAAGCAAATGGAAAGCAAAAGAAAAAAAAACAGGAGTTTCAATCCTAGTCTCCGATAAGACAGACGTTAAATCAACAAAGATCAAAAAGACAAAGAAGGGCATTACATAATGGTAAAGGGATGAATTCAACAAGAAGAGCTAACTATCCTAAATATATATGTACCCAATACAGGAGCACCCAGATTTATAAAGCAAGTTCTTAGAGACCTACAAAGAGACTTAGACTCCCACACAATAATAGTGGGAGACTTTAACACCCCACTGTCAATAATAGAGCAACGAGACAGAAAATTAACAAGGATATTCAGGACTTGAACTCAGTTCTGGATCAAGCGGACCTGATAGACATCTATGGAACTCTCCACCCCAGATCAACAGAATATATATTCTTCTCAGTACAACATTGCACTTATTCTAAAATTGACCACATAAATGGAAATAAAACACTCCTCAGCAATGCAAAAGAATGTAAATAATAACAAACAGTCTCTCAGACCACAGTGCAATCAAATTAGAACTCAAGATTAAGAAACTCACTCAAAACCACACAACTACATGGAAACTGAATAACCTGCTCCTGAATGACTACTGGGTAAATAACAAAATTAAGGCAGAGATAAATAAGTTCTTTGAAACCAATGAGAACAAAGACACAACGTACCAGAATTTCTGGGACACATTTAAAGCAGTGTTTAGAAGGAAATTTATAGCACTAAATGCCCACAGGAGAAAGCAGGAAAGATCTAATTAAAAAAACTAGAGAAGCAAGAGCAAACAATTTCAAAATCTAGCAGAAGACAAGAAATAACTAAGATCAGAGCAGAACTGAAGGAGATAGAGATATGAAAAACCTTTCAAAAAATCAGTGAATCCAGGAGCTGATTTTTTGAAAAGATTAACAAAATAGATAGACCGCTAGCCAGACTAATAAAGAAGAAAAGAGAGAAGAATCAAATAGATGCAATAAAAAATGATACAGGGGAGATCATCTCTGATCCCACAGAAATACAAACTACCATCAGAGAATACTATAAACACCTATATGCAAATAAACTGAAAATCTAGAAGAAATGGATAAATTCCTGGACACAACACACCCTCCCAAGACTAAACCAGGAAGAAGTTAAATACCTGAATAGACCAATAACAAGTTCTGAAATAGAGGCAGTAATTAATAGCCTACCAACCAATAAAGCCTAGGACCAGACGGATTCACAGCCAACTTCTGCCAGAGGTACAAAGAGGAGCTGGTACCATTACTTCTGAAACTATTTCAAACAATAGAAAAAGAGGGACTCCTCCCTAACTCATTTTATGAGGCCAGCATCATCCTGATATCAAAACCTGGCAGAGACACAACAAAAAAAGAAAATTTCAGGCTGATATCCCTGATGAACATCAATGTGAAAATTCTCCATAAAATACTGGCAAACCAAATCCAGCAGCCTATCAAAAAGCTTATGCACCACGATCAAGTCGGCCTCATCCCTGGGATGCAAGGCTGGTACAGCATATGCAAATCAATAAACATAATCCATCACATAAACAGAACCAATAACGAAAACCACATGATTATCTCAATAGATGCAGAAGAGGCCTTCGATAAAATTCAACACCGCTTCATGCTAAAAACTCAATAAATTAGATATTGATGGAATGTATCTAAAAATAATAAGAGCCATTTATGACAAATCCACAGCCAATATAATAATGGGCAAAAGCTGGAAGCATTCCATTTGAAAACTGGCACAGGACAAGGATGCCCTCTCTCACCACTCCTATTCAACATGGTATTGGAAGTTCTGGCCAGGGCAATCAGGCAAGAGAAGAAATGAATGGTATTCAAATAGGAAGAGAGGAAGTCAAATTGTCTCTGTTTGCAGATGACATGATTGTATATTTAAAAAACCCCATTGTCTCAGCCCAAAATTTCCTTAAGCTGATAAGCAACTTCAGCAAAGTCTCAGGATACAAAATCAATGTACAAAAATCACAAGCAGTCCTATACACCAATAATAGACAAACAAAGGGCCAAATCATGAGTGAACTCCCATTCACAATTGCTACAATGAGAATAAAATACCTAGGAATCCAACTTACAAGGGATGTGAAGGACCTCTTCAAGGAGAACTGCAAACCACTACTCAAGGAAATAAGAGAGGACACAAATGGATAAACATTCCATGCTCATGGGTAGGAAGAATCAATATTGTGAAAATGGCCATACTTCCCAAAGTAATTTATAGATTCAGTGCTATCCTTATCAAGCTACCATTGATTTTCTCCACAGAATTAGAAAAAACTACGTTAAATTTCATATGGAACCAAAAAAGGGCCCGTATAGCCAAGACAATCCTAAGCAAAAAGAACAAAGCTGGAGGCATTACGCTACCTGACTTCGAACTATACTAAAAGGCTACAGTAACCAAAACACCATGGTACTGGTACCAAAACAGATATATAGACCAATGGAACAGAATAGAGGCCTCAAAAATAACACCACACATCTACAACCATCTGATCTTTGACAAACCTGACAAAAACAAACAATGGGGAAAGGATTCCCTATTTAATAAATGGTGTTAGGAATACTGGCTAGCCATATGCAGGAAACTGAAACTGGACCCCTTCCTTATGCCTTATACAAAAATTAACTCAAGATGGATTAAAGGCTTAAACCTAAGATCTAAAACTCTAAAAACCCTAGAAGAAACTCTGGGCAATACCATTCAGGACATAGGCACGGGCAAGGACTTCTTGACTAACACATCAAAAGCAATGGCAACAAAAGCCAAAATTGACAAATGGGATCAAATTAAGCTAAAGAGCTTCTGCACAGCAAAAGTAACTATCATCAGAGTGAACAGGCAACTTACAGAATGGGAGAAAATTTTGGCAATTTATCCATGTGACAAAAGGCTAATGTCCAGAATCTACAAGGAACTTAAACAAATTTACAGGAAAAAAACAACTCCATTAAAAAATCTGGAAACAACAGACGCTGGAGAGGATGTGGAGTAACAGGAACGCTTTTACCCTGTTGGTGGGAGTGTAAATTAGTTCAACTATTGTGGAAGTCAGTGTGGCAATTCCTCAAGGATCTAGAACCAGAAATACCATTTGACCCAGCAATCCCATTATTGGGTATATACCCAAAGGATTATAAATCATTCTACGATAAAGACACATGCACACGTATGTTTATTGTAGTACTGTTCACAATAGCAAAGACTTGGAACCAATGCAAATGGCCATCAATGATAGACTAGATAAAGAAAATGTGGCACGTATACACTATGCAGCCATTAAAAAGGGTGAGTTCATGTCCTTTGCAGGGACATGGATGAAGCTGGAAACCATCATTCTCAGCAAACTGTGAGTTTCCTGCACAGGAACAGAAAACCAAGCACCCCATATTCTCACTCATAAGTGGGAGTTGAACAATGAGAACACATGGACACAGGGAGGGGAACATCACACACAGGGACTTGTTGAGGGGTGGGGGAGCTACAGGAGGGATAGCATTAGGAGAAATACCTAATGTAGGTGACGGGTTGATGGGTGCAGCAAACCATCATGGCACGTGTATACCTATGTAACAAACCTGCACGTTCTTGCACATGTATCCCAGAACTTAAACTGTAATAAAAAAATAGTGTTAGACATACTTTTTTTTCCCCACCTAGCAAGGTCTCTTTGCTTTAAAAATAGGTACAAAATGAAGTGAGTTTAATTTCTCTATATTTAGTTAGAATTAGGTATCCTGACTTTCTTTTATCATGTTTAAAATTGCACACTTTGATGAATTTTTCCATCTCTCCTGCTTCCATATCTTAACCAGAGATGTGTTAGCATAAATATTTCAGTGTTGATGTTTTAACCATTAGCATTTCTTGAGTTTTTGTTAGCAAATTTAAAAATATTTTGAAGTTTTACTTGTTGTAGGGAAATGCTTTGATGATCTAGAGTTTGAGAGTCAAAATTGTTCTGATTTTTATAGTTCAAGTTTAACCCAATTTCCCAGACAACTTTTTCTATCATAGTTATTGTATTTCCCATGAAGTAAAATTACTACTCTAGTTCATTTAATAAATGTAAAAATTGAAAAACCTCAAAAAGAAACCTACTTACAGTTTTTTCTTTAATATAATTTAATACTAAAGTAGAGGCTATGTTTCCCAGTTTGTATAAAGACTAATTCAACTCAATTTTCATTGCATTTGGGAAAAGCCAGAAGTAGAACTGCATTTGGGGAAAGCAAGAATCTAAATGTTTTAACCCTGGTAATCATCTGTCATTTCTGCTAGTTAGAAAATATCATTTCATCTAGAACTCTCTAAAGGGAAACAGTTTGAATATATTCTTTGAACTATTTGGTCCCAAGTTCCTTCCCGGTTGTCAGCTCAGAAAAATGATGGCCCAAGTCTTAAAAGATAGCACAGTTCAATGAGTAGCAATGCCTAGTGTGGGTCATCCAGGACTCCAAGTAAATGGTGATAGGCTTGAAGTAGTGGGAGAAAGAAGTACAGTGTTTTTAATTTAAATGTAAAATAAATTTCAAAAATTATATTTTTGAATAATAGGAGAATTAATATAAGATACAAACATTAATATGATATAAGTTACAAACGTTAATACAATATGGTACAAGGGATTAATAATAAAATTATCACTGTCCTTTGATTTGCATATTATATTACAGTTTTCAATGCTTTATTACATATATAAGGATTCTCCAGTGTCTCCTAGACAATTTGGTGACATTTAGTATATTCACAATGTTGTGCAACTACCACCTATAGTAAGTTCTAAAACATTTTTGTCATTCCACAAGAAAACTCCATACCCATTAGTCAGTCACCCTCCACTTGCTCTTTCCCCCAGCCCCTGTCAACCATCAATCTGCTTTTTGTCTTGGTGGCCTGTTATACTTATTTCATATAATGGCATCATGCAATATGTGACTTTGTGTCTGGTTGATTTCACTTAGCATGTTTTTGAGGTTCATCCATGTTATAATGGGTAGCAGTACTTCATTCATTTTTAGGTCTGAATAATAGTCATATATGACTATATATATGAGACTATACTATATATATGAGACTATATATATGACTATATGTATGAGACTATGTATAGGACTGTATATATAGTCATATATATATAGGACTATATATATGAGACTATATATAGGACTATATATATATATAGTCCTATAGGACTATATATACATACAGTCATATAGGACTATATATACATACAGTCATATAGGACTATATATATGAGACTATATATAGGACTATATATATGTAGGACTATATATAGTCCTATATGACTATATATAAGACTATATATATAGTCATATATGACTATTATTCAGCCCTAAAAAAGAATGAAGTACTGCTACCCATTATAACATGGATGAACCTCAAAAACATGCTAAGTGAAATAAACCAGACCCAAAGTCACATATTGCATGATGCCATTATATGAAATAAGTATAACAGGCCACCAAGACAAAAAGCAGATTGATGGTTGACAGGGGCTGGGGGAAAGAGCAAGTGGAGGGTGACTGACTAATGGATATGGAGTTTTCTTGTGGAATGAAGAAGAATGTAGAATATATATATATATATATATATATATGAATGAAGAAGAATGTAGAATATATATATATATATATATATATATATATATATATATATATATGCTACATTTTGTTTATCTGTAACCACCCAGTGGGTTCACCTTGTCCACTTCCTAGACAGAGCCAATTTATCAATACAGGGAAACTGCAATAGAGAAGAAATAATTTATGTAGAGCCAGCTACACGGGAGACCAGAGTTTTATTATTACTGAAATCATTCACCTCAAGAATTCAGGATTTGGGGTTTTTAAGGACAATTTGGTGGATAGGGGCCAGTGAGTCAGTAGTGCTGATTGGCTGGGTCAGAGGTGAAATGATAGGGTGTTGAAGCTATCCTCTTGCACTGAGTCATTTCCTGGGTAGGGACTACAAGACCAGATGAGCCAGTTTATTGACCTGGGTGGTGCCAACTGATCCATCAATGCAAGGTCTGCAAAATATCTCTAGCACTGATGTTAGGTTTTACAATAGTGATGTTATACCCTCCAGGAGCAATCTGGGGAGGAGGATCAGAATTCTGTAGCCTCTAGCTGCATGACACCTAAACCGTAATTTCTAATCTTGTGGCTACTGTGTTAGTCCTACAAAGGAAGTCTAGTCCTCAGGCAGGACAGCTTGGAGAGTAGAAACAAGATGAAGTTGGTTAGGCCAGATCTCTCTCACTGTAATGATTTTCTCAGTTATAATTTTGTGATGGTGGTTTCATATTCATTCATCTGTTGGTGGACGTTTGGATTACTTCTAAATTTTGATTATTGTGAATAGTACTTCTATGAAATTACATGTACAAGTGTTTGTTTGCATACCTGTTTTCAATTCTTTGGGGTATATCCTTAGGAGTGGAATTGCTGGGTAATATGGTAATGCTATGTTCAACATTTGAGGAAATGTCAAGCTGTTTTCTACAGTAGCTGTACTATTTTACATTTCCAGTAACTATGTATAAGGATTACAATTTATTTTTTTTTCTGATTCTGTACTTCAATGGATGCAAAAGGAGTCCCAAAGACCACTTGTTATTTTTTATTTTTCAGTTATAGCCACCCTGGTAACTGTGAACTGGTATCTGCATTTTGCATTTCCCAAATGCAAATGATGTTGAACATCTGTTCCTGTGCTTGTTGGCCATTTGTATGTTTTCTCTGGAGACACATCCATTCAAAACCTTTGCCCATTTTTTATATTGAGCTGTTTGTCTTTTTGTTGTTGAATTGTAAGAGTTCTTTGTGTACTCTGGGTACTAGACCTTTATCAGAAACATGATATGCAAATATTTTCTCTCATTTTGTAGGTTGTTTTTTCACTTTCATGATAATATCTTTTGATGCACAAAACTTTTTAATGTTGATGAGGTCCAATTTATCTTTTTTTTTCCTCTGTTACTTATGCTTTTGGTGTCATACCTAAAAACCCATTGGTAAATTCAAGGTTATGAAGATTATGTTCTTTTCTATTTTCTTCTTTTTTAAAAAATGATTAAGTGTACTTTGTGCATTCAACTTTTTTCTCTCTTCTGGTTTGGAATTTTTAGTCTATTTCTATTCTTTTGTTAATTTAGCTTGAAATTTTAATGTGATATTTAACTCCAAGTTTAAGTCCTGCAAGTGGAAAATTTTCCAAAGAAAAGTAATCTTTAGGACAGTGTTGGATAATGGATTTTCCGTGGAAAAATAGCTCCAATAGGGGCAATCATTGTTTTTTCTCCATTCACAGGATCAGAATCTCCCTCTATATTGAAGAACCAGAAGAACTAGGCAGAGAAGAAAGAACACTGATATTCAGTATGTAGGACACAAGAAGGGACTGGAGAACTAAGAGTTGGTTACTTCTATAGACAGGGGTGAAGCTTCTCCTTTCATGGTCATCCATGGTCACAATTAGGACTTCTGATGTGAACTGCAGAGAAGTGAGGAGCAAATATCTGCAAACCATGATCAAAATAGAGAAAGTTTCTTGGGGTTCTGTTCCTCAGGGGAGCATCCTGTAAGACTGTAAAGACAGAAACCTACCACATGGTTTACATAAGTACAGTAGTGTACAGCCTCATGTGATGAGTATTGTGAGAGGAGAAATACAGAATGTGGTGGAAGTGACCAGAGACTCCCAGAAGGACTTGTTTAAGCTTAAGTCTTACGGTATAAAGAAGGGTTGTCTAGGTGAAGGTGATGGAGCTGCCGTAAGTGAAGAGAAAGTTCTAGGCACAGAGAAGAACACATTACAGCCTTAAAGGTGAAAGAGAATGTGGTATGTTTGACAGACTGAAAATTTAATGTAGACCATTGTGAACAGGGAAGGACGTGGCATGAGTTGAGTTTGAAAAGGCAGGAGGGAGCCAAATGTCCTCATAAACCATGTCGTAGATTTGGAATTTAATTCTATAGGCAATGAAAAGCCTTTAGAGTTTCTAATTTGCTTTGTTTTTACAAGTAATTGACATGATCTAGTCTGCATCTTTGAAAATGCATCCTGGCTGCTGTGTGAATTGGAAGGGGGTAGTGAGAGTGATTATGATGTCCATTGTAACATCCAAGAGAACAATGATGGTGACTTTGACAAGGATGTGGACAAAGGGAGATATGAACAGATTTGAGAGAAATTTAGAAGGTAGATAAACTAAGATTGGCAAGGACTAGATAATGGAAGAGAGAAAGAGGAGAGAGTCAAGAATCACTCTTAGATTGTTGGATTGATTAGCTTTGGTGCCATTTATTAAACCAGGGAACCTTGGAAGATGAACAAGTTTGTGGGATGGCATAGAGGAGAAACAATAAGACCAGTTTTATATTAGTTGAATTGACAACAGAGAGCCAAGTAGAAATTTCCAGGCATGCTCCCACCTCAGTACTTTTCCTGCTATTTTTACCTAGAGCACTCTACCCAGGGATATCTACATGGCTCACTTCGTCACCCTTGTTAGGCAACAGCTCAAATGTCCCTTTCTTAATGAGACTTTCCCTGACCACCTTATCTGAAAAAGTAGTAGCCCTCTCCCCCATTAACTCAACATTCTCTATCTTCTCTCTATGCTTTATTTTATTTCATAACATTTATTATTTTGGCTTTTCCTGTATCCCCTCTATCTGGAATATAGCCTCATCCTTCCAAAACAGCCATAAGGTTCAGTTCACATCTTAGCTCCTCTGGGAAGCCTTCCTTGAGATCTCCAGGCTGGGTTAGGAGTGCTCTTCCCAGGGGTTTCATTCCTTATCTTGAACATCTCCACCACATTACATTGTAATGTCTGCTGATTCAGGATGCTCTTTCACTGGCTTGTAAGCCCTGGTAGGTCAAGGACTATGTCTTTATATTAGATCCCTGACACTTAGCACAGTGCCTGGCACAGAGAACCTGCTCAGTAAGTATTTGTTGCATGAAAGAAATAATTCTGAGGAACTACCGTGGAGTGCATTAAAGAATGTCTTTCCTCTCATCTGCCATTGAATGGATGTTTAACCACTGGACTTTTGATCTATTTTTCTTCCCAGAATATGTTTCCCCTTCTAATAGTAGCACCTCCATTACCTTTGGATAATTAGTTTTTTCTATCGCATGCAATATAAGTTGGATTCTTAGTCAATATATCTGACCTTCTCATTCCAAGGGGTGAAAGAGTACATGCAATTTAAGACAAGCAATGTTTCTCACCTTAAAATTTGTATCTAGAATAGAGGAGACAAAATGGTTAGGACTGAATAATCATCTCAGTGTCTCCCTGACTATACCATTCTGTAGGTGTTTCTCTCCAGATCACTGAAAATTTCCTGGTTTCTGTCATTTCTAAAGCCTGGTTGTCAGGTTTTCTTTTGATTTGATGAGTAATCCATTTTCTTCTAATCAATTCATTTTTTGGACTTAAGTGGACAGAGTTGATCCCTGTTGCATATAACCAAAAAATATTAATGTAAACTGTGATTAGTACTGCTAGCTAGGAAGATGATCAAAAAGCCTGTCAATGTGGAGGATACCAGAAAATGACATGCATGTATCTTAATTTTATTTGATCACCATACACATGAATATTCACCTGCCATCTTTTGATGCAGGGTTAAGGCTATTTAGTATAGTTTTATTTTTTTGAAATAGCCATACCCAAAATATATGTCCTGCAATTTCCAGTTCCAATTTCTTTAAATTGGAGAACTTAAAGACATTCGTGAAACAGTTTGAGGGCAGAATTCTAGATTCTTACAAAATTTCCTTGATTATTTATAATTATCTCACTGGATTTAATTGAACAGAGATTTTTAAAAGATATTTATTGAGTGTCTTTAACTTTTTTATGTAAACAAAATTTTTTTTCTCATTCGTATTTTATAAATTTACCAAATGTTTAATTAAATTGTTCCATTATAATAATAACTGGCAAAAAAAGGATTTGGGAACAAATATATTATACTCTCGGTAAGCACACATCCCAATTGGAGGTGGGACTGCAAGGGGCCTATGACAGACAGCCTGCTAGATGAGAAAATTTAGCTTGCTTTTGTTATCTATGAGAGAATAAAGGACTTTAATTGATCCTGGATAAATGAATGCCATTAAAGACCGGTTTTATTAGACTCATATTTAACTTTAGAGCTTCTCAAGGAAAATACCATTTCTTTGCTTTCTTATTGTATAATACCTCTTCTTGATTTTCCCAATTAGAAGACAATGGATTATTTTGGAATGCAATAAGAATATTTCTTTCAGAAGCATTACTATCTACCATGCTGAGTGTTTCAGTCCATTTTGTGCTGCTATAACAGAATACCCGAGACTGGGTAATTTATAATGAAGAGAAATTTATTTTCTCAGTCCTGGAGGCTGAGAAGTCCAAGATCAAGGTGCTAGCATCTGTGAGGTCCTTCTTGCTGTGTCATCACCTGGCAGAAGTTTGAAGGGCAGTCCGGGTGCAGTGGCTAATGCCTGTAATCCCAGGAAGGGAGGCCAAAGCGGGCAGATTACCTGAGGTCAAGAGTTCGAGACCAGCCTGGCCAACATGGTGAAACCCCATCTCTACTAAAAATACAAAAATTAGCTGGGTGTAGTGGTGTGCACCTGTAGTCCCAGCTACTTGGGAGGCTGAGACAGAAGAATCACTTGAACCCGGGAGGCAGAGTTTGCAGTGAGCTGAGATTGTGCCACTGCACCCTAGCCTGGGCAACAGAGCAAGACTCTGTCAAAAAAAAAAAAAAAAAAAAAAAGAAGAAGAAGGTGGAAGTGGAAGGGCAAAGAGGCAAAGAAGGCCGGACTTGCCACTCATAACAGCATTAATCACACTGATGAGTGTGGAGCCCTCAATGGCCAGCTCACCTCTAAAAGACCCCACCTCTTAATACTGTTAAGATGGCAATTAGATTTCAACATACATTTTGGAGGGAACAGATATTTAAACCATACACTGAACAAGTGGTTAAAGGAATAGAACTGTGGTTCAACAGACATACAGTTAGCACTCTAACCTGATTGGCTCTATTGCTGGATGCAGGTGTACATAGTTGAATCAGAAGTGGTTTGAGGGTACATGAAATACAATATAGAAAGGGAAGTAGTTACTTCAGCACCCAAACATAATGTGACATTGGAAGACCAGACATAGCATGTGGTCCCGAGTTGCCCATGAGTTAGTTGTTTAAAGATAGGACAAGGACATATGAAAATAGGTAGGTCAGAATTCAAGATAGTCAGTGCTTCAGTGCCAGAGTGATGGCAGCAGCTAGCAGGTGCTCTAGCAAGAAGGGACCTGGGATACCTATTGCAGAAGGTCTCAGGATGTTGACCCTGAAGGACATACATTTATTCATTTATCATTTATCTAAGTTTTATTGTACACTACCCTGTGCCAGGCAGTGCTCCAGACATTAGGGTTATAAGAGTGAACAAGACAGATAAGTTTCCTCCTTCGGAGAGCTAAGTTGGGAGTGTGTGAATGTTTGCGGCAAGGTGAAGAGAACATGTGGTTCATGCATAGACATGTAAGTGAACAGACACATGTGCTACTAACAAGAAAAAAGAGGGTAATGAGTGGGAATAATGTTGGGAAAGGCTGCTCAATGGAGATAAAATCTGACCTGAATGGAGAAAGGGAGTCAGCCACATGAAGATTTGGGGGAAGATGTTTCAGGTAGATGAATCAGCTATTGCAAATGTCCCCAAACAGAACGAATCTTGTGATGTTTAGGGCAGAAATGGTGGGGTCACTTTCAAGACATGATTGGTTTCCATTTCTACAGAACTGACACAGAGAATTAACAGGCATCTCCTGCTGTGTGTAACTAGAGGACAACTGTGGCCTTTGGGAAACTCCAGATTCCTCGGTAGTCACATTACTTTGTGAAGCTGAACTTACCGCATTGGAGTTCAATTTAACAAGCTTCTGCGAGGCTGCACCGGGCAGGTATACTCTCTTGCATCCCCCATTCCTCAAGCTGCACTTTGATCCATGCCAGTCTTTAGAATAATATAGAGGAAACCGCAAACTCATATAGGAAACTTCAACTCTATCATTTTAGTTTTCTCTTTCATAGCTTTCCTTTTGCTCAGGCTCTGTTCTGACAAGCCAAGGCTTTTTGGCAATTTAGCTGAAAAGTAAATGTAAGCAAATACATATGATTCTAGGGATCCAGCCTACCAGAATAACTCTATTAGAGAACTTGTTTAGACAAAACCTATTTTCTCATTCCCGAAACTGACAAAACTGTAGGAAAATCACTCATGTTTGAAAGCAAAGTATAATAAAGTGCTATATTGTACCACTGTCTTCATCAAAGGGAAAACAAACAAACAAACAAATCATAAACCACAATGTATTGCCTGAAAATGAGAGGTCAGAGGCTTATTTTAAAAGGAGAAAATAAAAAAAAAACTAGACTGGTGGCTTGATTTCAAATGCATTAATAATTGTGAAATAACTTTATGAACAGTATGCCATGATTCTTGACTTTGTGATTGGGTTAATATATCAATAAACAATAGTTTGGGGGAAAAATAGCACATTGCTATCTCAGTGGAAGAAGTGAGAAGAATCTACCTGTTTTATTCATATGTTAATCTCTAACTAAAGGATTGATCGAGACATTAATGTTCTTCTTGTTAGCTTGGTTTGAAAACAAAGTAAGTTAAGAAAATAGTAATCAGAAGTTTTCTTTTAAGTCTGGAGCTAATGAACAGTGGATAGAGTTGACGATTTGGGGAGATTTATTTAATAGAAACTATATTCAGGGTGACCATATGTTGTGGAGTATTCAAGATAGTCCCACTTCACACCTGTTGTCCCAACATGATTTACAGCAGCTCCCTTTCTCTCTCAAAATTGTTCACTAGCTATAGTGGATCCTAAAAGTACCCTTTCTCCCCAGGATGAAATCAGTCTAGCAAATGTGTCTTCCACTCTCCAATTTCAGTATCTGCATCATTCATTCATTCACAGATATTTCTGAAAATTACAATACCGGATATTTTTCTCATCACTGAAATTATTTTTTTTTTAAATTATATCCCTTAAGGGGCTCATAAGGATCAGTGCAAGATGGACATAAATTGTTTTTCTTAATTCAATGCAATGTGCATTAATGAGAACGCACCATGTGTTTTAAGCACTGACTAGTTGTCAAGGGGATGGAGGAGTAAGCAAGAGAAAGTCTATACCTTTAAGGAGTCATTTTGGTTGATCTGCTTATCTCCATCTATTAATCTGATGATAAAAGTCTCCAATGGCTTCCCATTTCACTTGGAATAATCTGAGCTCCTTATTATGACCTCGAAAGCCAGATCTGGCCCCTGCCTACCCTGTGATCTTATTTCACACTACTTTTTTGGTTCACTAAGCTCCAGGCATACAGGCCTTCTTTCTGTTTCTGGGCTTGTGCCTGCCTCAGGGCCTTTGCACTTACCATTTCCTTTATACACAAACCTCTTCCCCCAGGGTGTCCTGTGGCTGTCTTCTTCTCTTCATTTGTGTCTAGGCTTAAAAGTGACTGCTTCTGGGACACTTTCCCAATCACATTATCCAAATTCGCCTTTCCTCTCTCTGTCTTGTTTTACTTGGGTTTATTTTCTTAGCTGTTATCAACCTCTAAAAGTAATAATTAAGTATGGGTTGCTTTTTTGGGCTATCTTCTCATGATGAAATGTAAGCAGACTCTTGCCTATCTTGGTCACCCCAACATCTCTGTATCTTGAGCAGCGGCTAGCACACAGTAGGTGATTAATATTTTTGAATAAATGATAAGTAAACTTTGTGACTGATTTATAGATTTACATTTATTTCTCACAATTTAATATGTATTCTTGAAAGCCTTTTCTTAGCCTTTTACCTTTCTCCTTTCGTATGATTCTTTTTACACTTTGAGTCCTTGAGTCTGTTATTGTCACTCCAATCTCTTGACAAAGGAGTTATCTTACATATCCTGCACCAATACGCTAATGTTGACTGTTGAAAATCACACAGGTACAGAATGAATCTGGTTGTTGTCTTCTGTGCCTCTCTCTCTAATAAACCCAAACTCGAGGATATTTTCAGTTATTTCTCTTGCCTCCTTTCATATCAAGGGTAACTCATACCAGTCCATTTCAGTCTGGAGGGGCCACTGAGAAATCTTTGGTTTGAGCCTGGTAGATTAAAAGATGGCATTATTAGTCAGTCCACTGTAGAAAGAAGATGAAATTTGAGTATTTATTTCTGTAATGGTGATGGTTTATCTGTTCCTTTTGGAAGTAGGCCTGTTGACACAGGTGAGACATGCCTTGTTTGTCCTCAGTTCAAAGTAAATTGGTCAATGAGGGGATCAAGTTTGCCACATTGGCTGCATTATCATCATATTCCAACTAAGGACAAGGGCCAGCCAGGATAACTTATTTGAAGTGTACGTAGGCTTTGTTATACCTCTACAGGGAATAACCTTAAATTTCCTATAAAATAAAAAATTCAGCTCCTCAATGAAATGATGTGGCTCTAACTAGGGATAAAAAGAGGTGCAACTATTCAAATGTGATAACAAACACAGGTGATGACGTGAATGCTAGTGATTTGCTTTTGATAATCCTGTGAGGCAGGCAATGTGGGATGAAGCCATTTCTGAGATGAGTTTAAAGAGTGAAGGCCATAGGGCTAGAAAAAGGCAAAGCAAGAGCTTGTCCCAGATCTTTTGAGGGCAGTCCTTTATAATTTCTATGACATTATACTCTCTCCCTCTTTCACACCTTATAATATATTTAACTTACGTATATCATTTTATTTTTAGTTACTTTTTTTTCTTGAATGGGACCAATGCAGCAATTTTTACTTTGTGTCTCATTTTATTCCTAACTTACACAGAATCTACTGGCAGCCAATCACATTTAAAATAAATACAAGGAGTGCCAGTTGCATCTTCAAAGTAGCAGATACCAACATGGAATGAAATATGCAAGAGATTTTATTGAGTGAAACACCTGTGAAGAATAAGAACTGGAAGGAGGAGGAGTAGGTAGAGAGCAGGAGTGGACAGGTCTGAAAGAAGTGAAAGGAGAGATGGAGGGAAAGACTGAGTAGGAAGAGCCTCAGATCATGCACAGTTCTGAGAAATGTTCTGCCAGGTCAAGGGGTAGTCCCTGAGCTCTTTCAAGCTAGGGTTGGCAAACTATTTGGCCCATGGGACAAATCTGGCCTGCTACCTGATTTTGTAATTAAAGTTTTATTGAGATGCAGTCATATCTATTCATATACATATTGCCTATGACTGATTTCATGCTTAACTGGCAGAGTTAAAGTGTTGCAACAGAGAACATGTGGATGGAAAAATATAAATATTAATTATCTGGATCTTTATAGAAAAGTTTCCACCCTTTGCTTTAGAGTAATCTCATGTTAGACAGAAATGGCCCACTGTAGTACCCCCAGCATATTCAGTTATGGGCTGAGAATAGCCCTAGGAGAATGTGGTTATGGGGCAAATGATGCCTCCTGGTGGACTGAAAAATGTGGCAGTTGGAGCCTCTTAATAAGCTATGTTCCTCACAGCAGGTTCTCCTAAAGGGAGATTTGAGTGAGACACACAGATAGTGTGTGGCTCTTTATTGAAAAAGTTTGCTAACCCTGCTCTAGATAGGAGTTAGTATTTATTCCACAAGGGACATGGTCATTTGTTATAAGTGAGCAAATTAATTGTCTGTTTTATAAAGCAATTTCCTATAATACTGCCTAGCAAGAATTATTTTCCTCGGACTCGACTTTGTCAGTTCTGCCTTAGATAAAGGTATGTTGTTGAGGGAGGCACAGGGTGGTGCTGGAAAGAACACTGAATGGCTGGAAGACCTGGGACCTTGTCCAGTACAGGCTGCTAAATATCTCCGTGGTCGCCATGTGTTACATCACCTCTCTGGACTTCAAGAGCCCTGTTTGTCAAACACGGGGTTTAGACTAGAGGACTGTTAATTCCTTTTAACCGCAACAAGAGTATCATACAGGACAGTACTAATCAACGGGTGGGCCTGAGCCAGCAGCTGGGGATTTGGTGGACTAAGTAGGAGAAAAATGACCCAGCGTAGATCAGAGATCTTCTCTAGCTGGTGTGCAAAAAACTGCGACAAGGAGAGACTTGTTCCAGTAACCCAAACTGTTCCCTTTTAATTACAGCATAAACATGAGTCTATTTATGTGGATGTTCAATGATACAATGACATGGCCTATCAAGTGGAAGCAACCAATAAAGCAGACAATGATGGTGCAGGCCAAGGAGCCTGTATGGTGCTCACAGGAGGGCCATTGTGCTGGGACATATAGAAGCAGCTTTTCTTCCTGCTTACAAGATCTACTCTGTCTTGTTGGAGGGGAAAATGAGGTGAACATTAGCTTATTACCTCTGTGTGTTATGTGTGTGTGTGTGTGTGTGTGTGTGTGTGTGTGTGTTTGTGTGTGTCTGTGTGGGTGAGTGGGAAGGGAGGAGTTAAACACCTAGACAGCTCCGGAAACATCCCTGTCTCTATGAAACCTGGACACTGAAGGTTTTATATGTGAGTAACATAGATTTTGTTTGTTTGAACTTCTAGTATAGCTCTGCGGTAACAAGATTAGTGTCAAAATCCTAGATATCCCCAGGAGGGAGGGGAAGGGTTCCTGGGAAAGGACAAGAGTCCTTCCAGTAATATTCCATGTACTTGCTGAACCTAGAAAACAAAACTACAGGATGCATATTTATGTAAGAATTTCAGATAAATAAAGAATAATTTTTTTAGTATAAGTATGTCCCATGCAATATTTGTGTTTTATTTGGTAACCCTATTGAATGAGAGCAATTTCCTCAAAAAGTTAATGAATAGAGTAGATTTTGGTGGAACATAAGAGTTACAAGAATCAGTGGACTCTAGAACAGGGGCACCAGGTCATTAAAATAATTGTTTTTAATTTTTGTGGTTATTGTATGGTCCTTTAAATACCTGTCTTTGCCATATTTTTCATCTTCCAGCAGCCAAATAGGGGATATATATTTTTTAAAAGTAAGAAATAAAGCTTTAACCTTACCCTTAGAATTATCAGTGTTTGTTTGCAGAACCTGCTAGAACTTTGAGTTTAGCTGTAATTACAGAACTGACCCAGACCATATCAGACATTGAGATAATTGAGTTTTTCAAGTCATAGTGAGAGGGAGATGGAAAGCTATATTGTGGCTGAGCTAAGAATCTATTCTATCATTTTATGGGGAAATAAGCTATGCTGGAAATATAAACACCTATTTTTGGACATTTTCTCAATCCTATTGAACTCACAAAATGTGAAACTTTTTAGTTGGTTCAAAGCAATGATGAAGAATTTTATCCCTAGACTGTCCTTTAGATAGCAAATAGACATAGAAAATATTGTCACTTAGAGGAGTTTGGGGTACTAGAATGTTCTTCTCTACTGTTAAAGAAGACCACTGTGAAAAAATTTTCAAAAAAACTTTCCCTCATGAGCAGTTTATAAACTTTCTTTTCCAACAGCTTTTTCTTTTATTGTTCATTGGAAGTGTGCTTATGCCAGCATAATTTTGACAAGTCTCAAAGTATTTGCTGCTATAATTGTAGAAGTCTTCCTTTAATAAAATGAAATTTGATTTTTATTTACCTGAAGTAGTAGAGAGTTGCTAGACTTAAAAAAAATCATTGTAAACACATTATCAAAAATAGACCAGTTTAACTGAATTTCATCACTTAATTTGCACAGATATTAACTAGGAAGTTAGTCTTCACAAGGTTAGAAGCTGCCAGCAGAGTTCCCAAACACTATGATATCTTTTGAGTCATTTAGCTCTTTTCCCTCATACTGTTTCTCCTTTTTATGCAATAATTCTTTTTTCAAGGCACACTTTTCATTTTCTAATTCCTCATCCCTTTATTGGCATGCCATTAAACTCATAATTGATCCATATTTTTCTTAACATGGGGAAATGTAATTTCTCATTTCTCATCATATGTTCCTTAAAAAATTTCATATTCTCAGCTCATCCTACCCTCTCCACAGCTTAAAATCTGCCTGGTATTCTTAGATTATGTTGAGGACATGTCCATTTTGTTGTGTTATTCTGCTGTGTTCCAGTCTGTTATGTGGTGTGTTTCAGTTATAGTTGCTGCATAGCAAACTACCCTAAAGCTGGTGGCATAAAACTGCACTATTTGTGTGTGCGTGTGTGTGTGTGTGTGTGTGTGTGCTGACTGATTCTGTGGATTACGAATTCATAGAGGAAGTAGTAGAGATGGGCTCGTCTCTTAGATGTCTGAGACTTAGCTTGGGAAAGCTCAAACAACTGAGTGTGGCTCTTTCCGGTAGCCCCATCAACTCCAAGCATGTGGCTCACATTTGTGTAATAGTACTGGTGCAACTGTATTGCCTATTGAATGCTAGTGTCAGTTGGCACCCACCGCATAATGGCTGTTAAATATTTTAATCTTCACCTCTAAGTATCAATTTGTCAAACTCTTGCCACATGTCCCTCTGCTGGGAACCCACTCTGCTTGCTCATTTGATGAAGCCCTTCTGTGTCCTTCAAGACTCAGCTCAAGCTCCTTCCTCAGGGTTCCTATACTACCCTTTGTTTCCTCTGTTACAGCACTGGCTGGACACATTGCATTGCAACAATTTTTTTATTTTTCTCCTTATGTTTTGAACTTCTTAAGTAGAGCTCCTTTTTTCTTGGTCGTCTCTGTACTGTGTGCCTGTCACATAGTAGTCTTCAAGGGATGATTGGGTTTTGAACATCAAGTAAGCTTCTCAATTAATTTTCTGCCCTTTGAAAATTGATTGTGCTTCTTGATAAATCAAACTGAGTTCAGTTTTTTCCTCTAATATCTGTGAACATTATAACATCTTTCTACATCAGAGAACAGATCATGAACTTATTTTTCTTTTTCTATTGCATATAATATTTAAAAATCCCTCCCCCATAAAAAATACAAACTATAAGCTCCATGAGGGCAAATATCCTTTTCCCAGAGTTCAGCATAGAGTGCAAAACTGTGCTCAATAAGTATTTATTAAATGTAATTATTCAGGCTAAATAACATTAAATATGCTATTGCTAATATTTATAGCAAGGCATATATGCAAAGTGTTTTATTTGCATTCTCTAATTTAATATTCTGAGTAAAATAATAGACACCTCCCATTATTTTCTTTAAAGAGGTTTTGTTATTTCAAACTGAGGCTTAGAGAGGTTAAGTAGGTTACCAACATCAGATGGCCAATGAGTAGTAGAGCCAGAATTTGGATCCAGATTACCCAGTGTCAGAAGCCGACATCTTAACCATCACATTTCAATACCACCTTAGGGAAAGGAATGTCAAAAAAATCTTGAAATCATTCTGGATTGTGGCCTTCTTAGTACCATTCATGGCATCTGTCTCTGCTTATTTACCCTGACTTCTAAATATTTTATCTGCAGGAATAAATTTGGTACGTTCAAGAAGTGACAAGAAGGCCAGTGTGGTTAGAGCATTGGGAAAAAGAAAAGAGACTAGTAGGAGATGGGGTTGGAGAGAAAAGTTGGGGCCAGAGCACACAGGGCTTTGAAGAAGTTTGGGTTTTATGTCAATGAAATTGAAGTCATTGGAGGGGTTTTGATTTGATCTAATTTAGTTTAAACACTTTGGCTGCTGTTGTAGATAATGCACTGAGAGGATGGGGTGGAGGCAATGGAGGCTTTTGTAGAAGTTGGAACTGAAAATTTCAACTACTGCAAAACAGGGAATTTAGACTTGTGTGGCCACAGCGGGCATGATGAAAAGTGGATGAATTTGGGATATTGTTGGAGGCAAGGGTCCTTAATAAATATTTATTGAATTAATGAGTATATAATAAGCATTAAACAATTAGCACAGTTATTGGTCCACAGCAAGTACCCACTAAGTGGTGGTTACTCTTACTGTCATCATCATTGTCTCTTCTACCTCCTGAGAGGTGAAATTACAGTATTAACACTCATAAATCATCAGCTTCCCACTCTGCACGTTATCCTCCATCCCTTCAGCTCTGTGTCTTACTCTACAGAGGCTACTCTCTTAAAGTGACCCCCAAGCTGTTGAATTCAGTGTAATTTTCTAATTTTTCATTCCCTGATGCCTGTCTGCCCCCTTTGACTTCCTACTCCTTGCAATGCCTTGACGCCTGAGATGATATACTCTCTTAACTCTTCCTGTACATCTCTTGGGGCTCCTTCGCTGTGGCTTCTTTTTCTCCTTTTGCCCTTTCAGTATAGAGGTTTCTGAAGAATCTGATCCTGAGACCCTCGTTCTAATAGGTCAGTTCCAGACGACCAAATCCTCATCTTATGACTATATTTTTAGCTTAGCCCTTCATTTCTGACATATCTTTTTCTTCCAAAGCCATGACTTAAAACTAGACGAGAGGTGAACTTTATCTGTGCCCCTAAGTCCTTCAGTTTCCTACCTAAGATTATAAAATATGTATCATTGGAAATCTTGGGCAGCACACAAAACATAATTTATCAGGAATGAGATTCTTATGGAGAACTAATTTTCTATTGAGGAAATTAAGAAGAGGTTTGAATTTGGGCTAAAATATCCATTTCTAAAATTAATCTTCATGTGCTCTTTTTTTTTTGCTAGCCTATATGATATTTATGTTTTACTTATTGAATAATTCATGTACCACTGACCAGCACAATAAAATATTTCACTTCAAGCATACATCTACATTTCTTAACTTAGCTCTCAATTGTAATTACTACACTCAATTTCTGTTTCTCGATGGAAAGAGGAATCCTACATAGAACTGAACACCAGCTAATGAACTCCATTAAACAGGGATGACTGAGTAGTGCTTACGGAGAAGATTTAAGTATAAATCGAATTTTCTTTCCTGAGTTTAAAGTTTCATAAACGATTAAATAGGCAAAAGTTTACTACAGAGTAGATAGCCTTTGGGGGTGGGATAATACCCTGCTGTCTTTTCTTCTTTCCTTTTTCTTAGTTCTTTAGGCTCAGGAGCGCTCTGGGATGCAGAAAGGAGAGAAAGACTCTTCCCTCCTGCTTGATTCTGACATATATCTGCTTTTTCAAACTATGTTTTTCTTCATCTAGGATGAGTTTAGGGAAGGGAGAAGAAAAAGGGCTGAAAAAGAAGTGGCTTCCTCATTCTCCAGTATCCTAGCACATGTTATTCCAGCACCATGGGAGAAAAAATTCTGCTGTGTTTAAGAAATCAGCAGATTCTCGGAGTATTTCTAAGAGCTTCATGGGAGACATATAATGCTGAACTGTGCTGAGAATAAGCAGGGATAAGGGAAGGTGTTTGCGGAGCGTACTCCTCAGATTTCTACTTTGGGCATAAGTTGCAGGGCCCAGGCTATGAGCCTTGCAGTGGGGGCCAGGCAGCTCTTGGATTTCTCTGTCAGTGTTGAGGCTTCACGAGGTAGCAGCCAAAAGAGGAGCATCCCACATAGACCTGAAGACATGTAAGGGACACTTAATAATGTTTGAGTAAATGAGAAAATGGCAAGAAAAGGCTCTTTTTACTTTGATTTTCAGAAACATCAAGGATGTCAAAGCTTACCAGTTCTGACTTGATTTGTATTACAGTCAATAACCTGAAAGTCGTTGAATTAAAAGAAACAAGACTGCTCTATTTCCTTCCATCTCACTGCCCTTTTTGACTAGATTTTCAGAATGTTCTCTTGTAAAAATTCCAAGCATACAGAGTTCTTTATAAAAACTAGCTCTTTTTATGAGAACAAGGAACTTTTTAATGTTGCTTGTTCGTTTTCATCCCGATTTCCTATTCCTATTTTACCCACTCTTCCATATGTGACCAAGTGCATGTTTGGTGTGATCCCTTTGCTTTTATATTTTGTAAAATGTGTGTCATATTTTGTGTGCATTATTTTTTAATTTACATTGTACTGCGACAGAGATCTTCTTCTTTCTACTAACATCATCTTTTTTTTCCTCTGTGCATAGTCTACTATGGGGTGCATCCATTTTATTTGATCTATCTACTCCTCAGTGTTGGACACTTGGATTGCCTTTGATATCCTGCTCCAAAAGTGGTGTTGTGGCAAACATCCTGGTACTTGTCCCTTTACAGAGGTGTACGATAATTTGGGGTAGCATATATATCCAGGATTAAAATTAATAGGTTAAAAGGGCAAAATTATACAGTTATTTTAATCAACTGCAGCCAATTCCTCACCAGAATGGCTTTCAAGTCTTCCTTCTCCCCAGCAGTGATGAGGGCTCCTCCATCCCTGTATTTCTGCCAGCACAGCATTATCCAGCTCTCTACTTTTTGCTTGTCCTATGGGTATAAAGTGATCTCCCATTATTGCTTTAATTTACATGTTTTTACTAATGCTTCTCTTTAGATATTGACTTTTCATGATGCATCTTCTGTAAATTAACTTTTCTTTGCCTATTCTCTATTGAGATTCCTGTCTTTTTCATGTTGATTGCTGGAGTCTCTTGTCAGTTTTAGATAATGCAAATATCTTTTCCAAATTTGTCATGACTCTGTTAACTTTGACCGTGACATCTTTTGTTGAGCAAAAATCTTTAATTTTTATAAAATCAAATTCATTTTTTGCCTTATATTTTATATCTCTGGGGTAAAGAGCTTTATTAAAGTAATATTTTTATGACAACATAATAGATGGAAAGATGTTTTTTGATAGTTTTATGTCAAACAACAAGCATCATTTCTACGGAGTTGAATATGAATCTCTTCTAATGGCTTTAGGCTTCTGCATTAGTATGAGTAGCTCTGCAGGTTTCTCTAGACCCAAGTGGAGAATGGGGTTTGTTTGTGGCATGCATACTAAAGAGCTTTTCACCTAAGGAAAGAAGGCCTTTTGAGGAAATAATCTTATTCCCAGGAAACTCTAGCTGTTTGGCTCACACTTTCCTGGCAAAGAAGCTTGGACCTGCCCAGGGCTGAAGGATTTAAATGTCATTGTGTCCTTCATTCAGCCTCCACTGAGTGACTTAATTTTTCTTATCAAGTACTGTTGAAGATAGATAATGAAAGAAATACTGTACTGTGAAAGCTCCCCTGGGGTTGTTCCAGGTCCATGGGACCCATGGGAGTGATTGCTAAGCATTTCTGAAGTTGCCTGTCCTCTCTGTGAGGAGCCTCCTTGTACAAAGTAATGTCCTGGGCTTTGGATGGCAGCCTGATGCTTCCTTTCTGTGACCCCGACTAAACATGTTTGTCTCTAATCTTTTGACTACTCTCTTTGCCTTCCTGGGGGGAGTGGCTAATCAATCAGTCTCTTAGGCATACAGTTTTCTTTTTTTTTTTTTGTCTTTTTATTTTTTAATTTTATTTCATATATATTTTTAATTTTAATTTAATTTTATTTTTCCATAAGTTATTGGGGTACAGGTGGTGTTTGGTTATGTAAGTTCTTTAGTGGTGATTTGTGAGATTTTGGTGCACCCATCACCCAAGCAGGATACATTCCATCATATTTGTAGTCTTTTATCCCTCATCTGCCTCCCACTCTTCCCTACAAGTCCCCAAAGCCCATTGTATCATTTTTATGCTTTTGTGTCCTCATAGCTTAGCTCCCACATATCAGTGAGAACATAACAATGTTTGGTTTTCCATTACTGAGTTACTTCACTTAGAACAGCAGTCTCCAATCTCATCCAGGTCTCTGCAAATGCTGTTAATTTATTCCTTTTTATGGCTGAGTAGTATTCCATCATATATATATCTAGAGATATATGATATATCTATCTAGAGATATATGATATATCTATCTAGATATATATGATATATCTATCTAGATATATATGATATATCTATCTAGATATATATGATATATCTATCTAGATATATATGATATATCTATCTAGATATATATGATATATCTAGATATATGATATCTATATCTATATCTATATATGATATATATATCTATCTCACAGTTTCTTTATCCACTCATTGATTAATGGGCATTTGGGTTGGTTCCATGATTTTGCAAATGTGAATTGTGCTGTTGTTTTTATTGCATTTGCTTTTGGGTTCTCAGTTACGAAATCCTTGCCTATTCCAATGTCTAGAAGGGTTTCTCCAGTGTTATCTTCTAGAATTTTTATAGTTTCAGGCCTTAGGTGTTTTTTTTTTTTAATTTCACTTTAAGTTCTGGGATACACGTGCAGATTGTACAGGTTTGTTACATAGGCATATATGTAGGCATACAGTTTCTATTGCTCATGTCACCTTCTTAGGTGCAGAGAGTGCACAGATTTCTAAGAGACAGCTGAGTCTTACAGATTTCCCGTCAAATCTTGAGGCCTGGTACTCTAGCATCTCTGATATCCTCTCTGTGATATTTGAATTTTCTCACTCTTAGAATCTGAACAGAATTTCTCAAGATTCTAAATTGTGACAAATGACTAGATACTTTAGGAATGTCTTCTTGGTTACCACTCGCAAGGGTATTCCTAACTCTCTGGCAAAGAGGCAAGTATCAGAAAAATATTGCTGTTACTGAGAGATGAGTGTGCCTAGAAGTAGAAACTACAGCATTCTGGCAGGGAAAGCAGATGTGACAATTTAATACATAGAAGGAGTGCAGAGAGATGGAGGTGTTATGTATGGTCTAGGAGAGGAAATTTAAAGAAGGGAGCAATGAACATTGAAGAAAATTATTTTATTACTGAAAGAAGAGTCTCAATTAAGAAAGTCTAGGTGGCACTGGCTGGTTTGGATTCCTCCAGGATTGAGTGAGCCCAAATCAATGGCTATTACAGGAATGCTCAGGCATGCAGCCTGTATCTCCTTCAAGGAGGCCATTCAGAGTCATGTTCCATCTCTGGAGAGTAGGGCTTAGGTCCAGCCATGGGTTGACCCACTGTTAGGTTCTTAAAGAAGCAGTGGGAGGAGGAGTTGATTGATTTGTGTTCTGAGGCATAGCAGAACTCACCCTCAGACCCCTCTGACCTATATGGTGGCAGTGGAGCTGAGGGGTAACCTTTGTCTAGTAACTGCATCTGTAGCAATCTATTATTTCAGAGTCAATTGACTCGATTGATTGAGATCACCAAACTCCTCAGCCTGGCATTTAAAGCGCTTTACAATTTGGCACTTCTTTTTCTTTTCATGCTTAATTCTCAGGATATGCCTCTATATACCCAACTTCAGTCACAATCATCCACTCACCATTTCCCAAATGTAGCCTTCAGTCAAGGGATGCTAAGCCATTGCTCAACCTGTTTTCTTTACTTAGAATGCCTTCTCATACTATGACTCCCAAAGTCCGACACATTCTTCATGTCTCAGCTGAAATCACCCTCCTTCCTCATAGATTCTCCCAGTAGAATTTAAGCTCCCCTTTCCATATTTGCAAAATCTTTTGAACATTTGTTATATAATGTATCATATTTTATCCTACAGTGAAATTATTTTATATATATAATATGTATGTTATATGTATATATTATATATACTTGTTTTCTTAAACAATTTGGAAGTCTCATTAAAAAAATGAAAACAATATAACCCTATTATACTTAGGTTAGTACTTTGGATATAGAGGTACTCAATAAAGCTTGTTGTATTCAACTCTGAAGTTGAGGCAAATCATAAATGTGATTGGATATTGAATATAGAAGATTGAATGGATTTTCAACATTTAAAATACCATCTGATCTTTTTTGGCATCTGGCACAACTTTCCATAAGTCTTCATTTCTTTTTGTTGGTTCTACTCTGCTTCCTCACCACAACTCTAGACCGTTAGCCCTTCCTCAGTCTCTGGGAAGGCCTGAAACATACCCTGCATGGATCCTGGTGGGGCTGTTGTGCTGGCAGCTGCCTGGCTCACCTCACCAGCCCTGGAGGGGCCCACACACCCTCCCCAGAGTGGCTCCTGGGAAGCCTGCACATTCTCCTGCCTTTTAGTGCTATTGGGCTTTTTCTTTTAAGATGATTCTTCTATGTCTATTCTCCTAATCAATGTACTCTAGAACACAGGAGTCAAGGTAGTATAACAGTTTAAAGTGTGGACTTTGGAGATCTGAGCTTGAATTCTAACTCTATTACCTACTAGGTATTATCTTGGGAAAGATGCTTAATATTATCAAAGCAACTCCCTCCCCTCCCCTCCCCTTCCCTCCCCTCCCCTTCCCTCCCCTTTCCTCCCCTTCCCTTCCATTCCCTCCCATTCCCTCCCCTTCCCTCCCCTTCCCTCCCCTTCCCTCCCCTTCCCTTCCCTTCCTTCCAGAAATGGGGTCTCTCTATGTTGCCTCGGCTGGTCTCTCAAACTTCTTGCCTCAAATGATCCTCTCACCTTGGCCTCCCAAAGTACTGGGATTATAGGCAGGAGTCACTGTCCCCAGCCAGTAAGTTTTTCAGTGGTGAAATAGAAATAATAACATATTAACTCATAGAGCTCTTGTGAAGATTAAATTATATAGATGCCAGCACTTAGCAGCTCCTAGCATGGGGTAATCAGATACTTTAACAAAATAGCGGTTGTGACTCTCATTCTTCATCTCTATTCCTACATATTTTGTTAAGAGTAATGTTTGGTACTCTTATTTGTATTATACTCTTTAAGTATAATTTACCTTATCCCTCTGCAATGTCCCCAGTCAGAGATACTTAGTATATATTTACAAGATAAAGGCAACACCATCTTCTGGGTGATCTCCATCTTTCTTCTTTCTTTTCTCAATATTGCTATTTTTTGAGGCCGCTTATTTATATTTTCATGTAGAAATGAATGTCCTTGCTGTGGAGCTATTTCTTCAATTTTACACTAACTTTTATGGAGATACATATATACTATTATTGTCTTCTCTAGTACAAAAGCAGAGATATAAACTAGACATCAAGAACATCCTGTTCCCAAAGCACACCAGAACAAACCAGAAAATCACAAACCTGTAGCAAACTTGGGTTAGTAAAAACAAGACTTCATACTTCAATTTTCTTTGTATTTAAAAACCTTCACAAATGTTAAGTTAGTAAGTCTCATAGCAGCTCTTTCAGATAAGCCCTTAGGTAAATGTTTTCTCTTGCAATTTTTGAATCTGAGTCAATACTGGAGACTAGCTGGCCAGCCTGTTGTCTGGCCACTGAATTATGCAACTCATCTCCAAATGAAGCCTGAAGTGATGCAGGAGGTAATCAATAGAAGGGCTTGATCGATGTTCAATAGAGGAAAGAAAGTCTAATGAACAAAATACAGGACTGGGAGCACAGCCAGGCCTGAATTCCAATCTTCTCCTGGCCTTGTAAGCAGAAGACTAACTTGGTAATTTCATTCCTGGAGTATATTCCTATAACTGCATCCTTCTCTCCATGGATCCTGCTCTGCTCTGAGCCTCTTGATCAAATGGGCAAATGGTTGAAGAGGTCACGAGAAAAAGACATGCAGCAGCAGCAGAAGCGACATGAGCCTGTGTTTTTCATCATTGTTTATCCCTGATGCCAGAGCATGTTTATGTGTGTGTGTGTGTGTGTGTGTGTGTGCATGTAGATACATACTCATGTGCATTCCTCTTCCTTGCTCTTTCTGCTTACTGACTCTGTCTCTGACCTCTATACTGTGACATTCATTCAGTCAGTGTCTATTTACTGAGCTCCACTCTCTGTGGGGAACTGTGGAGTTCCAGGGACTCAGTCATGGACAATACAAAAGAGGATCTTGCTCTCAATTCTTAAAGATCCATTAGACAAGAAAATTTGGCTTTGTTTTATTTTACTTTTTACTGTTTCATTATGAACACTTTCAAGCATGCAATAAATGGAGGAAATAGTAAGGCAAACCCCAATGTGCAAGTATCTACTACCCAACTTCAAAAATTATCAATGATCTTGTTTTATATTGGCCTTTATCTACTTGCCCATCCCTCACTACATGCACATACACTTGATGATTGTGAAGCAACTCCCAGCCTTCATGCCATTGCGGCAGGACAGTTTTGATTTCCTCAGATGGAGTCTGAAGAGAGAACTCCCATCTTGCCAATGCTCCTGTAAGACATGGCAAATGACTGCTGAGAGGACCTCAGTCACACCAGTCCCCTAGAAGAGCTCACTTACTCGTAACGCTTTTGTTTCCAGAGAGCTCCACGCTGTAAAAAATGATGGGAGCAGAAAGGCAATGGAGCTGGGTTTGGTGTGGAGTAGAACAGGGTGAATGAGTACCCTGGCCTATCATGCATCTGCCCGAGGAGACATCTTTGTATGGCCAGTTGTCTGTGGCTCTCAAACTCCTCCCAACACCGTCTAAGGCCCCTTGAGCCCAAACTTAACTAAAAGTCTTGAGTGCATCTTGATCTGAATTCTGGGCCATTGCCGGTTGTGAGCTTTTTTGTTTCTCTGTCACTGAAGGCTTGATGTTTGACCTGGGGGCCAGATTAGCAGGGAGGGATCTTGAGAAATGAGTAATAGATTAATAGTAGTAGTAATAATTATAATAATAATTAAAAAAACAAAAAGCTATTGAGTTTACTATGTGCAGTTGTATCAAATGAGTGTGCAGGTACCCATTTGATACAATTCTATGAGGTAGTAGTATTATTATCTCCATTTTATAGATGTAGAAACCATAGATAACTTGACCAAGGTCACAGGCAGTGAGAGGCGAGCTGGAATACAAACCCAGGCAGCCTAGTTGCAGAGCCCACCCTCTTAACCACTATGCTATATATCATATATTACATATTATATATTATAGTTTTTCTGGAGTCTCATGAGCCTTAGGGTCACTAGCCTTAGGGAGAAAAGACTCTGACAAGTATAAGGTAAGGCAAAGATGAATGAGAGAAAGTGATATAAAAAAATGAAAAATCTGGCAGAGTGTGGTGTCTCACGCCTGTAATCCTAGCACTTTGGGAGCCCAAGGCTGGAGGATCGCTTGAGCTTAGGAGTTTGAGACCAGCCTAGGCAACATGTGAGACCTCATTTCTATTTTTAAATACAAACAAAGAAAAAATAAAAATAGTAGGATCTACTTGTAACAAATGTACCATACTAATGTAAGATGTTAATAATGGAGACAAGTGTGTAGGGGAGTAGAGGACATACAGGAACTTCATTCTTTCTGTGCAATTTTCTTGCAAACCTTAAACTGCAAAATAAAAACTTTTAAAAAATAAAGACTTCCTAAGATGATACTGAGTGATAAGCTGGGACAATTTGACATAGCATGGCTGAAAACAGAGGCTAGAAAAACTGTCATGTTTAGTTATGATCGAGGAGGTTCCTAGGAAACCTGACTACTTATCACTTATAGTAAGTTGTGAAGATCAAATGAGATTCATAAATGGAAAAACAGTTCTGGAAAAGCATTTATGTTTCTGCTGATTTATATTGCCTTTCCTGTGAGCAGCTGGGACCACAGGTGCACACCACCATGCCCTGCTAATTTAATTTTTTTTTTGTAGGGACAGGGTCTCACTATGTTTCCCAGGCTAGTCTTGGCCTCAAGCAATCCTCCTGCCTTAGCCTTCCAAAGTTCTGGGATTACAGGTCTGAGCCACTGCACCTGGTCCCGTATTTTTGTTACCATCCTTATCCTGAGAGGATCAGGATACACCAGAACTTTGCCCAAAGTATCTCTGCCCCGGAGTGACTCTAAGAAAATATCTGTTCATTCTCATCATAGTCAATATTTGCATCTACTATTATCAGGGTTGGGGGGCACAGTGAGTGTGCATCTGGGTTAGTGTGTGAATAGTGCAGATTTCCAATCAGGTCCCCTCCACACACATTTTTGTGAGTGTGACTAGGTGAGTATGACTAGGTAGTCATGTGCTTCATAATTATTGACTTATACATTCCATGTTTCTTATAAAGAACATGGCTTATTGGGTAATAACTTCTGCTTCTGGTTTTTCCTTGGGGCTAATAGAATTAAGAACTGAGATATCTGAATTAGAGTGCTGTGAATAGTAACCCGGTTATTTTCCAAAGAAGCTATATGCTAATTTTGTTTATCTCCATGACCCAAGAGGAGGTCATGAATGACCTCAAGCAGTTACATCATGGTTTTCACTTTGTTAAATAGTTCACCTTTTATGAGTAGATTATAAAACCACAGGGCAGAGCTTTGACATCTTCATTCAGTTTTATAGCTCTGTGTAGTCAGTGCTTAATAAATAATAGGGGCAATACTGCTAAATTGATAAAAATAGATCTTACTGCACATAGAGCATTTGGGAACCATGAGGATTAAGCCACAGTCTATTCTGTGTATTGTAATTCAATCATACTTTAGAAGGTTTAGCTGTGGGAAATTGCTAGAACTACAAGATCAAGTCACCCCTTTTGCTTTTACCAGTTTTGAGGAATGTATAAAATAAGAATAAAAACAAGGGAAAATTAAGCTCACATGTTTGCTAAACAAACAAACAAACAAACAAGCAAACAAAAAAACCCAAGGGTGTAATTTAAAAAAAACTATGATGTTTGAGAGTATACAAATTTTGAGAATTGTTTCCAGGTGCTACAAGTGAGATTAAAAGCTATTTCTAGGCATTAACTCACATTCAAGATGTCTGGGTATGCACTCATCAGTGTGTGAATATGCAGTTGCTTCTTCATGAAAATCTGGAATATTCTGGAGTATATCTCGTCAGTGCTCTGTTTCTCACCAAGGGGCCAACGCTTCTTTAAAAATCTAAATATACGTCCTAGAAATGCAGATTATCCACCCATGGCTTCTCCCCAAATGATAGTTGAGATCACTTGGCCTCTGTCCTCTTCTATCCTCTTTGCTTTCAATCTGTGAATTTTACTTTGCTACCTACTCAAAACAGAACTCCATCTAGGTGCTCTGAGACATCTAGTCATGGCTGCAGTTCCTGGCTTTACCTCCACCTGCCTCCCCTTTCTTTCTTGTCATTGCTGCAGTTACAGATTTTACATTTTCTTAGACCCTTCATGTGTCTTTGTTCAGCATGTGTCTTTTAATGGAAAATCCAATTTTTATCAGTGGCTGTTACACTCTCTGGCCATTTCAAATATATAGGTTACATTTGCACATTTGCATGTGACTTTGATGTCATATAAATAAAAATAAGCAAAAAAAAAAAATTAAACTCACACACAGACACACAAAATTAGGCAATACCAGGAAGTCTCCAGAAGATGGGTGTGCAGCTGCTTCTCTTGCCCTATGACTCCTCAGCTGTATCTGGCTCAGTAATGTGAATACTTATTTATAAACTAATCAAGGCATAAGATCCCACTTTTGCTTTAGAAAGTATTATTTTTTCCAATATAAACATATATGGGACCTGAATGAGTGATTTTGGATGTTTGGCTATTTCAAAGAATAGAGGAAAGAAAAGAGGGACATTCATCTTTATTCTAAGTCAGGATACTCTAAATGAAGAAAGCTTTTTTACTGGAGGAATTTTGGCTTGAAAAGATGGGGAAATCTTATGTCTAAGCTCTTTATTCCTCCCAATTCTTTTCTAGCCTTTGCAAATGCTTGTGCAATTTTATTTATTAATGAACTTGGATTTAAGGCTATAAGCATCCTTTAATAACATGGAAATAAACTATCACATTCCATGCTGATATTATTTCCCCAATTTTTTCTTTCCTTTAATGAAACTTTCCAAGCTATCTATTTCATACACTAATATTTGCAGATAACTGCTTTACGTTGCAATGTATTGAGTCATTTTGTTCCATGCCTCTCATTCTATTATCTTGATTTTAGTCCCAGCATTCTCTTTCTGCAGAGATCCAGTTTATTGATCACAACTTCTGCCAAGGTCATTTACTCCTAGAAGTTCAAATGGGCACCAGCACCAGACTGAAGACTTTTATCTTGACTCCTGAACTAACACACCATATATTTTTTCCCATTACATCTACAGCAAGCATGTGCTGCCTTTTTAAAAAATATTTTGTTTTGCTCTTTATCTTATTGCTGGAGAAATTCCAACATGTTTCTTAAGTCTTCTGATCAATTTATGAGAATTATTTCCTTTTCCTCTCCTCTCCACATGATGCATGCACTCATCTCAATTCTTATAACCATATCCAGTCATTTATTTTCATTTTATGACTACACGTCCAGTAATGTCAGGTAGAAAAATTTTATAAGAGCTTGTTTTTCTAATTTCACATGAGCCCCTGAAGATTCAAGTTTATTTTTAACTCTTCAGAACATAAAATTTCCCTGTTTATGTTGAGAGCAAACAGGTTTTGAACAGTGGTTTAAATTTTTTTTTTCCAAATCAGAAATAGTTGAAATCCACTTCAAAATGAAAACAAGGTGGTTTTCCATTGTCCCAACTCTTTGTGCTTTTGTCCTTAACAATATTTTAGGCTACAAATGGTATCAAACATGTCTTTGAACACTCCCACTCCAATCTCAAATCAACTATGTTTAGTACCACATCATTACATTTTACAGTCAATACCACCATTACAGACTTGATTAAATGAACTCCACTGGGTTCTATAACATTAATTATAGCTGCACAACTCCTGCAGCCATCAGAGAACATTCATTATGTATGACTCCATCCACAGAAGGAGAAATTGCTGACTATTTGGGTGATGTCTTTTCAGAGGAGATCTGTAGTGACTGTTGATCTCCACAAATATAACTTATTTGAGGAAGACTCTAAAAATGTAAAACTTTGTAGGGTTATTTTATCCCTCAAAGATGAGACAGCAAAAGCAGCATGTTCTAATGCTAGTGAGCTCAATTTAGGTTTTGCATCCTACTTCAACTTGGCCCAATTCTACGATAAACAGGGTTCCCCCCAACAATTAACCATTATTCGATAAATGTTTATTAAACAGCAATTACATTCCTACTTTGCAACATAAAAGATGCAAAGATAATGTCTCGATCTCAGTTTATATAGGCAACAATATCAACTGTGTGTAAAAATTATAAGGTTTATATGTATCTGATGAAGCAAAAAAGTGTAGGCCCAGGAATAAGAAAGTTTACTTAAAGTCTAATGTTATCTTTTGCCTTCTGTTACTTCCCATATAGGAATAGTTCATGTTTACATCCACTTCTGGGTGGGTTCATGGAACAAGTGGCCTGGATGTCCAAGACCACCTGGACTCCACAATAGTCATCCCCACATGATTAGCTAATTCCTCCTCCCTGATTTGAGTTTTTCTGCTTGTAGAAATAGTCTCAAATAGAAGAGACACTAGAAGCAAATAAATTAGTTAAAAAGAATCAATACATTATGAAGAAAAGAAATACAGTTATCCCTCAGTATCCATGGGAGATGGGTTCCAGGACCTCTGTGGATACCAAAATCTGTGATGCTCAAATTCCTTACGTAAACTGGTATAGTGGTTGCATATAACCTGAACATCTTCCTGTATACTTTAAATCATCTATGGGTTATATGTAATGCCTAATACGATGTAAATGCTGTATAAATAGCTGTTGCACTATATTATTTAGGGAATAATGACAAGGAAAAAAGTCTGTACATGTTTGGTATAGATGAAACTATGCTGGGCCCAGCTCCATTACACTCTGTGGTTTGTTGAATCTGCAGATGTGGAACCTGCAGATATGGAACCTGCAGATATGGAGGGCTGACTGTATGTAGTTAGAAAACAGTTAATTTAAAACATATTTGTGTTCGCACAGTTATTTATACCTGGATTCTGTAGGTGTGTTTCTTGGTTTACTCAACAGTGCATCCTCACTGGGGGTTTATAATCTCCCTCCAACTAAGGACACCTGGAACCAGAGAGTTGCTCCTCCTTTTGATTCTTCACATCTTTGATGCCATCCTCTTCTCTCCTGAACAAGATGTCCTCTTCTTGAATCAAAGGTGGCCTCTCTTCACTGACTATGAGAGCTTAGACTCTGAATTTACTTAATGGATTCTTAACTGCAAAAATGCCGTTACTACTACAAACATTATTTATCTTTTACTATAGTAATTATTATTTTTCTTTTAATCTTCTTTCTAGATGTAATGCCAAAATTCTGACTCTATGCGGGAGATCATTTTGTTTTCATGAGAAGAAAGCAAAACATTTTCCTCTTCTTTCTGTAGGAGAAGCCATATTTATATAAGTCATGATTTTAAAAGACTTATGGTTTCCAAACCCAAGCAGGCACTATCTCTCTATTTTTTACCTGAACAATCTTCTGACATGCCAAGAAATTGACTGCACTGGGCTGCAGCTCTTGTCTTCAGGCCAGCAGAAAAACATTAACACTTTCCTGCTTGTCATACAAGGATCACACTAACTCATAGAACTGACTTCTAGTGCTGATGGCAACTTGAGCCACAACATTCAAGGAGTTCAAGGAAGAATTTATAGGTAAGATGAAAAGAGCTGTTTCCTCTTTTCAATATGCTGGCCAAAGGGCAAAGGCAGTGCCCTCTACTCATCTCAGGCTCAGTTGAACAAGTCACAAAGAAGAGTTTCAGACACACTCTACTTTTGCCCCTCATTTAGGCATACGACTTTTATATGACTTTTTCCCCAAAGATATTTCTCTCTTTCTTTCTTTCTTTTTTTTTTTTTTTTTTTTGAGACAGAGTCTTGCTCTGTCACCCCAGCTGGAGTGCAGTGGCGTGATCTCTACTCGCTGCAAGCTCCGCCTCCCGGGTTCATGCCATTCTCCTGCCTCAGCCTCCCCAGTAGCTGGGACTACAGGCGACTGCCACCACACCCGGCTAATTTTTTGTATATTTAGTAGAGACGGGGTTTCACCGTGTCAGACAGGATGGTCTCGATCTCCTGACCTCGTGATCCGCCCTCCTCGGCCTCCCAAAGTTCTGGGATTACAGGCGTGAGCCACCACACCTGGCCAGATATTTCTTACACATTAAACACAAAGCTATTTTAAACAAATGTGTCAGAAAAGTCAGTCTCTTCAAAGGAGAACATCTGCTTATTCTGCATTTTTCCCAACTGCAAAGTCTATCATCTCTCTGCAGCCTCACTGTGAAGAGCTCTTTAGAAGTGCCCTTTCTAGAACGAACTTCTGGTGAGTCATCATCAATACCTCATCCTTGTGTCAGACCTCATCAGGTGTACTTGTCAATGGAAAATGTTCCTAAGCCAGTACTTCAAGGAGAGTGTGCATCTACCTTCTGAGATTTACTGAATTACAGCGACCACAAATATCCCTCGAGTCAAGTGGGCTAGAGGGTCTGAAATACAGGCAGGTATACCTGCAGCAGGGCAGCACAATGGATCCAGATCCTACTGACAATCAGGGCTGCTTCCGTGGACTTTTGCAGAAGGTCTTTTTATTCAAGAATGTGCCTTCCTTTAGTGACGTCTAATTATATGTGAATTTAGTCAAGAAAAATGGCAACCGTATTATAATAAGCTAGAAAGTCTTTAGGCCTAGTGTTTTTCAAATTTTCCTGGTAAGAAGCTTATTAGGGGGAGCCCATTAAGAATACAGAATTCCAAGCCAAACCTGAGATCCACTGAATCAGAATCTACAAGAGTTAGATAATTGGTATTTTTTATTGAAAGTCTCAAGTAAGTCTTGAGTTCAAGCAAGAATAAGAAATACTGTTTAAGCCAATAAGGAGGAAGTCCAATAAGAATACATCAGTCCAAGGTCCCCTTAGCCCAGCATTCAAGGTCTGACAGTAGCCTACTATCTATCTGCACTTATCTGAAAGGGAAAGGCAGTTGTGGTATAATAGAATGAGCATTGGAGTCAGAGCCATACCTCAAAAATTCAGTCTCTGAGTTTATCTAGTTTGTGACTTGGAATAAATTACTTAAACCCACTGAATTTTCATTTTGTTGTCTATATTATGATAATAATAATTCTTACCTCAAACTATTGTTTTGAGAATTGAATTTTATAACATTAAAGCAATATTTATTAAGTACTTAGTATCCATCAAATTCTATGCTAGGTGCTCTTTCTTCTGGTATCTTATGTGCCAAATTCATCATAGTCATTCAATAATTATGGATGGAATAAATGAAATATAATAGTTGAATAAACAGTAGTCAGTATAAGCTGCATAAAAATAACATTAAGCTATCATATGACACTTTATGGTATTTAAAATAGTTCTGCTTCATTAAAACTATATTTTAAAGTGTTTATGGTAGAAAAGAAAGTTTGATGGAGGGGATGATTGTGAGGTCTGTTGGTGTAGAATGGTGCCTTCATTCTTGCACTGTGTCAATGCACACAAGAAATCATCATTTACGAATAGGCCAGTCAGTGCTGGCCTAGCTTCTGAGCACAGAGAACAAACCCTCACAAGGATACAGGGTAACCTGATCAGGGAACAACAGGAGAAAGAATTCCCCTGTGGGGTATTTTACAAGTGAAGTGTTTTATTTCATTCCAGGTACAACATATTAAGAGTTACTCTACAGACTAGAGGATGATGAGGATGTAATTCATTAACAAATGGTACTACTAAATGGTACTACTGGACTGGCTCTTTGAAAGTACAGAGTTTTTATTGCATTTTATTTATTTTCCCAAAATGCTTAATACTCAGTTACCTCAAGAAACTCAAGGTCAGTGAGGGAGAAAAGCAGGTAAGCAGACAATTACAATGCCGTGCCATTCTCTACATTGTCCTCTCAACAAAGGAACTCTGTCCCTCCCCGCAGGATGGAGAAGTCCTGCTTTGGTTGGTCAGGTCTGGGGGACAATGTTTCCTAAGCAACAGAGCTTTAAGATATAGGTAGAGCCCCATGAATTCTTTATCTTCTTCTTCTGCCCAAGCAAGCAGACACAACAGTAAACTAGGAAATTGACCAAGGGCAGATCAACCCATTATTTCTTTCTTTGGACACTGTCTTTTCCCCATGTGCTGCCAGGCTGCAGACATTAATCAGTCTTGGACTCAGCTCAGCATGGAACTTTGGAGGCAAATTTGCTATCTTTTTATGTGCCTTGTTCCTTGGCACTGGTGGGTGGGTGTTGAACAGACACTTCCTTTCCCACTAGTGTTCACATCCAAGGTAGAGAATCTAGTGGAGTAGACCTTATGGCCCACTTTAGTTTGAAGTTATTCAGGCATAATTAGCCTAGAAAAAGGAGTTTTGTATTTGGTCTAATCTATTTAAGTTATTCATTGGAGTTTAGAGCCAAAGTATTAAAGAGGTCTGTAGAAGGAGGAAAGCACAGGGAAGGGGTACCCAGTCCTAGCTCGTAGGCAAGGAAGAAGCCATAGGGGAAGACTTCAAGAAGAGAAGCAACCAGCCAAGCAAAGAAGCTCCTCAGGATGTTCATGAAAAGTGAGCACCATGTGCCAACCCTCGGAGGTGTCATAGAAAACTTAAAGAATTGTGTCTAAAGTGAGGAATTTAGAAAGAACACTCCAAATGAAATATTTGGATGAAATGAGAATGACTCATCTTTTTATGAGAAAGCTTTTATAGAAGCATTCTTATCTTTTAAGAGTATCCTGTGGATAATGTATTGAGCTTGCTCTCATTTTTCCAGAGGATCTAATTAGCAGCAAAAAGGAAATTGCCAGGCAGTGGACTCTGCTCAGTATAAAAAAGTCTCTCCTACAAGACCGAACAATGAGGGATTGGCTGTCCCTAGACTCATATAGGAGAAACCAGAGAAACACGTATGGATGTATTGAAAAGGACATTCATGTGTCAGGTAGAAGCCCAGCCTATGTGACCTCCCAACCCTTTCCAACTCCTGATTCTATCACCAGCCAATTCTTTCAGATTCCCATGCTGCAATGAGGACACCCACTTTCTCTCCCTCTCCCCCCATCTCATTTAAAGGGCAGAAAGACAAATACTGCATTCAAATACTGCAAACCTTTACTTATCCTGGTAAGAACATGGTTTAAGGGGAATTATCATAATTTCAAATAACAAAATACACTTGAGATAAATAAAACACTTTGTATTAGTCCATTCTCTCACTGCTATAAAGAACTACCTGACACTGGGTAATTTTAAAGAAAAGAGGTTTAATTGACTTACAGTTCCACAGACTGTGTAGGAGGCATGGCAGAGGAGGCTTCAGGGAACTTACAATCATGGTGGAAGGGTGAAAGGGAAGCAAGCATGTCTTCACTTGGTGGCAGAAAAGAGAGAGCAAAGGGGGAAGTGCTACATACTTTTAAACAACCAGATCTCATGAGAATCCACTCACTATCACGAGAACACTCACTATTGTGAGAACAGCAAGAGGGAAATCCACCCCTGTGATCCAATCACCTCTCACCAGGTTCCTCCTCCAACAATGAAGATCGTAATTCAACATGAGTCTTGGGTGGGGACACCGAGCCAAACCATATCATTCTGCCTCTGGCTCTGCCCATGTCTTATGTCCTTGTCACATTTGAAAACTAATCATACATTCCTAATAGTCCTCCAGAATCTTAATTCATTCCAGCGTTAACTCAAAAGTCCAAGTCTAAAGTCTCATCTGAGACAAGGCAAGTCTCTTCCAACTATGAGCCTGTAAAATAAAAAACAAGTTAGTTACTTCCAAGATACAATGGGGATACAGGAATTGGGTAAATTATCCAATTCCAAAAGACATAAATTGGCCAAAACATAGGGGCTACAGGCCCCATGCAAGTCCAAAACCCAGCAGAGCAGTCATTAAATCATAAAGCTCCAATATAATCTCCTTTGACTCCATGTCCCACATCCAAGCCACATTGATGCAAGATGTGGGCTCTCAAGGCCTTGGACAGCTCTTTCCTGTGGCTCTGCAGAGTACAGCCCCTGTGGATGCATTCACAGGCTGGTGTTGAGTGCCTGTGGCTTTTCCAGGTGCACAGTGCAAACTGCTTGTAGGGGTCTGGAGGATGGTGGCCCTTTTCTCACAGCTCCACCAGGCAGTACCCAAGGGAGACTCTGTGTGGGAGCTCCAACCCCACATTGCCCCTTTGCACTTCCCTAGTAGAGGTTCACCATGAGGGCTCTGCCCCTGCAGCAGACTTCTGCCTGGATACGCAGGTGTTTCCATACATCCTCTGAAATCTAGGCAGAGGCTCCCAAACTTCAACTCTTGCCTTCTGTACACCTGTAGGTCCAACACCACGTGAAAACTGCCAAGGCTTGTGGTTTATACCCTCTGAAGCAATGGCTCAAGCTGTACTTTTAGCCACAGCTGAAGCTGGAGTGGCTGGGTTGCAGAGTGCCACGTCCCAAGGCTGCGAAGAGCAGCAGAGCCCTGGGACTGGCCCACAAAACCATTTTTACCTCCTAGGTCTCCAGGTCTATGATGAGAAGGGCTGTCACAAAGGTGGCTGAAATGCTCTGGAGGCATTTTCCCCATTGTCTTGGCTATTAACATTCGTCTCTTTTTTACTTATGCAAGTTTCTGTATCCAGCTTGAATTCCTTCCCAGAAAATGGGTTTTTCTTTTCTACCACATGGTCAGACTGCAAGTTCTTCAAACTCTTATGCTCTGCTTCCTTTTTAAATATAAGTTCTAGTTTCAGGCCATTTCTTTGTTTATGCAAATGAGTGTAGGCTTTTAGAAGCAGCCAGGCCACATCTTGAACACTTTGCTGGTTTGAAATTTCTTCCACCAGAGGCTGAGTGTGGTGGCTCACGCATGTAATCCCAGCACTTTGGGAGGCTGAGGTGGGTGGATCACCTGAGGTCAGGAGTTTGAGACCAGCCTGGCCAACATGGCAAAACTCTGTCTCTACTAAAAATACAAAAATTAGCCAGGCATGGTGGCATGTGCCTGTAGTCTCAGCTACACGGGAGGCTGAGTCATGAGAATCGCTTGAACCCAAGAGGAAGAGGTTACAGTGAGCTGAGATCATGCCATTACACTCCAGCCTGGGTGACAGAGTGAGACTCCGTCTCAAAAAAAAAAAAAAAAGAAATTTCTTCCACCAGACACCCTAAATCATCTCTTTCAAGTTCAAAGTTCCACAGATCTCTAGAGCAGGGGCACAATACTGCCAGTCTCTTTGCTAAAGTGTAGCAAGAGTGACCTTTACTCCAGTTCCCACTAAGTTCCTCATCTCCATCTGAGACCACCTCAGCCTGGACTTCACTGCCCATATCACTATCACCATTTTTGTCATAAACATTCAACAAGTCTCTAGAAAGTTCCAAGCCTTTCCTCATTTTCCTGTCTTGTGATTCCTCCAAACTGTTCCAACCTCTGCCCATTACCCAGTTCCAAAGTTGCTTTCACATTTTCAGGTATCTTTATAGCAATGCCTCCACTTCTCTGGTATCAATTTTCTGTACAAGTCTGTTCTCACACTGCTATAAATAACTACCTGAGACTGGGTAATTTTAAAGAAAAGAGGTTTAATTTACTCACAGTTCCACAGGCTGTACAGAAGGCATGGCTGAGGCCTCAGGAAACTTACAGTCATGGCAGAAGTGCAACGGGGAAGCAAGCATGTCTTCACATGTTGGAAGGAGAGAGTGAGTAAAGAGTGAAGTGCTACATACTTTTAAACAACCAGATCTCATGAGGACTCACTCACTCTAATTAGAATAAATGGGGGAAATACAAGTCCATGATCCAATCACCTCTCACAAGGCCCTTCCTCCAAAACTGAAGATCATAATTCAACATGAGATTTGGATGGGGACAGAGAGCCAAACCATATCACACTTCTAAAAATAAATTTTATAGTTCATCAAAATTGAGAAGGCACTTCCAAACCTTGCAGGGCCTTGCATATGTATATAAATACAATATAGCACCATTCTCTACACTGTCCTCTCAACAAAGGAACCCTGTCCCTCCTCCCAGGATGGAGAAGTCCTGCTCCAGTTGGTCAGATTTTGGGGACAATGTTTCCTAAGGAATACAACTGTCAAAAATGAGTAGAGTCCCATGAATGCTTCATCTTCCTCTTCTACCTAAGCAGATATAGCAGTAAATTGGTAAATTTACCATATATATATATACACACACACACATACATATATGTTATATATATGTTACTATATATATATATATAAAAGCATCTGCAGCATTGTATTATAATTTATCTGTTCACTTTTCTTTCCAAATAAGCCACAAAATCCTTTAAAGCAAGGACTTCTATTTATCTCATTCAATTACATTGCCTGGCACACTGGAGGTTCACAGTGAATTAATGAATCAATCTCTTGATTATCACAAATCTTTTGAATTGCATTCTTAGTGCTTTTGCTACAAAACAAGATAACAGAGTTCAATGCAATAGTGTTGACACAAGTATTCATTTTTTAGATCTCTACAACCTAGTTTTTATTTTTCTTTCTATCATGAGTCAAAGAATGAGCCCTCCCACCCCACCATTGAAATCTCAAGTTTATGATCCAATCCTTGCCACTCTTGTGTTTTATTATTGTTGGTAGTTTCTAAAGTTGGCTTTTTTTTGTTTAGGTTTTCCTTGTTATCTGTCAGGTGGAGTGAAATTACTAGCTCAGTTAAGTGTGGGTACATGTAAGTGACTGTGCTGGGCCTGCATAAAAGCTTCAACAACCTTTCCCTGGCACTCTGATAAGTTCTCTGAGGGATGATCAGCTCTGTTCATTTGGTGATGCTATCTGATATTTGATTGGCTAGGTCATTTACACTCTTATCTGGTTTTGTTTGTTTGCATATTCTGCAAGCTTAGCCAGGATCAAACTCTGTGTCAAACCCCTTTAATAATTTAGAATGTTCAATTTACTTCCAGCTTACTATTTGTTTGGGAGTTTTGTGTTTTTCCCCCTAATGACATAATGTAGTTTTCACAGGGGCTGAATGGTCACAGGCTTCCTTCACATCTCTGCAGTCACATATCTTATTGATCCTCATTAGTCATAAACAGGAGGAGATATAGCACTGCAAATTTTCTAAATACATTTGCTTCTGTTTCCTTGTGGGTAGGTGCTGGGATTTGCCATATTACATTTGAGGTTTGGCTCTTTTTCTAGGGGAAACTTTGTTAGCACCTTATACATTGAAATATTATTAGTAATATTAGGTTATCTCTATGTGCTGAGCATGGTGCCCAGTGATGGAATGATAAATGGCAGCAACTATAAATTTTTATGCCCCAAAAGCACTAAACGAGACCCACAAAATTACTCACATAGAATAAAAAATTTAGAGGCAAACCAAGCCAGATTTAATAAGTTAAACAGCCCTCTCTGTGTGTCAGAAAACCTCCTGAGTTTACCAAAAAAGCTTTCTGATAGAAGCAGGCACAACCAGATGAAGGAAAGCACAGAACATCAGAAGATGTGAAACACAGTGACCACTAAGTGACAAAAGAGTAAAATCCCCAAGTCATCATTGCTAGAGAGATGGCTGGTGCTGGTAGGTGAACCACCTATGAAAGAGCTCATTATCAAACCACAGGAAGAGGCACTTTGTGATAGAAGATAAATTTTTACAACAGTGTGAGGAAAGATGGCTATAGACATAGTCAAAAGGGCAGGGTCCACCCTAGGAACACCCCTCCCTCTTTTAGCCATATGCTGAAGGCTTAATACATGGCAAGCCCTAAGCTAAGCAGTCATACATTATGTGATTTAACACATACAAAAACCCTTTGGGGAAGATATTGACGTTGCCATTTTATTGATGAAGAAAAAGAGAAGCTGAGAGGTGAGGTAACTCCCCACAAAGTCCCCATATTAGTAAGTGGTAATGCCAGCCTATAAATCTGAATTTCTCCTTGCAAAATCCACACTCTTCAGTACTATGCCATGCTTCTAGACAAGTAAAGCAAGGAGTTGGCATTCTACAGAGCATATTTGAGAAAACCCCCTAGAACCCAATTTATAGGTATTTTGGATGAACTTTGAGCCTTTAAGATGCAATGAAAAAGAACTTAGCAATTAGAGAATGGAAGTAAGATAGGGAAAGAGAGTCCTGAGCAGCATAAGGCTGAATTCTGTTGATTACTATCAAGGGTCTCATGCCCAGAATTGCAAAATCCAAGTAAGCAAAGGGGCACATTTTCTTAATGCCATCTTCAGAAAGTTTATTTCTGCCTGCAGGGCTAAGCATGATAGAAACACACTTTCTCCCAGCACACAATATTCACACTGCATTAAAAATGGACTGATTCTGAGGAAGCGGGGCTGAGCAGCCTCTGCTGTGCCTCATTCTGCCCCATACAGAGATCCTGCTTTATGACATGGGCTTTAATTTCCCTTTACTCTTATGATGTTTGCTATGACTTTTTTTTTTTTCCAGAGTGATTGCATCATTTATTTTATTTTATTGTATTATTATTATACTTTAAGTTTTAGGGTACATGTGTACAATGTGCAGATTAGTTACATATGTATACATGTGCCATGCTGGTGTGCTGCACCCATTAACTCGTCATTTAGCATTAGGTATATCTCCTAAAGCTATCCCTCCCGCCTCCCCCCACCCCACAACAGTCCCCAGAGTGTGATGTTCCCCTTCCGGTGTCCATGTGTTCTCATTGTTCAATTCCCACCTATAAGTGAGAATATGTGGTGTTTGGTTTTTTGTCCTTGTGATAGTTTACTGAGAATGATGATTTCCAATTTCATTCATGTCCCTACAAAGGACATAAACTCATCATTTTTTATGGCTGCTTAGTATTCTGTGGTGTATATGTGCCACATTTTCTTAATCCAGTCTATCATTGTTGGACATTTGGGTTGGTTCCAAATCTTTGCTATTGTGAATAGTGCCACAATAAACATACGTGTGCATGTGTCTTTATAGCAGCATGATTTATAGTCCTTCGGGTATATACCCAGTAAAGGGATGGCTGGGTCAAATGGTATTTCTAGTTCTGGATCCCTGAGGAATCGCCACACTGACTTCCACAATGGTTGAACTAGTTTACAGTCCCACCAACAGTGTAAAAATGTTCCTATTTCTCCACATCCTCTCCAGCACCTGTTGTTTCCTGACTTTTTAATGATTGCCATTCTAACTGGTGTGAGATGGTATCTCATTGTGGTTTTGATTTGCATTTCTCTGATGGCCAGTGATGATGAGCATTCTTTCATGTGTTTTTTGGCTGCATAAATGTCTTCTTTTGAGAATTGTCTGTTCATGTCCTTCACCCACTTTTTGATGGGGATGTTTGTTTTTTTCTTGTAAATTTGTTTGAGTTCATTGTAGATTCTGGATATATTATCCCTTTGTCAGATGAGAAGGTTGCGAAAATTTTCTCCCATTTTGTAGGTTGCCTGTTCACTCTGATGGTAGTTTCTTTTGCTGTGCAGAAGCTCTTTAGTTTAGTTAGATCCCATTTGTCAATTTTGTCTTTTGTTGCCATTGCTTTTGGTGTTTTAGACATGAAGTCCTTGCCCATGCCTATGTCCTGAATGGTAATGCCTAGGTTTTCTTCTAGGGTTTTTATGGTTTTAGGTCTAACGTTTAAGTCTTCAATCCATCTTGAATTAATTTTTGTATGAGTTGTAAGGAAGGGATCCAGTTTCAGCTTTCTACATATGGCTAGCCAGTTTTCCCAGCACCATTTATTACATGGGGAATCCTTTCCCCATTGCTTGTTTTTCTCAGGTTTGTCAAAGATCAGATAGTTGTAGATATGCGGCGTTATTTCTGAGGGCTCTGTTCTGTTCCATTGATCTATATCTCTGTTTTGGTACCAGTACCATGCTGTTTTGGTGACTGTAGCCTTGTAGTATAGTTTGAAGTCAGGTAGCATGATGCCTCCAGCTTTGTTCTTTTGGCTTAGGATTGACTTGGCGATGCGGGCTCTTTTTTGGTTCCATATGAACTTTAAAGTAGTTTTTTCCAATTCTGTGAAAAAGTCATTGGTAGCTTGATGGGGATGGCATTGAATCTATAAATTACCTTGGGCAGTATGGCCATTTTCATGATATTGATTCTTCCTACCCATGAGCATGGAATGTTCTTCCATTTGTTTGTATACTCTTTTATTTCATTGAGCAGTGGTTTGTAGTTCTCCTTGAAGAGGTCCTTCACTTCCCTTATAAGTTGGATACCTAGGTATTTTATTCTCTTTGAAGCAATTGTGAATGGGAGTTCACTCATGATTTGGCTCTCTCTTTGTCTGTTATTGGTGTATAAGAATGCTTGTGATTTTTGTACATTGATTTTTTATCCTGAGACTTTGCTGAAGTTGCCTATCAGCTTAAGGAGATTTTGGGCTGAGACAATGGGGTTTTCTAGATATACAATCATGTTATCTGCAAACAGGGACAATTTGACTTCCTCTTTTCCTAATTGAATACCCTTTATTTCCTTCTCCTGCCTAATTGCCCTGGACAGAACTTCCAACACTATGTTGAATAGGAGTGGTGAGAGAGGGCATCCCTGTCTTGTGCCAGTTTTCAAAGGGAATGCTTCCAGTTTTTGCCCATTCAGTATGATATTGGCTGTGGGTTTGTCATAGATAGCTCTTATTATTTTGAGATACGTCCCATCAGTACCTAATTTATTGAGAATTTTTAGCATGAAGTGTTGTTGAATTTTGTCAAAGGCCTTTTCTGCATTGATTGAGATAATCATGTGGTTTTTGTCTTTGGTTCTGTTTATATGCTGGACTACATTTGTTGATTTGCGTATATTGAACCAGCCTTGCATCCCAGGGATGAAGCCCACTTGATCATGGTCGATAAGCTTTTTGATGTGCTGCTGGATTCAGTTTGCCAGTATTTTATTGAGGATTTTTGCATCAATGTTCATCAAGGATATTGGTCTAAAATTATTTTTTAGTTGTGTCTCTGCCTGGCTTTGGTATCAGGATGATGCTGGCCTCATAAAATGAGTTAGGGAGGATTCCTTCTTTTTGTATTGATTGGAATAGTTTCAGAAGGAATGGTACCAGTTCCTCCTTGTACTTCTGGTAGAATTCGGCTGTGAATCCATCTGGTCCTGGACTCTTTTTGGTTGGTAAGCTATTGATTATTGCCACAATTTCAGATCCTGTTATTGGTCTATTCAGAGACTCCACTTCTTCCTGGTTTAGTCTTGGGAGGGTGTATGTGTTGGGGAATTTATCCATTTCTTGTAGATTTTCTAGTTTATTTGCGTACAGGTGTTTGTGGCATTCTCTGATGGTAGTTTGTATTTCTGTGGGATAGGTGGTGATATCCCCTTTATCATTTTTTATTGCGTCTATTTGATTCTTCTCTCTTTTCTTCTTTATTAGTCTTGCTAGCGGTCTATCAATTTTGTTGATCCTTTCAAAAAACCAGCTCCTGGATTCATTAATTTTTTCAAGGGTTTTTTGTGTCTCTATTTCCTTCAGTTCTGCTCTGATTTTAGTTATTTCTTGCCTTCTGCTAGCTTTTGAATGTGTTTGCTCTTGCTTTTCTAGTTCTTTTAATTGTGATGTTAGGGTGTCAGTTTTGGATCTTTCCTGCTTTCTCTTGTGGGCATTTAGTGCTATAAATTTCCCTCTACACACTGCTTTGAATGTGTCCCAGAGATTCTGGTATGTTGTGTCTTTGTTCTTGTCGGTTTCAAAGAACATCTTTATCTCTGCCTTCATTTCGTTATGTATCCAGTAGTCATTCAGGAGCAGATTGTTCAGTTTCCATATAGTTGAGCGGTTTTGAGTGAGTTTCTTAATTCTGAGTTCTAGTTTGATTGCACTGTGGTGTGAGAGACAGTTTGTTATAATTTCTGTTCTTTTACATTTGCTGAGGAGAGCTTTACTTCCATCTATGTGGTCAATTTTGGAATAGGTGTGGTGTGGCACTGAAAAAAATGTATATTGTGTTGATTTGGGGTGGAGAGTTCTGTAGATGTCTATTAGGTCTGCTTGGTGCAGAGCTGAGTTCAATTCCTGGGTATCCTTGTTAACTTTCTGTCTTGTTGATCTGTCTAATGTTGACAGTGGGGTGTTAAAGTCTCCCATTATTATTGTGTGGGAGTCTAAGTCTCTTTGTAGGTCACTCAGGACTTGCTTTATGAATCTGGGTGCTCCTGTATTGGGTGCATATATATTTAGGATAGTTAGCTCTTCTTGTTGAATTGATCCCTTTACCATTATGTAATGCCTTCTTTGTCTCTTTTGATCTTTGTTGGTGTAAAGTCTGTTTATCAGAGACTAGGATTGCAACCCCTGCCTTTTTTTGTTTTCCATTTGCGTGGTAGATCTTCCTCCATCCTTTTATTTTGAGCCTATGTGTGTCTCTGCACGTGAGACGAGTTTCCTGAATACAGCACACTGATGGGTCTTGACTCTTTATCCAATTTGCCAGTCTGTGTCTTTTAATTGAAGCATTTAGTCCATTTACATTTAAAGTTAATATTGTTATGTGTGAATTTGATCCTGTCATTATGATGTTAGCTGGTTATTTTGCTCGGTAGTTGATGCAGTTTCTTCCTAGCTTTGATGGTCTTTACAATTTGGCATTATTTTGCAGTGGCTGGTACCGGTTGTTCCTTTCCATGTTTACTGCTTCCTTCAGGAGCTCTTGTAGGGCAGGCCTGGTGGTGACAAAATCTCTCAGCATTTGCTTGTCTGTAAAGTATTTTATTTCTCCTTCACTTTTGAAGCTTAGTTTGGCTGGATATGAAATTCTGGGTTGAAAATTCTTTTCTTTAAGAATGTTGAATATTGGCCCCCACTCTCTTCTGGTTTGTAGAGTTTCTGCGGAGAGATCAGCTGTTAGTCTGATGGGCTTTCCTTTGAGGGTAACCCGACCTTTCTCTCTGGCTGCCCTTAACATTTTTTCCTCATTTCAACTTTGGTGAATCTGACAATTATGTTTCTTGGAGTTGCTCTTCTGGAGGAGTATCTTTGTGGCGTTCTCTGTATTTCCTGAATCTGAATGTTGGCCTGCCTTGCTAGATTGGGGAAGTTCTCCTGGATAATATCCTGCAGAGTGTTTTCCAACTCGGTTCCATTCTCCCCGTCACTTTCAGGTACACCAATCAGAAGTAGATTTGGTCTTTTCACATAGTCCCATATTTCTTGGAAGCTTTGTTTGTTTCTTTTTATTCTTTTTTCTCTAAACTTCCCTTCTCGCTTCATTTCATTCATTTCATCTTCCATCACTGATACCCTTTCTTCCAGTTGATAGCATCGGCTCCTGAGGCTTCTGCATTCTTCATGTAGTTCTCGAGCCTTGGCTTTCAGCTCCATCAGCTCCTTTAAGCACTTCTCTGTATTGGTTATTCTAGTTATACATTCGTCTAAATTTTTTTCAAAGTTTTCAACTTCTTTGCCTTTGGTTTGAATTTCCTCCTGTAGCTTGGAGTAGTTTGAACGTCTGAAGCCTTCTTCTCTCAACTCGTCAAAGTCATTCTCTGTCCAGCTTTGTTCCATTGCTGGTGAGGAGCTGCATTCCTTTGGAGGAGGAGAGGCACTCTGCTTTTTAGAGTTTCCAGTTTTTCTGCTCTGTTTTTTCCCCATCTTTGTGGTTTTATCTACTTTTGGTCTTTGATGATGGTGATGTACAGATGGGTTTTTGGTGTGGATGTCCTTTCTGTTTGTTAGTTTTCCTTCTAACAGACAGGACCCTCAGCTGCAGGTCTGTTGGAGTTTGCTACAGGTCCACTCCAGACCCCGTTTGCCTGGGTACCAGCAGCGGTGGCTGCAGAACAGTGGATTTTCGTGAACCGCAAATGCTGCTGCCTGATCGTTCCTCTGGAAGTTTTGTCTCAGAGGAGTACTCGGCCGTGTGAGGTGTCAGTCTGCCCCTACTGGGGGGTGCCTCCCAGTTAGGCTGCTTGGGGGTCAGGGGTCAGGGACCCACTTGAGGAGGCAGTCTGCCCGTTCTCAGATCTCCAGCTGCATGCTGGGAGAACCACTGCTCTCTTCAATGCTGTCAGAGAGGGACATTTAAGTCTGCAGAGGTTACTGCTGTCTTTTTGTTTGTCTGTGCCCTGCCCCCAGAGGTGGAGCCTACAGAGGCAGGCAGGCCTCCTTGAGCTGTGGTGGGCTCCACCCAGTTTGAGCTTCCCGGCTGCTTTGTTTACCTAAGCAAGCCTGGGCAATGGCAGGCGCCCCTCCCTCAGCCTCACTGCCGCCTTGCAGTTTGATCTCAGACTGCTGAGCTAGCAATCAGCAAGACTCCGTGGGTGTAGGACCCTCCGAGCCATGTGCAGGATATAATCTCCTAGTGCACCATTTTTTAAGCCGTGGGAAAAGCGCAGTATTGGGGTGGGAGTGACCCGATTTTCCAGATGCCCTCTGTCACCCCTTTCTTTGACTAGTAAAGGGAACTCCCTGACCCCTTGCGCTTCCCGTGTGAGGCAATGCCTCGCCCTGCTTCGGCTGGCGCATGGTGTGCTGCACCCACTGTCCTGCACCCACTGTCTGGCACTCCCTAGTGAGATGAACCTGGTACCTCAGATGGAAATGCAGAAATCACCCGTCTTCTGCGTCGCTCACGCTGGGAGCTGTAGACCGGAGCCATTCCTATTCAGCCATCTTGGCTCCAGCCTCATCTGCTATGACTTTTTTAATTTGAGATTTCTAATGATATCTTGACCACTTTTGCTCTAGAAGGATTTTATTTTTCATTTTAGCATCTTTCTCCTAAGAGGGGGTGATACCTCTGTGTAGAAATTTGATTCAAGTTACCAGGCATTTCCATAAGCACAGTTGATTATGAGAGCACACGTTTGACCCATTTTTGTAAAAATTAGTGCTTCTTCAAAATAGTTTTGAAATATTGTTTTAAAAGATACATAGTGTTTTTGAAGCCAAAGTCCTACCCAAACATAGAGGGATAATTTAGTCCTTCTTTCACAGAGCATAAACTATTATTGACTACTGACTTTCACTTTATTCATGTCTCAGACTTTATGCAGATCCTGTCTTACCTCCCCAGTGCCTGCCTTAGGCCATCACTCCTCATAAGGGATATGTGGGGTTCTAGAGCTCCAGGTCAACTCTGCGGCAAAGATCTTTGCAAGCACTTTGTGAAAGCTAAGATCAACCTGATGACTACCTTTTTCCAAAATATATCCGTGAAAATTTCCCAACAACTTTTGATTTTCTTCTCTTTGTGGCAGAAATCCCAAATGTGAACCCCTTACCTAAAACATAATGGGAGGAATGCTTCCTGTCCTGTTATTGATATTTCTGTTCTCCGACTCAACTACAGAATTGTGGCTATCCATTCATTCAAAAACATCCATTTATTCAGCTCCTGCCATGTGGGGACACTGTCCTTGGTTTTCAAAATACAACTGAGAACAAAACCAAGTCCCTGCCCTTGAAGAGCTTACACTCTAATAAAGGGATTTAGAAGCAAACATACTCTGTGTCAGATGATGATATGCACTATGAAGAAAAAATAAAAGAGGGTAAGGAAGCTAGGTGGGGTGCAGGGAGTGCTGTTTTAAAAGGCTGGTCAAGAAAGTCTTCACAGATAATGTGACCTTCGAGCAGAGGTCTGAAGGGAGGAGAGAGAACCTTCCACATAGAAGCTTTGGGGCAAAAGCATGCCCGGTGAGTTAGGGGAAAAGCAGGGAGACCAGTGAAGCCAAGGTAAATTGAACCAGGAATGATATGGCAGCAGGAGAGGTCTGAGAGGATGTGGGGCTCTTGTCAGTCCTCTAGGATCTTATAAATATTTAAAGGAGGGCAGTAGGAATTTTGCTGATTTTTAAATTTAATTTGAATTGTGAGTTTGATAATTAAATTTTGATGACCAAGCTATGAGGAAGAAAAGGCCTTAAACTGTCTCAGAGTAAAGTAGTGAAGAGCTAGATGGTACATGTAGAAATAAACAGGTAATAAAGAACTAGGTTAATAGCCATTAACTGAGTACTACTTGGTTATCAGGGTTTGTGCCAACTGCCAGAAATCCAGAACATACCATACTACCTTCTTATAGAGTTTAGAACTTCCTATCTAGAAAGCATAAACTTCCTCTTAATGAATTGCTGTGGGTGTGTAGGAGATGATGTTTATAATGGGCTGTATGGTGTAATGAATGATGTTTTTATTTTGAAATAATAAATTTGGTTTTAAACCCTAGCTCTGAGATAAGTAAATAAACTACCCAGTAACTGACAGTCAGACATATAATAGATTCTTAACACATTATAGTGTTTTTTATTACTGTTTTTAAAAAGAATAAAACATGCTTACAGTTCCAAATGGTTTTCAGCACCAGGTACATTAAACTTGAAATATGCACACAAAAACTTTTACTAACCATCTCTTGAAAATTTTCACAATTCGCAAATTAACTCAGAAGAAAACATTGTTTCAGGTGTCTATTACTGCAAAATTAAATACTCTAAAATTTAGTGTCTCAAAACAATAATTTTTTATCATCTCCCAACTTCTGCATGTTGACTGGGCTCAACTGGGACAATTCTTACTTGGAATCTCTCATGCAGTTGCAGTCAGATGGCAGCTGAGACTGGAGTCATCTGAAGACTTGACTGAGCTGGATGTCCAAGATGTCATTCACAAGCCTGGCAGCTGCTGCTGGCTATTGGGTTGGAGCTTAGCCAGAGCTGTCAACTGAAGCTCCTCTATGTGGCCTCTGCATGTGGGTTCTTAGAGAGAGTGCTCCAATAGTGAGTATTCTTAAAGGCCTGGGCAGAAATGAAAAGCCTTCTTATGAGTGAGTTTCAGCAATCCCAGTCACTTCTGCTACATTCTTCTGATCCAGAAGATCACTAAGGGCAGCTCACACTCAAAGGGAGGGGAACTGGACACCATGCCATGATGTGTGAAACACAATGCACATACAGAGAGGAAAGGAAGTAACAGCAGCCGTCTTGGAGGCTAGTCCCACAGCACAATACTCAGGAATTACAGTCAGAACTGCTGTCCATTATCACGGAACGTTCTTAACACCTTTAAATGAAACTTTTTTTTTTTAAATGACAGAGAACTTAGAATTTGTGTGTGATTTCTTTTGTCCAGAGTGCCCTATAGATGGTAAACACTTAATAATGTTACTAACTTATTAACCAAGTCCCCACTCCTCATTCCCTGCTATTGTGAATCTACAAGGAAATTTTGGATGGGTAGAGTCCTTGTGTTCTCACATTGAGTTGAGAACCTTGTCCAGCCACGTTGTACCTCTCAGTATGGAGGCAGCAGAAAAGAATAAAAACAATATTGGTCATTTGTCAATCGCCTTACTCTTCAGAAAGCAAATTTATATTCATCAATTCATTTGATTTTCACAGCTACTCACATGAAGTAAACAGGAAAAGCAATATTACCAATATGTTTGGCATAGAGATGAAATTCCAGACAACTTAATATCTTGCCTAACACATAGCCAGTAAACAGAAGGGCTAAAGCTTGAAAACTTCAGAAGCCAAATCCAACTTTCTTGCTACTAAATCACAGCATCTTTCCAGCAGATCTCTTGGGAGAGTTCTTGGTTATTTTCCATGGCATCAATAGGAGTACCAGGTAACATTTGTTGAACATTTGTGTGCCAGGCACAGCACTAAGCACTTTGTGTATCTGACTCATCTATCCCCACAACTGTTCCACGAGAGTGGGCATTGCTTTATTCCTGTCTTGCAATCTGAGTAAAGTTCACACCACTAGAAAATGACAGAGCCTTCATTTTAATGCGTGCAGTCTGGGTTAGTGCCTGCTTTTTGTTTAAGTATTGTTGCAATAACTCAAAACATGTCTAACATGTTCTATACTCACTATGAAGCTGATATTCAAGAATTATTTGAACCCTTCTTAAATCTTTATTTTCAATTTGTACCATCTCTTTTAATAAGGTTTACTGAAAGTTTGATCCTGCTTATGAAAACTTGGTTTTATTCCCTTGTGGGTGGAACATTTGTTTTGTTTCATGGCCATATGTGCTCTTGACTCTGAATAGCTATGTAATAATGTGGGTCTGCGTTCACAAGGAAAAGTTTTAAAGGACAACGGAGAGGTCAACAACACGGTTCTACCTCTGCCAGTCACTTAGCACCTCTGAGGCTCATTATATTCATAGAAAACTTTGAAGTTGGACAAGATGCCCTCAGAGGTCTCTTCCAACTTTAGGGTCTGTGATTATGCCCCATAGTGCCACAAAGCACATGTTTTCCTGATGGCAGATCATGAAGACACCTACAATCATGAAGTATATTAACATTTTTGCTAGCATTGTTTCATATCAGTCCTCTAACACTGATTACAAATATATTTGTGGTCAAAGAAAACTGAGAAAAATAGCTGTTTTGGATGATATTCTGGGGAAGTTTTCTCTTCCATGGTTTAGACTTAGAGGATGTGTGTTATAAAGAGAACATGGAGCTGACAGTCAAAAGCTCTCTGTCAGGGCTCTGTCACTAAAGCTTGTAACCTTGGGAGGGTCACTCTCAAGTTTCTTTCTTCATCTGTAAAATAAGAAGCCTGGGGTGAGGTGATCTTACAGTCCCATTCAGTTTCAAATTCCACATTTAAACTTGTGCTGATAGTCAGAATTTGAAGATAAGAATATAAATGAGAAAGCACACTATTTCCTTTGTAATTTGTATGCTATTTTGTGCTGCAGAGTTGTGAATACATTTGACATAAGGTGAAATGAATGGATATTAGTGTTACTACATAAAAAGTCTTTCATATTTCCTAGGAATTGGGAAGGTGGGGAAAAGCACAAATCAAAACATCTTCTAGCCTGTCACTTTAAAAGCCTCTGACCTTTTGTTTAAAAAAAAAGACATAAAAAGAGGCAGCAATATGTACTCTAAAAATGAGCTGGCTGTACCAATTCTTGGTTTAGAACATATTTTGGTTTTATCCTACTTGTTTGGTAGATGAGATACAGTCCAACAACGTTGTAATTCTAAGTAACTTATTAAAATATGGCATCTTGGATGAAGTTTTACAATCTGTCCCTGCAGTGATAAAGAGTCATTTCCTGACTGAAAATGATGAGTTCATTTTCATTGTCATTATTCATGACGGGTGCACCAGTGGTGTGCAGTGAAACGAGCAGGGCCAACAGATGCCTCCTATGGAGTCAATACCAGATTTCCCTTGAGGTCCCCTTGTATCTTGCTGACATATTTCAATCTTTCTTTAATTCTCCCTTAGGGTCAAAAAATTAAGTTATTGCTGAGATCCTTGACAATATTCTTCTACTTCTTAACTTTTGGAATTACAACGACATCATTTTCCTGACCAGGAAACCTCATGTTCTATAACATCCTTTGATTTTTGCTTCTTACTCAAAGCTCTTAACCCTAACCTCCTTGGGTCTCACCTGGAGGTTATCATACAGTCATAAGTGGTATCTCATATCTCCCTGTTATAAGTATGTAATAAAAGTTATGTAACAAGATGAGAATTATTAAAGCAACTCTGTAATATATATGGTTCTTGATCTTATATCTATGTGTTAGTTACTCTCATGCCTAAGACAATCATAAAAATCCCAAGTTTGAAAAGCAAATGAGTTAACTAACTCACTAGTTGAAATTCTAAAAATCAGCTGTAAGCACTTTATATACAGTTTAATCATTACCCTCCCAAAAGTCTAAAATAAAAATTGGTGGTTCAATTTTCTGACTACATGCAAGGGGATGAAAAAAGGTGTTAACTTGTCCTCATGAAAGAGAAATCCTGAGTAGCAGACATCCAAATTCTGTACTAGATATATGATTTAAATCTTATATTTCATTTTTAGTTTATCATTTACCTACCCTGTAACTTGTATTTCCAAATAAAATATAAGCTCTTTGAAGGTAGAAAACATGTCATAATTTTAAGAATTCTATCAAATTTAAAGCATCTAGAACAACTTTTTCCTACTAGGAACTTAGCAAATATCTATTAATTAGAGGACAAGAACTCTGCTTTAAATAAGCTATTATGAAGTGAGGACTTCCTTCATGGCTGGTTTATTTTTATTTTTATTTTGAGATGGAGTTTCACTCTTGTTGCCCAGGCTGGAGTGCAACGGCACGATCTTGGCTCACTGCAACCTCCGCCTCCCAGTTCAAGCGATTCTCCTGCTTCAGCCTCCCGAGTAGCTGGGATTACAGGTGCCCGCCATCATACCCGGCTAATTTTTGTATTTTTAGTAGAGACAGGGTTTCACCATGTTGGCCAGGCTGGTCTGGAACTCCTGACCTTAGGTGATCCACCCGCCTCAGCCTCCCAAAGTGCTAGGCTTACAGGCATAAGCCACCGTGCCCGGCCCATGGCTGGTTTTAATATGAATAAAAGTTTGGCACTGTTCCTTCTCTATGCCATATTATAGTTTATCAACTTGTACACAATATAAGTCAAGATAGCACTTGTCAAAGCACTTACATTAACAATTCTTAGAAGGTAATCTTACTTAGGGGAAAAATATAGTTTTGAGATCCTCGTTTAAGAATATGTCAGTAAAAAGGAATATTATATATTTTTCTTTGTGTTTTTAAAATATTGTAAAATATTTCCTTGTATTCCCCACTCAGGACTTTAGAACTCATCTTCCTCCACAATTATAATCTTCTGTATACTCTAAGAACTGGGTAGGGAGGAGGGAGTAGAGTCAACTGTGCAGTTATGGGCCAAAGCAAGGGGTGAAGACAGATACAGAAAGCAAGATCCAAGAAGTAAATCCTGGAATGAGAAAGTTTCTGATGAAAGAGGAATCCGAGCACAGAAACTGGAAAGCCAGAGGGAGTCACACCAAGAGTGGACCATTATGGTGGCAGCAAATAAAAATGACCAGGTCAAAACAAAGGAATGTTGAAAGCCATAAAGGGTAAAAATTGGGGGACACCCCTGAGCCCTCACAGAATTCTGATAGATAACTCACTGCAGCCTCAGTTGTTATTTATTTCCTTCATAGGTAGTTTCTAGCTATGAACTGTTTTATACATATCAAAATATTTTTTTACAATATCAGAAAATAGCCATGGACAGTTACTGTGTTTTCCTCTGTTATCTATTTTGCCACTTTCATAGGCACATTTCTTATGGTGAGATCAGATCTTTTGCATGCATAATAGTAATAAATTATGTGGCTGTTTAAGTACTGAGTAAATGTTAAGAAAATAGACATGATGATACCTTAAAATTGGCAACCATCTCACAAAAATACCAGCTCCCTGTCATTGTGTTTATTCACCAAGGAGTCTGCTATGTCTTTGTGTAAGCAGCTTCTGGTTTTGAGATTTAAAAATAAAATAGAGTTTCTTTTCAGGTACTCTTGTCCTTTCAAGGATGGTGTTAGCTCAAAAATCAATCCCCAAAAGTCTAAGGTGTACAGGAAGGTTTTTTCACTTCTCCATGAACTCATTTATTTAAATGCCCTACCTAACTTCCATGATAACACAAGAACTTTTACAAAGTTTTGACACCTAATTTATCAGAAAAATGTTCCATCATTAGGAAAATGGGTCTCTAAAGCTGTCTTTACACATTAGCAATTAGGGAACTTAAGATTTATGAACCAAAGCTAAAGAAGTTGTGAGATATGAATCAATGATTTGACCTGTACCAGCCCAGAAATCCAGAGTAAGGTTTGGTGGCTAAATTAGGAAACGCTCACCTTTTACTCACTGATTTAAAAAAAATCACCACGAATACAACTTCTTTTAATTTAAGCTCCTGAGTTATGTAACTTGACTGGTTGACCAGCATGTTTGTATATCATTGTTTAAAAAGGAAAAAAAAAGCTTTTCTGAAACCATTCTGAATAGCATCCCATGTAGTAAAATGAATTCAACTCAAGCAGTTAATATTTTCCATATATTTCTTAGTCTTTTTTATTAAACTTACAAATTTAAAAGGAACTTGTTTGGGGTGTGTGTCTTAGGGGTTGTCTACTATGTATAAGCAAACAATATAAAATTTTATATATATTTATGATGAATAATTTTGTTGGCAAGAATTTTACTTTGGTAGAAACACCAGTTCAAACATTATTTGCTATTTTAGATTTGAGAACTTTGCATCATCAATCTGAAACAAAAAAACCTAAGGGGAAGTATAGAACCACCTTCATCTTTCAAAAGTACTGCATTGTATATGGATAGAACTAATTTAATGAAAATTTAGTTAGCAGAATTCTCACTTAAGCAATTTATTTATTTATATTTATATTTATTTATATATTTTTTGAGACAGAGTCTTGCTCTGTCACCCAGGCTGGAATGCAGTGACGCCATCTTGGCTCATCTTGGCTCCATCTCTTGAGTTCAAGCGATTCTCCTGCCTCAGCCTCCTGAGTAACTGGGATTACAGGCGCCCACCATCACACCTGGCTAATTTTTGCAGTTTTAGTAGAAACGGAGTTTCACCATGTTGGCCAGGCTGGTCTTGAACTCCTGACCTCAGGTGATCTGCCAGCCTCAGCCTCCCAAAGTGCCGGGATTACAGGTGTGAGCCACTGCACCCAGCCTAGCTTAAGAAATTTAAAAAGCAGTTGTATATCCTTGAACAGCTTCCACAATGGTAAAGATGAAGTGGTTAAGAAGGTAGACTGAATCTCTGAGATTTGAGTGGGATGCAAGAAAGACTTGATGACTTTACAGTGGAAGTGTCCTGGCATATCTCTGCCAATGGGTGATTCCATTTCATCTCAGACCTTAAATAAGAAGTTACTCTTCTCATCAAATAATGCAGAATAAAACTTCCCAAGGAACAGAGCCCAGGGGCAGCCAACATATGAAACACAAGATGGCAGAACCCTCTTATTCTCCAGAGTATAAGCAGAGTGCATCATCATACAAATGTCCAGCAAGCCAATCTCTGGGAAATAAAAGTCCAATGGAAATAATATTGCATCCACTATAGGAGGGAAATGAAACCCCCTTAGCAATACCATGAATAGGGTCAGTACTAGGCACAGGCAAGAGCCCGTGTAAAGAACCCAAGTGTGGAGAATTCAAATTGATCACTGATTAACTGGAATGTGGAATTAACTGCATCACAGAGACTGAGATTTTTTTCTGTGTATCCTCCATGATACTTACAGATATCTATAGGAGATGTTCAATGTGGGCATAATTTTTTTCAGTCGGATTGCTTTTGTTGTCAATTATCTTTTTCCAAGTGAATGCAATTATTTCAGTTATTATGTTTCAACATATTCTAGGATTTTCTTGTCAACTTGGTAGGCAACAACAGCAATCCAACTGAAAAAATTACACCCACATTTAATATCTTCTATAGAAAAAACAACAACCAGATTTCAGGTGCAGGCTGTCGTTTGTGTGGGTGTCAATTCCTGGGCTAACATAATCAACTCTAACTTCAGTACAGTGGACCTGTTAACATTTCCACTTTCAACTTCATTATTGGCTCATTAACTTATCTTCTTATTAATGCTAATACACTCTATACTATTCATTAATTAAGGAAAAATGATAATGTTTAATTATATCCATTTTTTTCCCTCCAGGAATCATTATAACAATTGTACTATTCTTTGATATGCTACTAATAGTTAATAAGGAAAAGAAAGTGTCCTTCACTGTATTAAATGGGGCCAGTCTCTTGTTTGGCATATCTTTTTCAGTTCACAGACTATGCACTACCATAAAACCATGTAAAAAGTTGGTTGTGTTTGTGTGTGTATACACAGAAGAGTGTGTATACACTCTTTTCCATACAACAGAAAATGTAATTCTACATTTCCAAATGCAAATCACACACACAAAAGAAACATTTTTATTGGGAACGATGAAGCAGATATATCAGTTGTAATATTTGACATGATGTGCAATCGATCAATGACTTAGAAGCTTGCTAGATCCCTAAGAGTTGTGTGAAATGTGATAGTTCATAAATAATGCATGAATAGAAAAATTTGGATACTTGAATGCAAGTAATCTCACGACCCAGAAAATCTACTCTGAAAATTCATTCTCCACACCTGGAGAATTCAACCAGCTGCTTGCAGCTCACAGAGAAAGAGTCGGAGCATTCCGCTCATCATCTTTTTTGCTTTGTGTTTCCCAAAGAGGCTATTAATCGATGTAAACCTAGATTGTGATACTAAAGTCTCTTCTAAGGAAAGTTTCTCTTCTCTTGGATGAATGCCAGTGGGTTTGTTGAAGGAATGATTAATTATATGTTTTTTTTTTTTAATGACTGTAGTCTAATGCTGCTGCTACCTGCTTTGGCTTTGAACTTTTCACGAGAGAACTGACACAAAAAGTTATTAGAAGTTTTCTTCAGAAGTTCAAAATTTGTCATACAAATGAAGAAATAGGCAAGTGCCTAAATTCAATATTAATCAAAGATGCTAACCCTTTAAAGCTGATTTTTATGTGGCTTTCATGAATCCATTCATCAAGAATGTTAAAGAAAAGTGCAACGAGAGAGATGGTCTGGTTTCAGATTTCAAAGATTCAAATGTATTTATTTTTAGAACAATGAGACCATCTGTAACCTTTGAAACTGTTGTAAATCAAAGAGAGGGGCTCTGGAATTTCTATAAAGGAGGGCCTCAGGCAGCAAGCTGTTGGAATGGAGTGCTAGAAGGTCTTTTGATGATACATGTCATGGCAAGCACATTCTTTTTCCTTGTATTGCATACCTATTTAGTATAGGTTGGAATAGGCAGAGATTGATAGAGATCATGAGAAACTCAAAGCTCCCTCTCCTTGGCATCTCCATGAAGCATCCTGGTTCACTGTCTAAAGCTGAGGTGCAGACTATCAGTGCATGTCATTTTCTATCTGAGCCTCACATACTTTGTTCTCACATTACTGCATAGGCCACATCAACCACATCAGAGACAGGATGTGTAGGAGTCAATGGCATGGTCTCTAGTCTTGGACAATCTAGTTTGAATCATGACCCCAGCAGTTACTGGCTCTGTGATTTTGGGCAAGTTAAGCAACTATCTTCTCATTCAATTTTCTCATGTATGAAATGGGAAAATTTATAGCATTTTTCTCCTCACTGGATTGTTGTGAGGATTAAATGAATGCCCAATAAACAATAAGCACCATATAAATGTTAGCTATTATTGTTGTTCGTGATGGAGGAAGTCCAGGGCTGAGACTCATATTCCCAACATAACAAAACCCAGGGGGATCAGGATGGTGCAATGTGAGAAGCATTTTTTTCTTGATATCATGGTTCTTCATTTTTATCATTCCAAAAAGAGGAAATAAACCAAGAAACTCTTCATAAAACACAGCCTAAATTCCAATGTCCACTGTATGTGATGAGAAGACAAAATACATCTTGTCTAATCCTATAAACCTAATACACAATGAAAATTATTTATATAGGGTTGGGTATACAAAAGCAATGGAGCAATTTATTTTTGTACCCTGTATACTCACAAACATGCTGTTTTTCTCCCCAAACCCTTAAACAAATGGGCCAGGATGTGAGAAAGGCATTGCCCTGCACTTCTCCCTTCCCCCTTCCTAACCTCCACCCCCCCCCCCCTTTGATGCTCATGCCATCAGATTATATTAGCCACTATTCCTTTGGCTGTTGTCATCTACTGACCCTGGTGTCAGTTTCCCTCATATCCAGACAATGTTCTGGCACTGGCACACTGTCACTTTCTTTGTTGTTACTGTTGTCTCAATTCTTGGTTGCAGGGATAGCTACATAATTTGTAGGGCTCACTGCAAAATGTTAAAAATTATTAAGAATTTCAGGACAGCAGCAACAGAGTGTTAAACCAAGCAGAGGGCCTTCTGAGCATGGAGTCCCAAATGACTACATAGGTTGCATGCCCATGAAGCTGGCCCTGCTTGGTTGAAAACCATTATTCACATTCTTTCTGATTCTCACGGATAAAGGAGCTTCTGACCCCTCCCTGTGAGTGGGGAGTATTGAAGTAAATGCTTTCTGCCTCTTTCTCCACCCATGGCACATTGTTCCTGGGAAGAGAGGAGCAGCGATACTAACTAGTAAGAGTCTAATCCACTGGACCACATTTCATCAGTGGGAATGGTTAATGTGCTAAAGGCAACTGCTCTTGCCTCTTCCTTGTTGTTTCTTATGGCTAGGCTCAGGAAATCACCTCTCACTTTGTTTTCATACAATGAACTAGGTGTATGCTCCTTGTCCCAACATTTCGGGCCAATAGTTTGGGCCCAACATCCTCCATTCATTGGGGAAGGTTTATGATACCCGACCTTTGTCCTCAGGTTCAAGCCCTGATTGCCAGCACAGTTTACCCAACCATCCTGTGTATTGACAGCTATTGGGTATTACTCACCTAGTCTATAAATAAGTGGACACTTTGATCTCCATGTGGCTCCTACTTCTTTGCACCTATTTCTGTTACTTAATAGAACACACAAGCCTGCAATACCACACTTCCAATTTGGGTTTCTTAATGATGAATTATTGTTCTGAAACATGGCCAGATGGTTCCCCAATTTCTGTTTCCCTTCTGGCTAAAATCATTTTCCTTTAAGACTTGAATTAAAAAAAAAAAACATGTCTGCTCACATTTATAGTTTTAGACCTTCTTCCTATCTATGACTGGCAGGGAAAACAATTTTGGCAGAGGTGACCATGAATTGACCCCCTTTGTTTCTGACAACCTCAGGGAAGGAAAAACATGACTGATAATAAGAGGTGGTTGCTGCAGGGCCAGCCCAGATGACAGTCTCAGTCAAGCAATGACTTCGGTCTCAGGGTCTTTTATGACAAGTAATGTTATCTGAGTAAGCAGGAAGGACAACAGCAGCAGTTTGTAGTTTTAGAAATGAAGACATTTTCTGTGTTATCATTCCCTAATGCCCCAGCATATTTCCTCTGCCTAGATTGAGGGACTTTAAGGAATCTGTCCTGCGTTTAGTCTCGGGATATTGTTTAGGTGGTGGTTCATGATATCACATAGAGTCTTCTATGTGGATGTAGGTGAGAGATTTCTTTCTGGTATTAAAACAATAGTAACTATGCTCCTTACACATGCCATGTTTGTTTTTATATTCTGGACACTGAGAATCTCTTTATATTGGTCACAAGAAAACAAAGCTTTAAAATCTGTGTCCCACCTCTGGCAAATGTAAGAGTCCCACACTGTGTAAGTGAATTTAATTCTGTCTTTATCCTTCTTTTTTTCCTTATTATTCCCCTTTTCTAATCTTGTACTTCTTACTTTAGATTTTATACCATGTGGTATCATTTCAAAAACAAGTCACTTTAAATTCTTACTAGCATAGGGAAGAGAAAGATATGTATAAATAAAGAGAAAAGGAATTATGAAACACAGCACATGATCATTTGATCTTTATACGTAGTATAGCCAAGAAATTTAAATCAAATTTAAAATCATGTAGATATGGTATGAGGCACTGGAAATTCAAATTTTTAATCCCAGGATCCATCACTTGTCATTTCTGTGTGGCCTTGTAAATGTCTCATAAATACAGATTTCTGCTCTGAAAAAAATTTAGGAACTTGACCCGATGTTCAGAGGCAATTTGTGAGGACTAATTTGTTCATGTGAGGCATAAATTTTAAAACTTGGATTCATGGAAAGGAAATTAGTAATGTTAACTACATCTTTGGGAGACAGGCAGGCTGGTGCTCCATGCAGAACCATAAGGTGAATATTAAATCTGCCCCAGTATGGGTCCCCCAACTGTGATACATGTCATTTACCTCCAGCTAAAGCCATGTTGGAATTACTAGTCGCGCCAGTGCTGGGGCTTTTTTGACTTACAAATTTACAATGAGTTTCACTAAAGTATTTTGTTTTAATTTTTAGCTCTACTCCAAAGGTATCATTTCACAACATAACAATGCACCCCCTGATTCTAACCACTCTACTTAAATAGACAGGGGATGTTCACCCACATTTTGTCTGAAACCACTGCTTTTCCATTAGCTGTCAACAAGAGACGATCTCTGTTCCAAGTAAAATGAAGTCATTATCGTTGATGCTCCAGCTTTTCTTTCATCTTATGGCCTCCAGGGCATTAAGATAATGATTCTGCTTCCTTCTTTCCAGAAGAGTAGTGATGCCCACTCTGTTTCACTTGCCATTTAAATTTTTGGCTGCATCAACTTTAACCTGTTTAACTTTTTGTATCTTAGCTCAGCAAGGGTAATATAGTTCTGTTTAAAATATAACATGCAGAAACCAGAACAGTAGATGTCATACATACAGCAGGTTCTTTTTCTTGATAGCAAACTTACCCATCTACTCATGTGAATTCTTTGTGTATTAATTAAATTCCTAGAAAGTGAATTAAGGACTATGCTATGGACTGAACGTTTGGGTACCCCTGCAAAACTGGAATGCTTGAGCATTGAAATGCTCAAGCCTGAATCTTCAACATGATGGAATTTGAAGGCGGGGCCTTTTGGAGGTAATTAGAGTTAGATTAGGTCATGAGGGTGGAGTCCTCATGAAGTGATTAATGTTCTCATACAAAGAAGAAACACAAGATCTCAATTTCTTGTTCTCTCTCTCCCACTCCTCCGTCCACCACAGGCATGCAGCAAGAGGCCATCTGCAATCATGAGAAATTAATGTTTGTTCTTTAAGCCACATAGTATACGATATTTTGTTGTAGCAACATAGACCAGATTTGCTTATTTAAGACTTATGTAAGGATCAGGGAATCCTGGAAGGGTCAAATATGGTAACTCTATTTGCTCATGTATGCAGAACTCCACCAACTGAAGGCAGTCTAATCTGGATCATTTGGTTTCCTGTGACAGCATCATGTAAACAGTGGTCTTTAACATATGGGCTTTAGGATATTTAGGAAACCAGAACGACGAAATATGTATACCCTCATTATTTCTCAAAAAATCTTTAGCACTCTAGTAATAAATATAATATCTTGGTCTTCATTTTTACAAGGACTGAAATAAATTTCCATAAGTTAGTATTCTATTAATGATTTATTAAATCACAACAATGAGTACAATTTTTTCCAGTGATGTTCTCACCAAGTTTCTTATAGTATACTCTGGTGTGCTGCTTCATTTGGATTAAATATGTTTTGATTATTTCACTCATCTTCTGCATATGATCTCAATTAATATGTGTTTCAATGAGTTTAGAGTAAATATGCAGATTGGGAGGAGTAAAGTAAATATTAGGAGGCAACTTAACTGACTTGTTAACTTCATAGCTCTGTTGACTTTGGACAAGCATCTTTCTTTATAGATTGATTTTTTTTAACCCACAAAACATAGATAATCATCCTTATACTCCAAATCCATGGTAAGTTTAAGGGAGATGATCTATGTAAAACATATAACACAGCATTTGGGGTATCATATGGACTCAATATTTGGTAATAATTATTAATCATCTTAGTGTAATAAAGAAAAACAATGTTCTATAAACTGATAACTCCATTACAAGTTCTGCATACCACTTAAATGATATGTTTGTATCATTGCCTAAAAACTTTATTGCTTTATCTTTTATACTTAGATCTACAACTCATATGGAATGGTATGGTGTGCAGTAAGAGGTCAAGAGTCAAGTTTTCCTTGTATGGATTCAAGGTTTTCTCGTACAATTGACATACTAACATTTATTTAAATACCTATCCTTTCTCCACTGATATGCATTACTACATATTTTTTATAAATATTCATATGTATGTTGGTCTGTTCCTTGGCTCTTTATTCTGTTCTGTGTAGCTTTCTACAGACAGTATGACACGGTCTTCTTGTAGCTTTATTATAGCTCTTTGTTTTTTTTGTTTTTTTTTTTGAGATGGAGTTTCGCTCTTGTTGCCCATGCTGGAGTGAAATGGTGTGATCTAGGCTCATTGCAACCTCTGCCTCCCGGTTTCAAGCACTTCTCCTGCCTCAGCCTCCCAAGTAGCTGAGATTACAGGGCCATGCCACCACACCTGGCTAATTTTTAGTAGGGATGGGGTTTCACCATGTTGGTCAGGCTGGTCTCGATCTTCTGACCTCAGGTGATTCACTTGCCTTGGCCTCCCAAAGTGCCAGGATTACAGGTGTGAGCCACTGTGCCCAGCCCCTATTATAATTCTTGATATCTGGGAGTGTAAATTTCCAACTTCATTTTTCTTCTTCAAGAAAAAATATAACTTCGGTATTTCTGGCCTATGGTATTTTCATATAAAGTTTAAAACCAACTAGTAGATTTCCACAAAAATATCTGCTAGAATTTTAATTTGGATAGCATTGAATCTATACGTAAATTTGAGGAGAATTATGATGACAATATTGAGTATTCCCACTCATATAATATATCCCTGTATTTATTTAGGTCTCCTATAGTTTTCCTAATAATTTTACATAGTTATTTATATAAAGGTTTTGCACATTTATTGTTACATTTATTTATAGGTATTTGATACTATTGTAAGTTATATTATTTTAAAAAATTTTAATATTTGTCACATTTATGTAGAAATACAATTGACTTTTATATATTGACTTAGTTTCTAGTGAGCTTATTACATTCATTTATTAAATTAATAGTATATATATTTTTTCTGAGATGGAGTCTCACTGTCACCCAGGCTGGAGTGCAGTGGCATGATCTTGGCTCACCATAACGTCTGCTTCCCAGGTTCAAGTGATACTCCTGCCTTAGCCTCCCTAGTAGCTGGGACTACAGGTGCATCCCACCATGCCCAGCTAATTTTTGTATTTTTAGCAGAGCTGGAGTTTCACCATGTTGGCCAGGCTAGTCTTGAACTCCTGACCTCAGGTGATCCACCCACATCAGCCTTCCAAATTGCTGGGATTTCAGGCATGAGCAATAGTGTATTTTAATATTCTTTTGAATTTTCTGTACATATAATCATGTTTTCTGTAAATAATGGCAGTTATATTTTTTCCCTTTTAGTTCTTAATTCTTTTTCCTTGTCTTAATTTACTTGCTACAACCTCCACTGCAGATAAATAGAAGTGGTTATAGCAGTCAACTTTGTCTCATTCTTCTACAAACTTTCTATATGTCACCATTAAATATGACATTTGCTTTAAGATTTTTGTAGCTACTCTTAAAGATATTCTATTCTTAATTTGCTGGTTTTTTTTAAAAACACGAATAGATATTTTTTTCTTTCTTTTTTTTAAATTATACTTTAAGTTTTAGGGTACATGTGCACATTGTGCAGGTTAGTTACATATGTATACATGTGCCATGCCGGTGCGCTGCACCCACCAACCCGTCATCTAGCATTAGGTATATCTCCCGATGCTATCCCTCTCCCCTCCCCCCACCCCACCACAGTCCCCAGAGTGTGATATTCCCCTTCCTGTGTCCATGTGATCTCATTGTTCAATTCCCACCTATGAGTGAGAATATGCAGTGTTTGGTTTTTTGTTCTTGCGATAGTTTACTGAGAATGATGATTTCCAATTTCATCCATGTCCCTACAAAGGACATGAACTCATCATTTTTTATGGCTGCATAGTATTCCATGGTGTATATGTGCCACATTTTCTTAATCCATTCTATCATTGTTGGACATTTGGGTTGGTTCCAAGTCTTTGCTATTGTGAATAATGCAGCAATAAACATACGTGTGCATGTGTTTTTATAGCAGCATGATTTATAGTCCTTTGGGTATATACCCAGTAATGGGATGGCTGGGTCAAATGGTATTTCCAGTTCTAGAAACACGAATAGATATTAAATTTTGTGAAATGCTTTCTCTGCATATGTGAAGATAATAATCACATGATTTTTCTCCTATATTCTGTTATTCTGTTGAATTACACTGATTGGTTGCCTAATATAAAACTCAGCATTTCACTCTTAGAGTAAGTCCAACTGGGTAATGATGTATTATCATTTTTATTTATTGCTAGACTCGTTTTGCTAACATTTTGTTTTAGGATTTTTACATTTTGGCTGACAAGAGAATATAACTTCTACCTTGCTTTCTTGTATATTCTTGTTGGGTTTTGGTGTCAGAGTTCTTCTAAATTCAAAATATGAGTTGGGAAGTATTTTCATTTCTTATGATCTGAAAAATTCATGAAGATTGGTGTTATTTTATCTTAAATGCTTGGAAAAATTAGTTGACTCTGGGACTTCATGAATGTATTCATTTTTTAGAATTAGGATATAGAATTTAGGATATAGCATTTCCTCATTTGATTTTATTTTTGACACAGATTTATTATTAATCAAACAAAGCAGAGGATTTATAAACATAGATATAGAATGTTTAAGGTGAAAATGAGTGGGGATATTTCTAGAACTTGCTTAGGAATACATATGTATGTGTATGGAAACTTATTCATAAATTTATTAATTTATTCAATCAAAATTAGAGGGCCTGCTATGGATCCAGGATCTGAAGACTCATTGGTGATTTTTGATCAAGGATATGAAATGTACTGAGGTATTGGTGGTAACAGTGGTTAGCATAGCTGCCTTCCAAGGATGTGAAGTGCTAAAATGATAGTTGATGCAGGTTAACTTAATGGTAGTATGCCCAAAGAATTGGGAGGGACAGAAACTAGAGGCAGGAGGACCAGTGGGAGGCTATTGCCATAACTTAGTCATAAAGTACAGAGTACTCGACTTCAGATAAAAATTGTAGAAATAATTAGGCAGAGAGAAAGTTGGTAAAGGAAGAAGCAATAAGATTTGTTGACTGATTGAAAGTCAAGGATGAGAAAGGAAAAGATTACAACCTGACAAGAAGTTTTAAGTCTGGATGATAAGAAACCAAGAAGGTAAAAGGGAGTATCCAAGAGATGATAGAAATCTCTTTAATGGGGACATATATTTCTCAATTCTCATAAAGTAGAAGGTTCTTATCAAACCCCAATCTCTGCATTTCCTTGCTGTGTATTTGTTTCAGGGCCTTGGTATCAGAGTTGCAATTTCAGTCTCCGAACCTGGGTCATTGTAACAACATCCAGCAGGGAAACTGTGCATTTTAATAAAAAACAGGTGGGCAAGACTGTGTTAGAAGGCAATTACCCTTTCCACTGTCATCTACTCTACTCTGCCGGTATTTAATTCTGAGCTTCACAAGCAGAAATCATTAGTAGCTTATCTCCCTCACATGTCTGTGCAAAGGAAGAAAAACTGATAAAAATTTAAAATTGTGTGGGCTTATAGTAACTATCTTTGGAATAGATAATTAAAATTCACATAACAGAACGAACATATTAAAATGTAATTGTGAATGGGGATAAATGTGTTGAAAATAAATCTATTCATCTGGAACATAGTATTATCATGAGAGAAAATAATAAAGAGTAACAGATTTAGGCTATATTCAATATCTAAATTTGTTCACTTGAGGCATAAATATTGACCAATGATAAATTCATGTCAATATTTAGTGTGCTGTATATTTTGATATCAGTTGTTTAAAAAGTAATTTACTGCATTGGATATCACATCTTTTTGAAGGTGTCATACCAATATGTAAAGAGAAAAGCTGCAAAAATTTGGTCTACAATGAATTCACCACTTATACAGTAATGAACATTTTCTAATCCACAAGACACTGTGGTGTCCACCCCACTTCACAGGAAGTTTGCATAAACTAGTTCGATTGAAAATAATAAGAGCTTCTGTTTATTCAGTGTTTACTACCGTACCTAGTACTCTCCATGGTCACTTCATTTAATCCTCATAGATATCTGATTTGTCATTTAAGGAAGCAGAGACTTGGCAAGCCTCCACAACTTTCCCGTGGTCTCATATTGGAATGTAGGAGAGAAAAGATAAAAACTGAAGTCTTCTAGACTTTAGAGCCTACATTCTCACTACTGTCACTTGCATGCCATAGCCATCTCTCTATTTGGTCATTTTTTAAAATTAACATTTATTTTTCTTGTCTTCATAATAAGGCTATAGACTTCCTGAAGGTGGGAACATGTCTTCTTCATCTATGTTGAGGTGTTGATTTTGGGTATTAGAAAGTTATGGCCCAATCTGTGTATCTTCTGTGAATTCATAAATGTCTGACATTCTTAGAGGAATAAGGGAGTAGGCCATTACTCACTGGAAGATGTCTATGACCACGAGTGGCCAAGACTCTTGGGAAGGTTCTCATTCTATGGGAAAGAAGAAGCTTTTGCAAGCTTGGCCCAAAGGCAATGATAGTGGAGAGACTATTTTGAGTATGTCAAGGGCTGTGTTACTTAGATTGTTCCTGACTCAGCACTGGTCAGGGCCACCTACTCTTTCCAGAAAGCTTTGGATGAAGAAAGTTGTAAGAAATCTGAGTGTTTCTTTTTGAATTCCTGAGAAACATGAAAGTATAGCTTAAAAATGATAATAATAATAACGGTATTAGTTATTAGTAGTAATTCATTTTCCTACCTTGTAAAACAGGGATAACAATATCTCATAGTTTTGATTATAATTAAGTATAAGTAAATGTCTATCACGTAACTTGGTATTTAATAAGTATTGAAATGTTAGCTATGATTATTTACTAAGTATATTCAACTTGGCAAATATTTTACATATTTACTATGGACTGAATGTTTGTGTCCTCTCCCAATTCATATATTAAAATTAATGTGATCATATTAGGAGATGGGGCCTTTGGGAGACAATTAGTTCATGAGGGTGGAGCCTTTATGAAGAGCATTTGTGCCTTTATGAGAAGAGACACAAGAGCTTGTTCTCTCTCTGCTCTGGGCCCTGTGAGAATATGACGAGAAGACAGCCATTTGCAAAGCAGAAGGCAGGCCCTCACCAGACACTGGATTTGCATACACCTTCATCTTGGATTTTGCTCCCTCCAGAACTGTGAGAAATAAAAATTTAACTCACAGCAAGTGACTTAATGATATTTTGAAATATCAGTCTATGATATTTTGTTATAGCAGCCTGAACCTACTGAGCTAATATATTATCTCACTTAATTCTCAAAACCACCCTGCAGAATACATGTCTTTGTTTTTGTGTTCCTGCTTATGCAGGAAACTGAGGTGGAGAGTGGTTAATTTATTAGAGTCCCACAATCACCAATTGGCAGATGATTCCGTGGCTCTTGGCTATTTTCCCTCTATTTTTCTTAGTGCTGCTTTATGACTCTGGAGTGCAGCACGTGTGAGAGCGAGGAGTATTTTCTCCTCTCTGGAGAGTGGAATGAGGGAGAAACCACTTCCTATGGATGGCAGTGGATGTTGTAGCTTCACCCTGGTGCTTTTTCAATTTTGGGCCTGTGTTGGGAATAGCAAAGCTGCCGCCCTGCTGTCTTGTGGTTACTACTGGTCATGGGGAGAAAAAGTTGCCAGTGGTAAATGGAAGGTGACATTGGCGGCACATGTAAGACAACCCCTGGAGCTCTCCTGAATTACAAGGGATTTGAAAGGGGCCAGGACTTCCTAGAATTCTGCAGCTGAGATTGCTCTCAAGGGAATATTGTTATTATGTACTATTGTGCATTTGCATTTGTAGCTGTGAACCTCATCCTGAGTCTAGGATACCCAAGGAGCTCAGGAAAAAGTTTGTTGAAAGGGCAATTGAATGGCACTTGAAAGAGGATCCAGCTTACATGTTGTGATCTGAAGCCTTATCCATCACATTCAGAACAGAAACAGAAGCCCCTTTAAATATTTTAAGTAGAGTATTCACTTTAATGGATAAGGGTCTTTCAAAATTGTTGGAAGGGCTGAACGAGTATGTTATAGACTGGCCTCTAGTTCTGATTCCTAGAACAAAACACAACTGACCTATTGTGGGAGATAATAGGAGCTGCTACCTCAGAGGCCACCCCTAGAACCATGCAGAATCAAGACCTTGATGCCGCTGTTTGCTGTCTAGCTTCAAGTGCCTCTCATGCACAGGAGGTTGAAGGGTGGACATCATCCCTGTGATCCAGGGCTTCGGAAGCCAGATCAGAAAGTGTTACTATTACTACTAGCTCCAAAATTGCTTCTGAACACTCAGAAACCTGGAGAATGGACATTGGAATGCTGCTACAAAGATACATCATATTTCCACAGCCATACTGACCAGCAGAAACAAGGAGGCAGAAATATGGCCTCCATCTCACTTCCGCCTTTCAGTCTCGATGCGATGTGCATTTGACACAAATTGCAAGAGAGTCTGAAAAATGTGGCTTTCAGTTTTCCAGTATCTCCAAATAGAAGGAGGGGCAAATGGAGGTTGAGCAACAAACTCATACTATCTAGGCCAAAGAGCCAGCCACTGAACTTTTCAGGCCCAATTTGTTCATCTAAAAATGAGGATAATAAGAATAGCACCTGTCACCAAAAGTTGTGATAAAGCAAGCTAAGAAAAAAGACTTATAAATTATAAAATATATCAAATTAGATAGTGCTTATTCAGCTATGATCTGTGAATCATTTATCAATAAATACTTATATTTCAAGCATGGTTCTAGGTATATGGGATGGATCAGTAAACAAAACAGACAAAATCCTTGCCCTGAAGAGCTTAACTTCTGGTGGGGAAAGAGCCATAACAAAACTAGTGATATTAAGAAAATTATATAGTATTTTAGAAAAATAAATGTTATAGGGGGTGGGGAGGAAGAGCACATATGTGGAGGGCCAGGAGTCGGGGAGGCCGACTGCTGAGTTAAATAGGGTGGCAGGCAGGCCTCACTGGGAAGTAGAGCTCTAAGCAAAGGCTTGGAGAGGTGCAGGACTGAGGCACGGGAATGCTGGGTGGATAGAGGGAAGAATTCTAGCAAAGTGCCCAATGAGGCAGCATACCTGGCATGTTAAAAAAAATACATAGCATCAAGGAAGTCACATTAGGGAGAGCAAAAAGGAGAGCATACTAGGAGATGGAGCCAGAGGGTTCCCTGGAGCTGAGTCGCGCCAGGGCTTGTAGGCCACTGCAAGGACTTGAGTGCTTACTCTCAGTGAGGTGTGAAGTGCTTGGAGAGTTCTGTTCAGAAAGTACATGATCCCATTTATGTATTAAAGGTCCACCCTAGTTGTTGAGTTTGGAATAGAGAGACACTCACATACACACAGATACAGCTTATGTGCATCGTCATTAATGCATAATTTGTTCAACAAATATTTAAGAACCTGTATGTGCCAGACATGGTGCTGTGTGCTGGGGTACCATAGTCAGCAAGATTGATGCCAGCTCCACGAGCAAGATTTAATTTATGGCAGGAACACAGGGTCCTGAGGGTGGGGGACATAGGGCCTGGAGCCACCACAGGGTTTGAGGATGTGCAGGGAGCATTGGGAAAGGGTGAAGACTGCTTCAGTAAAACTCTATAGCAGTAAGTCAAATACAGTCCCAGAGCTATTAAAATTTTCTGAAAAAAAGTATCCTATATATACGAATATGTTAAGCATACTTAAACCAAGTGACACATTTTGAATAGTGTCAAATTTGAATAATAGCTACACTTAGCAAATCACTGATGTTCAATGGTGTGAACTGGAAAACTTATGGACTTCTCGCATGATTGTCATGAGGCTATGATGACATACGATTAACTGAAGAATAGAAATGAAATATTATATTTGTATCCCATCAGGTGGTACAGAAGCACTCCTATAGCATTACCCATCTGCTATTATCACCATTCAGGTTTACTCTGCAATTGCCTAATTGTGTGATTTCTACTCTTTCAGTAATCTTATCTTATAAGATTTTATCATGCACATTTACCCTGCTTTAGCCATTGAGATAATTATTATGTCTCAATATACTTGAGTAACAGCCGACTCATCATCAACCCTCTCCTCTGTTTTTGGAGTTGCTTCGCAGGCATGTTCTTTTATTCTCTTTCCTACAACAATCTTTATTTTTAATGAAAAGCATAAAGAGCTTTATTAACTATTTTGTGTTTTACATCTTGGCACCAAATCACCCTCTTTCCACAGAAAACTTAATTTAGAACATCTAGATATAAGTAGCTTTTAAGGTATAAAGAACATAATGGATGATTATAAGACATTGCATATCAAATGACTGGGGTCATGGATGTTTAAAAGTTTATTTTTTTTTGTCCCATTTCCCTAATGTGAACTCCTCTGATTGGGCTAGATGAGGGTAGGCATGATTTTATTGTGGGAGCAGGTATCAGAACTAGAGGTTGTCACCTCTAGGCTTGAATAAAACAGTAAATATTTAGAGTACTGCTCATCAATGTATAGGCTCTGTTGAAGCACTCAAATCCTTATACATATTAGGGCCAGGACTAGGGTGAGGCAAGTGAGGTTCTTATAGTGCAAAATTTAAGGAGGCGTTCACTCTCAGGCTCCTGCAAGTGAGTGTCATTAGTGAAGGATTCAGGTGGATGCTGCACTTGCAGTGCCTCCTTAAATATTGTGCCCTAGGTAACTTGCTTGCTTCATCCTTGTCTTGGGTTTTGACTGTCAACTAATCATGTTGTATCAAGGATAGAAAACCTTCAAATTTTTGTTTATACTCCTTGTTCTAGAGAAGTTCTCTGTGCCTATATGTACCCCAAGTATTTACACATTACGATGGTTAATACTGAGTGTCAACTTGATTGGATTGAAGGATGCAAAGTATTGTTCCTGGGCGTGTCTGTGAGGGTATTGCCAAAGGAGATTAACATTTGATTCAGTGGACTGGGAAAGGCAGACTCACCCTCAATCTGGGTGGGCACAATCTAATTGGCTGCCAGCACAGCCAGAATAAAAGCACGCAGAAGAACATGAGAAGACTAGACTGGCTTAGTCTTCTGGCTTCCATCTTTCTCCTGTGCTGGATGCTTCCTGCTCTTGAACATTGGAGTTCAAGTTCTTCAGCTTTTGGACTCTTGGAACTTCGACCACAGATTGAAGGCTGTTGGCTTCCCTACTTTTAAGTTTTGGGATTCAGACTGGCTTCCTGGCTCCTCAGCTTGCAGATGGCATATTGCAGGACCTCACCTTGTGATAGTGTGAGCCAGTGCTCCTTCATAAACTCCTCTTTATATATACATCTTTCCTACTAGCTCCGCCCCTCTAGAGAACACTGACTAATACACACATGTATTTTCTTTCCAAGCCTCTGCTTATGGGTGTCTTCCTGAATGCCCATTCCCCGACATATGTCCCCACAGAAATCTGTGGAGAGACCTGTTTGTTTGATGCTCACCTCCCTTCAAACTTCAAAGTCTTTGAGAAGGCACGATTTCAGATTTGTGTTTGTGTCCCTAGCACCTAGCCACAAAGTCCTGTACATAGAGTTCCAATAAATGTTTAGTGAATAAGTGAAAAAGCATTGCCATCAAAAAGCACTCTGTGCCTAAAAGCAGTCATTCTGAACTCAGCCACATTTAAAAAAGCAAATCTTCCAGATGCAAATGAATCCTAATTGTGTTCCACAGAGGGACGATTTGCCATTCCTGTCTATTGACTGTGTAAGTGAAATAAAATAAAAAAAAATGATTTCTAGAAAAGAGATACCTAAAATGTCAGGCACATTATTATCTAAAGCTTAGCCAGCTGCCAGCTAATTTCCTTAGCCACAGGTTCTAAAGTAAACACAGATGTGGCAGGAGTAATTACCCCCAGAAAGCAAAAGCACTTCTGTTGCAGACTAGATGACAGCCTTGGCTGGCTCTTTGTGAGGGGACAAAGGCAGGCTGGAAAGAGCCCAGAGCCTGAGTGGACAGTGAGGGACCCAGGAGCCTTGCTGACAGGATGAAAAGAGCCACACTCTAAGAAAGAATTGTTTGATGGAAAAAGTGGTGGATCATAGTAGCCTCACTCCATATTTGAAGGGCTATAAAAGGGGATTTAGAGTTGTTCTAGGTTATTGCAGAGACCACTACCAGCAGTTTTAAAACAAAAACAAAATTAAGCACTTTCTGAACATCAGTATGTTGTCTGTATAATTGTGTACTTCTTAGAACAGCCCCTGCCCAAGTCAGGCACTGTAACCCCAATCGTACAAATGAGGAGACTGAGGGTGACAGGAGTTCTATTACTTGTCCGAGGATACACTAGGAGTAAATGGAAGAATGGGATTCAAATTGTTTGTGGCAGAGTCTGTGCTCCATCCTCTGTGTTACTCTGGAGATCTTTAGTTTGTGGAAAATGGAGCTCTCAGTCCACACTTGCACTGGTGGAGTTCCTGACAGCTTACAAGCACTTTTTACATATTACAGCAATAAACCTCTGACACGGGCATACAAAGGAACTAAATTCTTTTATAAGGAGTGACTTGTTCAGTCACACGACCAAGTATCAGCTGAGCTGGGACTTTGGCTTTAAGTGATCTCAGCTCCACGGGGGCACTTCTCAGAGGGACTTTCACAGGGTATTGAAGAGGCTATTCCTATACCAAAGGAGAAGCTGGATTTGATGGCCAGTAAACACCACCAAAATTCTGTGACCCTTATATTGCTTATAAGGTTCCCCTTTTTATAGCACCCATCACAAACAATGGGAGAATAAAGGAAGGGTTATTTTAGTGAGTGAGGCCACAGCATAATAACATTGAGTACAGGTTTGTGTTGAGATGAAACCATTGTATGCAGGCAGCAGCAGTGAGTCAAGAACAAGGAGAGAGGGCACAGATAATATAAATTTGTATAAAATAATAAACAACAAAAAATCCTTTAAAATTATGTGAATAATGATGTCTCTGCAAAATGGGATGTGAAATAATTCTAGATGTTAGGGTGTACTTTTCAATGAATTTTAAGACCATGAAATTTTATGGTGGGAGGAATGTTATCTAATATTAATGAATTTTTAATTAATGGGCACCCAAAGTCAAATACACACACACACACACACACATACACACACACACACAGATACACATTTTCAGATCTCTTTTCTATTGCATTTAATTTTTGCAAATAAAACTTAATCGAGATTTTTTTCTGGATTTGGTAAGAGGGCATATTTGTTAGATATATAGATTTCAATACAGCTAAAAGATGTCAAGAGGGAGATTGGCTATTAAAGCTTTGTACCACTGGGCTGCACTGACTTGAGATCAAAACAGTCCAGGAGAGGCTGGCAGATTCCTGTCCACAAATGCACTGATTGGTTAACTTGGAGGTAGCAGACACTGGAGGACAGATGAGTAACCACCAAATACTTGAAACTAACTGGTAAGTCCCTTTACTAATGAACAGAGAAAACCAGAATGGAATATCTATGTAAATGTTAATGCATCCCTACTTCATTAAAGAAACGACAAACAAACATATGTTCAGAAGATTGTTTGGTATGGAATTCAAGCAATGGGAGTGGAATGGTCTCACTCATCATTATTTGTAATTACATATTTTATTGTGTGATTATTTGTTTAATTTTTACTTCTCCATTTAGACATTTTACTTGCTACTGTCTATCCAGTGTCTAGCATGTAGACTTACATGTGGTAGGCATTTGATAAACATTTGTCGGAAGAATGAATGGATAGTTTCATTACACAATGATGGCGTGATGCAATCATACATCTTGGGGACTGCAATTTTCCTGAGCACTCATCAACACACTCTCCACTCTGGGCAATATATGAGACAGATGAGATATATGATCTCTGCTTTCTTTTTTACTACAATTGTCATTACCTCATGTCTGGCAAATTATTATTAGACAGCTATTATTATACAATTGAGTAAATTACAGGTGTTGTCACATCAATTACTTTGTAGATCTCTGAGATCCCTGAGGGTAGGGGCAGTGTGTTCATGATCTACAAGAATATGTCTTTTGGTGCTTAGCAACAATGCCAGATGCATGATAAATATTTGTTGAGCGAGTAAATGATTACTTTATTGAGAATACAACCTAGTTCAAGGATAGAAGATAAATTTGCTGCGACTGCTACCTCTTATGTTGTGGCAGATGTCTCTAATTGATCATGGAACTCTTTCCCACAGAAGTTAGATGAGGTCATGGCCTCCTTACCCTCCAGGCTGTGGGAAGCATGAGTAATACTGGAGTTGATCGGTTGAAATCTGTTTTCTATCCCTATCTTATTTTCTTAGTTGGGCCTGAAGGATTACTCATTCAAGGATGTTATATTGGTTATAATTCAACAATAAATATTTATCTGTTGCTTACTATTCATTGTGCTACATGTTGGGACATGAAGATGTATAACATAGAATATGCTCCCCACCCTTTAAAAGTTCACTCTCCAGTGGGGAAGAAACATCCAAAAACCTAAAATGATAATGTAATATAATATTTGCTACAATAGAAGCATACATACAAGTTATGGGAACATAGGGAGGGAGAAATCTATTACCTGAGGAAAAGTGTGTGTGCATGTGTATTTCGTGGAGGCACATAAAGGAAATTGAAGGAAATATGTGGAGTGGAAGTAACATTTGAGCTGGCTTTCAACAACAAGACAAACCATGTGAAGAAGAGTATTTAAGGTAGCAGAGAAGGAATAAGGACATTTTAAATATGGATACACATCCGTGCCATCACAGCACATTTGCACTGTTGGACGTATGTGGAGTGGTGCTGTTTGGACCAAATAATGGTTCTGGAATTTCAGCCTATGCTGAAGATATTTGAAAGTATACTCCCTTCCTGATGTATCTGAGATCATACCACCTAAGATCATCTACACAACTGGCTGGCTGTGACTGACAGATCCTGGAAGTAGCTTTGTGGCTTTTGGACAAAATAGGTTTGCACACACAATGGCAAAGCCATCATTCTGCTCAGGCAATTTAAAATATCCAAACTAATAACCAGTTAAAACAACCTGCTATTTGACACTGTGTAGATCAGGTACTTGGAGTCACTGAAGGTTCCACGTTTCCACGTGGTTTTAGTATGAGGACCAGGGCTTCCACATCCCTCTCACCACACTGTCATCGTGCCCTGATTCGGTTCACATTCCCCACCTTCCCAAAGCTCTCTTGTCAAGAGAGTAAAGGTGAACAGTCAGGGGAGGGGAGAGAAAAAACAGCTTTTAAGATGAGAGCAGTTTAATTAAATACTGAAAGAAATTCTGGAGGGCCGCTTGTAAAACTGGATAGATTCAGAGGTGAACTCCTTTTCTTTGGAAGCAAAACTGCTCCTCCTCCATTTCCTATGCCCTGCCCCTCTTCTGTCTGGCCTCCACCCTGGTGACCTTGGGGATGTCCTTCACTTTGTCTCCCTTAACCTCACAGGCCACATCTACTTAAGTAATTAGTCCTGTTTATTCTACTTCAAAATGCACCCCAAATCTTATCTATTTTCTGACCCCATTATTGGCTTATTTAAGCCTCTCATCTTCTTCTTATTATTATTATTTATCTTATTTATCTTTGCCACAGCCCTCTAAGTGGTGTCCCTGCTCCCATAAAACCCTCAGCATCCCTTCCAGAGTTATGATAGAATAAAATTGTGATCTAGTAAAGTCATAGAGTTATGATCCAGTAAAGTCTAGCAAGCCATTCCGATATAGCATCAAGTTCACACGTCCTCTCACAGCATACATGGATGATAAGCTCCCTGAGCTGGGGCGTGTGACTATCTTGTTCATCTGGGGTAGAGCACACATGGTAGGCCATCTCTAAATATTTTCTGAATCAGACCAGGGGCTGTGGCTCACGCCTATAATCCCGGCACTTTGGGAGGCTGAGGCAGGTGGAACACCTGAGGTCAGGAGTTGAAGACCAGACTGACCAACATGGAGAAACCCTGTCTCTACTAAAAATACAAAATTAGCCGGGCATGGTGGTACATGCCTGTAATCCCAGCTACTCAGGAGGCTGAGGCAGGAGAATTGACTGAACCCCAGAGGCAGAGGTTGCGGTGAGCCGAGATCACACCATTGTACTCCAGCCTGGGCGACAGAGCGAGAGTCCATCTCAAAAAACAAAAAAATATTTTCTGAACGAATGGATGTGTATAAAGTCTTTAGCAAACTAGTCAGAATATACCTTATTAGAATCTCCCCCACTCCCTACTCTATCTGTACCCTAAACTCTAGCCATTCCCAATTTCTCATCTTTCTCTGAACATGCTATGTCCTTCCATGGTCCCATGTCTTCCCTCTGACTAATTTCCTTTCATTTCTTCTCCATCAAAAAAAATAGTACTGATTCTTAAAGGTAGAGCACAAATCCCTCAATAGAATAAAATGGTAAGGCTGCTGTACTCAGACTACCCTGTGGCTCTCTGTCATGGACAGCTTTCCCTTCTATTTTAAGAAAAACCTTTAAAGGTTTGCCACCCATGCCTTCTGTTACTCGGTCCTTTCTATTTCATATTGTCTGAATATTTTTTGAAAGTGAGGAATTTTAAAAAGCTGTTTACCTAACAAATTCTAGAGGAGACAAAAAACCCAGCAGAGGAAAGTATGGAGAAAATAATTATACCAAAGCCAATCATCATGTGTCTATATAGGTTCTGGAGCTGAGCAAATGTGAGCAAACCACTCAAAAAGACCTGTATGTATTAATTACTGTGGGAGACACATTTGCAGTGCGAAAGCCTAAATAAGAATGAGTGGAGGGTGCAGGCCCTCTCCCCCGCCGTGTGCCTTTACCATCCATTTCACTCTTCTATTTTCTGTGAGAAATTTTACTGTTAACACTCCTAAATCTGGGTTATCATCAATTTTCACCTACTTTCCTCTCATTTTTTTTCTTTCTCAAATATTTGAAACAGAGCAGTCAACTGTCAATGATGAAAAATAAATACTGAATGCCAGATTAGGAGGTATAATGAACAAATAACACTCATAGAAGGTAAAACCACCTCCACTAATGCCAAGCCTATTGTACATAATAGAAAATACAAGACAAGATATATTGCCATGGGCATTAGAGGAACATTAAGATTTTAAAAGATTCATAAATGTACAGTTAACTATAAGACGATGAACTCAGCTGGCGGGGCAGATATGAGCAAACCTTATGAGCTAAGCTTTACTGAAAGAGGGCAGTGACTCTGCCTAATATATTTCTATTCAGTCAATACATGATAGGCAAAGAAAAAACAAAAGAAAAGAGACAATGATTTTGTGTCTCTGGAGTTAATGTGTATTCAGGAATTATTTAGAAGGCTTAAGAGCACTATGGCCATGTCTCTAATTGTTAGTAAATTTTCTATAACTTGCTGCTTTCTTTCTGTGGCACCTCTAGTTTTCTTTGCAGCTGTGCTTAGTGCCAGGTAAGGCTATTCTCAAAAGCAGAGAGTAAGACACTAGGAGGCAGGGACCATTGGGAGAAGAAAGTAAATACAATGCATTATGATTTAATAGAATGCTTCACACACTGTACTAGGCCAAACCCTGTACTAGGTAGGCATCAGGAGTAAGAAAAAGAAAGAAAGAAAAAAAATGTGCACAATCTTGTTTAAAAGACAAGAATGACATAGTTGAAATATTTGTAAGTTAAAATGAACATTGTGTGTGTGTGTGTGTGTGTGTATATATAAATATATACACTTGAGATGCTACATTATAAGTGTAGCTGGAATATAGATAAGGGAGATGTTAGTGCTAGCTGGAAGGGTAGAATAAAAGCATCAGGAAAGAAGTGAAGATAGACAGTAGATAGAAAAAAAGGAAAATGTAGAATTGCACAGAAAATGAAAAATCAATTAAATAAGTCTTAATGTAGAATGAATAGATGAGTAAAGGAAAGGAAAAAAATAAAACTGAGTTGACAAAGAAAGAACAAATTTTTAATCTTGGGGAAACAATGACAGATAATTAATTATTCTAATGCAGAGTTTATTTAGAATTCATTGTGCTTTTAACTTATGCTTGAGCTTTGTAAACAAAAAAATTGAAAGTACTAACCATCATTTATATTTTCCCTTGAAACTAATACACAACTGAAAAAAAAGGAGTAAGGTTAAAGCGGGTTTCAAGGTACTTTTGAAGTTTCCACTATTGTGGCAGAGAAATATGTTCACCAAATATTGAGCAACAATTTAACAATTTTGTCACTTGTGCTCAGGGTGATGTTCACATGAGGAAAATATTTTAAAATATTAAAATTGTGTTATTCCTATAGATACACACATAAATATTTTGACTTTAAAAATACATGGCCAATAAATTATGAATATAACATACTGTAAGCGAACAAAAATTCATGGACAAAAATTTCATGATAATGACAATATAAATTTTACATGTCTGAGTTGTCTATTGCTATCTAACAAATTACCCCCAAACTCAGCAGCTGAAAAAAATATTTATTATCTCACAGTGTTTTGTGGATCAGGAATGTGGGAGAGACTTAGAAGGTTCTGATTCAGGGTCTTTCCTGTTATAGTCAGCTGTCGTGAAAATCTCAGCAGAGACTGCAGTCATCTGAAGGCCTGACTGAGGCTGGAAGATCTACTTCCAAGATGGCGTATTCTCACATGGCTGTTGGCAGGAGGCCTTAGCTCCTTTCTGGATGTTAAGTTTTACTCACCACGTGACCTCTCCATAGATTCTCATGATAAAGTAGCTGGCTTCTCTCAGAGAGACACATCCAAGGAAAAAGAAGACAGAAAGGATGCTATCCTTTATAACCTAATCTCAGACATTGTACGTCATCATTTCTGACACATACTATTTGTAGGAAGTGAGTCACTAAGTCTAGCCCACACTCAAGGGATGGGGGAATTAAGATCTACCTCTTAAAGGGAGAAGTAACAAAGAATTTATTGTTGGTATATTTTAAAACCACCACCCACACTATCTTAAATATATATCTCTTTGTATGAATTTACTCAAGAAATAAGTGACAAGCTTCTAATTTCCACATGCATTAAACATTCATGGGGGTAGTAGAATAAATGCATTTCTACATTCGTATGATTCAGACAGACCTTAGTCTTTCACATCCTGTAGACAACAAATTACAACTGAGTTTCACCATATATTGAGTTAGGTGACTTAAATGTTTAAATAAACTCTGAACTTAGACTTATGATTAATCATGTTATTTATATTTGTGAGTTTTGCTCTTGTAATTTAGAGAATAAGAAAGAATAATTTAAATATCTGGTTGCAGACATTGAATAGAGCCAGTCATTATTATTGAGGATTTTATTAAATGCAAATTGACTTCACCATTGAACCGGTAACCTTTTAATAGATAAACAAAAGCACAGCTGCTTATTTTATGCTTTAATAATAATAATGGCATTTTGTGAATATTTGAATTGCTTTTAACCTTTAAGTGTAAAAATCAGTCCCTAACAGGTATGTAAACTAGTAGAATACTATCCCCAACTTGGGTGATGTGTTGGCTAATTGTCAACTCGACTAAGCCACAAGATGTCCAGATACTTGGTTAACTGTAATTTGAGTGTGCCTGTGAGGCTGATTCTGGATGATATTTACATTAAAATTGATAGACTGAGTAAAGCAGATTGCCCTGCCTGATGTGGGTGGGGCCTCATCTAATCAGTTGAAGTTCTGAATAAAATAAAAAGGCTGACCCTCCCTCAAGAAAGAGAATTCCTTCTTCCTGACTACTTTTGAACTGGGATGTTACATTTCTTCCTTGCCTTTAGACTTGAACTGAACATAGGCTCTTCCTGGGACATGAGCCTCCTGGCCTTTGAATTGGAAACCACTGTCAGGTCTCCTGGGTCTCCAGCTTGCTGATTCTTTCACACTGTAGATCTTGGGAATTCTCAGACTCCATGATAGTAATTCCTTATGACAAACCAATGTCTTTCTCTCTCCCACCCTTGAATTGCTTCTGTTTCTCTGGAGAACCCAGAATAACACAACGATTATATATATACATATATATTTATGTACATATATATTTTAAAGTTCTGTCTTAGTTAAGCCCATGCTTGGTCTCAAGACATTTATGATTTAGTTCTTGCTCTAACTCAGAGAAGTAGGTGACTCCATGCCTGTGTCTTCATGGTATGGAATTGAATGCTTGTGTCCCTGCAAAATTCATATGTTGAAGTCTAACTCCCATTGTGATAGTGTTTGGAGATGTGGACTTTTTGAGGTGATTTGGTCATGAGGGGGGAGCCTTCAGGAATGGGATTAGTCCTCTTATAAGAGGAAGTACAGGAGAGCGTGCTTCTTTTCTGGTCACTGCCACATGAACACTCATAAGAAGATGACCATCTGAAAACCAGGAGACCAGACACCAAATATGCTGGTGATATGGTTTGGCTGTGTCCCCACCCAAATCTCATCCTGGAGGTAATTGAATCATGGGGGCAGAGCTTTCCTGTACTATTCTCATGATAGTGAATAAGTCTCATGAGATCTAATGGTTTTAAAAAGGGGAGTTTCCCTGCACAAGCTCTCTTCTCTTGTCTGCCACCATGTGAGATGTGCCTTTCACCTTCTGCCATGATTGTGAGTCCTCCCCAGCCACATGGAACTGTAAATCCATTAAACCTCTTTCTTTTGTAAATTTGCCCAGTCTCGGGTATGTCTTTATCAGCAGCGTGAAAATGGACAAATATAGCTGGTATCTAGATCTTGAACTTCCATCTCCAGAACTGTGAGAAATAAATTTCTATTGTTTAAGTCATCTGGTCTATGGCATTCTGCTGTAGCAGCTAGAACTGACTAAGACTTTCTAACACTTTCTAACAAATAAAAGATGTGGATTAGATGATCTCTAAGTTTCCTTCCAGATCTGAAATCCAACATGCCATAACTCTCAAAAGACATCCTCCTCAATCTGACTCTTACTTTTCACTATCACCCAAGTAAAGATGACCTCAGCATGAAGATCTGTTGTTCTGCATTTGGTGCTTATTCAAAAGGCCAATGAAAGAGGAATTATCAAAGAAGTGAGAAGGATATTTATGGTCTTTGAATTAGTATGTGTGACAGCTTTATGAAAGGACAAACCTCAGAGTGCCCAGTTTCTCTCATTTATGCTCAGGGGATTTGTTCTTATAAGTACTATTAAGTAGGTAAATCCTCTGTGTATCTGAGAGAGCACAGACTAACAAACATCAATTTACTTGCTACTGTTTGCATGCTATATTCTTGGTAGATGCTTACCTAATTCTTCTAGAAAATGTATCCACTGAAGCTCAAATTTAAATGCCATCTTTAATTTGTTTGGTTTAAATAAACTGCACACAACAGCTTCTTCAGAGGATAGATTGCGAGGATATGAATATGAGCTTGAAAAATATCTCTGGTATGGCTAAAAAAATATAAGCTGCAGCTCTTTATTCAGTGAACTACATTAGTTTATCACACTTCTACCAGACTTATATGTATATGAAGAGAAGAATTACAGACAACCAAAATAGAATTAAGATCAACCCCACATTTAGAGATGCACAGCACATGGAATTTGAGGTCATGGAGAACTGGCCTTAAATCTCAGCTTTATTAGGAGCTTGGGCTCAATACTTAATCTCTCTTCAAGCCTCAGTTTCCTCAGCTGTGAAAAAGAAGAGGAAAGTCGGGACAATAAGAGCTACCTCATAGATGAGAGGGCATAGGAATTCCTTAATAAATGGTAGCTGTTATGATTACAAATCAACATTTGGAAGGAGAATAAATCCTCCCCATATAGTCTTGAGAGTTAAATGAAAAATTCTCTCTATCCTATAGTTTTATCAGCTTTATTTCTTTTATTAATTTCAAGAGGTGTTTCTTATGCAAAAATATAGCTGTGCGTGTTGCACATTTTTATTCACAGTTGCTAGGGATACACAGTCTTTTGATTTGAGCTGGGGATATCTGTTGAAAGTGAAATATTCACATGTGGCTGGAGAAGGGCAAATGAGGCTGCATCCCTCCCTTTTCTCTCAAGGGAAGCCCAGGAATTTCCTAGGAAGAGTCATTAACAGGGCCCAGGAAGACCTCTCAGGTAAGACGTTATAATCTATGCATACATCCAATCTCCTGGGACCTAAGCCATTGGGATGCTTTGCAAAGTTGAGATTCTCCATCATGCTGCAAACCTTGCCTTGGAGACAACAGACATTATTTTCTATTACTTTATGTGCACTTATGCTATTTTCATGGAGTCCCACATCTATATATAATGTTTTAGAAGTAATGAGCATGTCCCATTTCATGGGTGTTCTTGATTCAAAATCATTTAACTTAAGAACACTTAATACTAGAACTAAAGCCATAACTTCATTTTATAACTTCTAGGCATTGTAAATTTCAATTTTCTTTAAGCTCTAAACTAATCTTCTACTGTTTGTTGAAATATTACTTATACCAGTTTATCGGTACTTGGAAGACTTAATTTCCCTGAGAATCCGTCTCTGCAGGCTCCGTTTCACACGGGCACTAGAGTAGGTTAAGACGCTGCTTGTCTAGCACTTATAACGAGCAAGTATATTGAAAAGAAGCCCCGTTGTTCCTCATACCAACCTGACTGTGGCTGCCATATAAAACCTACTGAGCCATATATTTTACTCATCTTAATAAGCGCATTATAAAATGGCACTGAATTTCTTCCTCTCAGAGACAAGGAATGCTCAGGGTATTAAGAACATCAAAAGCAGAAAAAGTTAAGTAGTTGCAACAGGTACAGATCTAAGGCAAAGAACTACATCTATCGTGGAATCTCAGATCAAATATGCCTGCTTTTTCCTTTCGCCCTTTGGGGTCGTTCCTCTGATAAATAATTCACAGACTGCAGTGCAAAGTAGTTTGCATACTGACAAGATTAAAAAGAATGCTTTGTCTGGGTTAAATTTACAATCTGAAACCTTCCTTTAAAATGTCAAGAAGGTAATTAATTTAAGAAGGTTTGCCAAGCAGAGTCTCCGACCCTGTCAGAAAAATTTCATTTCCTGAGGGTGAAGGGGATGTTGCATTTATCTTTCCCAAATGCCTGTTTTGGTTTCCATTTTAAGACCATTTTCTCCCTTCCTAATATGCCTTATAGCCCTTTTCTTTTTAGGCAAAAATTAACCCAGTATTCTTTCTTGGTGGATTTTTTTTTAAGATTATCTAACACAGTCTGCAAATTACCTGTGAGTGGGGACTAAAGCACAGGTCAGACCTTTTGACACAAACAGAAGGGCATTTTCCACAGAGAGCACTCTCCCCGGCCTGAACATTCAGACAAGCATTTTGAGTAGCAGCGGGAAATGCATAAATTCAACAGCATGAAAATTTGCTTTTGGCTTAGCAAAATGCCCTGCCCCACATATGCACAGTAGTATGCATTCTTATGAATGAATGCTTATGACAATCAGTAGGGTTTTTACAGCAATTCTTCAAGCCAAGTTTACTGGTGTAAAATGTTATTAGCAATTGTGTCCCCTAACTAATCCCTGGAGGCATCACAGAAGAGATTAAACAATGCATTGCTGTTTGGAAACCTCATCCAAAAGCCCTGTATCATGTATGCGTGCACACACATACACACAGCAGAAAAAGAAAGCTGTTAATCGGCCCACTAGAAGTACATTTCAGTTCCTCTTAAAAATAGAGTTTGCCAGAGTAGCAGGGCTAAATGATGTCATCTCATTGATACTAACCGGGAAGAAATAATTTCATCTCAAATTTACTTCAAGAAACAAAGGTCAACTGAAATGTGCCAAAATGCTAAATGTGAAGAAAAATAGTTCAAAATGTATGAAGTCTGAAATAAGAATCTCACGGTTTTAAGGTGAGTCTAAATCGAGATGTGTTTAATAGAGATGCTTTTGGATGCTTAGCTGTCCTCCCTAGGTACCAACTCTTGACCCTGGTGAATGACTTGTTTGTGTGGCTACAATTCAGTTTCCTGGGATTTTCCTTCTACATCTTGTGTCATTTTGGTGGGGTCAGGATGTGTGATATCAGTTTGAGAGCTGTGTTCTCTGAGGCTTTAGAAAAACAGTCACTAGACTTTGTCACTTTGCAAATCCCTCACTCACCACCATCACACCTTGGGAAATGGCATGTGTTGTGTTTATTTTGCATGGAGTCTATACTACTAATATGTCAGTACTCAACATTAGTCTCTAATCATTTTTGATGGAGTATTTAATTGTTCTTCTTTTTAGAAAATATTGTAGTTGCTTTCAAATATTTTGGGAAGTTGTGGTAGTACAAACTAAAAATAAATATTTTCTAGTGTGTTGGTGAAAAGGCAAACACATAGCTAAAAAAGCAATTTAAGAAAACCTATATTTCTGATTAAAGATGATTTTGGAAAATTTCATGTAATTCTTCTAGTCTTTTCGAAGCAAAAGGTGAACAAGTTCCTCAGAAACTGATTTTGGAGGAATGTTTAATTTGAAGGTGATAATATTTGAATGTAGAAGGAAGTCTGTGTTGGGGAGAGGTGTTAGTTTGTTCCACAGGACACTATTAGGGAGTTGTCATGTGTTTTAATTTTCAAGCAAGAGTAGGCTGCACTTGCTCTAGTCAAAAGCATCCAGAATAGCCTTGGTTGGTATCCTTGGGTTTCAGCAAGATTGGCATTCCCTGTGTGTTAATGGAAAGCTTCAGGTGCTGTGCTGAAACCATCATTGAAGGACACAGAATAAAGGCTTCACTATATATTAATACTACGATTTCCCCTACCCTTCTTACTTCTAGGACTTCTCATTCATTACAATTTCCTCATCATCCTGTAGTGAGAGAAAAACTCAATCAGCAACCCACTGAAGAGCATAATGATTGATCTCAGCCAAATTTCTACTTCAGTATACAAAAATATATATAATTATCACTTTAGACTAACTAGCTATTGAATAATTTTGCAGGAAATAATTGATGGGAGGCACATGAGAGTTAGCAGAAGCAAGAATAAAAATTAAATGCATAGAGAATATCCAGGCCCTAAGAAAATTTATCAAGAAGCTTTGAGTTGCCTACAGAATATTTGAATGAGAAAAATCATAGTCATAATAGAAAAAAATTAAAATACTCTGTTTCAGACATGCTCAGTTTATGGGAGTCTGTATAGATGAATGGTGGGAGCTACCAGCTAACATTGGAAGCAGGGAAGGTGAGTTGATTTCCTACTCTGTGGCTTTATAGCCAGGCTTAATTCATTAGTAAAGAATTTAGTTGATACTTGTAATTGCGTCTAATTGTTGCTGTACCAAATTACCAACAATTTAGTGGCTTAAATTAACATAAGTTTATTTTATAGTTCTGGAAGTCAGAAATCTGAAATGGGTCTCAGTGGGCTAAAATCAAGGTGTTGGAAGGGCTGCATCCCTTTCTGAAGGTTTTACGGAATAACTTGTTTTCTTGCTTTTTCCAGCCGCTAAAGGCTGCTTGCATTCATTGACTGTGGTCCCCTTCCATCTTTGAAGCCAGCCAGTCAAGATTTTTCACATTGCATCACTCTGACTCTGACTCTTCAGCCTGTCTCTTCACCATTTAAGGACCCTTGAGACTGCATTAAGCTCCCCTGGATAATTCAGGATAATGTTACCGTCTTATGGTCAGCTGATCAGCAACCTGAGTTTCATCTGCTACTTTAATTCCCCTTTGCCATGTAACATGATTTGTTCACAGGCTCTAGGGATTAAGATGTAGAAATCTTTGGAGGACCAATTATTTTGCCTACCATAGTACTTAACAAATATTTCTTGAATGAATGTCTGATTAATTGACTACAAAAAGAAGAATACATTTTGAGAGGGAAGAGGTGGTGAACAGTATCAAATTATCTTGAAGTCAAGAAGGATGAAGACTGAGAAATATACTTGGACTTTATAACTTGGAGGACACTAGCAGTTTTTGAAAAGAATCAGCATCTTGGGGGCTCTGAAAATCAGATTTCAGGAGATTGTTTAGTGAGCTGGGCTCACAAAATGAAGACAGGGATTTAAATTGTGTTTTGAACTAAGAATAAGAAGAGCTCCAGACAAAAAGACTCAGGAGGATAGCAGAATTCCTTAGATAATATAATTACACTTATGGATCAAGGGAAAGAAGCCAATATATAGAGATATATATTTCACCTATTTCTTGAATATTTTTAATTGATAGTTTGATATATTGAGAGAAGTAAGAGGGGTTAGAACCAATATTTAAGATGAAAACCATGCCTGTGGATAAAAGGGAAGCAGGACAATCCTTTCTCTGATACAAGAGGAAGAAAGGATTATTGAAGAACTAAGGACAAATAGAAAGGGAAGAAAGATTTGAGAGCATTTAAATTAGATTATATCTATTTTATTAGTAAGTAACAGACATAGGTTCCTAAAGTCAGTGTGGAAGCTTGGGACATGGGGAGAACAGAAGAGGTTTAAATTAGATTCTGGAGGGTGGAAGGGATAATCCTCCATGGAGATTTGAAATACTTGACCAGCAGCACAGGTGACAAAGTGAGAGCAAGTTCCGTTAAAGGGATCCTGCCATATTTTTAATTTTCCCAACAATACTCAGCCATTTATGAGGTGGATCAGAGAAAGCAGAAAGTGGGGTTTCCTAGGGTGGGAAAGACATAGCTTTGTGGTAGAGAAAGAAGGTGAGGGTACATAGCCTATTCCTGAGGGCATTGCATGAGTGGCTGATCATGCCCACCCAGTTTGGGTGTAGAAGGAAGTGATCCAGGATGGGGGTAATGAACTGAGAGGACATGGGGACTTGAAAGTGATAATAATGAAATCCTGGCTCAGGAGGAGTGAATAAGTAAGATGACAAGTGAAGAATGACAAGGAAGTGTGGAGGCAGAAAGTGCCAAGGTGTGGCTAGGCTTGTGGTGGTGGGGGCTACAATATAATGGAGATGACAGTAATCTGAGTATCCAAGCCCAATGAATTGTGGTATTAGAGTACTGGAAGATCATCACACAAACGTCAAAGAAGGGTAAGACTATAAAGAAAATGTTAAAAATTTGATGAGGCAGGAAAAGGCTTATAGAAAATGGAAAACTGGATAGCAGTAGATGGCATGGACTTTTACAAAAGAGATATAATGGAAAGATAGCTATCAAAAAAATGGTCTGGAAGCGATTGTGGGGGACGAAAAGGTATCAGCCCTTTTCTCATCCCAGAGAGTTTTAAAGAAGTAACATTCATCTAATAAGTATTTAAGCAGCCAATATATAACAGACACTGGATTAGGGAGTGAACTTATAATGAACAGACAATCCTTATGTGCTTCACAATCTAGTGGGAAAAACAGACAATAAATTCAAATATATATAATCATAAATCATGGTAAGATCTATGAGGAAAACAAGCATAATGCTCAAAACAAGCATTATTTGGTTACATTTGTACTCTGATATCAGGAGTAAGGAACATTGACTCAGTCTGAACAAAAATTTAAAAACATAAACATAAGATCATTTTCTTTTTTTCTTTAAACTCTTCTTCTGTTACTCTTGGACAAACTCCAGACTCCCTAGCAGGGTCTAAAATGATTCTGAGACTGGTAGAATTGTCCAATAGAATTCATGTTTATGGTTTTTTTGAATAAACATAGAAATTGACCATCCTGATCTAAAGCTAGAAATTTGCGTTTGTCTTATCTGAGTTCCTTTCTCAAGAAACTGACCCTCAGGCCTCCAAGACAGTATTAAGTAATTGAAACTCACAAGATCACTGCATCTAGACAGTGAAACACCAGACTCTTTATTTGTCACGATTTTCTCTTTACCCCTCCCTAATTCCTGTTTTCCCTACATGTAGCTACATTCCTTCCCAGCTATTAACTCCCAATTTTAGTTGGTTGAGGAGATGTACTTGAGACTGATCTTCCATCTTCTCTGCTGATATCACCCCATTAAAGCCTTTCTTTCCTGGCAATACTTGTTGTATCAGTGATTGGCTTTCTGTGCAGTGAGAAATGAGATACAGATGGAACTCCTGGTGTTTTGGTAACAAGCTTTTAAACCTCTCCAAACTTGTTTTTCCATCACTGCCCCCCTCCCCACCGCCCGACTTCAACCTGCTTTCTTTTTGCTCCTCAATGATTTCAATCTCTTTCCCACTGCAGGGCCTGAACATTGGACCTCCTCCAACCCTCATGAACTCACACCTTTGCCTTCTCTTAGCCTCCACTCTTCTTTTCAGAGAGGCCCCCATGATTTCTCTCACTATCTTATCTTTGATTTTTCTGTCTCACTTTCTGAATCTCATTCATCAGTGAGAATTGTCATTTCAGACTTTTAAACATATCCTCTCAAATCTATGCCTCCTTTGCTATCTTTACCACTACGATATATCACTTTAACCCATCACCATTTCTCATCTGTAACAATGATTTCCAGTATTATCATAAAAGACTGGTGGAAGGTCAGCTGTCCTTTTTAAAGGAAAAATTTAGAACAGAGATCTACCAACTTGTGCTCAGACAGGGGCAGACCTGTCCTTAACTCTCACCTCCCCAGCAGAGAGAGAGAACAGGGATTACAGAATACATATGCCCCATAGGGATAGTTAAATTTGTTAGGTTTTAGCATACTTAATTGTCTAGTTGCTGTGGTTCGAATGTGTCCTCCCCAAGAAAACTTAATCCGCAACGCAACAGTGTTGGGAGGTAGGGTAGGGCCTGATGAGAGGTGATTAGGCCATGAGGGCAGAGTGAATCGATTAATGCTGATATAATGAGAGTAGGTTCCTTATCCTGGGAATGAGTTTGTTATAAAAGGGGGAGTTCAGCTCTCTTTTATACTCTCTCACACAGACACACACACACACACACACACACACCCTCTCTTGCCTTTCTCCCTTCGACCATGGGATGATGCAGCAAGAAAACTTTCATTAGATTCTGGTCCCTCCATCTTGGCCTATGTAGTCTCCAGAACTGTGAGAAATAAATTTCTATTCTTTATAAATTATCCAGTCTCAGGTATTCTCTTATAACCGCACAAATGGACCAAGATACCATTGGAGAGATTGTTCTAGGACTTTTGTTTCAAATATTCTCTGGATTCAAAATGTAGCTTTGCCGTATACAAATTATGTGGACTTTGACTAGTGGTTTAGATTCCTTGTGTCTCATTGTTCTCATAAAGTGGGAACAATGCCTGTTTTGAAATGCTGTTATGAGGATAGTGTAAGTGCCAAACAGAGTGCCTGGTTTATTCTTGATGCTCAATTAATGCTAATTCTTTCTATTTTGTTTTTCCCAGATCTTGACTAGGAGACAGGGAGGTAAATCTCTGGGATTGATCCCAGGCATATTAAACCATGACAGTCACTGGCCCAAGGACTGCCCTGTGCAGTAATTCCAAATCCAATCCACACACCCTGTAAAAGATGGGGAAACTGTGTTTGGTAGTTCTCAAAAATTGAAGAACATTACACATGTGGTTACTTGTTTATACTATTGCATCATTTTTATTTCTACATTTCAAAAAATTGTATTATTTCAGAGCTGGAAGAACCTTTACAGGTAATTTTGTGGTACAGAGAAAAAAATACTGCTTAGAAACGGGGATAAGGATTCTAGTCCCAGATTTGCAGCAAACTAGCCATGTGTCTCCTGGTGTCCACCCTACCTACTCCATTAAGTTGTTATTCCTTTGGCAGGATGAATCAAGGCTCCCATGGGGAAGCACGAGGGGAATAGGTGGTTATTATATTGACCAACTGTTAGTTTTGTTTGGTTTAATGTTTTTAGATCTGCTCATTTTTTTTAATAGTGAGGGCAGATTTGAGTGTGAGAGATGAGGAGGTAAGTCTGGAGAAGCCAAGGGGTTTGAGGAAGAAAGATAGTGTATTATGGGGGCCATGTGATATAACCACTTCCCTTGGTCTTCTCAAGAAACTTCAATGAAGCTACATACCCTATGATAATTTTGGAAATTGATTTGTTTACTTTTAGATGTCAGGATAGGTAAAGTTGGCTTCCAGGATAGTTTCCAGTAAATTCAGGGCTGTTCCTAGGAAATGATATAGTAAGCAGGTAACTGGAATGGCAAATTAAATAGTATATATGAAAGCACCTTAAAAGAGTATGTGGCAATGAGCTGTGTATTGTTATTCTTTGCTTCAACACTTTGACTTTGCAGATGAAAAATCTGAAGCCTAGAAAGTTCATGTGATTTGGATAGTGGGATTTAACTTACTTTATGGAGATTTTATGAAGGCTAAGATAATACACATTCAACAAATGTTACCAATTATTATTATTGTTGTAATTCTGCTTCTGCTGTTGATGCTGCTGGTGGTGGTTGAAGACTATGTGGGAAGGCTCTCTCTACTACGCCTTCCTTTTCCAATTGCCATGTAATTTTCACTTGAAGAGCAGTTGTTGACCTCATTTTATCACAAGTTCTGGAAAGGTAAATTTGATAGAATACAGTATGGAAAAATAGGTCTGAAGGAAGATGATGCAATTTTTAAAAAGAGGAAAGAAACACTTTGATTTAATGAAAGTTATTATCTCAACAACAGTGAGAATTGTCATTTAGAATTTTCAAATGAGATATTCATTTGAATATTCATCAAACTCTGTTACTTTTACGGTCCCAACTATTCCAGGCCCTAAATTAGGCATACAGTTAGAATTTGGTCAGTGTTTGTTCATGTTCATTCATTCTTCACTTGGAAAATCTTTATTGGTTATTTTTTATGTGACAGGCACAGTGCTAGCTAACATTATTTGAGTACTTCTTTTGTTTAGAACTATGTTATGAGATCATGGAGAAGGAAGCCTCCCAGAAGAGAAGACACAGTGTTGTTTACAAAGCGTACATATGAAAGACCATGCAAACAACAATAAAATATCCTCTTAATAAGAGAAAAGTGAGAGATATTGGAATGAAACAGAGTCCAGGACTATTTAGAATTGTCTATAGTTAATCCCCAAAGTCTTCCAGGAGGAGGACTCTATATAAGGGTATTGTGCAGGGGTAATGAGCATGAAACGGGGAAGGTGGGACTTACAGGACAGGGTATTGCAAGGCATGGTAGACTATCAGCTGTATGTCCACTAGTTTTCTTTGTTTCCTGAACTACAGGGATCTTTGTCTTATATCCCTGGCCTCAGAAACATATCAACCATTTTTGCACATTTCCACCTTTTCCCTAATATCTATGTGTCTAGGACAAAGCTCCCCAAGGCCTACTAAAGAGAAACTCCCTGCTGCCTTCAACTTTGGCCAGTGCTAACACACTATTCATGAACCATTCAGGGCCTTAAGGGAATGTTACTTCTGAGACTAGCTCCCTTGGAACTGGGCCCTGATCACTGTCATTTCATTTGCCCTACTCTGTGAATCATTCAAATCATAAATGGTGGGCTCTTTGGCCTCGTATTAGTCAGGATTTTACAGAGAAATAGAAACAATAATATTTATTTACTTATCTTAAGCTATTGACTCACACAATTTTGGAGGCTGAGAAGACCCATGATCTGCTCTCTGCAAACTGAAGACCCAGGAAGCTCTCTCTCCAGAGAGCTGGAGAACCAATGGTGTAATCCCAGTCTGAGTCTGAAAGCCTGAGAATAAGGACAGGAGATTGATGTCCCAGCTCAAACAGTCAGACAGAGAAAACAAATTCTCCATTCCTCTACTTTTTTGTTCTATTTAGCTCTCAATCATTGGGATGCCCACATTGGAGAGAGCAATCCTCTTTATCTGCAGATTCAGATGCTTATCTCTTCCAGAAACACCCCTGCAGACACATCCCCAAATAATATTTAACCAGATATCTGGGCATCTTCACCGGGATCCAGTGAAGTTGATATAAACAATTAACTGTCACAGCTACATGGGGTAAAAATATCCACGTAGAATCTATATTCAAGTAGGCCTATATAAAATAGTAGAATTCCAGAGGATAATTGTTATTATATCAGGATCTTAGCGTTCACAGTCTTTCTCACATCTTTTTACCTAATACAACAACACAGTGTGTAGGTGTTGATTTCATAATCTAGATGAGGAATTTGAAATTTAGAAAGTTAAGTGATTTACCCAGAATAGCATGGATAGAAAATGATGGAGCCAGAACCTGAAACCCCTCATTGTGACTCACCATACCAGATGGCCAAACTGGATCTTTTTGAAAATGTATTTTTATTGAAATATAAACTACATTAAAACTCATATCTCAAGTGCACACCTTAATAAATGTTCATATATGAAAAAACCCATGCAAGCACCACTTAAATAAAGATATAAGGGTTCCCTTATATGCGTTCTCAATACCCCCTTCCCCTCAAAGGGGACCACCACTTTCTGAATTCTCCTACCACAGGTTAGAGTTGCCTATTCTTAAAGTGTGATGAATAGAATCATGCACTACAGACGTTTTGTGTCTGGCTTTGTTGTTGTTGTTCAACAGAAGATATTTGAGATTCATCCGTGCTGGTGAGCATAGCAATAGTTTTTTTCATTGTTGTACGGTATTTCATTATATAAACATTCCACCATTGATCTATTCATTCAATTAGATGGATCTTAGATGTTGATGGACATGTAGGTTGTTTTTAGGTTTGTTCTATTATGAACTAAATTATTACAGACATTGTTGCTCATGTCTTTTAGTTGATAGATACACATGTCTCTGGGCATATACCTGAGTGGTATTGCTGGGTCATAGGATAAGCATATTTTAGCATTTGTAAATACTTCCAAGTAGTTTTCCAAAAAGGCTGTACTAATTTATATTCCTACTAAAGTACTGTATGGAAGATCCACTTACTTAATATCTCTGTGAACACTTGGTATTGCCAACATTTTTACCTTTAGATATTCTGGTGAGTGTGTAGTGGCAAACCAGATCTTGAGACAGACACTCAGTTTCATTGCACAGCACAGCCTGACACTACCTTTTTATTCTCACTCATTTTATCCACAGGAAAATTTCTCTTGGTCCTAGGCCTGGTTGAAGAGTGGGGGTTGGTGGTGGCAGGGCAGAGCTAGATCCTTCTGTCTGATTTGGCTACAACCCCTGAGCTGGATTCTAGCTCCTATATTTTAATCTTTATTGTGTAAATTTGGCAGTTCACTGAGAGAATACAGAGCTCTGTTTTCTCACTTATAAGATGGAAAGCTTGGAATAGCCAGTGTAAGTTCTTTCTAGAACTTCAGATCTGTGATTTCTCTCATACCACTTTCATATATGCCCGTAAGTCATTTTGAAATCCTGGTTGGATTTTGAAATAAGGACCTTCTAAATTCTTTGCCTTCTTTCTTCAGTTATAATGCTTAGTTACTTTTCCCAAACCTACTAACATTTTCCTTATTTATTTTTTTATTTATTTATTTAGAGACAGAGTCTTGCTCTGTCACCCAGGCTGGAGTGCAGTGGCATCATCTCGGCTCCCTGCAACCTCTGCCTCCTGGGTTCAAGAGATTCTCCTGCCTCAGCCTCCTGAGTAGCTGGGATTACAGGCACGCAACACCATGCCTGGCTAATTTTTATATTTTTAGTAGAAAGGGGGTTTTACCATGTTGGCCAGGCTGGTCTTGAACTCCTGACCTCAGGTGATCCACCTACCTCTGCCTGCCAAAGTGCTGGGATTACAGGCATGAGCTACTGCGCCTGGCCACATTTTCCTTATTTTTGATTCAACTCTGTCCTTTTTAAGTTATATAAGTTCTTAAAACTTACTCTTTTCTTCCATATTTTTGATCCAAGTGTCTCGCCTTTTCTCAATTACATCAGGCACTTTCTCCACAATGTTACTGAGCTCTTTTCTCATTGGTGACTGGTGTTTATACTGGTAACTCTAATGCCCTCTTTTAAGTACTGCTTCTATATGACATCCCTGCAACATTGGCACCATTCCGTCTTTTAGAGTCCACAAAAAGGTTGCTTTTCCTCCTTCCTTCCCTCCTGCTCTTCTTTCTTTTTGTTTTGTGCTAGTTTGTTACAACAAACTAGACTAATATCTTCCTAGTCCCTTTCCAAACTCTCCTTTGCAACTCAGAGTAGAGGCAGTAAAATTAAATCTTCTAGATTTTCTCTTTCTGCAGAGTTCTGAGTTAGATTCTGCCAAAGAGAAGCATGGCACTAGATTTGGAAGATAGAAGAAAGGTGAAGCCATTTTTTTCTGGTGGCAGCTGCAGGCAGACATGTGAGCAGTCAGCAGATGTGAGATTTACAGCAGCTTCTAGGAGAGCTCCTGCAAATCACCTGCTTTGGTGCTGCAGTCAAGGGAGATTATCAACAGGCACTTCCAATGATTCCTATTCATCCAAATTTCCTGTAGGCCAGCTGTGGTTTTTCTTTCACCTATGTACCCTAGCTGTTCAAATGGTTGTGTGAAACCCTAATTATTAACATTATACTGTATCTTGAAATAAAAATTCCTGAATTCATCGGGTTAGGCTACTCTTATAATAAATCTCAGTGGCTTAACACAGTAAGTTCATTTTTTGACTATGCCTTACTTTAGCGAAGGGGGTGGTGGTAAAAGTGGGGATGGAGATGAAGAACTGAAGCTGTTGGAGTCCCTGCCATATGCAGTATGGCTTCAGGTAGCCTTGGGGATTGGGATCCAGTTAACAGTCAAGCAAAATGATTTCATGCTCAGGCCTAGGTTGGCACACACCATTTCCTCCCATATTCCACTAGCTAATTACAAGAGCCAGCCTTGTGGCTAAAGGGGGCTCATTTTACCACAGTTCCTTTTGCTGTGTCCAAGCTTTAGATGTAGGTGTCCCTCGTTCTCTTCTTTTTTCATTCTGCCCATTCACCTCAAAGAGTTCTTACCTATTCTCATTACTCCAGCTCCTGTCTCTGCTTCTGGTTTCCCCTCCACCTGCAATGGCCTTTCATCTATTGTCCTGTTGAATGCCCTTTGTGTTAGTCCATTTTGCACTGCTCTAAGGGAATACTGGAAGCTGGATAATTTATAAAGAAAATAAGTTTGTTTGGCTTATGGTTCTGCAGGCTGTACAAGAAGTGTGGCACCAGCATCTGCTTCTGGTGAGGGCTTTGGGAAGCTTTCAATCATAGCAGAAGGTGAAGGGGGAGCTGGTGTGTCACATGATGAGAGAGGGAGCAAGAGAGAGAGGGAAGGGATTCCAGGCTCTTTTTAATAATCTCCATGGTTTAGTAATATCCATGGCTAGCATTTAATACATATTTGCAGAAGGAATAGATTAAAAGTACTTAATGCTTTAAATAAAGAATTTGTGTCCATATTCTAAAATAATCATCTCATGATTTTTTCTACAGTTTGCAAGATTCCTGTAGGTATTTTTTTTTTTGTGCAGTTGGCTTTCATTAGTATAGGTCATTGACAAGATAAACATTCAATGCAGGTCCTCTTGACTCATAGATCTCCTGCCATATTCATATGCGCTCACTTAGATTTCATCCTCTCATTTTCTATTCTCCTCTTTCTTCTTCCAAAGGTCCCTCCATCATCTCCCCTCTCCTAGTTTATCACCATCTTTATTGAGTCTGCAAGGTTGTGATGGCAAGAAGAGAGAAAGGAAGAGGGAGAAATTCATGGAGGAACACGTATTTTTCCTCCATACATTGCAGTTCTTGAGCCCTCCTCTCCAACCCAGTCTGTGATTTTTAGCAGATTTTTATAAGCACTGGGTCTATTTGAACAAGCTATCACCAAGAAATATAGTTGTAGACACAAACAATGTCTAATTTGTCTAGGGGCTATTACCTTTTCTCTGAATTAATACTAAATCAATACTCTAGTAAGTTGTCAGGGGCGTTGCATTGAAGTGATGTCTTTATAGACAAATAAACTAACATTTTATCCGGTTTCACTGAGTACTCTGGTTGGCAATAGGAGAGGGGGCATGCAGAGAGATAAGGGCAAGTTGTTGTTTGCAATAATTTATAATCTACATATGAATTTGAAGTGTTGATAATTTATGCTTATGAAAAAATTGATAGAACTTTGTTTACAAAATTCTAAAATTCTGCTTTGGGTTAATTCCAGATCAAATATTTTCTGTTCATCTTCATTACTTCTCAGGCTATAATTGCATCTCATCATTAGATGTTTTTTGTTCCTATGCTTATATTTGCACATCTATTCATTCATTCTACAAATATTTAATAGGCACCTACTATTTGTGGGTCATTATAGCTTTTAGGCACACAGCAAAAGACAAAGTCCTTGCCCTCAAAACCCTTGTGTTTCAGTAAGAGAGAGGCAGTAGACAAACAAACATAATATAAGCAATAAGTGCTGCAAGAAAAAATAAAGTGGGTTAAAGTGATAAAGGGCCAGGGAGATTATCTCTGAGAAGGTGACATTTGAGTAGACATGACTAAAGTAGAAATTAGTCATGAAGGAATCCAACAAATGGCATTCTAGGCAGATGGAGAGGCAAGCACAAAGGACTTGGGCAGGAATGAACTTAATGGAACAGATAGAAGGCCTGTGTGGTGAGAGCTGAGTTACATTCACTAACTTACATGTGTATAACTTTTTAGTTTATGTAATCTTTTCACACCCATTATATTATTTGCACTTCACAAGATAGTTATTATTGCATCCATTTTACAGATGAGGAAACTGAAGCTCAAACTTAACCAATGACTTTTCCAAAGAGATGGAACTTGGCTTTGAATCCTAATCTCCAGACTCCACATCAAGTACTTTTCCCTTACTTCAGAAAGTGCTATTTTAAATGCTTTTATGGCTCTGGGCTGCCTTTAGAATACTAGAAATCCTGTAGGATCACTTGCATGGGAAAGAGGGCAGAGAAGGATCAGTAGCCATGATGATCTGTCATGCCTGAATCATAGATGAGATTTGGGGACTGGGTATAGGTCTCTGCCTCCTTACCAGAGTTTCCCTGGGCAGTGGGATAATCTCTAGGACAGTATCCTGTCAGAGGAAGAAGCTTCCAAAGGACTAGGACAGATCGTCCAAGTAGGGTTAGGCACTCTCATTGGCACTCTGTGTGCATCCAGCCTGGAAAGGAAGCTCAGTGAAAACATATTAACTGGGATGCAGACAGACCCTGATGCCCACATGTTGCTCAGAGGACTTTAGCACAGAGTGAGTTCTTAGAAATAAATAGATTTGTACTCCCTCCCCACTTCTTTGTTAATTAATAAAGCCAAAAATGTAGGTGATATGGTATAGATAGAAGCAGACCTGGCATGTGATTGGGTTCATTTCTTCATGAAGCATTTATTGAGCACCTAGCATCCTTTCATCAAGGAAGGTTGGGATCTAGAGGAAAACCAAACATATTAACAAATAATTATCACATAGTAAAACTGTCATGGAAGAGGCATCTATGGAACACTACAGAAGAAAAACAAAGAAGAAATTTGCCACCCACCCACCTCTTCTGTGGTGTCTTGTTGAGAGAGTCTTCCACCCCTATTTCTGGTGAAGAAAGTACCCATTTGATGGAAATTTTCTCTCTTGGCCTTTCTCAGTGACCTACTGGAAGTTGAATAATTTCTGGAGTCTTTTGGACAGCCATTGATGTGTCATAAAAATGGCAAAAGCAAATTCATGGAATTGGGACTTACTGTGATAAAACACAGAAATGAGGTATAGGTGGATAGTTAAAAGTTTCCACTTTGGGTAATATTTAGGTATAAAATAGACACATATCTGTGCAGAGTGGTTGGGAAGCTGAGGGCTGGGCAGATAATTTTGAGATGTTTATTTTAGCTGTATGATTTGTTTTATTGTCTGGTAAGTGGTTACTTCAGAAACACTGTACAGATTGTATTTCCTAAAGTCACACAGTTGAGAATCTATTAAGCTTGAGCAAAACTTGATGCTTATTAAATAAACATTCTAAACATTCTCTTCAATTTTGCATGATTCTTTCTAAATAACTTTCCCTACCATGGGACTGTCATACCTAACACCTCAGAGAGTGGAAATTCCAGCACTGTTGCTGTTTGTGGTCTAAATGCAGATGCACACACTGAAGCTCCTTGAAAGCTTGTCTTCCTGCTGTATATCCTTTCAGCTTCTCTCATATTTCACCTTCCCTTTCCTCTTCCAGCTTGACCCTCCGTGGGGCCATCTGTGTGACTCCTTGGAATCTCCTGTGATAAGATGTGGGTTCTCTGTCAACAGCCTTTGGACCTGGTCTAGAACTTCTAAGCCAGGAGCTGCCCCCACAGTGAGAGGTGGACAGTCCAGCCAGATTCTTTTCACCCCTATCAGGTCAGACAGTTTCAAATCTTGCTGTAACACCAAATTCACCCATGGGAACCTATAAAACAAAGGGAAATGAGGAAGGTAACTTTTATTATAAGACTGTTTGGAGTCTGCAGAAATAGAATGAAGACTACAGTGGAACAGAGATCTCACAGTAACTGAGCAGGCTTTCCTGACTCTGTCCTAACAACTGGCCACTATTTTGAGGTGAAAAATGGTCTCGAGCAGAGAGATGTCTCAGATGACTATGTATATAGTTGATTCCCATTATTTGAGAAATTGGTATTTGTAAGTTTTCCTACTTGCTAAAATTTATTCATAACCCCAAGATCAACACTATTAGTGCTTTCATGGCCATTCAAGGACATGTGCAGAGCAGGAAGAATTTGAGTCATCTGAAGCACATGTTCCCAGCTGAGGTCAAGCAAGGCAATGCTCTGTCTTCTTGTTTATCTTTTATATTGTAAACAAGAGTCCTTTTCTCAGTCTATTGAGTGCCATTTTTTCACATTTGTGCTTACTTGTCGGTGATTTCAGTGTTTAAAATTGTCCCCAAGTGTAGTGCAGAAGTGTTGTCTATTGTTCCTCAGTGGAAGAAGACTGTAATGTGCCTTACAGAGAAAATACATGTGTTAAATAAATTTCATTCAGGCATGAGTCATGGTGCTGGTGGCTGAGTTCAATGTTAATGAGTCAACACTATATATTAAATAAGATGTATTTAAACAGAGACACATGAAACAAGGTTCACAAAAGTGTGACTAGAGGCTTGCAGGAACCTAACACTGTACTTCCCCTAGGAGCAATGGTTTAGTATTTGCTTATTCAGCATTTGTGGTGACTTTATAGAAAACAACAAGAATGAATAATGAGAACTGAGTTGTTTTTTTTGTTTTGTTTTTTAAAAGCAGTCATTTGTAAATCTATTCATATCACATTAAGCACAGTCTGGAAAGAAAATGGTGGTATTTATACAATCTCTAATGAATACAATAAACAAATGTAATTCTTCATAAGACAAAATAATTGTTTACAACTAATTAAAGCCTACTTACCTTCATCGAGATTTAATTTCTCTGTTTGCAAACAATATTAAATTTCAAGGCAAAGAAACAAAGGAAGGCCACCTCTTAATCCACCCCTGCATTTGTGGAGAACAAGGCTATTCCATTTACCATAGAGCTTTGTGAAACATTCATAATTCATAGAAGGGGCCATCTGAAAGCATTTCCCAGAATTGTCACAAAATTCTGCCAGCTCCTGCAGTGATGAAAACGTACAGTCTTGTGAATATGATTAAGGTGCATTGGAATCTAAGGAAACCATCCAATAGCCACTTTGCTCTCTTCACGCTCTTGGAATGTAGTCTCTGGAAGAAAGTCAGTTCTGACAGATGATTTCATGGTGTTTTACTCAGTGTGGGATGTACTTTAGAAGCAGTATATCAAAACCTTGACCTTTATTTCATTTTTTTCTTTATTGTTGATTTAGAAGATTAAAGGCATTCCAAAATCTTTTTCTAAATGTCTTCTCATATATGCAACAAAAAGGATTCAGAAAGGATTTGACACACAATGTAGAAGCATAAATCAGCCAAGGGGAGGATATTTGCAAATTGCTCTCCCCGTTATAATTTCATCTCATTAGGGAAGAAGGGACAGGTGGGTGTGCTAGCAGTTACAGATCAGGAATTGCATTTTCTTTCTAGATTGGTGAGGGATCGTATGGTATGAAACCCCCTTCTGAGAAAGCTATGCAGGTTTTTTATTACACATAAAAATCCTCCTCTGGTGGATTTTTGCAGTTTACAGAAAATGTGTAAACCGAAATTAGAAACTGCTTAGCTTTTACATTTTACTGACTTCTTGGGTTTAGTGTAAAAAAAGAAAGTGAAGGGATTCATGGTACAATTTTTATTTCCTTGATGGATTAAGATGAACATACGGTCTAAAGTAAATTTGTAAAATATATGTATTTAGTCACTGATGTCTAGAATATTTGATAGACCAAGGATGAAGGCATGTGGTCTAGGAGCTGTAAGACCTAATGAGTAATATTTGTGGTCACATTTGTATAACTCTATTGCTAACAAAGCCTGCTTTCTAAATACAGATGTCTTATGTTCAACTCTGAGGTTTTCTGACAATGAACAGGGTAAGTATAATAATCTCAGAATATGCAAGAATATGACAATGAGTATGTGCAGTCATTTAATATTATCGTTTCATCATTTTAATAGCCCTGTGGAGATATCAGTAAACAAGTATTTATTCAGTGCCGCCTTTAAACAATTTTATTTTTTTTATTGTGACAAAACATGCATAACATTTTAACCATTTTAAAGTGTACAGTTCTATGGCATTAAGAGCACTCAAAATGTTGTGCAACCTTCACCATTATCCAGTTCTAGAACTGTTTCATCTTTCCAAATGGAAACTCAGAACCCATTAAACAATAACTCCCCATTTCCCTCTCCTCCAAGACCCTAGTAACCTTTATGCTGCTTTCTGTCTCTATGACTTTGCCCACTCTGGATACCTCATATTAGTGGAATCATACAATATTTATCTCTTTGTAACTGGCTTATTTCACTTGGCATGATGTTTCCAAGGTATATCCGTGTTGTAGCCTGTATCAGAACTTCATTCCTTGTTAAAGCTGAATGAACAATTAAATTTTCCAGGATCCACTAGTGTTTCAGACACTATTCTAGACCTGAGTTTCTTACTGGGAAATCTTTCTGTTTATATTTTTCCCCATGGTGTCCACACTCTGGGAACATGATCACTTTATCCTGACTCCTGGCTTCTAGACAGGACAATGTCTTTTTCTTTCTCAGGTCCAAATTCAAATGACTACTCTTTGAATAAGACTATAAATATGTAATTATCAATAATCTATACTAATCACTACAAAGTAGCATACCCAACAATGCTGTGAAATGCAATCATAGTGATGTCTTTAAACCAGTGCTTCCAAGGGGCATGTTTAATGGCATGGCAAAGGAAGTGCCACGGTACTGCATGCAGGAGACAGCTACTTTCAATTTATACCATCAGGTAGTGACTTTTTCTACTAAGTGCAATAAATCAAACTTCTCTCTCTTTCTAGGAAGAGACAGAGAGGAGCAAAGCAAACCAAAAAGATTATTCCCATGATTAAAAAAGCAGACAACCAATATTTCTCCGAGTATATTGGAAGGAGGAATCTCCATGGAATCCAAATAATAAAGATGACATATTTCAACAAATTTATAAGCAGACATTAAAGCCTGAGACCAGATACAAAGATGCAACCATCCTTATACAAAACATCGTGGAAAACACAAGAGTAGAAGCCTAACTGGGACTATGTAAAGACAAAAAATGTTCCAGCAGGCCCAGAAGAGGATTCTCTTGACCTTAATGGCTAAGTTTTCATTTAAGTTCCTAGAATGTAGAAACTAGAATTTGATTGCAGAGCACTATAATAATATTTGAAGTCTGTTGTATTATTCCAGGCTTTATTAACAATAGAGCAAGTGTATTTTAATTACATACTATTGGCCTAGTAACTCTTCATGCATGTTTGTTGTATTCAGAAAGTCCCAAGTTAATTAATTCCTCTGGGTCAGTGTCTCTCAAACTTTAGTACATATTAGAATCACTTGGAGGGCTTGTTAAAACATAGATTTCTGGGATCCATCCCCAGAATTTCTGAATCATTGTGTGGAGTGGAGCCTGAGATTGGCATTTCTGAACAGTTCCCAGGTGATGCCAAGGCTGCCTGCCTGGGGGCCATATTTTAAGAACTGTTAGGTATATTTAGGTATATGTTAGATACCTGGATTGGATGAGTTGAACTTCAGTTAAGATTGTGATAAGCAGACTACATTTCAAATCTTCTCATCTTTTCCATCTGTGTTTTTACTTACCATTACTATCCAATCCTCCATCAGTTTCGCCTGAAGTACAAGAGCCTCCAAACTGGTCTCCAACATCCTTTCTTGCCTTCCTCCAATTTATCCTCTACAGAGCAGCCAGGATTATATTTTTAAAGCCTAAATCAGATCATTTTACTCTCTTGCTTAAAGCTCTTTGAACACTTTTAGTAGCACGAACTCCATAACACCCAGTCTTTGACCCGTGGCTCTCCAGGGCTTGCGTGATTTGGTCCCTGCCCATCTTTCTATCTTCATCTCCATCTCCTGCCTTCCTCCCTGTGATTCACTAAGCTTTTGTCACACTGACATGCTTTCAGCTCCTTCAAACACACCAACATTTTCTCCCTTGAGATTTTTAACCCCCACCCCCTGGCATGCCCTTTGCTGCCATAACCTCTCTTCATCTACTCTATGTCTGGCTAGATCTTCCTTTTCTTTCAGATGTCAGCTTAAATATTATCTACACAAAAACATCTTTTTTGATCATACACAATTAAAGTATGTCCCTCCTTTTATCCTGTTTCTTATTAGACTTTATTATATTCTTTTATTGCCTTTACCACAGTTGTTTACTTTTCTCATTAGGCTCTAACTTGCTTGAGAATGGGACCATGTCAACACAGTGCCCGAGAGACACTAAGTATTTGATTTGTTGAATCACTGAAGACATAAGAGCAAACAAGCTGTTACTGAGTAATATTTATTCCCTGGGTTCAACTAGAGTAAGGATCCTGTCACTTGGGATGTTGAAACTTCAATTAATGCTACTGATGACTTTGCTCTGAGTTCTACCCATCTTTCCATCCCTGACTTGTGAAATTTTTGGTGGCCACCTTCAGCATGATTAGTATTAAGTCACAAGGCTTCACACCATTGCTTCAGTTCTACCTCATGCTATTCCAAAGAGCCTCCTGAGAGGGCTTCCCTAAGAGCTGAGAAAATTGAGAGGCTTTGATTAAATCAGAGTGTGTCCAGAACTAGAGAAGAAATTATCCTTTGGCAGTTTAGACTACATCAAAGACCACATTAGGATATTGTATTTAGTTTGGTATAAAGAAAAGTTGGAGCCTATTCAATAGAAGGAAGCCAGTACAGTCCAGAATTTGCGAAGTCTGTCACAGGAAGAGCAGTGAATAACTGGGAGAAACCTGGGAAGGAAGAAGCTGTCATCTTGGGAAAGAATGAAGCTTGTACTAACTTGTCCTAGAGGGGATGGCATATATTAGACAGAAGTTATAGGGAAGTGGATTTTGAGTCAACATAAGAAGGCATTTTCAACAAGTAGAGTTGTTGATAAATAGAATGAATTTACCTTGTGAGTGAAATTCTCTCATAACTGGAAGTGTTCAGACAGAAACAGTGAAAAAGGTGAGAGGAAGAAGGGAATTAACATTTACTGTGAACCAGTTATTTTACCTATATAGTTATATGGAGGAAATCTTATTTTCCTGGCAGAAGACTTTTCCAAATCTGTACTATCTTCCTGGTGGAGGTGATATTTCGAGATGCCTCTTGGATTGGGTGTGGTGGGTGAGATGCTCACAGAACATGTTCGAGGCAGAGTAGATGATCGTGGCTCAGTTGACCAACAAGCTTTTATTTTGCTGAATTTTATTTGTAAACTGAAGAGATAACTCAATATTTCAAAATAATCAAAGAAGGGTGAGGAAGATTTTTAGGGAGATTAATTTAGGGAAGAAAACAATGTGAGACGGGGTAGCTGCCAGAGGAGAGAAATTCTGAGGGAACAACAGAGATACTTGATGGGAATTTGATGATGTTTCTGCTGTGGGTCTACAATATAAAATCATTTTTCCCCCCATCTCCCCATATAATTTCTGCAAAATATATATTTCTTTGTTAATGAACTGTGGCTTTGGCTACATTTTGTAGAAATCAATAAATACTAAATTTAGCCCTAAAACTGGTTCACAGCAACCACGGTGGACCATGGAAAAACACACCTGTGTCACACATCTCAATTCTCATAGCAACAGGATGCAGCGAGCAATTGTGTCTTCATATACAGATGAAGAAAATGAGGTCCAGGGAAATCGAAATCAGTAGGTTATTTATCTTATTTATTCTGTAACAGAGGCAACTTGAAAGAAATTCATTCCTTGGATGTAAGTGCACTGAAATGGCTTCCGGGATGTGAGAATGGACACACATTGGTGTGTATTGAATCAAATCTGCCAGATTATCTTCAATATCTTTTATTTCTTAAAATTTCATGGAGCAGGAAAGAGTGTCCAAGAGTGATCTCTCTGATAATACATGAACAAAGAGTTGTAGTAGTGATGCAAATAGAGATTACGAGGTAGTGACTTCGTAGGACTGGATGCTATAGACAGGGCTGGCTTTGTGTGTGAGTCCAGTTCAGTCATACAAAACCCATGCTTATAAGAAGCCTACACTTGATTTAGTGCTCTGCTGTTGCTATCTTGAAATTCTTAATAATTTTAAATTTTTAATAATTTTTGAATAAGGAGTCTTGCATTTTTATTTGCACTGAGCCCACAAATTATATAGCTGATCCTGGCTACAGTCAAAGAAGTTTTATACCTGGTACTGGCATATTATCCAAGGAGCCTGACAATGTTTTAGAGGCCGCAGAATCTTGATCTTAGAAGGGAACTTGGCCTAGCACCCAATTTAGTAGTTTTCACTACTCTCTATTTAGCAGAATCACCTAAAGAACTTTTGAAAAATATGTATATCTGTGTCCCAAACCCCAAAATCCCAGATTTAATTGGTGTGGGTGGGACATCATCTTTTTTTAAAAGCTCTCCAGCTTATTCTGAAAACTACTGACCTAATTCATTGGTACCTACTATTGGTACCTACTATATAGTTATGCCTGATTTGTTAAACTTCATTTACTCATTCACCAAATGTTGACTAAGTTTCTACTATGTGTAGAACATTGTAATAAGTTTTATAGGGCATAGGTAGATGAATAAACAAAGGTCATTGCCATCAAGAATCTAATAATATAACACATTTTCTAAGTGCTTTGACCTCCCAGTCCATCTCTCTGGTTCTCTTGCTTCCTTCCTCTCTCTTTCCAGACTGAGTCTTTAGCATCATTATACAACTTCTTTTCCCTGAAAGGTCCAAAAGCTTTAAATAATGTAACTTTTTTTCTCATCAAAATGTTTGGGCTCCCAATGTAATCCACATCCCTGCCTCTAGGTACTACTATACTCCTAGAGAACTGGCGTATACATTTATAAAGGCCCATTGTTAGAAGAAATTTACTTTGACAATAAGCAGCCCCAATCTTTATAGGCATGTTTCAGAGCAAAGCTCACTCATTTTGTCTCCTACAAGAGCTCCTCATCATCACCACCTGGGTTGTAATTGAAAGTTTAGGTGTGTTTTGCAGTCATTTTCCTTGGCATGAAGCCAGCAGGGAATGTCCTCCAATAATATAAATGCAACGTGGGTGTGGCACAGCCCATATTTTTAATCTCAAAAGGAGTGTTTATTGTTAACATTTGGGAGGATGGAGGATAGGGAATTAATTCTTTGTGTTTCTCTTTCTTGGGTATTTTCTTAGCTACAGGAGCCATGAAAGGCTCTTGCTGTGACCAAAAACCAATTATAAATCTGTTTAGGAATTCATTTTTCATCTATTCCTAGCCCCACATTCCCTGAATCCCCACACTAGTTTAGGATTCATGACCATCCCTTTCTGAGGACCTCCTGCCTCGGCCACAAGTACTATGGGGAACACTCACAGCTTCTTCATGAAGGATTATTTAGAGCTCTAATGCCTGTGAAAGGAATAGTTTTACTTAATTCTTGGTCATGCAGGGAGTGGGCCTATAGTTTTAGGGCTTTGAAGAAGAGTCTACTGGGTGAATGTCCTCTCTCCTCAATCACCACCTTCTTTACACATATCTTTTTATACGGCCTGCAGTCAAATACTTCAAACCCTCACCTGGGAAACTCAACTATATTCAACAGTAGGAGAAAGTCCACTGGCCTGCCTACCTCCAGCCATGGTTGTTTGCCTCTCCTAAATCAGTGCTAATTCCAGAAAGAGGGGTGGGGCTCTGCCTCCCTGAGAGAGCCAAGGGCATATCCAGCTTTTGTGTGGTCAGGAGTATATACAGTTTTGAGGCTCCCTCTTTGTTCTAGAAAAAGAAGACAAAATTATGAATTAAAAATTAGGTAAATGATTGAACGATAAAAGAATTCTCAATTAATTACTAGAGTCTTGGTGGCCCAGCAATTCTTTAGATCTTTTTAAAGCAATTTACCAAAATGCTTACATCAAAATGCTCTCTGATTGCCACCTGGCTTCTCCTTACCACCTAGAATGCTTCACACTTCCTAGCACCTCACAGCCCTCATGAGACTCTGAGCAGGTGCAGGGACCTGAGGCAGAAGCTTCCTTAACTTTAGGGTGAAATATTCCAATTGTTTCCTGTTCTCATCAGCCAGGGGCAAGAGGCTGATTCATGCTGGTTTATTTACAAGGTGGTACCTCTAGCTGAAGTGAGGACTTCTTTCTGTTAGAGATACATGGCCTTCTCTCATATGAAGAAAGACTATTTCTGTTCTTAACAGAACTCTGATTTTTACCACTTCTTAGTTATAAGTCTCCGCATTATCCTGTTCCTCCCTGGTTCTGGCTTAGATTACAAGAGCTTGTATTTATTTTAAATGTCTTCCACTGCCACACAGATGGAGAAACATCAACTCTTGGTTCCAAATTTACCCCTTAAAAGAAGAATGTTCCAGTTCTTCCTGCCATATGTGTGCCGCTGACTCAGAGAGCAAGAATGTGGTGGGAAAACAGACTGTGTTTACAGATGTCTTCTGCATGGCCTGTGCATCTCATAGACACACTGGCAACACATACCAGCACACACATGCCGTCTACGTGCTCTGAAATGACTTCCAGGGTGTGAGAATGGACACACATTGGTGTGTATTGAATGCAGTGGGACTTTATCCTGGCCGAGGAAATTCTGTAAACACCTAATGGTGGAAAACACCGACTTTAAAATAGTTTAAAACTATAATTGTTTGTAAACCCTGGTAAAGCTAGAGCTGGTTCTCTTTAAATGAGGCAAGAGTGTAACATCCAAGATTCATTCCACGCCAAAATTCTCTGGAGCATGAGTGATGGTAAGAAAGGCTATTAGGTTAACAAGAACATCAAATGGATAGAATAATCTTATTTCTCTCTCTCAGTGGAGGTTCTGTTTTGAATCTGCTGGAGTCTAATAATTAGTTGGTGTTGCTCTGAATTGTATCTGACATGTCTCTTCATGTTAGCTTTGCTGCATCTTATGCTTTAGGCTTTTGCAAGCTTCTCTGGATTAACGGATGGGGAGGGAGAATAAAAGGGTACTACCCATGGTGCCCAGAAGCAAAAGGAAAGCAAGTGAGAAGAAGGTGCATGTGGATGGAATTCCGAGAAGGGCCCACGCCATTCAGACTTAAGAACTGCTAAGTCCCAAAGGAGATACTTCTAGCATCTAGCAGGCATCTGGTAACCTAACCTCTCTGTATCGCACATCCACCCAACCCACCTTTCCACTGGGAGTGTCAAAGTATGTAATGAAGCTCCCTGTCTTCCGTAAAGAAGTATCCTGCTTAGTATATGTAAACACAACACCTTGATCTTTTTTGTTTTGGAAAATAAAAACAAAACAAAATATCCAAAATAAACCAGAGATTTCTTTAAAAAGAAACGCACGCAAATAAAAACAACAACAAAAGACACTTTGAGTTTGTACTCCTGATGGAAAAATCATTACTGTGGACAAAGTTATGAGAAGTCAAAGTATAGTTTGTTTTTAATAAGAGCTATCATTACATTCATGCTCAGGATGTGGCACTCAGAGTACTACGTATGTGTCACCACAGCTAAGATAGGTACTGTTACTCCAGGTAAGTAGAGTTCCCCCAAAATTCATGCCTACCTGGTACCTCAGAATGTGACCTTATTTGGAAGTAGGGTCTTTGCAGGTGTAATCCAGTTAAGATGAGGTCATACTGGATTAGGGTGGACCCTAATCCAAGGATAAATGTCCTTCTAAGAAGAAGGTAGTGGGATACAGACACAGAGAGAAAACATCACGTGAAGACAGAGACATAGAAGAGAAGGCCATGTGATGGTGAAGGCGGAGATGGGAGTGATGCATCTGCAGGTTAAGGAAGGCCAAGAATTGCTGGCATTTCCAGAAGCTAGAGGAGGCCAGGAAGGATCCTCTCCCAGAGGCTTTAGAGAGAGCATGACCCTGAGAACACCTTCGTTTTAGACTTCTGGCTTCCGGAACTGTGACAGAATAAATTTCTATTGTTATAAGTCACTGGGTATGTGGTAATTGGTTATGGTAGCCCCGAAGAAGTAACATACAGATGAAGAATCTGTGCTTCTGATGGTCTTGCTGAAGCTCCTTGTGCAGGGGACGTGGTGAGCTGGCTACACACACAGCCTTCCACCTCGGCAGGGAAACTGCACAGTGAGGAGCACAGGGGCAGTCACAGCCAGTTCCTGGGCTCATAATCGACGACATTGGTCTTGTCCATTTGGACAGATCCACAGGATTCTAGAGAGAGGTTAAGAATGAAAGTGTAATGGTGATCATAAACCGCAGGAACAAAATGTATATACCTATTTATTTTTATTCTCACTTCATCCTAAAAAGGATTTAAAGTTCCTTTCATAGATGAAAATAATAGGACAAAATAAAATAAATTTAAACATAAGAAAGATGAAACAAAGGGAAGAAAAACAATGGTGGAATGCAGCAGTAATAAACCTACATGACGTCACAGCCCTTCCTTCACCTCCCCAGCCCCAGCTAAGAAGATGGACCCTCATGGTATGGGCAAGAAATTTCAGGATGAGATAATGCCAAGTCTGATTTTTCTCCAATTTGTGTAAATTCAACGGAAATTTCAGGCTGCTGCTTCGAGTAGAAATAAGCTCTAATTATCCTTTTGATTTTCATATCATTTTCAATAAGTCAGCAGTGCTATTGCGGTCAATCAACCGGAAATCAGGGAAAGAAATCTCACATTTTCTGTGCCTTCCTTATTGTTTTAAGCGTGCTTCTGAAATGCTTTAAAATCATTGTCTTCAGAGTGTTTGTTAGTGCAGAGAAAAAAGGAGAGGATCTGGAATGGTTAAGCATACTGTTGTCTGTGATTTATCAAACCACACACGCAGACTTACTATTGAAGGAGAGACAATACCATCTAAACCAGCATGGGAGTTATTGTTTGATTTGATACTGAGCTTTTCTGTGTTTATTGGTCATCTTTGGTCTCATGAAAAATTTATTCTATGTCTAAGGGAGCTCCAATATAAATAAACACTAGAAATACATTTGTAGGAGGCTGTTCTCTAGAATAACTCAGTATTGCTCTCTGCATGGGGCATCACCTGCTGAATAAACCCAAAACCATCATCTGGGGAGTCGCTCTAGGTAAACTTCCTTGAGGTAAGCTGTGCTGTAGAGATAGGAACCTCTAATCATGTTTCAAATACTAAACATACCAGTGTGCTTTTCTTTTAAAAAGAGGAATCCTATTCACTTGACTTTATTTGTTTTTGAAAAAAAAAATGAACCCTTTATTTGGAGAATATTTTAGAAATTTAGGGCAAGGAAAATATTCTGCTCCTAGATGAGTGCTTTTGCTTGTATGATCCTGCACTGACAGTGAACAATACAGTAGATGAATTACTGATTTATTTATTTAAAAGCGAATGCACTGGATTTAAAAACAGCTTGCCTACAACAAAGAAATATGCCCCTTAAGGTTATTTAGTCCATTTATTGCTGATACTAATTAAACAATGACCTAGGCTTTTCACAGAGTGATTACTCTTAATGAAAAATTAACTATGGTCTCCTAATAAAGATAGCACACAAAACAAGTTGTACAGAGTGGTGTGACCTGACCTAGGATATCGCGTGTAAGTGCGACAGCTCCTGTAGATGGCAGTGGAGCACTTCCGCAAATGCTTTGGCCTGGCGTTCTGGGCCTGGGGTTGAGGGATGCAAAGGATAAAAGCTGCAGCAAGAGCAGGCGTGCCCTCCAGCCAGCAAGTTAACTAAGCTGCTGGTTCACTACTGCACTTCATAGTTGCCCTCTAAATGATTTTTTTCTGAACTCAGCAAAAGTACAAAGTGTTCCTGCCTGCACCCCAAATTGTCCTTTTAGTGAGGTAGGTTTTTATGTTTTATGCTTTCTATTTTTTGAATTTCAGAGTTATTTTGGAGATCTGACCTAAACATTCCTCTTCTTGAATTGCAAAAGCAATTAGCTTAGCTGCTCACACTCTTAAAGAGAGAATAAAAATCTCCTAAATGGAGACAATCGTAAACTACATCTGTCATACAAGTCAATGCAGCACAATCCAAAATAAAGATCTGTCAGCATAAACTATAACCAGATTTCATAGTCCTTAACTTTTTCTCTTGCTTGGATTGTTTTCCTTCTTTCCTTTTCTCTTAAGCCTTTTATTAAAAACTGTCCTCCGCTATGCTCACAGGAGCTACATGACTGAAATTGGAAAAGCAATCTAGCAATCACAGATTTAGGTAATTTTTAATGAAATTAAGATATTATATCGATTATTTTTGTCATTGTTTTGGCCTTTGAAGCTCAATCAGCGTTATATTCTATTATAGAGGAATGGTTGTTCTGAAAGAATTTGTGGAGTTGTGCCTGTCATTTCAGGATGAATTTCCTCGCTCAGCTCCCCCAAATTTCCCATTCTTTCAGCAGCAAGAGGGAACACTGCATGCACAGTGTTAACTTCACACATTCCTGACATACTTGCTACATTAACAGAGCTATGTTCCAGGGAATTGAAATATCTATTGTAACTGTAGGAAGGGCTTTCTTCCCATAACTTTTACCTTGTACCCAGAAAATGTATGTCAAGAATCAAGAAATGGCAAGTTTAGATATGGATGATGCATAGGAATCTGTTGTTGATATAGTTGGTATGGAAATTGTATAGGCAGAATTCTGCACACAGTAGGAATCATTTTGTTGAATAAATGAAAGCTAAAATGGAAGTAAAAATTAGAATAAACCCAGGGCAGAAGAAACAGTGACTAGTTTTCTGAAAGCTCAGGAAAATATCAAAAATATTTGAAAAAAAATGGAAATTTAAACCTTAGGAGGCCAAAAAGGTCCTGGGCTTATGCTCTTAGGTATAGGAAGAGGGCTAAAGAGGTGAGCAAAGAACATGAGAAGATATTGGCAAGTGCTATGGCTCATGCCTGTAATCCTAGTGACTCAGGAGACTGAGGCTGGAGGATCACTTGAGACCAGGAGTTTGAGACCACCCTGGACAGCATAGTGAGACCCCACCTCTAAAATAATAATAATAATAATAACAATAATAATAATAATAATAATAATAATAATAAAAGTAGCCATGTGTGGCTGATTCCTGTAATTCCAGACACTGGCCTCTAGCCTGGACAAAGAATGTGATTCTCTCACAAAAAGAAAAAAAAAAAAGATATGTTTGAAAAGATGAAGGGAAGGGCATGTCAATATGCATCAGAGGAGATTAGCAAAGAGCTAATGACCTGGTGCTACACTGAGTGGTTAAAAGAAGATTAGGGAAGGGAATCTGGAAATTATGGAAGACAGGATGCAATTACACAACCAAAAATGAGGCCCAGAGGAGAGAAGGATCAAGAGATACAAGGGTGGGGAATGGTGTGTAACTTCATCAATTAGGTATCATAGCAGGTCTTCTATCGTAAAGCCAATGCTTTCTTTTCAAGACTTCAGATGAAGGTGCATTTGTGTGGAGTAAGGGCTCATAAAAGGGAATAGTGCATTCTTTATTTTATGATAAAGAAACAAAAACCAAAACGAAATCATCCTCAATTGCTCTGATGTTCTAAAATAGATGATACTTTCTGTAAGCCAAAGGCCTGATTAAATTTGTACCAGTTTAGAATTGCTGACCAATAGGAAGCCAATTAAAAATTGCCAGGACCTCCCCCAAACCAGGTACAAGATTAAATTTCTTGTCTTCTTTGATCATTTTGTTGGTCATTGATGATGAAAACATTACTAATGTTGGTCATTGTCCTTATTGGTCATTGATGGTGAAAACATGAACCCAGTAGAAAGCAAGAGCCCTCAGTAACAGGTACATGACAATTGGACATAGCCCATTTAATGCTACCATTTTGAAGGGTACAGCTTTTGATGCCATGACAGTTTTATATAGTATTTTTTAGACACTCCTTAACATTAAAAATTTTAAACTACTAAATATTGAGGTCACTTGGCATTCTAACCCCAACTGACCATCTCACTCAATATTTACCTAAGGCCCAAAGACAAGATGAGGCCTCAGAATGGAGTAAGCCTCAGGCATTGGGTAGACCCGTTATGGAGTGAGAGGTAGGGCAAAGAGGGAGTTAGAAGTAGGGTGGGAGAAAGAATTGATTGATGAAGGGGTGGCCTGACCCTCCACACCTGTGGGCTTTTCTCATCGGGTGGGATGAGAGACTGAGAAAAGAAAGAGACACAAGAGACAAAGTGTAGAGAAAGAAAAGTGGGCCCAGGGGACCGCGCTCAGCATACGGAGGACTCGGGCCAGCACCGGTCTCTGAGTTCCCTCAGTATTTATTGATCATTATCTCTACCATCTCGGAGAAGGGGATGTGGCAGGACAATAGGGTAATAGTGGGGAGAGGGTCAGTAGGAAAACATGTGAACAAATGTCTCTGTATCATAAACAAGGTTAGAAAATGTGCTGTGCTTTGATGTGCACATACATAAACATATCTGGTGCATTAAAGAGCAGTATTGCTGCCAGCATGTTTCACCTCCAGCCTTAAGGCAGTTTTCTCCTATCTCAGTAGATGGAACATACAATCGGGTTTTACACCGAGACATTCCATTGCTCAGGGACAGGCAGGAGACAGATGCCTTCCTCTTATCTCAACTGCAAAGAGGCCTTCCTCTTTTACTAATTCTCCTCAGCTCAGACCCTTTACGGGTGTCGGGCTGGGGGACAGTCAGGTCTTTCCCTTCCCACGAGGCCATATTTCAGACTATCACATGGGGAGAAACCTTGGACAATACCTGGCTTTCCTAGGCAGAGGTCCCTGCTGCTTTGCGTTTTGTGTACCTGGGTACTTGAGATTAGGGAGTGGTGATGACTTTTAACAAGCATGCTGCCTTCAAGCATTTGTTTAACAAAGCACATCCTGCATAGCCCTAAATCCATTAAACCTTGAGTCGACACAGCACATGTTTCTGCGAGCACAGGGTTGGGGGTAGGGTTACAGATTAGCAGCATCACAAAGCACAATAATTTTTCTTAGTACAGAACAAAATGGAGTCTCTTATGTCTACTTCTTTCTACATAGACAGTAACAGTCTGATCTCTCTTTCTTTTCCCCACAGATTGAGCCTCGGGATGGAATAACTGTGAGATGTGTTTGTTGCATTCACATATACAGGTATGTCAAATGACTGACTAAAAAAGATCAGTCTAAATGTCCTGCTTTGTTCTAGGATATTTTAGGTTGACCTCAGTGGGATAATTCATGTTGTGCCAGGCCATTTTATGCTTGAGTTTAAACTAACTTTCATGATGGATAACTTAAGTTTGCATTTTTTTTTAGCATTCTACGTTTTCCTCCTCCCCTCTTTTCTTCTTTCTTTCCTTTGTCTTCCTTCATGCTTCCCTTTTTTCCATCTCTTACTTCCTTTTAAATGATTTCCTTCCCTTCTTCCTTTCTCCTCTCTGTCTCCTTTCATTCTTTCCTCCTTCCTTCCCTCATTAAGTCCCTTCTTCCCTTTCTTCTCTCTTCCCTCCTTCTCTCTTTCTTTCTCTCCTGTTTTCTTCTTAATTTTCTTCTTTTCTCTCTCCCTCATTCCTCTTAATTTCTTTCCTTACTACTTTCTTTTCTTCCTCAGTTTCTTCTTTCCTTCTTTCCTCCCTCATTCTCTCTCCCTCTTCCTCTCTTCCTTTCATTCAACTTTTATTAATTGCACACTGTGTGTTAGGCACTTTGCTAAGCACTCAAGAAAAATTTACATCCTTGGAGAAATATTAAAAGGTGGAGTGATGGGCAGATTGAATTTTTTAGATGAGTCAAAGAATTTCTTTCCAATCCATCACACCCTATTTATTCCGCACATTTAAGAAAAGTCATTTAAAAGATAATCATCATTTAGGATCTCCACAAAAGTTTTTCCACTTACAGTAATGGAACAAATGCTATTTATATTTAGAGTTATAATTACACACAGGGATTAAAGTTATTGTCTTGTGATCTCTCATTTTTGTGTTCCCAAGGTTTCAGTGGAGGTGAGAAAGTCTAAAATAGGAAGTCATAAGCCAAAAAAAAAAAAAAAAAATCCTTGAGGAGCCTTTGTGCTTAAACTGGTGGCTTAATGTAGGGTGATAGGCTTTTAGGAGTACAGATTTGCTCAAAAGTTAATTTAAAAGAAAAAAGTCAAGCCCGTTACCATTCTGGAAGCCTAGCCTCTATGCAATCTGAAAATCACAAAGCCCAAACATTACATTTAATCCTCAGACATTTCATGACTATTAAAATATTTACAAAGAAATATCTGATTAGTTCTTACTTTAAAACTTTTGTACTCCTATCATTTTTACCAGCCATCCTAATTGCCTGGGTTATTTTTCAGTGAAAGGCTTGGAGCTGGGTACAACAGGTCTATTCTGTCATGCCACCAACCCAATCAAGTTGCTATTACACTACTTCTAAGTAGCATTGATAGCAACCACTGTTCATATCATGGCATGTGAAGCCCTTTCACATATATTAATTCACTTAATACCTAAAGAAGTCCTGTGGGGTGGGTATTACTACAGATAATTTTATAGAGTATGTAGCTAACCTAAGCTCACATAGGTCAACAGAGGTGCTGGACCTTGACCACAGATCTACTCTAAGTCAGTGTGGTATTTTCAAATGGGATTCCTGCCCCTCATTGGTTTGATTATTGACAACTCCAGGATGAACGTTACTGTGGCATGTCATTTAAGTCCATTAAACACATTATAAATGCACTCATAGGTCTATGTGGTGTTCTCTTTGCTGCCATCCTGTTTCTGGGCCCATCCTGGGAGCCATAACCTGTCCAGAGTCTTAGGCTTCCTGCCTGCTCCCTGGGCCAGCACCTTCAGAGTCCTTCTCAGTTTTGGTCTCTGAGTTCCAGCATCATTTTACTAGCTGCCTTAAAACATGAAGACTTTAAGACCTGCCTGTTTTATACACATGGTGAGTATCATCATCCATATATCCTTAAGATGATCCAGAAGAATGGAAACTAAGTCTAAGAGACCAGCAGAGTATTGGGAGGCAAGGGTCAAAATTTGAAGACTTGATGTTGAAATGTTCTGATTTATTCTCCTAGTGGCCATTTAGTGTTTCTTTTGGTGGTTACACAAAACCATATGAGACTTGCTTAATTTAGCTACCTTCCATTAAGATGATTCCATACATACTGAGATGATACCAAGGCCAAGGAATTATTTTAGTTACTTTCACAATACACTAATTAATCATTTTGCCTGGAAAAAGCTCCTTATTCTAAAGCATAATCATACAATAGCTTTTTCAGCAAAATTTAATGAAAACTTTTGTCTAGAGGCTTTGGTACCCATGGGTACCCATATCTATTAAGGATCAGTTTATTCCTGAATATAATAATGAATGAATATTAAAATTAATTTCTCCCTAATGTGACATATTTTACTTCTGCAGATAGACCATAAAGTAAATTTTGCTATGTAGCTCCAATCATTTGCTCATTTATTAAAGATTTATTGTGCACTTGCTAGGTTCAGGGTTTTAGGCTATGCCCTGGAGATATGAAGATGAACCAAACCATCTCTTCCTTCTAGGAGTTCATAGTCTAACTGGTAGGAGATGGATTATCAGGGAATAAACACAGATGTGCTGTCACTCACTAGTATGTGACCTGGAACAGACTTTGATGGGATGCTTTATAGTAACCTTCATGTTGGGGGACAATTCTCTATGGATCTCTCTCTCTGCATGTCTTGTTAGCAGAAGCAATGACAACCTTTTGCTCTGAATTATCTTTTCAAGGATGTTTTTTGGAGGGAGAACAGCCTTGGAAGATAGGCATAGTGTTTTTCTATGGAGCAGAGAGCAGATTTGCTTATTTTCCATAATAATAATGTGTCCTTTTGGGGCAAAGTTCAGGGTAGGTTTGCTGGCAGTACATTACAAAATAATTGGATTCCTAAGCCCAGGATTCCTCAGCTGTGTAACACAAACTCACTGCACACTCAGCATCTACCTCAACTGCTCCACATTAGCTCCATGCAGCTGGAGGGCTGGGATAGAGAGGGTGACTGGCGTGAACATGAAGCTCATGATGCTTGCCATGCTATGAGTTATGAGTTATACACTTTGTCACCAACCCAAGAGTCTCGATTTGTCTGCCCCAGGGTCTATGAAACTGTAGCTGGTTAACTTCTTAACTTATACATAGGGAAAAACCTCAGACCTTTAACATTTCTTGACATTTCAATCTCTGAATTTGGAATACATTCAAATATCATAATTTTTCTAAGAGAACCTGCTGGAGAACTATATTGTCTAACTTTCCATTTGTGCCTCATTTTTAGTCTTGAGTGACTGTGTCTTCATCTTTGCCCATGTGAAATGAAAGTCTGGGCTGCTGAACTTATCTAAATGGACTCTGCTCTTTCCTGAAGAGCTGGGCTGTAACACAAACATTTGGAAAGGGAAATTAAATCACATTGTAGTAAAATAACTGCAATGTTCTCATTTGTTAATGGTCAGAGTCATTTGTAATTTAGTCTATAGTATCATAAGAAATATCTGCCTTTATTCTACTCAGAGGTACAGAATGACAAATTAAATATATAAAATGTGAGTGCGTTAAAACAAAGGAGTAAAAAAAATAACAAAACATTGCTTTCACCTTATTATTAATGCACAACTCAGGAAAATAAAATTGATTTTTAAAAATCAAGTGTAATAGAACAATATCAGATTTTGCAAATCAGTGGTCATTTGCAACTCACCAAGAATATTGGGCTTTATTTCTTTATTTGAGCCAACACGACAGTATGGGTCAAGTTTCAGATATCCTCATGTAGAACATATGAAAAATCTTGCATTTTCATAAAAATTACAGTCTTTTTAGGTATTTTAGGTAAAAAATGTGGCTCTGACCAGTGCACAGAAAAGATATGCTGATCAGGATAGACAGACCAGTCATATCATTTATTTAATTACCAAAGAAAGCAACATAATGCATACACTTTAGTAAACTAAATGACTCCAGGAGTCCAAGAAGAAGAAATAAAGAAATAGTGGTGAAGCAGAGGGCACTGACATTGGTTGCTAATTGTTGTATGTCCTATGGAGATAAATAGAGATGGCCCCAATCTCTGCATTTTCAACCAGCACTGCTGATATTGTGGCTTTTCTGAAGAAGCTCTACAATCAGTTTCAGCTGGGGAATTGGCCCCACTATTTCTGTAGTTTCCTATGATAGAGATTTTGTTTCCAAACGCAGTGAACTGGAACTAATGAAAGGGGAGCCTCAGTGACTCCCTTTGTGCATCTAGCCCAAGACCCTTGACCAGGAACAGGCCAAGGGACTCTTTTGACTTCTTTCGCCAGGGCCAAACCTTCATCTTCGGCAGGAGTTTTATTATCTTTTGTGTGGTCCAAAAGATTAATCCAAGGGAAAGAAAGTTCTGCTTGCAGCCTTCAACAAAGTAGACTCCAGTCACCTATTCTAAGCTTCTTTTTCTCTGTTCTCCCTTGAGTTCTTGGGACTTGGGGAACAGAAGGAAGAATATTTTTCTTCCTGGAGAATCTGTACAGTTGGCTCATAGTCCACCTGCTCCAAGGGAAGAGGTAAAATAGAGAAAAAGCAATAGGAAGTAAACCAAAAGGAAGAAGTAAGGATCCAAGATAGAGAAAAATGAAGCCAGAGAGAGAGAGACAAAGGCAGGGAGGGAGGATGAGAGAAAGGAGTTTGGGGGAGAGAGAGAGAGAGACAGAGAGAGAGAAACACACACACGTGCCTACACACACACACAGAGACACAGAGACAGAGAGAGACAAAGAGAGACACACACACACATGTGCATACACACACACACACACACACAGAGAAACAGAAACTGCTTATTTCATTGAAAACTCCACTCCCTAGTATTATGATCCAATTGGATGTCCTCGATTTGTGCTAGACAATCTGCCTTTTGTGTGCCATATCTGAATCTTGAGCTCCTCCTGCAGAAAACTGCTTAATCCAATGACTTATCTGAGAGGTTACTGTTCCCCTTAAAGGACAAGGTAATCACAGGGTGAGATGTCTTGTATATGCCTTTGAAAAAGCACTGCTACGTCGTCATCATTGCTTTTGTATATCTTCTAGACCTAGGTAGTGAGCAGTTCATATTTCCAAGTCACTTCATAAATATCTTTTAATTATTTTCTTCAGAAGCCTCCAAAACATAACAGAATATTCTTTTAATTAAACGTAACCCAGGACAAGATACTGCCTTTATTATATAATCAGGCAAACTCCTCGGCTCCTCATATCCCATTATTAAGTTAATCCTTTGTTCTCATGGAGAAATCAACCCCTTCCCTCAAAAATGAATCTCTTCTTGTTCCCCCAAAGAAATTAGTGTACTCAAGGATGTAAGAAAGTAATTCAAAATAATTGCTTTTCAATTTTCCTTTTTCTTATTTTTCTCAATATCCATGAAAGGGGCTTCTCTCAGCAGCCTGGTTGGAATCTCATTCTCATCTTTGGCACTTTCTGCCTGGGGCACCCATGGGTGCATCTGTAGTTCCTTCTGAATCTCTGAAAGTAGATTAATTTTACTCCAACTCTTTCATATACTTCGCTTTTCCAAAGTTCCACAGGGGCAACAAGATGCAGAGGACCTCCTCAATGCAAAGTCCATACCTGCAACATTTGGGAAACTCAAGCACATTTCCTAAAAACACGTGGCAATGCACTAATTTACAATATAGGCCTGAATCCCCATAAATCAAAGCTTTTCCCAGGCAAAGGTAATTTTTCCAGGATCCATTACGTGTTACATTCTAATCTGTGGTTCTCAACCCTGGCCATACATTGAAATTATGTGGGGGGTTTCTAAAAAATATTGCTTTCCAGGCCTCACCTCAAAGCAGCTAGATATATGGGAGTGGGACCCAGATATTGATACTTTTTAAAGTTTGGAGAAGTCACTGATGGAAGCACAACCTTAATCTATTTCTAGCTGTAAATTATAACAGATTAAATTATCTGGGAAAAAGGGATAGGCTGAAAAAGGAGAGGGAGAAGTAGGGAACTCATGATTTCAACTCTTCTAGGGTCCGCTGAATCCATGACAGTTACCCAGGATCCACTGCCTGCAAACTTAGAAATTAAAACTTATTTTGGATAAGCTTCCAATGAAGAGGTTCCTTGTACACTAAGCTTCTTATATTCCCAAAGGGAAAACAAGCCTTGAAGAGCCCCATGTTGCTAGGGAGTCCAGTGCAGTGAAGGCCAGGTCTGGCTGAGCAGTCAGGTCCCTGGGCTTCTCCCCTTATTATATTATTTTTCAGAGAAGGAGAAAAGAAAACAAAAAATAAAACTAAGTGTGGTGGGATTTATTAATAATGAAATGTGTTAATAAAAGATATTTGTCAGAGGAAGAAAATAGTAAAATCTTTCCTTCCTTAAAAGTTTGCATTTAAAGTTGAAATGGTTTCCATGCTTAATGAAAACTGTCTTATCTTTCTTAGCTATGTTTTTTTTTTTTTTGCGACAGAGTCTGGCTCTGTCACCCGGGCTGCAGTGCAGTGAAACAATCTTTGTTCACTGCAGCCTCCAACTCCTGGGCTTAAGTGATCCTCCAATCTCAGCCTCCTGAGTAGCTGGGACTACAGGCATATGCCACCATGCTTGGCTAATTTATTTATTTATTTATTTATTTATATTTTTTGTAGAGATGGGGCCTTGCCATGTTGTCCAGGCTGGTCTTAAACTCTTGGACTCCAGCAATCTGCCTGCCTCAGCCTCCCAAAGTGCTGGGATTGCAGGTGTGAGCCACTGTGCCTGGCTTGTCTTATTGTCTTATACATCAAAACAAATAATGCACAAACATACAAAAATATTCACCTTTGAATCCCATGCCTTCCCAAGATTACTGGCAATATTATCCATTCTTTTATGTTAGTTCAGAAACAGGACTTTGTGCTCTTTCTTACTGACAGAGAACTACACTAGTGGGGTTCACTTGCCTCATGTGCTGGGAGAAGAAACGTAGAAGGCCCTCCTCAAAATGTCTCAGGTCCTCTGTGCGGGGCCATGTTCATCACAGAGTTTACATGTGGATTCCAAACGTCTTACTGTGACTGTCAATAACACCCTTTCATGAGTTGGAAACTTCCTATTATTGCAGAAAAGATGAGGCAAAACAACCATTTCTCACCCTTTCCTTTCAAGAGAAATGGCTCAGCAGTTGCAAAATTCATTCCTGCACAACTATGGGCCTGTAATAACCTTGATTGGTTTGGTAGATTTATCTGCTGACAGACCATAATTGAGGAAAACATTGATTAATTGATCTCTGACTGGCTTGTGAGGTGCTATATAGCAATAAGGAATATGTGGTATGTAGATCAGCTTTTAATTATTTTTGTTTAGGTTCCTGTCAGATTAAATAAGTGACTAGGCAGTATTATCATTGATCTGTGGCACTGGAAGAAATAGTTCACAGTACATGCTGAAGATTTAGAAATGGTTCATCCTACAAGTTTAGAATGCATCTTTGCCTTATAAAGCTTTGACCTATGTAAAATCCAGATTATGCTAACAAGTTCAATTTGTGCAAAGCTTTGCAGCTTACAAATCATTTTCTCATGCATCATCCTACTTGACCCTCATGACAAATCTGAGAGGTAGGGTGGGCAGGTGTTACTATTCCTCCTTTACAAGCAAAGACAGTAAGGCTAAGAGATTTCCCCCATCCCCACCCCAAGTAATAACACCTTATTTTAATTTGCAGAGTATGGAAAGCAAAGGAAAATTAGAAATTATTTAGCAAATTCTAGCTGGTTAAGCATGTGGAAGGCATTAATCACCACCCCAAACAACACCATACTCATCAATATTGTTTCTTACCATTAAATGTGCTGAAATAGAAATTGCTATTTTGACAATGTGAAGTATTATTACAAGGATTTGAGTTTGCTAAAAGGCCTTATCTCCTTCAATTTGATACTGTGTACAGGAAAAGCTCAAGATAATAACCCATTAACCACAGTTATTAAAGGTTTTCCCGCTGTATTTACAAAACTCATGAAAAAAAAATCGTTATTGACAGAACTAGCCAAAAATTAGTACAGATCCTTGACACTCAGGGAAACAGAGGTCAAATATAGAATATTAATATTGAACAACATGTGTACTATACAATCAAAGAAGAATTACTGAGCATTTTCATGCCCAGAAGTATGCTGAGTGCTGTGGGAATTTAAAACAAGCTCCTCACCCAGACAGTTTACAATCTAGTTAGGTGTTTACCATTGAATAATCTATGCAGATCCCATTCTTTAATGAGGAGCAAAGAGCCAGGAGCATATGGAACAATAAATGTTCTGGTAATATTAAAGACAATAACAAGCAGAAGTAAAGACAGTTTTTTCCTGCCCTGTTTTCCTGGGCTAATTTGTCAGAGCATCGTAGTCTGAACAAAAGCTGTGCCAATAGGAATCTGTACTAAGAAAGCAATATTTTCATCCTTTTTAATGTCAGTCTGCAAGCAAAAGTGACAAGTGGTATCATTCAATGAAAGGTCAGGGGGACAAAAGCATGCAGCTGAATTTGTTTAGGGCTTACCTTATCTTTCTTTGATAAACAAAACAATTGACCTAAGTCTCATAACCTGAAGCTCTTCACATCTTACTAAACTGCAATCATGAAGTTGAAGATGATTATAATGATTATTTTTTCTTCATACCCTTCTCTCTGAAGTAGCTGCAGAGTTTTCAAAGACAAGCATGATTTCCAAAAGAGGATCAGTTTCCTTTTCATTAGAAAATGCATAGTTTTGCCTTTTTGCAGAAATTGAAAAAGATTAATAATAGGGGTGGTTCAGAAATAAGAATTACCACCTTGGAAGGAAAAAGAGACAAAGGAATCCATAGTAGGGAAGGGAGATTTGACATGACTGTGATGTCCAAGCTACCCACAGAATCAAGGGTTGCTAGAAGGGTAATTACAGTTTTGGTTCCCTTGGCAATAATTAAAGGATTAGTGGTCCCAGGGAGGGCAAAAGAGACAGTGTCAATAGAGTAAAAAACGCTTTCTTCGATACCAACAGACATTGACAAATAGCTCTTGTCTAGAAAGCAAGATTTTGTTCTGAGTCCTGGTATCCCTGGCCCCAGTACCTCCATTCTGCCCACCCATTTGCATCAGATGTGGCTGAGATCCCTGCTCCTCCTTCCTACCCTTCATTGGATCCTCCAACTTTCTTCAGGATGTTTATGGATACTTACTGCTTTTGCTTCTGTCCCCATTGTACTGAATAAGTCTTGAGGGAAGCATAATGGTAGACAGAAACTAGATGGCCAGCAAGGAGCTCAACGGTGCCATGGTGTGGTTGAGTGCATTAGGGATAGAGCTGGGGAGACCTTGACATTTTCTAGAGATAGGGAAATAATAAAAACCTGCAGGGACAACAGAGGATGGTGCCTAGCTCACCCACCTGATAGGAAACACCAAGTAGGGCTGATAGGAGCAGTCAGCACAGACCCAAAATTCAGTGTTGAAAACCAGTGGAAAGGCAAGACTCTCAGTCATGGTCAAATAGCTTGTATTAAACTAACCCATTATAGATGATGGAGAGAGACCACAAGCTAGCAAGAACTGAAGGGGATTTAACCCTGCAAGAAGCAACCACACTGGGTGAAATTCACATACATAAGGCTCCTTCTCTGAAGGTGCTTCTTCCTGTCCTCAGGAAGCTTTTGAGAAAGTCACAGTCTTGTTGATCTGAAAAAATAGAGGGCAAAGTTTAGAACTGTGGGGTGGCTGGAAATTGAGGCAAAATATCTCTGAAAGGAAGGAGCCAAACAATCTGGAAAACTTATCCTATTATCGATTTCAGAACTTTTTATTAAGCTACAACAATTAAGACAGGAGGGTAGTAGCAGCATAAGGACAGAACAAGAAAGAAATGGAGCAGAATAGAGAGGATAGAAATACATCCATATATGCATATAGTCAACTGATTTGTTAAACCATGGACCAAAGTAATTTAGTTTAATGGGAAAAAGATAGTTATTTTTAAAAAATGTATTGGAACAGCTGAATAAACATATGAAAAAAATGAATCTCAATCTTTACTTCATATTATACACAGAAAACAAATTTGAAGTGGATGGAAGATTTAATTAATTTCTAAAAGTTTAAAGGTTTTAGGAGAAAATGTGGAATATTTTTGTAACCTCAGGAAAAGACAAAGATCAATTCTTTATCAATACGGACTCTTGGCTCTTTATCTTACTCAATGATATAGAATTCATTAAGCCAATATTCAATTTGATGTTCAATTATCATATTTGACCAGAAGGAACCCCTAAAACAGAATTCCATATGTTTTTGACATACCCCCATTTTTCTTTGAGTGCTTCTGCATTTTCTGACACAACAAAATATTCCAGACTTGTTTTCTACTTTCCTTCCCTAAGCTCTAGAATCAGCTATTTCTTTAAGAACCTCTGGCTCCTTTTAGCAAAGGAATGGTATAAAAACGAGATCTGGGTCCTTACTCTGCCCAAATAAACAGCTGTTGTATTTGATTTCATGGTTGGTGGGACAAGGGATATGGATTTCCACTGGAGGATGTCCACTGGAGAACATTTGCCCTTCTCACATGAAAGCCATGGTGTGAGCAAAGACTGGCAGGAATGTAGTTTCCTCTGGAGACAGTGAGGATATCAGATTGGTGGGTGAGTGGCGGAGAAGGCTGGACAGGGTGAAGGGAATAGTTCTAACTGAAAGACATGAGGATTTCCTGTTAAGCAGCCAGCTCCCCTTGCCTTCACCTGGACACAAGACTGACCACAGAAGAGGGGCTGGCTGCCCATTCATTTTTAGCAGAGTCAGTTGTTCAGCTAGAGTTCTGAGGCATGCTGAGAACAGAAAACTCTCAACTTGATATCCTTCCAAAGACAACTCCATAGTTTCGAGGTTAGGAACAGAATGCTCAGAATTGGGCATTCATTTTCTCGAGGTCAGTAACATATCTTCAAATTCTCATTTGACGGTCTCCATGGTACTCCAAATCAAGTTAGAATTAATTTGAAACTCATTTCTCTTTCAGGTCTAGGTCTGATAATTTTCATTCATTTCTTTCATGGACATGGTGACTCTTTTCTTGCCATCCTTAAGGAGAAAAGCCATGGACACTACAAAATCTTTGAGGTTTGAAGTGGGAACTAGGAGATTCAGGCTTGAAGATGAACTAGAATTGGAGACAGGGTAGGGGAAATATGAAAGGCCCTCTTATTGCAAGTTTTAGGAGCCACTAAAGCATAGGCTTTAGATTCTTTTGATAGTGATGTCACTATTGACATGCAAACCAAGAATTAACTCGTAACAGGACCCACTAGAATGAGCACTTATTGAACATTGCATGCACTGCTCATTATGCTAAATGTTTTACATGTGGTCTTTCATTTACTCTTCCTAGCAACCTTGTAAAGTAGGTGTTGCTATATGAGTTTTATACTTGCAGAAACCAAGGCCTATGAGGTTGTTTTAGGTTCAATTCTGCTGGGAATATATTCCGTGATTTGTGTGCAGAAGATTCGTTGAGTAGTGCTGAGCAGCATTTGTAAAGGAGAGAGGAAAGCATGGCTGAGCAGAGGAACAAGTTGAATTGAGGTGATGCGACTGAGGCCTCAGCATCTCCCAAGGAGAGCTGGTGGTAGGATGACCTCTCAGAGTTCTGCCATGTCAAGGCAAGGGTGCTGGCCCTTCGAAACCTCTCTTCATTAGTCTTTGGATATCAGCTGACCCTGAAGAGGGGCAGCTTAATTTAGATGAGGGCAATTCCTAAATCTGTCATCAGCATGCATTCTCAGAAGCTAGGGGAATGAGTGCTTCAGTCTTAAAGGAAGGGGTCTAGATGGGACATCACACCATCTGCCACAGTTTGTTATTTGGATCCATTGGTTTTATATACTAAGATCCCCACATCTGAAAACAACTACTTCCCCCAAATTCTGATTGTTTTTGTTTCCCTATGAAAGTTAAAGGAGGAAGGTTTGTGGGACCAACTCAGCCTCTTGCCACAGTAGCTTCTGAAACTCACTACTGATACTCTTCTTCTTCCTCTAGTACTTATTTTAGATTCTCCTTGTCCGTGGTTAATACTACTGCAATTTAACGTGGCTTACTTGGCAGGATGACCCATATCCTCATCCTTCAGGGCTCTGAGCCCTTGGTTCTCATAGCTTTCTCAGGCTATGGGTGCTATATACATCTCTGTTTTCCATTGAAATTGGGTAGGTAAGTACCAAGAAATGCCCAGTGGATTATTTGGGTTCCAATCATATTATTCCTTGTCCTCATTGTATAAAAGCAGTCCTGTGCCTCCTCCTTATAATCGGTTAGTTACTCTTGCCCATTTAATGACCCTTTTCCTTGCCTACTGGTCTCTTGGCACTGAAGACTCAAAGAAACTGTGTGACAGCTGCAGCTTAATGTTAAATAGGGCTCTACCCAAGTCTCCTGATAGAATCATTCCCATTCTGGGAACCAGTACTTCTAGATGCACACAGCCTAAAGCTGCAGTGTTTGAAAGTACAAATTTTTCAGGCATATCACCTAGAATAATTGTATGAGGGCTCTCTACTACCTCCCGGCCATGCTTCCTGGACCTATGGGACTACAAAACCATATAACGGTGATTGTTTTAAGGTAGGTACTACATCCTGGAAGATGCTCACCCTTCTCACTGAGCATCATCTCCAAGGTGGTGCCTCAGCAGTGCCTCCCCAAGGCTGCTCCGTTGCTCTATCAGGCCTGCAGCTGCTGTAAAGTGGGTCCTTTGTTCCGAAGGGATGTCCTGCAGTATCCCCTGTCAGAGGAACAAATACATATAAGCCTTCAGATAGTCTGCTTGGCAAGGTCCTGTGGTTCAAAAGGGCAAATCCATACTCCAAAACAGGACACCCTATCTGGGAGCATAGAAGGGAATTTTTCCCACTCATTGAGGGCAGTGACATTTTGATGGAAGGAAGGATAATGGGGTGGCAAGTTGAGTCCCAGAAACAGCAATAATAAGTCTTGAGAAGAAATCTAGGGTAGATGCTGTGGAAGCAGGAGCCGTCCAGGGATGGCATCATGTTAGGTCTTTAGATGGCAGACAGCAAGGCTCCTGCAGCAAGGGAAGGTTGGGGGCTCCACAGAGAATGCATGGTTGGAGTAGGGATTTGAGTTAACCTGCCTTGGAAAGAGAGAAGACCCAGCCATTCCCCTCCAGTCAGAGATGAAGCCTATTTTTGTTAGCATTGTTAGTGATATTAGTCACATCCCTTGATTGTTTGCCTCTACTTCTTCAGGGCTTCAGAATCACGAGTTACACAAGTTTTATTACTTAAGTACAGTCTTAATAGTGTTGGTGGTGGGGTCAGGGTTAAAGAAAGAGTCAGATCCTTCGTGTGGCTATGGGTCTGTGGTGAAGATTCAGAGAAACTTTGCCCATTTTACTTGTACTTCAGTTTCCAGAGTTTGAAAAATCACAGGGAAATCAATCAGATGCGATTTGGTATGTTGAAAGGTCTGATTCTAACACAAATATTTTCAGAAGGAACATGGGAAAGGTCAAAAATTGTCAGCTCGGTGAATATCTTTTGGTGATAATACTTTCCAGCAGTAAATTTCCACTGGTTCTCTCTCTTTTTGTCAGTTGAACAAAGCACTTGCATGCTTTGCTGGTTTCTAACTAATGAGTTAGCTTTGCTCTTTTAAAAAAGTAATATATAATAGAGAGTATCCACTGAGTCAATAAACCTTTAATCGGAAGTGTCTTAATGACAAACAGCAGAGAATCACATGAAATAAGGTTAAAGGCTCTTAAATTGAATCATAGTTCTGGTGTTGAACATTTCCACAGGGATACAAAAATAATAAAAGGGATCATGTCATATTTGTTGTGCCTAAGGAAGTACAAAGATATTTGTTCCATATGTCCTCCTCTTTAGAATTTTAAAGTCAAATGACTTAAAAATCCTCTTTTAAATAAAGGCATTTAACTATACAATTTTTTTTTTTTTTTTTTTTTTTTTTGAGACAGAGTCTTGCTCTGTCGCCCAGGTTGGAGTGCAGTAGCGCAATCTTGGCTCACTGCAAGCTCCGCCTCCAAGGTTCACGCCATTCTCCTGCCTCAGCCTCCAGAGTAGCTGGGACTACAGGCGCCCGCCACCACGCCTGGCTAATTTTTTTGTATTTTTAGTACAGACAGGTTTTCACTGTGGTCTCAATCTCCTGACCTCGTGATCTGCCTGCCTCGGCCTCCCAAAGTGCTGGGATTACAGGCGTGAGCCACCGCACCCAGCCTTAATTATACAGTTTTTAATACTGGAAATGGTGGGGTTGAAATGCAATTTTTTTTAAAAAAGCTCTAATTACTAAACTAATTTCTGAGTACCTATATGGTTTTTTTGATAGTTATTTTAATATTTTTGTAATAAGCACACTGGTATCTTGCCTAAGAGAGTTTTATTTAGAAAATACATTTAAAAATTTTTTCTCAAATATTTGGTAATCTTAAAGCAAAATATCCTGTCCTTTCCAGTCTGTCTTCATTCTGTCGGTACATATAGGCTTTAAAAAACTTGCTGGATCTGGCCGGGCGTGGTGGCTCACGCCTGTAATCCCAGCACTTTGGGAGGCCGAGGCGGGCAGATCACGAGGTCAGGACATCGAGACCAACCTGGCTAACACGGTGAAACCCCAGTCTCTACTAACAATATAAAAAATGAGCTGGGCGCCGTGGCGGGCACCTATAGTCCCAGCTACTCGGGAGGCTGAGGCGGGAGAATGGCGTGAACCTGGGAGGCGGAGCTTGCAGTGAGCCGAGATAGCACCACTGCACCCCGGCCTGGGCGAAAGAGCGAGACTCCATCTCAAAAAAAAACAAACAAACAAACAAACAAAAAAAACTTGTTGGATCTAATGGTATTCTACCATTTCAAGGCTCCTAGAGATTTTATACCTTGCATGTTAATTAGTTCAAGCATCAATATCAAAACTCTGTGTTGTCATTTCTCCCCTGTTGGCACTCTGGTTAGTCTCTTTAAGACAGACATTTTTCTGACAGTCTGTACCTGTCTAAACTGCTCATTGACACATTTCCTTGAAATGTGGGAAAATTGGCCAAGTCACAGTAGCACATTAGTTAAGACAAATATAGGTTTTATAACTGCTTCCTCCTCTCTAATACTCCCCAAGTTCAAAGACTTTCTTTTAATCTCAAAACCACCTACTGACCAGTCTCCTTGCTAATCTCTCTTATTCTTTATTCTCTGTACTCTCTAACATAAGAACTAGCTTTCCAAAGCACAAGTCGAAACCAAAATCTCTAAAGCCTCTGAGAGAAGTATTTTGATATTGCTGTATTTTCAAATGCATTTGATATTGTTTGCATGATACTTTCCTGGGAAAAGGCTAATTGGAACACCAGAAATGAGTAGAGGATGCTGCCTGAGCATTTTATAGCTCAGCATGTTCTAGTTCATTCTGTTCTCCTACTGAGGTAAAATCCCAGAAATTCAGGGGCATGTTCAATGCTTCACAAGCTTTCAAAAGAGAATTTATGCCAATTGTTCACGAGTGAGTTAGAGAAGATCTGCAATAGGAGGCCCCGTAAGAAACTGGGTCCAAGTGCTGTCCTAGATCATCTGAAGAGCCGAACCTCTTTTGAAAGATGGGACTAAGGTCAGGGAAGTTGATCTCTAGCTCCTAAACCATTTCTTCATCTCTAGTAGGGATGAAAGAGAAACCTATAAGGTTAGTGTCAGGTAGGCTGATGGTAAACAGCCTGCCTGTCCTTGAAGATTGAATAAAAGTGCCTCAGCCAAGTGGTTAAGGGCAAGAGGACTGAGTGGGCTACTGTCATTGAAGAGCTGAAGCATAACTTCATATTGAGTCTTAGGGTAAAACCTGAGGGAGTTGAGGCAATTCCTGTCAGATACTGAGATCTCCAGAAATGTGACCTTATTTGGAAATAGGGTTTTTGCAGATATAATTAATTAAGACGGGGTCATACTAGATTAGGGTGGGCCCTAAATCCAGTGACTGGTATATTTATAGAAGGCCACATGAACATACAGAGACAGAGACCCACAAGAAAGGAGACCATGTGACAACAGAGTGGGAGATTGGAGTGATGTATCTACAAGCCAAGTGACTGCCAGCACCAGAAGCTCAGAAGAGAACAGGAAGGACACTTCCCTTGAGCCTTCAGAGAGCGGATGGTCCTCATGACATTTTGATTTTGGGCTTCTGGTCTCTCAAACTGTGAAAGAATAAATTTCCGCCATTTATTTATTTTTTTTAAAGAAATCATGGTACAAAACACTGAACATTAGATTTATCTTCTTAACAAATTTTTAGGTGTATGGTTCAGTATTATTAACTATAAGCACAATGTTGTTCAGCAGACTTCTAGAATTTTTTCATCTTGTGTGATTGCATCGCTATACCCATTGAAGAGCAATTCAAATTTTCCCCTCTGCCTCAGTCCCCGGCAACTACCATTGCCACGTGATGGTAGAACTAACATTCTACCTACCATTTTAAAGCAGTAAAACTTCCATGAGTTTTACTACTTTAGATACCTCATATAAGTGGAATCATGCAGTATTTGTTTTTCTGTGATTGGCATATTTCACTCAGCATACTGTCCTCCAGCTTTACTCATGTTGTAGCATGTGGCAGCATTTCCTTTTATAAGGTTGAATAATATGCCATTGTAAGTATACCATATTTTCTTCACTCATTCATTCACTGATGGACATTTAGGTTGTTTCTCGCTATTGGCTATTGTGAATAATGCTGCAATGAACATGGGAGTGTAAATAGCTCTTCAAGATCCTGATTTCAATTCTTTTGGATAGATACCTAGAAGTGAGGTTTCTGGATAAGATAGTGATTCTGCTTTTAATTTTTTGAAGGGCCTATATAGTGTTTTCTAAAGTGGCCATACTGTTTTACGTCTTCACAAGGATTCAAATTTTTTTCACATCCTCACCAACTCTTGTTATTTTCTGTTTTTTGATAATGACATTCTAACTGGTGTGAGGTGATACTTCATTGTGGTTTTGAGTTTCATTTTCCTGATGATTAGTGATGTTGAATGTCTTTTTATTGATTATTGAGAAATATGTATTGAAGTCCTTTGCCCATTTGTAACTGGGTTATTTATTTGTTTTTCGCTATTGGGTTGTAGGAGTTCCTTATGTACTTTAGGTATTAAACCCCTTATCAGATATATATGGTTTGTAAATATTTTCTCATGTTCCATGGGTTGCCAGTCTCTGTTGTTTTAAGCCCTCCAGTTTGTGGTAATTTGAAGTATAGAACATAATCCCAATTATGCTTAAGGCTCTCTCTATGTTCTATAGAAAAGACGCACGCAGAAATGGATCAAAATGTTAATAATACTTATCTCTGAGTATGGGAATAAAGGTTATTTTTGTTTTCTCCTTTATAATCTTTTATATCTTTCAAGTCATCTCAAATGAGAATTCATTGTTTTAAAACATAAATAAAATTAAAGGTAAAACTTGAGCAACAACATTAAAAGATATCCTGAAAGTCTGTAATTAAGTGAATAATTATTGAGTATCTACTATGTTCTTGGTACTGTTTTAAGCACTGGGAGTATGAAAGAGTTCTTACATTTCAGTTGTTTACTGTTATGTCTGAGAAAATAGACAATATGCAGATAAATAAATAAATAAAATAACTTCCTAGACATGTGAGAGCTAAGTAAACAGAAGATAAAATGAGACAATGTAAATAGAGAGCACCTGGGATGGTCAAGGAAGCCCTCTGTGAGACAGTGATGATTTTATTGAGACCTCAGTGGTGAGAGGGAGGCAGCAATAAGAAGTTTTGGAGAAACTTTGAAGCTAAAGGAACAGCAAGCACAAAGGCCCTGGGGTGGGAAGGATCCTGGTATATGGCTGGAATGGAGTGATGGGCAGGGCAGATCACGTGGGGACACAAGCCACCCAGAGGTCCCTATGATTGAACCAGACCAGGACCCACAGTCCTAGAGAGGAGTGTGAGCTGTAGTGTTGTTGCAGGGGGAAGTCCATTGGAGGTATTGATGTTTGCATCAGAAATCTCACTCTGGCTATTGTGTGGTGGATGCACCTTGTGTGTTTCTCTGTGTGACGATGTTCAAAGAATAAAGGTCAGTCTAGGCAGTTTAAACAGAAAAGGAATGTAGTGAGGAATCTTAGGACACTTAAAGAAATTTTGAGAGTGAAATAGGAAAACTTCCCTCATCTCCCTTGCAGGGTATGCGGCAGGGTTCGCTTCTTCAATGTCCTTCTGCTCAAACCCCTAGGGGACATGCAGATGGGCAGGTTGTAGGGAGCTTTTTGGGCTCCGACCCCACGGCAGCGTCTAGGGGTGAGTGTTTAGAGCTCCCGAAGCCCCAGTGGCCATGTTACAATGTGCTCTTTCAGTTTTGCCATCTGCAGGTAGCTTGTGTTAATCAGTTCAGTTAGACCCTATGCCTTATCACAAGGACAGAAGGCTTTCTGTATCACGGGTTCTTCCCTAGTGGACCGGAAAAAATGAATCCCACGTAGGCTTGGAGGATGGGTGCAAGGTTTTTTATTGACTGGTGGTAGCTATCAGTGAGGTAGATGGAGAGGTCAGAAGGGTCATAGAGGGGGAAGGTGGTCTTCCATGGAGTTGGGCGGCCCAGCGGCAGCCGGACTCTTCTCCAACCGCCCCCCTCCACCGCCGAATTCCACATCTTTCTGCTGTCAATGGCCTGCTGATGTCTGCTCCTCTTCTGCTCTCGATGTCCAGTTGCTTGTGTGTGTGCCCACTAGGGTCTCAGGTTTTTTTTTTTCATAGGCACAGGATGGGGACACGGGGAGGGCCAGAGTGGTCTTGGAAAATGCAACATTTGGGTGGGAAAACAGGAGTGCCTGTCCTCACTTAGGTCCATGGGCACAGGCCGAAGGGTGGAACCCTCATCAGGGACCCTGCCCTTGTCTACCCAGCATTTCCCTGCCCTCCTCTCATATCAAGAGGACTAGAGAATTAGACTTGGAGATTGCACAGACAGACCACTGTCCAGTGACATTGCTGGTTACTCCAGGGGTTCCCTACTAGACCTCAGTGAACACGGGCCCCACAGCCTGCACCTGAATGCTGGGCCCAGAACTTAGGAAGATATATGTAACTCTGCACTTTACAATTAATACAGCATGTAGATCCTGATCTGAGTGAAAGAATTGTTAGAAGATTTCTTGTGTTAGCTGAGAAACCTAGGAGTAACCTTGCTGATTTTTTTCTTATTGGTAAAAGATGGCTTCAATGAGTTCTTTCCAGTTTCCTTCTATTATTTTCCCAAATCATTGTAGATTTTTGTATTTATAATCAACATTAATTTTTAAATATTTGTCATTTTTTAGACTGCCTGTCTTCTATCTGAATGACATTTAAGTAAACAAGGTGTATATTTTTTCTTTAAATTTTTTCTTCTTAGCAGAAATTGTTAGACAAAACTTAACTTTGATTTTAAGAAGCTTCTACAAATAATCTGATTTAGCTATTAATAACCAGGTTAATAAGTCTGTCATTCCAGAGTGGGGCAAGTGCTACATTTTCCAAAATACATAGCTAAGATATCAACTAATACAACTGTATATCCAGAGTAGGAAGGCAGAGGTTTTGTTTATCCTATGCAGAAATGTTCTGACCTGTTTTTTTCTCTCTCTTTCTCTTTCTCTGACTCTCTCTCTCTCTTTCTCTCTCTCTCACACACACACACATCACTCAGAATTCCATGCTTAGTGAAGTAGAAAAGACTGTAGGGTTTAGAAGCTGGTTCCAGTGCTCACTCTATCACCCACACCTCTAGACTGATTTTGAGTAGATGACTGCACCTTTCTAAACTTGTGCTCTGTTACCTATTGCTCTCAACTTCAACTGATGAGTAAAAGGTAAGATATATCATGAATTTAGAGGTGCTTTTAAGCTGTCGTGTCTCTCCCTGTTAAACTTTGAGTTCTTGGTACTCTTATTTTCCTCAACATCTCCAGTGTCTACCCACAAGCGTAGGAGTCATGCCAGGTACCTATAGTGCTATTGCTCTTCTGCACATAATCACCATTCCTGTGAGTCCTGAAACTGCTGGAGACATCTTAATGTGCCCTGAATTCTCTCATCATTTTAAGGTGTCCATGTTCCATTTGTTGAGTGGGCTGTGCTGATCATGAAACTTTTTTCATGTTTGAGATGATAACAGGTAACTTATTGTCCACTCTGCCATTCCTATCATTCCACACTGATGGGCTGGTGAGGGATCATTTATTTGCAGGGCTCAATTAGAAGCAGTCTAGCAGGCCAGGAAAAAGCATTTACTCTTGGGAGAGATTCTCAGGGACAACTGGTGGGAGAGTGAAAAGAACAAAGTTGGAAGCAGTAGTTAGTTTTTACTATTCACTCTGAAGTTGCCCAAATTAGCTGGGTGGGTGAATATTTAATGTCACCACATCACATATGTAATTTGTACTGTCTGCTTTTAATCTTCACACCAGTTTTATAATTTTAATAAAATTTTAATTAAAAATAAATGAACCGAACACTTCAACAGAACATTTTAAATGCAGACTATCAGGCTGGAAGCCCATGCTCAGCTGGAGATACAAACAAAACTAAGATATTCTAAAAATACATAGCTGAGATATTTCTCCCTTTCTGCTCAGAAAGCATGGTTTTTCAGAGACCAAGATATCCTAAAAATACTACAAGCAGGTCCCAACTCCCAAGCAGACAATCCAGACCCCCCTTTGTGATTCGGTGCCTTGAGCATACAGACTAGGATACTCCCATCTCTCTTGGGTCATTACTCTCCCAGTGTTTACCTCCTTACAGTAATTTCTTTCTGTCCTAGCAGCCCTCTGAGGGAGCTGACTCAGACTTGTACTTTTCCTGGATATCTACTAAATGCCCAAATCATATGCCCCTATTTGGCCAAACTCATAATAATATATAAATAAGTAATGCTACATTTACATTTTAAAATGCTGGGTTTTTAAAAATGTGTAATGGAATTTCAAACAGTATTATAAAGTACATAATTTAAATAGTGTGGGCAGAAATATTTCTGGACTCATGGCCAAATTTTTTAGATTTTCTAGGGGGCAGTTTTGATTTTGAAAAGGTCATGACATTGTCCATAGAATATTTTAGTATTTGTTTGAAATACAAAACCATTCAGCCACAATATATGCCATAGTCTTTAACAACTGCATTTTAAAATCACACTATTATAAGTTATAATTTTTATAGTTTTGGTCTATAGTTTTAGAGAAAGCAACACTTATAACTTCAGAATCTCATTGACTGTGGGGTTGGGATTTATGTATGTATGTATGTATGTATGTATTTACTTATTTATTATACTTTAAGTTCTGGGATACACGTGCAGAACATGCAGGTTTGTTACATAGGTATAGACGTGTCACGGTGGTTTGCTGCACCCATCAACCCGTCATCTACACTAGGTATTTCTCCTAATGCTATCTCTTCCCTAGCCCCCACTACTCAACAGGCCCTGGTGTGTGATGTACCCCTCCCTGTGTCCATGTATTCTCATTGTTCCCCTCCCACTTTTGAGTGAGAACATGTGGTGTTTGGTTTTCTGTTCCTGTGTTAGTTTGCTGAGGATGATGGTTTCCAGCTTCATCCATGTCCCTGCAAAAAACATGAACTCATCCTTTTTATGGCTGTATAGTATTCCATGGTGTATATGTGCCACATTTTCTTTATCCAGTCTATCATTGTTGGGCATTTGGGTTGGTTTCAAGTCTTTGCAATTGTGAATAGTGCTTTATTAATAGTCTGCTTATCCATTATATCTCTGGATTCTGACTCTATTAAAATTGTTGAGCACTAAGAAACAAAGACCACCAAATCAATGTCCAAAACAATGCCAAATTTATTGCTGGCCTGGCAAGGAAAAGTTCTGACAGTCAGCTACAAGGTCAGTGGGTCTCTCCAAGCAGAAGTTAAAAGGGTATAAAAGGAGGGATCACATCAAATATATCAGACAGAAATTTGAGTTCAGGGCTATGATTGCACCACATGGTAGAGATGCCACTTCTTGATGACTGGTGACTTTCAGATTACCAGGGCTAATCCTGAGAGACTTGATTCCCAACACGTTCAGGATGAGTTATGCGAGATTCCAGTGGGTCTAGCGTCATCAGGTGTGCTCACATGCTTTTATTTGAAGCTTAGCATGGTTGCTTTCTCCTTTTTCTTAATGAAATAGATAATGCATTTTGGGAAGAGATAATGCATTTTGGGAGGATGAGGCGGTGGATTACCTGAGGTCAGGAGTTCGAGACCAGCCTGGCCAACATGGAGAAACCCCGTCTCTGCTAAAAATACAAAAAATTAGCTGGGTACAGTGCACGTGCTTGTAGTTCTAGCTACTCGGGAGGCTGAGGCAGGAGAATGGCTTGAACCTGGGAGGGGGAGGTTGCAGTGAGCCAAGATTGCACTATTGTACTCTAGCCTGGGCAATAGAGTGAGACGCCATCTAAAAAGAAAAAAAGAAAAGAAAAGAAGAAGAAGTCATTATGATAGTGGACACTAAAAACTGGAGTTTTTAGGCATTGGGTTAGACAGTATTAGAGTGGTATTCTCTTTCACTTACTCATTTATTTACTCATTCATTCCTTTTTTGCAAGTATTCGTGGAGTCACTGCTATGTGAATAACACTGCTGTATGCTAGGGATAACAAATATAACCCAGATGTCACATAAGATCAGATTTCCTATCGCGCAACCTCTGAAAAACTAATGTCTTCTCTGGGGTTTACAGCTGCTGACTCAGAACTGAAACCTGTACCTTAACTGTCTTTAATTGCATGGATTTACTGTTATACTCAAAACTCTGCATTAACCTGACTTCATTTTTCCAGGGAATTCTTTCTCAGGAGGATGTTTGTCTCATGAACTTTCTGAAGTCTATTTATTCCAACCGTAGACTAGCCAAGTAGCCTACATCAAGGCACATATCTTCCTTCTCAGAACAATAAATTATTCAACTGGGTTTCTCAAGGGACTGTTTTTCAAGGCTTCCTTCAAATCCCCCCCCCTTTTTTTTTCACTGTGTTTGCTAATTCTAAACTCTTATGTAACAAACTCTGCCCAATTCTAATCAGGCCCCTACATTGAAAGACCCACCTTAAACCATACTCTTATAAGTATTTTTCTTTTGTACTCTATCATTCAAGTTGCTACTATGGTTCTGTCAAGTTAGTTATCTCCCTTATTACAAAGGTAATACACTTGATTTGCTTAATCTGTGTCTTTTGGTGGAATTTTTGGGGAGTCAGCAATCTACAGAGATTACATTCTCAAAGTCGCTCTGGCTTCAGTCCCTTGATCTTACTGAGTTTTTGTGTATTGTCATCTACTCCCTTCTCTTGTCTCTGTTCTGTGTTGACCAAGACATAAAACTAACTCCCTTTCTTGTTTTTTAAACTCCCTAATCCCCAGCAACAACCACAACAAAGTCCAGTCTCACAAAGCATTTGCATGTCAAACAAACTTTAAAAATTTAGTAACATAAGGATTCATATAGATTAGCAATAACAACTTACATTTGAATATTAGATATCCTTGTTCTTGTGAGTCCTTCAACCTCCCCACTCTCTAGACCGGTATTACTCAGAGTGTGGCATTATCAGTATATCACAAAGTTAGTACAGAAATTGAGAATAAGCATTTACAAGCATTTGATCAGTGATGATTGGAAATTAAACAACAACTTCCCCCCAAACAAACAACAAAAACCTGGTTCTTCACCACAGATAATTTAAGAGCCATTCACCAAACTCTCAGGTTTTCAATTTGGTGTGAACCCCATCCTTTAGCACCCCAATGAAATGCAATCTTCTTCACTGTACTATGCAAAGCAACTAAGATTTTCTACTCCTCTTCTCTGAGTACACCTCTCAATATGTGGAAATACACACTTAAGGCATTCTGCTAAACAATGGCGTGTGGGAACTCTAGTTCCCACCATGTTGCAGAACAAAAGAATTGGAAGAGGTCTTGCAATTTCAGTCTTTTTTTATCTCTCTCTTATTAAAGTCTCTGGGAGGGTAAAAGAGCACATCAAATGTCATTTTTGCCTAATAGAATAATGGCATTTTTCCTAATGGGTAAGAAGATGGTACAATCAGCTTTGTCCTTAAATAATATTTTTTGTCCTATTACTTCATAATGAGTTAGATACTGTCCCTGACCTGAAAGAACTCCTTATCATTTGAGAAGAAGTCACCATGTAAATACGTCATGGCAACACTGCAGGGTAAGTGCAGAGAGGGAGGGAGTTCCCAATAGTCAGAGGAACCCTGAAGGTAGAGGGCAAAGTGTGCCCAGGGATTCAGGGGATCTGTTGCTTTCTACCACTGAATCAATTTTGAATGAATGAAATATAGTGGATAAAATTTAGAACGTAGATAAGTCATGGCATTTATAGTAAGAATCATGCTATTTCCCTTCTAGATAGTTGTAATTTACCCTTCAGTGGTGTCAACACACAGTAGAGTTAATACTGAGAATGAAGTGGTAGCAGGAGGTTTGTGGTTACATAAACTAAACAGCATTTAATTGAATTTCTAACAGATGGAGAACAATGAAATCATTCATAATCTTTTCACAGTGAGTTAACTCAGAGGTAAACCAGAAATGATCAAATAGTTTTATCCAGTCTTCTGCTGCAGATTTAATATTTTCATCTGCATCAACTCTGTTATTTCCCGGCTCAATTTAATGACTAACATGGCATAAAAGTAACAATTTCTTGATTATTAAAATTCTATTTGTGGCAGATTACAAATAAAATCTATTTTAAAGTCATTACTAAATAAATATCCTGTAATAATAAACTAACATTGAACAACCATCTTATAAAATCTTGATGATAAGCGTATTAGAGAATTTTAATTCAAAGCATTATCACAAAAATAAACAGACACAGCTACCAATTTTTTCTCATTAAAACAACTTTTCAATGTTAAATAATACATCAAATAACTCACTTTTTCTATGACAGTGTGTGGCATTTCCTCCTAAATCCCACAAGCAAAGTGGGCACCTGTGAAAAGAGCAACAAAGAGACCTAACCATGGTTGTCCTGAAATGGTTTAGCCAGGGTGTCAGTTAAAATCATCAACATCTTCCCAATGTCCAATGGCAGGGAAGACCCTTACCTCCGTTTCTGAACAGTAGCACTCATTTCTGAGGGTAAATGTGAAACATTTAACCATGAGTCGGTATCTTCAAACTATTTCCAGAAAACTGGCCCTTAGAAGCAACATATAGGGAGTGATATTCCAATGACACCAATATTCACAATTACACATTTAAATATTTATTTGTAAAATTATTGATTTTATTGTAGAAAGAGCAAGAACCCAGAGAAGCAAAAACAAAACAAAACAAAAACAAAAACAAAAACACTCCAAATCAATTATGTCACCATTCAGAGATGGCCACAGTCAATATTTTGGTATGCAGCCTTTCTAACCTATTTATAATCTCTGTGTTTATGACATACTATATATGTAAATGACAAGAAAAGAATGTGGATATTTAGACATACTGTCCTGTAATGTGTCTTTTTTCCAGGTGGCAAAATATTATTAACTTATTTTGAGGGGACTGAAAATGCTGTATTATTACTGGTGGAGTTGGATTGAAAAACATACCTTGATCCTATAGTCAAAAAGTCTTCCTGCTAATTTTTTTTTCCCAGAAGTAAATTGTCCCAAGGGTTTAGACCACATCTCACATAAAGAAGAAAAAAAGCTTATCATGAGCTTGTTATTTAATCAACATGTCTCAGCATCACGATTTTACATGCTTATAATGATATCATTTTAGGATTATTTTAGCGAAAACCTTTTGATATCAAGAAACAGACTTGGCCAGGCACCTGTAATCCCAGCACTTTGGGATGCCAAGGCAGGCGGATCACGTGAGGTCAGGAGTTCGAGACCAGCCTGGCTAACATGGTGAAACCCCCATCTCTACTAAAAATTCAAAAATTAGCTGGGCCTGGTGGCAGGCACCTGTAATCCCGGCTACTCAGGAGGCTGAGGCAGAAGAATTGTTTGAACCCAGAAGGCAGAGGTTGCAGTGAGCTAAGATCATGCTGTTGCACTCCAGCCTGGGCTATAAGAGTGAGACTCTGTCTCAAAAAAATGAAAAGAAAAGAAAAAAAAAAAAAAGAGAAGAAACAGACACATTTGAGGTTTCTCAGTGAAAAGGTGTTGTGTTGTAATAACATATGGGGCTGGAACTGGAACTAGAAAGCTACTGGAGTCTGAGGCAGCCCTAGGTGAGGAGAGCTGCTTCTCTTTGCACATCTGTCTCATTCCCTTGTTTCTACTAAGAGTCTTCCTCTTGTTCTTCATAATTCCTGATTCTCGCATATGGTATGTGATGGCTTTCCCTGTCTCTATTAATACATTATGGTAATCCTTAATATATCCTTTTGGCTCCTGTCTCTGTAACCAACAGCTCTCATCTCTTGGTTTCTCAATCCCTCATTCCCAATAAAGCAATCCTGTTGTTCCTGCTCATTATTCTACATCTGACCAGTCAGCCCTCTTTCTAGACTCTATGGATTACTCACTTTTAGGGTAGCTCAATTCTTGGTCCATTCAATTCTGACAGGATGAGGTCAGGGTTATCTGGTAGAAAAGTTGGCCTTGCTTTCAGGAAGGATTATAGGTAGACAGAAGGGAGCATGGTCAAGGCATGCAATAATCAACACTTGTACAAATATCTTTGAAGTTGTCTGATAAATTCCCAGAAATAAAATTTCTGATTCAAAAAGTATACACATTTGAAAAGTTTTGATGTATATTGCAAAGTTCATCTCTAGCAATGTGGTATTACTTTACATCCTTACCAGCAGAATCAGCGTCACCTTTCCCTGCTCCTGCATCAACACTGCATATTTTACTGTCACCATTTCTATCCCACAATTGTTCTTTTTGATCAATCAAGAGATAAATTTATAGGTAGATAGTTACAAGGCACAGCCTAAATTTTATTTTACTAGTGTAGGACACTCCCTTTAAAATGGAAAAGAGGCTGGGAGCAGTGGCTCACGCCTGTAATCCCAGCACTTTGGGAGGCCGAGGCCGGCAGATCAGGAGGTCAGGAGTTCAAGACCAGCCTGGCCAATATGGTGAAACCCCGTCTCTACTAAAAATACAAAAAAAAAAAAAATTAGCTGGGCGGGATGGTACTCACCTGTAGTTCCAGCTATTTGGGAGGCTGAGGCAGAAGGCAGAAGAATCATTTGAACTGGGGAGGCAGAGTTTGCAGTGAGCCGAGATCATGCCACCGCACTCCAGCCTGGGTAATAGAGTGAGAGTCTGACTCAAAAAAAAAAAAAAAAAAAAGAAAGGAAAATAAACTTTTTTGGGTTCACTAAGGAATGCATTTCCCTCTCTACTAGTGAAACAGAGACTCATTTATATGTTGATGGACCATTTTATTTTTTTTCTTCTGTGATATATTTGTTCATATCTTTTTCCTAATGACTTGTTATAATGGTATTTTTCCAATTGATTCATAATTCTGCCTGGTTTGTGTTTTGGAAAGCAGATTGATAACTGCTTTAAAAGTTAGGTTGAAAATGCACATACCTTCAAGAGCAATTCTACTCTGAGGTGTATACCTCAGAGTGTGTAACTGGAGGTATGCATGTTAATGTTCAAAAGCAGCATTTTTTTAAACAGCAACAAAATAGGAATGATCCAAATGTCTATCAGGAAAAGAATGGACTTTAAAAGAGAATGACATTATTCAACGGAGTACTAGACAGCAGTGAAAATAAATGAATTGCAACTATGTCTTAGCTATGTAGTTGTGCAACAAACTACACCAAAACTTAGTGACTTAAAGCAACCCGTTATTTTTCTAGTATTCTTTGGGTGGGCTGGGCTGTTCATCTGCTATTATGTCTGGGCTCACTCATGAGGCTACATGTGGCTGTCAGGTCAGTGGGGACTGAATTCAGCTGCCATAGCTGGTATGGCTGGACCTCTCTTCCCACATGCTTAGGTTTCTTCACAGCATAGTGGCCTTAGGGTGATGTTAAGAGGATGAAAGCATAAAATACAAGCCCTGAAAGTTGTACCATGTCACTTCTGCTGCATTCTATTAGCCAAACAAGTCATGAGACCACCCCAGCTTCAGGGGATGGGGAAAGGGGCTTCATCTTTGGATGGGAGGCAATAACAACCTGACATAGCAAATCGGAATGGCCCAAAGGAGCCATGATTCATTGGGGGCCATCATTTTAACAATGCATTATAATAATCTGAGTACTCTATAATCATACTGATCTTACTCTCATCTCTGTTCATATTTTTGTTAATCACCAGATATAGCTGTCCCAAAATTTGAGGGATTTTTAATATGAAATCTCTATCTGAGTTTTAGGAGGGTGCTTTCCAATAATTTCCTAGATCCTGGTGCTCTGAGAAAATTAGTATAATCTGTACTTTGTATCTGCCTGACTTGTTTTCTAAGATCTCAATATTCTCTGTGGTGGTTAATTTTATGTGTCAGTTTGACTTGGCTATGGTACTCAGATATTTGGTCAAACACTTCTGAATGTTGCTGTGGAGATATAAAATGAGATTAACATTTATATTAGTAGACTATGCGTAAAGCAGATTACTTTCTATAATGTGGGTAAGCCTCATTCAATCAGTTAAGGCCTTAAGAAAAAAAAAAACAAAAAACCTCACCTCACCAAAAGACATAATTCTTCCAGAAAACTATCTTTGAACTCAAACCACAGCTTAATGCTTCCCTGGGTCTTCAGATTACGGGTGTACCCTGCAGATTTTAGACTTGGTAGCTTCCATAATCAATTGTGCCAATTTCTTCTCTCTCTCTCTCTCTCTGTGCATACACACACACACACACACACACACACACACACACACAGACATACACCCTATTCCTATTGGTTCTGTTTCTCTGAAGAACCCTGGCTAATACATTCCCCTTAGAGAAACTACTTTCTTCCTCTAGTTTAATCTACTTGTTTTCTTTATTCTGTTTTCATTCCTTCCTTGTTCCTGTTCTGATAGTATGAGTAATGCACGTTTTCCAACACTTCCAATTCCCTCTTGTGTCTCTGAGCAAATTTGATTTTTACAGTTTCTAGGCACATGCCCATTTAATTTCCTTTTTAGCCTTTGGGCCTATAATAATTATATGAGGTTTTTTCTTTCTTTATAGCAACCACAAAAGACAGCCTATTCTTTTTATAATAAGAGATCTCATTCTTTTTATTTGTTTATTAATAAATTGACCATTTTATGTGGGGGAAGCCACAGTTTGAATCTTGAATTAGAAATATATCATCAGAGATTGTGTAATTATCAAATCCAGAGCCACTCTGAGACCAGGCAGGGGTAATGTGAACAACGAATCAATTTTAATCCACCTATCCAGATGTGGCACCAGCAATTTTAGGGTAGAAATTCACTAAAGCTTTTTGGCATATGTGACTCTTGAGTGTCTTTGCAGTTTGAAGTCACAGCTGAGAAATATAGTAAACCAACAAAAAATGTCACTGAACCTTAATCTATATCATGAAGAGCCTTCACTGCATCATTTACAACCCTGTTCCCGCTTTCTCTTGTTTTGTTCTCCTAAAGGTTAAAAATCTAAAACTCACTTTTAAAAATTCCCTTTTGTCTGAGGACAGCAATGGGACAAAATTCTGGCAAATAAAATGAATGCAAAAATTAGCTAAAAAATGCTTATTTTCCTGAATTATCTGATAAGATCTCATGAGGAGGTCTGCCTGGAAAGTGGATGCAATCCTAGAGATGAAGCAACTAATAGTATGATCATGAGGGAAAAGAGCAAATTCTGAGGTTGCTGTGGCAGAAGATTGAATGAACTTGAATCTTTAATTATACTGTTGAGCCTAGGACTTCCTACCATCATATTTTTTTGTTATTTTGCAAAAACAAGAATTTCCCAGTTAAGACACTTTGGTTTGGGTTTTCTGTGGCATACAGTCTAATAAAATTTTAGCTGATATAAAAGGTGCTTCAGAATCTAGTAAAACAGACAAAGGAACAAAACAACAATCTAAACCAAACCTTTCAGTGGTATTCTTAACATTTAAATTTTTGAATCCCTTTTGATTATTCATTCACAAGGTTTCATGTCTATTATCTCTTTTGATTTTTGTAATAGTCCTGGGAAGAAAAATAGATTTTATTATCTTTAGTATACAGATGAGGAATATGAGGTCAGGAAAATAATGTTTTATAATTTTTTTTTATCCTGGAGGAGACCAGAACCCTGTCCTCTCCACGATGTGTTTCACTACTGCCCCTAGCACATGGTAGATGTTCAATACATAAATGAGTAAATGGTGCATGTAAAACATTTGTTCAGAACTTTGCATACATTTTGTTAAATAAATGGAAGCTAATAACAATAATAACAACATGTTAGCTTCTTGCCTTAGCACCTATAGAATCCTGTGAATTCAGATTTTCTTTGGTATATACCTAAAGTTAGCCTCTGATACAGAAATGGTAATACAAAGACATCCTGGCCTGGGCCAATGGCTCATGTCTGTAATCCCAGTGCTTTTGGAGGCCGAGAAGGGAGAATCACTTGAGGCCAGGAGTTTGAGATCAGCCTGGGCAACATAGCAAGACCCCATCTTTATTAAAAATAATGGCCTTAGCTACTCTGGAGACTGAGGCAGGAGGATCCCTTGAGCCCCAGGAGTTGTAGGTTGCAGTGAGCCATGATCACACCGCTGCACTCCAGTAGCCTGGGTGACAGAGCAAGACCCTGTTTCTTACAAAAAATAATTAAATAAATAAAAGACATCCTTTGCTGAGTAGTAAGAGACATGAATTTATTCATTATTCTAAAAGAGAGTAGCAAACAAATGCACAAAACTGGGATAAAAAATGTTAAAGGTAGTTTTCTTTAAGGTCATTAATGAAAAGTGTTTATTTCATTAATTTAATAACCCTCTTATGTGTTTCAGAAATGATTGTTAGAATGTAGAATGGAACTGACTATAGCTGACTTGGCTCAGCTGATGGGAGTTCTGTGTTAAATGACAAAGATTCTGGATGTGATTTTTTTCTGTAGTAATGCCTCTTATAAGCAACTGTCATTTATTGTGTAAACCACTCTGCATATGCTATTTTATAAACAGTTATACTAATTCCATAAGGCAGCTGTTGATATACTCTTTTGATAGATAAGGAAACTTAGAGAGCATGATGACAGGAACAACTTCTGCTCTGACCAAGTGATCACCAGGGTAACAGAAAGAGGAAATTGGCTCGGTGAGAATTCACCCCTGATCCTGTACAAGTAGTTCATGTGTCATGCTCTGTTCTGCTGATGACTCTGCAGCTGTGGTGTCTCAGCACAGAAAACATGAGGCTATTGTAGCATCTGCCCGAAAAAGTACGGATCGCAGAACAGATCATGTGCAAACTCAGTTCATACACTGAAAGCATTAAGAAGACGTTGTAACAATTTTAAGCACAGAACATGTGTGCAGATATTTCAGTCAAATTCCTCTACTAGTTGGCATTCAAAACTGTGACTTTTCTCTAACTTTGCCATTAACTTCAGCTATACCTTAAATGGTAAAGAAGCAGGAAATAATGCAATTACTTAGGAAAATCTAACTAATAAATTACATAGGAAATTATAACTCTATAGCCTTCCCTCCAGAGTTTTCCATAATATCACCACCACCACCTTACATTTGTATAATGTTTTACAATAGACCTTGTAACTTTTTCATGAGAAGGTGGATATATAATGAGAAAAACCATAAATAAAGTATTGGGACTGACACAGATCTAGGTTCCAAATATAGCTCTTCCTTGATTTGCTGAGTTATTTCAGGTTAATGAGTTAAGTTATAGATTTCCTTATCTATAAAATAATACTCATACAATATTAATACAATATTTCATTCAGCTGTTAGGATGCCAAAAACAGACATCATGTGGGCAAACCTTTCCTAAGTTATAAAATGTGCCAAATTGTTCATGATTATCATTTTGTTTTATCCTCACGGCAACTCTGTAAGTCAGTTAGGATTTCCAGCCTAGCAGTACTCAGCCACACAGCTGTAACAAATCCATTCACATACTCAGGGAAATAAGGATATAAAGAGTGCCAGAGGCACTCACATGATACAGAAACTCTCAGTCGTGGTAGCACAGACTCATATGATTATAGTACCATGACATGGCCGGTAACAGTGACATGGGCAACCGTTTCTCGAAATTGACACAGCACTCCATTCACAGTGTCACAGATAAGATGCACATCTGCACACATGTACTTGTTTTACAAGTGAGGGAATTAAGAGTTAGATAATTCAAATGGTTCACCTAAGGCCATCATAAGTGTAAGATCCAGGATACGAGATAAGGGCTTCTACTCCAAAGAACTGAGCATTTATCGCATCACCAGCCCGGTTTCAGAAAAGGGACACATCACAAATCCCAATACCCACCACTGTTCTCTTGCATTACGTACCCATGCTTTTTGTTGACCAGCAGTTTCAATGTAAGCTTTTGCCATAGGTACTCTACTCTCTGAAATACTTTGGACAGTACAGTCTGATAATTACAAAACATCAAAGCTTAGAGGCGATCTTTATAACTCCCTTATATTAGAGAAAAATTCAGAGGGGTTAAGTAACTTTCCCCAGGCTGCACAGCTGGTCTGTGTCAGAGAGAGGCCAGATCTAAGTTTTGGACACATCATCTGAACTCCTTTTACTCCCTCTTCGCAGCTGTGAACCATCCTTAGAATGTCAACCGAGGTGCACAATGTGGCGGCCATGTCCTTGATGGCATGACAGGGGAGGGGTGAGTTGATACCTCTGCAGCATGCTTCACACACTGAATGACAGGTAGAAAAAAGGGACCATTATTTAGACCCCAGAGGCATGACATAAGTGTCCACCATGAAGTATTGGTTTGGCTTTCCTGTAATAATGAGAGAAGAAATAAAAAGAGCCAAGAGGAAAACCCATTTTGTTGCCAAGCTAATAACTCACATCATCCAACATATAAACGATTAATGCGATATTTAAAAGAGAAGTTGTAGCCTTGCATGAGGTGATCTATTGGCTAAATAGTTTCTGTGACATTTTGAAAAAGCAAAAAATAGTAATTGTCATACAAGACGTTTTTAATGGGAGCCCAGAAGGCAGCAGGCAAACCCAGAGAGAAAAGCAACATTAGTAAGCTCAACACTTGTTACTAAGCAAGATAGACCAGGACATTTTATTTCCTTCTGCTGTGTCCTCAGATCCAAGCTCACTTCCTTAGACTCACTTCAGATTTTAGGTGTGGCCCACGTAAGAGGTTACTGTGTGTCCAACATAACATAGCTGAGCCGCTTCAGAAAACTCACCCTTCTGAGAAGATCCTGACTTTCCAGTTGGTCTTTTTAACTTAGAGTTACACTCATGGTTCTATTTATCTGGGCAAAATTCAAGAGGCCACTTTCCCTTCCCTTCAAGAGGAAAGAGAAAGGCTAGGACATGGCCAAAAGGAGAGGGCAATATTTATCATTAGGACACAGGATGAGGGCAACAAGGAGAAGAAGCTTGCTCTTGGGTAGGACATTGTTTAGGGAAGGGCGTGTGTGGAGGAGAAGGTGAGCTGAGCTCCTGACACAAGGATGACTATGTGTGTGCAAAAGGCAGCTAGGGAAAATAAATGACTGCTTTCATTGGGAAAGTGTTATTTATAACATCCTAGAACTTTAGACTGAAATGGAACACAAATCCTGTATTTCATGGGGGAGGAAATCAAGGTTCGGGGAAGAGAACTTATCCAGATTCTGGGTGGTTAGGGGCATACCATGGGAGCCCAGATGTCTTGCCTCCCCGCCCAGGGCTTTTATACAACTCCATACAAAGAAATGTGAGTTATTAAGGGAAGAAATTTTTATCTTCATTTAATCTCTTCTGCCTCCCTTCCCTCTTTTCTCCGTCTTATTTATTTATATATTTTTTTAAGTTCTGGGATACATGGGCAGGATATATGGGTTTGCTACATAGGTAAACATGTGCCATGGTGATTTGCTGCACCCATCAATCCGTTACTGAGTTATTAAGCCCAGTATGCATTAGCTGTTTATCCTGACGCTCTCCCTACCCTCACCCCCCAACAGGCCCCAGTGTGTGTTGTTCTCCTCCCTGTGTCTATGTGTTCACATTGTTCAGCTCCCTCTTATAAGTGATAACATGCAGTGTTTGGTTTTCTGTTCCTGCATTAGTTTGCTGAGAATAATGGCTTCCAGCTCCATCTATGCACCTGCAAAGGACATGATCTCATTCTTTTTAAAGGCTGTATGGTATTCCATACATATATGTTATATATGTACCATATTTTCTTTATCCAGTCTATACTTGGTGGGCATTTGGGTTGATTCCATGTCTTTGCTATTGTGAATAGTGCTCAGAACATAGGTGTGCATGTATCTTTATAATAGAATGATTTATATTCCTTTGGGTATATACCCAGTAGTGGGCTTGCTGGGTCAAATGGTGTTTCTAGTTTTAGGTCTTTGAGGAATCACCACACTCTCTTCCACAATGGTTGAACTAATTTACATTCCCACCAACAGTGTAAAACCATTCCTATTCCTCTGCAGCCTTACCAGCATCTGTTGTTTCTTGATTTTTAAATAATTGCCCTTCTGACTAATATGAGATGGTATCTCATTGTGATTTTGATTTGCATTTCTCTAATTATTAGTGATGTTGAGCTTTTTTTTCATATGTTTGTTGGCTGTGTAAATGTCTTCTTCTTCTTTTTTTTTTTTTTTTTTTTGAGATAGAGTCTCGCTCTGTCACCTGGGCTGGAGTGCAGTGGTGCAATCTCGGCTCACTGCAACCTCCACCTCCCAGGTTCAAGCGATTCTCCTGCCTCAGCCTCCCAAGTAGCTGGGACCACAGATGTGTTCCACCATGCCCAGCTAATTTTTGTACTTTTAGTAGAGACAGGGTTTCACTATGTTGGCTAGGATGATCTCGATCTCTTGACCTTGTGATCAACCTGCCTCGGCCTCCCAAAGTGCTGGGATTACAGGCAGTAAATGTCTTCTTTTGAGAAGTGTGTGTTTGTGTCCTTTGCCCAATTTTTTATAGGGGTTTTTTTTTCTTCTGAATATGTTTAAGTTTCTTGTAGATTCTGGATATTAGACCTTTTGTCAGATGGATAGATCACAAAAATTTTCTCCCATTGTGGAGATGGTTCATTCTCTCTGATAATAGTTTCTTTTGCTGTGCAGAAACTCTTTAGTTTAATTAGTTCCTGTTTGTAAATTTTTGCTCTTATTGCAATTGCTTTTGACATTTTTGTCATGAAATCTTTGCCCATGCCTATGTCCTGAATGATATTGCCTAGATTTTCTCCTACGGTTTTTATAGTTTTGCATTTTACATTTAAGTCTTTAATCCATCTTGAGTTAATTTTTGTATAAGGTGTAATGAAGGGGTCCAGTTTCAGTTTTCGGCATATGGCTAGCCAGTGGTTCCAGCTTCTTTTATTTCTTCAGTATTTATTGAGCATCTGCTATGTGCCAGGCCCTGTTCTAAGACCCAAAGACAATGTGCTTGATGGAAAATTGTTTTGTTTTTACTCTTCACCTTCATATTCCCAGTACCTATCATCTGATAACTGCCTGTAAATGCTGATTGAAAAATAAGGCTCATATAAAAGAATGGAAAAGTTAATCATTTCTTTGGAATTAGCCAATAAAATTTTGTCCAGCCCAAGTTAAGTTCTTCTGGACACAAAATTGGATTGAACTAAATTGCTATAGGTAATCTGCGTTCAAAGTAATACAGACAGTAACATTGTATTTACCATTCTGAGAAAATCTGACTATGTAAATCTAGAGAAAATGATTTACTTTTCTAAAGTTTTTAAAGATGTAGTATTACAGCCTGGTAAAGTATCTGTGTTTCTAATAGGGCTTAAAGGAGGGAATTGGTTGTTGAACATATTTTAAATAAACTAGTGTCACAATAAGAAAGGCAACTGGTTTACAACTTTGAAACCATTTAACCCACAATAATAGATGATGCTTGCTGCATTTATCCCGTAACTCCACAGTACAGAGGCTTTTAACAAGAGAAGGCACAGGGTCTGTCTAAAATTTCAGGACAGATGACTCATGGAGATCAACTCATAATTTGAAGTAGGGCAATATGATCACCAGCAGTATCCACAGCCAAGGTGGATGACTTTGGTTTGGAAATGTCTCACTCGAATATACAATGTAAACCCAAGGCTTTACTGCGAGCACTATTTTCATATTTCAGATTAATATAATTTGGCATTTTTAGAAGAATATGATATTTGATTCTTCAAGTTACTAATCACTTGGATACTCTTTACTGCCTCCCAGTGCCATCACACCTGGCTCTTTCATTTTCTGTCTTAAGTTAGCAGGAAGTTTTTAACATTCTCATCAGAGACACATTTCCCAGTACTAATCTTAACTTTGATGAAAAACCATGTGTTGAAATGAATAACCAAATATCTTTCTCACTGAATCAGGCTCAGTTTAAATGATTTGGTTGAGGCAATTTAATCGGGGAAAAATAATCCAGACAACACCTGGCAAAAATAATAGGTCAAAAGTAAACACTCGAACTCATACGTTGATTTTCCCGCTACCTATCAACAATATTGATTTATTATAGTTGAGGTTTTTTGACACTTTGTGCATCTTTAAACAATTTTGTACATTTTTAGATTTAAAATATTTTAATGTTCTCATATTTTGCTGCTAATTCATTTTCCAGCAATTATGCCTACTTTGCAGTATTTCCCAAAAGGTGGAAAAAACCTAAATGTAAAACTGGTTAAATAAAATTATGGCTTGTTGATAAAATGAAATACTATGTGGTCATTGAAAAGCATGTTTCACCTGTAATCCCAGCACTTTGGGAGGCCGAGGCGGGCGGATCATGAGGTCAGGAGATTGAGACCATCCTGGCCAACATGGTGAAACCCCGTCTCTACTAAAAATACAAAAATCAGTTGGCCATGGTGGTGCGTGCCTGTAATCCCAGCTACTTGGGAGGCTGAGGCAGGAGAATAGCTTGAACCAGGGATTTGCAGGTTGCAGTGAGCTGCAATTGCGCCACTTCACTCCAGCGTGGCAACAGAGTGAGACTCAGTCTCAAAAACAAAAAAAAAGAAAAAAAGGAAAAAGAAAAGTATGGTTCAGAAATACGTATCTTGCCATGAAATATTCATAATATGTTGTCAGGCTTAATAAGCAGGTTGCAAAGTAGTTTTTACATTTGATTCTATTGAGAATAGCATATAATATGAGTGTTATACATATAACATATAACATAGAGCAGGATCTATGAGTTAGTAAGGAATTAATGATATAGTCTTCCAGGATTATGGATATATATGTTCTTCTGCTTGTCTGTATTTCTGATTTTTTAAAATGAGCAATAATTGTTTTGTAATGACAAAAATAAATATTTAAAAAGTTGAAAGAAAAGCATACATTTTTAGAGATTTTTTCTTCTTTAAAATTTCTACTTTTCAAGCAATTTTATATGTTTTGTTTAATTGCTTGTATTTTCAAAACTTGAAAATTATTTTTTAAAACCAGTTTAGATTTAATAATTTCTCTGCACTGAGTAAATGGTATTAACTGGGGCATGGTAATTTTACTGGTAATAGGAATTTAGTTTGCTTCCAGCATTTATTTTTCTAAAAAATTACACATGATTCAGAAGAGACACAAAATAAATGAGAACTTTTTTAGAGCAAAAAGCTTAGGGAAAATTTCTGAAAAAGTGGGCAATTAAAGAACGTATAAAAATTTGTCAGGACTGCCCCATAGCATACCAAAAGTAACAGCAAAACAGTGATTCAGAAGATTCACTTTCAACCAAATGGTTGCATTGGCCAATTTATTTTTGACCAGTCTGTTTCTATCTACTTCCATCTGAGCATTCAAGGAGTCCACTCATTTCATCATCCACATAGGGTAGAACACTCCACAGCTGAGGGACATCTCATCTACTCACTGTGTTGCTTGGCTCTATGAGACCCATTGACTTGGAATACCCTAGCAAATTATATAGAGGTTTAAATGCTTAAACCTCTACATAAACATAAATACCAAAAGAAGAATTGATAAAGTCCATGACTGACATAAATCTTTAAAGGTATGCTTGGAAAGTCTGAAACATAATGTTTGAGATGGGCCCTGATTTTATGTGTGAGAGAGATATTTATGCACACATAAACTATACAACTAGCTGGACTCCACACATACTAGCTTTGGACATGTGGCTCAATCTCTCTGAGCCTATTTTCTTACTAGCAATATGAAGGCAATTATATACAGAGCTCATAGAGTTGCAGGGACTAAATGATGTGTGGCAGGCAGAATAATGGCCCCTAAAGATGTTCACATCTTAATCCCTGGAAGCTGTGAATGTATGATATGGTATGATATGATATGATATGATATGATATGATATGATATATGCCAAAAGGAAATTTATGTTGCAGCTAGAATTAAAGTTGCTAACCAGCTGACATTGAAATAAAGGGATTAAGCTAGATTACCTGGGTGGGTGCAATGTAATCATGAGGGACCTCAAACGGGGAAGAAGAGAAGAGTCAATCACAATGTACAATGTGAGAAAGACTTGATTGGCTACTGCTAGCTTCAAAAATGGAAGGGACCTGTAAGCCAAGGGACACAGCAGCCTCTAGAAGCTGGAAAAGGCAAGAAAACAGATTTGACCCTAGAACCTCCAGAAAGAAGCACAGCCCTCCCCAAACCTTGATTTTAGCTCAGTGAGACCTCCTTTAGACTTCTGAAGTCTAAAATTGGAAGACAACAAACTAGTATTATTTTAAGCCCCTATATGTGTGCAAATTTGTTAGAGCAGCCAAAGGTTTTAGTACCTAAAGGTGTAGTGTTGCTGTAACAAATTCTTAAAAATTGTGGATGAGGCTTTGTAATTACTCAGTGGGCAGAGGCTGGAAAAAAAGCCTGGAATGCCATCAAGGTAATGTGAATAGAAATATAGATATTAATGACTCTGCTAATATAGACTCAGCAGGAAGTAAGAGGAGAGAAAACCCAAGTCATTTTTTAGAATACCTAAATTGTCATCAACAGACTATTAAATATGGAAGCTAAATGCCCTGCCAATGAGGAATCAAATGGAAATGAAGAGCAAGTTTTTGGAAGCTGGAGGGAGGGGAGTTGTTCTTTCACAGTGGCAGAAAGTGTACTTGAAGTGTGTCCCGTAGTTACGTGGAAAGCAACACCTGTAACAGAAAAACTTGGATATTTAGCTGAGGAGGTTTTTTAGCAAAGTGTCGAAGGCACAGCCTGTTGCTGCTTTTAAACAATGTGAGAGAACAGTTTTTAAAATTTTTACTCATGGTCAAATGTGAGTGGAAGAAAATTTGAGGGAAGAACTGTTAGGCAAAAAGAAACCAGGACTTGATGACTTGGGAAATTCTCAGCCTATCCATGTTGCAACGATGCTAAAATGAGAAGATTCACTGGTAGGAAAGTATGCTCTTGAGAGAAAGCCAAGGGTGTGGCTGGACGACCTTTTGCAGTGCCACAAAAGGATCAGAAGGTCAGAGTATTTAGCCACACAGAAGGCTCTTTGAAGAGATTAAGCCTGTGATTCATGGATCCCCTTAGCCACTCAGCAGAAGCCAGAAATAGGGATGGGATTATCCTGGAAAGAGAGGTGGAGGAGCCTCTTGTCAAATGGAGTGAATCCTCCATGACATATCTAGATGACCCAGACAAGGGCCCCAGCTTTGACTGAAAGTAACAGAGGGTATAATATGAAAAAAAGATTGTAGGACCTCCAAAGTTCTGCAAGCAAGAAACAGGATGATAAAACTACTCAGCTGCAAACTTATGCTACCTTTCATGACAAAGGAAGGATGACTCTGAGGTGGAGTCTTATGATTCCGGAGGGTGGGGCCTCAAGCCACAGAAAATTATTCCTAGGCCTTGAACCAAATGGAGTTTGCTTGGCTAGATTTCAAAATGTCTTGGGACTGGTGACTTATTTTTTCCTTCCATTTTCTCTCCTTTGAGGCCAGACTATCTATAATTAGTATCCTATGTCTGTCTTTTTGTTGTATTTTTGGAGCAAGAAATTTGTTTCTTGATTTTACAGTCTCATAGATGGAGCACAATTGTGCCCCTGGATAGACTATACCTAGAATTTTACCATGATTTAATAAGTAAACTGGCTCATAGCAAGTGCTCAATAATCTTGCTATTTATTAGTGCTGCTCTTGTTGTTAAGTCACTTCTGATCATAAGAGGATCTTGGTTCGGGCTCTAATGTCTGAACCAAGATGAAGTCATGGAGTCATGCTGTCTCTCCCCTGGCATATCCATCGGTATACAGAAAGCAAATACTGCTCTGCGTGAACTGGGAAGGGCCTTCCGTCCTTATATCTGTTTCACCTATGAATTTACATAGCAGCAAAGGAAAGTGTGCAAGCCGAGTGATAAAGATTCTAACCCCTTCTCTTTGAGGTTTATACTATTAAAATATGACTAAAGATCCAACATAGTACTGACCCAGAGCTAAATTGGCCCTTTATTTATATTGCTTCACCAGGTCTCCATGTAATACTTCATATCCCAGTTTTAAAGCTATTTCTTCATGTGTTTCCAGAAGGATTTAGGACTCTACTATTATACTTCTCTTAATTCCCTTTAGAATTGCAGCTTCAGCCCATAGTTACTTTCCCCTCATATGTTGTCCCTGGGGGATAATTTTTTGCATTACATCGAATGACAGAAGGTACCACCTGCACGCACAGTCTATAGCACTAGAAGCTGCCACAGCTGCTTGGTATTCAATATTACATTCCTCTTTCCATCACATCAGCAAGCATTGATATTCCCCAGAGACATCTGTTTCTGACTGTAGTCCAAATTTGTCCAATGATGAAATAATGGACTTTTCTGTCTATGTTAGCTTTTCCAAGAGTTTATGCCTATTTTGGTGTGCTATGATCCTGGGTTGGGGCTAAGTTTCCAAGTTTATTTCTCAGGGATCTATAGCAGGTGTTAGAGACTCTGTCTGTCCAAACAGCCACAGAAGGAGGGCTTTTTGGGAGATTTTGTGAATTTACTGTCAGCTTTCTTGCATTTGGGTGGACACCCTCTCCTCCTGACTGTGCCGAAATAGAATGATGATGCACTGTGGATAACTGAAGAGGATACCTTGGAGAAGTGGGGAGTAAACCCAAGCCAGAAGACAGCCAGTGGATATATGTTTTGCTTCAGACAACAGAGATGGTGATAAGAGCTGAATAATAATAATTATGATAGCAATGATAAAACAACTACACTAGTATTTATGAAGTGATTTCTAGTACTTTACTTGTATTATTTCATTTACCCCGCTTCAGGGACTCTATAAGTAGGTACAGGTTTAATGTCCCTTATCTGAAAGTCTAGTACCAGGAGTATTTTGGATTATGGATTTTTTTCAGATTTTGGAATATTTGCATTGTACAGTGAGCCTTTGAATAACACAGGTTTGAACTGCATGAGTCCACTTACATGTGGATCTTTTTCAACCAAGGGCAGGTGGAAAATAAGGTATTGGGAGATTTAAAAACTGCCCATACAGAGGGCTGAATTTCTATGTACATGAGTTCCACACGGCCAACTGCAGGATGTGAGTGTGTGTGGATTTTGGTATATGTGGTGATCCTGGAGTCAATGCCACACTGATACGAAGGGATGTCTATATACTTACAACATCCCCAAAAACAGTAATTCTGAAATCTGCAAAGCTCCAATGAGCATTTCTTTGGAATTTCATGTCAGTGCTCAAAAGGTTTCAGATTTTGGAGCATTTGAGGTTTTGAATTTTCAGATTAGGGATGGTTAACCTATATTAGTATGAATCCCATTTTGAAGATGAGGAAATCAAAGCCCAGAGAATTTGTAAAATTTTCCCCAGGTTCCTCAGTTAGTAAGTACTGGAGACAGGATTCGAATCCAGCCAGGCTGACTCTGCAGCCTGCTCTGTGAATCATTATACACAGGGCTTCCTCCTACTTGATAGGACTGTGTCACACTTAGGTGAAATTTTATTCTTTTCCTGATGCAGTTGCAAAGTAGTCATTTGGAATTGCAAAAAAGATCAACTGCTCTGGCTACAGAATAGTAGATTCTAGCCTTGTGATTTCCAACGTGTCTGTAGGCACAAACCAGAATGGAGGCCTTCAGGTCTCAGGGGGCACAAATGAATGGGAACACCAGGGACAAGTAGTGGTGGTTCCACAGCCAGGAACCTAAGCCAGACCTGAGCTGGACTTGCCAAGAGTAGTAACTGAGTTGTTTCTAATACTTAAGGAGACAGAAGACATCTTGGGGTTTTCTACCAACTGCTCATGTTCCCTGTATGGGGAAAGTGATAAGCATCTTCTAACAGGACTAAAACAGTTGTTGCCTGCTGCTATAGTTTGGGTGTTAGTCCCTACCAAACCTTATGTTGAAATTTGGCCCCCAGTGTTGAAGGTGGGGTCTAATGGGAAGCGCTTGGGTCATGGGGATGAATCCCTCATGAATGGATTAGTGCCTTCCCCATGTTGTGGGGTGAGTGAGTTCTTACTTTCTTCATTCCTGTGATAACTGGCTGTTAAAAAAGAACCTAGAATCTCTCCCTCTTTCACTTGCTCCTCTCTTTCATGTGACCTCTGCACATGCCAGCTCCCTTTTGCCTTCTGCTATAAATGGAAGCAGCCTGAGGCCCTCACCAGACGCTGAGAAAATGCTGACATCATGCTTTTTGTACAGCCAGTAGAACCATGAGCCGAATACACTCGTTCCCTTTATAAATTATCCAGCCTCAGGTATTCACTTAGAGCAACACAAAATGGCCTAGGACACCTATATTCTAGTAGGAGTAAGAGAATCATGATTAGGTAGAGGCTCCCAAATCTTTTAAGAATCTGATGAAATATATAGATTTCTCCCCAGAAATACGCATGTGTGGTCATACCAATTTCACATATAAGTCTGGGTGGTTTAGGCCAGTCCATGGCCTGGGGCTGATACCAGTCCATGGCCTGGGGATTGGGGACCCCTGGCCTAAACCCCTGGTTCCTGTTAGGAATGAGGCCACATAGCAGGAGGTAAATGGTGAGCAAGTGAGCAAATCTTCATATGTATTTACAGCTATTCCGCATTGCTCACATTACCTCTTGAGCTCTGCCTCCTGTCAGGTTAGCAGCAGCATTAGATTCTCATAGGAATGCAAACCCTATTGTGAACTGCACATGTGAGGAATCTAGGTTGCACACTCCTTATGATAATCTCATGCCTGATGATGTGTCGCTGTCTCCCATCACCCTCAGATGGGGCTGTCTAGTTGTAGGAAAACAAGCCCGGGGCTCCCATTCATTCTACATTATGATGAGTTGTAGAATTATTTCATTATATATTATAAGGTAATAATAATACAAATGAAGTGCATAATAAATGTAATGCACCTGAATCATCCCAAAACCATCCACCATGTCCCACTATCCATGGAAAAATTGTCTTCCACAAAACCAATCCCTGGTGCCAAAAAGTTTTGGACTACTGGTTTAGGCTATGGATATTAAAGTATAAAGATCTTAATTAGGAGTTGTGTTCACTCTAAATAAAAATAGTGTATCTGGATCTTTAAGTTCTCAGTACTGAACAGCAGCATTTCTTAAGGAAGAAAAGAGGCATCATTCTTTACTTTGGACGGATGCCACCATGTTATAGTAGAGAGATTTCTGATTGGCTACCAAAGTTCTTGATGCCTGATGTACACACACTTCCTTCCATTTATTCCATCAAACATTAATCTAAAGACTAATATGAAGGGATTTTGCAAATGTAATGAAGGTCCTACAGCAATTGATCCTAAAATAGAAAGATAATCTGGGTGGGGATGACTTAATCACACGATCCCTTTAAAGGACAGAGTTTTCTCTAACTGGCCAGAGAAGAGAAAGTCAGACTCTGGCAGTAATAGAAGGATTTGAGGCATCATTGCAGCTCTGACAATGGAGAAGGTCACAGAGCACGGAATGTGGGTGGCTCATAGACACTGGGAGTGGCCTTCAGCTGACAGCCATCAAGAAAACAAGGATTTCAGCCCTATGGTTGCAAGGAGCTGAATTCTGCCAACAACAAGAATGAGTTTGAAAGCAGATTTTCTCTTTGTTGTCTCCAGCTGAGCACTTAGCCTGGTCAACACCTTAATTTCAGCTTTGTGGTACCTTGCACAGAGAACACATCAAGACGTGAAAGACTTCTGTTCTACAAAATTGTGAGCTAATAAATGGTGTTATTTGAAGCTCCTAAGTTTATGGTGATATGCTATGCACCAATAGAAAATTAATACACCACGTTCCCAAGATGTTCACAGGAACTCTAGAGAGGACAAAATTTTCCCATTGTAGCAACTGTCCAAAGAAGTTGCCTTGCATATATACATGCTAGGTATTGCCTTGCATATATACATGCTAGGTATAATCTTCAGAAGTTTTTTTCTTTCCTAAGCTTGAAAAACTAGGTTTAAAATAGCTAGCTTGAATCCAACAACTATACAGGGAGAGTCTTGCTCTGAGGACTCTTGGAATAAAATGCAATGTATGAACATTGATTTTATCCATTCCCCTTATAAGATATATAGTAAAGCTAACTTTTCATTCTAAACATGCACTCTAGCTTCCCTCTTGCCTCTTTTACAAAAATTCTCAAGCTAAGCCTTATGGTACTCATGGCGCAATCTTCAGTATTACTCACCAGGTACTAGGGATTCCATTGCCATACCCAAGGCTTGGAAGTGACACACAGGCCTAGATTATAGTTCACTTTCTGCTTCGATTTACCATGGGTAAGTTACTTAACCTTTTTGGCTTCATGTAGACACATGGCAAGCGAGGGGTTTAATTATTTGATCCCTGGCATCCCATTGCTATGATTTGAATGTGTGTGTCCCTCAAAAATTCCTATGTTGAAACTTAATCGCCAAGGTGATAGTATTAGAAGGTGGGCCTTTGGGAGGTGATTCGGTCATAAGGCCTTCACCCTTATGAATAGCATTAATGTCCTTATAAAAGAGGTTTCAGAGAGTGCTCATCCCCTTTTTCTCTTCCACATCCCCCCATGTGAGAATACAGCAACAAGGTATGATCTTTGAAGCAGAGGCAGCCAGCCCTCACTAGACACTGAATCCACTGTTGCCTTGACCTTGGACTTCCCAGATTCCAGAACTCTGAGAAGTAAACGTCTGTTGTTTATAAATTACCTGGTCCAAGAAATTTTGATATAGCAGAAGGAATAGACCAAGGCACTCATTTAGAGCTAACAGTCAAAGATTATAGACTTCTAGGACAGGCAGTCCCCTGGCTCTAAAAACCAGTGACGTTAGATGAGTACATGACTAGTGGACGTCCATCCTTCAGTGTCTCAGATTCTTCTAACTTGTCCACCCAGGAGCTTTTCATTCTTGCTAGCACTTAGGATTTATCTCTTCTCCCTTTTCTCTAGGCCCTCTGTCAGAGGAAGACTCAGTGAATTTATTTTCCACCTGGTCACATTTCATAGACTGTGACAGCCAGTGGCTGCTATGACCACAGCCCACAAATCCATTCTGAAAATATGTGGTGGACACTTTTCAAGTAATAGGTAAAAAGCTATGTTCTCTTGGTAGAGATATTTTAGGGGAGACTCTGCCTTCTACTTCAATCCCTTTCCATGTCAAATTTAATAGCAAATTAGAATCAATATATAGCTTAATTACAATATTAAGTTTCCTTGTTATCTTGAGATTATCATACCTTTATTCCCTCCAGGTGCCTGGAATGTATGCAGATATGTTTCACAGAAATGCTAAGTCCTTAATCAATACAACAAAATATTTCCAGCTTCCCCAGCGTGATAAATCTAGCAATCAATTACTCTGCCATAGTATACGCCTGGTACAAGCAGGATGAAAAATATTATTGAAAAATTCTACCTCTTGATTAACTACTGATGAAAGTTCTCAGAATTAAAATGATATTTCTTAATTTACTCTTTTTCAAAATTGGAAACCAAATACACCAAACTATTATATTCTATAGATCATATTCCACAAGGTCATGAAACCTTCCAAGCATAAAAAGGAAAATCATCAGCCACCAGAAACAAAACAAAAAAAATAGGTAAATAAAACCACCTTCAATTTCTATTCCTAAGAATTCCAAGCTGTTTTCATATAGAAAATTATGTTATTTTGAAAGCAGTAATGAATTTGAAAACATCTCATGCTCCAGAAGCCTAATTTTAGATCTATTATGGAATTCTGCATTCTACAAACAACGCCCTATTAATCCCCCTATCGACTTGCTTCTTGTGGTCCTTGTCTGGAGCTGGTTTTAGTGCACAATGAAGCATTGAAATATTTTGTATAAATAAATAAAGGAGGATTGGGTAGCGAGTAACATCAAAGAACTTCACTAATTGGCAGTGCTAAATGTCTGCGACAGCTTGGTTAGCCACTGAAAAATCGCTCTAATGATATACTCACTGGAAATGTCCCCCGTTGCCTTAGAAAAAGTAAGATCCAACTAGGAAAAACTTAGTGTCCAGCTCCATCATGAAAACAGAATCTTCAACTGAAAGAGGTACATAGGACTGTGTGAAGAATATTTCTGCTGAAATGTTCGGGTGTGACAAGTGCTTTGAGTGGCAGAGAAGATAGAGGTAGAGAAAGGCAGCCACTGCTTCAAGGAGGAAGCAGAAATATGAGTTTGTATTTATTCCTTTACTCCACAAACATGCCAGGTACTACTATCTAGCAGGCACTGCACTAGGACAAGGTTTACATAGTGAATACAACGCACCCTTAGTAACTTTGGCACTGGAATGTTAGAAGAAACCCCAGGTTGGGGTGGGTAAGAGAAAATAGAATGGAAGAGAACTTAAACCAGAATTTGGGTCCTACTGAGGGAATACAAGGATGGGTGCCAGTTTTGCAAAGATCTCACTGTGGGACACAGTTTAAAAGTTGTGCACTATATAGAAAAATGAAACAGAAAACACCTGGTCTGATGGCATTTCATTGAGAATTTTTTGCCTTAGGATAGTGTATGAAAAGATGTGTGGATGAAGCTCGGGGGTGAGAAAAGACCATGCTGGGCTGTGCACAGGCAGGATAATGAAGAGGGTGAGTTGAGTAGTGTGATGGATTTTTTTTTTTTCCTCCAGCTTCTAGATCTTCATGGAGATAAAAAGTTTTGTCAAGATCTGATTTTTAAGTCCTCATATACTGGACTCTGACAGCTGAGCCATGGGTGGCAACTACTTAAACTAAGTCACTTTAAGCAACCATTCAAAGTACTTATGCAATCAGGTTGAAACTATTTTTAATGAGGAGAAGAAAGCTCCTGGGAGGCACTGACAGCTCTTGAACCCTGATAGCACACTTTGCACAGAGATTCCCCAGAAGGTGGCTCTGAGCAAGTCTTCACATTTGCCATTTGATTAATTAAAGATAAATGGCGGAGACTTTTCCCTAAATGGGTTACTTGATTTAAGAGCTGCTGGCTAATTTTGGTCGGATAATTTAATAGAAGAGGGAAGAGGAAAGGAAAGAAAGGGGCTTGAAGAAAGAGGAAGAGAAAAGAAACACAAGGATGGAGAACAAGGAGAGACCATTTGGTAACAAATTTATTTCTTGATTTTAACACTTGATTCCTAGGTCTTCCACCTTGAGACTATTTTGATTTGGTTTATGTCGTTCTTATGCCGTCTTCAACCAAACAAGGGACTTCATTTAATCGTTGATAGGATTTTTGTTTGTTTGTTTTCTTAAATGCTGGTTTCTCTGATAAACTCGGCAAATCTCAACAGGCCACCTCTTATGTATGACATTGATGTGGTTTGGTTTAGTGACATGGCTTAAAGGAGGCATGAAACTTTCATCTAGCTTTGGCACTAATAAAATGATTGTGAGACTTTGGTTGGGCAAGCTCCTTTACCTGTCTGAGCCCAGGTTTTCTAACAGGACTAGCTTTAGTGACCACTCACAGCTCTAGAATTGTAGGATTTTCATTTCTAGGTATCTGAGCATCACTGATATCCTTTGTCTTTTATATCAATTATGAGCCTTTGTTTGGGTGCGGTCATTTCTTACAGCTCCTAACAATCTATTTTGTTGCCACAATACAACACTGAAAAAAACACACAATTCGTGGCAGATTTGGAGTATTTATTTAACATAAAGCTATTTTTGATCTATTACCTGGTTTAGGCCTATAAGTTTTACTTGGCCAAAATGGATTTAGAGGATTGTGGGGAAGTATTTTTCCTACTGTTTGCACAGGTATGCTTTGATATCACCCATCCATCTCCCCTGAACTGACATCTCCTTTGTTCAAAATTTGTACCACTTGTCGTCTCATATACTAAACCCCCAAACAAAAGCAAGGCTAGAAGGCATGCTCGAGCAAAGGACTTGAGACTGTGTGAGCAGGAATGTGAGGAACAGCATGCCAAGGACAAATTCAAATGTAAGCATTTGGAAGATTAGCATCCAGGGAAACTTTTTTTATATTCATTTTTGACTAGTCAAAATAAATCTTTAAAATCACATTAGGGCTAGGAATTCTTTTTTTTTTCTTTAGAGAAAAGCAGAGAGAAAAATCAAAAGCATACTGAGGCAGATCTGTAGCTACAGTGACAGTTATGAATAGGTAGCATGCAATATCCTTCAGGGTGGATTCCAGGAACTGAGCACAGTTCAGGAAGATCCTGAGCTTGCAATTAATTATTTAGAAAATGCTCTCCTTGCTGCTAAGTAAGCACATGATGTTCTCTGGCACAGAAATTAGTTTGAATTCTCAGCCCTGTAGCAAAGCTGTCAGGCAGGGCTGCTTGCGTGCGTTTCTAACTGCAAAATGATGAGGCTCCTAAAAGAGGTGCCCCTGGCTTTGCAGCATGACCCTGCTCAAGGATTTTAGCCTAAGGAACAGGAAGATGCTTGGGTCTTTGAGGTTGATGGGAAAAGTGGTGATTAAAAAGAGCTGATTAGCAACCTTAAGTGAGGGGAAGATGGGGGATGTAAACATGACACATTAACCAAAATTTCTCGCTTTTACTCAAAGGAGAGTCATTATAAGGATGAACAGTGTTGGGCATTTGAGGACCAGGTTGCAAAAGGAAGCCAGGCCTGCCGGGAGGTGATGATGGGGGCTTGCTGAGCCTGGTGGCCATTTGGGCAATAACAGAAATGATAGGACAGTTATGTCCTATTATATGCTCAGTCAGTACAATACAGTAGCAGGTCGAGAGCCATGTAGTTACATGATTAAATGTCTCTACCATATGTACACTGAGAACTATGGTGAAAGATAATGTGATGGAACAATGAAAAAAGAATAAAGTGTGAATTGGCCATAGAATAGAAAGATGTTATTTTATTTTGGAGGAACCAAGGGCAACTTCCTGAAAAATGTAACATCTGAAGGAAGAGGAGAGGTGTTTAGAAGGAAGAGGAGAGGTGTTTAGAAGGCAGAGGAGGAAGCAATGCATTCCAGGTGAGGGCACCATAGGGACAAAAGCATCAAGGAATCAAGTTTCAGTAATGAGTGATTTGGTGCAGCTAACACACAGCACATGAGAAGGGAAAGATAGACAGTTAAGTGGGAGAGGGTATCTGGTGCCAGATTGTTCTAGGTGCAAAGATTTTGAACTTTATTCTGGAATCAATGAAAGGCTGTCAGTGCCTCTGAACAGGAAAGGAACACAATTGGAACTGTGGAAATGTGGAAGATGAACTGGAGGGCAGGAAGGGGCTGAAAACTGCTATGAGGCAACAGTATAAGTCAGAGTTAATGTTGACCACAACAGAGGGATTAAAAGAAAGGGTGGGGACGAGGAACATCATGGAGCGAAATGACATTGAAGTTGATGGCTCATGGCATATCTGGAGTAAAGAATAGGAATGAGTAACTGAATGGGTGGAGGTTTCACATCTGCGATGCCAGGAGCAGAGGAGAGAACACACAGGATTAGCAGGGGGATAGTAGAAGATAAAAGACCCGAGGATAAGAAATTCTATTTTGAGCTGGGCGTGGTGACTCACGCCTGTAATCCCAGCACTTTGGGAGGCTGAGGCGGGCAAATAATGAGGTCAGGAGTTTGAGATCAGCCTGGCTAACATGGTGAAACCCCATCTCTACTAAAAATACAAAAAATTAGCTGGGCGTAGTGGTGGGCACCTATAATCCCAGCTACTTGGGAGGCTGAGGCAGGAGAATCGCTTGAACCTGAGAGGTGGAGGTTGTAGTGAGCCCAGATCATGCCACTGCACTCCAGCCCAGGCGACAGAGTGAGACTCCGTCTCAAACAAACAAAAAAAACAAAAAAGAAAAATTTTATTTTGGACATGCTATGCATGTGAGAACAGTGAAATGTGTCCATGAAAATGTCCTGCTTGTATACATGCAGGTCTAGAATCCCAGAGGTCTTATCTGGAGAAAAAACTAGAGGCATCCCTCATAAAGGTGATAAATGAAGTCATGATTATAAACAACAATGAGGACAACAACAGGTTAACCAAGGTGGAAGGGGCAAGAAATGAGGATTACAATCTGGGGCCTGACAATATGCAGGGAGCAAAGGGAGAGGAAGGTATCCATGCAGAAAGACAGGGACAAAGGGATAGGAGAAGACAAAGAACAAAAAATCTAACCTTCTGAAAGCCAAGGAAGGAGAGAGTTAAGAACTGATGATTTTTAGGACAAATACCTAATGCATGCAGGGCTTAAAACCTAGATGACAGTGTAGCAAACCACCATGGCACATGTATACCTATGTAACAAACCTGCACATTCTGCACATGTATCCCGGAACTTAAAATAAAAATAAAAATAAAAAATAAAAAACTGATGCTTTTAACCAAGGCTCAAGGGCTGCCAAGAAGCCAAGGAGGGTAAGACAGAATTCAGGTACTAAAGTGACAAGAGTGATCTTCAGAAGAGTGGTGTCCACTATGGGAACAAGAGGTTGAAGAGCAGGTAAGCATTTAGAAGTGGAAACAGCAAGGATAGTGATTGAAGTATACAGCTATCTTCTTTATATTACAGGAAAAATAGATTTGGAACTGAGAATTTTGAGCATTGAAATGTCATGGTGATAGACAAGGACTTGAAAAAGGCAAACATTTATTTAAAATGGTATATTTGTATTTTTATTTCAAACCTTGAAATCCACTTACTCACATATCCTAAAGTAAATGAAACCAATAAACAAAGCATAAATTTAATTAAGCATGTGTTAGAGGTTCATTCAGCACCTGTGTAAAGCCAAATATACCTACAGAGGTGCAGCATTTCCGTGGCTAATGTGTTGAATTTTACGGGTTACCATTAGTAATTAGAGTCATATGTGGAGTTAATATTCTGTAAATATTACTTGAGTGCTTACTACACTCCTGGATGATGGTGGGGACGAGTCCTCTCTGTCTTTGTAGATCTCACATGGTTTCCATAGCTACAGTGTGACTCCCATAACTTTAAATACTCAGAACCCCTCTCCACACGTGATACTGTACTGCAGAGTTGAGATGTGAAGGAACAGTTGCCCGCCTTGAAGCCTGAGGCCCTGAGTTCAGGTTCTAGCTCTAATATTGCCAGACTGAGAGTGCCGCTGACTTGGGATTAGTCACCCAGTCTCAACTCTTTCTTTCTCTTTTTCTATGAATGGAGGTTTTAGTGCCTGCCAGGCACCTTTTCAAGGCCTTCTACAAAATTTCACTTATCCTTCCCAATAAACCTAGAGAGGAAGGCAAATAATCCTGGTTTCACAGATGAAAATCTAAGTTAATTGGAAGTAAATCCAAATAAGATATATGGGATTATCTCTCCTCGGCTGCCTATCTAAAAATACAGACTTCTTATGACAATATTTTTCTACATAGCATTTATCAATGTACACTTTACTTTATGGTTTATAGTCCATCTTCCCACTGGATGTAAGTTTCCTTAGGACATGAACTTTTGCTGTTTCGTATACACTGTATTCTCTTTCTCTTGGACTTAAACACAGACCTGGACAATTGAAACGATAGCAATTTAAGCAATTTAAATGAATGAGGGTCCCACTGTAAACTGAATTCAGATCTGACATTGAAATATTTTGAGTTAAATTTGAGAGTTTGAGAGTCTGTCTTCTCTCCAGAGTAAGTAGGTCTCTTGGGTACCAGCGAGTACACTAAGGCGAAAGTGTATCTATCAAATGCCCCCTTCCCCCATTACAGGTATTCATGAAGCTTCGCAAAGCTCTCTCATATTACTCCCAAGGATCAGCCAAATCCTTGGAGGCTCTGGGTCAATGTGTCATTCTGCCAACTTGAGGCAGTAAGACCATCAGTCGTGGGAAGGGCATTTTCTGTGAGTCAGCATCACACCTTCCTGAATACTGAGCTTTCAATATTGACATGTGGTCCCAAAAGAGGCCTTTAGGAAAAGTCGATTTGATGACACCACTGAAATGCTGGTAACTAGAGGCCTGAGGTGAAAATGCAAATTTATTAATATAGGCTGCAAAGTCCACTAAACAATCTCAAGTTAGAAGAGCTGAAATCTACTTAATTGCTTATTATCTCAAGTCTTGAGTACAACCTTCACTTAACCTGCTGCTGCTTCCTGCTACTGAGCTCCTGTCTCCGTTCACAGCCAAACTCTTGGAGAATTGACCTGCATGTGTTCCCTCTCTTTCTTTAGAACATTGTTTCTTGTCCTCATTTAATTTGACTTCTGCTGCTATTATTTTTTTTGCAAACTTCATCTTATAAAATGCTGCTTTTAGCTTAGGCCAGTGCTTTGCACACAGTAGGGGTTTAATATTTTAATTCACCAGAGGTTTTTGGTGGATTTGTTATATCATTGGAAGCCACTCCTGACCTCCTAGTCAATACATTTTTTCTTATCCTGCTCTCTGAGAGATGCTATTACCTCTCCTCACTTTCTTGAAACCATCTTTGCCTCTATGGGATACAACACAGACCACTAGATTTTGAAGCCAAATGACATTAATTGAATCCTTGACCCACCATGTAAAATCTGTGTGTGACTTTGATGAACTTATAATCTTTATATTTTCATTTCTTTCCTCTATAAATCTGCTTCTACCTGAAAAAATTTGGGTGAGGACAAAATGAAGTCATGTTAAAGTACTTTGCAAATGAATTAGTGCGTAATATATTCACGTATAAATGTGTACACATACATTTTAGGTCTAATTGACCGTTTCTCACTGTGCCTTCCTTACTATGTTGTGGGGAAGATAAAATTAATGATATATGTATGTGAAAGTACCTAGCACAGCAGACGCCCGCATGATGAGACCAGTTATACATTCATGGGGAAGAATGCTTGAAGCAGGGGGCACAGTTAGTGCAGCAATACTATGGAAGGAAAGAGTCTGAATGGAGGAGGAGGAACAAAAGGATGGACAAATATGGTTTGTGTATAGGAAACAAGGGCAAGAGTGACACAAGTTGATGCTAGACATTCCCTCTTCTTGATATATATCCAAAGGAAATGAAATCAGCATCTCATAAAGATATCCACAGTCCTGTGCTCATTTTAGCATTATTCACGATAGCCAAATTATGAAAGCAAGATTCATTGACAGATGAATGGATAAAGCATATGTGGTATATATATACACACACATATATATATATATATATATACACACATATATATATATATACACACATATATATATATATATACACATATATATATATATATACACACACACACACACACACATATATATATATATATACACACAATGGAATATTATTCAACCCTGAAAAAAGGAGATCCTGGCATTTGCTACAACAGAGACACTTATTTCATATTAAGTGAAATAAGCCAGACAGAAAAATATTATATGATCTCACCTATATGTACAATATATTTTGGGGAAGAGCTCAAATACACAGAGATAGAGAATAAAACAGTGGTTGCCATTCACAGAGATAGAGAATAAAACAGTTGTGGGGAGAAGAAATGGGGAGTTTTAGGTAAAAGGATACAAAATAGCAGACATGTAGGATGAACAGGCCTAGAGATCTGATGTACAATAGGAGAACTAAACTTAATAAAATTGTATTGCATTAGGAATTTTGTTAAATAATTAGATTTTAGCTGGTCTTGTCACACAAAAAAGTAACTACGTGAGATGATAGATGTGTCAATCTGCTATGGTAACCATTTTACTATTGATACATAGCCCATAACACCATGCTGTAAACTTGGAATATACACAATAAAATTTATTTTTTTTAAAAAGATGACACTGGAAAGATAAGTAGAGATTGGATCACATGGAAACTGGTAGAAATGTGGATTTTATTCTAAGTTCAATGGGGTGCCATATGAAGGTTTTGTGCAAGGGTGGGAGTGATCCCACTGAAGTTTTAAAAATATCACAAGGATACTGTGTAGGTGGTAGTGGGACCGGCATGGAAGGAGAGAGATAAATTAGGAGATGGTGCAGCCATCCAGAGACTAACTGGTAGGGGATTCTCTTAGGGAGGCAAGCACGAAGATGGAAACAGTGGGCAAATAGGAATATGTTGTTGAGAAAGAGTCAACAATCAAATATAAATGCTTTTACTGACATCTAATACTCTTTATAATTTGGCTATAAACCCTCTATCCTAACTTGAACTTACATGTCACTGCTCCATGTCTCTTGTGCCAGCCAAGGTAGGGTACAGTTATGTCCCTTCGTGCACTCCTGCCTTCATTCCTTGCTCATGTCTCCTCATTAAAGTATCCTCTCTCTATAAGTGGCCTCCAAACTTTTTGACTGTGGACATGCCTCTATAATATGTGCATGTTTATTATAAGAATTGTATATATGTATATTATTAGTTCATATGGTAAATATTAGTAAAGTCTAATTTTTAAAAAAACGTAAAAAGTGACTATAAATGAAAATGCTAATTGTTTCTTTCTCCACCCAGTAGATGTCTTGTGGTCCACATCTCCCTTGAAGTAAGCACATGTCACTTGGTGAACACAGGTTATTGATTTTTACCAATTCTTTAAAATTTAAATCAGGCTACTTTTCCTATGAAATTGTTCTTAACATCCTTTGGCTTTGAAGTCCTATAGACACTTGAATTCTACCATCAAAATTAAATTTAGCATTTTTCTTTCACCATTTGTAGTACCTCACTCTGTCATGTCCTTTCTTCATCTAATCTATAGGCTCCTTGAGGGCACTGATTAATATGTTAAATTTGTTTTCATCCACATTAACATTTGTTGACTGAAAAAAGAATCTAATAATTTTTTTTTTAAATCCTGTTTAGTCATGGACATCAAGGGTTATTCATCAATTCAACAAAAATTATCCACTGAGTGTCTACCATGGATTAAGTGTTCAAGTTGTTGGGTATCAAGAAATGACAGGACTAGCAAGGTCTCTTCTCTCATAGAGCTGACATTCAAGAGGGAGTGTGACAGGAAATAAATAAATGATGGACCAAGATAATTCAAAATGATGAATGACAAGTTTTATGGAGAAAACCATGTAGTAGGGATGTTGGTTGGGATGAATGTGATGAATGAAGGCCTCTAAGGAAATGCCATTGGATCTCTCTATCCTATATGATGGGAAGACACAAAGAATTAAGCTTATCAGAGTTGAGTTATAAATACTTGCCATTCCAGGCATATGGTTTTCTTATTCCCATTGATTTAGCTCTATTCTAACGTCCGTGGTCATTAAGATTATTTAAAATTTCTTTGTCATAGTGACCAATTCTCATTTTTAAAGGCTAGCCACTAACTTACAAGTCAGTAGAGTAAGTCAGTAAGGCTAATGTTAGCTGCCATAACAAACAAGTCTCCAGATATCAGTGGCTTCACACAATAGAAATTGATTTCTTATTTATGTGACAGTTCAATATGGGTGTTCTTTGTTGGCAGGTTACCTTTTGAGATCCAGATTCTTCCATCTTCTGGTCTCATTTTCATCTAGGATCTGAGAGTTCTCCACATTTAGCCAGAGGATACAAAAAGAAAGGAAAATATTACATGTGGGAGGATTTTGTGGACCTGTAATGAAAGTGGTGATTTGCATATTCCAGAACAAGGAGGCTATGTCTCATTGCAAAGGTGGCTGGGATATGTAATTTCACTGTGTCACTGGAACAAACAAAAGCGGGTGTTATGAGACTGGCCAGTCTCTTGTCACAGTTTGCTGCTCTAGAATTCTTTTTTCTACAGTTTGAAATGTATTTAAATTTGATGACCACCATAAAGTAAGAAAAAGGTGAGTGTGATAAAATGCACCTTTATCTGAGAGAATTCAAATTCATCTCCAGTGATTTTTTTCACTGATTTTAACTTCCTGCAGTTAATTTCATGCATCCCACTTATCCCCACAAACTGTCCAATTTTCATAAATCTAAACAATAAATCAAGATTCAATCCTGAATTACAAAGGTAGTACTTCAATGCAAAAGTTCTTGTCACAAGTAAAAATTTACAGCATATACTTTCTAGCTCATTAAACTCAATGCCAGAAAATGACCCAAAGCAGCATTTCTTCTTCAGATAATGAAGTGGTTGGCTACACTAGACACTAGAATTACTAACAATAAAATGTGTAAATTTATTCGATCATAAGCTCCTTGTCTTATGGTAATGCTATAATTATCTTTGTTGTTCTCTTTATTTGTTACATGTAGTTTTTAAGAATCAGGCTTAATTATTTTAACTTGTTAATGCACATAATTCTTTACTAATCACTTATTTTAATTGCGGGAGTAAGTGGTTAGTAGCTCAGGAGCTTAGATGCTTTGACCTTTTATTTACTCTGTCCTTTGGGCTAATTGTCATCATGGCTCTTGAATATTAGGCGCTATTTATAATTCTTGGAAGCTCTGAAAATACATTATGATGCATTCAATTTACCATTCTCCCTGAGTTGAAGGAAAGAGTCAATTATTGTATTAATTTTATTAGGGTTAAATAGGACACCAAGGAAGTTTAGGCAAAAGTATGTACAAACTTGTTCAGTTCTTACTTATGGGGCTGGGTATGACACAGCCTGAAAAGGGCAGCCAGAAATGGGTTCTGAGGATTGAACTCAGCCAGAGGCAGATTTGAATGAGGTCACCTAAATCAGGGAGCTGGGGCAGCCAGAGAAATGAGGCTAGGCATGAAATTCAAAGAACAGGAGAAATGATCAATAGTGTAGAAGGCACAAGAAAGGGAGTCCATCTCTTGTAAAGACAGGTTGAGGAGAGTATTCAAGAGTTAATTCTTCCTTTACTTCTCACCTTCTCTCCTTCCCAACCTCTCTCCACAGCCTTGAGTGCCCCATAAAATGCTGCTTTCTTTATAATTCTGAGCCAGGGAGCTCTTGTCCATTGCCTTATTTCACTTCTTTGCCTGGAATCCATGTCCATGCTGGATTTCCACATGCATCAATTGCTCCATTTGTTTAAAGAATTGTGTCTGTGTCTTTAAACTGCAGCAAATGCTGACTCAGCCACTTTGAGGATGGAGACTGGAATAGCTGGTACCATAGGCCTTTTAATAATCAGCACACTGACCATCTTTGGCTTATTCCTACTCGAAGTTTTGAGTCTCTGATGCACAATGAGAGTGCAGTGGTACACAGTAGATATTTCCTTTCCCATTGTTTTCTGTCAAGTTCAAAATAGGACTACTTTTTATTACTTATGCACACTTAATTTAATAAAATGTCTGTTTATAGCCATGCTACCTAATTTAATCAATTATTCATTATATAAATCTCTATTTTGTATCTTCTATCTGTCAGGCCCAAGTATATAAAAATGAAATAATACAAAGACCTTGGCATCAAGGGGCTTAAAATCTAGTGGGGAAAGACAAGCAGTTAAATAAACAAGTAAAACATAATTCAACAACTCTGATTTAAGATATCTAACTAAGAAAACTCATTTGCTGTTTCTCCTTCCATGATTCTACTGAAATGATGGAAGAAATATAAAAATAAGGATAAATCTACAGTGGAATTAGAAATCCAAGAAGGGCAAAGCCACTGCATACTATTGGGCAGTAAAATAAAACAAGCTATTTGTGGCAACCCCTTAAAGGATACCATCAGCAGGCCAGATATGCTAAAGAATTTCTGAAAGACACAGAGCAGATGGACTCGGATTCCTAGAGGAGTGCCTGTGACTCACAGAAGTGAAAATGAGTACCATTCAAGAGTGAATTTTTATCTCAGCACTTTGGGAGGCCGAGGTGGGCGGATCATGAGGTCAGGAGATCAAGACCATCCTCGCTAACACAGTGAAACTCCGTCTCTACTAAAAATACAAATAATTAGCTGGGCGTGTTGGTGAGCACCTGTAGTTCCAGCTACTCCGGAGGCTGAGACAGGAGAATGGCATGAACCCGGGAGGCGGACTTGCAGTGAGCTGAGACGCACCACTGCACTCCAGCCTGGGCGACAGAGTGAGACCCCGTCTCAAAAAAAAAAAAAAAAAAAAAAAAAAAAAAAAAAAAAAAGTGAATTTTTTTAGCTGAATTCAGAAAGAAGTCCCAGATCAGAGACTCAAAACTTCAAGTAGGAATAAGCCAAAGATGGTCAGTGTGCTGATTATTAAAAGGCCTATAGTACCAGCCACTCCAGTCTCCATTGTTAAAGTGGCTGAGTCAGCATTTGCTGCAGTTTAAAAACATAGACACAATTCTTTAAACAAATGGAGCAATCGATGCATGTGGAAATCCAGCAAGGGCATTGATTCCAGGAAAATAAGTAGAATAAGGGAATGGGCAAAAGCTCCCTGGCTCAGAAGGCAAACTTTCCTTTTGCTCACATTCTCTCATCCCTGGCAGGGAGGGCTTCTGTGAGGAGTGCCTCCTTCTGAGCTGAGGGAGAAAATGGCTGCCCCTTTGGTTGAAATATGGAGGATGTGTCTGAGGTACCTAATGTCTGTCTAACATCAGTAAAAGTAGGAGAGAAGAGAGAGGATAAGTGAGCAAGGAAAAGAAATAGAAGTAAAATCTTCCAATATTAATAAATAGTTGACAGAGAAGGAAGAAAATTAAAACAAAGAAGAAGATACACACCTAAGGACATTTTTGTCAAGCTTCTGAGCAAAAGTAAACAGAAAATCCTATAAAAGAGAGAAAAAGTTACAAAAAGCAAGAATCAGACTATGGCAGAATGCAAAAAGTTAATGAGACAATATAAAATTCTGAAGGAAAATGGTTTCAGACTGAGAGCTCTATATTCCTACTAACTTGTCATTCAAGTGCTAAGGCAAAATGAGAGTCCTCAAAATTTATCACTGATTTCTTTTTTGAAAAATTTACGGGGCCAGTCGTGGTGGCTCACGCCCGTAATCCCAGCACTTTGGGAGTCCGAGGCGGGCGGATCATGAGGTCAGGAGATAGAGACCATCCTGGCTAACAAGGTGAAACCCCGTTTCTACTAAAAATACAAAAAATTAGCCGAGCGAGGTGGCGGGCGCCTGTAGTCCCAGCTAATCGGGAGGCTGAGGCAGGAGAATGGTGTGAACCCGGGAAGTGGAGTTTGCAGTGAGCTGAGATTGTGCCACTGCACTCCAGCCTGGGCAACAGAGCGAGACTCCATCTCAAAAAAAAAAAGAAAAAAAAAAAGAAAAAAGAAAAATTTACTTAATGATCTATTACAGAAAAATGAAAAACCAACAGAAAAATGGAATAGCCTGGGGTACAAGGGAAAAGTGGTGAATAAATAAGCCAGCAAAGCTTATAGTTAATTCTAAATAATTAAAAACGTGATCTGTAAGTTAATACATAGATTAAATTCCACTTTATTACACCAAAACCTGAAAGTAGGAAAATTTTAAACAAAGGTGGATATTGTTAAATTTCTGACCTACATGCAAAAATACCTTTCAAGTAAATTTATAACAATTTTGACAATAATATTGGTAGGATTGAAATTAGAGGTACAACTCTTATTTTACTAGAGTGGAAAGTAAGGCAATAGTGAGGAATGGAAGAAGAAGGAGAAAGAGTAGCAACAACATGGGGAACAGAAAACAAATGCTGATGGCGGAATCAGACTGAACATCTTCAGGCAAAATATTAAAGAATGGGTTAAATTTCTCTATTAAAATATAAATGTCATCAGATAGAGCTTAAAAAAAGGTAAGACCCAAAATGACAAAGAAAATGAAAACAGGATATAAAGCAAATGCTCACGGAAAATTTAATTGACATTAATATCAAATTAGATAGAATTTAAGGTAAAAAGTATTAAGACAATGTACTCTACTTCTAATAATATAAGGTCGAATTCTTGAAGAAGATATAACCATAATGAACCTTTATGTTCATAAAAAATAGAAATGAAACATGCAAAGCAAACCTGTTATAAATAAAAGGAAAGTAAATAAAGCTGGTAGATGTATAACATATATTGCTCATAAATAATCGAGCAAATAAAACCAAAGTAAACATAAGGATTTCTAAGATAGATATATATAAAATTTTGTGGACAAAAAATGAAAACATATTTTTTAGCCCAAGGCCTCATGGAATCAATTATGTACTACCTCACAAAGAAATCACAACCAACCCAAATGCACATCAATGATAGACTGGATAAAGAAAATGTGGCACATATACACCAGGGAATACTATGCAGCCATATAAAGGGATGAGTTCATGTCCTTTTCAGGGACATGGATGAAGCTGGAAACCATCATTCTCAGCAAAGTAACAAGAGAACAGAAAACCAAACACCTCATGTTCTCACTCATAAGTGGGAGTTGAACAATAAGAACACATGGACACAGGGAGGGGTACATAACACACCAGGGCCTGTCGGGGGGTGGGGGGGGGTAGGGGAGGGATAGCATTAGGAGAAATACCTAGTGTAGATGACGGGTTGATGGGTGCAACAAACCACCACGGCACTGTATACCTATGTAACAAACCTGCATGTTCTGCACATGTATCCCAGAACTTAAAGTATTATAAAAAATAAAGAAATCACAATAATTTCTAAAAGTAGATTTAAATGGGACACACTTTCCAAAAATAAAAAAACTGGTATTAAAATAATGATGTATACAAAGCCTATGTATTTTAAAACTATAAAGTTCTTATGGATATCTCTATGGATCAAGAGAAAATTAAAACTATAACTATAAAGAATTCTGAAATAAATGAAATGCTAACATCACATATCAAAATGAGTGAGATACGGAGAAAGAAAAGTTTAGGCTTAAATATAATGGTATTTATTGACAAAAAATAACTAATAATGAACTCAAGAAGCTTACAAATAAGCAAACAATAAACAAAGAACATATGAGAAAAAAATTTTTATATGTAAGCAGAGAGAAATGGAATGGAGATCAAAACAAATAGCAGAATTCAAACAAAGCAAGGGTAAAGAGAAGGGATGTAACAGCAGATTCAGATGGGATTAAAAAGTTCTAAGACTATCATGAAATGTGGAGGTCAGATATTTCAACTCGACAAAACAATGTGTGGTTTCCCTATCCTATCCCTCCCTCCCTCCCTCCTTTCCTTCCTTCCTTCTTTCCTTCCTTCCTTTATTCCTTTTCTTCTTTCCTCCCTTCCTTCTTTCATTTCTCCTTTACTTCTTTGTTCCTTTCTTTCTGCCTTCCTTCCTTTTTTTCTTCTCTCCCTCCCTCCTTCTCACCCATCCATTCATCCATCCATCTCAATGAAAATGTCAAAAATATGAAGTGTTTTTGTTTGGGTGGACATATTGCAGGATATTTAAATTTTTTGTTTACTTTTCTGTGCTTTCTTTTCTCTCTTTTTTTCCTAACAACTCTTACTACTTCTGCTGCTACTTCTATTACTAGTCAACTACCAATTATGAAATATATTTTGAGCCAGGTTCTGGTCTATACCCTTTATGTATATCTCAAATGATCTTTCTGTGACCCTGTAAGGAAAATAAAAAAGTATATTATTGATAAAGCTAATTTAGTAATAATTCATAATTTAACCCCCTATTTAACACCAAGATCCTTTCTATAGTACTCTTCTTGCTGCCTCATCTCTTAAAAGATGGAGAATGCAATGATTCATCAAGCAACTCATTCCTTGGGTGGAATTTTTAAGATAATTTTTGTTATATTGTGCTTCCTTTCAGTTTGTTCCTGATTCTGTCCTGTAGTAAATCATAGAACATATCAACTTTGTGTTCACCTGTGCCATTTCATGGTGATGAAGATCATGTTGATACTGATTTTCAGATTTATGAGAGAGTTTGGTGAAATGAACCTAACATGGGACTAAAAGAAGAAGGTGTTTTAACATTCTGTAGAATAAAAGTAATGGATAGTTCAGGTGGAGCTATTTCACACAAAGAGAGTAATAAACATGAATGAGTTACCAGGGAAGGGAATTAGAGGAAAAGATTGTAAATGAGTTTGTGTGCCTTAGATTTATTTTTCAAGGAAAGTGTAGGATTACTGGGAGCAGAAAATGGTAAAATTGAGGTCAAATGAAAAGATGAGGCCAGCGATATGACACCTCTGCTTTGAATTTCAGGTCTGGGCCAAGCCTTGGATGGATTGAACCCCTCGGTAAACTTTAACAATATCCATGCATGTCAGAAGAAGAGATGAGGGAAATTAATAGGTTTAGGAAAACATCTGCATTTAATCCAGCCAGAAATGTCAATGGCAAATTGTATGAAGCGCAGCATTTATGAATAAAGAGTAAATACTCTTTTTTTTTTTTGTCAGGGGAGATATATTTTTATTTATTTATTTATTTTTACTTTTCCATGCAGGTAAATTTGCCAGTAAATGCTTTCCAGATAAAATATGCTGTTGGGACTCTTAATCTATAGCAATTTATAGCAGCACCAACTTTACATTTGAGAGTTTTAAAATCTATAGCATAGCTTTAAGGAGATATGAACAAAGTGCACTGCCATATTTTCTGTTCTTCCAAGAAAAATGTGCCCAAATCTGCCTTATCTGACATCATCCAGCTCAGTTAAATGTAACTCGCCCTTCCTGTTGCTCAGGCCAAAAACTTAGGAGTTAACACTGCTTTCTCTTTTCCTCTTACACTCTACCTTCAAGCTATGGGCAAAGGCTACTGGGTCTGCCTTTTAATCCATCCTAAATCTGACCTACGGGCATTACCTCAACTGCTTTCACGCTGGCCCAGGCCCCCAGCATCTCTAGCTTGTCACACTGCAGTAGCCTCCTCATTGGTCTGTGTCCATCGTCATTACTCTGTGGTGTATTCTCAACACAGCAGCCAGAGTGAGGTCAGAGCATGTCACTCCTCCACTCAGAACCCTGCAACGCCTTCTCTCTTTAAAGCTGGAATGTCCTTCCATGGCCTACCTGGCCATGATCGGCCCCTATCACTCTTGTTCATTCTACTCAGGCCACTGAACCTGGAGTTCCATGAACATGCCATGCCAGCTCAGGGCCTTTCCATTAAGCATCTCTTCTGCTGTAACAGCGCTCCTGCAGATAAATACATGGCTTGCTCCCCTTCTTCCTTCAAGTCATTACTTAAGTGTTACCTTCCAATCATCTTGTTTAAAATAACAACCTTAGCCCAGCCCTCCGTTCCTTAACATGCTTTATTTCTCTCCACAGTTCTTATCACCTTCTAATACATTATATAATTTGCTTTATTTATTTTTTATCTTCCCCAACTAAAATATAAGCTTTCCTCTTTGTTTGGTTTTGGTCTTTTTGTTTACAGCTTTATACTCTTAGAAGAAGTCCTGGCATGTAGTAGTTGGACCAAAAAATTCTTTTAGAATAAATGTTGTTTATGAAAAGCACATGTTCCAAAATGATCTGACATTTTGCAAAGCCAACAACATTGTTTCTTTGGTCTTGTTTGGCAGCAAAATGGGTGCATTATATGATAGGATGGTAAGATTTGTCACAGTGCTCAGGATCATAAATAATAGTTGTCTTTTCCATTAATGAAATCCTGGAGGAACATCACTGAGTATTAAAAAATAAAGCTTTAGACCGGGCGTGGTGGCTCATGCCTGTAATCCCAGCACTTTGGGAGGCTGAGGCAGGTAGATGATATGGTCAAGAGATTGAGACGATCCTGGCCAACATGGTGAAACCCCGTCTCTACTAAAAATACAGAAATTAGCTGGGCGTGGTGGTGTGTGCCTGTAGTCCCAGCTACTCGGGAGGCTGAGGCAGGAGAATCGCTTGAACCCGGGAGGCGGAGGTTGCAATGAGCCAAGATCGTGCCACTGCACTCCAGCCTGGTGACAGAGCAAGGCTCTGTCAAAAAAGAAAGAAAAAAGGAAGGAAGGAAGGAAGGAAGGAAGGAAGGAAGGAAGGAAGGAAGGAAGGAAGGAAGGAAGGAAGGAAGGGCTTTATTTGCTCACTGTCTAAAAAAATTCTAACTATTTCAAAAATATGTTTCTTGAAACCACAAAGTTAACTGAAATGAACTTTATATGACCTAGAAAAAGTCCATGATGGCTTATATTCTTCTGTAAATATTTTCTAAATTGCATTTTGATTTTCAAATAAGTATCACCATTTTAAATACGTGTGAACATGAAAAGTGAGGGTATGAGGAAACTGGCATGGGAAGAATTTCAAGAGATGTGAACCTTCAGTTCAAAGTAAAAAAAAAATTTCTTGGCTTTACTCTGACCTTTTCTGGACTACTCTTTGGCTAGTCTGAAAGTTGGGATTCCAAGCATTTAAGAGGTTTTTGTTCAGGGAACTCCATGGTCTGCAGATGTGGACTTAGGTTTCTCTTGACTGTGTCAGCTGGAGCAAGCAGGTAGAGTATCAGGCATTTATTTGGTGAGAATTCAGGAGGCTTCCTTTTTTCTAGAAAAATTCAGTGGAGCTTGCCTTTAGAAGAGCAGTTTCTGGAGTAATCTGTAAAATGCTTGCTTAATTTCTAATTCTTATTTAAAATGTACGACAGAAAATGGCTAAATAGTAGTAGAGTTTTCCTCATGTCCATTATTTTTATCTTTCTTCTCTCACTTCATAGGTCATACTCCTATTGATTTTGCAGGTCTTAGGGTAGTTGTCTCATCTTCCAGGAAGCATTTCTCATTTCTTCAAAATCTGGGTTAGGTACCCTTTCTCTGGGCTTCCATAGTATCATGTACTTCCCACATCAGAGCACATGAATTCCAATTGCTCTTTCGTTAAATCTGTTTCCCATGGGTGGATGTAAGTGGCAATGAAGGCAGGATCAGGTTGTTACTGCTTTTGGGGGATCCTTGGTACCTGGCACAACTGTCTAGCAGAGGTGCCACATACGTTCCATATGTTAATGAATGAATGTGTTTCTGTGGTTGTCAGCACACTGCGGTGGAATAAAAAAAAATGTTTGTCTGAATAATAGTTAGAAATGTGAAAAGAATACCCTAAAATATTAAGCAACAAACCATTTAAAATTCTTAAAGTGATATTTTAAAAAACAGCTTTTTCTGTAACTAGGACTGGAACAATACTTATACTTCCATTTCCTTGCCCCTAACATCAGAACCAATTCTAAAAGGAATATAAAGCAAAAGGAAAATCTTTGATATGTAAGCTTCTGGCTTTATATTATTAGGCACAAAATGCAATTAAATTTATTTGTTTTGGCATTCCTTGGTTATCACTGCTGCCTATTGCTGATAAGAAATACATATCAGATGTTGTTGAGAATTTGATTTCACCTACAGATATTCTTTCCTGAATGCCTTAAAGTTGTTCTCTTTTTTCCCCTTTTAGCTTTGTGCTTTTAGTTTTCAGTGACTTAAATTAACTTTTATGCAATAGCAGAAAAAATAGCAAGAATTCAAAGAAATGTGTCCCTGGTGTGCAATTGATTCTCAGCGTTTGTTATTAAATTTTTAAATAATTAAATACAAGAGAAAACATTAAAGCAACACTAAAAAGCCTAACCATATGTTGAAAATATAAATGGGAAGGAGGGACGGGCTTGGAGATGGCCCTAGAATTAAAACTTTTCTTCTTCATTAACCGTGCCCGGTAGTACCTGTGCTGATCATTGCCATGCATGGTCAGCATGCAGAATTGTGTGCTGCAGGTGGGCTGAGCTTTGAGGAGGAGAGACATTCTTTCTTGGAAAGAGTTTGCCAAGAGGAAAGGTCAGCAGGTTAGAAGACACAAGCAAAGACAGTTTGAGTGGAGATGTGATGAGGCGGTCATCAAACAGTCCTTCAAATAAGTTGTTTTGTTGGTTTTTTACAATCTGCAGTGTTCCCAAGGTGGCACATTTCATTCCTTTCCAGAGCAAAAGGCCCGCAAGTCAGCAGTGGTAAGAATACGGAGAGCTGCCATACATTACCTGTGAGTGTGGGCTGATTAAATACTAGTTTGAAAACTGAATGTGTAATACAAAGAAGAGGAGAGCAGGAGAAAGTCAAGGTCCTCGACACGAAAATCATGCAGAATGGCAGGGCATGGGCGTGTTGTGGGTTTGTGTTCCCCCAACATTTATGTGTTGAAATCCTAGGCCCCAGGACCGCAAAATGTGACCGTATTTGAAAATAGGCTTGTTGCAGATGTAATTAGTTAAGATGAGGTCATAGTGGAGTAGGGTGGGCTCCTTATTCAATATGACTGATGTGCTTATAACAAATAGGAAATTTGGACAAGATATACACACAGAAAGAACACAATATGAAGATGAAGGCAAAGATGCTTTTAAAATCCGAGGAATGCCATAGGTTACCAGCAAAACACTAGAAACTAGGTGAGAGGCATGAAACATACTCTGTCTCACAACCCCTAGAAGGAACAAACTTTGCTGACACTTGATCTTGGACTTCTAGCCTCCAGAACTGGGAGATGATAACTTTCTGTTGTTTAAGCCACCTAGTTTGTGGCACTGTGTTATGGCAGCCCTTCCAAACTAATACAGTGAGAAAGAGCACAGCTGTGAGGTCCTCATCATTCTTCACCACCTTTACAATTCAGGCAGCATTCCACCCCATACTGTGTTGCTGCGGGTCAGTCAGCAAATGTTCCTGTAATGTACTGCTGCATGCCAATTAACAAAGAGTCTCATGCCCCATTGCTGCCTATCAAGTAGCAAACGCATCTGCCACTCCTGCTAGAACTCAGCACAGCATCAGGCACTCAGAGAATGTGAAGGATATAAAAATGATTCTCGCTGTTGAGTAGTTTGTGGCAGAGACCAGATATCTCTGTGAAAAGAATACACTGAATAGTAAGAGTCCCAATGAGTGTGGCAGATATGTCATGCACATAGGGGACCCTTACAGAGGAGGGAACAACAGCAGCAACCAATTATTGAGAGTTATGTGTTTAATATAGTATCACCCGTGCATCATCTTCAACAAAAGCCCCATGAGCTAGATGGCATTATCATCCAGGGTTTACAGAAGAGGGAACTAAGCATTGAGCACATAAGGAACTTGCTCAAGGTCACACGGTTAATAAGTAATGGAGCCATGATTTGAACCCAGGTCTATCAAACTAAATTGGGTTAGGAAACATAACGTTTTGTGTTATATTATTGTGGCTACTATGGTCAATTGGTTCTCAACTGCACAATTACAGCAGCTTGGGTATTTTAACCCACAGCCTAAATGAATTACCTGGAGGTAATTTCATTAAATAACACCACTGCTTTATTTTTTCCTTGAAAAATTGTTACAAATTTTTTAAACAGAGAGATTTCAAATTAATTCTCAGTTAAATATTGTTTAACTTTTCCCACTCTTCATTTGAGTTTTGCTTACCCGTATGATTGTGAGTTCTTCCAAGGTCAGGAATTATGTCAAATATATTAGGAGCTGAGTTTGATCTCTTTGATTCCCCCTCTCCCCATTCCCCCCCCAAAATAAAACCTGCTCTTTACTTGAAATCATTCCTTACTCATTTTATTCTCTGCACTTTACTCCAGATACATCAGTAATCCTACTGGCTCTACCTTAAAAATATATTCAGAATATATAATATATTAAAAATAATTCAGAATCACTGCCTCCACCAACTCCCCAATTATAAATTCTTGCTGGCATTACTGCAAAATGCTTCTAACTGGTCTCTCTGCTTCTATCTCTTCCTTTCTATGATCAACCCTTCAGTTGAGGGTTTCTTTTTAAAAGAAATTCAGTCACGCCTGTAATCCCAGCACTTTGGGAGGCCAAGGCGGGCGGATCACGAGGTCAGGAGATTGAGACCATCCTGGCTAACACGGTGAAACCCCGTTTCTACTGAAAAATAGAAAAAATTAGCTGGGAATGGTGGCAGGCGCCTGTAGTCTCAGCTACTCAGGAGGCTGAGGCAGGAGAATGGCGTGAACCCGGGAGGCAGAGTTGGCAGTGAGCCGAGATCGCGCCACTGCACTCCAGCCTGGGCGACAGAGCGAAATTCCGTCACAAAAAAAAAAAAAAAGAAATTCAGGAGGTGTTTCTCCCTCTTTAAAGGTCTCCAGTACTTTTTCATCACACCCAGAACAATTCCAGAGCCCAATTCCTGGTTCTCTACCACCACTCAGACTATTTCCCCAACCACTCTGACCCTCCCCCACTGGGCTCCTGCCATACCAACCTCCTGCTTGTACCTTGAAGGCCTTGAGCACACTCCCTTCCTGGGGCCTTTACATGTAAAATGATGCTTATTCAGATATTTTCCTGGCTCTATCCTTTGTTTTCTTCAGGGGTCTGCCCAAATGTTGCTGTATCAGAGAACCCTTCCCTGCCCACCCTATGGGTAATGTGATGCTTTCCCACCCAAATCATGTTCTGTTCCCAGTACTGCTTTATTTTGCTTCATAGCACTTATTGTCTTCCCACTAGCATGTAAACTTCATGAGAAAAAGGGCTTTGTTTTGTTTACTTCTACATCCTCAATACCAAGAACACTGCCTGGCACATGAGAGACATTCAACATACATTTGTTGATTAAGTGAATGAATGAATGAATTGAAAGAGTTCAGCTGTTAGGGGACTATTTGCTTTATCTCTGTGAATATCAGAGTATAATCATTGCCTTACAATTGGTTAGCATTTCAAAGCATTTTCATATACATTAACCCATAAAATCCTCAGAAGATACAGGGGAATTTGTAGTACACATGTTCACTCTGAAGAAAGTGGGTTAGACACAGGTAAATTAACTAGCCCTAGGTCATATAGTTGTTTGTTTTTTTGTTTTGTTTTGTTTTGTTTTTCAGACAGAGTCTCACTCTGTCACCCAGGCTGGAGTGCAGTGGCATGATCTCAGCTCACTGCAACCTCCGCCTCCTGGGTTCAAGTGATTCTCCTGCCTCAGTCTCTCGAGTAGCTGGAACTACAGGCGCACACCACCACACCCGGCTAATTTTTGCATTTTTAGTAGAGACGGGAGTTTCACCATGTTAGCCAGGTTGGTCTCAAACTTCTTATCTCAAGTGATGCATCTGCCTTGGCCTCCCAAAGTGCTGGGAGTACAGGCGTGATCCACCATGCCCGGCCCCCTAGGTCATATAGTCAATAAATGATTTGTCAGAGCTGAAACCCAAGCATGGTCTTTCCGTTAATCCAAAGGTCTTTTCACAAAGTGACACTAACCTTGCTAAGCCTTCATAAATTTGGAGAGCCATTTCCCTAACTTGATGCATGATGCATATTTAATATATCATCTCATTAGGTAAGAGTTGAGTGTCGGTTGAGAAAATAGACCCCTTTGAGGTTTTGTCTTGGGATACCAGTTTCAAGTAGGGAGTTCTTCAGGTTTGAGTGAAAGGTTTGTATTCTTGCTGACAATCAAACAGTAGAATGTACTTGGGACTATCTCAAAGAGACATCTGTTCTCAGAGAGTGTTATGTGACTTTGAATGTCATTGAGCATTCCAACCCTGAAGGAATCATTTGAATATTCTCAGATTCAGACTTCTCTTTGACTGAAACATGAAGTCTTTGAAAAGAAATTAAAACTTTCCCTGTTAGTTATTTTAAAGGGTAAATAAGGTGGAAAAAGGTGTTCTTCTATGCTTTCAAGAAACATTAGAGAAGCCAGCCCGAAACAGCATTATCATGCAGGAAGAGGACCCAGTACCATGGAAGAGAAAGCCTATTATGAGGAGAGAGGGAAAGGATGCTCATGTGTGTTTAGTTTCTATTATCCATTGAGCATGGTTTCCACACTTTATCTGTGATCAAGTCGATGTGTAAACCTGTACAGGAGAAGGAGGAGGAGAAGAAAGTGGGAAAAGGAACAGAAGCAGCAGCCTTGTTCCAGGGCCCCATTGGAGGCCCAAGCCTCTTGAGGTTTGTGGGTTTGCCATGGGATTGACATCAAAGATTCCTCTTGCCTCTGTGCTTCCCACTCCTAATTAGCCAAGAAGCATAGAATAAGCATGCTCAGAAGTTCATAGGGGCTATGGAGGACACACAAGATGTATAAGTTGTATACCCTGCCCTAGAGACACTATTGCTAGAATGATAGAGTCTTTTTAAAAAGATTAGAGAAGCAACGTTGGCGATATATATTGGCACATGTTCCTCCTGACTTCTTTGGAAGCTCCGTCACTTGGATACTCCTATGGACAAGCTCCAGAAGTTTATAAAGTAGCCTTTCAGCATCTGACACAGCCTCTGTACATTCCAGCAGTAAGAAGCTAGGATTCATTCAACATCCCCCTGTCAGCAAGTATTTATTGGGCATCTACTATTTGCCCAACACAATGCTGGGCACAGAAGCACCATGTAGGCAGAGCCCTCTGTAGAGCAGAGGCGTTCCCTCGGGTTTTCCCTGCCCTCCATTCCCTGCTTGTTGCTGGGAACTTTGCCTTTTTGCCTTTTAGCAAAGCCAGGGGACCAATCACTAGATGCCCATGGAATGACATTTCATGTTCCTTGGAGGTACAACTGCTTGACAATCAGCCTGGGAGCCTAGAAACAGACCTGTCCAGCAGCCTACATATGGTAGAGAAATTTATTACTATTTCCTATTTCCTCCACAGGAAAAAAAGAACTATAGCCTGTATTTTGACATTTTAAAAAGACTTACGGGAGTTGTGCCACATCAAATGAGCTGACGTTATGATATGCTGACACTAATGTTCAACAAAGCACATTTATTGCAGAATTTAGAGGCCAGTCACATACTTCCAAGGTTTTTTATTGCTATTATTTCTTCTTGGGCTTGCCTATCTTGAGGTTTTCAAGAAAGAAAACTCTTGAGCTTTTTTTCCTGAGAAATCAGCTGACATGGTGCACCTTGGGCATATTCTCTTATCTCAGTTCACCAATGTGGCTGATAAATCATACAAGGGTTTGTAATTATTTCAGTACCTTCCTCTGAAGTGTAATTCAAAGTATTCTAGTTTCAAATCCTAATTTTAAGGACACTTTGAGGAAAACACATTTATTTTTGGAAATTTAGCAATATTTTGCTTGTTTTGTTCTGCTTTGGTATCCATAAAACATATTTTCTATTGCAGAGAACAATCTGCAGTAGTTGAAGTGCCTAATGTCAACCAATGTTGAGCATCTACTCTGTGTTCATCCCTGTGGAAGAATTCAATTCAGTCCAATAACCCTTTGATGAGGACCAGTCATGTGTATAACCCCAAGGCAGATGCTGCAGGGCACATAGAGATGAACTTAGAGTCTGGGAGAGAATACAGGACATGCACACAAATAACTATTATACAAGGTTGGCATTGTAAGAAAGGCACAAACCAAGTGCTATAAGGCTTTAAAGGCATATATCTGCTAGACTGTAAGCTACATGAAATCTCAGTTTTATGAGACACTGTATCATCAGTGCTTTCATCATCACCGGGCATATGGTTGCTTCTCAATAAATACTTTTTGACTGAATAAATAAACTTTCTATTTGGGGGTAAAGGTGAGGGATCAAGGTTAGACAAGACTCCAATGCAGAGTCTGAATTGACTCTTAAAAGATGGGGAGAGTTTTCAACAGCTGCTGGAGGTAGGAGGAGGGTGTTCCAGGTGGAAGGCAAGGCATCTGTTAAGTCCTGGAGGCTGGCAAGCCTCTGGAATGCTTTGGGCAGTATTTGGCTCGAGTTTATGGTACATATGTACAGGGGAGTAATGGGAAGAAAGGCAAACAGCATTTGTTGAGGCCAAGTTATGGTGACCCTACATACCAAGTTGGAACTTTGATTTTAATTTGTACACATTGAGGAAATAAAGTATTTTGAGAAGGAACTTGGCATTTTCTGAACCATGATTTAGGAAAACTTATATGGTAATTATATGTAAAATATAGATTCCAAACTTGAGTCTACACCAGGATTAACTGGGAAGCTTTTTAATTATACAGATTTCTATATCCCCCAAGACCTAATGAATTGGGATATTCATTGTCTGTATTTCTACCAAGTTCTCAAGGTGATAGCCAACCTCAAAGTGCACAGAATTCAAGATTACACGTATCTGGGGCTAGTTCTTCTGGGATCTTGGCATGGGAAGAGAGAAGAGGGAACAAGATTGCAGATTCATAGGGTTATCTGTGAGAAAAGGCCAAAGAGAGAGAAAGAGACTTCTGAGGTCAGAGTCTACAGAGCCCTGCAGCAGAAGGATAACAATCATGCTTGAGTCATGAGCCAAGGAAATAATGATTGAGAAGAGAATAGAATCTAAGGGATCTGCAGGTGGGAGTCTAGCCACACGAGCAGAGATGAGAATGAGCAAGCAGAGGCATGAGGCATGGCTGCTGGGAGCACAGGTACATCAACATTTTCCTCTCCACCTACCTGGCAAGCCTCAGGGAAGCACATCCCAGCAAGCAATTGAGTACATCAACCATTATTTCCCCATTTCAGAACTTTCATTTGTGTTTAGTGGAGATCTGTGTGATAACTCATATGCACTCAGATAAAGTGTCAATAAGAAGTTGTGGTAAGGGTCCTCTAATCCACTGATTTTTTTTTTTTCTGATTTGAGAAGCCTGCAATAAAAATGCGAGAAGACTTAAACTTATTTCAAGGGCAGTTCAAGAACTGCAGAATTCACAGCATCACTGTTCTGCAGTCATAGTATAATTTTCTGTATGTAATAAAAGACACATGAAATACAACTTGAAAAATAAAAGGCTTCAAAGATTTATTAACTCTTTGAAATGTTATCCTAAGTAGTATGTTAAAAAGTCCATTGTAAAGAAAGCTATGAAAATTGGAAGGTATTACACCATAACTTTATTTCTTTTAAAACAGCAAAGATTTATTTAGGCACTAATGGCCAAATAGTTCAGTTTTGAAAAGTGGGGCCTGAATGATATAAAATAGTGGAAAGAACTACGCACAGGAGACAAAAAGAACTAAATGATAATACTAACAACAATAACAGCAACAATGCTACACTTAATTTTGTGAATTCCTATGTACTAGCTACTGCGCTAAATGCTTCACATGCACCCGCCTGTGTAAATCCTCACAGTAACTCTGTGATGTTGGTATGACTATCATCCCAATTTCACAGGGGACATATTGCAGTTCAGCGATGGTAGACAACTTTCTTATGCTCAAAAACCTTCTGAATGGTAGTGGTAGCACAAGCTGAATCTAAACGCATGCCCCTAACCAACATTTTCTGACTTTACTAATAACCAGCTGTGTTTTCCTGCTCTACATAAATCACTCCTTGAATCCTCGCAACAACTCTAGGAGTCAGGTACTATTATTACTTTATTCGCGTTTTATTGTCTTTTCATTTTATAGGTGACATCACCGGGGCATAGGGAACTTAATGAACATTCCCCACATTATGCAATTAACAAATGGAGAGGCTAGAATTGGAACCAGATATGTTAACTCAAAGTCTGTCTCTTAGTTTAGTGACACGTATACAACAACAACAACAACAACAAAAGATAGGGTATTTTCTAGTGTTTGCCACTAGGTTCTACTCTAATTACTACTCTGTTCAATATTGTTACCAATATTGATGTCACAATGCTGTAGAATTGTAGTAATTAAATTGAATGATTGACTTGGGATTCAAATAAAGTCTAAGAGACAGACGAAAAAAATGGAATCTAACAAAAGGATATGTAAGTGAGATGAATATCAGATCTTACTCATGAACCTAAAAGCATGACTACCCCGTTTAGCAAGATGGAGCCAAGAAAGAGATGAGGATCTTTTCGTAGATGATAATAGGGGAGTTTTAGGTGACATTAAGCACAATATGAGTCAAAGGTGGTTAAAAGCAACTTGCTCCAACTCCTCAGCATCAACAAACCAAATGTCAACTTAGGGCAGTGATAGAACCCTTCTGCCTCCCTGACTGAGACTAATTGGAAGAAATCTGGAGTGCTGCATTTTGGTCAAAGCATAGAAGTGTAGCATGCTAGGAAGATGAAAGGACTTAAAACCATGTTACCGAAGAGTGGTTGAAGAAACTGAGGATATTTAGCCAAGAGGAGAAAAGACATAGAGGGAGAGCTAATAGCTCCTGTCATGTGTCTGAAGGACCTCAGAAAAAAACAAAAACAAACAAACAAACAAAAAAGATTATTTGATTATCTTTCTCCCCTTGGGGCCAAAATAAATAAATAAATAAATAAATAGATAAATTTAGCTTAATAACAGAAAGATCTTTCTGGAAGTTGAATCTTCAAAAAGATGGAAATGATTGACTCAGGAATTTTTGCACAACCCAGCTGCTTATTACAGTCATCTATGGGACTTTCTAACACTGTAGATACCAAGGCCCCAACTCCAAGGAGATGTGGAGAGATAATTTTGTATTTTTTTAAAGTTCCACAGGTGATTATGATGTTCAGTTAGAATTTAAAAACACTCCTTTGATGGATAATGGTAATAATAACTATTTATGATGATAACTATGCACCAGGGATTGCACTACATGCTTTATATATATAAAATTTCATTTCATTCTCATCTCCAAAGTTTAATGTAGTAATGATGATCTCATTTTACTGGTGGATGAACTGAACCAAATTAAAGTACTTGCCCAAGGTTTCCAAGGATGGTAGAGGTGATAAGGAAAATACATCCACCTGGTTAGCAGGGGAGGTTGGAGGTTTCTGGCAGGTGGAGATCCAGGCTCAAACCCAGGACAGATGAATATGAGAGTGAATCACTCCATGTGCTTTGAGATTTAAATGACAGGATGAAGTCAGTCAAATTTAAGGGAGATTCCAAAATGAAAAATTTGTAATTCTGTCACTGAGAGCTCCAACAGGCAACAGGTCTTCAGGTTAAAGTTTATAAAAATAATCGAGTTTATAGAGATATTTCTATGGCATCAGAAATACCCATATCCTGGTAAGATTAAGGATAACTAGGCCAGATTATGATGAGAATAGATGTATGCAAAGGCAAATACTGCACATCAAAGAGTTCTAGGAAACGGGAAACAATATTTGAGAGACAAAACTGAAGGAAAAAATTCAGAAAACAGTAGACAAATCTTGGGAGTCTTCACTACTTTAATCAGGTAAAAATGATTCCCTGAAGTGAAGTTCTGAGAAGACCTGTTGGCTCAAGAGACAAATACAGTCTCTCAGTCTCTCTCTCTCTCTCTCTCTCTCTCTCTCTCTCCCTGTCTTATCTCTGCGGTAAGCCTCAGTTTTTCCTATTTAATGTAAGGATTTGCCATATAGCATGAAACATGATGGCATGAAGCATAGCTGCCAGCAACCTCAGATTTGCACGCCTCTAGCACTGTTTCTTGAGAGGCTAGAGAGAATTTCCCCTGCAAGGTCCAGCTGAAAAATTCTGTGGAAGCTTTTTTGTTAGGTGGGCTTGAGTCATGTGCTCATCTAGACAGTAAGATTGACTGCAAATGGGGTCATATTCCCAGAAACGTAATCAGGGGTCAGGATACCAAAAAGTCTGGAAAGATGTTGAGGGGGCTGTGAGACAGACAAAGAGAGTAGCCATTTGAAATAGCAAACGTTATACTTAGCAGTGAGCCATTAGGAACTGTCCAATTAGAGTTAAGAAAAAGGCACAGATATTTCTTGTTAGCACTATTACTTAATATGGTTCTGGAAGTTCTACCTTATTAGCTAAGGTAAACAACACCAAAGAGTACTGAAGTACAAGTATTGAAAAAGTAGAGACAAATATATTTTTAAAACATATTTTTGTAATAGTCTCGCAAGTTCTGAGGGGTTTATCAGGGGTTTCCACCTTTGCTTCTTCCTCATTTCTTTCTTGCTGCCACCATGTAAGAAGTGCCTTTTGCCCTCTGCCATGATTATGAGAGACTTCCCCAGCCATGTGGAACTGTGCATCAAATTAAACCTCCTTTTCTTTCCAGTCTTGGGTATGTCTATCAGCAGCGTAAAAACAGACTAATACGTGGGTGGATCCTTCACGAACAGATTACTGCCTTCCCTGGATGAATTCTTGCTCTATTAGTTCCCATAAGAGTAGGTTGTTAAAAGGAGCCTGACACCTCCTCCCCTCTCTCTCTTGCTTCCTCTCTTGCCATGTGGTCTCTGCACATGCCATCTCCCCTTCACTTTCTGCCACCAGTGGAAGCAGCCTGAGCTCCTTACCAGATGCACATGCTCATGCCATGCTTCTTGCACAGCTTGAAGAAGTGTGAGCCAAATAAACCTCTCTCTAAAATAAATCACCAAATTACCCAGCCTCGGGTATTCCTTTATAGCAACACAAATGGACTTAGACAGTATGATTCTTTGAGAATAATTTAGCGATGCTTGTCAACATTTAAAATGTGGTTACTCTTTCCCTTCCCCATGGGAAGACAAGGCCCATGTCTGATGTCAAGGCCATGTGAGCCCAGTCCCACAGCACTGTCTGATCTCTGCTTTGCAGCTCATACCCCCACAATCACTCCTGAGACCCCTGGCCTCTGGCTTCAGCCTTCCAGCCTCTGTTCCTCTAGTAAGGGCCTTCTGTGTCCACCTCTAACCCAGGCCCCAGGGACCCAGACCCAGGGTGGAGATGGATGTCCCAGCTGGCATGGCTGGGAGCTGCAGACCTATCCTCCTGGTGGGCCCAGAGGCCCCTTGAGCTTGTGGAGCCCCACCTTGGGGTGCTGCCTGCCCATTTCTCTCCCAGGGAGCCCCAGCCCCTGTTGGGCCCAGGGACACTGGCTGGGCTCTGTGCTGACCCTCCCGTTCCACTCAGCCCTGGCCTCAGCAGCGCCACTCCTGCCTCCACCCTCTGAGCTTTGCATGTTCCACTAACCCGGGCAGGTGGCAGGTGGAGGTGTCAGGCTGCCAGCACCTCTGCAAGGGCAGAACACTAACCTGACCATGGGCGGGGCTTGCGGCATCCACCCCCAATAAAAGCAATTCCAACCTTAAATAAATAAATAAATAAAATTAAATTAAATTAAATAAAATGTGCTTACTCTTTAATCTAGCAATTCCACTTTAGGAATCTATATTATATATGTAAAGGTTAAAAAAACATGTTTAGAATTTTCCTAGAACAAACACCTAGAGAGAATGTAAATGTTCATAAATAGGGAATTGATAAAAATAATTATGGTACCTCCATATTATTGATTACTCTAAAGATTTTTAAAGGAATAAAGTACATTTTATTGACTAGTATGGACAGTTTTTGGTTATATATTTTTTAGTAATAAGACAATTTATAGAATATATGGGATATAATCCAATATTTGTTTAAAAATGGAAAACATGCCTGTATATATAGATAGATGTTTATGCACATATCATAGGCCTTGTTAAATGCACAGGAAGCTTTAATGGTGTTTTCTTCTAGAGAATGAGAGTAAGGTATGATTTTATTTATTTTTTTCAATGTGCACATAAGTATTTTTTGAAAAAAAATAAAGCCAGTAATTTTTCTAAATTTAAAAGTTTGACAAGTACAATTAATTTTCAAGTTTTGACTACTTTCTTTGATGTTATAATGCTTTATATTGAGAACTTTACATGTATGTAGTATTTTCACATGCATTAAAAATATTGAAATGTATGCTTTGAGGATATAACAGAAAGGAAAGGTTTGAGGCACAGAACTTTATCAGAATATAGAATTGCTTTTTAAAAATTCTTACTGAAACTGGTGGAAATATTTAGCTCCATGAGCAGAAAAGAATTCATGGAACCATTATATTCTAACCTGCTCTATCCACTAGAGACTGTCATGTAAATGTCTGACAGAGCTATGCATATGAGAAGTTACACAACATCAGTATTCATTAAGAGGGGTCATTCAGTACAAAGTGAGCTCATTTTTACCAATATAAATGTGCAGAGATCGAATGAAGGAAAATCAAAGATAAAGGAAAATCCAAAGTGTGACCTTGAGCCATTGCCTGTGGATATAGTCTTGTTTCATCAATGTCAAGAAAAGCAAAGATAACTTTTAAGTTATCTTGGAGCATCAGAGCATGCCAATTACCTTATGATTCTACCCGCGATGAGAAATCAAACTAATACATACCTGCCTATTTCATAAAGAAGCATAATCACTTCACGCAAATGACAGGAAGAACCAATGTGGGTTACAGAATTTTGAGTTTAGAAAGCATTCAAAACAAAATGACAAACAAGAGTCAACCACAATTCATGACAGGGTTGTGCTAATTGATCTGGACAGAATTCTTCAGAATATGTTACTTACAGACACCAAGGTGTCATAGAGAAAAGGAGAATAGTCAGTGGCATGTGAATAAAGTGTGGTGATTTGCACTTTATCCATGCCCCATCTAAATACTTTAGCCTCCCTGTTTGCTGAGGTTAATAATGTTAATAATGAAATTTCTCCAAGTGGCAGGCAAGGCAGGTAAGGAAAAATGAAATATGTATCAGATTACAAATACGAAATTTTCCTGGAGTCTTCTTATTTCATGTAAGCCTGTATCAATATCAGTGCCCCATTTAGAAGTCTTGACTCTTCGTTTTTTCCTTCTCCTATTTTTCTTCATTTTTTCTTCTCCTCCTTCACTCTTAAAAAAAATTTCTTTTTCCTTTCCATCCTTCTTTTTTCCTTTTTCAAAAATACACTACCTCTTGTTTCCAATAGGCAGCACCTGTATCTTTTTTTGGTGAACTCTCCTCATGCTGCCACAGAGCACATTGCCTACATCCCTAGAGAGCCAAGAGTACTTAGAAAATTCCATGAGCCTTCAGGTGGTCCTAATTCAGTGGGTGCTGAGATATGAAAGCCCACCTCCCTTATTTTTGTCAGAACAACTTTGAGGCATAACTCACACTCTATAAATCCCTTGGATCAGTCTGAACACCCTTGAGGGACCTTGAGATTGCACCCTCACTTGCCTTCTTCCCCTTCATTGTTCTGTTTCCCCTATTCCCCTTCCATGGTGTTCCTGGGGAACTTCCTTAATTAATCACTTGAGCACACATTTTTATTTTGGAGTTGCTTCACTTAGAAAATAATTTCTTCCGTCAAAAAAGTTAAATTGGCAGATATCTGAAAAATGTAATTTTTTAAATCTTCTAAAAATGTTTCCTTTAAATATATTTTTATTCATCAAAACATCTGTGTTTTGATAAATATACACACCTGTTTTGATGAATATATATACTCATAAATATATATGTCTACTGTGTACCCACGAAAATTAAAAAAAATACAATATAAACAGTAGATTGAAAAAAATTGTTTTGTCAGTTGGTATATCCAGATTTTTAGTCGAGAAAAATGTGCCCATCATAGCTATAGGTAAAGCTTAAAAGAATTGATGTGACAGATAATACTATTATGAATCTAACCAGGATGGAGTTTAATGATGGAAATCTCCCTCCCATCTCACCTCTCACTTTAGATTTGCAGAAATCCAATTCTCCATGTTGTATTTTTTCCTTGTTCACTTAGCTTTTACATACACACAAATAGGATTTTATTAGTGACTTACTCATGAACTCAACTTATTTTTCTTGAGGCCACTGACCCAATGTTCTTTGTGCGTTTTTGGTACTTCCCAGGAGTAACTGAAGTGCAAAAACGGGAACAAATGTTAAGATCTCTACCTACTAACAAAAGGTTTAGGAATCTGTGGTATACTTCATTCTAAAAGAGAAGTAAACTTGTATTTTCCAACTAAAAATGGTGAAACAAAGGAATTTCCAGGTAACTCTCTCTCATGGACAATTTGAGCATTCTGGTTAAACAAGGTGCTTTTTCTTTATACTGCTGCATACATCTTTTACAAAAAGGTTAGTGTCTAGTCCTGACATCTGTTGCATACATTTTTTTTTCCAGAGGGTGAGATTTGATAGTTCTGTTTCGATCAACATTAGGTTTCTCAGTTTTTGAGCAATACCCGCCAAATGAAGGGATGTAAATATGATGTCTCACTTGGAGGGGCATTTAATTACTCTGATATTTGGAACACAAATGTCTAGTTTACTTAGAGTCCTTTTCAGATAGGCACTTATAGGACTACATTTCTATTCAAGTATGAACAGAGAAAGCTTGATTTTTTCTAAGAAAGTGGCTAGTGGGAAGTAATACATCTGAGGCAACGGATGAAATACTAGTGAAAATGTGTCCACTTTTGAAAACTCTCATGCTGCTTCACTACTTCCTGTCTCTCGCTATGGAAAGACTTTCTCCTCTCTTTAACCTAGCAAACTGCTACTTATCCCTTTTCTCTGTGATGCTTTTCTTGATGCCCCTTGACAGAGATAGCTTTTCTGACTTCTGGTTCTCTTATTGTTTTCTATATAATACCCTTATTATAAAGCAACTATCATATATGTAATTTAATATTGTATGAATTTGTTTACCTATTAAAATGTATAATCTTTGAAAACAAATGCTGATTCTTGATTTATGAATCTCCACATTTTAGCACAATGACTGACAAATATTTATTAAAAGATGAATGGATAGGTGAATAAATGAACAAATGATCAGAAAATGAAGTTATTAATAGAGAGGGAAAGTAAAAGATAAAGAAGTGCATGGGCAGAAAATATGTGCTCTAAGAGATTGATTAAAGAACTATGTCTTTTAGGCTGGGGTGATTAGAGACAGTTCCATAAAGGAGGTTGGATTTAAATTAGGACTCAAAGGATAAGTAAAGTTTTGCTAGTCCAGTGATCAATGATATTATTTATCAAGGTGCTTTCAGAGGCATTAGAAAATGCCATAAGCTGTGTTTCAGCCCATTTTGTATTGCTATAACAGAATACCTGCGTCTGGGTAATTTATTTTTTTAAAAAAGAGATTTAGTTGGCTGATGATTCTGGTGTCTGGGAAGTCCAAGAGCTTGGCACCAGCATCTGCTCAACTTCTGGTGAGGGCCTTGTGCTGCATCATAACATGGCAAAGAAATGGAAGGGGAACCAAGCATGTAAAAGGCGGGCAATACAGGAAGGGTGTTCTCATTTATAACAACTTGCTTTCACAGGTACGAATCCATTGCAGTGAGAACTAATCATGTGTCACAAGAGTAAGAATTCACTCACAACTTCAAGAATGGCACTAAGCCACCCATGAAGGTGGATCTTCCATGACACAAATGCCTCCCATTAGGCCCCACGACTTAAAGGTTCCACCTCCCAACATTGCTGCATTGGGAATTAAGATTCCAATATGAGTTTTGGTCGGGACACTCAAAGAATAACAAGCTACAAAGACTACATTAAAACTTATTATAATATATTGATTATACTGAACTGCTTGTAATTTATACTCCAGAAAATATTTACAATGAAAAGAAAAAAAGAAGGAAAGAAAGGGAAGGAAGGAAGGAAGGAAGACTCAAAACAGTAGCAGAAGTAAATGAAAAATTTAGGTGGATGATGATAAATCTTCCTAAAGTATATTTTTAATATTAATAAACTTAAATACTCATAAATATTTTCAGGGAGAAAAAGAAATTCTAAATGTTTTTTAAATTTTATTTTTGGTCAAGGCAATCATTTGATTTGCAATTTTTGAATGTAATAATACTGGCCTCATGGTCCACTCAGGGAGTAATTTTAAGTTACATGGCTTGAATCAACACAACTATTCATTTATATGATTAGAATCTAAAAAACTTGATACCTCCAAATGGCACATGGTCATCATCTCTTTTAGTTCTTTTATTTGCAAAATTACTTTATAATTCTTTATTTACAAAATTCAGAATTATGCTATAGGTTCTGGAGAGAAAAAAAGGCACACCACTTGCAGTAATGCCATTTTGTTTATTTATTTTGAGCAATCCTATTTATTCTAATCGCTATTTCTAAGTGCATACTTAGAAAAATGTCAGAAACAAACAGAATCAGACATAAAGTCTAGGTTCAGATTAGAGAAATTGTCCAGTTAGTTTCATATTTATCTGGAGGATTGGCTTCCAAATCTCAAAGCTGTCAGACTGAATTAACAGTTATTTTATTAATGTTTTCAAGTTCAAGTTCATTTGCATATATAATACAGCTGTTGTGTGGCTGGCTTTCGAACCAACTGATCTAAACAAGTAGGGTTGGTGTGGCATTAGTGGCAGTCTTGGAGGACTGCACCCTCCCAAGTCAATTTTTAAATGTAATTCCTAAGTGTGCATACTATTAATCTGGCTTCAGCTGGGTAATTCGTTTTCTGATTTCCATAAGTGAAGCAAGTAGTCCTGAAGGTTAGCTTCCACCATATTTAAACAATTCTATTACCAAAAAATTTTGTAGTGAGCCTTATGATAGAACTGACTCTCCCATTAAGTGGGGGAAACTAGGTTAGCTTATCCAGTCTCTGACTTTTGGTGTAAGGTTTGAAATGCCATTTAGGAAGGACATCTTACATTTTACTATACTGTCTAAAGTTTACTGGGCAGATCAAGGGGAAAAATGAGGGACATTTTAAAAATTGGAAACTTTACTATTATATGTATTCTGCCATAGGTGTGGGTGTTACTCAAAGCAAAGCAGTCACATCATTTCAGCCTTGTTATGGTAGAGAGACACATCAAAGAGATTGTCTGAATGATGCCACTCAATTACCCGAGTCATGGTTTTTTTTTCTTTAAAGATACTAATTGTTGCTCAGTAACTGTGTCTTAAGTGCTGTGCTATGTGTTTTGTATAGATTGTGTCATTTAATTCACTCTATGACTTTATGAGACAAATTCAAATAGAATTCCCATTTGATAGGTGAATAAACCCAGGCTTAAGTAACCTCTCCAGGGCCACACAGATGCTAAGTGGGAATACTGGGATATGTGCTCAGGCAGTTTGGTTCTAGAATATGTACTCTCTTGAACTTTGTATTTATTTAACCTTTAGGAACATTACCAAAATTAACCACCCTGATGGTGTAGTTATATGGCTTAGTGGAATGTTGGCTGGGACACCTGGAGTTCAAAGATAAGTCCTGGATTTATAGGCTTAGCAACTAATTCAAATCAGCCAACCTCAAAAGAGCTGAGCTTATCACACAGAAAGACCATTTAATAGTTTCCAGTGGGTGGTCTTTTCCTTTCCTGTGACTGGAATGAGCAGTGGTTAATAGTATGGGCATTAGCCTGTATTATTTTAGCCCTAGATTTGAATTAAGATCTACCACTTACTAGCTCTGTAACCTTGGCCAATATATTTATCCTCAGTTTCCCCATGTATAAAATGAAGGTAATAGTCCCATTTCATTAAATTGTCATGACTTAACTCATATAAAATGCTTATTATGGGGCTAGAATCATAGGTGACCTTTAATAAGTAGTTATTAATTAAAGATCATGGGAACACAATCTGTTTCTGTTATCCTGGTATCTGGAAAATCACATAAATAATCAATAGATAGAAAGTCATATCTGATAAAAAAGAGTTGCTATTCTTATGGAACATTTTATTCAAGCTTGGCTAAGTATTCTTCCTTCTTTCATCACTGTGTCTACCACATTAGGTACTAAAATACTCATGTCTTCCAGCATCAGTTTCTTTCCTTTAACCAGTGCTGGATAAACATGAATACATTCCTAAGCTTTAACTCTACTTTTACAAAATTTATATTATTACAAATTTCTTCATGAAAGGAATACTGTATGCCCTCAATTTGTAGATGCCATCTATAGTTAAATAGATGGATTTAAAAATCCATTAAAAAATAGTATGGATTAAAAAATATTTTTAGGAGAAAAAAGAGTTGATTCGTTATGCATTCATCATTTTAAAAAAACTAACAAAAACTAGCTTACATTGATCTATACTACTACATATTACTTTCTTCTTAAATATCACGAATTATAAGCCATAACTTTTACATTCAGAATATAAAATTTCATCTAAATCTGTAATCCCAGCACTTTGGGAGGCTGAGGAGGGTGGATCACAAGGTCAAGAGATAGAGACCATTCTGGCCAACATGGTGAAACCTCGTCTCCACTAAAAATACGAAAATTAGCCAGATGTGGTGGCGCATTCCTATAGTCCCAGCTACTCGGGAGGCTGAGGCAGGAGAATTGCTTGAACCCAGGAGGCAGAGGTTGCAGTGAGCCGAGATCGAGCCACTGCACTCCAGCCTGGCTACAGAGTGAGACTCCGTCTCAAAAAAATAAAAGAAAATAAATTTCATCTAAATCACTTTTTGCCATCAGCACTTAGGCATAACCTCATGGTGGCACACTGTTTCTTTGTAACACTCACTCATGATCTTTAACTCTTTAGAACTTTAAGAATTTACAGTGTAATTTTAAGTCATATTTAAAGTATGCAAGGACTTATTCTGTATTTTCTATTTGGTTTAGCTCATAGTTTCATGTTTTTCATTATGTAAATTAATTGCTACTAAAGCAAGTTAGTGTCTTATGGAAGTCAGCTGAAAGTTTTTGAACAAAAGGTATTGAATTCTCTAGGTTGCATAAATTTGTTATATAAAACTCGCCTGAATTTGGAAATTTCATGATCCGGTACAGAGATTAACAAACTATAACCTGCAGGCTGAATCTGACTCACTAACTATTTTTATAAATAAAGTTTTATTGAAATATAGTTATGTCCATTTGTTATTTTAGGGACTGTGGCTGCTTTCACACTATAATAGCAGAGCTGAGATGTCACAGAGCCTATATGGCTTACAAAATTTAAAATATTTACTGTCTAGCTCTTTACAGAAAAAAATTGTGGGCTCCTTAATCTAGTCCAAGAGATTTAGTAATTTCTAAAGCCGACTACACAGTAATTTTCTTTCATTATCTCCTCCTTATCATTATTATTAACAACGTATCTAAGAGGTATAACTATGTGTCCCAACATGAATTATTTTATTTAATACTTATGTAAAACCCCTTATTTTTTGGATGAGGTAGTTGAGGCTTAGGAGGTTAATTATCCAGGTACATAAAGGTATCTAAGAGGTAATGCTAGAATATATAGCATTATAAGCTGATGAGACAGAAGTAAATTAGCAAGGAAATGTGCATGACTTATGATTTGGAACAGTTGGCCAATCAAGGGTAGAAGTGGGAGGGCTACAAAAAGATTGAGCAATGTTTCAAGGCAAGATGAGTTGAAAGGAGTAACATGAGAACATGTACCAGAAAATAAACTATTTTCCATAAGTGATTCCCAGTTTCTTTACACTTTCTAGTTACATTATACAACTTCACTAAAGTGTAAGCTCTGCGAGAGCCAGAACTTTTTTTTTCACTGTTTTATCCTCTGTGCCTAGAGTAGTATGCATTTAATAAAGAATTGCTGAATAAATGAATATGTTATTTGACCACAAAAACTGGGAAAAGGCAGCTAATGGGACAAGCTAAAAAGACACAAACACCAAAGACATTATCTCTGGTGAAACACCCTTTGTCTATTTGGAAATATTGACAACTGAAACTTATCAGGTAAGTGGCGGGGAAAGAATAATAAGTTGTGGTTTCCATAGCATCAGGTTTTATCATAATTCTTGGTCTGAAAGCAGATGTTGAATTTTTTTCTGCTTGTATTATTCAAGGACTCTGGGCTACAAGTAAAAAAAGAAAAAAAAGTACAAATTTGCTTATGTAGAAAGCAATTTGCTAGTAACATTTGGACAAGGTTTCTGTTCATCTCTGTCTTCAGTTTGTTTCTGGATGTTGGGGCTATTATCTTCTACCATAGACTAGCTTCTTTTCAGGTAAGAAGACACAGATGACCAGAAATCTGGAACTAACATATTAACCTTCCATAGCCGGAGAATCAAAGTTTCTTTCCTCCATAGGAAGAGAATTTCATCTAATCAAGTCTCTACCCATTACCACTGGAACTACCATTTCTTTTACTTTAGGCTTTATCATTTTCTATCTGAACTATACCTACTGCTTTCTTCATCCATTCTCAACTTCCGTTTTAACTCATTAGTACAAGTTCTATTAGGTCATTCCTTTGCTAAAAATCTGTAGGGATTTCTCATTTCCTTCACATCAACACTCAAGCTCTTTGTATAACACATACAAGCCTCTTTGATTTTATCCTACTTAATTCTTCATGTTCATCTTTCAGTATCTCTACCCCCTGCCCCTATTAAATATTGAACTCTAGATGCACTGTTTTATTTACTTGAAGTTCCCCAGTAATGGCTTTTCTCCAGCTGGAATGCCTTTCCCACAATTATTTGCTTCATCAACTCCTACCCATCCTTAAAGACAGAGCTCAGGCATCACTACTACTCTCTGGAAGTCTCTGTCTTTCCAATCTGCCATAGGTATCCTTCTTATGTGCTCCCATAGAATTTCATTTTATTCTATAATATCACTTAGAGTATTTTATTATTTGGAATTTTTGCCTCACATATTAGACTGTAACTTGAAGGAAATAACTGTGTTTTGTATTTTTGTTACCAATATTTAGTATATATTCTCAACAAATAATTTTTGTGTGAGTAAATGATTGCATGCATATGTGGCTCAACAGAGTTACATAAACAAATGAAAGAAACTTCTCCTCTATTACATAAACTATAAACGTCAACTTTTTCATAATTACATACAACGTGGAAAAATATATTTACATGTCTTAGAGTCTTAGAAGTCTCATTCCTAAAAACTAAGCCTGAGAAACAGTCGAATGTAATGATCAACAGTGTGCATATGAAAGTCTGACCACCTAGGTTTAGATCCCACTACTTCCACCTATCAGTTGCGTGACCTTAGGCAAGTTACTTTATCTCCCTGTGTCTAAGTTTTTTCAGCTGTTTAACATTTTATTAATAAATCAGTGATATCAGCAAGATGGTGGAATAGGAGGTTACCCCCTTGTATCCCCCCAGGGCAACATGAATTCTGCACCCATCTACAAACAAAAGTCTCTTTGTGGGAGATTTGGGATTCATGTACGGGGTTGTAAAACTTCTCTTTTGAGCCAAAGATCTAAGAGGATTGGTTTGAGAGTGCAGATCTGCACCTAGGTGGCAGGCCCTCCAGTTATGCTCCCAATTTTGGACCCAGAAACAACCTCATTTTCCAAAGAGTTTGGCTACAGCCCCATTTGGCCTTGAGACAACTACCAAAACCATCTGCTAAGGGATCTGGGAAGAATCACACACGCTAGTTCCTTGAGAGACAGGCCTGTCTTCTTGCTGACATCTGTCTCTGCAGTGGACCTGAAAGTTACCCTGTAAATAGGCTACAGCCCTCCTGAGCTGTGGTCCCAGCTTTGTACTGCTTGCGCATAGACCAAGAAGGAGATTTGCCTACCTGATGCACCAGGACGGGCTTGCTGGCCTCTGTCCTATAGTAGATCCTGAAATGACCCTCTCTTGGCCCCAGCCACCCTGCCACATCCCCAGAGTTAATTTTCTTATGCAGGGACTACTATCCTGGCCAGGCTTGCCAGCCTGTCCCAGAGCAGTTCCTGAAGAGGCCTTGAATCTCAGCTCTGGCCCCTCTGAGCTGAGGTCTGGGAGTAACTCTGTCCTTATGCTGGAAGTCTCACACATTGGTGTCACTGAGTCAGGCTTGCCAACATCGATCCCATAGCAGATTCTGAAATAACTCAGAAGCTTGATTGTAGCCCCTCCTGGCTGTGTTCTGGAAACAGCTCTTCCAAGTACAGCTCCCTCTGGGAGACAAGCCCCTCTGAATCCCTGTGACAGGTTTGCCAATTTCTTTCCCAGAGTAGATCCTCAAATGATCCTGGATTTCATTTCTGGCCCTTTCTGTCTTGAAGATAAGAGTAGTTCCATTTGCCTGGAGAACCAGAAGGAAGCACACCCTGTAGGGCCCCTGCATAGTGACACCCTGAACTTGGTCTCACTGTAGATCTTGAAATAACCCTATAAATTGACTCCAGTCCTCCTCAGCTGCAGTCTAAGAACTGGCCTGCTCACCCAGAAAATCACTGGGAGACATACCAATTCATGACCCTGGAGACAGGCCTAAAGATTTGGTATTGATGGTGGACCCTGAAATAACCTTGTATCTCAGTTCAGAACATCTTAACTATGGAACCCATCCAGTGATCCAGTGAGATCTCTCCTATTTGAAGGGAAGCCACACCCCTCAGTACATATGGTAACAGACCTGGCATCTGCAAACCCTAAAGTTGACCTTTATCTCAATGCCAGCCACACAGACCAGGTCCTGAAGACAATTCAGTCTACTCAGGGACATAGAGGCCCATGCCCACTAGAATCCCTGGTAACAGGCTTTCCAATGAAGACTCAGCATCAGTCATGAGACCTGATCCAATCCCACTCAATGGCAATCCCAGAGGTAATCTTATCAGCTGGGAGACCTAACAGGAGAAGATTTTAACTTGCTAAAACCAGTCTGTAAAGATTGAAAAGGGGACTTGCCCCTTCAAGTGCACTGGTACTAATGGAAGGCTTTGCAGATAATAAAGAATTGGGCAAGCATGACACCACCAAGGGAAACTAATACAGTTTCAATAATCAGCTCCAAAGAAATGGAGATATAAAATTTACCTGAAAAAGAATTCAAAATAATAATTTTAAAGAAGCTCAATGAGAAGCAACAAAATACAGACAGAAAAACAATACCTGAGCAAAATAAGTTTAATAAAGGAAAAGAAAGCATAAAAAAGACCCAAACAGAAATCCTGGACAATGCAATGACAGGACTAAAAGATTCAATAGAAAATTTTAACAGCAGGCTTGATCATGCAGAAAAAATAATTAGTGAACTTGAAGACAATTCAGTTGAAATTAGACAATTAAAGAAACTAAAAGAAAAAAACTGAAAAAGAGTGAAGAAAACATAAGGGACATACAGGACATCATCAAACATACAAATATATAAATTATGGAGGTACCAGAAGGGGAAGAGAAAGAGAAAGGAGCAGAAAGATTATTTAAATAATTACTCTCTGCAAGCTTTCCAAATATTGGGAGGGATACAGACATACAGATTCAGGAAGTTGAAAAGATCTCAAGTAAGATCAAGAGAAAAAGGAATATTCCAATATATGTTATAATCTAATTGTCAAAGTCAAAATCAAAAAGAGAATCTTGAAAGCCACAAGAGAGAAGAAACTCATCACATGTAAAGAATCTCTGTAAGGCCATAAATGAATATCTCAACAGAAATCTTGCAAGTCAGGAAGGAGTGGGATGACTTATTCAAAAAGCTATCCTTCAGAAAGGAAGGAGAGATAAAGACATTGCAGGAACAAACAAAAGCTGAAAGAATTCATTACCACAAGATTGGCCTTACAAAAAATGCTAAAGGGAGTTCTTTGAGTTGAAATGAAAGGATAATAAAAAACAATATGAAAACATGAAAGTATAAAGCTAACTGCTAAAAGTAAATACATGGTCAACTTCACAACACCCTCATACTGTAAAGCTAATGGGTAAATCCCTCTTAAGTCTAGTATAAAAGTTAAAAGACAAATGTTTTAAAAACAACTATAGCTATAAAAAATTGGTTAACAGATGCAAAACATAAATAAATGTAGAGTATGATATCAATAGCATAAAATGTGAAGCGAGGGAGAAGTATGGAATCTCTGTATGTGATAGAAGTTAAGGTACTATTAGCTTAAATAAGAATATTATAACAGTAAGATTTCTAATATAAATCTCATGGTAACCATAAAGGAGAAACCTCTAGTATATAGAAAAAGATAAATGAATCAAAGTATACTACCACAAAACTGCAACAAATCACAAAGAGCAAGAAAGGGAAAAAGGAACAAAGAACTACAAAACATTTGGGAAAAGAATAACGATTCTAGTAGTAATTTCTTATATTTCAATAATTATATTAAATGAATTAAAATCTCCAGTCAAAACCACAAAACAGCTGAGTGGATTAAAAAATGCAAAACAAGATCCAATGATATGCAGCCTATAAGAAATTTAGCCTTAAGAACACACATAGATTGAGAGTGAAGGGATGGAAATAGATATTCCAGACAAATGGTAACCAAAAGAGCAGGGATGAGTATACGTATATCAGACAAAATAGACTTTAAGAAAAAAATGGTAAAAAAAAAAAAAAAAAAAGACAAAGAAGGTCATCATTTAATGATAAAGAAGTACATTTATCAAGAGACTATAACAATTTTAAATATATATATGCAACCAACAGTGGAATGCTTAAATATATAAAGCAAATATAAATAGATCCAAAGGGTAGGATAAGGTACAATATAACAATAGTAGAGTACTTTAATATTGCACTTTAAGAAATTGATTGATTATTCAGACAGAAAATCAATAGGGCAAGAGTAGATTTGAATAAGATTTTAGACCAAATGGATCTAACAGGCATATATAGAACATTCCCATTCAATAGAAACAGAATATACATTCTTCTCAAAAACACACAGAATATTCTCTATGATAAATAATCTCTTTGGCCACAGAACAAATCTTAACAAATTTAAGAAGATTGAAATAATATCAAGTATTTTTTCTGACCATAATGGAATAAAACTATAAATCAATAGCATGAGAAAGTTTGTAAAGTTTACAAATATATGGAAATTAAACTATATGTTCCCAAACAACCAATGGGCAGTGGGTTAAAGAAGAAATTAAAAATATCCTAAGACAAATGAAAATGAAAACATAACATGCAAAAACTTACGGAATGCAGCAAAAGTAGTTTTAAGAGAGAAGGCTATAGCAATAAATGACTACATTGAAAAAATAAAAAAGAAAGATCTCAAATAAACAATTTATTACACCTCAAGGAACTAGAAAAGAAAGAACAAACTAAGCCCAAAGTTAGTTGAAGGAAGTAAAATATGAATAATAAAAATCAGATCAGAGATATTTAGTAAATAATATATATATAATAAAGATATAAACAAATAAAGATAAAAATAAATGAAATACACTAGACAGACAATAGAAAAAATCAATAAAACTATGAGTTAGTTTTTTGAAAAGATAAACAAAATCAACAAATCTTTAGCCAGACTAAGAAAAAAAGAGAAGACTCAAATATGTAAAATCAGAACTAAAAGTGGAGCCATTACAACTGATACCACAAGAATACAATGGATCATAAGAGTCTAGCATGAGCAATTATGTGCTTATAAATTGGACAACCTAGAATAAATTGGTTAATTCCTAGAAACATACAAACTCCAAGACTGAATAAAGGAGAAACAGAAAATCTGAACAGATGAATAAGTAAGAAAATTGCATCAAAAATGTAAAATCTTGCATCTAAGAAAAGCCCAGGACCTGATGTCTTTACTGTTGAATTCTGACATTTAAAGAGGAACTAATACCAATCCTTCTCAAGCTCTTCCAAAAAATTAAAGAGAGGACACATCCAAAGTCATTTTATGAAGCCAGCATTACCTTAATACCAATGCCACACAAGGGCATGACAACAAAAGAAAATTACAGGCCAGTATCTATGATGAACAAAATACTAGCAAATCAAATTCAACAGCACATTCAAAGGATCATTCACTATTATCAAGTGGGATTTATCCCTGGGATGCAAGGATGGTTCAATATATGCAGATAAATAAATGTGATATTCAATATTAACAGAATGAAGGACAGAAAATATATGATTACCTCATTACATACATAAAAAGCATTTGACAAAATTTAACATTCTTTCATGACAAAAACCCTTAACAAATTAGGAATGGAATAAATGTACCTCAATATAATAAAGGCTATATATGATAAGCCCATAGCTAACATTATGCTCAACAATGAAATATTGTAACCTTTTCCTTTAAGATCTGGAATAGACAAGGATGCCCACTCGCACTACATCTATTCAACATAGTATTGGAAGGCATTGCCAGAGAAATTAGGCAAAAGAAAGAAATTAAAGGCATCCAAATGGAAAAAACAAAGATGCAAAATTGTCTTTGTTTGCTGACAACATGATCTTACATACAGAAAATCCTAAAGATGCCACCAAAAAAAATAATAATAATGGTTAGAACTAATAGACAAATGCAGTAAAGTTTCAGGATACAAAATCAACAAACAAAGTAAATAATGTTTCTTTACACTAACAACAAGCTATCTGAAGAAGAAATTAAGAAATCAAGGAATCAATCCCATTCACAGTAGCATAAAAAACCTAAAATAAAATGCTTAGGATTAAATTTAACCAAGAAGGTGGAAGATCTCTATACTAAAAACTATATAACATTGATGAATGAAATTGTAGATGACATGAATAAATGGAAAAGTTTTGTGTTCATGGATTAAAAGAGTTAATATTGTTAAATGTCTATACTAACTCAAAGCATCTACAGATTTAATCCAATTCCTATTGAAATTCCAATGTCATTTTTCACAGAAATAAAAAAAATTGTGACAACATGGATAAACCTGAGGATATTATGCCAAGTAAAATAAACCAGGCACAGAAACACAAATACTGTATGATCTCACTCACAGTATTAATTAGTATTAGTTAAACTAATAAAAGTGGGGAGTAGAATGGTGGTTACCAGGTGGTGTGGGAGGTGTGGATGGGAAGAGGAAGATATTGATCAAAGGGTTCAAAATTTCACTTAGACAGGAGGAATAAGCTTTAGTGATCATTTGCACAGAATGGTGACTACAATAAATAATAATGCATTCTATATTCCAAAGTTGCTGAAAGAGTAGATCTTAAATGTTTTCACAACAAAAAATAGGTATGTGAGGTTACATATTTGTTACTTAACTTGATTTATACATTCCACAATGTAAACATATGTAAAAACATCATATTTTACATCATTAATATATAATACATAAAATTGTTATTTTTCAGTTAAAATACATTTTAAAAACTAAAAATAAAAAATTAATAATAGTGCCTAGTTTATAGGGTTGTTGTGAGAATTAAATGAGATAGATTGTGGAAGGAACTTAAAAATGATGCTAGGTACATAGCAAGTGCTCGATAAATGATAACTGTATAATAAATTCATTTGTTACCTAACTGAATATTATGGCATAACAAAAGCCTGTACAAATGAGAAACTAGTATCTTTTACAGACATAGACATGTTCATGTCTGCATTTTAAAGTCAATCAAACAAACAAAAAACCCAGAGCTGGCCGGGCACGGTGGCTCACGCCTGCAGTCCTAGCACTTTGGGAGGCCGAGGCGGGTGGATCACGAGGTCAGGAGATCGAGACCATCCTGGCTAACACGATGAAACCCCGTCTCTACTAAAAATACAAAAAATTAGCCGGGTGTGGAGGCGGGCGCCTGTGGTACCAGCTGCTCGGGAGGCTGAGGCAGGAGAAAGGCATGAACCCAGGAGACAGAGCTTTCAGTGAGCGGAGATCGCGCCACTGCACTCCAGCCTGGGCGACAGAGCGAGACTCTGTCTCAAAACACACACACACACACACACACACACACACACACACACACACACACCCAGAGTTACAACTTCAAAGTTATGTTTGTAAGAAGTGAAATGTCTACAGGTGTGGCAGAGGAAAATTTATTCTGAGATTGGCAGAAAAGTTAAGTAAACCTAGCTGTCCTAGATAACATGCTGATGGTTTCTTATTGACAAAATGTGGTAATGCAGCAAATTTGAGTGGTTTTATTGCTTTTTAGAGTAAATTAGTTTAAAGTATATTTCAAAATTTGAATTAGAAGCTTGCAGAACTTTGCAGAGTTCTTGAATAATTTGGAGATTAAAGATTATGGTCAAAACTATTGTTCTAGATGAGAATAAGCTTTCAATCAAGTGTCTTTGTTTAACTTTGGGCTTTCAGTAGCATGTGTGTGCATATTATGTGTATTTGGTCATAATTATTTCTGGGTAAGATTGTTTGGCTCATAGTGCTCTTAATGGCACTATATTGTTTGCAGGGGCAGTTACTGAAGGCCAAGCATTGCCTTTAAGGTACTGAAGACAGAAAGAAAGAAGTCTTGAGATGACTGATTTAATCTACTGAGGCTGGTGATAGCCTTGCATTCCTGGTGATAGAGGTTGAGGTAGCAGGAAGCATTGGAATAGTACATCTTCCCTGCAGATCTATTTATTTGGCATGGGCTGAAGATAAAGGGATCCTATTAAGAATTATGGTTGGTTAGCCCAGGATTTGAACTAATAGTCTTGGCACTAAATAATCCTTAGAAGAGGATAGACTAATCTACCTAAAATCAAAATGGAGCTTTCCACATTAATGAAACCTAATTTATAAAAATCAGTTAAAAATTTTGCCTACAAATTTATATTATAAAACCCAAAGTTATTTAAGAGAAGTATAGACATTGCTTCTGGATGAGTTATTAGAAAACATACGCAATGCATTGTCAATTAAGAGTTAAAATTTGAAGCTATTTTATTTTAAATTAATACAACCAATTATTAAACTCAAAGCATTGTCTTCATTTTGCATTGTAGCATGTGGGTTAGAGAACAAACATAACCATAGGTAGTTAAAGCTATAGGTACTTTTTATTTTCAGAGTAAAAGAAAATAGTTTTTAAAATAAGATATATACATACATATGCATTATATAAATAAAATGCTTACTGACTATGTGTGAAAAGATGGAGCACTTGTTTAATAAGACTGAAAATGCACAATGGGTGATGTAAAATGCATATAAAATTAAACCAAGCAGGTACATTAATCACTGCCACCAGGACAAATGGATTCAAGCAGCAAACATTTATTTAAATAACCTACGGCAGGATGGAGGAGAATAGCAGAAGATAAAAAGCACTAGAAAAATTTTATAGGTTTTTCACTCACCAAATACCTCAGGGGTTAACGGAGAAAAAATAGGAAATGACCAGACTTATTTGGCCTTTTCTTTTTTGACAGAGATGGAGAAAAGGTGATAGTGGGTGGCCATCTTCTTAATGACCTAATTGTAAACCCATTTGTTTTAGATGGCTAATCTGTTTTTATTGTGTCAGTATAGATGACTTGGATAATTGCTGGCCCTGTGGCTCTGAAGCGATCAGATGGCACATTATAAATTGGAAAGTAGCCAGGTCTTGCCCAATATAGAGCTGGTTAAAACCTTTGATGACACAAGTGTCTAATAAATAAAATACACCTCATCAGTTAAAGCTTAGCTTGATAATTACACTGGAGAGCAGTTTGTTTCATGTCTGAAATCCTACAAGCTCTTAGATACTCAGAGTTGACTCAAACTCAAGAACATATTCCACTAAGTGTGGGTAAAGTCTAGTTAGTCCTTCACATTCAAAGCATCACCGTTTAAAGTGACTTAACAAAACAGCCTGTAGCCTGCCTGTTATCTGAGGATTATCAGAAAAATGTGGCTTTGATAAATTAAGTGTAAATGAGTCATAAATGCATCATAAATTGTGAGATAGTTTTCTCTTAGACGACATACGGATACCAAAATTGAAAATGAAAAAAGAAATTTGGCAATTGTTCCTGTCTTAAGGTTTCTAAAATAGTTTTATGAGTCTGTGTGTACCTCTCCATCTCTCTCTTTTTATAAGACCTGCATAAACTAAGTGTTATGATGTTCTAGTAGGACTGTAAAATGACAGATACCCTATTTAAATCATTATTAAAGAAGAAAACAATGAATTATCAGTTTTCATCTTCCTTAAATAGCATATAAAATTCTCAGAAGTTAATTCCCTCCTCCTCTGTAAGCTCTTTACATTGTTCCTGAATGGGATTGTTAAAGTGAGAAAAAATAACCCTAAAAGTGAAATATGAATTATATTAGTATGGATGGTGCCTCTCACAACCACAGGCATGTTTACTTGGTGCTTTTATATTTAGGTTGACCTCTCAAATCCTGATGTTTATTGTCTATTGAGAAAGAATTCCTGAACAGGTAGGGATTTCCTGGGGAAAGAGACAGCAAGATTGGTGGTCAATAGTTTTTGACTCTTCTTCCGATAAGCATGTAACCTCAGCAATCTATAGTGTCTTTAGGGGTTTCACTTCATGTAGTTATCTACAAAACCCTGCTGACTCACTGTTTGATATTACTGGGCTCTCACATAGTTGCTTCACCAGCACATACAGGGGTCTGGGTGAAGTTGGAAGCAGCAGAATGTATACTTCTGAAGTGCATTATTCACCTTGTGGTCTCATTTGTCCCATGCACATTCCATACCTAGGATTGCTTATCTCACCAGGACCTCAAAAATGAGATGCATGGATCCATAACAGATTCCTGCTGTGTTATGCCAGTTGGTCCTCAGGGCTACATGACCATCATACATGCCTCATGCCACTGTTAGAAACTGTGAGTGACATTTTGCTAAAGCCTTAATCCCACCTCCACTACCTGACTCTTAGTAGATTAATCTCCTTTCTATTTACAGCTTTTTCAGTTGTGGTCCTTCAAAGCGTTCCTTTGTATCTTCTCACTTTCTCCTTTCCTCCCCTCATCTACTTTTTCTTCCCCATATCCTCATATTATTTACTCCATCACTGTTATCTTCCTTCTATCTGTTTTTAGTGTTTCTATCTGTTTATTGGAGCTTTTTAAAGCTCCAATAGGAGGAGCTTTGTGAATATTACTTAGATAGGGGGCTTTTGGAGAAAGGGACCAAGTATATCTTTTTGCCAACCTCTAAGAGTTCTGTGACCTATCACTTGGCCCGTATAGCTTTAGTATTGGGCTCCCTTAGTCTCAGAAGACCTCATCAACTCAACAAAGCCTAACTACATAACTATATATTCTTTTAAGTAAAGTATTTCAGAAGCAAAAAAAAAAAAAATCTTCATATTACCATGGAAACATAGAGATCTGCTCCCCTGTTCCATAGTGACAGAATGAAGAATAATAATGCCACGTCAACAATAAAGGGATTTTCATTGGCAAGAAAATAAGTAGCAACAGGAGTTGTACTAAGGGAGAGCACATTTTGACAGGTCAAGGACATTTCAAGGGAGAATCACAGAAACATGAGGACTGGTGAGAGGCCTGAGAGCTTCTACCTGGCTGCAACTTCTATTGCAGGGACAGTGACTGATGTTTGTAACCTGTCTATGGTACATCTTCTCAGTAAGGCAAGGCCCTGAGTGAAAAGCTCTGAAGTCTTATTTAGGTGGTTTCATGTTTAGATTGACTTCCTGAGTCCTGGCATTTACTGTCTATCAGTGGAGAATTCCTGAACAGATAAGGACTGTCTAGAGGAAGAGAGCAAGATTGGTGGCCAGTGGTTCTTGACTCCTCTTCTGATGTTTTCTACATCCCATAAGCCAACAGTTCTCTTAAATTCTATTTCTACCAGCCCTTCCTGTTTAGCCTCATGGAATTTCCTCCTGCCTGGTCCCCTAGGCTGGAGTCTCTCCATTATGTTGAATGCACACCAGTCACCAGTTGGTGTTCTTTAATTGGTGGGTCACATCTATCTACAGATATTGGAGTCCTCAGGCAACTTGGCCTCATTCTACATTTTCTATTAATACTTTGGTGTATAGTGCTTCACTATTCGAACAGTCTGCTCTGGAAAATGAGAAATTTTTAACTTTGCATATATGTACACAACATGAAACTGAGAAACTTGAAAATAAGAAATATATTTATCATTTTTTCAGCATTATATTGACATCTTTACTATTCATCCTTTGCAAGTGCATTGCAATTTTTTGTTGACAATATACAGAAAACTTCTCTTTTTATTAAGTTAATCAATTAGAGCTATGGGAAATGGATTGTCCCACTCCTCCCTAACCTGCGTGAACGAGGAGAATCAAGCATTCTTAACACTAGGCACTTAAGTGAGGAAAAGAGGGCTTTTGCTTGGGTGTGATGGGCAAAGGAGAAGAATATGATACCATCCTGCCAACTTGTAGTTATCTCCCCCGCCTAGCTGAACAAACTGGATGCCTTCAAGGTTAAGGCATTTCCTTTTGGGAAAGACACAGTTGACTATGGAAAAGAACTAATGACTCTTCTTGATAATGATTTGAATGTGACTAGGTATGGTTCTTTGGTTGCTCATTTGAAGGGTGGAACTGAATTGAGCCTCACAGCATTTGCTGCACAAATAAGATGTATACTGCAGCAATTATACTCCTTGTCAGGGGCTTTGCCCTTTTTTTCTTCCCAACCCTACTTCTCACTAAACTACTGCCCTCACTATTGCACCAGAACCTGGAGTTTAAATCTCGCTGGCTTAATTATTATTTAATCAACTATTCTGTCTGCTTATTGTGATCGACTTTATAAATATTTAGTGCCCCTCCATGCAGAAGAATGAACTCAGGCTGCCATGTGGCTTGTTTTGGTCAATGAATTGTGAGCAGCAGGGGCATGTGTCAGTTCCAGGCAGAAGCTTCATGAGACAGCATGGGGCTTGTCATATTCTGTCTTCCCTGATTCTTCAATCATGGAAGCCCATGTCAAGGTAGAGCCTTCATCAGCCCAAATTCCTGAATGACTACCATGAACACGGCCCTTTTGTCAAATACAATGCACATACAGCATGGACAAAAACAAACAACAAAAAAACTTTGTTGTTTTTAAGCTTCTGAGATTTAGGAATTGTTGCTGTAGGATAACTTATCCTTAACTTAGCCCAATCTGTTTGATACAATTATGGAGCAAAGATTAGAAATTGCAAAAGCCAAAATTTTTGTATTTTAATCTCAGTGATAAGTATAGTGTTAGGTCTAATTAATATACTCAGAACAATACATTTAAAAGATAAAAACATATTCAATATAATATTTACTTCTTCTAAAGTAGGATATTCATAAACCATATTCTTTAGGAGATTCCCATAAACAATAAGTATGCTTCTGTTCTTTCCTTTTTTGAGGTGAGATAATTGTAAAAAAATGCTTTAAGAAAGCTCAGCAACATTCCTTTACCAGCTCCTTAAGAAATGAGTCCATATCATATTGTATTGCTGTATTCCCAGTGCAGTTCCTGACATGTAATAGAAAATTAATAAATGTACATTCAGTTAATGAATCATTATAGCAAAGATACAACTCTTTACCCATAGCAGGTGCTAAATAAATATTTGCTGAATTTAATTGAACTGCATTAACTGTAATTCTAAAATCCGTTGAAAATTTATCTTGTACTTCTGTCATCAGTCCAACTCATATCAGATTATCCTTTTCTTCTCCATCAAAATTTATAAATGCATTATTCAGTATTTATACATATTTGTATGTTATCTGTTGAAAATTATTAAAATGAAGTTTATTAAAATTAACTGCAATTCCATATTATTTAAACCTACCTCATTTCTAAGTGGTGTAGCAAAGGTTCTCAAATTTTTTAGTGGTTATTTCTCACCTGGGGAACTTTATATAATTGCATATTCCTGGATCTGGTACTCAGAAATTATGATTTCATAGGTCTTAGCTGAATCTGAATTTTTAACCAGAGCCCCCAGGTGATCCCATGCAGGTTATCTCTATACCATTTTGCAAAATGTTCTACAAGAGCAGTGTTTAAGAAACTTTAATGTGCACCCTGATGACCTGAGGTCCTTTTTAAAATGCAGATTCTCATCAGGTAGTTCCAAGGCTAGGCCTGAGAATCCGCATTTCAACAAGCTTTCTGTTGATGCTGGTACGGTAGATCCTCAGACCACATTTTGGGCAGTAAGGAAATAAAGAGAAATATACTTCATGTTTTCCTAAGTTTGTGGATAGAGACTTATACCTGCTACTTAATGATTTTGGTTTTTTGTACATGTTAGTTAACTCCTAAACTAGATGTCACACTGCCTGAGGCCAGGAGGCAGACAAATTATACTTTTTCTCTATCCCCCCATAGCTCCCACCTAAATGCCCAGCACCTTCCTAGCAGGCACTCAATAAGTGTTGTTGATTGACTGATGAAACTACTGGAGAACAGCTGTAGAGCAACATGAAGTACATAATTATATGCAGTAAAATATCATTTTTGCAGAATGGGTTTGGATCAATGTCAAAATGAATTTTCAGGAAACATGAAATTGACAACATACATTAAAAATTTTTTAAATATACCTTATATTCAATTAACTATTGTGATGAAACATGCCAATAAATCTCTATTTTCCCCCTTTATGAATACGGTCACAGAAACTCAATACGAAGTTATAATTAAAAGTATGCTGGGACTTTCATGTCACTGGAAATTGGTGTTTTTGTTACAATAGTGTGGTATAAAAACTAGAAACTCATTATGGTATAAACAGTATATGCCTGATGAGGGCATACAGTATAAGAAAGTGATCTTAGTTGTAGATCCTAGCCTTAGACATAATTTAGTCGAGATGAGAAATAATCCTGGAGAAATGAAACAAAATAGGTTTCATATTCTTGTAGCTAAGCTGTGCACTTTGCAGCTCAGGAGGGTGCTTCTAGACCATACACTCATTCATTCTCTCAGGGACATTTATTTGCACACTTGCTATGCTGGTGCTGTGTCAGTGATATATGCTGCCATCTCTGAGCCAACAGTCTAGTGCAAGATACAAGGGGACCGGCAATTAGAATACTGTTCACAATAGCTGACATAGGAGAGATACAGGCTTACTGAGGAGGGACCTGAAGCATCAGGAAAGGTTCCAGGAGGATGTGACATCCAAACTGAAATCTGAAATGGATTACACAGAATCCATTTCACCCAAGTTCACGGTTGGGGAACCTTTGTACCTAGGTGATAACATTCAGGCAGCTCTTACATTCTTGATATTTATGGATGGGTCTATCTCCCCAATTAGACAGCGACCTCCTATAAAGCAGGATTGTGTCTACTTCAACTTGATATTAATCATAGAGCATGACATATACCAATAACAAATTGAATAAAGAACTTTGCTTAAAATGAAGGTTATTTTTGTTGTTGTTGTTGTTGTTGTTGTTTTGAGATGGAGTCTTGCTCTGTCATCCAGGCTGGAGTGCAGTGGCGTGATCTCAGTTCACTGCAACATTCGCCTCTTGGGTTCAAGTGATTCTCCTGCCTCAGCCTCCTGAGTAACTGGGACTACAGGCATGTGCCACCAGGCCTAGCAATTTTTTTGATATTTTTAGTAGAGATAAAGTCTCACCATATTGGCCAGGCTGGTCTCAAACTCCTGACCTCAAATGATTCACCCTCCTGGGCCTCCCAAAGTGCTGTGATTACAGGTGTAAGCCACCCTGCCTAGCCAAAATGAAGGTTTTTTAGCAAAGGGACACTATCTCCCATTACATCTATGTGGGTAAAGAGAAAATAAGACTGGGGTTAGAAAACAGTAACAGGTTTTTCCTATAGCTACAGGATGAAAAAATGTTGTTTAAGCCATTCTCTCTTGGGGGTGGCGGGGGTCGGGGGTGGAGACTCATACTTGAGTCTGTGTAAACAATCTAAAGTAATTATGGTACAGCCAACCCAAAACAATGTCACACCCATCCTGCAAATCTAACTCAATTTCTCCTTTTGTCTGGGCTAGCAGGAAATTAACCAGACAAGTAGCTGGGATTTGTTATAATAATACTTAGCATTTATATAGTTCTATCTGGTTTCAATGGACTTTATACACATTAATTACTTAATCACAAAAGCCATTGTGACATGGGGAAACAAATACAGTTATTCCCATTTCACAGATAAAGGAATTGAAAATGCAAAGAGTGGCTTGCTACAGATTGGTCTGCCAGTTAGCAGTAAACTCAGGATTAACTCCCAGAGGGCCAGTACACAGTTCCTTAGCCCAAACTGCCTCAAGGCAAAAACTCGTCCTGTAGTCCTAACAGAGAAAGGGTTCTGCATTACCATAAGAGAAAGCAAATAAAGTAGCCCAAATCGTTCCCTTGTTTCTCCTTTTCCCCTCTGAACACAGAAACAACTCCATGGATCCTTGAGACAATATATTAACCTTGGTGCTGGATCCTGTGCACAAGTAACCTGTTCCCCAAGTATAAATAAACTTCTTTTTGCAGGTGCCTTCATTTCTTGAGGACACCAGGGTACAATTTCGCAGATTCTTGCTTCTGAGCTCTAAATAGTACCCTTGTGGCTTAGAAACTTGCCCACTGATAGGATCTTGCCCCAGGGATTATTTCTGTAACCAGTGGGACCCCTGGGTGTTGGAAACTAGAAGTTGCCCCTTCGCCCCTTTTAGGTCATTTGTTAACTGGGAATCGCCTGCTCTATGATGTAGTGTTTGTTTCATAGTGGGCTTTGGGAGAAAAGCTCATTCTGGGCTCAGCTTACTGGCAAGCTTGGAGCAACTAGTTGGATACATTGGTATATATCACATATACAGCTACAGCTTTCAAATGCCTGGAAAACAACCAGGAGTTAAAAAGGCACTCCCAAATGGTGAGTTGCAAAAAGATGTACATTATAGATACCTGATAGGCAAGCTGGAAATATTAACTGCACTTTAGCCTCTTTAAGCCCTGGAGTATGGCCTAATTAAGCTTAGAGAACACACAGAGTTGTAGCCAGGCACTTTTCTTGGTGTTCTTGGGCACTGCTAATTGAATACTTAACATTTTCTATCCCCTTGGGTCATGGGAAGTCATCAGGAAATTCCCAGAAATTCACTAGACCACTTTAATTATTCTGGATAGAAAGCTATTAAAATATTTCTGAAGTATTTTCTTTTTGGTTATTTATTATGAGATTTCCTTACCTACAAATACTTTTCTATTAGAAGCACTTTCTCAGAATCTTCCCCCACCCTCACCATTTCATAGCTCCACTGTTTTCTTCAAGCCCCTTTTGCCTCTAATTTGGAAAGACAGTTGGGAATGAGAAAAATGTCAGAAGCAAGATTAGGCTGAGAAGTGGGCCCAACCCCTGAAGGACACGGCACAGAAGAAATTTTGGCAAAGAAATGAAAATATCCCTGCCTCCTTGGAATAGATGAGAATATTAAAAGCTACCATTTATTGGGTATCAGGCATTTTTATGTCTTTACACACATTATCTTATTTAATTATACCCATCATTCAAAAAGGAGAAGACAAAATAGAGAATTTTGCATTTTTTCAAAATAGATGTCTTCCATAAATGAAAAATATGCAACTGTCTGGCTAGAACACATAGCATTCTAGCGTTGGAAAGAACCTTAGAAATCATGCAGTCTAACCCCCCGTCATTTCAAATATGGGGAGATGGAGGCTTAGAAAGGTCATAATGTCGGTGGAAAGCTAAGATCACATTTTCTCAATCCCAGTCCAGATAGTGGAGTGGAAAAAAACAATGGACTTGGATTCAGTATGCTGAGTACTTTTCTAGTTTTGCTATCTGCCAGTGCTGAGGGAAATTGCTCAACCTTGCAAGGCTGTCCCTGTGCAGGAAGGGATTAAACTACATGCTTTCTGAAGTCACCTGCAGCTCTGAAGACTTTATACTATCTCTACTATACTGCCTCTGATAATAGCAATCATTATGCTTAAAATTATAACGAAAACTAGAAAAACAATGGATTATGCACCTACCTGCACAAGTTTTTGCTTTCTCCAACCCCACCAATGCTTTCAAATTCTTACTCGCAATGAAAGTCCTATTTAAAAAAAAGATTATGCATAAAACATGTTATCCCAGAAGTTAAAACTACAGAATTCTCATAAAAAATGGTCGTGTATCTTTGATGTACAGCTCGTGTAAAATAAAAAGTTTTAAAGTATGGGAAACTGATTTTTGGCTTTAATAATAAATACCAAGAATTCTTGGTGAAATAGGAAACTCTAGTTCCGAACTATACAGAGACTGAAACTGTAGTTCCAAGCAGCACAATCAGGTTTTTCTGAGAAACTCTCAGGGCTGTTTTGGAAAGCAGAGGATCCTCAGGAGAAGCTTGGGCATGTCCCAGGCAAAGTCTGTTGGTTGTTGTCCTGGGTTCACCACAGTGCCCTCCACGTCGCTCTGTAGCTGTGGTGTGGCTTCTCACTCCAGCACAAGGATGTCCGTGGGTCTGAAGACAGTGGCAAAGCCTGAACTTCAACTAAATGCAGTCCACCATCAACAATCCCATCTATGCCATTTGAGGAATTACATGAGGTCATTTGTTTTCATTGCCACCACAATTTCAGACATTAATAAAATATGCAGCCATCTTCCGTTTATTGCCAGTAACTTAAAAAATCCAGTGTATATACTTGGCACTATACTAAATTAATGATTTAAACTCAAATGCCACACTGAATAAAACCACATGATTAGTGGTTTAAACTGCCTAAGTTGAGAATTTTTTTCAAAAGATGTATTTGGTATTAGAGAGACATGAGATAAATACCACCATGTCAGAAAGGGTGGTTCATTGGTGAACATATATGTGTTTGTTATGTTGAGAGTGGCATGTTCTTTGATAATTTTTACTATGAAGTATTTCAGGCAGTTTTAAAGGGTGGCACTAAAAATAAAGTAGTGGGCACTGAACAGATGGGTTGAATTAAGAACAGGTTTAATGCCAAGTTCAGTCATGTCTGAACGGTGAAAAGAGGTATTCATTTAAAGGCTTGTTATTATTTTTTAGAAAAAAATCAGCAAATTTTTTCCTCCTTCTTCTTTCCTTTTTGACAACAAAAGCCATTTAAATAACTGTGATATACAAAGTCTAAAGGATTCTTAGAAAATGTAAAAGGAAATAGCTTTATCTATAAGCAAATAGGGAGTTGAAAATAAATGTAAAAGGAGGAAAAGTTTGTTTTAGTAAAAATGAACAATTTTGTTAAGCTTGAAATCTAATAGAATGTTATGAAGTTTTGAGCCCTAAATGATGATTTTTAGTGGTAAATTTAATTTTAATGAACAATGGCATCTACTTTTAGGAGAAACTGTACTGAAGCCAAAATGATGTATTTAAGCATCAAATAAGTATTGCAAATAAAAGTTTGAGTTAATTGTAATGAATCAGAAACATATGTGTTAGCTCTCCCTTAAATATAACAGCTCTGTAAAGTTTAAAAAATGTTCTTCATAAATATGATTTGTATCAGGACAAACCTCAAGTATTTGAAAGTAATTAAAGCTGTTTGACAAACTTAGAATTGACTGGACAAACTGAAAGTTAGAATATATATTGGAAAGGAGAAGAGGCATTTTTGTATCTGTTTGCATAGGAAGAAAAAAAGTGTTAAAAAGGTGCATTGCTGTTTAATCAGAAGATTTTGGTTCTGATATTGATTGTCCAAACAAGTCACAATCTCTGTGGGTCTTACTTCTGCTCATCTGTACACCTGGTGGGTGAAACGATATCCTGATCTCTTTCAGATGGAAATTTCTGAAATACAGCCGAACAAATGAGATAACATATATGGAAACAATTTATAGAACATATAACATGAGACACATTAAAAACACATTAAAAACACATATGTTTCTCGGTAACATAATTTCCTTAAGCATAGAAATCATTTAGTTATGTACTTAATAGTACTTAGTACAGTGGAAGTCAACAAACAGCTAATTAATAAAGGTTACTCAATGAATAAGTGTATTTCCTTCAAAATCAAAAAATAAATGGATAACTATGTAGTCATATATAAATATTAAATATGTATAACAGCAGCTTTTGCATTTGAAATGACTTCTACAGCTATTATTTCTGTAGGTGAATAAGCAAATGGAGTGGGGACCACGCCAGCATCTTAAAAGACATATGTACCTTCTTAGCTGTCTTGCTTTTGTAAGACAAAACATGAGGGATTGACTTTGTGCTGCCCTGGAAAGAGTATTAAGGTATGAGTTTGATTCATTCTTTTCCTGTGCAGACTAGATGAGAAGCTTAGCTTCTTCATGTTTCTCCTTGTATCATAGACTGTGTCACTCCAGAGGGCACCACATGCTCATCAGCCTAGAAAATCTCTGAAAGACTTTCCCAGGCCAATCGATACCATTTTTAAGCATAATTGGTTGCTTATGAAGCTGCTCATCCACAAGCTATTAGTGTCAGAGACGTTCTACTCTGTTTGTATCTTCATGCCATCAAAAACAGAACCTTTTACTAAACTATAATTTTGAGCTCATGTCTGCCCACTTTCTGAGATTATCAGATAACTTTGGCAGAAAGGAGAGAGACTTCCTGCTTCAGACAAAATTTGCCATACAAAAAGCTACTTTTTTACTTGCTGGTATCCTTCCCTGGCATCAATACCCATGAACTGGATTTCAGTGTTTGCTATCTCAGGATTTTCAACCATGTAGCCTGAGTAGACTAGTTCCTCATGCCACATGCTTTTAGCTTGAACTCTTTTTTTGAGAACCAGTGCTAACTTACTCCAGCTTCCTCTTGATCCCAAGGCCACACACTGATCAACAATGCTCTACATATATGTCCTGAGTGTTACACACTCTGTAAATAGATGCATCACTGCATAAACTACGGCAATACATACATCAAGAAACTGGATCATGCAGATACAATCCTTTTAAAAATTTCACAGACATTTAGAATTATTATAAATAAAACTGTCCCTAAATAAGGTAGATACCTAATTTTTAAACCAATTGGGGTTTAAATATTTCTTGTCATTTCCATTTGGGGACATACATAAAGTTCCAGACAAAGAGGAAAACTAGATGCTCAGCAAGTGAGTGGGTGAAACTTAATTTATAATGATGGGAATGGCAGAAAGAACGCTTGAAAATATTAAAAGTAGAACCAGTTTCAAGGGATATGTTTCTTCTTAGTGTGCATTACAGCATTGCTTGTAGTAACAAAATACTTGGACATAACAAATGTCCAACAGTACGAGGCTGCTTAAGTAAATTAAAATAAGATTATACAATGGAATATCATGTGCTACTAAACCTGAAGCAGCTGAAGAACAATATCATGGAAAGATAATCGCAAAGTTTTGGTGAGTCAGACTAAAATCAGGTTGTGAAAAAGTATATTTTTATGCTTTATACTTCATATTATATATTTTAAAATTGATCCCACACACATACATTGAAAAGAGACTGGAAGGATATTAACCAAAATACTAATGGGGTTTATCTGAGGTTGTGAAGATTTTTATATCCTCCTTTTTGCACTTTTGCATTTTTAATTTTTTAACAAAAAAATGTATCTCATGATTTTTAAAAAAAGGAGTGAAAGAATATTTTTTCTTCTGATTTTGGAGAGGGGTGATAAGAAGGGTTTAATTCGCTTCATAGTCGTATAATACTGTCTTCACAATTCTGCCATGCTTATTTAATAGCCAGTCAAATCTAGTATTTGGCTTTACAGATAACTATGAAAGTCTTGAGTCGAGTTAGGTATAAACTGTCAGTGCAAGTTTCATATTAAACTAGCTGTGCCTATTAGACATAAAAACCTCTTCCCCTGACACATATAAGCACACTCCAGTTCTGCTTTGGATACCTGGCTGTGGTTTTCCTGTTGAGGATTGCACACATTTAGCAAATATAATCCATAAACCATTCTTGGCTTCCAATGTGTTCATCTCTCTTTGTAAGTCTTGATACTCCAGGGAGGTCTCCATTGAGATGGTCTGTATCTCTGCATACTGGCCACTCGTTAATCCAGCTCTTGTTATCTGACACAGTTGTGAATTTAGACCCAACTGTAAATGTCAAGTGCATTCATTATCTCTAGTGCCCCAATGTACCTAAAGTACCAGCTGGAAGTCCTGCCTTCTGTGCCAGACTCTAGCTGCAAGAGGGACCACATGAAATAAGGTCAAAACTGTGAAGCCCTGATATGTGTTTGGCAGGGACACGCTCTTCTAGGAATAACTTACGATCACTTTGATACTGGGCCACAGTATTCACAGCCTAACTGGGGCTACCTTTGGGTGACATATAAGCTCATATTAGATGGATATAAATGAACACTAACATATTGTACCATATAATTTATCCAATACATTTACAACCCCCACTATTATCCTCCACCTTCTATGCCCTGATACACACAAATGGCAAATTTTTAACCGATTGTGATGTCCACTTAGTAAGCCAAAAGAAAACACAATGTGGCATCTCCAAGGATGAATATAAAATTACTGTAAAAGTTGTGAAAGAGAAAATAATTATAAAAATGGTTGCAGCACAGAGTAGTTAAACCAGATACTTATGGGTCATAAACCTGTAAACATTTTAACACTGTCCTTAAAAATATGACTTAAATCTTGATGGCTCTGGAAAGGGTATTGTGTGCCAAAGCATATTTGTGCATGCACTAGTTAAAAATCATAATGTAAAAGCGAGGCACCTAAAATCTTCAATTGTTAAACTTTTACGTCTATTGAATAAAGAGATTAAAAAAAACCACTCAGTAGTTACTCATCAGAATTCCCAGGCACTTTGGTTCCCTGTAAAGTCTTTACACTAATTTTTATCATGGTGTAAAATTTACTTTGGCTACAAGTGAGTATACACCTAGAGATGCTGTTGGATGAATGTGAGATTGAGAGGCTCTTATGTCCAGGCATAGGGGAGACACATCAGTGGGGTTGCAAGTAAGAGGTTCAACATGTGGGCTAACCAGAGCCAGACTTATAAGACTTGTTTATTAGAACATGCGAGAAGAGAACTCAGCTTCTCAAGTACATAAGAGTGAGGTCAAGTCAAGAAATAATTCCACTTTTGCAGGACATCACAGCAGTGCTGATGGCCCATCACACTCAGTGATGTGATAGCTTGGTATATTAGTTCATTTTCACACTGCTGATAAAGACACACTCAAAACTGGGAACCAAAAGAGGTTTAATTGCACTTACAGTTCCACATGGCTGGGGAGGTGTCAGAATCATGGCAGGAGGTGAAAGGCACTTTTTATATGGTGGTGGCAAGAGAAAAATGAGGAAGAAGCAAAAGCGGAAACCCCTGATAAACCCATTAGATCTCGTGAGACTTATTCACTATCACAAGAATAGCATGGGAAGGCCTGGCCCCCATGATTCAATTACCTCCCCCTGGACCCCTCCCACAACATGTGGGAATTCTGGGAGATAAAATTCAAGTTGAGATTTGGGTGGGGACACAGCCAAACCACATCATTCTGCCCCTGGCCCCTCCAAATCTCGTGTCCTCACTTTTCAAAACTAATCATGCCTTCCCAACAGTCCCCCAAAATCTTAACTCATTTCAGCATTAACCCAAAAATCCAGTCAAAAGTCTCATCTGAGACAAGGCAAGTCCCTTCTACCTATGAGCCTGTAAAATCAAAAGAAAGCTAGTTACTTCCTAGATACAATGGAAGTACAGGTATTGGGTAAATACAGCCATTCCGAAAGAGAGATAGGCCAAAACAAAGGGGTTATAGGGCCCATGCAAGTCTGAAGTTCAGTGAGGCAGTCAAATTTTAAAGCTCCAAAATGATCTCCTTTGACTCCAGGTCTCACAGCCACATCACACTGATGCAAGAGATGGGTTCCCATGGTCTTGGGCAGCTCTGCCCCTATGGCTTTGTAGGATTCAGCCCTCACCCAGCTGCTTTCACAGGCTGGCATTGAGTGTCTGCAGCTTTTCCAGCAACACAGTGCAAGCTGTCAGTGGATCTACCATTCTGGGGTCTGAAAGATGGTGGCCCTCTTCTCATAGCTGCACTAGGCAGTGCCCACTAGGAACTCTGTGTGGGGGCTCCAAACCCACATTTTCCTTCCTTCCAGTTTGCTCTAGCAAAGGTTCTCCATGAGGGCCCTGCCCCTGCAGCAAACTTTTGCCTGGGCATCCATACATTTTCTGAAATCCAGTTGGAGTTTCCCAAACCTCAATTCTTGACTTCTGTGCAACCTAAGGCTCAACACCACGTGGAAGCTGTCAAGGTTTGGGGCTTCCACCCTCTGAAGCCATGGCCTGAGCTCTACATTGGCCCCTTCAGCCACGGCTGGAATGGCTGGGACACAGGGCACCAAGTCCTAAGGCTGCACACAGCACAAGGACCCTGGACCTGGCCCATGAAACCACTTTTTCCTCCTGGGCCTCTGGGCCTATGGTGGGAGGGGCTGCCATGAAGGTCTCTGACATGGCCTGGAGACATTTTCCCTATGGTCTTGAGGATTAACATTGGGCTCCTTGCTACTCAAGCAAATTTCTGCAGCTGGCTTGAATTTCTCCTGAAAAAAAAAAAAAAAAAAAAGGTTTTTCTCTTCTGCTGCATTGTTAGGCTGCAAAGTTTCTGAACTTTTATGCTCTGTTTCCCTTTAAAAACAGAATGCTTTTAACAGCACCCAAGTCACCTTTTGAATGCTTTGCTGCTTAGAAATTTCTTCTGCCAGATACCCTAAATCATCTCTCTCAAGTTCAAAGTTCCACAACTCTCTAGGGCAGGGCAAAATGCCACCAGTCTCTTTGCTAAAACATAACAACAGTCACCTTTTCTCCAGTTCCCAATAAGTTCCTCATCTCCATTGGACACCACCTAAGTCTGGACCTCATTGTTCATATCAACATTTTTGTCAAAGCCATTCAACAAGTCTCTAAGATGTTCCAAGCTTTCCCAAGATGTTCCCAAGCTTTCCCAAGTCTCTAAGACGTTCCAAGCTTTCTGGTGGCAGCAAGGGTAAAATGAAGAAGAAGCAAAAGTGGAAACCCCTGATAAACCCATCAGAGCTCATGAGACTTATTCACTATCATGGGACTAGCTTGGGAAATACTGGCCCCCATGATTCAATTACCTCCCCCTGGGCCCTTCCCACAACATGGGGGAATTCTGGGAGATACAATTCAAGTTGAGATTTGGGTGGAGACACAGCCAAATCATATTACTTGGCATGCTTTACTAGATGATGTGAATCACTGTTATACTATAATAATTATTTTGTTATCATTAGTGACTTTTTGATGCTGTCTTGAATTTTTCTTAATTCTTTTGAATATGTTTCCAGAAATTCTAGCTTTGACAATGTGCTACAAAGCGCAGCAGGCTGAAGTCAGTGGAAGCTGGGCAGTGAAGCTTACCTCCCATAGCCTCTGGCCTCGTGATGTCACAGAATCCTTAGGGTATTGCTTTTCCAGCCAGAAACCTCTGTGGCTAGCAGCACCTTTGCCCAAGTTTTGCTCCGGCCCACTGGCCTTGTTCTGCCCACTTGGGCTGGAAGGCTGTGCTCAGAAGTGCTAATGGCCTGGATCCCACTCCTGCCAAGGGTGAGCTAGGCGCAGAGCCATGAGGGATGTGTAAGCAAGCATGGGGTCTGGCCACTGTGCACAGCCAGGCATGCCAGCTGCGGCAGGGTGGGCAGCTCCAGGCATCAGCACAGGCACCGTCTCTATGTGAGGCTGCGGCTGGACCAGGTATACTGCAAGCAGCTTCCACTGCAGGCACTGGGGAAGCTTGGAGACACCAGGAACTGCAGAGCCCCAGAGATGGTGTCACAGCCCTGGCTTGGGGATCCGCTAGGTCTGGGTTCCCCAAGGGGCCACAGCTCTTCTCTCCTCATCACCCATAATGTGGTGAGCAGGGGCCATGTTTCAGCCCTGTCTGTGTTACAGCTCTTTCAATCCTGCCATTCGGTGGGCCCTAAGTTCTTGTCCCATGTCCAGGAAGAATGAGGTATGTGGACAGCTGGAGGGTGAGCAAGGTAGAGAGGAGCTTCATTGAGCAACAGAGCAGCTCTCAGGAGACCTGAAGTGGGTAGCTCCTTTCCGCAGGCGGGTCGTCCCAATGAGTGTCCAGCTCTCAGCAGAGAGGAGACCCATAGTGGTTAGCTCCTTTCTGCAGGCAGGTTGTCCCCACAAGTGGGGGTTACCCTAAGTGGGTAGCTCCTTCCTGCAGCTGATAGCCCTGACATCTGTGTGAGCCTGGATGAGTCTGGGTTTTTCTTGTGCTCAGAAGGGAGGGAGTGTGTGTTGATTGGTTCACAGGTGGCCATGGGCAGCCCAGAAAAAGCACCATAAGCTCTTACTCTGGCCTTAGACTCCATCTGGAACTGGCAGCCTGGCCCTCAGGCTTCAGGCAGTCAGTGGCTTGAAGGTGGGGTTTCACCAGGGAACCACCCCTTTCCATCCAGGAACCTGTCTGCCTCCCACTGTCAACATGTGGTCCATGGTGCCGTGGCTATTTGTGCTGAGGGGCACCTGCAGACCCACTGCTGAGCTGCCCTCACCCCCCACCTGGCCTACCTCCCACACTCATGGATGCCCAGAGGTGGCCAAGATGGCAGTGGGTATGTGGGGGGCGGGGTAGTGTGTCAGTGCTGCCCCAAGTGTTTACACACCCACCAGGTTGTGACAGCACCCAGGCTTGGCCATAACTTTGCTCCAAAATCAGATCAGGCACCAGGAGAAGCCAGGGAGCAGGAGCAGGCCCTTCTAAGCCTGAAGAGGGCAGGATGGCTTTCTGGGCTTCTGAGTGCACAGGGATGCCCAGATCTGGTGCCATGGCTAGGAGGCTGCAACTGCACCTGAGAGTGCAGGGATCCTGCCCTGCCATTTTGGTGGGGGATGGGGCTCCCATCTGTTCCCAGCTCCCACCAGCCCTGTGGAGCGTAACCCCAGCTGTGGCTTCCCAGCTGTACCTGGCATCTTTTCAGGGGCCACTCCAGATGGGCTGCTGCTGCCATCAGTGAGTATGTTGTCAAGGCACATGTTGCCATGCCTTTCAGAGGCTTCTTGGTAACAAGCACACTGCTGCTTAAACATAAGTCTTTCACCCAGATAAAGACATGCACAAGCACTTTCTGCCATTTGTCATCTCTTCTCTGCAACAGTCCTCCCTGCCGACTCTCTCTCTCTCTGTGTCTCTCTCTCCAAATTGAAGAATCTCTATATTTTTTTCTGCAAAAAGCTTTAAAAATTCACTTGTAAGAACTCCTTTATTAGGCTACATAAATTACTAAAACAAAAGACTAGCTTTTGAATTTAATTTCTCTGTTCTTCATTCTAAATGGGTTTAAACAGGGGTGACAGAACTCTTGAAATAACACCTGCAAAATATAGTCTTCAATATGTCACTGACCAACATGGCCCACGAACACATTTTCAAAGACTTCTTTACAGTATTCAGGGCCCAAATATCTGTACTTAGTATACTCATTCCTTATTCAGAAATGGAATTTTAGCAATGTCTCCTCACAAACCAAAATTGAATACTTTTAATCCCTTTCTCTTGAAGTAGAATTACAAATAAAGACCTTAAAGAATGTGTCAAGAATAGCTTGAAATTTATGTCATTGAAATTTAAACATCTATACTTTCAGATTATTTTTGTTTCCCAACCCATCATGTCATCATTTTTCCCCTTCTTCACACAAATAGCCTTTAATCTTTGCCCCAAATTCAGTCCCTGGCTGTCTTTTTTTTCCCCACTTATACTGAAGCTATTGCTTAGAAAGCATTGAATATATCTGACATTTAAACTCCTCCAATATACTGCCGTATATGTTTCCTCCACCAGGAGCCTAGAGGTTTGTGTTAAAATACAGCTTGAGGTGTAGAAATTATTGTAAAGAAAAGAAAGTCATTTCTCTTTTTCTGCAAGAAACAGTTGATCTAGATGAAAAAAGACTATGCAAGCTATTTTCTTTTCTTCTCTATAATTTTTGAACCTGTTTAACGTAAAGGACCCTCAGAGGAGATGACCCATTAGGCTGTTTTGCTAAGACAAAGGCCATTGCTTTGATAGCCCAGATAGTTGATGATTTTCACCCATATCAAATTCAGGTCTGTTTGAATAGACTTCATTTGGGCAAGTTTTAAGAGTCCCTTAAGTGGGTTCAGGATTATACAGCTTTATAAAAATCCTGTAGCAAAGAGGGAACTTAGAGATTACCTAGCATGCTTGATTTTAGAAGTGAGGAAAGGAAAATACAGAAAAGGTAAAGGGACAGCTTAAGATCATAAAGCTATTTTGGGTAGAGCAAGAACTAAAATCCAGGCAATTTCACCCCTAGTTTAGAGTTTATTTCATATAATGAGTTCATTCCACATAGCTAGATCTGCACCCTTAGTCTTAAGCTAACTAGCTCTGCAAAATAAAATGCCAAGAGAAGTGGGAAATGGAGAAGCAAAAGTGGAGGCAGAACTTTTAGAGAGCTGGAAAGAAAGAAATAAAATTTTCCAGATTCCTCTGTGAAACATACAGATCATGAGTTAGTAATTGTTTTTTGTAAATTGCTAGATAGAAAATATTTTTGGCTTTGTGGGCCATATGGTCTCCACCACAATGACTTTTTTTTTATGCAAAAGCATCTCTAGATGATACACACATAAATGGGTGTGATTATTTTCTAATCACTTTATTTACTAAAACAGTCAGTAAATCAGAATTTGCCAACCTTCAAAATACGTCCTTGTGGCTCCAATGATGAGAGAGGGAGGAAACAAAAAAAAGGCAAGGAACTTAAAAGGAAGTCAAGTTATGCTTACCTCAAAGAGTTGTTCTGAGGATTAAATGAGTTAACACATGTAAAACACTCAGAGCAATCCTTGGCATCTAATAAGTGATAAAATGATGGCTGTTAGTTTTATTGCTTTTGTCAATTTGGGGTGGTGGTGGCTACACCCACACAAATGTCTATGGGATTGTCTGACATTTTCCAGGATAAAATAGAAAAGGGAAGAAGCTACCAGGGCCCACATTCTCCTTACACCCATTACTAGAACTATTTCACATTCAAAATTATCAGGCCCCCTCCGTCATTCTATTTTATTTCAACATCAATAACATTTTCCCTGTTGGCAGAGGTAATAAATTGAAGCTTTCTGAAAGGAAGGAGGAATTTATCAGTACATAGATCCGACTGGCAAAAATTTTGCTTATTTGTTGTGTTAATTCTGAAATATTTACCAAGTTGACATGTTAAGTACTAAATGGAAATGCATTCACTTAGAAAAGTCTATTCTGTCAACAGACAGTTATTCTCTGTATTCTTAACTTATTCAATATAAGAAATAGATTAATCATCTAATTGACTAGGTCTTAGTATATTTAAAAGTACAACCTGAAAGTTCATTTATTCAACAAACATATTGAATGTTCTCCATATGCCTGATGCTGTTCTAGATGCTGGAGAGAAAACAGTAAAAAAGAAATCTCTGACTCACAAAATTTACATTATGACCATATCAAAAATAATAATAGGCTCCATTAAATACCTTAGTGAATATCCACTCAACGCAAATTAAAGATTAACAGAAGGGAAAGAATAAAAGTAAATGGACAACTCTTGCTTTTCAAATCTCTTTTCCTCTTTTATTCTCTCTTCTTTCTTCTTTTCTTCCTTTCTTCCTACACTTGCCCTTCCACTCCTCCTTTCCACTTCATCTCCTCCTCTTCTTCATCCTTCTCCTCTTTCCTCTTCATCTTATCTTTTTTTGTTCCTTTTTTTCTTTCTTTTTTCTTGAACTACTGCCATTTTTTCAGTCAGCAGTCACATTGGCATGAACATTTTAATTTAAATAGCATTTTCTAAGTTTTCTAATTTCTTATCAATGAAACTATTTTTTAATGAAGCATTTCAAAAACACTACTTTCTTACGCTGTTTTCAAGATTAAATAGCAAATGTATTCTAAGACCTTCTGTCTTATTTTCTAATTGTAGACTTTTCTTCCAAAAAAGTTCCTTTCTTCTCTTCAAGTGAAATTGCTAAGATCAAAGTTCACTTTTAGATCAAAGCTAAAAGACTGATTGAATTAGTTTTCCTTGTATGTATGAGCCTACTTAAAGTCAGAATCTTAGACTTGAAATTTTAAATATTACCCTTTACTGGCTAATTCTATTGACTGAAAATTCAAATACAGTAGAAATTAATATTTTGGGCCATCTTAAGGATGAATGGGTAGTTTAATTAGGTGATCTTTAAGTTAAGGTGGGGTTATATTTTTTTTAATTTTCATTTTATTTTATTATATTTTAAGTTCTGAGGTACATGTGCAGAACGTGCAGGTTTGTTACATAGGTATACATGTGCCATGGTGGTTTGCTGCACCCATCAACCCATCATCTACATTAGGTATTTCTCCTAATGCTATCCCTCCTGTAGCCCCCCCACCCCCTGACAGGCCCTGGTGTGTGGGATGATATGTTTTAATAGTGGAATTCATAACAGTTTCTTTAGAAGGTAATTAGTTTTTGTCAGACAACTTGTCAGACATTTGGTTTCACATCCTAGACATTTGTCAGACAACTTGGTTTCACATCCCACATCCAACTTTTACAAGTGCATGACATTGAGCCATTCAATTAAACTCTTGGAACCTCAATTCTCTCATCTGTAAACCAGTTATGACAATACCTAACCTATAGATTTGTTGAGAAATAAGTGTATATATGTGTATTAGTCTGTTTTCATGATGCTGATAAAGACATACCTGAGACTGGAAAGAAAAAGAGGTTTAATGGACTTACAGTTCCACGTGGCTGGGGAGGCCTCACAATCATGGTGGAAGGCAAGGAGGAGCAAGTCACGTCTTACATGGATGGTAGCAGGCCGAGAGAGAGCTTGTGCAGAGTAACTCCTCTTTATAAAGCCATCTGATCATGTGAAATTTATTCACTATCACAAGAACAGCACGAGAAAGACCCACCCCCATGATTCAATTACCTCCCACTGGGTTCCTCCCACGACACACAGGAATTGTGGGAGTTACAATTCAAGATGAGATTTAGGGGAGACACAGCCAAACCATATCAGTCTGATACTTTGTTCTGTATAGGATACAAATATTCAGTAAATGAAAATCTGTATTAATTGTAGTATTTATACTGTGTTCCTTTCATAATGCCTAAGACAATCTCACATGAAAGGCTCTCAATAAAAGAATGGATATACTGTAATGAACTGGTTCAAAAGTGCTGATGTTGTCTTAATGTCTTTTTTTTTCATTATTCTGAATATTTTCCTTTTCAGTCATTTTAAAAGTAAACATTATTTTTAAAAAATAAAATGAAACAAAACAAACATTTCAAACATACTCACTTATAGGACTAACAGTAAGATGTCACCAAGAATGTATATTTGCAAGAGGTAGGAGCTAAAATCTCTTATTAAGTCAACCCTTTAGGCATCATTTGTTATTTTAGTATTTATTTCAGAGATTGATTCCCAAATAGAAAGGATATATAATAATCCAAATTATATATAGCTGTATACTTTTATCCAAAAAATCATATCTCCTGATGTGGTTTAGATATTTGTCCCCTCCAAATCTCATGTTGAAATGTGACCCCCAACATTGGAGGTGGGCCCTAGTGGGAGGTGTCTGGGTAATAAGTCGGATCCCTCATGAATAATTTGGTGCTCTCCCAACAGTAATGAGTGAGTTCTCACTCTATTAGTTTACACAAGAGCTGTTTGTTGAAAAGAGTCTGATGCCGCCCTCTCTCCCTCTTGCTCCCTCTTTTGCCAGATTATATGCCTGCTCCCCCTTTATCTTCCACTATGTGTAAAATCTTACTGAGACCTCACCAGAAGCATATGCAGGCACCATGCGTCTTGTATAGCATGCAGAACTGTGAGTCAATTGAACATATTTTCTTGTTTTCTTTTTTGAGACGGAGTCGCTCTTGTTGCCCAGGCTGGAGTGCAATGGCGCAATCTCGGCTCACTGCAACCTCCACCTCCTGAGTTCAAGCGATTCTCCTGCCTCAGCCTCCCAAGTAGCTGGGATTACAGGCATGAGACACCACGCCTGGCTAATTTTGTATTTTTAGTAGAGACGGGGTTTCTCCATGTTGGTCAGTCTGGTCTCAAACTCCTGACCTCAGGTGATCCACCCGCCTCGGCCTCCCAAGGTGCTGGGATTACAGGTGTGAGCCATGGTGCCCAGCCAACATATTTTCTTTATTAATTAACCAGCCTCAGGTATTTCTTTATAGTAACGTAAAACAGACTCATGCATCTCCAAAAACAATCTTTTGGTTGAAAAGTCAAATTTCCTTTTCACAGTTAAAGAGTAGAGATCCTGACTCCTTTATCCAATCTTACTGGAAAGAACTGGCAGGTTAGACATCATGAATGAGTTAAATTTTACAGTCCACCACATAGAACAAATGTTTGGGTTGCCTCAGAATTAATATTAACATGCCCTAATAAGCCCTAGACAAATTCCTGGTATTTTCATAGATTAAGAAGACCTTAGAAACAATGGACTGAATTTACAGACAACTGAGACCTGAATAACAATCGAGAAGACATATAAAATAGTTCTATTTTCTTCTTTCTTAAATTTCCAGATGAATATGCTAAAAAGCAAGGGCAGTTCTGAGCAGGACTAAAGAAACCACATTTTTATTTTTTAACAAAAGAAGTAATACTTCATGGCCAAAAAGAATCCTCCTCTAGAAGTTTAATTACCATGTCTGCATTGGCAGAGAATAACATGTTTGGGAAACTGTCAATATTGCAACGGAAAGCAAATAATCATACTTCAGAAAATTCAACATCTATGAAAATCTGCCTGTCATTACCAACGACAACCTAACCAGACTTCAGTTTGTTTGAAAATCTCTAACAACTATTTTGCATTTTGGGTGATGAGAGGGAATTTAGAAAGTTTTTTCTTTTTTTTTGAGACGGAGTCTCGCTCTGTTGCCAGGCTGGAGTGCAGCGGCGAGATCTCGGCTCACTGCAACCTGCACCTCCCGGGTTCAAGCGATTCTCCTTCCTCATCCTCCTGAGTAGCTGGGACTACAGGCGCGTGCCACCACGCCCAGCTAATTTTCGTATTTTTACTAGAGATGGGGTTTCACCACATTGGCCAGGATTGTCTCCATCTCGACCTCGTGTTCCGCCCGCCTCGGCCTCCCAAAGTGCTGGGATTATAGGCGTGAGCCACCGCACCTGGGCAGAAATATTTTTTATAGCTGACAAAGAGCAGGTTGATGTGGAAAATAAAAATAAACATAGTTCCTGGTCATATGCAACTGTAATTGACACGCATTATGTTTGGCATGGTGTCTTGGAGAAGTCCCTTCATTTATAGATGTTAACTGATTCCCAGAGAGGGAAACTAACCTGTTAGAGGTCATTATTGATAGTTCGTAGCATCAGGATGGAATTCTGAACATTTCTTATTAACTATTATCATTGTTAAATTATGTTTTAAAAAACTTATTTCATAAAGAGAGAGCCTAAACATACAAATATTATTTTTTTGATATTTGCTTCTTAGAGAAACACTCTCAGCACTTACTTTTACCCTAATCAATGGATAATTCATTGAATAAAAGAGGAAATAGAACATTAAAACCCTGATTAGAATTTGCACAAGCAAGATATTTCATTTTCCTTATTTTTTTTGTAAACCAGAATTATAATGAAAAAAAAATGAAAACCTGAGATAATCATACCAGCTGATCAATACATTCTCTTCCTGAAGGCCGAATCCACATAGAAAGACAAAGAAGTTGTTTGGTAAGCATGGATTCAAAGTGAGGAAAGTAAACTGAGAGATTTAGAGTCTGAGGTTAGTAACTAATGGTAACCTCAGACATGCCTTTGAATGGGCCAGATATTAGCAGTTTCTCCTCTGAACAATATAAGAAAAATCCCTGAAAATAAGATAACTTGTTTTGATCAAAATAGATACCAATAGATACCAAGAACTCTTTCAGAATTCTTTACTGGGTATTGCTACTACTGCTTACTACTAGTTATTACCACTACTACTGCTGTCACACGATGACTAGCTACCAATTTTTTTTAAGCAGACAATACATCAGATGCTGCACATCTATTATTACATTCAATCTATATGACAGTTGTAGGGAAGGGTATTATCCTCCAGGGGTTAAGTAAAATAGTGGAAATTTGGAGTAAGAGGATAGCATAGTCCTTAATTTACCATCTGGAAAGGAGACCAAATTGACTCAAGTACAAGAAACCCAAGTGTCCTTTAACTCAAGAGTCAGGCACACAGTTTTAGTGCAATTACTGAGGGAGGTGCAGATCATAAAGACTATCACCTTGGAAGTTGATTGTTAACAGTATCATACTATCATTAGCAGTAAAGGAGCAATTATCACAGTTAATAAAACCACATTAAAATATGTGACAGATAAAGAAAGCACAATAGGATAAATTTAATGGGCTATATTTCTTGCCAAATTTTATATTGGGTGTTAGATTATTTATAGGACACATGTTCTAGGAAAACAAATGTTTAAAGTGGAAATGAGCAAATCTAAAGACATTTGCTTCTTTTTTTTTTTTTTTTTTTTTTTTTTGAGACGGAGTCTCGCTCTGTCGCCCAGGCTGGAGTGCAGTGGCGGGATCTCGGCTCACTGCAAGCTCCGCCTCCCGGGTTCACGCCATTCTCCTGCCTCAGCCTCCCAAGTAGCTGGGACTACAGGCGCCCGCCACTACGCCCGGCTAATATTTTGTATTTTTAGTAGAGACGGGGTTTCACCGTTTTAGCCGGGATGGTCTCGATCTCCTGACCTCGTGATCCGCCCGCCTCGGCCTCCCAAAGTGCTGGGATTACAGGCGTGAGCCACCGCGCCCGGCCTGACATTTGCTTCTTTGAAGCACTGTGATTTTACATTATTCCGGTAATTTATAGTTCCTAGAAAATATGTTTTTTTTTCTCTTAAAGCATATATGACCTTCTAAGTATATTTTTACATAGCACTATTTTAATTTACAAATATAAATTTCCATTGTAATTTAAAATAAACTACTTTTGTACTATTAGTGAAAAGTTTAAGTTTGTTCCACAGTATCTCTCTCTGCCCCGCAGAACCCCACTCTCTCTTCTTTCATATCTCCCTCTGATAACCAGCCCTCACTTTCTAGACCATATTCCTTCTACAGGATGCTCTGTTATTTGCAGCCCCATGCCACTTCAGCTGTTGCATCTGTGAGTTTGATGCTGTTATTGATTCATCTTTCCCTACCCTTTGCTCTTACCATTTCCATTCTTATATACTATACTGGGGAATCCAAGTGATACTGTGATTTTAATGTGAGTTTTGAAGTTGAGTTTATCTAAATGAAAATCTCAGGTTGAAAGCCCTGCTTAATTACTTATCAAGTATATGACATTCAGCTGTGAACTTTTCTGAACCTTGAGTTTCTCATATATAAAATAAGGATAATAATAGCTGTTATGTAGGACTGTTGTGAGGATCAAATTAGAGTCTACAATGTACCAGGTGCCCTGCCTGATACAGAGCAGGTGCTCCAAAATAAGTAGCTAATAAGGGTGCTGGAGGAGAAGCCCCTTGATCTGGGAGGCAGGAGAAGTGTTGCCTCTTACCGAGAGCCCCTGGTACTCTATACTGGTCTAGGCTGGCAGCTTTCTCTGTTCTCCTTCCTGGGTTATTCTTACTTAACTGTATCAGAAGTCTCCAGCCCCCTGGTGTTTCTCCAACTTAAGTATGCATACCTTAACTCACAAGCTTGGTGAAAAGTATAGAATTGTGTCTCTCCCAGCCCCTAAGAAGAGATTCTGATTTCATTGCTTCTGAGGTAGGGTCCAGAAAGCCGTATTTTTATCATAGTGTTTCTAGTTTCAAGCCAGGATTAGGGACCACTGTATTAAAAGCACTACCGTGACCACAGGGTCACTGACGTCTCTGGTCACTCTCCACATTGGTCTTAAAGTTACAACAGGCCTAGGCTTAAGGCTGGTTTCTTTCCAGTCCTTTTTGGGTCCCTCTTCTTTCTCTTGCTTCTGGACCTAGCACCCTAGAAAGGGGCTATTTACATTGTCATTTTGGTTTTTGATAGGATAAAAGAGATGCTGGGTATAAATGCCTCTTTTAAGCTTTTCCCTGGTATCAAAATCCCTCTTTCTCTAGGACCATGGTTCTCAAAGTGTGGGCCTAACCAGCAGTATTGGCATCAGCTGGAGATTTTTCAGAAATGCGGATTATCATGTTTGTTGGCCGCATAAATGTCTTCTTTTGAGAAGTGTCTGTTCCTATTTTTTGCCCAAGCCATCATTCTCAGCAAACTAACACAGGAACAGAAAACCAAACCCCGCATGTTCTCACTCATAAGTGGGAATTGAACAATGAGAACACATGGACACAGGGAGGGGAACATCACACACCGGGGCCTGTCAGGGATCGGGGGAAAGGGGAGGGAGAGCATTAGGACAAATACCTAATGCATGCGGGGCTTAAAACCTAGATGACGGGTTGATGGGTGCAGCAAACCACCATGGCACATGTATACCTATGTAACAAACCTGCGTGTTCTGCACATGTATCTCAGAACTTAAATTATAATTAAAATAAATAAAGCACATTTTTGAAACTGAAAAAAAAACAAATGCAGATTATCTGGTACTACCTTAGACTTACTGAATCAAAAACTCTGAAGGTGGGACCTAGCAATTTGATTTTTTTTTTTTTTTTTTTTTTTGAGACAGAGTCTCGCTCTGCCACCTAGGCTGGAGTGCAGTGGCGTGATCTCCACTCACTGCAAGCTCTGCCCCCCGGGTTCATTTCATTCTCCTGCCTCAGCCTCCCGAGTAACTAGGACTACAGGCGCCTGCCATCACGCCTGGCTAATTTTTTGTGTTTTTAGTAGAGATGGGGTTTCACCGTGTTCGCCAGGCTGGTCTCGAACTCCTGACCTCAGATTATCCACCCGCCTTGGCCTCCCAAAGTGCTGGGATTACAGGTGTGAGCCAGCACGCCCAGCCTCACTTTTAGTCCTTTTCCTTTCCCTGTATATAAAAGAATTATCTTAGGCATTGTCTATGCACTTAGAGTCACCTCTATAACACAGACAGTGTTACAATTTTTGCTTCAAGCAGCAAACATAATTTAGAAATCTCAAGATGACAAGAAGTCTATTGTGTTTATTCATACTTTGGCTTACCATGTTTTTTCTTCCTTTCTGATGTTCCAAGGTTTCTTCTTTTATTATTTGCTTTTTTAGAGAACTTCCTTTAGTCATTCTTTGTAGTCTGTTAGAACTAAATTCTCTTAGTTTGTCTTCATCTGAGAATGTCTGGATTTTCTCCTTCATTCCTGACAGATATCTTCTCTGGGCACAGGATTCTGGGTTTACATTCCTTTTATTTTCAACACCTGGAAAACATTGTGCCACTTCCTTCTGAACTCCATGGTTTCTGATGAGCAATCTGCAGTTATTTGAATTACTCTTTCCTCTAGGTAGGTGTTTTTCTCTGGCTGTTATCAAGATAGTTGTCTTTTGCTTTTATAAGTTTAATTATAATGTATTTTGGTATGAATTTCTTTGGGTTTATCTTGTTTGAGATTCTTACCAAATTTGGGGAGTTTCCAGGTATTATTTCTTTGAGTACCATTTCAGTTCCACCCTCTTTTTTTCTCTCCTCTAGGACTCCGATAATCGAAAAGTTAGATCTTTTGTTATAGTTTCATGGTTTCTGAGGTTCTGTTTTTTTTTTTTATTTTTAGATTTCTTTCTGTTGTTCGGATTGGGTTATTTCGCTTGTTCTTTCAGTTCACTGACTCTTTCCTCTGCCTCCTACATCTGCTGTTGATCCCATCCATTGAGATTTTCTATTTGAGTTACTATATTTTTCATTTCTAAAATTTCCATTTGTTTTTTTCTTTATTCCTTTATTATTTTGCTGAGAGTTTCTATGTTTTTTTTTCTGAGAGTTTCTATTTTCTTGCTGAGGCTTTCTATTTTTTCATTTTCTATTTCTTCAAGCATATTCTTAATTGCTCATGGAAACATTTTTATGATGGTTTCTTTAAAATCTTTCTAATATGTCAGTCATATTGATGTTAGCATCTACTGGTTGTCTTTTTCTTCATTCAGTTGGAAATCTTCCCGATTCTTGATATGATGAGTGATTTTCAATTGAAACTTGAACTTTTAAAAAATTGTGTTATGAGACTCCAGATCTTATTTAAAATTCTGGTTTAGTTGGCTTTCTCTGATACTGCTCTGGCAGGGGAATAAGGAGGTGGTGTATCACCTTGTTTCTACAAAGTGGAAATAGAAGACCAGATTCTCCACCTGGCCTGCATTCAAAGAAGAGGGTTCCTTAGCACCGTGTAGGGGTGGGAGACTATGTGATCTCCACTATACTGTGGTGAGGATGGCCTTATTACTGCTGGGTAATAGGTGAAAGTCCTGACTGTACACTAGGCCTCCTCTGATACCACCTCAGGCAGGAAAGGGAAGGGTGCCTCATTATTATAGCCAGGTGTTGGGGGAAGTCCAGGATTCCCATGTGATCTCCATTAACATGGGATGAGGACTCATTACTGATTGGAGGGTAAGAAAGTCCTGGCTCCCTACTAGGTCTTCTTTTACATCACCCGGCAGTGGGGTTGGGATGTCTCCTGACAGCCTCACTAGGATGGATGTCTAGGCTCCTCGCTCCAACTTTGCTGGCCAGTGAAGGTGAGGCTACCATTTGTTTCTGTGGTGCTTAGCTGGAGTGAAGTTTGTATTTTCAGAAAGTTTTCTGCCTTGCTAGGCTGCCGCTTTCCTGGTCCTTTGGTTGGTGGTTTTTTTTTTTTGGTTTTTTTTTTTTTTTTTTTTTGTCTGAGACCATTGGCATTTCCTGGTTGCTGTTTTCTTCCATTCCATGTCTGGGATATATGAGGCAAAAAGAAAACCTAGGGAACTCACTATCTTGAGTGGTTCCTCAGGTCTCAAGGCTTTTGTCCATCTGACTTTTTCTCTTGACCTTTCAGAGTTGTCTTATGTGATTGATAGATAGACATAAATGTCCAAGGCTTTTAGTTTACTACTCAGTGGGAGAAAGAGTGAAAAGCATTTCCGTTCCATCTTTCCAGAAGTGGAATTCACCCAGTCTGCATTTTAATAAGCCCTCCAGGTCATTCTGATGCTTACTAAATTCTCAAGAATCTTTGCTTTTATGTTTTTGTAACCACCTCCCTTCTACCACAGCTGTGGGGCAAATGAATGAGCATCTGTGTGTTAACATGAAAAGTTTTGGGTCACTGTTACTATCTTAGCAGAAAAGCCTTTTCCTTATTTGTCAATCCTTTCATAAATCCCCTACTATAGTCATGTCTTATATCACTTTAATCTAAAGGTTTGAGATAGTTGCAGAAGGTGAATAGGACCACGATGTCTATGTCAGGGCTCAAGTTTAGACAGAGATCACAGTCAAGAGTGGCTTTTGAGTGTAGTGCCCTAGACAGGAGTTTCTGGTTCATACTGAACATGAGAAAACAGGTTAAAAAAATGTTGTTGTAATGTAGAAATTGTTCAGAAATGTGGCTGAGCCTTCTCAAGAACACAAAGATGATGTGACAGTCATTTCCACTGTGAGCAGGTTTGCTTCATAATCCTTTCCTTCCCAGTAAGAGAAGATTGGGATTTAGCAGCAGCTGGGAGTCCCCTGGGAACTGTCGAGTCCCCTGTCTAGTTTGAACAATGTTCCAGAAGGTAAAAATGACTAACGTTAAATTGCCTTAATCCAGTCATTTAAAGAAGTTATTTATCAATATTATTAGATCAATAAGATTGCCCTAACAGCAACATGTTTTTACAGGTTATAGTGCAACAGTTATTGTTGGAATCTTCTAAAGTAATACTGTGTATGAATATAGTCCCTTTATTTATTTATTTATTTATTTATTTATTTATTTATTTATTGTTGGAGACACAGTCTCACTCTGTCGCCCAGGCTGGAGTACAGTGGCATGATCTCATCTCACTGCAACCTCTGCTTCCCAAGTTTAAGTGATTCCTGTGCCTCAGCCTCCTGAGTAGCTGGGATTACAGGTGTGCACCACTACACCCAGCTAATTTTTTGTATCTTTAGTAGAATCAGGGTTTCTCCATGTTGCCCAGGCTGGTCTTGAACTCCTGACCTCAAGTGATCTGCCCGCCTCAGCCTCCCAAAGTGCTGGGATTATAGGTGTGAACCACCACACCCAGGTAGCCCCTTTATTTTTCTTTTTAAGTCAACATTAATAGTCAAGTTATTCATTTGCTGTTGGCATACTGTGATCATATACCTCTTAACCAATGAAGAAACTGAAGAAGTGAGGTGAGGAGATTTTGTTCTCAACAGTTGTTTCTTAAAGATTATTAAAGATAATAGGCAGCTAAGCACTTATTGTGCAGAGTGCTGTTCATAGGACTTATATGTACATACATTGTTGGGTCTTTTAATCCTTCTGACAACCTACTATTACAATCATCCTGAATTTTCAATGTCTCATTTGTACCCATCGGATTTTAATTTATGGAGGTGACTGAGTGATTGACATAGGTCAATGCCATAAAAAATCTATATATATTACTTACATTTCTCAAGAGAAGGGGGCATGCCTCACTACACAGGGCCACAGGAGAAGAGCCAGACTGGATGAGGAGGCAGAGGCAGGAGTGAGGAGAAAGCCTACCAGAGTCTTAACTGGGTTTCTGCAAGAAAGGCAAGGCAGGGCAGAGTCAAGAGTGTAAGCTTGGTTAGTTTGAATAATTCTGGTGGGTTCTGGGCTGTAGGAGTAATTTTTTGCTGCCTAGTATCTGGCCCTGGGATGATTTAGCACAGGAGGAATATTGGCTTAGTGTCTGGGAGTTAGATGAAGAGAGTGGGTGGGGAGGCAGACTCTGCGTTAGTTGCTTTGCATGTGAAAGGTGTGCTCCCAAGTGAGTTGTTTACTATTTTTAGGGATTAACTAGCCCTGGTAGGGGCCATCTCTCCCACATCTGTAAGTCCTGCCCTATCCCCACCTCAAGATGTCAAAACATCATAAGATAAAGAAAATAGACAGTATGATTAATATAAATGAGGACACTGAGATATGAAAAGTTTAGAGAACTGGCCCAGAATCACACAGATAGGATGTAGCAGAGCCTGGACATGAACCAGCTCAAGCTGCCTCTGAAAATCCTGTATGGCTTTGACTTTTAGACAGCCGCCTGGTTTTTGCCCTTATACCACATGACCTTTAATGATCTTAGGCACAAATAGATGATGAAATATGAAAGCAGAAATGCCTTTAATGAGTGCAAAGAGGAGAACAAAACCCTTGGAACTAGACTTTGGGAGCTTAAACTATTGGAACTGGGATCATTTAGTCTGGTGAAGGGGAAGATTAGGTGCAAGCTTGAGTGGTGAAAGACAATGACCCTGGGCTCTGAAGCACTGGGGTTTACCCTTATCTCCAGATGAAGGACGCAGGACAGAAATGAAAACGTTCCTAGGAATGTACCAGCCAGGTCTGAGTCCATTCTGAGTAATCAATCACTGTGACACAGGTTTTACAAAAGAGAAAAGTTTTATTCGCAAGGCTGCCAAGTGAGGAGGTGGGAGAACAACTCTCATGTCCACCTCTCCAAATATAAGTCTTACAGATATTTATGGGTTAGGGAAGTGGAGTGGTCTAAGGTATGGGGAAAGGTGACTGGCAGTGAGGAACAGTGAAATAACAGGTCCCTTCTGTGCAGGCACAATCAGGGTTCATGGCATTCCATAAAATACATGTACAGAAAATGGCAGCATTAGCATGATCTGAGGGTGGAGTTTTTGGCTCTCTGATGTCAAAAGCCCCCTTCTTGGGCACTTGTTCAGGCCCATTTGAAGAGTTAGTGGTCTCAACAGGTTTGAACCGGACAGGAGTTGGGTCCAGTTCCTGAAAAACTACTGAAATGACCATTACCATGATGACACATGAATGTTATCTATAAAGTAGCCAGTGAAGGTTAAGTTTCAGTGTTTAGCAGTAGCCTTCAGCTACCAGGACCTTCGTCTTCATGGAAAAAGGAAAAAAGTTAAGTGACCAAAAGCAAGCAGGGCAGGTGGACCTGATCAAATTAACCCCTTGATTTCAGGAACACTGATTGTAATATAGTGCTGGGTTGCCAATTAAAGACATAAATCTATGTTTCAGGAATCAGTTCTTTTCCCTTCCCCCCACCAAAGTCTGTGCTTTTCTACTGCTCTTATCTTCTAATACATATTATAATAAAGTACAGAGTGATCTGGAATTATATCTTCAAGACCCTTTCTTTTATATTATTCTACCTTAAATAACGTGGCATCTTACATTTGCAAAGGGTTTACATTTTACTTCGTTACTTGCCAATGCAAGATATATTACATTATCATTCTATATCATTTTAAAACAGATTCCAAATCTCCATTCTTGAGGGAAATTTATTACCCATCATAGAATATGGAGCTGAGAAGGGGATGGTCAAGGCCCTGTACTTCCGAGGTCACATGAGAGAATAGGGGTCTATATAGTCTCTGAAAGATTAGAGTTTCTTGTCTTCAATATGATCACAGAGTTTATTACTCAAATGTTTATGATCATTATGAAAACAGATGACTCACCTTATCAATGGTCCCTTTCTTTTTTCTTTTTTCTTTTTTTCACCTCAAAATGTCTACTTTTAGTTGATGGCCCCATAGATCTAGGTGGTGTGGCTATACCTGTACCAAACCTAGGGGCAGAGTGAGGGTCTTGATGGTTGGTACAGTCTTTCAAGATGCATGACACAGCTTGCAAATGAGCCAGGGTCAATCTTGCTACTCCATCAAGTACCACCTTCCTTTCCCCAGGCTTGCAGAATTTGCCTTATTAAAGATATGGAATTGTTCTTCCTGCTGTTCAACCCCAAAGACCTTCTTTCTCCTTTCCTCCTCTCATTGGCCTATTACCTCCTTAATCAATTCAGGCTTTCAAAACCAAAAGTTGATAAGAGGCATTATCTTTGAACACATCTTTCTTCGGCTTTGGAACTCAAATACACTGAACCCAAAAGCTTTTACTATTTTAATGAGGGAAGAAAAAAATACAGTGAGATCAAAATGCAAATTAGTATCTCAATAAACCACCCTACCATCCTGCTTATAGACTCAGAGAAAGGTTGTACTATATTCCACATCAACAAGATGCTACAAATCTATTCTTAGTGAGACTTCAACCTAAAATTGCCATCTGCCATCATCCTGCTGCCTCCAATAAAGGTTTTTATAATTGCTAGAGACCAGCTGGTCATTTCTCTCATTATTCAATGCAAATATGTTATATAAAGAGAGTATAACATGAAATAACATTTCAAAATATAATGTCACATTAGAAAAAATACCAACAGAATGCATTTTTTGGCCATGGGACTAAAAACAGCTTGTTGGAACTCATTTTGTTTGTTATAACTAAGCCACTCTGGAATAATTTCTTCTTTTCCAATGTGTAATGGTTCATTTCATGCATGGAACAACTGTAATGAAAACAGCTCTTTACTAAGTCTTTGCCTTTTGGCTTTAAATTGCAATTAAAATAACATTACTTAGATCTTAGTTGTCCTCCATCTCTACCTCTGATGCTTAGGTTGTGGTATCTATCTAAAATTCTTTGCCTCATATAGAAATATGTGAGAAGCTGAGAAAATCAATTTTAATGAAAGACAGGATAGGAGAAAAACAGATAGGATTTTAAAAACTCAGCGATTGCAAAAAAGCTTTTAAGGAGAAGCAACAACCATCATGAAATGCTTCAATAAAGGAATTAAAGACTTGGGAGGCAGCCAAAACATATAGTTGCAGGCAACTGACTAAAGGGTGTTAATAAATTTACATCCCATTATGGGGACAGTCAAGGTTAGGTGTTATGGCCAAACAGGAGGTGTTTGAAAATAAAACAGGCAGCTTTTACAGTATTTAAAGTGGGGGTAATGGATAATTCTGTTTTGTGGACTCTGGGACCACACAGAAATATTCAGGAGGAGGGAAGAGCTACCTCTCCACTCCCTATCTCCACCCGCTTTTGAGATTTTTCTTCTCCTGCTCATGAAAGCCAAGCCACTAAAGCCATGGCTTTTTAATGTCCAGAAATGCAAATCTGCTACCATTGTGATCAAACCTGGCTCTCAAATGTATTCTTTCCCATTCTCTTATTTCTCCACTGCACTATCCTTACTTAGGTCACCATCATCTGTCAATTATGTCACTGTAACAGCTCTCGATATCCTCTCCCTAACTTCAATTTACTCCCACTACTGCAAAACTCATCTATCTAAAATGCAAATCTGAACATGTCGATTCTCCTTATTACTATTAGTTGCCCACAAAATAAAATTCAAATTCCTTAGAATATTCTATTCTTATTAATTTTTGTCTTGTTTATTTATATCTACATCTGATCTATTTTATTTTGGGAAATTCACCAGTAAATGCTACCAGTGGGATACAATGCACTGCCTCCCTCTGATAGTCTTCCAAAAAATCTTTTGTGTAATCCAGGTTCTTTTCTGTTGCTTTCCAGCAAATGCTCTGATCTACAGGGACAAGTCCCTTCATGATCTGTTACTTGCGTTTTCTCTTGAGGCTCGTTTCCTGGCACCCCCAACTCCCTCTCTATGTTTAGACCTGTCTTTCCAATCTACTTGGAGCCCACTGAATGCCTTATGTTCTCTGTTCTCCAGGTATATGAACATGCTCTTTCTTCCTCCCAGAATACCCCTTGTCTTGGCTTCTTCTTTTTTTTTTTTTTTATTTTTTTGAGACAGAGTCTCGCTCTGTCACCAAGGCTGGAGTGCAGTGGCACAATCTCGGCTCACTGTAAGCTCTGCCTCCAGGATTCATGCCATTCTCCTGCCTCAGCCTCCTGAGTAGCCGGGACTATAGGCTCCTGCTACCATGCCCGGCTAATTTTTTTTTTGTATTTTTAGTGGAGAGGGGGTTTCACTGTGTTAGCCAGGATGGTCTTGATCTCCTGACCTCCTGATCCACCCGCCTGGGCCTCCCAAAGTGCTGGGATTACAGGCGTGAGCCACCTCGCCCGGCCTGTCTTGGCTTATTCTTTTTTTTTTTTTTTTTTTGAGATGGAGTCTTGCTGTGTTGCCCAGGCTGGAGTGCAGTGGCGCGATCTTGGCTCACTGCAAGCTTCACATCATTCTCCTGCCTCAGCCTCCTGAGTAGCTGGGACTACAGGCGCCCGCCACCACGCCTGGCTAATTTTGTGTATTTTTAGTAGAGACAGGGTTTCACCGTGTTAGCCAGGATGGTCTCGATCTCCTGACCTCGTGATCCGCCTGCCTTGGCCTCCTAAAGTGCTGGGATTAAGGCGTGAGCCACCATGCCTGGCCTTGGCTTATTCTTATACATCCTTCAGTTTAGATGTTGGCTCCTTTAGGAAGCTTTGGCTAGTACTTAAAGAATGCGTTACCTCCCCTAATATGACCATGTTTTTACTTCTCTATTGACTCACAAATCACCTACTCATCTTCTTGAAGTTTTCTTTTGACTGAAAGTTTGATAAGGATATAGACTATGCACTTTTCACTATTATTTCTCTAGTACCTAGCCCTCAAGGTGAAACATAGGAGAAACAGTAATTATTCCTCTATAAACAAATTGTCTAATTAATTTAATTGTAAGTGAGCTTGAAACATGTATATTTCCTTTTTGAGGGATAGTAATACAATCTTGAATATTGTTTAACAGGATGAGTATTTCAGTTATTCACATACCACCTTTATAACCTTAGTCTGCTCTAAATAATGGCTGTGCTGTTATCTAAGAATTTTCTTTAGATAAACATTTTTAGGAAAATAAATTTAATTTAAATAGTTTTTTATTTGTGCATATTTACAGGGTACATGGGAAATTTTTTACATGTATATAATGTGTAATAATCAAATCAGGGTATTCAGGGTGTCCATCACTTGAGCATAATGCATTTTTTTTAACTATAGTCATCCTACTCTGCTATCTAGCATTGGATTTATTTTTTCTATCATATTACACATTTATACCCTTTAACCTACTTCTCTTCATTCTTCCCTGTCCCCTCACTCACCCTTCCCAGTCTCTGTTATTTATCTTTCCACCTTCTACCTCCATGTGTCCAAACTTTTTAGCTTCCTCATATAAGCGAGAATATGTGATATCTTTTTGTGCCTGGCTTATTTTACTTAAGATAATGACCTCTACTTCCATCCATGTTACTTTAAATGACATGATTTCATTCTTTTATATGCCTGAAAAGTATTTCACTGTGTACACATGCTACATTTTCTTTATCCATTCATCAGTTGATGAACATTTAAGTTGATTCAATATTTTTGCTATTCTGAATAGTGCTGCAATAAACATGTGAGTACAAATATCTCTATGATATATTGATTTTTCTGTGGGTAGATACATGGTAGTGGCATTGCTAGATTGAAGAGTAATTCTATTTTTAGTTTTTTTGAGCAACCTCCATACAGTTTTCTATGATGGCTATACTAGTTTACATTCCCACCAGCAGTATACGAGAGTTATCTTTGCTCCTCTTCCTCACCAACATCTTTTTGTTTTGCCTATTTATTTATTTATTTTTGTATTTTTTATTTTTTACTTTAAGTTCTGGGATACATGTTCTATGTGCTGGTGATAAGAATGTATCATCTGCAGCTGTTGGATAGAATGTGCTGTAAATGTCCGTTAGGTCCATTTGGTCTAAAATTCAGTGTTTTTTTTTATTATTTAATTTTCTTCTAGATGCACTGTCAAATGCAGAGAGTGAAGTATTAAAGTCCCTCACTATTATTGTATTGAAGTCTATCTCTCTTTTTAGATCTAATAACATTTGTGTATGAATCTGAATGTTGCAGTGTTGGTGCATATATATTTAGAATTGTTATACCCTCTTTCTGGATTGATCACTTTTTATTATGTAATGACCTTCTTTGTCTTTTTTTTATTGTTCTTGACTTAGTCTGTATTACCTGATATAAGTATACCTACTTCTGTTCACTTTTGATTTCCATTTGCATGTAATATCTTTCATTTGCCTGTAATATCTTTCTATTCCTTTACCTTCAGTCTATATGTGTCTTTACAGATGAGATGAGTTTCTTGTAAGTAGCATATTTTTGGATCACAATTTTCAATGCATTCAGCCATTCCATATGTTTTAAATGGAGAATATAATCCCTTTACATTTAAGGTCATTATTGATATATGAGGTTTTATTCCTGTCATATTGTTAATTGTTTTATGTATTCTTTGTTGCTTTCTTTTTCTTCTTTTTAAAATTTTATTATTATTATACTTTAAGTTTTGGGGTACATGTGCACAATGTGCAGGTTTGTTACATATGTATACATGTGCCATGTTGTTGTGCTGCACCCATTAACTCGTCATTTAGCATTAGGTATATCTCCTAATGCTATCCCTCCCCCCTCCCCCCACCCCACAACAGTCCCTGGTGTGTGATATTCCCCTTCCTGTGTCCATGTGTTCTCATTGTTCAATTCCCACCTATGAGTGAGAACATGCAGTGTTTGGTTTTTTGTCCTTGCGATAGTTTGCTGAGAATGATGGTTTCCAGCTTCATCCATGTCCCTACAAAGGACATGAACTCTTCATTTTTTATGGCTGCATAGTATTCCATGGTGTATATGTGCCACATTTTCTTAATCCAGTCTATCATTGTTGGCCATTTGGGTTGGTTCCAAGTCTTTGCTATTGTGAATAATGCCACAATAAACATACGTGTGCATGCGTCTTTATAGCAGCATGATTTATAATCCTTTGGGTATATACCCAGTAATAGGATGGCTGGGTCAAATGGTATTTCTAGTTCTAGATCCCTGAGGAATTGCCACACTGACTTCCACTAGAGTTGAACTAGTTTACAGTCCCACCAACAGTGTAAAAGTGTTCCTATTTCTCCACATCCTCTCCAACACCTGTTGTTTCCTGACTTTTTAATGATCGCCATTCTAACTGGTGTGAGATGGTATCTCATTGTGGTTTTGATTTGCATTTCTCTGATGGCCAGTGATGATGAGCATTTTTTCATGTGTTTTTTGGCTGCATCAATGTCTTCTTTTGAGAAGTGTCTGTTCACATCCTTCGCCCACTTGTTGATGGGGTTGGTTGTTTTTTTCTTGTGAATTTGTTTGAGTTCATTGTAGATTCTGGATATTAGCCCTTTGTCAGATAAGTAGGTTGCAAAAATTTTCTCCCATTCTTTTTCTTTTATTGTTTGTCGTTGTGGTTTGGTGAATTTCTATATTGGTACCATTTGAGTCCTTTGTCTTCCTCTTTTTTTGTGATTGATTTACCAGTGAGTCTTATAATTTCATGTGTTTTCATGTGGTAAATAGTGTCCTTTTGTTTCCAGTTTAGGATTCCTCAAGCATTTCTTTTAGGTCTGGTCTAGTGTTAACAAATTCATTCAGCATTTTCTTGTCTGGGAATGGCTTTATTTCTCCTTAATTTATGAAGGATAATTTTGCTGGATATAGTGTTCTTGGGTGGCACTTTTTTTTTTCTTTCAGCACTTTGAATATATTATCCCGTTCTCTTCTGGCCTGTAAGGTTTCTGCTGAAAAATCTACTGTTAGTTTGATGGGGTTTCCTTTATAGGTAGCTACATGCTTTTTTCTTGCTATTTTTAGGATTCACTCTTATCTTTGACTTTAGAGAGTCTGATTATAATGCCTTGTTGAGAAGACCTTTTTTGCACTGTATCTTCCTAGGGATCATTGTGTCTCCTATATCTGAATGTCTCTATGTCTTGCTAGATCTTGAGAGTTTTCATCATTACTTTGTTAAATAGGTTTTCTAATCCTTTCTTTGTGCTTGGGGATACCAATAATTTGTAAATTCAGCCACTTTATGTTTTCCCTAATGTTGTGAAGGCTTTTCTCTTTTTTAAAATTATTTTTTCTTTATTTCTTGTCTGACTGGATTATTTCAAAAGACCTGTGTTGAATTCTGAGACTCCTTTTTGCTGCCTGATCTCGTTTACTGTTGAAGCTTTCAAACGTATTTTGTGTTTCCTTCAGTGAATTATTCAGTTCCAGAATTTCTATTTGGTTCTTTTTAAAAATATCATATCTCTTTGGTAAATTTCCCATTTGTGTCCTGAATTATTTTTCTGACTTCTTTGAATCCTTTTTTTTTTTCTTTTTAGAATTTTCTTGTATCTCACTGAGCTTCTTTAAAATCAATATTTTGAATGTTTATCTGGGCTTTCAAAAATTTCTTTTTGATTAAGATCTATTGAAGGAGAATTATTGTGTTCCTTTGGAGGTATCTTTTTTTGTTTTTCATGCTTCCTGTATCTTTATGTTGATATTTCCACATCAGGTGTAACATTCACTTCTTCTCATTTTTGAATTTACTTTTGTGTGTATGTTGTGGGGGTGGGGCTTTTTCCTGAAATTGTATCTATGGTTTTGGATGGGTAGGGGGCTTTGCCTTTGATTTTGAGTGCTTGTAGTAGTGTAGTCTCTGTATGATTTATTTGGCCGTAAACTGTGTTAGTGGTATCCATGATTCCCTTGATGGGTTAGGGTGAGTTTATTAGTGGAAACGGTGCTAAAATTGTGTTGGGGACTGGTATGCCAGCTAGGCCAGTCTTCAGACCCCAGTGGTGGCAGCAGTGGGCTACGTATGCCCAGGGTAATATATTCTGACACCTGTGTTGGTGGTTATTATAAGGCCAATTAATGGACTTCCAGTTGGCTTGCCCAGATGCCAGTAGTGGCAGCAGTGGAACTGGCAGGTGGGCAAGTTCTCAGGCCCCTGGGAAGTCAGTATGGGCAATGGCAGAAGCAGTGGCAGGATGATTCTTTGGGTCCTGAGCAGTGTTCATTGATATTGACAGTGGCTACAATGGGCTAAGTGGGTCAGTCTCCAGGCCCATTGGTGGTGTTTATAGGTAGATGCTAGCTAAAATAGTAGCAGCCAGGAGTTTAGGTCCAATCTCAGGCCCTCAGAATGAGGGCTCAGGTATTCAAGGTGGTGAACTGAGTTGGACAATCCACAGAACCCTGGGCTATGTGCTCTGTTTTAGAGGTGGGATATAAGCCAAACTGAATGGGCTTCTTTTTAGGCCCCCAGTGGTGAGAGCAGGCACCAGCCGTGGTGAGTGGGGGCACAACAATCCTTAGACCCTAGGTAGAGTGCTCAGGTGAGAGTCAGTAGCAGCCACACCAAGACTGTGTCACCGGAGAGAGTGGGGTCATCTTTGGTGGCCACAACTTGGGCTGACAGGTAAGCAATGTCATCCTTTTCATACCCCGGTACTGACAGGGTGTTCTCCCTTGCTCTGGTAGCAGTAGCTGGTGTCTAGCTCACACCCTGCCCTGATTGCAGGAGCCCTCACCCAGCTCCTGACTAAGTCCCATTGACAACTCATGTGTTATTCACATTTGTGTCTCAAATCCCAGCAGCACTTACTTCCCAATACTGGCCTCTACAGACCATGCCTCCCTTGTTTCTTAGGCTCAGCTGTGGGAATGCTCCTAGCTCACTTCTCTGTCCCAGAAGCAACAGCCTGAGTATCCACAATGCCTTGTCCTGGCAACACTGTGCCCCATGACAGTGTGCTGTTTACCAGAGCGTAGGCTTGAAAATACCATCTTGTTGTAGCTGCTTAGGTCTCAGAAAGCGCGTGGGACCCAGTGCGAGATCCCTCCCTGGAGCAGTTCCATCCCATGGTCTCCTGGAAGCTCCCTATGTTACTTTCAGGGCTTGGAAGGGTTGAGGGACTCTCCCATGGGCAGGATTGCATGATTTCATGGTAGGAATGTGGGCCATTGAAATTCTCTCATTCACACTTCCCCTACATCGGGAGATTACTCCTGGCTCCCAGCCACTCCCTGTCAGGGAGGCTGCCGTTTTCCCTTCTCCTTCTATACTTTGGTGTTTCCTGTCACTTCTATGTTGAAATCCAGTGTCGTCTCTGGGACAATGTATTTGAAGTGTGACTGTCTATACACTATTCTGGTTCTCCTAAGTGGAGAAGGCAGGCATGGAATTCTTCTAGTTAGACATCTTGCATCGCCCTCCCTAAAATAAGTTTATTTTTAAAGGCAACTTTATGCCATTATTATAAGTGAAAAAAGCATTATTTGCCACAAATAGTAGGTACAGATTAATGCAAATTAAAAGCAATATACAGCTATTAAAAATGTATGCATGAACATAAATAATAAACAGTGTGTTCATACTTGAAAATTTGTCTTGTGTTCAATCATTGGTGTACGTGCCACATTTTGGAATCATTGTTTTATATTGTAAGAATCATCTATACTCATGTTTTGAACTAATCTTTGCTCTCCATTCTTCACAGGGTTGTTATGATAAATATGGGAGATAAAATTAAACTCTTCTTATAAACTGTAAAGCTCTACACAAGGGTAATGTTCATTAGTTTTATGCTACTTCTACTGGGGCAGGTAAGTGGCTGAAAGAGTAAGACCAGGAAGACGTCTAGAGGGTCATATTTCACTTATACAGTTGTTTGTGAATAACTCAGTTTTACTCTTAGACTTTTCAGAATCCACCAAAATTCAATGTTATTCCAGGAGTTATTTTCATGTCACTTACTCATTATCAAAGTGATTTTTCAGATTGAAGGACTGAAAATGTTTTCTCATAAACTAAGTCCCAATTTAAGTCTCAGGGAGTATGTTAGTTGGAAACAAAAAAGTTATTAGCACATTAAACTCTACCACCAATATAAACATTTAAAAGTAGAGTAAATATGTACACAAAGTAAAAGCTTACAAAGATACCATACTTATATTAACCAAATCCTACATGATTCTACCACAAAGAAGTTTCATTCCCATCTTTCTTATTCGTGTGTTCATTTTGAATGTCCTTATTTTAATAATGTGATGAACACCCACAGACCTATTACCCAGACCAAGAGCTAGAACACTAACAAGGACTCATGTTTACTTATGTCCTTCCCTTCTTCCTTCCCCAGAGGTCACTGCCAGCTTGAATTTTATGCTTAGCATTGTCTTGCTTTCCACCCCTGTACTTTTATGACATATATATGTCTAAACGATATATTATTTAGCTTTATTTGTTTTAGAAAATTATAAAAAGGGCTTAAGGCTATATGTAGTCTTCTGGGAATTGTTTTTTACACTTGATACTGTTTTATGTTACTAAGATTAATCTGTATTTGTAGATATAGTTGCAGTCAATTATTATTTTTGTGTATGTGTGTATGTGTGTCTATAATATAAAGCACAATTTTTCTGTGGGTGGGCATCTGAATTTTTTCCAATTTTTTTTCTACTCTAACTATTTTGATGTTATTGAGAAAACAAGGGTGAATCACCTACAAGCAGGCCCAATGGCCTTTCCCAGACAACATTGAGAAAACTTGTGGTGACAGCAGCAGTGGCAACCTGAAGACCCTCACAGCTGCCCTTTGGTGTTGCCACTACCTGTGATCATTAATATGAAGTCAGTAGGTCCTTGTTACAATATGTAGCCCCTGTATTAAGAAGGTAAAGTTAGTGAAATCTAGGCTACCCTTCAGAAGAAAAAAAAATGAATATGACACTTTATTTCTACAATCTTTACTATAAGTTAATTATTCAAAATAACAAGTTCTATATTCATTTTATTTTGGAGATCGTTTATCTCTACACAAAGGCTGGAGAAGCTATAAACCAGTAGTTGTTAATCTTTGTTGCATATTAGAATCACTTGGGGGATATTTAAGAACCTTGATGTTTGTGCCACTTTATAGAACAATTAAAGCAGATTCTCTAGGGGTGGGACCTGGGCATCAATATTATTTTTAAAGTTCCTTATGGATCCAACATACAGCCAACATTGAGAACCAGTGCTCTAAGCCACAGGATATAACATTTGTGCTAATCATTCATACTTCAACTGAGCAAATGCAGGCTGGCTACTTTAAATCTGAGGCAAGGAAGATGTATTTGGAAAACAATATCAAACATTTTTAAAAAACATAAAGTAAAAATTTAAAATCTATAACTACTTATAAAACAGGAGTCCACAAAACAGAATAGTTTACCAGAAATCATTATGATTTTCAAAGCAGCTGCTTCTACTAGAAACTTCGTTTATTTCTCTCTCTTTCTTTAATGTATATTTTGAAGTTATGCTCCTCACTCTACCACTCTAACCTTCACTGAAAAACTCTGGAAAGAACTGAAAAATGAATGACATCTAGAATTAGGATTTTCCATTGCATCTCACTTTCTTATCTTCTCAGGCTATTTTCTGCTGTCCCACAATGTCACATAAAAAATTCTTGGAGCTAGAGCAAGATGTTTGCCCTTCCTTCAGGAAAGTTTAATCTACAATATTTTATTATTCCATGTTTATTTAGTAAACATTTGTTGAGCAGGTGCTATGTGCTATGCATTGGTCTAAGCAATGAGACTATGAAAATGAAGAAGGCATAGTATATAATTTAGTGAGGAAAATGGATTTCCATGCAAATAATTTTTTAAAAAATTAATTAGTTACTTAAATTTCAAAACAATGATACATTTGTTTTAAAAACCAAAAAGTATAAAAGAAGTCTCTTTTTCACCATTGTTCAGTTCATAAACAGGACCCTCCAAGATGCAGTATTATTAATTTTACATGTAACCTTCTAGATATTTTAGAATATATACAAATGAAAATATAAATATATATTATCACCTTCCCCTTTTTTCACAAATAGTAGATTATTTAACACAGTGTTTTGCACTTTAATGTTTTTCACCTTACAATATATCTTGTAGACCTTTCTATTTCAATACCTCCAGATTTTATTATTTCACATAGGTGGCTGGTTTTCATTGTACTAATATTCTGTAATTCATCTTTCCAACTCCTAGAGACAAACATTCTATTTTTTTTCCAATCTTTTTCTATAACAAGTAATGCTGCAATGAAGAGTTCTGTGTCCATGCCATTTCATCATCTCATATCTGTAAAATCTAGAATAAATTCCTAGTCCTGGAATTATTTAGTCAATGACCTTGTACTTTTGATAGATCTTGACAATTTGTCATGCACTGAAGGCTGGTTTCCACACTTCTCAGCAACGTATAGACGTGCCTGTGTCTTCACATTATTGTGAACACAATATATTCATTAAAATTTGCTTTTTGTTGATTTGATGGGTGGAAAATGGTGTGGTATTAATTTGCATAACCCTGATTATGAGTGAAACTAAACAGCTTTTTATAATTTCGGTGTTAAGTGAGGTAAAGGAGGTACTTGAACTAAGTAACAATAGAAACAGTGGAGAAGGACGATTTATTATCTTTACCCCTGAAAACAAAAACTCAACTTAAGTACAAGGAGCCTCAGCAGTTTGCTTTAGATTTTTTCTCGAAATGCATCACCAGCTTACCAAGTAATGGTGAATGCAGGACAAGAACATGGTTTCCCATTGTTTTTTCTCCTCTAACTGTTCTACCTGATCTTTTAAAATGCATTGCAACCTCAGCTTCTGGGTTGCTGCCTATGTTTTCTGTAAGTCTGGTTTTCCTTCAGTTTGAGTTCATGCTTGTCATCATTCAAATATTTTGGTGACATTTTTACTACTGCTTTTTAAATATTACTCTTAAAATTTGAATATGCCATCGCATGTTTGTCCTACAACTATAACTAAAAAAATTCTACCTTGTGTAACATTTTAGTTTGCAACGTACTTTGTGTTATAGTATCTCATTTAAAGGTTTCAACTCCATAATTTACTTTTGAGAAATTGCCTCCATTTAAACACATAGAAATTTGCAGGCAGTTACTTGCTGCCAGCCTCACAGATAACCCAACCTGGGGCATGTTGAAATCCACACTCTGAAATTCTAACTTCAAAGCCAGTAAGTACATTTTCTAACTAGATTGGAGATGGTTGACTGTGACAAAATACTCTTTCATTCTCCTTTGCCTCTGCCTGTCTCTGCCTCTGTATCTGCAGAGATGCTATTAGCAGCCTGGTGAGCAAAGTTACTAAATGTCTCTCATCTGCCTGATTTCCCTCTCCAGACCTTGCGCACATTGACTTTTCTCTGGGTTTAACTATCAGCACTCATATTCCAGTTAGTTACTTAAGAGACTTACTTTGTAGGCAAGTTGGTGAACAATTGATTAAAAATTTCTTCCAGCCTCCTCCTGACCTGGTCTTTATACAAGGTTTGTTACTACAATCAGACAGATAGAATCACCTGCCTTCTCTATTGGGATATTTGTTCTTTGGTCTAAAATAAATTAACACAGCCCTGAAAGAAACCTTTTATCCCTTGGTATCCCTCATCATCACCCTTTGAAGTGTTTTTGAAAGGAGCAGTTAAATCAGAACCTTTCATGAAATTGTCAGTCTGATTCCTTGGAGGTCCAGACCTAAACAGCAGAAGCACACAAGCTGGCACACATTATTTTCCTCTGCCCAAGAGTCTTTCCTCTTAAGCATAAAAAGCTGTGTGTGGTTTCCTTCTTTGTACAAGGGCACTCTATTTTGGTCTTATCCTCCACGGCATGAACCGATAAATTCAAAAAAGACTCTGATTCAATTGAATGAAGAAACATTGGACTACATCAGGTGCAGGGAGTGTGACCTCCCCATTATTTTTTTTTTTTTTGCCTTTTAAACTGTTCCTGTCTGGTAATATTTGGTGATTTAAAATGAATTATCTTGGTCATCTCTCTGCAGATGCTTAAGAAACAAATCTGGCTGAGTTAACAAGTCCTGCCTTGTGACAAGTGAACCGCTCTTTGTAAGGCCAAGAAGAAAACACTTCGGATTAATTCACTCTTTTAGGGGTAACAAGCTGACTTCAGACTTGACAGCCATAGAATATGATAAAAACATACACATGATTTCAGGGAAAGCTTATAAATAAAGCACAATTCAGGAGATTAATCTGGAAAATTCGATTAAATCCAATGCCTCCCCAAAGTTAATTCACTTCAGTTTAATAACAAATTCCATTTTTACCACCTCCAGTTTCTCTGTTTTTTACCGTTTCCTTCACAAACATATTTACTTTTTTCCCACCTGAATCTCAGTTCATTCTGTATTTTCAGAAATGCATACATAGTCAATAAACATTTGTTGAGTTAATGATTAAATGGCTCTAAGGACAATAATACATCCTTATCTATGCTCTGGTTCCTCTCCTACCTTTCTCATTTGAGCATCTTCTTCCTCTCCTATCCTTTCTACCTTTCTGTTTCTGCTATTTTGGCTCTTCCCTTTCAGCTTTTAAAATTATTTGTCTCTCTCATCTTGAAAAACGAAACAAAACAAAACAAAACCAGAAAGAGCTTTTGTCGATCTAATGCCTCTTGCAGCTATCACACTAGCATTCTACACCCTTTACAGTCAAACTTCATGAAATGTCTGTCTACACTAACTGCCCTCCTTTTCTCATTTCTGCATTTTCCAACTCACTATATTCCGTTCCTTACAGTGCCGCACTGAACTGAACTGGCCACTTCCCAGTGCTTATTGGACTTATTCCTTTAGTAGCATTTAACACTGTTGGCCACTCACTCTTTCTTGAAACATCCCTTTCTGTTGGCTTCATGATCCAGCATTTTCTTCCATCTTCTTTTCCTTCCCCTCTGAATGCTCCCTGCCTTCTTCCCTAGGAAGCTTCTTTCCTCTACCTGTCTCTTAGGCACTGGTGTCACTTAGGGACACCCTACCTACTCTCCCCAGGTATCTCTTTCACTCCTGGTTTCTATCATCTCCCTTCCAGACCTACTTAAAGCATGGAATAGAAGTACTATTGAAATCTTCACCCAGATGCCTTCTAACACCTCACCTTCAAAATGGTACAAACTCACATCAACTCTTCCAAAATTCCATTTTTTTTCTTATTTTCCAATTTCAGTGAATGGTGCTCTCATCCTTCCACTTGTCCGGGCCAACTAGAAACACAAGTGTCATTTATAACCTCTCCCTCATTCTTACTGTGCTGTCAAATCACAAGATTCTTTCATTTAAACATTTAAAATATTTTTTATTTCTGTCCCCACTGGCTCTGCCCTAGCACGGGCCCACATCACCTTTCACCTTTATTCCTGAGACATTCTCCCAAGTGTCCTGCCCACCTTCATGCTTGCAGGTTTTCAGCTCATTCCCATACACAGCCAGTTTGATCTTTCCATAATGCAAATATGATCACATCCCTTTTGACTTAAAGTCTTCCATTTCTCTTTTCATTAAATCAGAATGCTGTAGCATCTCATGAAATTTTACAAAAGTCTCATACATTTCTACCATGCCTCTCATTCTCTGTGCTTCAGACATGCTCATCCTCAGTGCCTGGCTCTGCTGCCACTTCCTCCAGAATGTCTTGTTGGCCAGAGGCTGAATTCAGAGTTCTTATTGTGTTTTTCCATAGCATACCATCAACACGTTTTTTTAGCACATTGTAACTGAATTTTTATTCATAAATTAGCTGAAGATCCTTGAGTGCACAGGGCACATTTACCTCGCTCATCATTATATTCCAAGATTATTTTCTGGCATATACTAGATACTGATTTAATATTTATAATACAAAAAGACTACCTAAATTATTTGACATAGGCCCTACTATTAAATAAAATGTCAGAATTCAGTGATTATATAAAATGTTCAAGGTAGTCCTCCAATAAATATTATTTCTTTTCCCTTTCTCATTTGTTTCCTAGGAAAATTTACTTAGGATATGGAATGAGTGAACATAGTCTTAAAGTGATTTCAATTTTTACACAAAAACCTATTGCTATTTAGTGCTGTTAGAAGTATAGAACTTTATGGCGACAATAATCTTATATATAGTGTAATGTCCCATAAAACTATTGGAATCATATTTCTAGAATAAATTAAAGTGAAGTTTATTGAGAATGAACAGAATATACTAGTCATGGTAGCCATTCCATAGAAAGACACTTGGGTTTGCTCTTGGATTTCCCAGTTGGAAATTCAATTATCAGATGACTTCACAAAAGAAAATAATAAGGTTTGTTAGCAATGATAAAAATATCTCATGGATGGATGCATTTATGCTGTTTGCTAAACACATGAGTACACATGTACAGTCAATTAGTATTTACTGAGAACCAGAGACCCAGTGTCAGATAGTGCATCTATACAAACCATAGCAAAGGGTATAGAAAAAGGCTGTTGTAAATAATACTTTTCTTCTTTTTTCCTGCTTTAACATTTTTAAATTGATGACAAAAGGATGCATATCTAATACAAAAGATTAACATTTTAAAAAGCCCTTTTTAATTATTTTATTTGATCCTTATAACCCAGAAAGGATTGAGCAGATATTTCACTTTATGAAGAAACTGAGGGAAAGTATTCACTTCTTTATATTTTTCTTTCTACTGAGCATGTCCTATGTACTACAGAGCTTTGTACACCTGAGACGTGTGAGACCCTTCCTTGATTGTTTATGTTATAGAGCTCTTGGGGGGTGGTGGGGAGGGGAGAGAGGGGCAGAGAGAGTAAGAGAGAGAGAGAGAGAAAGAGAGAGAGAGAGAAAACATACGTATACAGCGCTCTTGGGAAACAGAGCATCCTAAGGTTACTCACTGACTCCCTTTCTAGTTTTCCAGTTTTTATCTGAATATGTCCAGCTACATTTTCATGCCACAAGGCTCTGTACATCTTTATATACTCCTTCACTGACTCCATACTCTCCAGGCTAGGTATGGTTAATATACCTCTAGGTATATTAACAGTGTGGTGCTAGGATGGAGAAACAGTGTGGTGCTGGGATGGAGGTCAAACCGTGAGTCCCTGTCTGGTCACTGCCTTCATAGGTGTCGAGAAGCAGTTGAAGTATTAGTGAAATATTTCTGATCCCTGGATCAAAGCTCTAGCTTCATATTCATGCACGTAATGTTGCCAGTAGCAGTCTCCTCATTACAGCTCCTCTAGCCCTTTTAATGATTATAGAGGTGTTTAATTCCTGTATTAAGTCCCTTTCTGTTTAAAATACCTATAGAGGTTTCTGTTTCCTCTACAGAACTATGAATCATACATACTCTTTTACTTAAATTAATGTGAAGAATTTTTGTGTTTCCAACCAAATTTTCCCCGAGATAGAGAAGTTACCAAGAATATACTATACAAACACAGAATTTTCTCAAACTATATTCTAGTGACTAGTTTGGGCTCATGAAGCTTATAATATTGAAACCTGGGATTGAATCTAGGTTTTCTGACTTGGGATTCCAAAGTCTTTTGCTTATATCACACTGTCGGTTTTCCAACGTAGTAAGAATATCACTTTAGTACTTGGCAAAAAGTAGAAAATCAGTTTATGTTTTTCAAATTTAGTTGAATTTTCAGCATTTCACAGGATATATTTTAAACATCAACACAGGGATCACTATATAAAAATAATTTTATTCCTTTTGGAAGCAAGTGAAGAAAATCTATTATATTTGGGAAAGTAGAGTAGAAGTGAGAAGAAAGTAGAGGAATAAAAATTTAAATATTAAAGATTAATAGTAATTTTTATTACAGTGAAAAATGTGTTTTGTGAAATAATCTAATTTTCAAAGATTTAAAATTCATGGACATGTCATTGATGAAATTTATTTCTGACTCTTAGTTTTTATTTAGATTCCTTCTTGTATGAGAGTCAAATTGATGAATTATTGAATTCAAATTCAAATTGTTGAATTGTTGAACAAAACTTCCATTAATTTAGACCAATATGGCTTACTAGTTAAGATAGGCCTAGTGAGTGTTGCCTGAGGTCACTGCAGTAACCGCTGATCTGCTAGAATTATTTAGGGTTGCTTCAATGTACCCATTTAACTTACACAATTCCAACTGTATTTTGTTGATATTTTTATGTAAACTGAGAGCCCTAAATATAAGATCTATGATAAATTTTATATAACACCTCTGTACTGTGTATTATAATTTAATTAAGTCTGTTTAAAGTGACATGACATGGATATGTACAAGTAACTGAATGAAGAAATGACTGATTTTACCCATAGGAGACAAAGAAGGCATCTGTTCCAAGTTTCAAAAATAAGTAGTGGTGTGCTAGACCTGGAGGGTGGGAGGAAAGAGGATGCTAGTTAGAAATAATGGAACAGCACTGGTAACAATCATTGTGTACTAGCAAGTGTGACACAAGGAGATCATGTTTGTGTTGCTATAGTGTAAGGTGCAAGGTATAGAACAGACTGAAGCAAAGTTGTGGGTGTATAGAGGCTATACTTTTATGCTGTAGGTAATAGGTTGCCACAGAAACATTAATGAGTGGAGTGCCATATTCAGACTTATAGCCAGAAGCAAATCTGGTGGCATAATTAAATATAGGCAAAAAGTTTTAAAAGGTGCTTTGTGCAAAGTGTCTTATTAATGTTGATGAAAACAATGGATCTGAAAGAAGGGACTAAAATCTGAGAGAAATTTTGAAATAGAATTGACCAAATTTCACAAATAATTAGATGTGGGGGGCATTCACTAATATACTGCTATTAGATCGATTTTTATATCATCAATATCAATCCGAAAATATACCTTAGAATACTGAAACCCATCAAATATTGTTCATCCATTACAGAGGTGAATATTATTTGAATTCATTGTTTAGTCAGAGTTTTATAATAAAGCCTATGCCACAAAAACCCTTTAAAGTCTAAAGCTTTGCAATGTTTGCTGTCACTTAATGGATCTGTGTTTGCAAATTTAGCTGGGGAAAAACACACCTATTATTTCCTAGGTATATTGTAACTGCAATTTGAATACCCAGATAAGTTTTTACTAGAGAGTGAATGTTAGGCCTGCCTCTGATGGCACTGAATGTATGATTATCTAGCTAAATATTATCAAAATAAATCAAGGGCTGGGAGCAGTGGCTCATGCCTATAATCCCAGCAATTTGGCAGGCCAAGGTGGGCAGATCACGAGGTCAGAAGTTCAAGAGCAGCCTGGCCAATATGGCGAAACCCCGTCTCTGTTAAAAATATAAAAATTAGCTGGGTGTGGTGGTGCGAACCTGTAGTCCCAGCTACTTGGAAGCCTGAGGCAGGAGAATCGCTTGAACCTGAGAGGTGGAGGTTGCAGTGAGCTGAGATCGCGCCACTGCACTCCAGCCTGGGGCCGACAGAGTGAGGCTCCGTCTCAAAAACAAAACAAAACAAAACAAAACCAAGAATATAGCTAAGTGTATGAGTGTGAGTGAGATGGTTGATGGACAACGGGGATAAGATGAAAGTTAGCATATTGAGCAGTGGGATCACCCCAACCATGTTCCTCACCAGAATCATGGCAACCAGCCTTATGTTCCTGCCTCCACATTTGTGCCTTAGCAAGAGACATGTGTATCCTTCTCTGATAAACTTATCTTTCTCAAAGAAAAGTACTACAGATACTGACATTTGGGGTTCGCCAACCCAAATTCAATCGTCCGATCAGTCTAGTGTGAGACCTACCGGTTAACAGGCTATATATTGAGGCAGACATATTTTCTAATTAGCTTTTCAGTATGGCATCATTAAGGATAAATGGGCAGGCCAGTGGTGGTGGCTCACGCCTGTAATTCCACCACTTTGGGAGGCCAAGGCAGGCAGATCACTTGAGGTCAAGAATTCAAGATCAGCCTGGTCACATGGCAAAACCTCGTATCTACTAAAAATATAAAAATCAGCCAGGCATGGTGGCGGGCACCTGTAATGCCAACTACTTGGGAGGCTAGGCATGAGAATCGCTTGAACCTGGGTGGCCGAGTTTGCAGTGGCCTGAGATCACCCCACTGCACTACAGCCTGGGTAATGGAGTGAAACTCTATCTCAAAATAAATAAATAAATAAATGGGCAAAGATCACCTATTATTTGAGGAAAAACTCTGATATTATAAAAGGAGACTCAACACAGTAAGAGTGAACTCAGAAAAAAACATTTAAAATGTATGAAACTTAAGCAAATTTCAGAGAAACTATAATCATGACATTCAGAAAGATTGTATAAGATATAATAATTATACAAGAAAGTATCTAAATTGTAAAATTTCAAACCACTAGCCATAAAGATACTAAGCCTTTCCTCCCCACCCCACCCCCCCCAAAAATATACAGGTAACCCACAAAGGATTAAAAATAAGCCTGACATCACCTTTTTCCCACATTGGAAGCTACAAAACAATGGCACAATGGTTTTAATTATAAGTAAAATTTTACTCATCTAGAATTCTGTATGCAGCCAAACTCAATCTCCTGTGAGGATAGAATAAAGATATTTTCAGATAATGTCTCAAAAAATTCTCTCATGTACTTTTTCTCAGAAAACTTCTGAAGGATGTGTTCCACCAAAATAAGGAAGCAAGGAACAAAAAAGATACACTATACAAGACACAGGAGAGGAGAAAGGCAAGGGGAATTCTCAGGATGACAACTGTTAATTATGCCAAAGGGCAAGTAGAGTGAAAAATAGAACGCAAGGATGGAGCGTTTCAGTATGAGTTCTTCCAGAAAAAGGAAAGAAAAATGACAGATCATCTGATAGGTTTCATTAGGTGGAGATACTATGTTGTGAGTATTAAAAGAAAAATTGTAGACCAATTAAATGTAACAGAGTTTGAGCAAAGAATGATTTGCAAATGGGGCAGCCTCAGGAACTAGAATAGGTTCAAAGAGGCTCAGTGCCACCACATGGGCAAAAGAGACTATGGACAGAAAAAGGAAAGTGACATACAGAAAATGAAAGTGAGGTACAGAAACAGCTGGGTTGGTTACAGCATGGAGTTTACCATTTTTAAAAATGATTTGAACAGTTGCCCGCCTTGAATTGACTGAAACTCAGTGATTGGTACAAGAGTAGAGTTTAGCCTGTTTAGACATCCAGTTAGGTTACAGCTCATTGTGTAGGGAGAAACCTTTAGGCTGAACTTAAAATACATAAGGAGGCAACTTTAGGCTAAACTTAATTTAACAAGAGGCATTTACACAGTTATTATATGGTGTGAAAAAACATAGCTGTAAGTTCAAATAAAACCAAGCAAATTTTAAAAATTAGGCAATTTTAACTCTAGCAAAAACAAAACATTGTTCAAGTAAGAAAACGAAATACTCGGGCCAGGAGCGGTGGCTCACGCCTGTAATCCCGCACTTTGGGAGACTGAGGTGGGTGGATCACCTGAGGTCAGGAGTTCGAGACCAGCTTGATCAACATGGTGAAGCCCCATCTCTACTAAAAATACAAAAATTAGCTAGGTGTAGTGGCATGCACCTGTAATCCCAGCTACTCAGGAGGCTAAGGCAGGAGAATCGCTTGAACCTGGGAGGTGGAGGTTGTAGTGAGCCGAGATCGTGCCATTGCACTCCAGCCTGGGCAACAGACCAAGAATCCATTTCCAAAAAAAAAAAAAAAAAAAAAAAAAAAAAAAAAAAGAAGAGAGAGAAAACAAAATACTCTGACACAACATTGAACAATATTCATATAGTCATATTATTAAAGTCCAGAAGGTAATTTTAAGGGTTTATTATTAAGGAAAATGTCAAACACACAAAGTTAGAAAGAATAGTGTATAATTACTTTACACTCAACTTCAACAATTCTAAACCCCTTTAAAATGATCACTCCTTTAAAAAATGACCACATTCCCATAATTCTAGTCCCCAAAGCAACAATAATATCATTAGCTATCATTTAATGTTCAAATTTCTTCAATATTCTTGTGAATGTTGAATCAAGATTTAAAAAGCTATTCATTGCAATGCATTAACATGTCTTTTAACATTTTCTTAACTCCACAGGTTTCCCTTCCATTTCTTTTTTTTGTTTGTTTTCTAAACATTTTTTTTTTTAAATAGAAAACATTATTTCTCCTGTTGGGTTCTCGGAGTTTTACTGCTTAAATAAATCAGAGATGACACAAACAAATGAAAAAACATTCCATGCTCATGGATAGGAAGAATCAGTATCATTAAAATGGCCATATTACCCAAAGCAGTTAACATAGTCAGTTATTCCTGTTAAACTACCACTCACATTCTTCACAGAATTAGGAACAACTATTTAAAAATTTACACAGAACCAAAAAAGAGCCCCAATAGCCAAGGCAATTCTAAACAAAAAGAGCAAAGCTGGAGGGCTGGAGGCATCACGTTACCCAACTTCAAATTATACTGCAGGGCTACAGGAACCAAACAGCATGGCACTGGTACAAAAACAGACACATAGACTGATGGAATAGAATACAGAGCCCAGAAATAATGCTACACAACTATAACTACTATCTAATGTTCAACAAAGCTGACAAAAACAAGCAATGAGGAAAGGACTCCCTATTTAATAAATGGTGCTGGGATAACTGGCTAGCCATATGCAGAAGATTGAAACTGGACCTCTACCTTAAACCACAAACAAAAATCAGCTCAAGATGGATTAAAGACTTAAATGTGAAACCTAAAACTATAAAAACCCTGGCAAATAATCTAGGAGATACTCTTCTGGACATAGGACTTGGCAAAGATTTCATGATGAAGACCCCAAAAGCAATTGTAACAAAACCAAAAATTGACAAATGGGATCTAATTAAACTAAAGAGCTTCTGTACAGCAAAAGAAACTTTGAGTAAATAGACATCCTACAGAATGGGAGAAAATATTTGCAAACATGCATCTGACAAAGGTCTAATATCCAGAATGTATAAGGAACTCAAACAAATTTACAAACAAAAATCAATCAGCCCTATTAAAAAGGAGGCAAGGGACATAAGCAGACACTTTTCAGAAGAAGACATGATACAGCAAACAAGCATATGAAAAACTTCTCAACATTACTCATCATTAGAGAAATGCAAATCAAAATCACAAAGAGATGTCATTGCACACCAATCAGAGTGGTTATTACTAAAAGGTCAAAAAGTAAAAGATGCTGGTGAGGTTGTGGAGAAACACTTATACACTGCTGGTGGGAGTGTAAATTAGTTCAGTGTTGCGGGAAGTCAGGGACCCCAAATGGAGGGACCTGCTGGAGCCAAGGCAGAAGAACACAAATTGTGAAGATTTCATGGACATTTATCAGTTCCCCAAATTAATACTTTTATAATTTCTTACACCTGTCTTTACTGCAATCTCTGAACATAAATTGTGAAGATTTCATGGACATTTATCACTTCCCTTATAATACTCTTATAATTTCTTATGCCTGTCTTTACTTTAATCTCTTAATCACATTATCTCATAAGCTGAGAATGTACATCACTTCAGGACCACTATTGTACAAGTTGATTGTAAAACATGTGTGTTTGAACAATATGAAATTAGTGCACCTTAAAAAAGAACAGAATAGCAGTGATTTTCAGGGAACAAGGGAAGATAACCATAAGGTTTGACTGCCTGCGAGGTTGGGCAGAATAAAGCCATATTTTTCTTCTTGCAGAAAGCGTATAAACAGATGTGTGAGTAGGAGAGATATCGTTGAATTCTTTTCCCAGCAAGAAATAACCCTGGGGAAGGAATGCATTCCTGCGGGGAGGTCTATAGATGGCCACTCTGGGAGTGTCCGTCTTACGCGGTTGAGATAAGGACTGAAATACGCCCTGGTCTCCTGCAGTACCCTCAGGCTTACTACGATTGGGAAATTCCAGCCTGGTAAATTCTAGTCAGACTGCTTTTCTGCTCTCGAACCCTATTTCCTGTTAAGGTGTTTATAAAGACAATATGTGCACAGTGGGACATAGACCCTCAACGATAATTCTAATTTTGCCTTTGCCTTGCGATCTTAATTGCCCTTTGAAGCATGTGATCCTTGTGACCTACTCCCTGTTTGTACACCCCCTCCCCTTTTAAAATCCCTAATAAAAACTTGCTGGTTTTGTGGTTCAAGGTTGTCATCACAGTCCTACCAATATATGATGTCACCCCCAGAGACCCAGCTGTAAAATTTCTCTCTTTGTACTTTTTCTCTTTATTTCTCACGCTGGCTGACACTTAGGGAAAATAGAAAAGAACCTATGTTGAAATATTGGGGGCTGGTTCCCCCGATAGTTTGGCCCTTGTGGAAAGCAGAGTAGCAATTCCTCAAAGAACTTAAAACAGAATTACCATTCAACCCTGCAATATTATTATTGGGTACATGCCTGATACAGTTTGGCTCTGTGTCCCCACCCAAATCTCATTTTGAATTGTAATCCCCATGTGTTGAGGGAAAGGTGATTGGATCATGGGGTTGGCTTACTCCATGCTGTTCTCATGATAGTGAGTGAGTGAATTCTCATCAGATCTGATGGTTTTGTAAGCATCTGGCTTTTCCCCTGCTTGCACTTCTCTCTCCTGCCACCATGTGAGGAAGGTGCTTGCTTCCACTTCACCTTCCACTATGATTGCAAGTTTCCTGAGGCCTCCCCAGCCATGTGGAACTTTGAGTCAATTAAAACTCTCTCCTTTATAAATTATCCAGTCTCTTGCATTTCTTTATAGCAATGTGAAAATGGACTAATACAATACCCAAAGGAATATAAATCACTGTATTATAAAGACACATGAACATATATGTTCATCACAGTACTATTCACAATAGCAAAGACATGGAATCATCCTAAATGCCCATCAACAGTAGACTGGATAAAGAAAATGTGGTACATATATACCATGGAATACTATGCAGCCATAAAAAAGAATGAGATCATATCTTTCGCAGGAACATGGATGGAGCTGGGGGCCACTAACCTTAAAAAACTAATGCAGGAACAGAAAAGCAAGTACTGCAGGTTCCTACTTATAGGTGGAGCTAAACAATGAGAACATATGGACACAAAGAGGGGAATAACAGACACTGGCACCTATTTGAGGATGGAGTGTGAGAGGAAGAAAATGTTCAGAAAAAAATACCTAGTGGGTACTATGCTTATTACCTGGATGATGAAATGATTTGTACAAAAAACCCCTATGACATGCAGTTTACCTATAGAACAATATTGCACATGTACTCCTGAACCTAAAATAAAAGTTAAAAATAAAAACTATTTTGTGAAACTCTAAAAAAAAGTTTCTCAGAGTTTGAATTTGCTGATTGCATCCGATGGCATTCTTGAACATAACTGAAATACATCAAAGACAATTAAGTCTATGCATTCATGATGATAACACAAAATACTTTATTATTACCTTTGGAGGAAAAAAAGGAAATCAACTAGCTAAATTGAAGGCTGGCAAATGCAGGGAAATAATTAGCATTTATCTTGAATTTTCAATTCAAACTATACCTTAGAAAAACAAAGCAAAACAGTTTATGAGGGTAAGTTTATCTTTATAAATGTGTTTGAGCTAATAAATGAAGAAATGAGATAATTAGAATATTACCATTTTGCAATCGTTTATGAATTAATGGTTTCTAACATACCAAAAAGAGAGCCAACCAGAATTATGTACTTCCTGGTAGAAGTACCTACAAAGTAATCTTTCTATTTTTAAAAAGTCAAACTTGAATCTGATTGAGCCTTTAAAATGAACTTATAAATACCTATGGTAATATACAAAGCACACAAAGTAGACTAAAATTTTAATTCGCAAAATATGACAAAAATCATGTATGGAGAATAGAGAAAACATATGAAAGAATGAAAAGTCCTCAACTTCTCTGATTAAAGGCCATAGATATCAAACTACAAACCATGACTCATTTATCATTTAGAAGCATTGAGAGAAACATTATCCACTAAATGAGTTTAAAGAGCTTGCCCATGTGATGAGGTAAAGCATGAAGAGCTAAGAGTATTGGGGAGTTTTTGTTTGTTTTTTGTTTCTGTTATTTGGCTTTATAGCACTATTTTTTTTTGGAGCATGTATTACTTGAAAACATTTTTTCTTTATTTTTGATTTTACGGGTACATAATAGTTGTCCATACTGTGGGGTACATGTGATATTTTGAAACAAGCATACAATGTGTAATTACCAAATCTGGGTAATTGGGATATCCATCACCTCAAACATTTATCATTGCTTTGTGTTGGAAACATTCCAAATCTTCTTTTAGCTATTTTGAAATATACAAATAAATTATTGCTTACTATAGTCGTGCTATTGAACACTGGATCTTATTTCTTCTACCTAATTGTGGTTTTGTACCCATTAACCAAGTCTTTCCATCTCTTCCTCTCCACTACCCTTCCCAGCCTCTGGTAATGAACATTCTACTCACTACCTCTGTGAGATCGTGTATTTTAGCTCCAACATATGAGTGCAAACATGATCATTGTCTGTGACTGGCTTATTCTACTTAATAAAATGTCTTCCACTTCCATTCATGTTGTAAGTATCAGGACTTAATTCTTTTTTATGGCTGAATAATATTTCATTGTGTATATATGCCATATTTATTTTCTTTATTCATATATCCACTGATGAACACTTAGGTTGATTGCATGTCTTGGCTATCATAAATAATGCTGCAATAAACATGGGAGTGCAGAAATCTCTTCAATATACTGTTTTTCTTTCTTTGGAATAAGTCCCAGTAGTGGAATTTCTGGATCATATGGTAGTCCTATTTTTAATCTTTTGAGGAACCTCCATACTGTTTTCCAAAGTGGCTGTACTAATTTACATTTTCATCAACATTGATGAACATTCCCCTTTCTATACATTTTTGCCAAATTTTGTTTTTTGTTTGTTTGTTTACTTGATAGTAGCTCTTTTAATTGTGGTGAGGCGATATCTTGTTATAATTTTTATTTGCATATTACTAATGAGTAGTGATGTTGAGCATTTTTTCATATACCTGTTGGTCATTTGTATGTCTTATTTTGAAAAATGTCTATTCAGATCTTTTGCCTATTTTTAAAATCAAATTGTTTTTCTGCTGTTGAGTTGTTTGAGATCCTCAAATATTCTGGTTATTCTCTTGTCAGATGAATAGTTTGCAAATATTTTCTCCCATTCTGTAGCTTGTCTCTTCACTTTGTTTATTTTTTCCTTTTGCTGTGCAGAAGCTTTTTAGCTTGATGTAATCCCATTTGTCCATTTCTGCTTTGGTTGCTTGTGCTTTGAGTTCTTACTCAAGAAATCTTTGCCCAGGACAGTGACCTGAAGCATTTCTCCAATGTTTTCTTCTAGTAGTTTTATAGTTTCAGGTCTTACATTTAAGTCTTTAATACATTTGATTTTTTTTTATAAGTGAGAGAGTGGGGACTAGTTTTATTTTTCTGCATATGGATATCGAGTTTTCCCAGCACTATTTATTGAAGAGACACAGGATAGAGAACTCAGAAATAAATCCATGCATTTACAGCCAACTTATTTTCAACAAATGTGCCAAGAACGTTGGGAAAATGCAGTCTCTTCAATACATGAAAACAAATTAAAATTTTTTAAAAAATCTAAATTGCATGTCTTCTCTCAACTGAGTCAACAGCTATTACTTACTATTTATTCTACATAGATTTTATATGTATTGTTGTTGTTATTTGATAGAAATACTCTTTATGTTTTTGGACGTTTCCAACCATTTGCCTGTAGGGAAATTCATCTCCCCACGGTGTTCTATCACTCAGCAGCCCCCTTCACTATCAAGAGTGTGTTGGCTTGGACAATGAATTTTAGAACCATTCTATAAATAGCTACCACATTTTTTGCAACTTGAAAATTTTCCAAACTTCTCCATCCCTCAGACATTTCAGACATTTCAGAAAAGAATTGAAAGAAAGCTCTTGACCATCAGTTATTGGAGAGAGTTCATAAGTTATTGAAGAGAAGGTATCTCCATTAAGCTTTTAACTCAAACTGATTAGCATGGAGGTGGTAGAGTGAGAAGGTTTCTCTAAGCAAAGGTCATATTTCCTATCTGATCTTCCCAAGCTAGCAGAAAAGCAAACTGGTCATGAAGGTATAAACTATATATTTATATCTTTCCCTGTTACTTCCTCATAAGTGTCTGCTTTGTAATTAGCAGAAACTCTTGGAAATCAAGTTATTATTTCACATCAATTCCTTTTCAATTGACTTTTTTTTCTTTTTTCTTTGAGACGGAGTCTCGCTCTGTCGCCCAGGCTGGAGTGCAGTGGCATGACCTTGGCTCACTGCAAGCTCTGCCTCCCGGGTTCATGCCATTCTCCTGCCTCAGCCTCCTGAGTAGCTGGGACTACAGGAACCTGCCACCACACCCGGCTAATTTTTGTACTTTTAGTAGAGACGGGGTTTCACTGTGTTAGCCAGGAAGGTCTCGATCTCCTTACCTTGTGATTCACCCGCCTCAGCCTCCCAAAGTGCTGGGATTACAGGTGTGAGCCACCGCGCCCAGCCTTCAATTGACTTTTGAATCTCAGAATTACAGTAAACATTTATCTACATAAAGCCGAAATGAATACTCACTTAATAACAAAGCAACTAACAACTCCCTTCATTTTTCTTTTTTTTTGAGACAGAGTCTTGCTCTGTCACCCAGGCTGGAGTACAGTGGTACCATCTCAGCTCACTGTGACCTCTGCCTCCCAGGTACAAGTGATTCTCCTGCCTCAGCCTCCTGAGTAGTTAGGATTACAGGCACATGCCACCACGCCCAGCTAATTTTTGTATTTTTAGTAGAGATGGGGTTTCACCATGTTGGTCAGGCTGGTCTTAAACTCTTGACCTCATGATCCACCTGCCTCGGCCTCCCAAAGTGCTGGGATTACAGGCCTGAACCACTGCACCCAGCAACCATTTTTCTTACAGTGATTCCCCTTTTTCCTTTCTAAGCTATAAGACAATAGAACAGTCCCTTTTACTCCCCTAAAAATAGACAATTCTATCAAATAAGAACATGTATAAAAGGTCTTCTGAAACTTGGGAGGCTGTAGAGAAATGTTATTATTTCTTTATTCTAGAAATGTTATTATTGTATTATTTCTTCTCAAGCATGTATAGTAGATGAGAAGAGAAAAGGCTGATAATTCATTATACATGTGCCATGACCTACACCAAAGGGTTGTAGAAAATTCAGGGAAATCTGTGTACTGAAACATTTATTAAAGATTAGACAATATTTAATCATTTGCTGATATTAATTTTATATTACTTATATAATTTTATATTTTTGATATATTTGAAAAAAACAGTAGAAAAAGATCATTGTCCAAAATTGGGAAAGAAAATATATGTTAATCATAGGCAATATCATAAATTAATGAGTTAACTTAGTGGAAGTTTGATAAACAGCAGGGTTTTTAGTAGACTATGATTTCTAGAGCATTATTATGATCAAATAGTCAATAATAGTAGTGATAAATAGATGGAATGCTTTTACTTGAGTTTCTCTCTTTCTCCCCTCACCCCCACCTGTCTTTATCTCTACCGCCACTCCTTTTGTTGTCATCATGCATATTTCAATTTATTTTTATATACTTGGTTTCTACTTACCAGTCACTTAAGAAGCTGAGGGGTAGATTCCGTTCCAAGATGGCCGAATAGGAACAGCTCCGGTCTGCAGCTCCCAGCATGATCGATGCAGAAGATGGGTGATTTCTGCATTTCCAACTGAGATACCTGGTTCATCTCATTGGGACTGGTTGGACAGTAGGTGCTGCCCACAGAGGGTGAGCCAAAGCAGGGTGGGGCATTGCCTCACCCAGGAAGCACAAGGGGTCGAGGCATTTCCCTTTCCTAGCCAAGGGAAGCCATGACAGACTGTACCTGGAAAAATGGTACATTTCCACCCAAATACTGCACTTTTCCAACAATCTTAGCAAATGGCACACCAGGAGATTGTATCCTGCTACTCGCTTGGTGGGTCCCAGACCTTCGGAGCCTTGCTCACTGCTAGTACAGCAGTCTGAGATCGATCCGTGAGGCAGCAGGCAGGGGGAGGGGCATCAACCATTGCTGAGGCTTGAGTACTAAACAAAGCAGCCAGGGAAGCTCGAACTGGGCAGAGCCCACTGCAGCTCAGCAAGGCCTGCTGCCTCTGTAGATTCCACCTCCGGGGGCAGGGCATAGCTGAACAAAAGACAGCAGAAACTTGTGCGGACTTAAACATTCCTGTATGACGGCTCTGAAGAGAGCAGTAGTTCTCCTAGCATGGCGTTTGAGCTCTGAGAGTGGACAGACTGCCTCCTCAAGTGGGTCCCTGACCCCCGTGTATCCTAACTGGGAGACACCTCCCAGTAGGGGCCAACTGACACCTTATACAGGCAGGAGCCCCTCTGGGACTGAAGCTTCCAGAGGAAGGATCAGGCAGCAATATTTGCTGTTCTGCAGCCTCCACTGGTGATACCCAGGCAAACAGGGTCTGGAGTGGACCTACAGCAAACTCCAACAGACCTGCAGCTGAGGGACCTGACTGTTAGAAGGAAAACTAACAAACAGAAAGGAATAGTGTGAACATCAACAAAAAGGACATCCACACCAAAACCCCATCTGTAGGTCACCATCATCAAAGACCAAAGGTAGATACAACCACAAAGATGGGGAGAAACCAGAGCAGAAAGCTGAAAACTCTAAAAACCAGAGGACTCTTCTCCTCCAAAGGATTGCAGCTCTGCACCAGCAATGGAACAAAGCAGGATGGAGAATGACTTTGATGAGCTGACAGAAGTAGGCTTCAGAGGGTCGGTAATAACAAACTTCTCCGAGCTAAAGGAAGATGTTTGAACCCATCACAAGGAAGTTAAAAACCTTGAAAAAACATTAGGTGAATGGCTAACTAGAATAAACAGTGTAGAGAAGATCTTAAATGACCTGATGGAGCTGAAAACCATGGCACGAGAACTATGTGATGCATGCACAAGCTTCAATAGCCGATTCGATCAAGTGGAAGAAAGGGTATCAGTGATTGAAGATCAAATTAATGAAATCAAGCAGAAAGACAAGTTTAGAGAAAAAAGAGTAAAAAGAAACAAAGAAAGCCTCCAAGAAATATGGGACTATGTGAAAAGACCAAATCTACATTTGATTGATGTACCTGAAAGTGACGGGGAGAATAGAACCAAGTTGGAAAACACTCTTCAGGATATTATCCATAAGAACTTCCCCAACCTAGCAAGGCAGGCTAACATTCAAATTCAGGAAATACAGAGATCACCACGAAGACACTCCTCGAGAAGAGCAACCCCAAGACACATAATTGTCAGATTCACCAAGGTTGAAATGAAGGAAAAAATGCTAAGGGCAGCCAGAGAGAAAGGTTGGGTTATCCTGTAGCTCTACATAGTTACAAATTATTAATTTCTTTGTATTACATTAATATGTTTAATATTTTATAATGTGGAATATATGTTACACATATATTAGAAGTTTATGTTCTCCCTGGGAGCAATCCTGGAATATACATAATCACACCCCTATATGCATATTAAAAATACATTTGATTTTCAGACTTTTTTCACCCATCTTGAGAACTTAAACAGGATGCAAAAATTTGACATAGAAAGAATAGACAAAATATGTCTTCATAGTCTGAAGTCAACCACATAATTCTATATTTTTATAATCCCATGGGCATGAAAAACTCAGCAGCTGTGCATTAGGAAGTTCAAACATCATAGTTTCAGGTTTTAATCTTGTAGTGTCTATAAAAACACAATATGTGGCCAGTGGAAGTTGTTTATTAAAAAATTCTCAACAGTAATACTTAAAATATTTTTAAATATGCTTTTTAAACTGAAATTTGTTTATATTTATAGACAATAAAATTCACTGATCTGAAGTAAAATACACTTTGAAGTGGCAGAGTCTGAGATACTGATATGTTTAAGCAAATGTCCTAATAGAAACTATTAGGAAATAACATTTTTTTTTCTCTCTAGCAAGATTCTTCATTCCTCCAATTCTTGCTTCCACTCTTTTTCCTTTTTCTTCTTCCCTCTCATAGAATGTTTTTTTTTCTTATTTTTGCTCCATCTTTAACATTTATTTCTTTGCCTCCTCTTCTTTTTTTCCTCCTTGCCATTTCTTCTCTTCTTTGTGCTTCAGGGGTTTGCTTACTTCCCTAACCTTCTTTTCTGGCTGTTTCTCTCTTTCCTTCGGTTACATTAAAACTCCTTTTGGCAAAATCTCTCCTTCAGATACATCAGGGCCCTTGAATGAAATGCCTGGAAAATTAATTCCATGTACATTTTATGAAATCTTGCTCACAGCTGCATTTTTCCATTAGAGATGGTTTCAAAAGGCTGCATTTAAAACACACGCACACACACACACACACACACACAGCCAAATGAGGCAAAGTTTAAGTGAGAAAACATGTGTGGAGCATTAAGCCAAGTGACAGGAGGAGGGTTGCATTTTCAGAGAAGCAGGGAAGTTCTATAAATGCCTTTCAAATAAAACAAGAACACTTTTGAACTTTAAAAATAAAAATCAGATTGCCATCACGGAATTGACTAAAATAAAATTCACATTTAGATTGAAAGACAATTACAGCTCAGCTTGTTTTTTTAATTTTTAATTTTTAGTTTTATTTTTTTAATTGTACGTTAAGTTCTAGGGCACATGTACACAACGTGTAGGTTTGTTACATAAGTATACATGTGCCATGTTGGTTTGCTGCACCCATTAACTCGTCATTTACATTAGGTATTTCTCCCAATGCTATCCCTCTGCCATTGCCCCACCCCATGACAAGCCCCGGTATGTGATGTTTCCCACCCTGTGTCCAAGTGTTCTCATTGTTCAGTTCCCACCTATAAGTGAGAACATGCGGTGTTTGGTTTTCTGTCCTTGCGATAGTTTGCTCAGAATTATGGTTTCCAGCTTCATCCATGTTGCTACAAAGGACATGAACTCTTCCTTTTTTATGGCTGCATAGTATTTCATAGTGTATATGTGCCACATTTTCTTAATCCATTCTATCATTGATGGACATTTGGGTTGGTTCCAAGTCTGCTATTGTGAATAGTGCTGCAATAAACATACATGTGCATGTGTCTTTATAGTAGAATGATTTATAATCATCTGGGTATTTACCCAGTAATGGTATGGCTGGGTCAAATGGTACTTCTAATTCTAGATCCTTGAGGAATCACCACACTGTCTTCCACAAAGGTTGAACTACTTTATATTCCCACCAACAGTGTAAAAGCATTTCTGTTACTCCACATCCTCTCCAGCACCTGTTGTTTCCTGACTTTTAAAGATTGCCATTCTAACTGTGTGAGATGGTATCTCATTGTGGTTTTGATTTGCATTTCTCTGATAACCAGTGATGATGAGCATTTTTTCATGTGTCTGTTGGCTGTATAAATGTCTTCTTTTGAAAAGTGTCTGTTCAAATCCTTTGCCCACTTTTTGATGGGGTTGTTTGATTTTTTTCTTGTGAATTTTTTAAGTTCTTTGTAGATTCTGGATATCAGCCCTTTGTCAGATGGGTAGATTGCAAAAATTTTCTCCCATTCTGTAAGTCGCCTGTTTACTCTGACGGTAGTTTCTTTTTCTGTGTAGAAGCTCTTTAGTTTAATTAGATCCCATTTGTCTATTTAGGCTTTTGTTACCATTGCTTTTGGTGTTTTAGTCCTGAAGTCCTTACCCATGCCTATGGCCTGAATGGTATTGCCTAGGTTTTCTTCTAGGGTTTTTATGGTTTTAGGTCTAACATTTAAGTCTTTAATCCATCTTGAATTAATTTTTGTATAAGGTGTAAGGAAGGGATCCAGTTTCATCTTTCTACATATGGCTAGCCAGTTTTCCCAGCACCATTTATTAAATAGGGAATCCTTTCCCCATTTCTTGTTTTTGTCAGGTTTGTCAAAGATCAGATAGTTGTAGATGTGTGGTGTTATTTCTGAGGGCTCTGTTCTGTTCCATTGGTCTAGTTCTCTGTTTTGGTACCAGTACCATGCTGTTTTGGTTACTGTCGCCTTGTAGTATAGTTTGAAGTCAGGTAGCGTGATGCCTCCAGCTTTGTTCTTTTGGCTTATGATTATCTTGGCAATGCAGGCTTTTTTTGTGGTGCCATATGAACTTTAAAGTAGCTTTTTTTCCAATTCTGTGAAGAAAGTCATTGGGAGCTTAATGGGGATGGCATTGAATCTATAAATTACCTTGGGCAGTATGGCCATTTTCACGATATTGATTCTTCCTATCCATGAGCATGGAATGTTCTTCCATTTGTTTGTGTCCTCTTTTATTTTGTTGACCAGTGGTTTGTAGTTCTCCTTGAAGAGGTCCTTCACATCCCTTGTAAGTTGTATTCCTAGGTATTTTGTTCTCTTTGTAGCAGTTGTGAATGGGAGTTCACTCATGATTTGGCTCTCTGTTTGTCTGTTATTGGTGTATAAGAATGCTTGAGATTTTTGCACATTGATTTTATATCCTGAGACTTTGCTGAAGTTGCTTATCAGCTTAAGGAGATTTTGGGCTGATACGATGGGGTTTTCTAAATATACAATCATGTCATCTGCAAACAGGGACAATTTGACTTCCCCTTTTCCTAATTGAATATCCTTTATTTCTTTCTCTTGCTTGATTGCCCTGGCCAGAACTTCCAACACTATGTTGAATAGGAGTGGTGAGAGAGGGCATCCCTGTCTTGTGCCAGTTTTTGAAGAGAATCCTTCCTGTTTTTGCCCATTCAGTATGATGCTGGCTGTGGGTTTGTCAAAGATAGCTCTTATTATTTTGAGATATGTTCCATCAATACCTAGTTTTTTGAGAGTTTTTAACATGATGGGCTGTTGAATTTTGTTGAAGGCCTTTTCTGAGAGATAATCCTGTGGTTTTTGTCGTTGGTTCTGTTTATGTGATGGATTACGTTTACTGATTTGCGTATGTTGAACTAGCTTTGCATCGCAGGGTAAAGCTGACTTGATCTTGGTGGATAAGCTTTTTGATGTGTTGCTGGATTCGGTTCGCCAGCATTTTATTGAGGATTTTCACATAGATGTTCATCAAGGATATTGGTCTAAAATTCTCTTTTTTTGTTGTGTCTCTGTTAGGCTTTGGTATCAGGATGATGCGGGCCTCATAAAATGAGTTAGGGAGGATTCCCTCTTCTTATATTGATTGGAATAGTTTCAGAAGGAATGGTACCAGCTCCTGTTTGTACCTCTGGTAGAATTTGGCTGTGAATCCGTCTGGTCCTGGACTTTTTTTGGTTGGTAGGCTATTAATTATTGCCTCAATTTCAGAGCCTGTTATTGGTCTATTCAGAGATTCAACTTCTTCCTGGTTTAGTCTTGGGAGGGTGTATGTATCCAGGAATTTATCCATTTCTTCTAGATTTTCTAGTTTATTTGCATAGAGGTGTTTATAGTATTCTCTGATGGTAGTTTGTATTTCTGTGGGATCAGTGGTGATATCCCCTTTATCATTTTTTATTGCATCTATTTGATTCTTCTCTCTTTTCTTCTTTATTAGTCTTGCCAGCGGTCTATCAATTTTGTTGACCATTTCAAAAAACCAACTCCTGGATTCATTGATGTTTTGAAGGGTTTTTTGTGTCTCTATCTCCTTCAGTTCTGCTCTGATCTTAATTATTTCTTGCCTTCTGCTAGCTTTTGAATTTGTTTCTTCTTGCTTCTCTAGTTCTTTTAATTGTGATGTTAGGGTGTTGATTTTAGATCTTTCCTACTTTCTCTTATGGGCGTTTAGTGCTATAAATTTCCCTCTACACACTGCTTTAAATGTGTCGGAGAGATTCTGGTACGTTCTGTCTTTGTTCTCATTGGTTTCAAAGAACATCTTTCTGCCTTCATTTTGTTATGTACCCAGTAGTCATTCAGGAGCACGTTGTTCAGTTTCCTTGTAGTTGTGCGGTTTTGAGTGAGTTTCTTAATCTTGAGTTCTAATTTGATTGCACTGTGGTCTGAGAGACAGTTTGTTATGATTTCTATTCTTTTCCATTTGCTGAGGAGTGCTTTACTTCTAACTATGTGGTCAATTTTGGAATAAGTGTGATGTAGTGCTGAGAAGAATGTATTTTCTGTTGATTTGGGGTGGAGAGTTCTGTAGATGTCTATTAGGTCTGCTTGGTGCAGAGCTGAGTTCAAGTCCTGGATATCCTTGTTAACCTTCTGTCTCATTGATCTGTCTAATATTGATAGTGGGGTGTTAAAATCTCCCATTATTATTGTGTGGGAGTCTAAGTCTCTTTGTATGTCTCTCAGGACTTGCTTTATGAATCTGGGTGCTCCTGTATTGGGTGCAAATATATTTAGTATAGTTAGCTCTTCTTGTTGAATTGATCCCTTTACTGTTATGTAATGGTCTTCTTTGTCTCTTTTGATCTTTGTTGGTTTGAAGTCTATTTTATCAGAGAGGAGGATGGCAACCCCTGCTTTTTTTTTTTTTTTTTTTTTTTTTTTTTTTTTTTGCTTTCCATTTGCTTGGTAGATCTTCCTCCATCCCTTTATTTTGAGCCTATGTGTGTCTCTGCAAGTGAGATGGGTCTCCTGAATACAGCACACCGATGGGTCTTGATTCTTTATCCAATTTGCCAGTCTGTGTCTTTTAATTAGGGCATTTAGCCCATTTACATTTAAGGTTAATATTGTTATATGTGAAGTTGATCCTGTTATTATGACGTTAGCTGGTTATTTTGCCCATTAGTTGATGCAGTTTCTTCTTAGCCTTGATGGTCTTTACAATTTGGCATGTTTTTGCAGTGGCTGGTACCAGTTGTTCCTTTCCATGTTTAGTGCTTCCTTCAGGAGCTCTTGTAAGGCAGGCCTGGTGGTGACAAAATCTCTCAGCATTAGCTTGTCTGTAAAGGATTTTATTTCTCCTTCACTTATGAAGCTTAGTTTGGCTGGATATGAAATTCTGGGTTGAAAATTCTTTTCTTAAAGCATGTTGAATACTGGCCCCCAATCTATTCTGGCTTGTAGGGTTTCTGCCGAGAGATCCACTGTTAGTCTGATGGGATTCCCTTTGTGGGTAACCTAACCTTTCTCTCTGGCTGCCCTTAGCATTTTTTCCTTCATTTCAACCTTGGTGAATCTGACAATTATGTGTCTTGGGGTTGCTTTTCTCGGGGAGTATCTTTGTGGTGATCTCTGTATTTCCTGAATTTGAATATTGGCCTGCCTTGCTAGGTTGGAGAAGGTGTCCTGGATAATATCCTGAAGAGTGTTTTCCAACTTGGTTCCATTCTCCCCGTCACTTTCAGATACACCAATCAGATGTAGATTTTTTCTTTTCACATATTCCCATATTTCTTGGAGGCTTTGTTCATTTCTTTTCACTCTTTTTTCTCTAAATTTTTCTTCTCACTTCATTTCATTAATTTGATCTTCAATCACTGATACCCTTTCTTCCACTTGATCGAATTGGCTACTGAAGCTTGTGCATGCATCACATAGTTCTCTTGCCATGGTTTTCAGCTCCATCATGTCATTTAAGGTCTTCTCTACACTGCTTATTCTAGTTAGCTGTTCATCTAATCTTTTTTCAAGGTTTTTAGCCTCCTTGTGATGGGTTGGAACATCTTCCTTTAGCTCAGAGAAGTTTATTACCGACTTTCTGAGACCTACTTCTGTCAACTCATCAAAGTCATTCTCTGTCCTGCTTTGTTCCATTGCTGGCAAGGAGCTGCGATCCTTTGGAGGAGAAGGGGCATTCTGGTTTTTAGAGTTTTCAGCTTTCTGCTCTGGTTTCTCCCCATCTTTGTGGTTGTATCTACCTTTGGACTTTGATGATTGTGACCTACAGGTGGCGTTTGTTGTGGATATCCTTTTTGTTGATGTTGATACTATTCCTTTCTGTTTGTTAGTTTTCCTTCTAACAGTCAGGTCCCTCAGCTGCAGGTCTGTTGGAGTTTGCTGGAGGTCCACTCTAGACCCTGTTTGCCTGGGTATCATCAGCAGAAGCTGTAAAACAGCAAATATTGCAGAACAGCAAATATTACTGCCTGATCCTTCCTCTGGAAGCTTTGTCTCACAGGGACACCTGGCTATATGGGGTGTCAGTTGGCCCCTACTGTGAGGTGCCTCCAAGTTAGGCTACACGGGGGTCAGGGACCCACTTGAGGAGGCAGTCTGTCCATTCTCAGAGCTCAAACAGCATGCTGGGAGAACTGCTGCTCTCTTCAGAGCTGTCACACAGGGATGTTTAAGTCTGCAGAAGTTTCTGCTGCCTTTTGTTCAGCTATGCCCTATCCCCAGAGGTGGAGACTACAGAGGTAGGTGGGCCTCATTGAGCTGTGGTGGGCTCCTCCCAATTTGAGATTCCCTGGCTGCTTTGTTTACCTACTCAAGCCTCAGCAATGGCAGACAGCCCTCCCCCAGCCAGTCTTGCTGCCTTGCAGTTTGATCT